>NC_000001.11:18099163-19349163 GCF_000001405.40 Homo sapiens
TCCATTAGCACTCTTTTCAGGAAAAGATAGCTTTGAAAGGTAAGTGATTTTCCCTATGTGCCTCCCAATAGCCTTTCATTCCAGGGAAACATTCCAGTCTGATTCATCAATTGCCTCCTTGTAGGATCATCCTCTTGCCAGGGTCAATGGAGAGCAGGACAGGAGGCTGAGCATGGGTGGAAGTCAACACAAGGAAGTCAGGGAGGGGAGATAGTGTTAGGTGACCGGCAGGGGTATGGGATTGCTTCGTCTTCAATCAGTAGTACAGAGAGAAAGGAGGAAGAAAAAGAGCACCTTGGTGGAGATGTCAGGGCTCCAAGGATGACGAAGCATCTTCTGGGGCTGAGAAGGAACTGGTCGGTACAGAAGGATCTAATGTCGAGAGTCACCAAATCTCAAACTGGCATGTGCATCTCACTCATTTGTTCAATGCAGTTTTCATTGTTCCTGCACTGTCCTTCATCAGCCCTGTGTGGTTTACAATAATCCTGCTTAACCTCACAGCCTCCTCCCCCTACACCACCTAGTTCCAGCCTTCCTGGACCACCTGCTCTCTCCTGGAAGGCAATCTCTGCTGCATGCTTTTGTAAGGCATTGCACATGCAGCTCTGCCCCCAAAGCTTTTCTTTCCCTGGCTAACTTGGGCATCCTTCAGAGCTTTAGGTCTCACCTCCTCCAGAAAGCCAGTCTCCCAAGTCCTAGCTCAGTGCCAGGTGCAGAGTAATCGCTTCCATAGTGGCACAGGAAGGAAGAGATGAAGAGAAGGAAAGCGGAGGTGGATTTGTGCCCAGACAAGCCATAGGTTTTCAGGGGCCTCGGAAAGCCAGCCCAGCCTTTGCCTCTTACAAATGAAAACTGTGAAGCCCAGAGAAATGAAATCACTTCCCTATCTTATAAATCAAATGGGGATTTTCTACAATGTTTCAGGGCCTAGAAACTCAAGAGGGAAAATAGGCTGAGGAAATTGTCAGGCTTCGCCGGATGGCGTTTGTAATTAATCAGAGGCCTTTTGTAACAAATACCTCTTCATTCCCAACTGAGTGACGAGCCTGGTTAGCCGGACCTTCCTTCTTTGCTCCGGGTTCCTCCAGAACCACGTGACCCAGGCCAGAGAGGGGAGGTGTGGAAGATAATAAGGAACAAAGTGAAATGGGCCCAGACTTCCCAAAGCATGGACTATTACCTGGGGAGGCAAGACACATGCGTGAACCGACCGAAGAGAGCATTGCTGCGTTATGCAGGAGGGACAAAATGCCCCTCCAAGAGTGCAGGGAGCCGACAGTCTTGCTTTGGGTCTCATCTATAGTATTATGGACCCATCCTACAATTGTGGCTAATTAAGGAGCTTAAGGATTTGTGTTTTGTAATAGCCTGCCTCACTGCAAATATAATAAAGCCTAAAGAACTCGTAAAACAGGAAGCTGATTCGGTTTTACGGAATATAGATAGGCCCTTGAACTTGAAAGGTTGTAAAAACGGAACAAATCATGTATTCGATGGCGCCACCTGTTGTCAATGTGTGATATTGCAGCTTGTCCAGGAAAGGAGGAAAGAGGCCGCTCCAAGGGTGACCTCAGAAGATCCCAGCCCCGTCTTGACAATCGTGGAGACAAGAGTCCAGAGCCAGGAATGGACTGACTAATGCTGGAAAATGCCACAGAGGAAAAACAAATCACAGGTTCTGTTCCCATTGGCTTTTTTCTTTGATTTGGAGTCATGGCCAACATCTGAGTCCCTTGAGATCTTGACCCTGGGAGTCTTTATCCACCTCTCTCCACTTAAGAATGCAGGAAGCTAAGGACAAAAAGAAGGAGCCACAGTGTGGGATAATTACAGCATCGTATGGCTGCCTTGGCTTTCAGTAAGAGTTGTTACAGCTAATGTTTATTGGGTGCTTATGTCATTTGAAGCATTGTCTTAATAAATCAACACAGCTTGATGAGGTTGGTACTCTTAGACCCAGTCCCATTTTACAGATGAGGAAATGGAAACACAGGAACGTTAAATAATTTGCACAAGTTCTTACAGAAGTTCCTCCTTTCTTTCCTTCCTTCCTCCCTCCCTCCCTCCTTCTTCTCCCTCCCCTCCCTCCCCTCCCTTCCTCTTTCCTCCCTTCCTTCCTTCCTTTCTTCCTTCCCTTCTTCGCAACTCCCTCCCTACCTACCCCCTTCCCTCTTTCCTTCCTTCCTTTCTTCCTTTCTTCCTTCCTTCCTCCCTTCCAACCGTCATTTTTTTTTTGAGTGCTGAAGCTGGGATTTGAGCCTAGGCAGGCCAACTCTGGAGCCCATGCATTAAGCCGGTACACTTGACTACATCTGTTGGCACGTTCTAACTATGACTAATATCTGTTGGTCCATGTGTCTCACACTTAGCAAGTGCAGCGATACAGGAAAAAGTAAAAATCTTGCTGATGCTTTCTAACCTCGGTTCATCTATCCATGCCTCCATCCATGCCCTTATCCACCCAACAATCCTTTCTCTAATCCTTCTGTCAACCCACCCACCCACCTACCATTACTCATCTGCCCACTCACCCATCCATCCATCCATTCATCCAATGATTCCCATATCCATCCATACAATCATTCTCACATCCATCCACCCATCCATTCATCCACCCACCCAGTAATTCTCATAACCAACTTCCTTCCTTGCATTTATCCAACAGTCACTTTCTTAAGCACCTACCACCTGCCAGACACAGTCAATAAAGAGATGAATCAGCTGTGTTCCCTACCCTTATGTTGGTCACATTCCCACAGATCCATAAAACAATGTTATAGGTGCTGGCCTGTGATCGGAAAGGTGAGTTACGCCTGACTCTGAGGGAGGCGAAAGAAAGGCTTCCCAACAGATGTGACTATCAACCTTGGCCTTAATGTATGAATGGGAATTGTTGGTTGGAGAAGGGGAGATGGCTATCAGACAGGAAGAACAGCACCAGCAAAGGCAGAGACGCAACAAAACCCCTAGTGTTGGAGGGACATAGAATGATCCAGAGCATGAGGTGAGTGAGAGCAGGGGAAGGAGGGACAAAACCAGAGGGGGCTTAGGATGCAGCCAAAGGGGCATACTAAAGAGCTTGGACCTTCAACAATAGGGAGTGCTGTGAAAACAGAGAGCAGAGGAGTTGAGGTACAGACATGGTGAGAACCGTGCAGGAGAAAGGTCTCTCCAACGGCAGCAGGGTGGATGAACTGGGGAGGCTGGGTCTGGAAGCAGGGACTAGTTAGAAGAGATCATCTGGGTTCAAATGCCAGCTTCACCTCTTATTGACTCTATGCCCTTAGGCCAGGGCTTGCATTTCTAAGTGTCTCATTATTCTTGTTTATTCCATGGTCTAAACACAGAAATGACCTACAAGATTCTGGAAAGAATTCAATGAATAGTACAAGCAAAGTATAGCACTTGGCACATAGTAAGCTCTCAATAAATGGCATCAATTGGCAGTAGTTGTTGTTATTATTATTACTATTTCTACTGCTATGATATCGAGGAAGAGATCAGGAGGCTTGTTCAGGGCCAGAGCGGCATTTTCCACCCTGTGATTCCCAGAGCTCTTGCTCACACGATGTTAATAGATATTAATGGAAAGAGGGTTCTGAGGCCAAACAAGTGTGGACTTCAACAAAATAAAACTGGAAAATGAACATAGACAAGCCAAACACAAAAAACTGCAGGACTTCTCATAACCTTTCATAGGCTCACGTGAACTATAAACTTCTAAGTGGAGAACAGCTGAGTTTGTAGCACTTCTTGAATATATTTAGCCATGAAACTCTCTTGCAAGAAATGTTTATTACAAACCTGCAAAACAAATGGTCAGTGAGACCCAGTTTGGGGAGCAATGGTCCTCCTGGGTCCATCCCTTTTCTCTGGTCCCATAATGCTGAGGCCCCTTCCCCAGCCCACAGCTCGAGATTCCCACGCACACCTGCTGACATCTTCTACCGGGAAGATGTGATGGAACTTGAGAGTCCAGGTGGGGCTGAGGTTCATTAAGGATGGAGCATTGGACTTAATTCCAAGTGGCTGACTCCATATCAATTTGGGTCACTGGTGTTAAGATGTCACTTTCGGTTGCATTTAATTTAAACAAACAATAAAAAGCTCTGTCCTGACTGCGATGGAGGCTGGTGGAGGTTTAATTCCCAGCACAGAGAGGCAGAATGCAGGATAGGAAAGCCGGAGGACTGCAGGAGTGGGTTGATGAGAGAGGGAGAGAGGAGGATAGAGAGGGAGAGAAATGTGGACCCCTGGGGCAGGGCCTGCCTGGGGAAGTCCACGCTAGATCCCTGTCCCCAGAATCCAGTATCCTCTACCCTGGCCACCTTGGGTAATTATTTTCATTTCTCTGAGACTCAGTTTCCTTATCTGTAAACCAGACATAAATGAAATTGCCACAGAGGACTTACAGGAGGATTAAATGAGATAAGAGAGGTGGAACGCACTGGATTCATGAGTTTTTATATACAAATACTGGCTTCCAAGATGTGTGTCTGTGTATATGTGTGTGGACACGTGTGTGTGTTCCTGTGTGTGTGGACATGTGTGTGTGTTCCTGTATGTGTGTGCGGACACGTGTGCGTGTGTTCCTGTATGTGAGCGTTCCTGTATGTGTGTGTGGACATCTGTGTGTGTTCCTGTATGTGTGTGTGGACACGTGTGTGTGTGTTCCTATATATGTGTGTGGACACGTGTTGTGTGTTCCTGTATGTGTGTGGACACGTGTTGTATGTTCCTGTATGTGTGTGTGGACACGTGTGTGTGCGTGCCTGTGTGTGAGGACACGTGTCTGTGTGTGTGTGCCTGGGTGTGTGTGTGTGCGCCCCTGTGTGTGTGTGTGTGGGCATTTGTGTGTGTGTTCCTGTATGTGCATGTGGACATGTGTGTGTGTACACATGTGTGTGCCTGTGTGTGTGGACATTTGTGTGTGTGTGCCTGTGTGTGGGCATTTGTGGGCATGTGTGTGTGCCTGTGTGTATGTGTGTATGCTTGTGTGTGCCTGTGTTTGTGTGTGTACACTTCTGCTTGTGCCTGTGTTGGTGTGTGGACACTTATGTGTGTGGCTGTATGTGTGTACACTTGTGTGTGTCTGTGTACACTTGTGTGTGTGTGTGTACACTTGTATGTGTGTGCCTGTGTGTATGTGTGGTGTACTGTGTCTAGGTAAGGTGTTTGGGAACTCTGGTTCTTGAGCTCTTCCTAGGTTGGAATCTGGTCCTATTCATAGCTGTATTGTACTGAGAAAGTTGCTTAACTTCTCTGTGCCTCAGCTTTCCCAACTGTAAGACAGGACTAATGATGGGACCCACCTCATACATTATTGTGTGGTGTCAATGAATTTATATACATTAAATACTTTCACAGCACCCGGCACAAAGAGGCACTTTCATAAGTGCTTCAGACTCTTATTATTGAACCTCACTGGGTGTCCTGCTGCAAACCAGCAGAGCCCATTCCCTTGGGAGCCAGGTTGGGGTAGGCAGTCATGTGCTGCGTCCCTCCCCTTTCCTGGCAGGGAGGGTGGGGACTAGAGGTCACAGAGGGGCCCTTTGACCTCTGGGGCTATTCCCTGGGGTCCGCGGAGTAGAAGTTTGCTTTGTGCTGTAGTGCACTCTGTTGGGAGAGCCTAACTCAGCACCATGAACAGAGGGAGGCTGGGGGCAAACAGCCACACCTCCGCCAAGGACTCCAGCTCAGCCAGTGTCCGAGGAAGAGGCCTGTCCTGCCGTGACTCATGGGTCTGAGTGCCAGGACTGCAAAGTGGAGGCCCTGCCGATCCATTAGGAGACAGGAGCCAAGGGATGTTAAGCAAATTAAAAGCCCCAGGGCTGTCCCGCGTGACCTTTTCCTTTGGCTAAGGCACCCCACCCTGTGCCCTCTGCTAACTGTGCTTCTCAGTGCTCCAGAGATGTCTTTCTCTGGGACAAAGGAAAGGCTTTAAAGCTATATCTTATGAAACAGGAGCTGGAGGAGTGGGCTTCCCTGGAGGGGCCTGTGAAGGCAGCCGTATTAACCACTATGGTTACCATATGGCCATAGACATGCACATCACAGCCAGGCCCCTTTGGGCAAAACCAAACTGCGCACCTGAGCAGACACCTCCTCTCTGATGGGCCCAGTCAGAATATGTGATCCTGGCGCTCCAAGGAGGTTCACTGCCACAGGACGCCTACCAAGTGCCAGACTTGTGCAAGGAGCTGAGGAACAGAGTGGATAAGACTGAATGACCTACCCTCATTCATTCATTCATTCATTCATTCATTCACGCATTCATCCAACTGGTATTTATTGAGGATCCACTATGTGTCAGGCACTGGCTAGGCATAATAATAATTATAATACAGGGTGATGTTAAAGAGAATTGAGGTGATTCAGAAGTCTTGGGGCTGAAGGAGATCTCCAACACACCAGCCCCAATCCTTGGTCCTAGGAAGCAACCCTCCCTTGGCTGTTAGGCCTGCTTTCCTCCTCACTAGCATATCCTCAGATGCCATTCTCTAGCTCCTTCTGCTGGCTCTCTTTTCTAGCTGGTGTGAACCATGGCTGGGAAGAAACATCACTAAGGGGCCCTGGAATCCCACCTGCTCCCTGGCCCTCATCTCCAAGGGCTGGGCTGCAGGGAGCGCAGCCAGGAAGCCCCACCAATTCAGGGTTCACCTGAGGAACTGATGCTGTCCACCTGCCTAGCTGCACGCCGATTTGCAGCTGGGGCCAGAGAGTAGGAATGCCCACACAGCGATGCTTGGCATTTCCCTGCACAACTCAGACCAGCACAAGGAACCGCATGAACCTGATGCTGTTCCCCAGCCAGGGAGCCCCTTCCACAGAGGATTTAGAACCTGGGATGGACTTTTGGGTTTGTTGACTTTTTCTTGGGTCAGAGTGGGGAGGGAGGGCCAGGGAGGAGGCAGTAAGGGACTGTGCCCTGCAGCCTGAGAAGAAGGTGAGGGGGAGAGGTGACCTCAAGCTGACCCTCAGCAGCCTGGAGAAGGGGAGACCTGGGTGGATGCGAGTGAGAGGGAGCAAAGAACAGCAGCCAAAGGGAGAAGAAAGGACCTAAGACTCCAGTGTTCATCAAGTGTTCAAGCCATATGCAGTCCAATCAACCTGGAACCAATTAGTCTGATTCACAAAAAAAAAAAAAAAAAAAAAAAAAAAAAATCCCACTTAGGGACAAACTGTAATCAAACACCTATTTATAAGGGTTTATTATGATCATTATTATTATTTTACTGAGAGGATCATTCTAAAGCCTGTCAGGTGAACGTATGCTTTCAGATCTTCATAAATGCAAATCGCTCCTTCTGGGGTGGGTGAGCAAGCTGAGCCGCAGAGCTGCCTTGGGAGGCGATGGGGTGAGGTTCCAGAGGGCAGGAGGAGGGAGCAGTTCACTTTCATGGACATCTCTGCACAAAGCTCACCCAGAGGCAGCCCAGCAACCACCCATTGCCCACCCCACTCCCTACACTCCTCTCAGAGGGCTGCTGGAGATGGAACTGGCTATAGACCCATTGCCCATGTAGGTAAACGATGCAACAGCCTGACTCAGCAACCTGCCAGAGCTAGGGAAGCTGGAGATTCTCCATAGAAGGCCTGGGTAAAGGGACCCACCTGAGTTCTGAGCAGGTTTTGCCCCTGGTCGTGCTGGTTTTTCTGGGCTTTGCCAATCTTCTGGGTCCCTACCAATGGTGAAATTCTATCTCCTGAACTTCCTCATCTAACCACATCCCCAGTCCACTCCAAGGGCTAGAGTACCCCTCCCCTTCATCCTCGCAGGAGGCCTCAAAGTCCACCGCCAGGGCTGAGGCTCAATGGTGTGTGTGTGTGTGTGTGTGTGTGTGTGTGTGTGCTCGCGTGTGTGTTGGTGGGAGAGTAATGGTAACATACAAGTCCCAAACCTGTTCTTCTCGGACCTGGGAAGAAAAGCTGTCAGGTCTGGCAAAAAGGTGGAAACTTGGTCTCTGCCAGGAGGAAACAATCAGTTCCTCACCCTTCCTGGCTGGATCCTAGCACATGGGAAAAAGACAGAACACACCCCATTTCCGTGGGTCCCTGGGGGAAGGAGCAGCCGTAATTGGGGAAGTTTCAGAACATGGAAACCCCTTAATCTTGCCCAATGAGGGCATTCATCGTTGGCAAGGTCAGAACTCCAGAGCCACACCCTGCCTGCCCTGCTCCCAGGATGGCATCTTTCCCTCTCGGGAGGGAGGCTGCCTCCTTTCATCAGGCTGAGTAGCGGGGAGGGCGATGGTAATCCCGGGGATAGGAGGGGCTAGGTAAAGGCGGATCCGATGGAGCATAGCTTCCAGGGCGGGGTGTTGGGTCACCTGGGTAAGGGTTAAGAAGCTGGAGGCAGCAAGCCAGTTTTGAGTGAGGGGGGACCTGAGTGAGGGGAGAGGGGAGGTTAGGAGGGGGTGAGCTCTCCTTCTCCCTGCAATAAATCGGCTTAGCGGACGAGAGCCGAACAGCCCAGAAAGGATTAAAGAAAAGTCTGTATAATACGCGGAGAGCGCGGCGAGGGGAGGGCAAGGAGGGCGGGGGGGCGGGGAGAGGGGGAGGGACGGAGGGAGGGCGAGAGGAGGGGGGTGCTCGCGCCGCCGGGAGAGGCGAGCGCGAGGCAGAGAGCGCGATTCGGCTCCAAACTCCGGCGCTGCAGCCGATCGGACTCTGGGCCGCGGTGGGCACCGCGCGCAGCTAGGGAGCCGAGAACCGCGGCGAGCCCCGAGGACGCCCAGAGCGCGAGGGTCGCTGCGCCTCGCAGAGCCGGAGCCGAGTCGAGCCGGGCGCCCGGGCTGCCTGGCCGCGGCGGCATGGGGGCGCCCCCGCGGCTCTCCGCGCTGCCCGCCACCGCCTCGGCCAGTGGCCGGAGGCAGGAGCGCGTCTGAGCCCATGGCGAGGGGACCCGCCGCCACCGCCTCCACCCCCGCCGCCCCGCCACCGCCGCCAGCTCCCGGGCACCATGCGAACCGCCCCGAGCCTCCGCCGCTGCGTCTGCCTGCTGCTCGCCGCGATCCTGGACCTGGCGCGCGGTGAGTGCGCGGGCGCCTGGCGGGAGCCGAGCGGTGAACGTGCGCGGGGACGGGGTGCCGGGGGAGGGCGCTGGCCGGGGTCGCTCCGAGAGGCTCGGGCTACGAGCACCGGTCCTGCCCGGGGTCTGTGGAGCTGGTTGGCTCGATGAGGGAGGGAGGACGCCTCTTGGAGAGCGCTCATGGATTTGTGCCAGGGTGTGTGTGTGTGTGTAAATTGTGTGTCTTTGTTGTGTGTCTGGGTGAGGGTGTCCGGGAAGGAGCTGTGTGGGCAGAAGGTGCGGGAGTGTATTTAGAGATGCAAGTGTGTGTGTGCGTGTGTGTGTGATGGTGTGGGGTCTGCGTGTGAGTGAGCGAGGGTCTGGATGGGTGTTAGAGTGTCTGTGTCAGTTACATGGAGAAGGTGTGTGTGTGAGAGTGTGAGCGAATGTTGGGGGGAGGGTGTGAACATGTGCCACCTTCCCTGTGAGGGTGTGAAGTGTGTGAGCTTGTGTCACTGTGGGTGTGAGGTGTTAGGGGGTGGGTATGTGAGGTTTGGCGTTTCACGTGTGTCCCGAGTGTGCAGGTCTCTAGGGGTGTACGACAGCGGATTACTATTTCTGTGTGCACAGGAGATGGGACTGTGACACTGGACAAGAGTCTGCTTATGTGGGATGGGTGGGGGTGCAGGTGCCTGGGAGTCGTGGGCTTCATGGGGCTGGGAGTGTGTGTATGCGTGCCATGGAGCGTGTGGTTATCGTGTGCAGGGAGGTATGGACGCTTCCGGGGCTGGGGAGTTGTGAGCAGCTCAGTGTGTGTGTGTGTGTGTGTGTGTGTGTGTCCCGCCGTGTGGACTTGCTCCCGGGTTAGGCTAAGACAGCTAGAAGGAGGTTGAAGCCGAGCGGGTTCTCCGGAGCCAGTGAGAGGTGGCTCCGCAGCCCCAGGGTCCGCGGCCGGCCTCCCACCCAGTGCCGCCGCGTAGTGGGTCTTAAATGGAGCTGAACCCTTTCGCGCAGTGAGCAGAGAGCCAACGTGAGGCTAAAAGCCAGGAGGGAGGGAGGCGGGACCAGCGAAGAGCCGCAGGCACCGAGACTACAGGCTCCGCGTCCGGGATCCTCCTCGGAGCCTGGTGCCAACCTCAGCCTGGCTGGAGTCAGAGCCTGGCTCCGCCTCGGAGGGGAGCGGGACGCGAGGTGCCAAAAAGTCGTCTTTATGATCAATAAGGTCTCGACCCCGAGCCCCACTGGATGATAGAGGTGGGCATCACCTCTGTCCTATGCCATAGCCTTGTCCCAGCAGGAGGTGCCTACCTAGGCTCTGAGAGTGCCTGCCAGGAAGGGGTGCCCCCTTAAAAATAACCCCAACTCCTTCTACCCCGAAGTCCTTGGGGAGTGCTGGGTCTGCTGATGGGAGAAGCTGCAGAATTTGAGCCCGGAAGGTGGTCCTGACAGCGAGGGGGGAGGGGTTGGTGTAACCCAGAAGGAATGCAAACCCTGTACTTTGTTCCCCTACCCTTGGAACAAGAGACTTTCCTAAGTGGATCAAAATGTCCCCCCTCAACTTTGGGAGGAGGGCTCTAGAGGGAAAGGTTACATGGGGGAGGTCCTCGTTCCAGCGCCGCCGAGAGGGCACTGGGGTTTGTTGAAAGGCACTGGAGCCCTCACCTGGACATTGCAGGGGGCGGGGGTTGGAGGCTGGGGACCTAAGGTAAGCACCCCTTTCCCTGGGAATGCGCAGAACAGAGAGACGCGGCAGGGTGAAGGAGAGGACTGATGAGAAGGGCTTGTTGGGAAACCCTGGCTCCGTCAGGACCCCACCCTGCGAGCTCTCCCTGGAACCCGGGAGCAGGGTTCTTCTGGCTGCCCGGCTGCAGAGAGCTGACCCGGCATCCTGACGCCTCAAATCCCTTTGCCCGCCTCTGCGGGCTGCGGGAGGCGGGGGTTGGCGTGCCTGAGGGTGAGCGCATCTGGGCCGGTGCAGCCAGCGCGGCCTCGGAGCTCCGCTGCTCAGGATGAAGGAAGAGCGCAGACGCGGATCGCGAATGGGAAACTTTCCGCGTCTGGGGCGCAGAGGGAGATCCGAGGCAGCCGGGAGCCCTCTCTTCTCCGCAGAGGAGAGCACACGAGGGTGGGGTCCCTCCTTCCTCCTTCCAAGTCTGTGCCCAGAATGGGGGGCGGGGTGCGAGAAGAGTCCGTGAGAGACGCAAGAGGCGGGCTGTGCCGGAGGAGGGCGCCCTTCCTGGAGGTGGCCGAGAGAGGTGCACCTGGCAGCGGCTTTGCAGGGCCACCTGCCTCCGAGGGCGCAGAGAGGAGCAACCCGCGCCGGCCTTCACGAACGTACTGGCGGTCACTGCTCGGGGAGGGGCACGGCCAGAACGCCCTCGCCGGTTCTGCCCCTTTGGGTGGCAGAGCAAGGGTGCCCGACGCTAGAGAGTCGGGTCTGGCAGGAGGAAGGAGGCCGCTGCCCCTCGCACTGGCTGGGCCGGAAGTCCTTGCCCTGGCTCCCCACTTCCCAGAATCAGACCCTCCAAAGGAGAAACCCACATTTCTCGGGACTCCTGGGCGTGTCCTGGGGCGTTTTCAACTCCTCCAGCCCCCGTGAACCGTGCCTGGGCACTTCTGGGAAGTCCTGCACTGGAGCCTGTGCAGTGGCGCCGGGCTGGGGATGGAGGAGTGGTCCTTAGCCGCTGTTCAGCCCTGGGAAACGTTCCGCTGAGAGCAGGGTGGGGGCAGCCCCAGTTAGGGGTAGCCCACGGCCCCAGCCGGGGGTCTCCGGGATTGCGCGGGCGGAGGTGGGCGGCCCTGCGGGTTCTCGGGTTCTCGGGTTCTCTGTCTCCGCAGCCGCGTGTCAGCAGGTGGATGGGATGGAGGGGCTGTCTCCGCTAGGCCGCCGCAACCGCAACGCCGAGACTGCGGGGGCTGTGCGCGCGCGAGCGGGTGTGACGACTTTATATATTTATCCTCCCTTCACACGCCCCCTTCCCACTGGGCGGGGCCTCTGGCGCGGCAGGGTTTCTTCTCCAGCCCCAACTGGGGGAGTTAAGGGCCCTAATCCCTTGCAGGCTGCCTCGCCCATGCCCCTCCAGCGTGGCCCCGCCCCTAGCCATAAACTCCACCCCTCTTCCACCCCATAACCGCTCTGCAAATGGGAGTTTTTCATTTTCGTGTTTTAAGTGCAGAGAATATTCGAGCTGGAGCGACCTCGGAGATCACTCACTTCGGTGGTTTTGAAACTTGTGTGTTTTTCTTTTTCTTTTAAGTAGGAAAACCCTTTTAGAGGAAACATTATCACCCTCCTAAAATCCCAATACCTTGAGCAAGATGATAGATCTTAAAGTAAAGCTGCCCTGGTGGATGCTGGGGATGAGGCCCACATCGAGCGCTCCTTCCACACAAGTCTTTCACAACCTCAAGACTGCTCCCTTCCTCCGCAGCTAGTATTGTAGCTGGGGTTTTGTTTTTCCAATAGCCCCGATTATATGGATCAGCTGCGATGTGTCAAGCAGGATGCTGGCTGCTGCTTCGCAGTCCTCATTCATGCTGCAAGATAGATTTAAGACCTTCTTTTCACAGATTAGGAAACTGAGGTTCTGAGGTTTAAGACTTGTTAATGACAGAAGTACAGGCTCCTTCCGCTCCCTCCTAGTTCTGCCCCAGGCTCCTCTTTCCGCTGAATCTTCCTTTCCTCTCTCTGGCCGCAAAGAATCCCTTGGGCAGGGCATGTGAGTAGAGAAGGACCCAGGTCATCTGAGTGATGCCTCAGATCTGCCTGCTACTCTGATATTTCAGAACGTCAGTCACAGACACACTTGAACTTCACTACACTCTGGCAAGATGGGCAGAGGACGGAGTAGGGGAAGGAGGTGGAGGAGCTTAGGGGACTTGCTTAGTTAGGTGCCTGGTTTATAGTGGTGTGTGACTTCAAAGGCAGAGACCGACAAAATAGAGGCTGTTTAGTTCTATTAACTGGGTTTCCTGGGATCTGTAGAGGTATTTAACCTAGGCAGTTGACAGCCTGGCTTACCACCTTGCCCGCCTCCGCTATAGCCCCAGGCCACCAGGAATTCATTTATTCATGCATCCAACAAATGCTTATTGTACACTATGTGCCAGACACGGTGCTGAGCATTGGGAAAACGGCCCTGAGCTTGGTAGAGGAGTCCCCTGCCTCTATGGTGTTTAAGGCTCAGTGGGAAATTGATGCTTCATTTAGAGGGAGGAAGGGGCTATTATCTCTCTCTGGCCCTAACTGAGCTAGGTGTCACGCCATGTGCTTTATCTTTCTTGTCTTACAGAATCCTTACAAGCACCCTGAGAAGTAAAATGAAGTCCATTTTGTAGATGAGGAAACTGAGGCTCAGAGAGGCTAGGTGACTTTGCCAAGGCTGCAGAGTCATTGAATGGCAAGCAGGAATTCAGATACAGGGCCCTCTGACTCCCTGGCCTGTGCTTCCTCCCTCCATGCTCTGCTGTCTCCTGGTGATCATTTCCTGAGCCCCAGCCACATGGATGTGTCCAGTCTCCTGTCTGGATGCCTGACTCCTTCCCAAACCCACACTGAAATAGAATCATCCAGGGTGTTCATCTGCACAGATGGGAGAGGGAGTGTCCCTGAAAGCTATTGCCATCACCAAGAGAATGAATAGGCATCTGCTGTGGGCAGGGCACATGTGAAAAGAGCAAGGCCTATGAGTGTGATCCTCATCCCAGGGCAGCGAGAGACTGGGCATGTTTCCGAAAAGATGAACGACAATCTATTTTGTCCATCCTCCCTCTCCACCTCCTTTCCTCCCCCATCCACTCCTGTTCCCTTCCTCTCTTTTTTCTTTTTGCCTTCTTTTTTCTTTTTAAATAAAAGGAGGTTCAGGATCTTTTGTAAGTGGAGGAACTGGGAGTTTCAAAACCAGGTCTGAAGCAATCCAGAGACAGCTGCTTTTTCATCACTGGAAAGGGAGTACAGCAGCCCTTACTACTTGTAGGAGGCTGCAAAGCTGTTCATTTCAAATGATAAATGTCAGTGGTGGTAAAACACATGAGATCACTTCCTAGGAGGTGTCCTTCTTTAGGATGAAATTCCAGGGAAGATTGGGGTGGTGAGATCCTGGAACCCACCTTTATGCTACAGTGAGCTCCAGGAGTGGAGGGGGCTCATGTTCACTAAGACCCCCGGCTAAGATTCCATGGATGGAGCAATAAAGGTAGTGTGTATGGGGCTGGAGATGCAGGCCCTGTTCAGTCACCTCTGCAGCCCAAAAGAGCAGGAGAGACAGGTCGTGGGCAGGGTGTGGCTTGGGGGTGGGGTTTTTCTGAGACCCAGACTTTAGTCCCCTCCCAGGAAAGGAATCTGGTGTTTGGTTTTTCCACCAGCCTTTGTTACATCTTCTGGCCACATACTAAATTTGCTTTGGGAAATCACACCAACCCCGCACCCCACCCCCACCCCACCCAACACATAAATTGCATGACATCTTGGTGGGTGAAACTACTGGGTAAGGCATCCCCAAGATGGGCCCTGGAATCTGAATATTGAGCGGAGTGTCACAAAGACTGAGAGACACTAGAATGTCCCCCTTGCCCCTGGGACCCCCAGGAAACCGTCCTTTGTTGGTTTCCTGAGACTGATAATGATGGGACCTATCTCCCAGTGTACTGAGAGGGTGGAATCAGGCATTACAAGCAGAGCTCTTAGCTCAGTCCCGTGGGCTCTGATGCTTGTTACTAGTGTTAACCATGGTAACGATGAGTACCCGCTGAAGCAGCCCCAGTCCTTGCGTTACTCGACTTTTTCGTAGTGTTCTCATTGGTTACATTTTTTGGCTTGAGAGTCTAGTGTCAATTTCTGCTGCTTGCAAGGAAAGGATCCCATGTGATAACCTCTCTAGGTGTGATGACCAGTGCCAGCCTTGGAGTTGCCAGTCAGTGCACTCTTGGTAATGCACAGAGGATGGTTCATGGCCCTCTGGCTGGGGGTGACCAATCCCACCGCCTGCCCTCTGTCTTTCCCTGGAGTCTTGAGGCCCATTGAGTGCAGTGTGAGACTCAAGTTGTTCCCCGCTAGTAAAATGTACAGATGGAGGCCAATCTTATAGTGAACTTCCAATCCCCTGACCCACTAGACCCTGCTCCACCCAGGCAGGGACCCCATCTGGTTCTGTTCACTGTTGAGTCCTCCACAAAACACATAGCAGGTGCTCAGTCAGGTTGTTTGTTTGGGTGATTAGGCTACCTCTGGCCTTGCGACATGTGCAACCTGGTTTTGAAAAAGACTGAGCATGTGGCTTTCTATTTCTATGGAAAATTGTGTGAAAAGGCTTATAGCATGTGGAATTGAGGCTGGACTTGCAGGTGGACTTCCTGGCAGCAAAGATGTTCTGATCCTGGAACTACATTCTTTCTTTCTGCAGTTTCTCAGATAAAGTAGCAGAGGCCCTGACTAGATATCTTAACTCTCTACCTGCTGGCAGTACTTGAAAATGCACAAAACACTTCCACGCCCATTATTCCATTTAGACCTCACATCACACAGGGAGACAGCTAGTCTTGTACCTGTTGAACAGATGAGGGAAAATGAGGCCCAGGAAGATGAAAGGATGGCAGTAGGCAGTGGCTGGACTGGAACCCAGATTCTGTGGTTGCGAGCTCAGCCTTCCTCCCATCCTCAACCCATTGCTGGACTTCATTTAGCCACAGGGGTCTGGCATGAGACAGGTCAGTTTCCCATGTGCTTACAGGCCAGTAAGCTTTGACCTCAAGTGTGCACTGTGAGCTGTGTGCTGCTGTAGCCACTTTGCTGCTGTGACTTCCTCTATCCTCCACTGCTGTCCAGGTGGGTGTTATATCCCCAGTCCACAGGTGAGGACACTGACATGCCCAGGGTCACACAGCTTGAGACAAGAGCTCACTGTCTCCCCTGTCTCCACAGTCTTGTCCTGCTCAGAGATTTCTGGCCTTAGCTTCTCCATCCTCCACCTCCTCCCCCACTTCCGCCCTTTCTTGGCTCAGAGAGCAGACATCTGCCCTCAGCTAGCACAGTCCCTGGCTCCCCATAAGGCTTTCTCCAAGTTTCTGCTCACCCACATCCTCCCTCCACAGCCCCCCACCACACACACACAGACTCAGGTGTGCCCTAAGCATGTTGGCAGCAGTACTTTTGGCAACACTTTGAAAGCAGCCCTCCTTGGGGCTGGAGATCGTTGGGGATAGTCTCCCTCCTGAACAGAGCTATTGAGGGTGAGCATCTCTGCACCCTCGGCCCTGGCACCAGGCCTGGCTCTGAGCACATAGATCCTGAAGATGTGTTTGTTGAATGAATGAATGATGTCTCCCCTGAGCCTGAGGTTTGGTTCAAACACCAGACCCAGGCTTGTTTCCTGGCCCTGCTCAGTTGCCTCTGGAAGTCCTTTCTGGTGTGAGAATGTGTCCATTGTCCTTCTCCATTCCATGGACCACAGTGGCATCACAGCTGGCATCTGGAGGAAGGGCCAACACTGCAAGGTGATGGGAAGACCAAGGGGACTTCGTGTCCCCTCTATGTTCTCCTTGGAGAGGGGACTGTCCTAGATGGGTGATGGGGATTTGGGAAGGTAAAGAAAGAAGGAAGGAGGGAGGAAAGGAAGGAAAAAGGTTGAGAAGGGAGGGAGGAAGACAGGAAGGAAGGAAGGAAGGAAGGAAGAAAGAAAGAAAGAAAGAAAGAAAGAAAGAAAGAAAGAAAGAAAGAAAGAAAGAAAGAAGGAGAGGGAGGGAGGGAGGGAGGGAGGAGCAAGCATTCACCGAGCAGCTACTATGTGCCAAACCCTGTGCCAGACATGTTCACACATAACATCATACTCAACTATCCCAGAAATGCCTGTTTGGGAGATAATATTCTCCCCCTTTACAGATGAGTAAAGAGGCTTGGAGAGATTGTGTGACTTGCCTGAGTGAGGGGCAGAGCCAGATTCACACCCAGGCATTGATTTGCACATCTCTTCCCAAATCTGAGTTTCTCCCATTGGTAGCTTGAAATAGACCATTACTGGAGTATTCACACAATGGAAATCGGCAAACTATACATTGGGGCCTCCCTCACCCGAGAATTGGTTGTTACACACTTGCCAGCACATCCCTGGGTATGCCCATCCTTCCTAATCCCTCCCTGTCTCTGTGGGGCAGCCACCTGCGGTTAATGTGCTTTGGTTTCCATCTGCAATGGGCTCCTGTTGTCCACCACTTCCTAACAAAGTATCCTTGGGCAAGACACTCGCTGTCTGAGTCATAGTTTCCCTGTCTTTTAAAAATGGAGGGTGAGTGAGATACAGCAATAACACATGAGAGCTTTTGGCATGTAACTGGCCTCTCCCTTCCTCCTGATGGGGCCAGCAGGCCATGGAGACTCTGAGGAGAGTGGGGTCACTGTTTCTTCTCCCTCTGCTGGAGCTGCTTTGGGCGAGAAGTCCACGATCCAGTCACTTCCATTAATTAAGCAGCTGCCCCAGGCCTGATTCTGGACTGACAGAGACCTCTCGGGGAGTTTCAGGTTGTGGGCAATCCCACATTCATTGAGAACAATTAAAAATCACATGTAATCAAATGGCCAATACAGGGCTTGAACCAAGCTTATGTCTTTGGGGATTAAAGGGAGTGGCCCAGGAAGGCTCTGAAGGATTGAAACAATCTTGCCAGGTCAGGAGTGGTTTCCAGGCAGGAGAAACAGCACATGCAAAGGGCTGGGGAAGAGAGGGGAATGCCATCTGGGCAAGTGAGGGTTGGAGCTATGAGGCTCCTGGCCTTGCTTAAGTGCAGGTCCTGGTTGAGAAGCTGGGGAGGAGGATGGAGGAGTTGGCAGAGACCTGCCTGCTAGGAAAGCGGTCTGGATTTGAGCCCATGGGCTGAGGGGAATGGTTTAAAAGAGTGGAGTGGCATTCCCAGAGCAGGGCTCTAGGAAGATTAATTTGGCTTTTCTGGGCCACCTGAAGCTGGAAGCTCTTTTGAACCTCCACTGGGTTATAAATGGTTGCTCTGGGTTGCCCAAAGAAACGATGGACTCCAGAAAGAAATGCCATCGTTTGGAGATGGCCCACTTCTCCCAGCACATCCTGACCCAGTGAGGAGGGAAAGCCAGGCCCTTGCCCAGGCCCTACCAAGATTGCACAGCCTTGAATGAGACTGCCCCAGCCTGAGTGTGTACCTTGGGCTTGACCCAAGAGTGAAGGGAGGAGGAGCGCGGTCCTGGGGAGAAGCTTCTAGATCTCCAATGGGCATGGGCTTTGTAGTCTAACCAGCTTTCAGATTCCACCTCCACCACTTGTCCAATTTGTGGACTCAAGTAACCTCTTCATTATTTTACCCTTGGTTTCTTCAACCGCACTTGTCACTCTTCATGGTGGCCTCGTCTGGTGGGGGCTGCTGGGAAGCGTGAATGGATAATACCAGGAGGCCATATGCACAGTGGCTAGCATACAGCAGGTGTTTGAAAAGTGGTTGCTCCCTTGATGATGTTTGGCTCCCCACCATGTGGTAGGAGCACCCTCCAGGTTTGAAGGGAAAGAAGTGTTTATAACCCTTGATTCCCAGGAGGAGAGGATGCATGGCAGGTTTCCCCATGTGGATCACTGGAAGAACCTTTGGGTTTGGAATTACAGAGCATCTGAGCCAGAAGGGAGCTGGGAAATTATCTGCACTGTCTCCTCTCTCCCCATTTTACAGACAAGAAAACTGAGCCCAGAGAGAGGAATGAGTCCTTCTTTGTTGCATGCACTGAGCATGATGTGGGGGGCAGGTCTTCTCCTTCAATGTCAGGGACCTGTCCCAGGGCTTGGCCAGGTGGACCCACCACCTGAAGAGCCTGGCATGGGGAAGCCTCTGGGTCCCCTGAAATTGGGTGGGGACCTTGGCAGCACTTCAGTAGGGAGCAACCCCCAGCCTCCTACATCACAGGACAGCTTGGGAGTCGCCACGGAGAGAAGCAGCTGAGCCTTTGGGGTTTTTTTTTGTTCCTTTGCCAAGCTGTTCCCTTTGCCCTTTTGTTTCTCTTTCTACAGAGGCGCTCAGCGCTCCTCTGATGGGCTTGTTTGTCACCAGTCGTTGGTGCTTCCTTTATCTCCCCAGCACCATCTCTTCCTCCTTTTTTCCCTAACGCCGCCCCAAAGGAAGGCGTTCATCACAGGCTGCCCTGGCATCATTCTGGGCTGGGCTGGGCTGGGGGAGGGGCAGCACAAGCGTCCGATACACTGGCAGAGGCTGGGGCAGCTGGAGGGTGGGTAGCTGTGGCATCTTGAGCTGGTGCTCACCGCCCGAGTGCTCTGGTTTTGTCGAGTGGGTATTCAGACCATACAACAGCCAAGAGCTGAAGGAAGGCCAGGTGTCTGGTTCTACAGAAGCAGGTGATGAGTTGCTAATTGTTACCCAGCACCTAATGTCCCAGGCAGGGGCGGAAGGAGTGAGGTGGGGGGCGGCAAAGGCAGTCACCCCACAAAGACTTCTTTGTTTCCGTCTGCAGCAGAGAAGTGGGTCTGATCTCAGCTTGGAAGGGAAGAGGCATCAGAAGGCCAATTCCTAGGGCCTGTTGCCTGGCTGGGGAGCTTTTGGGAAGGTGGGGGGAAGAAGGACAAGTTACCCCATGGAGAGCATGGGGGTTACCTCATGGGGAAGAGTTAGTCATTCCCAGGCCAGTCTGGCTTGCAGAAAGCAACTTCTTGTTTCAGGAAGCAATATAGTCTCTTCCTCCCTCCCTCCCTTCTTTCTTTCCTTCCCTCCCTCCCTCCCTCCCTTCCTTTCTTCCTTCTTTCCTTCTTTCCTTGTCTGATTGAGGAACTGAATTTTGTTGAAATCAGCTAAATAGAAGCTAAGACACCTTACTTAGTTTTCATTTAAACATCAGTAGTCACACATGGCTATGTATTGATTGGAACAGTGCAGCTCTAGACTGTAAGCCCTAGGAGGGCAAGAACTTACCTATTCCCTTCTTTCCTTCCTCCCTTCCTCCCTTCTTCCCTTCCCTCCTTCCTTCCTTCTCTGGCTCTTGTTCATTTATGCAGCAGATATTTATTGGATGTTTCCTGGGGGTCAGGCACTGTGTTGGGTTCTAGAAATCCAGAGGAGGGCAAATAGGCAAGTTCTTGCCCCACTGGGGCTTACAGTCTAGGGCTACGCTGTTTCAATAAGTGGCCATGTGTGACTACTGACATTTAAATTAAAACTAAGCAAGTTTTCTCAGCTTCCATTTAGCTGAATTCTACACATTCAGTTCCTCAATCACCTGAGTCACATTTTAAGTGCTCAACAGTGATTGGCGGCTAGTGATGACGGTATTGGACAGTGCACTTCCAAAAGCTCTACTGGACAGCACTGGTCTAGGACAATGTTCCTCTTTGGGTGTGGCATGCCCACTGACAGGAAGAAAGTAACAAGGAATCATAGCAAGGGGGTGGCTTTCTCTTTTCCTTTCTCAGATTGTCCTTCTGGCTGTGCCAAGGAGAAGGTCTCAGGCTGATGCCCTCAAGCTTTAATGCCCCTCTATCACATGCTGATTTCTTTCCAACATAAAGATAATAGGTCTGGGGCAACAAGCCTCCAGCGAGCCAGAGGGGGCAAGGCTTTTAATAACGGTGTTTTTTTTTTTTTCATTGTAATTATTTTTCAGTCACTCTCTGTTTAAGGCAACTGGTACCAATTTGCCATTTGGGGCAGTGATTTAAATTCTCCCTCTTTTAAAAAAATGGCTTTATTTAAGTAAAAAATGAGTCAAGTTAAAAATGTTAAGTACATAGTGGAGCAGGTGGCATGCAGATATGGCCAATCTGTGAAGGTGGTGGATGTGAATGTCTGCAGTTAGAAACCTCGGTTCAGATGGAACCACATGGGCTTCTGGAGGCACCACCATTTCTATGTTCTGTGATCCGGGGAACAAGTTACTTCAGTCCTTATCAATCAGGTTCTGGCAGGAAACGGCAGGCTCAGCCTGGAGCGTCTGAGGAGGACTTGTTCAAGGGACTATTTGCATAGGATTTCTGGAAAACCGCAGGGGATGGTGCAGCCCCTTGGAGCTAGAAGAGTGGGGCACTTTCTACCTATAGCTTGGAGGAGTAGATGTAACCAGAAAGCAGGCTGGGCTGTGCCAAGAGGACTGCCAGACAGCCAGGCGGCCCTGTGTAGAGGACTGCAGCCAACTCTTGGGGGCCTGGCAGGAAGCTGGAGGGAGAAATACCCCAACTTTACCCTCTTCCTGCCTTTGGGTCCCTTGATGGTGCCACCCATTGATCAAACCCTATTGAAAGCCCATACAGATCAGCCTCCAAAGTGCAGAGCTGGTAGAAAGGGAAGAGAACGAGCTGGGGTCCAAGTAGCAGAGATCCAGCACAATTCTGCTAAGCCTCAGTTTCTCCATTTATGAAATGCTCTACGATGCTCATTGTACCTGACAGGGTTGTGGCGATGGTGCAATGAGACAACATATGTATAGCTAATGATTGGTAGCTATTTATATTTATAACAACAGCAGCAAAACGGTGCCTACTCTGCAGTCCCAGGCTCCATGGTAGATTTTTCCTGAGCTAGGAAGTAGCATATGAGAATGGGGTTTTAGGGTACAAGGTGGAACTGGCTTTTCGGCAGCATGTGAATTTGAAGGGGCAGACAACATTGGAGGCAAATTGCAGCTTGCAAAGCGGAAGCACTAGCGCTCTCCACAGGCTGGTATTGACCTTTGCAGTGTGTCCTTCCTACTCTGGTCTCTTCGACATCTCCACATCTCCCCTGTGCCCTAGTCCATCTCACTGATTGATTACTTCACCCCAGGGCTTACCTATTCGTCATTCCCCAGTCTATTTTCCACCCTATTTCACACGGAGACGTTCTTTCTCCTTAGATCCATTTAGGTCATCTTTCCACCATCCCCACTGGCTCCTATCATGTGCAGCCTGGTCCACATCAGTTATGAAGAGGCTCAAAGCTGTCTCCTTCCAAATGGAAGGCAGGTACTCTCCAAGCCTCAGCTACTCCTGCCAGAGGCTACTTTCACCCTTGCAGATGGGGGAAGGGAAGATACTCTTGAGTAACTTAGCACTTTGGACCACTGGATCTTTATCCTTCATCTGAAAGCTGGAAGTGCCATTGCCACTTTTAGAGGGACCTAAAGGAGTAGCTGGAGCTCAGGGAGTAGCTGGCTTCTACGTGGAGATAAATATTCCTCAGGAAAACTTCCACCGGCAGTCCTCTTAGCTCCCAGCTACTAAGTTGGCTGAGGTGGCTTTTCTCACGATCCTCTATTTCCCTTTGTCCAGCCCCTTTTCTCATCTACCTGACTGTTGAAATTGACTTTGATGAGGACTAATTTTGTCCGTTGAAATTCATGAGACGCTTACCCATTTGGTGCTTTGCTGAAATTGCCGTGACAAATACCAGTGGCAATTTCTTCCCTGGCTCATTCTCTAAAGTACTCTGGGCAAGACAGAGTGCACCTGCCCTCGCCGACATGCCATCTGTCGGATCTGCCATCCTCCACCAGCCCTGCTGTTGGCCCTGCCCCGATGCAGGTCCATCTCAGCCATTCCTACGTGCTCAGTGGTGTGTGACCCTTTAGGAGGAGATGGGTTGCCTAAGGGGGACAAATATGCCTTAGGGGGAAAAATTTCACCCACACCCCCATTGGCTCTCAATGTCCAAGTTGGCTGAGGTGATATTCCTTTACCCAGCCCCTGTTCCATGTACCCGACTGTCCAAATTGCCTTTGATGAGGACTCATTTTCCAGTTGAATAAGGGGACACGTTCTGTAGGCCAGTCCTCCATCACAGGCAGGTGCACCACTTCTGTCTCCTTGAGCCAGGTCCTGGGTCACCAGGATGGCTTTGGTCACCCATGAGTCTCATTTGCCTGGGCGGTAGGGGTACTGCCTTATGGCTTGTGAGCTCCGAATCCCTCCCTGGTCTGAGCCTGGACACACTGCAGAGATTGCCAAAGAAACCTCAGTCACCCTCTTCACGACTTTTGTCATGTCTATGTCTCATCTGTGCTTTTTTCTTTTCTTTTTTCTTTCTTTCTTTCTTTTTTTTTTTTTTTTTTTTTTTTGAGATAGAGTCTCATTCTGTTGCCCAGGCTGGAATGCAGTGGTGCAATCTCGGCTCACTGCAACCTCCGCCCCCAGGGTTCTCATGCCTCAGCCTCACGAGTAGCTGGGATTACAGGTGCATGCCACCATACCCGGCTAATTTTTGTATTTTTCATAGAGACAGGGTTTTGCCATGTTGGCCAGGCTGGTTTCAAACTCCTGACCTCAAGTGATCTTCCTGCCTCGGCCTCCCAAAGTGCTGGGATTATAGGCGTGAGCCACCACGCCAAGCCACCCCAACTGTACTATTTTTTACACCATCATTTTCTTAAAATCAAATTTCAATAATGGACTTCTTCTTTTTTGGCTTGTCTGGTTCCAGGGAATAATGTATGGGTTTGTTGTATTGACTGTCGATTTTTTTTCTTTTTTTTTTTTTTTGAGATGGAGTCTCGCTCTGTCACCCAGGCTGGAGTGCAGTGGCACGGTCTCGGCTCACTACAACCTCTGCCTCCTGGGTTTAAGCAATTCTCCTGCTTCAGCCTCCCGAGTAGCTGGCACTACAGGTGCATGCCACCACGCCCCAGCTAATTTTTTTTCTGTATTTTTAGTAGAAATGGGGTTTCACCATGTTGCCTAGGCTGGTTTTGAACTCCTGAGCTCAGGCAATCTGCCCGCCTTGGCCTCCCAAAGTGCTAGGATTACAGGCATGAGCCACCGCACCCAGCCAGATTTTTTATTAATTCATATTAAGATAAATATGTGAGTATTTGAAATTTTTGAGAAGCTTCTCTCATACCATCTTAGCATCAGCCTGTCAGCTGCTTTGGAAAATACCAGTTTGGTAGGAAGGGCACCAGCCTAGCAGTTTTGGACCCTAGGATCTGATTTTAACTTCTCCATTAATTTGCTGTGTGACTATCCCACTCTCCCGGGTCCGTAAAATGAAAGGGTGAGTCCGGATGATCCCATTCTAAGATTATTCGATGGGCAATAGGATTTAGAAGGAACACCCCACCTATGCTCAAAATATTTTTTAAAGACTAATTTGATGCCTTCCCAGCTTCCTGCCTCTAGGATGAAGCATCTGCCTCTAGAGAACCCTGGCAAAGAATAGCTGTGCCAGTGACAAGGGATGCTCCATTTCCTGGGAGCATAGGACAGAGCCTTATTCCAGCTCCAGTCAGCAGCCCTGCACCAAGCATCTGCTCTGGCTCGGGCCTTCTACTAGGGCTGGGGCTCCAGAGACAAATAAGACCCAGTGCCTGTCCTCAAGGAATTCATAGTCTCTTGGGGCTGATAGGCAGGCAAACAAATAAATCATGGCATAATATTGGAAATTCTAAGGTTGACATAGGTACCAAGTCCTAGGGAGAGTGCAGAAAAGGGAATGCTTAATCTGCTTGAGGTGTGGAGGAGAGTCACAGATCACTAGAAGGGGTGATGCATGACTGGGTCTTGAAGGATGCATAGGAGTTTGCCAAGTAAAGAAGGGAGTGGAGGGATCTGAGCAGGATACAACAGCAAGGATAAAGGCCTATAGGCTGGAAAGGGCCTGGGGCACGTGGGAGAGTCGGGAGGCAGGGGTGAAGGATGTGTATTGCAGGTAAGAAGTGAGGCTGGAGGGGACACAGGGGACAGATGAAGTGCATTTGCTGGAGGTAAGCCAGTCCTGCAATTAGACAAATTCCCTAGCTGTAGGCCCCCTGGCCCACTGGCATTCACGGAGGCCTGGACTCTGCTGGCCCCACCCTGGGAAGCATGAAGCCCCCCTTTCCCACTGAAAATGCCACTGGTGCTGTTTGCCCCATGCAGACAGGAAGAGCACTCCAGAGGGACAGGGCTTCAGAGCAAGAAGCAGAGGTTGGTCTTTTGACAAGGTGCTGCCTCCTTCTAACCCAGGCCCTGCAGCTGCGACAGCCACACTAGTTATAAAGCAGCCCCTCTCGGCTATATGGATCCAGAGAAACATTGAAGCCAAAATAGGGGTGTGGCCAGGTCCAGGCTCTCTTCTTCCTGGACCTCCTCGTCCTCACCTGCAAAGTGATAACAGTAGCAAATGCTTATTGAACACTTGCTGTACCCCAAGCACTGTGACAAGCTCCTGCTTGTATTACCTCACTCCTAAAATCTTTGCAACCGCTCAGGAGGTGCATGCCACTAGTATCCTCATTTTACAGGAGAAAGAACTAGTGCAGAGAGGTTAAGCCACCGGCTAAGGGGTTGCGCAGCTTGTAAGTGGCCATGCTGAGTTTTGAACCCATTTGGCCTGCTTCCTGTACTCTCTGCCTTCTTGCTTCTCTGCAGAAATCCCTTCCAACTTGACCTTCTGTGATTCTGAGGCTGCTTGGACTTCCCATCCTGACCTTATGTGGCTCTTCGTGTCTCAGGGGCTCCAGCTACAGCTGGAGGTGGCCCCGGACCCCGTGGCTGGGCTGCTGTGGAAGGTCACAGGGCTGCCCTTCCCTGCCTCGGCAGTCACTGGATGGCAGCTTGGCTCTGCTGTGTTGTCTCTGGCCTCGTTATTATTATTACTTCTTTCCAGCATGCTGCTAAAAGCTTCCCGCAGACAACACACAATCCAGCTCTTTAAAATTTAAAGGGCTTTACTTAAACAATGTTATTTCCCTCGGAAAGGAGACAGAAGAGGCATATGCGATAGTTATATTTAGTGCGGCGTGTGGGTCTGAGCAGATGAGTGTGGTGTTTGGTGGGTGTGCAAGTGACCAGGGAGATGTCATCCATGGTGATGGGGCCAGGGCAAAGGCACTCGAGGGGAAGATGTGCCGCCAGCATCCCCTCCCTCTCCTTCCCCAGAAAGTGTGGCCTCAGAGAGAAACTACTGTGCAACGTTCTGGGAAGAAGAGGAGGATGGTTGCCATCTGAGGGACTCACTGGAGAGACATAAAACTGGACAGGAGGCCCTGTCCCCCTGCCACACAGGCTCTCAGCACTGAAGACACAGCACTCCCAGCTGCCCCAGGGCCTTTGCACATGTGGTTCGAACTCTGCGGGAACCCACCTTCTTCTTTGGACTATATCTTCTTCATGATTCAGGTCTCATCTGGGACATCACTTCATTCATTCAACATGTATTTTCTGTGTACCTACTATGTTCACAACACCATGGGGCACAAAGACCAGTTGTGACTCCTCTTCATGTCCCCTGAGTCTGGCACAGGTCCTGGTGCAGGGCAGGTATCAGTACATGTTTAGGAAATTACCAAGGCCTGTGTGGATGCTCTGGGGTCTGGAGGACAGATACGGCTACCTCGTTGGAAATTTACAGCAGAGACATCAAGAACTCTGAATGAACTGATTAAAGCTGGCAGAGCCATACCTGCTCAGGGAAGGAAGGGAGAGTTCACTTCCTTTCTCCTTTAGTGCATCTATTGATTCATTCATTTATTCATTCAACTCATGTTTATTGGACCCCTGCTATGTTCCAGATAGTGTGCTGGGCACTGGCGATACAGTGGTGAATAGGCCAAAGATAAAACCTTCCCTCTGGGAGCTTACCTTCTAGAGTGTGTGACCAGCCAGCTAACACATACGTGAACAGATAACGTAAGGAAGTAGTAACTGCTATGAAGAAGACTAAGACCCAGAAGAGTAATGGTGAAGTGTGGGGGTTCAGGATTGGGCAGGGGCCCTATTGATGGAATATCTATGTTCCAGACCCTGCGCAGGCCTTGGGGCTGCCAAGAAGTCAAGAAAGGTAATCAACAACTACAGGAAATGTTCAGGAAAAAGGAGGAAGCCAGGATAACCCAGTTAGTAGTGACCAGGGGAGGCTTGCTATCAGGGAGGACTTCGGTGAGGTTCTGAGAGCTGAGTGGGGCCTTGAAGGATGGGAGGCCATAGGCAGGACTTAGCAGCCGGCCTTTGGTTTTCAAACTGTGCTCCTTTGAACCCCAACTTCCCATAGAGGTGCCCCAGGGGACCACTTTGGGAGGCGAGAATGTGGCTCAAGATGATGGTTGAGGGGGTTCTCGTGCCCCAATCAAGCTGAGAGCTCGCTCGCTTTGGCTCTTTCACAGATGGGGCTTCAGTTCCAGCTTCACTTTGAATGAAAATAAAATAGCCAAGAAAAGGAATTTGAAAATGAGTGGGCTGGATGATGGGGAGGAAGTGCAGGCCATCTGGGCTGGGGGAGGTTCTGGAGATTTTCTGCTTGGTTCCACCCTCCTTTCCTCCACATGTGGGGAAACTGAGGATTAGAGAGGCCTTTGGGTTGTCCCAGGTCATCAGCAGGAGGGGGCCAGATCTGGGATAAATGCCTCTGACTTCTGCCTCTTTCCAAGCTGGGAGGGAGGCCTGTGAGAAAGCCCACCTTGACTCTGACCCTGGACCCGAGGCTCACAGCTGCTGTTGGGGATCCTGACTGCGGCAGTGCCCCCCTACTTGTGGCTCCTCCACCCCAAGCCCAGCTGCAGGACACCCCTTCTGAACCTCTCCTCTGCCAGCCCAACTGGCCTGCCCCACCCTCATGGGAGCCCTGAATTAAACGAAATATTTTATGATCCCATGCTTCGTTATGTTTTATTAAAAGAGCTGGTGCTGGCTTCCGCTGGCACAGCTGCTGGGCCCAGTCCTGAGGCTTCCTCCCCCCACACCCCCTCCAGAGCCGACAGCTGCCACCCATCCTCCACCCCTACCACCAGGAACAGCCAGGGTGTCAGGTGCTGATGAGATGAAGGGAAATCCTGCAGGTGGGGACAGATTGGGGAATTTGGAATGATAATCCTGCCTGGTGTTCACACATCCCATTAGATGCCCCTCACCCTGCATTTCTGACCCTCCCCACGTACCCCATGCAAATACAAGCCCAGGCTGTTGTCCCTTCCCAGGCTGCTCATGTTCCATCTACCAGTGACCACATGGAACTCCTTGCTCTCAGCTAAGTCACTGGCTAGATGGGTCATCTTGAACAGAGCACATGACCACACTGAGCCTCAGTTTCTTATCTGCAAAATGGGAGTTGGCCAGGTCAGGCAAGGGCTTTGGCCTCATGGGCTGACATTCTGGTGGATGAGAGAGGAATGAACATACAGATACATAACCTACCTCTGGCTGTGGAGCTATGTGAGGGGAGTACAGCAGGGCTGTGGGATAGTGAGGGACTCGGGAGCAGAGCAGCTTCTCTAGATTGGGTGGTCAAGGAAGGCTTCTTGGAGGAGGTGCCCTATGACCTGTCAGTTTCAATATGGAAGTCATGAGGAAAGAGTCCTGGCATCTAGATATTTCTGGTGGAGAAGCAGTCCTCCTCCGGACAGTGCTGTGTGGTATCAGGGCCACGTGGAGAACTTAGGGTGGGGCCTACTTAGGTCTGAATGAGAGCTGAGCCACCTGCTAGATGGGTCATCTTGGACAGGGCACGTGACCGCTTTAAGTCTCAGTTTTTCATCTGCAAAATGGGGGTTGGCTGGGCACTGTGGCTCTTGCCCATAATCCCAGCACTTTGGGAGGCCAAGGTGGGCAGATTGCTTGAACCCAGGAGTTCAAGACCAGCCTGGGAAACATGGTGAAACCTCATCTCTACCAAACAAATAAAGAATAAAATTAGCCGGGCATGGTGGCACACTCCTGTAGTCCCAGCTACTCGGGAGGCTGAAGTGGGAGGATCACTTGAACCCGGGAAGTCGAGGTTATAGTGAGCCATAATTATGCCACTGCACTCCAGCCTGGGTGACGTAGCAAGACACTGTCTTCTAAAAACAAATGGGGGTGAAGCTGAACATCTTTGCCCAAAGCATCTGACATCCATAACTATTTAATTCACGGTGGGCTCCCTCACTAAAGGAGAGAGGGCATTTAATCAGGTCTTCATTCAAGGGAAGAGATTAGTGATACTCTTGGATATTATTATTATTGTTGTTAGCTAATACTAATGGATAACTTACTACTCGTTTATCCAATATTTATTGGTCTCCTACTGTGTGCCTGGGAGGTGGTTCTGAACAGGAGGCAAGAGCTTTGGCTGCATGGGCTGACATTCTGGTGGATGAGACAAGAATAAACATATGGATAAATAACCTACTTCTGGCTGTGAACCTCTGTGAGGGGAGTAAAGCAGGGCTGTGGGATTGTGAGGGACTCAGGAGCAGAGCAGCTTCTCTAGATTGGGTGGTCAAGGAAGGCTTCTGGGAGGAGGTGCCTTATGAGATGAGTAGGGAAGAAAATAGCAGGAAAAGTCTGGCTCAGCCCTGGTGTTGGCGTCTCCTGGCCAGGGCGTATGTTTGTAGCTGATTCCTTCCCTGGATGGGGCCTTCTCTGGACTCTGACCCCATTGCTGGGAATCTGTCACTGGTAATTCCCTCCCACCAGTGATGCAAGCTCAGCTGGCCCATGACAGTGTCCCCTTTGGCCCTGGGGAGACCCGAGGAAAGAGCATTCCAGGCCCCAGGGAAGCAATTCTAGACCTGTTCTTATTTAATTCTTGCAGAACTCCACGTGGTGGGCCCTACTGTATTCTCCATTTGCAGATGAGGAGACTGAGACTCAGAGATGAAACTCCCCTAGTGGGTTTGTGGAGGAGCTGGGATTTGACTCCATCACTACTGAGTTAGCCACTGTCTCTTGCTCATTCGCTGTGTGTGTGTGTGTGTGTGTGTGTATGTCTCTGTGTCACATGGGAGGATGATGGAGGGAAAAAGCCCACCCCTCACCTCCTTTTATTTCACCTTGAACCCCAGGATACCTCTGGACAGGGTTGGAGCCTCCAGCGCTTGGGTGAGTGGGCTGAGTGGCCTGGAGCCCACAGAGTATTGATGGCTCTCAAAGCTGGCAGGCATTGGGAGGCAGAAAGGTATTAATTAGCAGTTATTCCCCAGCAGTGGGGAGATGGATAGAGATTAAGGTGGCGGTCCGTGCATCCGTTTTGTAGCAGCTGAGGAGCAACAGTAAGTCAGTGCTATGAATCGATACTGTAAGAGGGAGATACGTTTTAATCTTATTAGCAGTATAGCGTTATGGGGAGAGAGGCAGGAGAATTCCTCACTCAAGGTGCCTGGGTCAGGAAAAGGGGAGAGAGAGTAACCGGGGCTTGGACCATCTGGGAGGGCACCAGGATGGCAAATTTTACTCAGGTTGGGAAAAGGCAACGGGCAGGGAAATGAGAGGTGGGAGAGGAGGTGAGAGGCAGGAAAGGAGTGCTGGGTCAGCAGAGGGGGACCCTTCCAGTCTTCCCAAGGGTGTCTGTCATGGATGCAGTTCTCTCATGTGCCCCCTCTAGCTCCTCCCCATGAATAAGGGCTCTGAGTTGGACATTGGTTCAACCACGCCACCTCGATGAGCCTCTGACTCTGGCACTGGCCCTTCTGAGGTTATTGGCCTGGCCATGCCACCCACGGGCAAGACTCAGAGGCTGAGAAGGGGTCAGTGGGTGGAGGCATACAGGCCAGCACTGTGGGGCTGGTGAGGAGGGAGCCATCATGGAAAGCAGCCTCAGCAGGTGCAGTCTCGTATCGACCCAGCAACCCCTCATGGTAGGCATCTTGTCCCCATGCACAGAGGATATGTTGTGATTTGAATGTCTGTCTCCTCCAAAACTCATGTTGAAATTTAATTGCCATTGTAGCAGTATTAAAAGGTGGGACTGTTAAGAGGTGATTAGGTCACGCGGGCTCCACACTCATGGGTCGGATTGGTGCTGTTATCAATGGGTGAGTCTGGCCCCTCTTGCCCTTCCGCGCGCCTTCCAACATGGGATGACACAGCAAGAGGGGCCTCGTCAGATGCCAGCCTCTCCATCTTTCCAGCCTCCAGAACCATGGGCCAATACCTTTCTGTTCATTATAAATTACCCATGTTGTGATATTTTGTTAAAGCAGCACAAAACAGGCTAAGACAGAGGGGCAGAGGTGCAGGAGGTAAACAGACTTGCTGAGTATGGGCGGCACCAGGACTTGGTCCTACCTCTGAGTGACAAAAGCCCAGTGTCCTTCTGCTCTAAGCACTGGACACCACCCCCCAACCCCATCCCACAAAAGCCGTGGGAAACCCTGTGACCCTGTGAGGTCTGGCCTTTGAGTGTGACAAGGGGCTTAGAAGTGAGACACCCTCTTCTTCTCTTTCTCCCTTGCTTTAGTTCAACTCTTCACACCAGGATGAGAAGTTCCTGTGGGAAGAAGACTGGGAGGAAGAGAAAAGACAGAAACGGAGCAGTCAGGATGAACCATGAGCACCTACCATTCTGTTCCACCCAGGGCAAGGGGCTGGCTCTCTCTGGGCCTCGTTTTCCTTACCAGACCTCTGAGGGCTCTTCTAGCTAGAACATTCTCTGATTCTGTGTCTCTCTCTTCTTAAACCATCAGTTGTCCACTGTATCATGTAATCCTCTCAGTAGCCCCTGTGACATAAACATCATTAGCCCCATTTTCAGGATAGGTAAACTGAGGAACTCAGAAAGGGTTAGTAACTCACCCAAGGTTACACAGCTAGTGAGTGTCAGAGCCCGGATTCAAATCCAGATCAGCTGGCTCTCAGGAGCTCAGAACTCTTCATTACACAGCACACCTCCTTGTCTGAATATCAGGACATTTGTGGAGAAAAAAAATGTTACCTGAGAAAAAAGATGACTCCAGACCGCTTGTGGAGAGCAGCAGCCCTCCTACAGGTGTGCAATGGACCCTCCTGCCACTCAGCCACCTCAGAATCTGTCCATGTCCGGCTGTCCCTGTTGGCCCCCCTGCTCTGATGGCTGAGCCAGCCCTGGAGAATACAGCTCTCACAGCCTGTATGGGGGACCTGAGTGCCCCTCAGCTCTGACAGCCTCGGGCCGGCTGATGGAGATGTCTTTGAGGTCCGCCTAGGCGGCTGAGGACAGAGCCAGGCCCGAGGGAGCTGCATGTCTTGACCTCCTCATTTCCTCTATCCAGGGAGGAGAGAATGGAGCTCCCCGTGGATTGAGAAAAACCCCTCCAGAAAGATGGCCACTGCTAGAGGAAAGGGGTCCAGCTGAGGCTTCCTGTCCCTGCTTGGGGAGGGGCATACCTGAGGCAGATTTTTGTTTTTTTCTTCACGTGTCTCAGAAGCAGAAACCACACTGGTAGCTCAGACATAAACTCCCAACCCTAGCTTCTGAACCCAGAGGTTGATGAAGACATCGCTTTTCCATCCCAGACTGATTTTCTCATCTATACCTCCAGCTAGGAGCACACTGTCATATAAAGTGAACGGATGAAGGATGTGGGAGGCAGTTTCAAATCCTGGCCCACCGCCTACAAGCTGTGTGATGCTGGGCAAGTTACTTCACATCTCTGATGTTATGACAATTAATTGCTACATGTAATTGTTAAGAATCAAATGACATGATTTTATCTCTTTGTTCACTTACAGAAAGGTGTGTTATAAAATTTAATTATATTAGCCATGGTAACACTTGTTGCTATAACAAACCCCCAAATTTCACTGGCACAAGCTCGATAGAAGTTTATTTTTAGCTCACATCACAGTTCACTGAAGGTATCTCTGTAGGCGGGTGGTTTTCCTCCATGTGCTGACTCAGGGATCCAGGCCTCCTTCTGTCTTGTGGCTCTGCCATCTTCTGGGGCACATAGTCCTTTCCAGGCAGTGGAAGAGGAAAGGTAGAGGACTGTCTTCTACTTCTTATAAGCCTGGAAGTGGCACATGCCTTCTCCTTATGGTTCATATACAAAGGTCACTGGCCACACTTGCATACAGGAGAGACTGGGAAATGTATCAAGGTGGTAGGGGTGGGGGTTGAGGGGTGGTTTGCCTTCCAGAGACAACTCTGTATAATGCTGAGGAGGAGAGATATGAATTTTTGGTAGCCAGCTGCTATCTCTACTTTAATAAATACCTCATTTACTTGCCTGCTTTACCCCTTCTGTGAAATCCATGAAGACAGTGTTTCTGTTTGTCTTATTGATCCTGGCTTATTAATTTCTGTAACCCTAGCACCTAACACTGTGCTGGACACAGAATATGTTTATCCAATATCTGGATGAATGGATGGATGGATGGATGGATGGATGGATGGATGGAATGATAGTAAACCAAACCACACTGACCTATGACCTATGACCTATGACCTATGACAAACACACTGACCTATGACAAGGTCATATCTATGACCCATAGATTTGACCCATAGATTTCCCCTGGATTTATGGTCAGCCCTGTGGGCATAGGGCCCTGCCTGACTCATTGACTGTCAGATTCCCATCACTGAGCATGGTGCATGGCAAAAGGCAGCTTTTCAGTGTTTGTTGAATGGAAGCCTTAGAGAAGACCTTTGGAAAGGTCAGTATTAGAATCTGGGCTCAGCCTCAGCAGCCCCAGCCTGTAGGCAGAGGGATGGCCAAGATGGCTGAGATATGAGCTAATTCCCACACTGCAAAATGACCGCAGAGATTTACCCCATGATTGCGTTCTGGGTCCTGGCCACCTCTTGGGCTGTCAGGCAAGGAGGGAGGGAAGCCCCTTTTCTTCTCCCTGGCAAAGACTGAGAGTTGAAACCTCACTTCCAGGGGCCCCACCCAATCCATCCTGTGCTCATGGGTCCCTTGGTGGGCAAGGGGGTGGGGGACCGCTGCTGGGTTTAACAGGGTCTGCAAACTTCCCCATGATGCCCTTAAAAGGTGTCCTGCCATCCCTTAAGCATCTGGCAAGCCTCCTAGCATCTCCCTGTTTTCTTGTACTGGGCGGGGTCTGGCCTGTGGGGCAGAAACAGAGGCTCTGAGCAGGTGGAGGGAGTGGGGGAGGGAGGGGACGGAGACAGGGTTGAGTGTCTTCCTTTCTTCTTGCCAGACCAGTGAGAATTTGGCTTTAAATTTTTAACCTAAATAGAGTTATATTCATTCTCTCTCCCTCTAGATGCAAAGCACTTTTTTGGAGCAATTAAGGAAAAGCATAAATCAGTCCGGTTTTAAAAGCTCAGGCTGACTTTGTGGATTGCTAAAATTAGCGTCTCCATAAAGGAAGAGGGAGGGGGAAGGGAAAGCTGGATTTGGCTTCAAGATACCCATGCACTGAGGCTGGGGGTGAAGCCAGGCCTCTGGCCCCAGCCCCAACCTTCCTGAGGCCCCCAGAGCATGTGAGCCAGGGCTCCGGTTCCATCTCGCCTCTGCTGAGCAGCGGAGCCTTTCTGGTCTAACCCCCATGTCACGGCTTCCCTGATTCCAATTTGGCGGAAGACAGTGGGTTTGCAGAGTGGCTGGGTCTGCACTCGGCTTCACTACACAGCCGCTGTGTGGCCCTGGACAAGTCGCTTCACCTCTCTGGGCGCCCCCGCTTCTCCATCTGACAAATGCGGCTGTAATTTACCCTTCATGGCATTGTCCAGTGGGATCATCTGAGCAAATGTGCTTTGTAAATGGACAGGTGCTCCATGCTGCCGCTTTCAGGTAATCTACAGCCTCCTCCACCTGACTGCACTGCCAGCCCCCTTGCACCACCATCTCCTTCAGATCTTCCCCTACCAACAGTCTGCCCCATGGCACGGAGCTCAGAATACAAAGTAACCACTTTCCTCCCGTGACCCCTGCCTCGGTTTATAATGACACGTCCTCAGGCCAAATCCTTCACTATTGGACAACTGCCGATCCCCGTTATGGGGCTGGAAGCCTCCGGTGGGGGGCTTTGTTGGCTTGGTCACTGCAGGCACGTTGTAGGGGCTCGTGAATATTTACTTGTGGATGAATAAATTCATGATGACCACACGGGTCAGTGACTTCACTCCTCAGCTTTCTAAGCATAAAATGAGAATAATAAGAATATTTACTTTGCAGGGGAGAATAAAATGAGCTAAATCCCTTATTTAAGAGATCTTTATCAAGTTTTGATAATGTGCCAGGCTTTGGAGACAGCAGTGAGCAGCATGGGGAGGTTCTATACCTTCAGGTAGCTACAAACTAGAGGAAGGTAATGTGTGTTTTAGCACCTAGGAGAGTGGCTTACCAGTTACTCTTAGTAGAACCATGAGTGAGTGAGTGAGTGAATAAATGAATGAATAAAAGGAAAACCATCTTCTGTGGCCCCCCTTAACCCTCCTCTGTGGCCTTCCCATTACCTGGGGAGCTGGCATTTTTGCTGTTTAGAGGTCTGATTCTGCTGTCACCCTCTCTGAATTTTCCCCTTCTGTAAGGGGGGCAGAGAGGCTGTCATCTCAAACCCCATTTGAGCTGCCAGAGATGTTCTGATTCCTTGTGGACATGGCCTCAGAAGCTTCTGAGGCAGAAATCCTATAACCAGCCCTTTCCTCCTCTGGTTCTTCTCTGTGACCAGCTTTGATGCCAGCTCATCTCCCTGGGGGAGGGTTAATTACTCGCAGGCACTATCCGCTCATCTCCCAGGCCTCTTATCTGAGACATAAGCATTTAGGCAAACACATTAGGCCAGAGCAGGGCAGAGCCTTTGGACAAACATCTCTGGGCTTTTCCTGGGCTGTGGATGCACATGGGCATTGGCCTGGCCTCCTCAGTGCCCACCCCCCTCTTCCCCACCACAGCACCCACCACAAAGACCTGTCCAGCCCACACCTTCAGGGTGGACCTCACAGGTACTGAAAAACCCCAGCACCCAAGCCCAGGTCCTCTGCCCCAGGGTCCATGGGCAGTGAGAGTCCACTGTGGCTGGCTCCTCCCCGACTCAACCTGCTCAGACCGGGGCCTCAGTCAGTTACAGTGAGACAGAGAAATCCTACATAGGGTTCCACAGCCATGCCTGGGAGATTAGAGGATTCTCTGTGATTTAGATTGAGCAACAGATTTTTCTGGAGGAAAAGGGCTGCTACTGAGCATATGCTCACTCCAGGCCCTGGGCTTTGAGCTTCCACGCACATCAGCCCACGCCATCCTCCTGTCAGCTTAGTGAGCTGGGGTATTGAGCTCCTGTTACAGATGAGGACCCCAAACCCCAAACGTGAAATGGCTTCCTTCAGGAAGCTGGGGAGAGAAAATCACATTGACTGGGTGTTTCCTGGGGCAGGCTCTGCCCAAGATGCCTCACTGACCTGTTGTATTAGACAGTTCTTACATTGCTATAAAGAAACACCTGAGACTGGGTAATTTATTTATTTATGTACTTGTTTTATTTATTTATTTATTTTTATTATTATACTTTAAGTTTTAGGGTACATGTGCACAACATGCAGGTTAGTTACATATGTATACAGGGGCCATGCTGGTGCGCTGCACCCACTAACTTGTCATTTAGCATTAGGTATATCTCCTAATGCTATCCCTCCCCCCTCCCCCAACCCCACAACAGTCCCCAGTGTGTGATGTTCCCCTTCCTGTGTCCATGTGTTCTCATTGTTCAATTCCCACCTATGAGTGAGAACATGCGGTGTTTGGTTTTTTGTCCTTGCGATAGTTTGCTGAGAATGATGGTTTCCAGCTTCATCCATGTCCCTACAAAGGATGTGAACTCATCATTTTTTATGGCTGCATAGTATTCCATGGTGTATATGTGCCACATTTTCTTAATCCAGTCTATCATTGTTGGACATTTGGGTTGGTTCCAAGTCTTTGCTATTGTGAATAGTGCCGCAATAAATATACGTGTGCATATGTCTTTATAGCAGCATGATTTATAATCCTTTGGGTATATACCCAGTAATGGGATGGCTGGGTCAAATGGCATTTCTAGTTCTAGATCCCTGAGGAATCACCACACCGACTTCCACAATGGTTGAACTTGTTTACAGTCCCACCAGCAGTGTAAAAGTGTTCCTATTTCTCCACATCCTCTCCAGCACCTGTTGTTTCCTGACTTTTTAATGATGGCCATTCTGACTGGTGTGAGATGGTATCTCATTGTGGTTTTGATTTGCATTTCTCTGATGGCCAGTGATGATGAGCATTTTTTCATGTGTTTTTTGGCTGCATAAATGTCTTCTTTTGAGGAATGTCTGTTCATATCCTTCACCCACTTTTTGATGGGGTTGTTTTTTTCTTGTAAATTTGTTTGAGCTCATTGTAGATTCTGGACATTAGCCCTTTGTCAGATGAGTAGGTTGCAAAAATTTTCTCCCATTCTGTAGATTGCCTGTTCACTCTGATGGTGGTTTCTTTTGCTGTGCAGAAGCTCTTTAGTTTAATTAGATCCCATTTGTCAATTTTGGCTTTTGTTGCCATTGCTTTTGGTGTTTTAGACATGAAGTCCTTGCCCATGCCTATGTCCTGAATGGTATTGCCTAGGTTTTCTTCTAGGGTTTTTATGGTTTTAGGTCTGACATGTAAGTCTTTAATCCATCTTGAATTAATTGTTGTATAAAGTGTAAGGAAGGGATCCAGTTTCAGCTTTCAACATATGGCTAGCCAGTTTTCCCAGCACCATTTATTAAATAGGGAATCCTTTCCCCATTTCTTCTTTTTGTCAGGTTTGTCAAAGATCAGATAGTTGTAGATATGCAGCATTATTTCTGAGGGCTCTGTTCTGTTCCATTGGTCTATATCTCTTTTGGTACCAGTACCATGCTGTTTTGGTAACTGTAGCCTTGTAGTATAGTTTGAAGTCAGGTAGTGTGATGCCTCCAGCTTTGTTCTTTTGGCTTAGGATTGACTTGGCGATGCGGGCTCTTTTTTGGTTCCATATGAACTTTAAAGTAGTATTTTCCAATTCTGTGAAGAAAGTCATTGGTAGCTTGATGGGGATGGCATTGAATCTATAAATTACCTCGGGCAGTATGGCCATTTTCACGATATTGATTTTTCCTACCCATGAGCATGGAATGTTCTTCCATTTGTTTGTATCCTCTTTAATTTCACTGAGCAGTGGTTTGTAGTTCTCCTTGAAGAGGTCCTTCACATCCCTTGTAAGTTGGATTCCTAGGTATTTTATTCTCTTTGAAGCAATTGAGACTGGGTAATTTATAAGAAAAGAGGTTTAATTGGCTCGTGGTTCTGCGGGCTGTACAGGAAGCATAGCACTGGCATCTGTTTCTAGGGAGGCCTCTAGAAGCTTCCAATCATGGTGGAAAGTGAAGGGGGAGCAGGTGCATTGCATGGCCAGAGCAGGAGCAAGAGAGCAAGGTGGGGAGGTGGTGCACACTTTTCAATGACCAGATCACACAAGAACTCACTCACTATGCAAAAATAGTACCAACTTGGGATGGTGTTAAATCATTCATGAGAAATCTGTCCCATGATCCAATCACCTTCCACCAGACCCCACCTCCAACACTGGGGATTGCATTTCAATAGGAGATTTAGGTGGGGACACACATCCACCTGATCCCCCTGATCCCCCTATATCACCTGTCTTCCTTAATGCTCACCCCACCCTAAGAGATTGGAGCCACTGTTATTCTTGTTTCACAGATGGGGAAACTGAGGCTCTGAGACATGCAGTCACTTGCCCAAGATCCCGTGGCTGGTGAGAGGCAGCACCATATTTCATAGCTGGGCGTGGGAAACTCCAAAGTCCCTCCTTTGTACAGTGCAGGACAAAGCCCACTGAGGAAAGCCACTTTGGGGGGATGGAGACATAGAGAAAGTTCATAACTCTAATATATTTGCATGGATTTCTACCACATATGAAGGATTTTCATGTGTTTATCATCTGGTGATCCTACCACAACCCTTTGTGGTAAGCAAGATAGGTATTTATTTAACAAATATTTATGTAGTGCTTACTGTGCGCTGAGAAGTCTTCTAAGCGCTTATAAATATTAATGTGTGTAATCTGCATTAAAAACTCCATGAGTTAGATTCTATTATTTTCTCCATTTTATAAATGGAGAAAACTGAGGCACAGAGAGGTTATGTAGCTGACTCAAGGCCACACAGCAAGGGAGTAGCAGAGCTGGGATTCTGTTTCCAGCAGATCTGACCTGGCGATAGAAGCCAGGGCCATCTTCTTTCTCTCCCTGTCTTTGGCCCACCGTGTCCCCAGCAACAGGACACATGATCCATGCTGGGGACACATGCAGCTGCCCCAGGGTTGGGCTGAAGATAATGGGTTCGTAAGTGACAGGTGGGCTGAGCTGGGATTAACAGAGCCAGAGACAGTTTGCTCTGGAGCCCCAAGCATGGGCTACAGAACCAGTGAGCTTTAAGATCCTTATCTCATCGAGGAAATATAATAATCCCTCGCAGGACATGTGGCCTCACTTTCTTCATTTCCACAGCTTTGTCCAGCTGTTTATCTCAATCCATCCTTACGATGGCCTGAGAAGTAAGCAGGGACCAGTGGGGTGTTGCTTGATCACTTGCTTCTTTGGGGTCTAGCACGGGGGACCGTATTCCTACTACTGCTACTGTTATTGCTTGCTTTTGGGGTTCCCTTCAAAGCAGAGCCAGAGAGAAGGATTTGGATGCAGGGGTTTATTTTGGGAATGACCCCAGGAGGTAGCAGCAGGAGGGATGTGGGCTGGGAAAAGAAAAGCAACTGATGCGGTTTTCACTTTTGCTCTCTCAGTGAGGGAACCGCTGACAGGCAGTGTGGGACATACTCTGAATCACCTGGCAAGGGGCGAGGAAGCTGGGGTACTGATCCTCTAACCCCCACCTCTCAGTGACCTGCCCCACACATGGGCCAAGTGCTCTCACAGCAGACTTCTTTTAGGTAAAGAAGTGCAAGATGCCAGCTTGGCATCTGCTCCCTCGCCACCACCATTAACTGAGCACTTACTATGAGCCAGGATGCCCGCTAAGGCCCTTCCCTGAATTAGCTAAATGTCTTGTCAATGGACATTATTGTCCTCTTTTTACAGATGAGGAAACTGAGGCCCAGAGAGAGCCACAAAGAGAGTCTGGGAGAGTTGGGATTCAGACCTGTCATTTTGTCTTCAAGCACTTAGTAAGCACCTGCTGAGTGCCAGCCAGTGTGCTTGGTCGTGGCTTTGCCGTTAAAACCCACATCCTTACCCACTGAATTCAATGCTGCTGGTGCAGGAGCGCTCTTCCCTCTTGGGTGCAGAGTCCATATTTTCTGGATTCTCTAGGATGGTCCCAATGGCAACACTTTTTATTCTTTTCAATAAAGATAATTTGTGGTATATATAACCAAATGCACTCTAATGTTTAAATCTTGGTAACACTTTTTGCATGAATAAATTCACTCTTCCCTTCCCACTGGGAGTGCTGTGTCTAATGAGAAATTCTCATTTGGGCTGGGAAAATGCGGTCGCTGAACCAGAGGGATGGGAGCCGGGGCATCTGACTCAAAGCTCAGGGTTCCGGGAGCTGTCTACGTCACACGATGATGGGGCCAGTTGGGTTCCTGAGCACCTCCCCCTGCTGGAAGATCGTGCAGGCTCCCTGGGCGATCCATCTCACCCACCCTCTTCCCAGTGTCTTCGGCCTCCCAGAGCTTCTTGCTCCCATTCCAGAGCCCAGGGCCTTCCCCTCTGTCTTCATTTTTCACCACCCTCTGCAGTGCTGTCGTCAGGTCAGGAATGGACCACTGTCAGGCAGTGTGGCTCAGTGGTTATGGTCAAAGGCTCTGGGACAGGTCTCTGGGTTTGAAGGCCAGCCCCACAACGTGTTGGGTGTGTGACCTAGGCCTCATTATCTGGATGCCCTAGGCTTCAATTTCCTCATCTGTGAGATGGGGTTAATATTGTAGCAGATGCTGTCAGTGCCTGGCTGTACTCTCTGTATTTCTCTCCACCCGCCAAAGTCTGCTTACTGTGAATGAAACTCATTGCCTGAGGCAGCATCCCTGGCCAGTGCACAGGGCAGGCCAGAAGTGCAGAGAGCTAGGGCTCCTGGAAGCAGCTCTCAACCAAGGACAGACAGGGAGTTCGAGAATGAATATCCCAACTTCCTTTTTTTTAAAAAAAATAAAAAATTTTATTTAGACAGGGTCTCGCTCTGTCGCTCAGGCTGAAGTGCAGTGGTGCGATCACGGCTCACTGCAGCCTCAACCTCCCCAGCTCAAACAATCCTTGCCTCAGCCTCCTGAGTAGCTGAGCCTACAGGTGTGCACCACCGTGCCTGGCTGATTTTTAAATATTTTTTGTAGAGACAGAGGTCCCATTATGTTGCCCAAGCTGGTCTCAAACTTGTAGACTCAAGCGATTCTCTCCACTCGGCATCCCAGAGTGCTGGAATCACGCAGCTTCCTTGCTGTTGGTGTTGATACTTGGAGGTGTATCTTCTACCCTGTCTCGCCTAGTTCCCCAGCAGGGTGGAGTTCTAGTTGCCTGCAGGAAAGCTGGCTTAATGCACCCAGTATCCTGCCCTGCCTTCCTGCTCCCTCACTGATGTTTCCTGGGTCACTTCCCGAATAAGCTACCTGCATCTGAATTATTTTCTCACAGTCTGCATCTCGGGGAGCCCAAACCAAGCCTCAATGTGCCTAGAGTGGGGGCAGCTGTGGGGATCACATGGGTGAGGATCTGGAAAGCACTGGAGGCGGCCGCATATGCATGCTCCATGGAAGCGGGCACTCCCACATCGTGGCTCCAGTTCCCCAGCCAGACCATGCTTCACAGTCGCGTGTCTGCTCCTGCTGTGCCCTCTGCCTGGTTGCCTTCCCATTCCTCTTCACCTGGCTCATGCCAAGACATCCTTCTGGACTCAGCTCAGTGGTCACCTCTTCTTGGAAGTCTTCCCTGACTACGCCCTGTGCTTGGCTTGGCAGGGGGGATCCCTCTTCAGCATCCACATAGGCTCCTTCCACTGTCATGGCATTTACACCCAGGATTACCATCCTCTGCGGGCTGCCCCTTCTCCCCACTTATTCTTTGAGGCCTGAGACCACATTTCTTTGCTGCCCAGCTCTCTGGGGGAGGAGGTAGCCCAGGTGTGAATCTTGTACACCCCTTAGCCCTCTGCTCCCTGTGGCCTTTGACCTGTGTCTGCACACAGGAACCCAGCAAACGTGGCACAATGAGGGCTTAGCATCCATCTGAGGAGAGCACGACCAGAGTGAAGCACCCCAGTCTCCATGCCTTCACAACCTTTTCTCTTTCCTCACCACCTCGGGGGTCACCCAGCAGGACAGGATGCTGGGACAAGTGGAACTGAAGGCTGGGCATCCAGGCTGATGGGAATTGGCTTTGAGAAGGAAGGATCTTAAGCTCAAGGTCTCATCTAGTCGGGAGGAAGACAGGGAGGAGGAGAGAGAGAGTTTAAAGCTCTGAGACCTTGCTTTGTCTTGTTTCTATTTATTATAATGACTACTGTCATTATTATGTAATGAGGTGAATGGTGGGCCAAAGTTTTGCCCACCTGCCAATGATGAAAAAGAGATAGGTTGACTTTAAAGCAAGAGAAGCTGCAGTCAGACAAAAGAAGGAACTTCCCACTTTCTGGTTGAGCAGGGTTGGCTGTCATCAAGTTCTCAGCAGGCAGAGAACTTGCTGGAACACAGGGATGTAGGGCAGGGGGTTGGGGGAGAGGCTGACACACAGAGGACAGGGAGGATGCTGTGGATCACCAGTAGCCACTGGGGCAGGAAGAAGCATATGACTGAGAGTGAGGGACCTGGAGAGCTAATTCTCTGCTCTACTCTCAACTTGCTGGATGACTTTAGGCAAGTCGCTTTACCTCTCTGGGCCTCCATTTCCTTATTTGTAAAGACGGGGACAATAATACATTCCTGGACAACATCTCCAGCTGTTTCACAAGTTATTAGATGGACATACACTTTATACAATTTAAAGCACAGTTCATGGCTGGGCACAGTGGCTCATACCTGTAATCCCAGCACTTCGGCAGGCCAAGGCGAGCCGATTGCTTGAGGCCAAGACTTTGAGACCAGCCTGGGCACCATAGCAAGACCCCCATTTCTACAAAAAATACAAAAATCAGCCGGGCATGGTGGTGCATGCCTGTGGTCCCAGCTACTTGGGAAGCTGAGGTGGGAGGATTACTTGAGCCCCGGAGGCCTAAACTGCAGTGAGCCAAGATTGTGCCACTGCATTCCAGCCTGGGCAACAGAGTGATACTGTCGCAAAATAATTTTTATATGTATATGTATATATAAAATAAAGCACAGTTTGGATGAAAAATAAACAAAACCAAAACCAACAGGGTGAGGAGAGAAGGTGAGAAACAAGCACGTGCTTCTCTTTCTCTAGCAATCCGTATCAGGACAAGGGGACTCCATTTAATGAACAACTACTCTATGACTAGCACCTATAAAGGCCTTAATCCTCACAACAGCCTATGTAGGAGGCTCGTCTCCATTTTACAGATGAGAAGACTGAGGCCCAGAGTGGTCAATTAACTGGTCCAACCGGGATTAGAACTCAGGCCTCTCTGACTCAACGCCCTGGCTTGTTCCGCCTTTGCCACATTATTGGAGCTGTGATGGTCAGATGTTCTACCCTTACTTGATCACCTGATGGTTCTTCTCCCCCTGCCCAAAATGAAGATTAGGATACAAGACCCAGGAAGTCTTCCCTGGCCCTCGGGCCCTCCCTGCCCCTTCCCAGATGGCCTTGGCTCAATCTGGGACTTCATCATCCACCCAACCAGGCCTCAGCTGAGAAGGAGCCGGGCTCTGAGCCCAACAGATAAAATCCCAAGCCCCACAGCCAATCCTCGTGGCCTGGCCAGGCATTAGGCAATGCTAATTGCACTGTCCACAGTGGAGCCTTGTTTGCATATATGCAAATTGGGGGGCTGATTAGCGCTTCCCCCAGATGGGTCAGTTCAGGCCTCTGCCTGACCCCTGTACTGCCTGGTTTAAAGCACTAGCGAGTGGGACAAATGCCCATCCAGATGGGAGATGCAGCAAGCAGGGGCGGCCTGTGGCCTGGGCAGCCCCCAGTGGCCATTGCCTGGCAGCTGAAGGGTCCAATCATGACCTGAGTGTTTGGATGGGGAACCAGAGGCTGTGGTCACATGTTCCCCAAGTCCCTACCCAAAGGGTCTGGCCTCTCCAATTTGGGGGACCCCAGGATGCCCAGAGCCTTCCCTGGGCCTTCTCTCAGGGACAGGACTCATGAGCCTGACCCCACACAGGCCTAGTAACAGCAGATGTCTGCGGTTCAGCTTCCAAGGCTCCCGCAGATGAGTGGGCATCTGTAGAGGAGGACCCTGGGCCTGCGTCCTTGAGCTCAGCCAGGCAGCTGCTTGGAGTGCAGCCGTGATTTAATCTCATTGGGCCCTTCTGTCGGGCCTGGGCTCAGGATGCGGAGCTTCAGGACTTCTGTGTGCTATCCCCCACCCCCTCGGCTGTCCCCTTTCAGGCCGGGACCCTCATCTCTAGGCTGGATGACACAACAGCCTGGACCCTGATCTCCTGCCTCCGCTCTTCCTCTAGACAGTCCCGCTGAGCTTCTCAAATCACAAATCTGAGCACTCTCCCTCCTGCTTAGAACTCTCCATGGCTCCCCAGTGCCCAGTCATAAAGTGCAAACTCCCGTCCCAGCCCATGCCCATGGCATGGGTTTCTAATCCTCGCTTTCCTTGTCAGTGTCCAGCTCCCCACACCACAGACGCCTTGTGGGGGTGGATGAAGTCTTGCTGGAGAATCTGTTCCCATGGCCTGGCAGAGCCTGGCTGGACTTTCAGAGGCTGGAGGAATCACCTTCCCAGGGAGGCTTCCTGAATGCTGTCTGTGCGACCCCTGGATTTCGTGTCTTTCAGAAAGTCCTCTGCACACAGGTGACCTGGTAGGCCCGTGCCTTCCCTTCTATGTCTCTGTTAAAGGGTTCTAAAGTCCCTTCTCTGGGCGAGGTCTTGTCTTTCTGTTTAGGTGGGAGCTCTTAGGTGGTAGGGGGGTGAGTGGTGCCCATCAGACTTGGATTCTCTCCCCAAGGCAGGAGCTGTGACTCCCCGATCAGACTGGGACCTCACCGGGGCTGGAGCTATGACTCTTTCATCAGATTTGGGACCTCCCCAGGGCTGGGGCTGTGTCTCCCCTATCAGATTAAGGCTTCGTGATGGCAGAAGACTGTCTCCCTGCATCAGAGTGGGAGCCCCCTGAGGTCTGTGTCCCTAGACCTTGTCACATTTCCACCTTAGGGGAATGTCAGTGTCTACTCTGTTCCGTTTTCTGTTCCTTGATGTTTCCACGTGGTCCTCTCGGGGAGGAGGCATGCAGAGGAAGGAGGACAGGCCAGCAGGAGCCTCTGCTCCTCCCATCTTCTCCTTCCCCAGGCCTGGCCCACAGCCCCTTCCCAGGACAGAGCAGCACCTTGGTAAGCCTCAGTCGAGTTGGAAGGATTGAGTCCACAGGCGGCTCACAGACCTCCATGCCCCGCTGCCCCAGGCTAGGAGCCAAGGGCCCCATGCCCCCTTGGACTCAGTTCCCCAGGTCCCACCCAGAGGTAGGGCTACCCCTAGTCACCTCCCTGCCCAAGCTGCCTGTGCCTGAAGCAGCTGTTGGGCTCTGCCCCTGACCCTGAAGAGATCTGGCCCACCTTTCCTTCCATTTATTCCTCTGCCCAATTCTGACCTAGCTTAGCCTGGGTCCGGAACCCTCTGGAAGCACCTAGGTCCAGTCCTCCAGTCCCCTGAAGATACCACTAGGTAGTACTAGGTGACTTGGTCTAACCAGAGAAGCCTCCAGTAAATAGAGCCCCTTAGACCACCAAGAAAAGCTGCCCAGGACCCTTCAAAGCCAGAGCACGTTGCTGATCTGAGAACGGTCAGCCAGAACCTCCCCCTTGTGTCAGCAGGGCCACTCGGACAGAGAGGGTTGAGAGCCAGACCAGAAGGACAGAGTGAGATTCCTGCTGGGGCCCTTGTTCTTCGTGACCTTGAGTAAGATGTTTAACTTCTCCGTGCCTCTATTTCCCCATTTGCCACAACTTGACGATTGTGGTGAGAATAAAATGAGATAGCAGAAGAGGAGCTTCCCTGATGAGTGATTATGATGGGTGAGTCCCGGGTGCCTCAAAAAGCCTTCCTCCCTGCTGTTTTGAATTATCTGACTCCAAAAGATAACTTTTTTTATTATTATTCCAAAAGTAATACCCGAAAGCTGGAGATAATTTGAAGCGTTTAGAAAGGCACAAAAAAGAAAATAGCATGACTCAGAGATGACTGCTGCTCGTGGCATGGTGCTGACCCTGTCAGCCTTTTCTGTGCGTGGGGACAGGGAACCGTGGAGGGAAACAGAGAGGAATTTATGGAATATTTTTTAAAAAGTTATCCTCGGAGTCATTTTTGTGGCTAGATGGCTCCTCCCCACCTTTGTTCCCTGACCCTTGTGTGGGTATCTGAAAGCTGCCCATTACCCTGTTCTTGCCACCAATTTCCTCAATTCACACTCCCTATAAACCACCATGGGGAGCTTTATAGGCCCACAAAGGCATTCAAAGTTAATGGCAAAACCAACCATGTGAAAACTCCGCTGTAAAATCCACCTCACTCTCTCCCCAGTGCCCGAGAGCCCCCAGCCCCTCCTGGTTCCCATGAGGCAGCCTGATACCTGCCGCCCCAACTGGCACTGGGCCCTGGGACAGAGGGATGGGCAGGCAGAGAGTCCAGGGGGTGACCTTCTTTCCACCGAGGACACGAAGCACACACATCCTCTTGCCACAACAACACAGATGCAATAAATACGAGGACTGTAATTTATGTAGATGTTTTGAAGTCCAAACAGAAGGGTGGGGAGGGACTAATAAAATGCCATCCCTCATGTCGGCTTCTCAGGGCGGCAAATGTGGCAGGTTCATAAGGAATGCGCAGGGCACCTGCCGGCTGAGCGTGGAGGTTAGGGAAGTCCAAATGATGCCCTTGGGCTCCCCTGCCAAGGTCGACGCTCTGCCAGGGGATGGAGCCCAGAACCAGGAGGAACTTTGGTTGCTCCTTTATTCCTCCTTCCAAGAAGTGTTTCCAGGCTCTGGCTCAAACCCTCCTGGGCAGAAAGGGACAGGAGCCTAGCTTGGTCTTTTAGGGGAGAAAAGTGTGGCTTCTGCTGGGACAGTGAATGAAGAGTGGGCTTGGCACTGACCCTGGCTCTGCTGTGTGACCTTTGGGCAAATACCTCACCCTCTCTGATCCTGTTTACATATCCATCTAAAGGAGAGAAAAAGGAGGGTATTATGAGGATTAAGTGCCATACTGTAAGGAAACAGGCAGAGAGGGAATATGTAATCAATGCCAGTTTCTCCCCACTCTCCATTAGTTTCCGAATTTCTTGCAAACTGCAAAGGACAGATCTCTTGCTATATTTGTGCCAGAACACCGAGTCCAAAGCACTGGGCCTAGCAGGGAGTGAGCGTCCATCAGTTTGAGGATGGTCCCTTCCTCTGCTTTGTACCAAGAGGGGGATGGGTGGGGTGCAGTATGGAGGTGGGGCAACGTGAGTCTATTCTGGGCCATGTCGTTGGCTCAGCGGGCGACCTTGACTGAGTCATTTCACTCTCAGGAGAGGCTGGAGCTGAGCCAGTGCACCTTCTCCTGGGCCCTCCTGGGATCACTGCTCCAACGCAGGGAGGGATTGGGACAGTGAAGAGTCAGGCTTCTCCCCACACCAGCCCAACCACATGCTGCCCACACCTCCACTCCCTTAGGGGAGAAGTGCCTCCTTTTGGTCAAGGTAGTAGGAGAGGAACTGAGCGTTCAGCCTTGTTTGATATGTGAGCAAACTGGAATTGGTTTCTGGCCAAGGTTGTGGAGCCACCGAGGGTCCCGGGTGAGACCAGAATCAGTTCTGACGTGCCCCTCTCCCCAGCCTTTCTTCCACATTTCTCTCTTCATGACGCTCTCCCATCTCTGTCTTCATGTTCTATCTTAATTGATCCTCATAGCACCCCTGATATGTAGATGAGGAAAGTAAGACTCAGAGGGGTTAAGTGACATATTCAAGGTCACACAGCTGGTTAATGGTAGGGTAAGAAATAAAACACATGCCTTGTAGCAAACACCAAAAGTAAAAACATGGTCACCCTGATTCCTTGTCTGCCCTTGCTCTCTACGCCTGGTCCAGGAACGAGTTCTGGAGGCTCTTCCCCCAATACATCCTGCATCTGGATGACGCTTCCCTCTGACGCCACTGCCACCCCAGCCCAGGCCACCACGTGTCCACGCCTGCCATAGCCTCCCTGCTGGTCTTGCGGCTGCCACCCTCATCATCCAGCTCTCCAGGTGTCCAGAGAGATATTATTAAAATGTAAATCAGATCCAGTCGCTTCCGGGCTTGAACCCCTCCAAGGTCTGCCATCGTGCTTGACATCAAATCCCATGCCTTACTCTCCTTCCTCTGGTGGTGCCTGCTCTCCCACCTCACCCTGTTTGATTCTCTCCTGTGCTCATGCCACTCCCACCACTCTGGCCCGCTTGCTTTCTCCCAAGCGTGCTTGTCCAGCCTATGGGCCTTTGAACTCAGAGCTTCCTCCGCTTGGATCACCCTTGCTGGGATGATCCTAAGACTACAACCTTCCTGTCCTGCAGGGCTGAATTTAAATAAAAAGCACCGAGAAATACCTTCCCTGACACCACCCCATTGAAATGTCACCTCCTTCCCCTATTTTCCCTTTATATGAATACATCTGAGCCATCTGTCAGGACACTGCTTGCTAGCATTAATAATTTTGTTGGTTTTTTTGCTCATCATCTGTTTCCCCACTAGAATATAATTTTTGTTGTGACTATGATGATGAAACATTGTGTACCTCCTACATACCAGGATGGTTCTAGGTTTGCATATACATAACTTACTGAGATTTGCAACAACTTTGTGAAAGGTACTATTATTATCTCCATTTTTACTGAGGACACTTGATATGGTTTGGCTGTGTCCCCACCCAAATCTCATCTTTAATTGTAGCTCCCATAATTCCCATGTGTCGTGGGAGGGACTTGGTGGGAGGTAATTGAATCGTGGGGGTGGGTCTTTCCTGTGCTGTTCTCTTGATAATGAGTAAGTCTCATGAGATCTGATGGCTTTATAAGGGGGTGTTTTCCTGCAGAAGTTTTCTCTTGCCTGCCGCCATGTAAGACATCTCTTTGCTCTTCCTTCATCTTTCGCCATGATTGTGAGGCCTCCCCAGCCCTGTGGAACTGTGAGTCCATTAAACCATTTTCCTTTATAAATTACTCAGTCACAAGTATGTCCTTTTTTTTTTTTTTTTTTTGAGATGGAGTCTTGCTCTGTCGCCCAGGCTGGAGTGCAGTGGCGCGATCTCATCTCACTGCAAGCTCCGCCTCCTGGGTTCACGCCGTTGTCCTGCCTCAGCCTCCAGAGTAGCTGGGACTACAGGCGCCCACCACCATGCCCAGCTAATTTTTTTTGTATTTTTAGTAGAGATGGGGTTTCACCATGTTAGCCAGGATGGTCTCGATCTCCTGACCTCATGATCCGCCCGCCTCGGCCTCCCAAAGTGCTGGGATTACTGGCGTGAGCCACCATGCCCGGCCTCAAGTATGTCTTTATTAGCAGCATGAAAACGGACTAATACAACACTGAAGCCCGGAGAAGCTAAGTCACTTGCCCAAGGCCACACAGCTGGCTAGTGGTAAAGCTGGGATTTGAACTCAGGCAGTCCAGCTTCAGCGTCTAGACTCTGGACCACAACACTAGGCTGTAAATTGCATCAAGGCAGCAGCCAGGTCTCTTTTGTTTCCTGCTGCATCCCCAGTGCCTAGTGCAAGGCCTGGCACCAGGAAGGTGCACAGTAGATGTTTGTGGAGTGAGAGGATGTGTGCCACGGTGAGTAAGCATAGACCCTGCCCTCAGAGATATCATATCATCGCTTATTTCATTGCTCAGAAGACACAGGGAAATAAAAATAAGAAGTGGAAAAAACAAGCCTGTATAATTCAAAGCATAAACATGTTATCCTTGAATGAGTGAGATTGTTTGTAGTCAAGTACAGAGTAGCCCTCCTGCCCCTGCACACACAAGTTAGTGTCTTATACTCATTAAAAAAGCCGGAGCATAAACCCAGTGCTTGAGCTAAGTGTGCACGAGTTCTTACGGTGTCAGCAAGACGTGCTCACCAGAGTGTGTCTGGCGGCATCCCGGAGACTCTGCCAGGCTAAGTGCATGGAGCAGGGTTCAGAGGTCTGCATGCTCCGTAGTACTCCTGCGGCCCACCTTGCCTGGACAACAGCTGGGACAGGCGTGTCACTGACATGTGTGCCTGAGCCCCTCTGTCCAGCCTGGCACAGCCCCTGCTGGCCAATGCTGGGACATGGGCCAGCAGCCTGCAGAGGGTGTGTGTGGCCATGGTGGGTAATGACACGTGGAGAGACAGAGGAGCGCTCGGTGTGCAGGGGAGACCATGGGAGCAGGGACAGTCTCCGAGGCTTCGGGGCAAGGGACTGATTTAAGTGAACCATGCACAGCGGGGATGACACACACAGAGGGAGGGGGTGGCCATCCCGGCACGGTTCAGAGGCTCAGACTCATGGCTGTGCTAATCATTAGTGTCAATACCGTGAATGCTGGCGAATCACAGAGCTAATGTTGCTAATAATAAGGGGTGATATATCCTGACTCCTCAGTCCTGGCTGGGTGCCCGGCCAGCAAGACCTGCCTCCCCAGTACCGCTCAGCTAAATGGCTGAGCCACTCGTGCATGAGCTCTCTCGGTGGCAGGCCAGCCTGACAGCTTGGCCCAATAGGTCTTCGTAACATGGGCAGATTGTGGAAATCCTGGGTGTTTTTCTGAGGCTTCCTTCGGGGCAGGATCAGCCTGGCTTCACTGATCCATCTCTAGACTCTGGCTCCATAATTTTTCGGCTTTGTGACCTTGGGGAGTCATTTCCCCTCCCCCATTGTTTCTGCATCTGTAAAATGAGAATCATTCATGTCTACTATAAAAGGTAGATCTGGGGAGCCTCTGGGATGATGTGGAACTCTGAGCAGAATGCCAAGCGCAAGTTTCACCATACGCTAATTATTATTATAATAATTACATTTTCATTTATTCAGTAGCAAGAATGTAGGCTTTGGGGCCGGGGAGTGGTGGCTTATGCCTATAATCCCAGCACTTTGGGAGGCCGAGGCAGGAGGATTGCTTGAGCCTAGGAGTTTGAGGCCATCCTGGGTAACAGAGGGAGGCTCTGTCTCTGCAAAACAAAAAATTAGCCGGGTGCAGTGGCTCATATGCCTGTAATCCCAGCTACTCAGAAGGCTGAGGTGGGAGGATTGCTTCAGCCCAGGAGCTCAAGGCTGCAGTGAGCTATGATCATGCCACTGCACTCCAGTCTGGGTGACAGAGTGAAAGAGAATTTAGGTTTTGGAACCAGGTTGAGCTGGGGTGGAATCCTCTGCTGCCACGTGCTCTAAGGCCTGGGCCTCTCTGGAAAATGGGGATAGCACCTTCCTTACGGAGGCTGGGAGGATTGGAGACAGTTCACTTGTAACAAGGAGGATGGTGCTTGGCATGGCGGGGGGGGTCTCAGGATACTTAAGGTAGTTTATAGGTTTTAACTGAGTTCCTGCCGTGTGCAGTCACTGTGCCCTGCCCTGGAGATACCTGTCCCCGATTCTGTGTTAGCTGTAGGTGTTTGAGTCAGTGTGGTCAGAGACAGGAATGCTGGCCTCCTTGGAGATGGGCTTAAGGGGCTAGGCGAGACCGGTAACTTCATACCTACTTCAGGGCCAGGAAGTCCACATACATTTGACCCCTTTCTCCTCCTTGAATTCCAGAGGGGACTCAATCCATCTCAGCACCTCCCAGGGAGCTGAGAGCCCTGAAGTCAGTGCAGTGTCCTCCGTCACCAATGCCATCAAGATACCCCATCAGGGACTCCAGCACTTTCACTGGGGCAGTTGCCCCCCTCACCAAGGTCTCTCTGAGTGGGATCACAAATGCCATTACACTCTGGATCATTCTGCTGGTGGGGCAAGAGTGGCCCCTGAGCTGATGGGGCGGCCCTAGCCCCAAATCCCTGTCATGTCCATTACCACATCAGCCTCCCAGCTTAGTGCCATCGGGAAAAAAAGCAGGGGTGGTGCCTGTCCCAGTTGGCACCAGAGAAAACAAAGGCTCAGGCAGGGTATGTGACCTGAGCAAGGTCTCCGGATGGCTGTGGCTCAGCCCTGATGAATCACAGAATACCTGAGCGTCCCAGGGCCTCTACCCAGGCTGTATCCTCTGTGTGGAGGGACCTTTCATCACTTCATTTAGGTCTCTGTTCAAATCTTCCCTTGTCAGAGAGTCCTTCATGAGCCACTTGTCACAGTCAGGGTAATTAACACTAGCTGCTGTAACAAACAATTCCAACCTCTTCTTGACACAGCACAGTAAAAGTGTATTTTTTGTTCATGCAAAATCAAATGCATTTATTCCTGGTCAGAGGCTCCCCTGAGCACTCACATCCAGGCAATGGTTCTGGGGGCCCAGCCTCTTTCATTTTGTGCCTCTGTCATCCCTGGGAGGTTCCCCGCTGGATCCTCTGTATTCAGTCTGCTGAAGAGTGAAGAGAAAGATCACATGGAGGCTCTGACCTAGAGTTTCAAGGGCCAGGTCCAGAGTGGCATATACCATCGACATCCACATTCTAGTGGCCAGAGCAGGTCACATGGCCAAATCCAACACTGATGGGGAGGGACAGTGCATGCCACATATAACAGGCGGGGGAGAGGAGTGAATAATTCACACCATGGTAGAGGATTTCACAGGATGTCTGGGGCCAGGCCTGGGCGACACTTATTCCCTGCTTCCATGGACCACAACTGACTCACACATCCTCCTTAACTGCAGGGGGCTGTGGGGGGCGGGTCTTGGAAATACGGAGAAGCTCATGGATATTGGTGAAAACTGACAGTTTCTGCCCCACAACCTAGTAATTAAAGAGATCCTAGTAGTGCTTCTCATCATGTGGGTGACCGTATAATTCATCTTCCAAATGGGACCATTTTAAGGTGAAAGGGGTCACTAATGATTATCCTCTGAACACTGGGTTTCAAGCAGGTTGCTCCAGGGATTTGGGGCACGTGGTCACCCTACTCATCACTCTGCATCCTCTCAGCCTGCTTTATTGTTCTTTTTCACACTTAATCACTGCCTAGGAGTGGACTCCGTGAGGACAGGGACCTTTCTCCCTCTGTTGCTATATCCTCAGTGCCTAGAACTGGGCCTGGCACATTAGAGGTGCCCATTATATGCCTGGTAGATGAACGAATGAATTAACTCAACTGTCTCACAGATTCCTTTTGAGGACCGACTGCACATTCATCCACAGTGCTCCTGCCCTCCTGGAGCTAAGCAGATGTCAAATGAGAAAGGGTGATGTCCAAGGACTCCAGAAGGTCATGCCTGAGTCTGGAGGTGGCTTCAAGGTTTTAACTGCGTTCCACTGCATGCAGTCATCGTGCCCTGCCCTGGAGACACCTGTCCCAGGATTCTATGTTAGCTACAGGTGTGAGGTCAGAGCAGATCCCTTGAGAAGGTGATATTTGAGCCACAGATCTTTAGAAAACACAGACCATAGACTCAGTTCCAAACAGTCTTGAGCTCACAATTTGGTTTGGCCTTTTGGGTGCTGTGTAAGCCTAGGTGAGTCACTTGACCTCTCTGAACCTTAGCTCGCTCATCTGCAAAGTGAGACCAGGCATCCGAACCTTTGCAGGGTGGTTGGGACCTAGTAACTGGTGTTGATTATCATAATCATGATTTCTCTTATTTAGATTTTAGACTTGAAGCTCCATCACTATGGAGCTTGGTCTCTGGCCATGGAGGGACCATGAAGTTTTGCCCTTCTCATCATGCATTGTTATAAAGCCAACTAAGGACAGCTCCCCAGTTCCTAGTGCCCAGAGCCCTAAATAACAAGATGCCGCTTCTTCACGTAGGGTTCCATGATCTGGCCTTAGCTCTGCCAGTTAGTAGCTGTGTAAGTCTGAACAGCTTAGCCTCTCTGAACCTCTGTTTCCTTGGAATAGGAATATCCAAGGCTATCTTATAGGGTACAGGTGAGGATAGAAGAGATAATGCAGTTAACAAGCCTCCTACAGCTTCTGCCCATAGCTATGATGGAAAAGCACGAGGGTTGATGTTGATTGCTTGCAGTGTGCCGGCCAACAATGGTGACAGCCCCAGGTTTGGGGGCTCAGTGTTCGAGCCCCCAAGGGCACTCAGATTCTGCCCAGCAGCAGCCACCACAGGGTCCTGAAAGGAGAAGGTTTGCTCCCAGCCGCTCTGCTGGCTTAGAACAGGCAGTGGGTGGTAGGGAGGCCAAGAGAGTGATGGAGGCATTCCCGGGCGTTGCTTCAGCTTCACTGTCAACCATGGAACAGTTATAGATGGTTTTGTCCTCTTGGAGATGTCCATCCCATTAGCATCCACACACGGCCCTAATGGGCTTCAGAAGGCCAATGCCAACAGTCTTGTCTTCACTCCGCAGAGGAGGCCCCAGCCAGATGGATGGAGCGGGGCTCAGAGCTGCTCAGACATCTGCAATGTAGCCCCAGGGAACTCAAAAGGCCCCAGGCCTAGGGCTGGACCCTAAGCGCAGCCAAACCCAGTGACTTGGCTCAATAACAGGCAGGAAGAACAAGGCACAGTCACTGCTCATAAAACAGCAGCAGCCACGGGGTGGATGACTGACTGGGAACCAGGTGCCGAAGGTGAATTTTCTCCTTTCATCCTCACCATCCTATGGACTTGGTGTGATGATCTCTACTTCGCAAATGAGGCAACTGAGGGTCAGGAGAGTGAAGTGATCATCTGTGGTGGTCCAGCTAGGGATGGCAGAGGTGGTGGGGTGGGGGGCTGGGGACACGAAGGGACCAGGACTTGAGTTCCGTTGGTCTGAGCCCCAGATGCATGCTGTCCCCGATTCCCCACGCAGCGTCTGCGAATCCATCCCCACTGAACCAGGACTGTCCAGCTGCATCTCATTTCATCAGCTGCTGTGGACTGGAACCCCTCATGCAGCCCTGAGCCCATGTGTTCCTTTAAAAGGTGGAGACACTGAAGCCCGGAGCAGGGAAGAGTCTTGCCCGCATCACACAGTGATTTAATTGTAGGAGCCGATCCGTTCCTAGGTCTCACCACCTTATCTGCATCCGTGGGATCCACAGACCACTGACTGGCATCCCAGGAGCCACGGTGAGCCCACTGTCTGTGTGTTTTAGTTAATTTTCTCACCTTTAGGTAGAACATGCATTCCTCGCTTCACCCCAGTCCCCACCCTTCCCTATCGCCTTCACCTGGGCTGATGCGCTCATTTGCTTCGCTGGCCTGATACTGTCTGCATTTGCCTCTCTGCCTGGGCTCTCCTTACAGGGGACTTGGATGGGATTTGATTTGAGTGCTTTTCTCTCTTTCTTTTGTCATCTCTTTCAAGGCCGCGAGTCCCATCTCCCATTTTACATCTTTTTTTTCAGCCCTCTTTCCTATATCAAAACTTCCCCATTCAAAGCTTCACCTCCTCAGGTCTTCAGACTCAGTAAAGGAAAGGAGATATCAGTGGGCAGCCACTCAGTCTTCTTGGCTCACGGAGGCTGGGATCACCCCTGTCACCCCTGACCCTGTGCTGGGCTCTGCCCTGAGAGAAGCTCACATGTCCCCAGCTGCAATGGATCTGATGCTGAGAATGATTCTCATCCCAGGCAAGGAGGCCCAGGGCAGGGCTGGGTGAGGAGGCCCTGCCCTGGGAGAGCAGTGGCTTCTGGGTTAGAACTCACTTGAAGGATGTGGGGAGGGGTGGGGGTGGGGTGGATTCCAGGCAGAGAACACAAGAGCTAAACTATTTAGGCTCAGAGAAAATGGAGTTGCTTTGTGTAACCAAATTCGTCCTCTCCTTTCCCCTCCCTTTCCCTCTTTCCCTCCCTTCCTTTCTCTTCCTCCCTTCATTTTCCTTTCACTTCCCTTTCACTTCCCTAGAGGAGGGGTTCCTTGGAGACCCTTGCAACTGGCTGGAATCTGGAAAAATCCTGGAGGACTGTCTGGAGGAAGTGTGAATCCAGGGAGGGCAGACTGTGAAGTGCAGGAGGGGAGCAGGGGCTAGGCAAATGGGGGGCTCACTTATGCCTCCTGCAGGTCCCAGCTGAGGCTGATATAGTCAAGAGGCCAGCGCTACTAGATTCACACTTCCTCCAGGCAGCCTTCCAGGATTTTTGTAGATTCTAGCCAGTCACAAGGGTCTCCAGGGAGCCTCTGCTTCCTGGGCCCCATGGCACTGTGCATGCACTTGGATTTTGTCACTTGCCTTTGTCATTTGCACCCGCCTCCCCAGCTGTGACCCCTTGAAGGCAAGGCTGTCCTGTTACACCTGGCACCCAGCACGGGATGGGACATAGAGAGAGCCTCGCCCCTGCATGGAAGCTGTCCCATGAGTCCTCTGAGTTTTGGCCCTGGCTCTGCTGGTGCCATGTGACTTCCTTGCTGAGCCTCTGCTCCTGCATCTGTAAAATGGGGATAAGGATACCTACTTTGTAGGGTTGCTATAGGAATAACCATCCAGCCCTTGTGTACCATGAGCTTGGCACCTCTGAGGCAGTCAACCAACTGGCTTGAGAGCAGTCAGAAAAAGGGGTCCCACCCAGGCTGGCTCTCCAGCCCCCTCCAGGGGCAATTCTGCTGAGCTCACGAAGGGGAAGAATGCACAGCATGCAGGGCCCCGGGTGCCCAAAAAGCTGGGGTGCCTAACAGAGGGACTCAGCCCCTCAACCAAGTCATAGGACATAGAGACCATCTTGGCAAGCCTGAAATCAAGAAAGACAGCCAGGCTTGGGGAACTGGTGATGAACTGCTGGTGCAGTGTTGAGGGGAGCCGGGAAGGGCTGGAAGAGGGCAAGCCAGCACCCCACTCTGTTGAAGGCCAGACAAAGGCTGGGCCTTCCAGGAGGCCTGGGCGCTGACCTGGGGTGCGCCATGCTCCCATCCCTGCGGGATCAAGAACGGGAAGCTAAGAAGTGTGGTCGGTCAGGAGGCTGAGAGCCTAATTGATTAAAGTTGTACATGTTTTGATGGGCCCGGATGCGGTGCTGGCGAAAGGTGAAGTATTAATACATATAATATATAATTATGATGTGCCACCGGCCTGGCAGCCTGTGTAAATAGTTACCCAGCTGGTAGCTAATCCCGGTAAGTGGGCCAGGGCACCTCTCACACGCGACAGGCTGGCTTCTATCCTGCGGGGAGGGCCTGGGCTTCACCTGGACTTGTGTAGCCCTAGAGGAACATTCTGATAGAGTGGGTGGGCATCCAGGGCTGGGGCTGGCACTTCCAGGGGTTGGAGTGTCTGGGCTGGCATGGAATTCTCCACTATTAAGGAGGTGGTCATCAGGGAAGGAAGGAAACCAGGCTGGACCGGGCACTCCTCACTGGCTAAGCCCTGTGCCCACTGGGCACTCCTCGCTGGCCAAGCTCCGTGCCCACAACCTCACACTTCATGCCCACTCTGCGTCTCCTCCTCTTCTCTCTGCAGATGGAGAAAATCAGAGAGGCTTAAGGAAGCACAGCAAGTAGGCGACAGGGCTGGGATTCAAATGCAGTCCCCTGGCTCTAAGCCCGAGTGCTGTTTCTTCCAGAAAGCAACAACAAAGCCACTGTCCCCGTCCCCAGCCCCAACCAAGTTCACTCTTGCTGAGCCCCCAAAAGGATTCCCATTGATCCCCTGTACTGAGGATACGGAGAGAGGTCTGTGGCATTCTGGGTCTCTCCTCTTAATTTAGCTCAAATGTTGAGAAACCAGAGAAAGTTAAGGGAAGATTCCAAACAAGTTGAGCTGCCACTAACAGCCAGCTCTGAGGCTTTTGTCTCTGAGTGTTTACAGCCCAGGAAGTCTGGCATCCACTGCAGGTGACCGGGCAGGGTGCAGGTGTGAGGCTGGAAGTGAGAGCGGACAGTGGGACTGAAATCCGGACTCAGCAGTTCCCGTCAAAAAGACATTCAGACTCTCCCAGCACTTTGAGGGGCGGAGGTAGGTGGATCACCTGAGTTCAGGAGTTCCAGGCCAGCTTGGCCAATGTGGTGAAACCTGTCTCTACTAAAAATGCAAACATTAGCCAGGCATGGTGGTAGGCACCTGTAATCCCAGCTACTTGGGAGGCTGAGGCAGGAGAATTGCTTGAACCCGGAAGGCGGAGTTTGCAGAGAGCCGAGATTGCACCACTGCATGCACTCCAGCCTGGGTGACAGAGGGAGACTCCACCTCAAAAAAGAAAGAAAAAAAAAAGAGACATTCAGACTCAAAATAACTTTCTACAACCCTCACTGCTGCTGTGTTGCTCAGTCCAGGGCCCCAGACTCCCTGGTGCCTCGTGGAATTTCAGAGGGGCAGTGGGGCTTCTAGCTCTTTCTTTGGAGGGCTAACTCTGCCTCGCTGTCTGTCCCCTGGCCATGGTGGCTCACCTGCCTGGTGGGTACCCCAGGACCTCACCCTGTGAGCCACTCTGGGGGCAGCTCCAGGAGCTCAGGTTTACTGCTCCCCGCCAATCCCCTCAAGGTCTCGGTCATAGCCACACCATGGCCCTGTGCGTGTGTCTGTCTATAAGTGAGTAGTTTTCTCCCCTGCCTCCACGCTGCAGCCCACAAGCTGGGGACTCCCAAGGCAGGGGGTTCATTCATCTCTGTGGTCACCATCGTCCTGTTCTCAACGTGTCCGCTCTGACTTTCTGCCTCCCAGCCCGGTCTGGTACACACGTTAAGCAAGACTGCAACCTGCAAGTCCAGCCCGTCTTCCTCCCAGCTGCAGCCACTAATGGGATGCTAAGTGCCTATTTTGCAGATGAGGAAATTGCAATTAAGAGAGGTTAAATAACTTTCCCAGGGTCACATATTTGGTTCGCCACTCCAACACCATGATGTTTCCACTCCATCAGATTGCCTCTTTGCTGGATGAGTCTTGGAGGGGAGGGGTGTTTCCTCCATCTGACTCAGGGCTCCCATAGGGTCTCCTCCATCAGAGTAAGCATTTGCTCAGAGCAGGAACTCTGTCTCTCCCACTAGACTGCGAGCTTCCTGAGGGCAGAAGCTGTACACCTCCCGTCAGCCAGACCCTCGAAAGGTAGAACGTGCATCTCCTCCATTACACTAGGAATATCCTAGTATAGGGTCCCTGGGGACACTATGAAGGTCATATCTCCCCCATCAAACTGGGATCTTTCCCTAAGGGCAAGCTCAGTGGCGCCCCCATCAGACTGGGAGCTCCCTGAGGGCAGGGACTGAGTCTGAAGTCCTTCAGGATCTCACACACCTGCCCTGTCATTCCATCCCCCGCCTTAGGACCCCCTGCCATGGCACCCCTGATGGTGTTCACATCCTGCACAGGACTCACCCTCAGCCGGAGCAGAAGCTGCCAACAGGCCACTAAACCACAGTGCACCCTCGGCATTAATTAGTGTTGCTGCTGTTAAGTGTTTCTTCCCATTTATGCAAATCAGCGAGGTAAGAGGCATATAATGAAGTGTTTGTGGTTTAATACTGTGCGGTAGGAACGAAGAGGAATTTTAATTACTGACTCCTAATTGGATGGACGGCTTGTTAATATCCTCCTGACAGGACATCTGAGTCACTTCTGCCCACCCACCCAGGCCCGGGTGTCTGCTGCCCACTCCTGACCAGGGCAGCGTCGGGGAACAGTGCCTCCAGAAGCCATCCTTGCTGCCCTTGCCCAGGGGTCATTCCTGGCATCCCTCTGCCCTTGACTTTGGAGCTCCTGTGTCTTTCAATCTCTTTTCTTCTCTCTCAATCTCTCTGCCTTCAGAAGGCCCTGGGCTTGTGTTCAAATCCCCATTCTGCCACTTACTGTGTGACCCTGGACAAGTCACTTCCCATCTCTGAGCCATGTTCTTCAGGCTAAGTACTGGATATGGGTGATAGGCATTGAGAAATCAGGGAGGTTATGTAGTTAGAAGGTTATGCACCCTTTCAGAGAAGGGTGGGAAGGTCCTGCCCAGGCATAGAATCTGGAGGAGAAAAGAATGTAGGGTGTGTGGGAGAGTCTGGAGATGGGCGTTACCCCCAGAGGTAGGAGGTGCTGAGGGCGATTCCCTCCCACTCATCCTTCGGGGCTCTGCTAGGGTGGCACCTCCTCCCAGACCCTCCCAGGTTCCCTGGTGCCTGTGTTGAGAGTCTCTGCCTTGGGTTTGGTCGCCTCTCTGCCCATCCCCTGACCATCACATCGTGCTGTCACTGTACCCATTAGACTATGAGTTCCTCCAGCTGTTCTGTTCTATTGACCCACTAGCCTGGTGTCCAGCACAGCTCCGGAACCTGAGAAAAATGTGCTCAATGAAAGATGATCAGTAGGCTGGACTTGTCTGCTGAAGATGCTCCAAGTCAGGGTGCAGTTTGGATTCTAGAGAAAGCAGGCAATAGGGAGCCATGGAGGACTCCGAACAGGGGGCCGAAGAAATGTTAGAATCAATGGGCCCTTCACAGCTCCCTCTGCCTTCTCTCGGATTCACCTGCTGATATAGTTTGGCTGTGTCCCCACCCAAATCTCATCTTGAATTGTAGCTCCCATAATTCCCATGTGTTGTGGAAGGGACTGGTGGTTCCCCCATACTGTTCTCGTGGTAGTGAGTAAGTCTCACGAGATCTGATGGTTTTATAAGGAGAAAACTCTTTTGCTTGGTTCTTGTTCTCTCTCTTGCCTGCTGCCATGTAAGATGTGCCTCTTGCCATGATTGTGAGGCCTCCCCAGCCGTGTGGAACTGTAAACCCATTAAACCTCTTTTTCTTTATAAATCACCCAGTCTCGGGTATGTCTTTTTTTTTTTTTTTGAGAGAGAGTCTCGCTCTGTCACCCAGGCTGGAGTGCAGTGGTGTGATCTCGGCTCACTGCAACCTCCACCTCCCAGGTTCAAGCCATTCTCTGCCTCAGCCTCCTGAGTAGCTGGGATTACAGGTGCCCAGCACCACGCCCGGCTAATTTTTTGAATTTTTGGTAGAGATTGGATTTCATCACATTGGGCAGGCTGGTCTTGAACTCCTGACCTTGTGATCCATCCACCTTGGCCTCCCAAAGTGCTGGGATTACAGGCGTGAGCCACCTTGCCTGGCCCTGGGTATGTCTTTATTAGCAACGTGAGAACAGACTAGTACAGCTTCCCAATGAACATCCAAATCTTGACGTGGTCCAGGTCCTCAGAGGACAAATTCAGAAGCATTTCTGGATCCCCTAGGATGGGCAGAGTGGTGATCTTTGGGCAGGGCCAGGCTAGGGGGAGAGAAGGAAGGAAAAACAGTCACTTCTCACCGAACTAGTTTAAGAAGAGTTATAACCAGATAGAAAAGCCTCACTGGTCTCACTCTGCTGGAGTTAGAGCCTAGCTCTGGGACTTAACCAGCTTTGGGGTCCTTCTGAGCCTTCCTATACTTATCCATAAAACGGGCTAAACCTACTTTATCAGATGTGTTCAGAGAATACATGACATAAAGCACTTCAAGCGCTCACAGCATTATGCCCTCATGCAGTAGGTGTTCAACAAAAGGCAGATGTTATTATAGTTAGATTTCCTATAATGGCAGGCGGTGAGCTCTCCTGGGTGTGGCTTCCTGGTGACAAGCCCAGGTGTCTGACTTAAGGCACACTTGGCTCTGCACTTTCTAGCTGGGCGAACTTGTGTGTTTTCTGGTTTAAGTCATAATTTCTTTTCTGGTAACATGAGGATCGTACAGTACTTCCTCACAGGGTCTGGGGAAGGACCGGGCACTCAGAGCGTGCTCATTCGGTGTGACGATGGCTGCTCCTGTCATAGTCATTATAACCCACTGATGGGGGGAACTAAACCAGCAGCTTCCCCATTCTGAACTTCAGCTTCCTTGTTCTATCTGGGAATCACAGTCCCTGCACCCGCAGCCACCCAGAATCACTGCAGTCAGCAGATCCTATTGCTGACAAGCCTTCCTAAACTGTAGAGTGCTGGACCAATGTGGGCTCTGACGGTTAGGACCACAGAGGGTATGGAGGGTGGTGGTGGCCGTTCCTGGAGGCTGACTTGGCCTGCTCGAGATGGGAGGTGACTGTGATCCATGTACCCCCTGCATCCTGGAAGACACTGGGAAGTCATTATGGGTGCAGGGGACCAACTGTAGAGCTTTAGGCCTCTGTTCCTGCTGGGGCCTGGCCAGGGAATCTCTTGGGCCAGAGTTTGGCCTCCTTGGCCTGCACTTGAGATCAGCAAACTCCTGAATCTCAGGGGTCCAGGTAAGGAAAGAAAACCCCGTGACTCGGCCCTCTCCCGTTTTAGCACGGCCAGCCTCAGCCTCCTTTCTCCACAGAGTCCCTACGGGGCCCTCCCAGCCTCCACTGGCATGAACGAGAAGGGAAAGCCAGCATTCACACAATGCCTGCTGTATAGAGCAGGTGCTTCTCTAGGCACTATTACCATCCCCATGCCGCAGAGGAGCAAGCAGAGGTGGCTTGCGGGGATGGTGCTGTGAATGACCCTTGGAGATAGGTCACCAGCCCAGGCCTGCCTGATTCCAACATCGTGCCCTGTATTCTGAGCCTGCAAATGCCAGCTTGAGTCCCAGAACTCTACCCAGGCCACCAAAAGCCTTATTTACCTTCCCCCCAGCCCACTTTCCTGGGCTTATCAGGCAGAGGCCGAAGCAGCTGCTCACATTGCAAGCGCCCATTCCAAGTATCCCACCGGTGACAGGAGAACAAACAAGCCTGAACCCTCAGCAATCCCCTGGCTGAGAGGCCTGCCAGAGTTTTCAAAGGCGAGGAAAACTATGAAACGGGGTTAAACAAACACATGTTTGAAAGGAAAACAGATGCCAGACAGATGTGCTCCCAACTTACACTGATACAGTCTCGCGTGGCGGTGGGAGGAGGCCAAATATTTATGAAGCATTTACTGCAAAAGGCAAAGCGGTGGAGCAAAGGCACAGAGGCTTGAAATCAAGCAGATGAAGCAGACCTGGGTTGGAATTCCAGATCCCCTTGGAGGGCTGTGTGACCTTGGGCAGGGCACTTAACGTCTCTGAGCCTCTGTTTTCTCATCTGCAAAAGGGGATCATCATACCCTTCCTATAGAGCAAACTTCTTAATATACAGGTGGTCCCTAACTTACAATGATTCGATTTCCTGTTTTTCTTTCTTTCTTTTTCCTTTTCCTTTTCTTTTTTTGAGACAGGGTGTCACTCTATCACCTAGGCTGGAGTGCAGTGGCATGATCACAACTCACAACTCACTGCAGCCTCAACTTCCCAGGCTAGGGCGATCCTCTCACCTCAACCTCCTGAGTAGCTGGGACTACAGGCACGTGCCACCACATGTGCCTGTATTTTTGTATTTTTTTGTAGAGACAAGGTCTTGCCATGTTTCCCAGGCTGGTCTGAAGCTCCTGAGCTCCAGCAATCTGCCTGCCTCTGCCTCCCCAAGTCTGGGATTACAGGTGTGAGCCACCGCACCTGGCCCAATTTGCCATTTTTCTACTTTACGTTAATGGTGTGAAAGCAATAGCCATTTGGTAGAAACCATCCTTTGAATTTTGAATTTTGATGCAGTGGGAAACTCCCTAGCAGTGCCAGACAGCATTAGGGAGCTGCAGCTCCCAGTCACCCATGCCATCAGGACAGTGATACACTGATACCCTGCAGCTTACTGTGGTGCAAAGTGGTTTTGCCCAATATATGCCGTTGTAAGTGTTCTGAGCACGTTTCAGGTCAGCTAGGCTAAGCTTTGATGCTCTGTAGGTTAGGTGTACTAAATACATTTTTGACTTAGGATATTTTCAACTTAAGATTGGTTAATTGGGATGTAACTCCACTGTAAGTTGAGGAGCGTCTGCATATTAGGGACATAGCGTGGGGCCTGACATATGATAGGTGCTCAGTAAATGTTAGTTTCATTCCCTTTATTAGAGGGTTTAGCAAGCTGAGATATGAGACCGTATTCACCCTCTAAACCAGGCCAAAAGGAAGGAGCCGCTCTCCTGGGGACAATGATGGTAAGTGAGGTCCAGAAGGCAGAAGGGTTGAAACCCAGAGGAGTCTTTGGACTTGGGGGACCAGGATCATGTTCTGTGAACAGTGATGGTGTCACATTGGGGGTGGTAGACGGAGGGTGAGTTGGAGTTGGCCATGCAGGATTTGGACATGGGGAGGTTAAATTAATCCCCAGTCATTCTAGGGTGATTCTTCTGAATGAAAGATGTTTCCATGGGGCTTGGGGGCACAGTGGCAGAGGCCGGGTATCGTATTCTGGGGTTAAGACCTTGGACAAATCTGCTTCACTTCTGTGAGCCCGTTTCCTAAACTATAAAGGGAGAATCATGATATTTACCTTCTGGAATTGTTGGGCAAAAAAGAAAAAAAAAAGGCAATGTGGCAGGCCGGTGGTGACTACTCAGAATAGTGGTTGTTATTGGTGGTGGTGTTAATGTCGCAGGAGGAGGTATGGCAGATGGGGTGGTGGACAGAGGATGAGTTGCAGAAGGGATAAAAGAGAAAGAGGTGAGAGGGTGGAGGGAGGAGTTAGTGCAGGATGGGAGGATGGATGTATCTGCCTCTAAATCCCAATTTCCTTGGCACTTGCCGGGAGGCGGTTTCTTTTGCAAACCATGACACATTTGCACAGGGTTAGAGCAGATCCCCAAGGCTCTGGACAAGGCTGCACAGCTACATTTCAGGTACATCGGTCTCGGTTTCCCCAGCAGGAGACAAGGCTCCTGAGATAAGCCTATGCTGTCCTTTTCATCCACTCTATTTGTGCTAGAGACCTGCATTTTTCCAACTTCCCTGCAACCCCATTGGTGCAGCCAGCATTGGTGGGTGGGAAAAGGCCCCCCAAGCTCCTGCCCAGCGCCTCTTTGGGGTGGGAGAAGGGAAGGAACAGAAGTGCCCACCAATGTCTTCTCTGACTTCACTGTGTCTTCACAGCCTAGGGGCACTGATGGATTTAGCTAAGTGCTCATAACTTCCAAACCAAAAGTCAGAGCTCAGGATCTAACAATAACGGGTGTTTTCCAATTCCTGAAAAATGATTTATATGAAAAGGGAAATACCGTGATAGCCATCATTTATATGAAATGCAATTTAGTTACTGATTTGGTGAATTACTGGACCACAATGAACGTGAAAAGAAGTAGAGAATCCACCAATGGGAGACTGCCCAGTGGCTGACACATGGAGGATAATGATGATGACAATAATGATAGAACAGCATACTAGCTCCATCTGTATAGCATTCTACATGGCATGTATTATGACTGCTCCCTTGTACAGATGAGGAAACTGAGGCATAGGCAAGGTAAGTAACTTACTCAAGGGTTTAGGACTAATAAGTAGCAGAGTTGAGATTTCAGCCTGGGTTTGACTGACTCCAGGGCACAAGTTTTTCCCTTCCTTGCTCCTTCCCTCTCCCCTTTCCTTCTTTCTTCCCTCCCTCTCTTCCTTCCTTCTGACCCCCTTCTTTCCTTCCTTTCATTCTTCTCCTTACCTCCTTTGCTGTCCTTCCCTTTCCTGTCTTTCCCTCCCTCCATCCATCTTTCCTTTTTATCCTTTTCTCTCCTTTCTTTCAATCGGATATTGATAAATTGCCCTCTACAGAGGTTGTACAATTTACGCTCCCCCCAGCAATGTTGGAGAGCCTCACCCTGTTCTCCCACAGGCTTGCCAAACACGGTGTCAGCAAACACACACCTTAGGAAATGTTGCCCGTCTGATCAGTGCAATTTTAACTGATCGTGAAGGAGGTTGAGCATCTTTTCATATATTGATGGGCAATTTGTATTTCTTTCTTCGCGATTATCTTTCATACTTTTTGCCCATATTTGTTCCTTTGTTGGTATTTTTTCTTTTATATATATATATATTTATTATACTTTAAGTTCTAGGGTACATGTGCACAATGTGCAGGTTTGTTACATATGTATACATGTACCATGTTGGTTTGCTGCACCCATTAACTCGTCATTTACATTAGGTATATTTCCTAATGCTATCCCTCCCCCCTCCCCCCACCCCACAACAGGCCCTAGTGTGTGATGTTCCCCTTCCTGTGTCCAAGTGTTCTCATTGTTCAATTCCCACCTGTGAGTGAGAACATGCGGTGTTTGGTTTTTTGTCCTTGCAATAGTTTGCTGAGAATGATGGTTTCCAGCTGCATCCATGTCCCTACGAAGGATATGAACTCATCATTTTTTGTGGCTGCGTGGTATTTCATGGTGTATATGTGCCACATTTTCTTCACAATTTCTAGGAACTTTTCATATGTTGAGGATAACATTCATAATAGGAGTCTGTATTTCTTGGCTAGGGCTGCCATAGCAAAATACCACAAACTGGGTGGTTTAAACAACAGAAATGGTTTTTCCCACAGTTCTGGATGCTGGAAGTCCAAGATCAAGGTGCTGGCAGCGTTGGTTTCTTGTGTGGCCTCTCTCCTGGACTTGCGGATGGTCACCTTTTTGCGGAGTCCTCACATGGTCTTTCCTCTGTGCATGGCAATTTCTGGTGTCTCTTGTGCCTCCAAATTATTTCTTCTTATAAGGACACTAGTCAGAGCAGATTAGGGTCCACCCTAACAGCCTCATTTTAGGCCAATTACTTCTCTAAAGGCCCTACATCCAAACACAGTCACATTCTGAGGTCCCGGGGATTAGGGCTTCAAATAAGAATTTTGAGGGAACACTTCTCAGCCTGTAAAGAGTAAAGTAGAGGTTCTTCTTCAAAGACTTTCCTCCCCATCTAATTAAGAATAAATAGTAACTTCTCTTAGAGGCAAAATTTGTTCAAAGACCTGTGCTAACATCCTTAAATATCTGCTAGCCGTAATAAAGAAATCAATTGCACTTTATGTTCTTAGCTCCCACAATTTAGCCTAAATATTTGCCCTGGCATGTTTATACCAGTCCAAGCAAGCATTAAGTCATAGCCTGTTCCTCTTCCTTATTTAAAAGTGTTTTTATCTTTCTCAGCATTCCACAAGTTACTTCCTCCTTCCTTTGTTCTCTTCTGCTTTTGCCTCTTTTAAAAAGTTCTAAGTTGCTAGCCAATCAGGACAAATACAAAATGTGAGGTCCCATTCCAGCCAGTAGAAACCAGACACAGCAGTAAGGTAGATGTGTCAGGTTATAAACGACCCTGTCTCCTTTGTTCAGTGTACTCTCGTGGTAAAACTGCTAGCAAGTGTACCCTTTCTGCAGAAAGTAAAAATGGCCTTGCTGAAGAAATTAAATTTATGTTCAAGTGCTATTTCTTTACAGAACCAGGGAACAAGCATTCCTAACAAGCCACTAACAGAGTCCCACATATCTTTTTTTCTGAGCTTGCTTTTAAAAAAAATTTTACCTTGTATATTTTCTCCCTACCCTATGCAGTATAGCCTCCTCAAGTCTCCAAATTTGAATATCTGAAATCAGCTTTGCTCCAGAAAACTGAGTGTTTATCTTTGCCTGGTTTCCCCTAATTTGTCTTCAGAGACAGCTTGATCCAGAGGAAAGGGTGTGATGGGCTTTGGAGTCACTTTGACCTCCCTGGCCTGAAGTCCTGGCAATTCGCACAGCCGCAGGGTGACCTTGGGCAAGTCACTCTATCTGAGACGCTGAGTCTCTTTTCTATAAACGACGCTAATAATAGCTAGCTGGCAGAGCTGCTGTGAGGACGAAATGAGATGATATCTCTAGAACGCGTAGCTCCGTGTCTGGCCCGTCACCAGGGTTCAGTATGCTGCAACCATTGCGATTTTCTTTATGAATAACAGCTCGTATTTATCAAGCATCCATGGCACCGAGGGCCTGAGGGGAAGGGGGATGCAGAGTGGGGTCTGTCCAGGCATCTGCTCTCAGGGACTCATGGTCAGGACCATGACCTGGAATGCATGGGCCAGGCCCTGCTGTCCTTCAAAGCCCAAATGGGGAAGGGAGACTCATATCTGAGCCTTGTAAGTGGAAGAGGATTTTCACAGGTAGGAAGGAGGGGTGTGGGAGAGGGCATTGCAGTGGGAAGGCCCAGGATGTCCCAGAGCAGGGAGGCAGGAAAGGAGAGATCACCTTCATTGGATCACAAGGCATCTCTGTCTACTCGAGAGTTTCTGGTTTGAAAGTGGGAGGCAGCGTGGAGACTCTGTTGTGGAAACAGGAACCGTCTTTACCTGAAACAGGCAGAACACACAAGTGTTTGATGGAGTTTGACTGTGAGGCCACAAGTGCTTGCAGAGGGAAGGGGCACGGGGTGAGCAGATGATGTTCACGCTACACATCGCTGGCTGAGCCTGAGCTTTCAGGGAGCAAGGGCTCTGCTGGCACGGATCGCAGAGGGCTTGAGAAGGGTGTATCTGAAGCAAGAGTGCTGGATGATCAGAGACATCCCCAAGAAGTGGGGATTGGTCCAAGGGCCCATGCTGGATAGAGGTGGCTCAGTGCCTGGCCCTTTACCTCATCTAATGCTAACTGCAAACCTGCAAGGTAGATATGACCGGCCTTATTGTACAGAGGAGGAAACCAAGACTTGAAAAGGTGAAATTGTTTACCCAAAGTCCAACTAGGAACTAGGTGGAGGAGCTGAGCTTAGAACCTGGGGAGCCTAAATTCTCTGCATGCACCCCCATGCTGGTTAGAAAAGGGTCTTGGGTGGTGGTGACCCCAGTGAAAGTGATCCCTGTGGAAAGGCTTAGTGCCCTCCACCACCCACCTGCCTTGCCAAGTTCCCTCCTTTCCCACCGTGAGTGGATTAGGCTGAGAAGGCGTGGGGTTTATGGTGAGCCCACTCTAGAGAAAAGGGCCCCGTCCACCCTTTCCTTCTGCTGCTGGAACCTCATTGCATACCTCCACCCTCGTGATCTGCTGGGGTGGGGGAGCCTATTTGGGACCTCACCTCCATCCCCACTCCTGCTGTACAGGGGAGAGAAGGGTCCCCACTGAACACTCTCTGTTCCCCACAGCAAGTGCAGTTGTGTGGCCAGGGCACTCTCAGGTTCCCGGCGCCCTGGGTGCCACTCCGAAGTGTCTGGCTCCTCTCCACAGATCCCAGGGCCAGCTCCTCCTGCACGTTCCTCATTCTTCTCCCTGCTCCACGTGCGCCACAAACACCTTGATCACCTCTACCGCAGGAACACCTGCTCTCCTTTTAATGACCACATTCATGGAAGGAGAACAACCAGCTTAGCATCATGGTCCAAAATGTCCCCCAGGGGCTGGACAGGACCTTGGGAGTCCAGCAGGACCACCCTGCTGCCTTTGGGGTGGGGGTGGGGTGAAGACACGTTAAACCCTCTGAACTGCAAGGAGGGTCTCTGTTGCTGCCAGAGCCCCCTCCTCGTCACTCTGCTCACCAAGGAAGAGCATCTGGCCGTTAACTTATATATAATAACCCTTAAACGCTGCCATTAAGTCACCTCTCATTCTTTTAAACTACCCAGGAAGGGAGTTCAGGGTGATATACGGAGGCTTTTATGGCTGGTACTGGGCAGCTTAAGGACTTAGCAGCACACTGAACACACACATTGTTGCATAAATAAGAACCACTGTAATATCAAAGCATCACTCAGCTCCATGCCTGAGTTTCTCAGCAGCACAGAACCAACATCCTGCACCCTGGGTCATCGTCACTTAGACAAGGGGACCTGAGGACAGGGTCATTGCCTCAGAGCTGGACCACTGAATCCCATGATGTTACCACTGCTAGATGCACCAGGAGACCCTGTCACTTTATCGCCTGTCCCTCTCTCCTTCTTTCACTCAGCCTTCTCCTTAATTACGCCTTATGTTGCAAGGGGCAGGGGATGGAAGAAGAAAGGAATCGCTCCCTATCCGAATTAACCTGCTGCATGCCAGGCACTTTACACATATTATCTCATGAAATGCTCGATTGTACACAGTAGTAAAGGTGTTATTGCTCATTTATAGCTGGAGAGACTCAGTAACTTGTCCAAGGTCACCCAGCTTGTAAGTGACAAAGCTGGGATTTGAACCCTGCCTATGGCCCTTGCATATATGTCATTTGCAGTAAACACGGGGTTCTGGGGCCGGAGGGGAGCAGGTGCTGGTGCAGGTGGACAGCCCCGAGGGGCCCCGAAGAGCCCTGTGTGTGGAGGCTTTGAAATCAGGAGTAGGGGGCTCAGAGTGTCTGTCTGGGTTTGCAGACAAGGGCACAGCACTAACCTGTGGCTGCTCGCCTGCGTGGCTATGCTCACCTAGGAGCACCCACTTGGCAAATGGACAGTGTTAATATTTAATGAGTGATGATGACTTTGGGGGAATTGCTGTTTACTCCCTCAGAGAAAGGCTCAGAATTCACATTGGGCCCCAATGGCCCAGGCAGAGACTCCCCAGATCAGATCCCCACCAGCTGGATCCGCCATGGAGGCCCATCTGCGAAGTAGCTTTGGCGAGCGGGATCCAGTGTCAGGTCCTGAGGGTGGAGGAAGAGCAGGGAACTGGGAAGTGGGGCCCCTGTGCTTGGGGAATTCCACTCATGCCTGGGAGTGGTTGAAGACGAAGCCCAGGCGTATTTCTTTCTTCCACCATTCCTCTAACCCCCGTCTTGCCCACGCTAACTGGGATGCCAACCGTGGTGCTGGGGTCCTCTGCTCTTTCCAATTCACAAGGGTGGCCCAAGCATTCCAGGGCTAATTCCACTTCCTCATAAGACCCCAAGGAAATCACATACCCTGGCTGCTTCCGCCCCATGTGAGGATGGCGGCACAGGTGGCCGAGTTAGCGAGTGTCTTTGCTGATGGCTGAAGCCCCCTGCCCCCAGCCCAGGGTAGGGAGTTCTCACTGGCAGTCAGATGCGCCTGATTAACAGAAATGAAAGATGGGCTAATTGCTGCTGAATATGAGCCGCTTGTTTGGTAGGGAGAGCAGGGTTTTCAAATCATGGAGTCCTGGGGGTGCGGGGAAGGACTGTCCTTGGGGCTCCTGGTCCACAGTGTGGTACTTGGCCCACAGAGATGAGCTGCCTGTTGATGGGGGAGGCAGACAGGCTGGAAAATGCGTGGACCATAAGACAGGAGTGGAGCAGGGTTTTTTGGCGGGGGAGGGGATCTCTTACTCTGCAGGAGATGGAACCGGGAGAAGTTCAACAGAGCAGCGGTGCCAACAAGGTATGGCAGGTGGCCATGAAGGCCACAGATCTTAGGACCAAGTGCATCTGTGTTCAAGCCCAGGATCTGTCACAAGCCCCAGCCCACAGCAGGCGCCCAGGAAGTGGTAGCTGTGAGTGCCCTCATTGTGGAGAAGGTAAGGAGGGCATTCCAGTTATAGGGAGCCACATGGGCAAAGGCATCACTGGACCTTGATGCTGCATTTGGGGGATCCTGTGCCAGGATTAAAGGATGCCAGTGGCAGGGGCAGGGGAGGAAGTGAGGTCAGAAAGAGAGATTCTTGGGAACCAGACAGCTAGCTAAGGAATGGGGTCTTATGAAGCCAGTGACCATTTCTGAGTAGGGATTCTAGAATCCAGATTTGTATAAGACAAATCGGTGGCTCCCAAATGGCCAACTTTGAACCCCTGCTGGCTGGCTATAGGCCCCAAAGACCTCATTTGGATAATACATTAATATACAGAGTGCCAGGTCCCACTTCCAGAGAGTCTGATTCAATAGGTAAGAATGCCTAATATGTATTAAATGTCTTCTGCTTGCTGATTTTATCCTATATATTTTACTTTTTTGTTTAACTAATGTAATCCTCACAAGAATCCTATGGGAATAGGTACTGTTATTGTCCCCATCTTACAGATGGAGGAAGTAAAGCACAGAGAGGTTAAGCAACTTGCTCAAGTTGGCACAGCAGCAATTGTCAGAGCTGGGATTTGAACGTACACTGCCTGACTCTGGAGTCCATGCTTTAAAGCACACTGCTATCCCGGTTCTGATGAAGGCTGAGGAAATCTCACTTGGCTGGGCACACGCCCTCCTGTCCATGATTCTTCCAGGCTGCAGATTTGAGACTCATGATCATTGTCAACCAGTGGTCTTACATTCAGAGAAGACAGTGGTCAGGGTAGGTTGCACCTTCAGGAAGGGCTTCATGGAGCAGGTGGACTTAAGAGGGTCAGGTTATGGTGGATGCAGGGAATCAGAGAGGAGGACAATCTGGGTGAGAGGCATAGCATGAACAAAAGCAAGGAAACAGCAGACATGCAGGCCCGTCGGGGAGGCTGCCTGTGGAAGGACCTGGGAGTGAGACTAGGTGTGTGGAATGAGCTTGGAAGACACTGTCTGGAGCAAGTGTCTCGGTGTCTTGTAGCATGCTGGCCTCACTCTCATGCCAGTAATTGTAAGCCCTCAAGATGCCTTCATTTCCAGAGCCACCCTAGGCTCAGTGAGAATTGAGCCATGATTAAAAGGTCAGTCCAGAGAGGAGGCATTCACAGATTCACAATCCTCCCAAATGAAGACTCATCCTTAGGGCCTGATGGGATCCCTGGGGTCAGAGGGCTGGGGTCAGAGGGCTGCAGGGCAGAACGAAGGCCAGGGCACCCATAGCAACCTGGAGGGGAAATCGCTCCCCTCTCTGCTCTGGAACAGGAAGTGCCTGAAGGTCCACGATTCCTGGCAAGGGCTAAGTAATAATAGGTAAGGAAATAGTCATGCTGAGGAAGGGGTGTAGCAGAGCAGCTAGGAACTCAGTCCCCAGCGTCAGAAAGTTTTCGTTCTGGCTCTGCTGCTCACTAGCCACGAGTGACTTTTCCTCTCCAAGCCTCAGTTTCCTCTGCTGTAAATCAAGAATTAATCATGCTAGAGTTGTCATGCAGAACCATTGAGATAATGCACAATGCTTATCACAAGCACTTAATAAACAAAAGCCTTCATTCTTATTTCTGGCACAAACTCCCTTGGCCACCTACTTAGCAACCATTCTCTTCTAGCAAAACTTTAATTTTGTTGAGTAATTCCCCTTCCCCCATGTGGATATGGACTTCACGGGGGTGGCACCAACTCCAGAGCCAAGAAGTGAGTGATGATTGGTCTAAGGCTAAGCCAATCCTGGTTGACCTGTTCCCTCTAATAGTGATTGGTTCAACCATGGGCAGCTGATACAGTTCTGTTCAATTAGTGGAAATCTATAAAGGAGCTTCTGGGAAAGGTTGAAGAGGTACCTGGGAAGAAATAGTTCCTTTTCTTGTCCCCTGGACAGGATTGTGTCTGCAGTTGAGGGCTGGAACCACAGCAGCCACCTTGCAGCCATGCTTACAGGCTGAGGAGGGCAGGAAAGAAAGATAGACTTGGGACTTTGATGAGGGCCTGGGCTGATTAATTCATCAGCCCTAGAATCCCCCTAGCTCAAGACTTCTTATGTGAGAGAATAATTTTCAACATTGTTTAAACCAAATTGAGTTTCCTGTTGATGTTTCCTGTTACCTGAGATGGAAGCATCTACCTAATACTCTATTAATTAAAGTTTGGTAAGAGTCTGTTTTCCTGGAGCAAGGCACTTATGTACATATTACTTCTTGTTACGCTCACACTAGTAGAGCAGAATTAATATCCCTATTTGTCTTAGTCTGCTGTGGCTGCCATAACACATATCATAGACTGTGTGGCTTAAACAACAGAATTTGATTTCCTCACAGTTCTGGAGGCTGGAAGTCTGAGATCAGGCTGCCAGCAGGGTCGGGTTCTGGGGAGGGCTCTCCTCCTGACTTGTAGATGGCCGCCTTCTCACTGGGACTTCACATGGCCTTTCCTTGTTGCATGTGCAGAGAGAGAGAGAGAATGAATCTTATCCTCTTCTTACAAATCCTCCAATCCTATCAGATTAGTACCCCACCCTTAGGACCTCATTTAACCTTAATTACTTTCTAAAACCCCTACCTGCAAATGCAGTCACATTGGGGGTTAGGGCTTCAACATATGAACTTGGGAAGACACAATTCAGTCCATATCACAACTGCACACCCAAGAAAAATTAAACTCACAGATGTGAAGTGACTTGCCCAAATCACATCACTTGCAAGGGGCAGAGCTAGGCTTTGAACAGAAGTCTGCACTTTAAAGTGTGTGCTCTCTGTGCTAGTCAAGCATCCCCTCTGGTGTGTGTGTGTGACTCAATCCATAAGTCATCTTACTATCCTACTCTGGGAAAGATAATTAATATAAAATTTTTCACATTTTAAAAAAACAGCTTTAGGCCAGGTGCGGTGGCTCACGCCTGTAATCCTAGCACTTTGGGAGGCCGAAGCAGGTGGGTCACTAGGTCAGGAGATCAAGACCATTCTGGCTAACATGGTGAAACCCCATCTCTACTAAAAATACAAAAAATTAGCCAGGCGTGGTGGCGGGTGCCTGTAGTCTCAGCTACTTGGGAGGCTGAGGCAGGAGAATGGCGTGAACCCGGGAGGCGGAGCTTGCAGTGAGCTGAGATCACACCACTGCACTCCAGCCTCAGCGACAGGCAAGACTCCGTCTCAAAAACACAAAACAACAACGACAAAAAATCAGCTTTAATTGAGGTATAATTTACCAACAAAAAAGTCCAATTAGAACTGTCAGATTAGCTGCATTTTGACAAATGTATGCAGTTGTGTAAACACCACCACAGTCAGGATATAGAATAAGCCAGTCACTCCCAAAAGTCCCATCACGGACCTTTTGGAATCTCCTGCATCCTGCCCTTAGGCCCAGGCAACCACCCACCTGCTTCCTGTCCCTGCAGTTTGGTCTTTTCTAGAATTTCCTACCAGTGGAAGCATACAGTTTGTGTCTTTTGGGTCTGGCTTTGTTCACTTGGCATGATGCTTTGGAGATTTAGCCATGTGGTTACACGGACCACTCGTTCATCCCTTTTTATTGCTGTGTAGTATTCTGTTATGAGGAAATAGCAGATGTGGATTTGAGTTTTATTTTGTTTTGTTTTATTTTATGTATTTATGTACGTATGTATTTATTTATTTGGAGACGGAGTCTCACTCTATCGCCCAGGCTGGGGTGCAGTGGTGCAATCTCAGCTCATTGCAACCTCGGTCTCCCAGGTTCAAGCGATTCTCCTGCCTCAGCCACCTGAGTAGCTGGGACTACAGGCGAGTGCCACCACGCCCAGCTAATTTTTGTATTTTTAGTAGAGAAAGAGTTTCACCACGTTGGCCAGGCTGGTCTTGAACTCCTGACCTCGGGTGATTTGCCCTCCTCGGCCTCCCAAAGTGCTGGGATCACAGGCATGAGCCACCGCGCCTGGCCTCTTTGAATTTTAAAATCATACTTTCCATACATGAATGTTCCGGGAAGCTCAACCTCATGTGTTCTGTGGCTTGCGGGGAATCACACCGCAAAGACAGAAACACCCAGATGGCTGGGCCTGCTGAGCCTGTACTGCTTTCCAACAGCCATCCTGGGATCTTTCATCTAAATAGCTCTAGTTCCCTCATATCTCCAGAGAGCTTGCACCCCACCCCCGAGGCGTTGCAGGAAGGAATTCCATGTGTTCCCCGAATCCGAGCAGCCCGTGTCTAAGCGTCTTCACAGATGGGCAGTTCTTCTTTTATCTAGTCTCAAGCTTTCATGCTTCATTACTATTCTTCCCGCTGCTGATGAAATGAAGCTTTGAAGTGAGGGAACTGCATGGATCTGAAGGCTCGAGGAAGAGGATGACGGGAAGGCCCAGGAGTCTCTCCCATGTCCCTGGTTAGACAAAAAGCTGCCTGCTCCAGGAGCTGATGTTGTCACGACCCACCCACATCCCCTCGCTCGCTCTTGTCACTTCAAGCGTGCCACCCGACTTCCCCCTGCCAGCTCTCTGATTTCTTTGCTTAGGGTTCTCTTTGCCTGGCAGGGCAGTTTTGCCCACCCGATTCCCATCGCCTTCTCCCCCCAGGGAAGGATAACTCTGAGGCTCACGTCTGTTCGACACTGGCTCCCAGCGTTTCCCCAGGGCTTGAGCCCCGTTGCCCACTGGGGTAGCTGCCGACGACACACTCTGCCTGGCTTCTCCTGTGCCCTGACAGTGGTTCTTGACATAGTCTGCAAATAACTACCTGCACCAGAATCCTTGCCTCAGGTCTGCTTCTGGGAAGCCCATTCTGAGCCAAATGGTAGCAGTGAGCACTGGAGGTCTCTGGGGCCCTGGGCTGGCTGCTTTATGCACTGCTTTCATCAGTACAGTCCCCTGAGGTGGGACCGTTCACTGCCATCTTGCAGATGATGGGTAACTTGCCTGAAGTCGAGCACTTAGTGGGTGGCCAAGCCAGGTTTCAGACTCCCAGCCTCTCCCCTACCCACCTCCACCCTGAAACAAACATATTCAAATGCCCGTGTGACCCTTATCTGGAGTTTGAGTAAAACTCTTGGGCTTGGGCGTCCAAAACTCAGAATTCTGTCTCTGCCTCTGTCACAGATGTGCTGTGTGGCCTTGGACAAGTCACTTCCCCTATCTGGGCTCTATTTCCCCTTTATAATCTGGAGGGACTGGATTGTGTGATGTAAACAGGCCCCTCTAGCTCTGACATTTGGTAGAAGCTAAGGTTGAAGGAGGTGATTTTAGGACAAATACTAGGCCTCCCTATCTTATCTAGCGGGGAGTGAACTGCAGAGTTAGCACCCGCAGACAGCCGGGAGGAAACGAGAAAGAGCCATTTGAAGGATTCAGAGGAAGATGCCATGGAATAACAAGGGCAGCTCCTTGAGGGATGCTGCGGGGAGAGGGGTGCAGACATCCAAGGTTAAAGGCAGGAGGGGTCAGTCTGGAACCTCCTTGTCCCTTGCTCCTGGTGGGAAGTGACCCGGGAAGAACCTGGGGTAGCGGGGGCTCCCTTCCTCTGTCCAGTCCCTTATAAGGGGTCCCTTGGGCAGAGGCTGTTCTGAACCTTCCTTCCCACGAGGACTCTCTCACCAGGAGGTCACCTCCCCTAGCACAGGGGTGGCAGGACAGGGTGGAGGGAGAGCTAATGAGCCAGAGCCATGTTCCCTCCGCCTCCAAAAGCCCAGAGCAAGGCAGAGGGAAGAGCCGGGTGAATTATGCATGTGCCTGTTAATCACGCACTGATTAAAATAATTGTACTAATATTAATTCTTCCAGCCCTCTTGGAGGAGAGGGCAGTGCCTGTTCCCTGCTCCTGGCAGTAGATCATGCCCAGCAGACCTGTGGATTTGTAGGATGCTGGCTCTCTGCCAGTCCCTGGGCATGCCGCTGGATGTGAGCTCATTGTACCCTCTGCCTTGTGAAGGAGGGAAGGCCCGGTGCCTGGCCTGGATGTCTGAAACTGCAGAATGAGGTTCAGAGATGTCAAGGGCCTTAATTACAGACACACAGCAATGAGCCTGGTTGGGAATCAGGCTTCCTGCTCCGCGGGCTGTCGGCTCTGCCTGCAGGGTGAAAACAAGAAGGATTTTCAAGGCAGTGTCACATGGTTGAGCTGCTTTTAGGCAGATAACTGCAGGAGGGGACACAGAGAGGCATCCTAGCTTAAAGATATCTGACTTGCAAATGACGAGACACCTGGCTTCATTTTTCAGACACCTGAAGGCATTGTGGCAAAGTTAAGGAACGATCACAGGCTCTGGGGCCAAACAGACTTGAATTCCAGTCTGGTCTCCCCCAGGCTCTAGCCAAGTGATCTTGAGAGCAAGACTTTTCCTCCTTGAACCTTAGGGGTCCCATCTGCAAAAGGAGTCAGTCAAGCCCAGAACTGTTGTCGAGATTAAAGGATACAATCTAATAAGTAGGGCATCTCTTGGCACATAGCAGATAATCCTCGGGAGCAGTTTTCCAAGGAGTAAGCCTTTTCACACTGATGTGCCGTTTTCACTAACTGGTATTTAAGAGTATCTGCGCCCCTGACCCTGTGACCTTCTTCCCACCATGGAAGACTTTCCTCCTCTTCCTTGGTGAGGTGGGAGGAGTTCCGGGGTCTCCACAGAGAATTTAGAATACAGAGCAATTCCCCAAGGAAACAATGTTACAAGTCATTGGTAACCACAAATGTAAATAAAACGTTGTCAGCTCCCTTGGGGATTAGGGGGCTTTGGGGGCTACCCTGGGGCTTTAAGGACAACAGGCCAGCTGTGACTTTAGCAGTGCTATTAGTAGCCTTGCCCACTGCTTATTGAGCTCCTATTTGCTGGGCACTTGACATACAGCGCTTCCTATAATTTTTCTGGATGTATTTGAGGTTGGTGAGTATTTTTATTTCCCCCTTTAACAGATGAGGACACAGAGTGGTTTAATTCCAGGCTAAAGTTTGCCATCCTCCCAGTCTGTGCTTTTAACCATGACTTTATTGTATCCACTGACACTGTTTATCTGGGAAGATATATTGCTTGATCCAAGAAGCTGACTTAGAAGTGAACTTTACAGACAGATCCTTCCATAAGCTAAAGATTGCATAGACTCTGGTGGCCTAGAGAATCCAGAGTCAGTAATAATCCAATAATGGGCACTTTCTGAAGGACTCAGACAACAGGGCAGGTGGTCCAGGGTCCAAGGTTTTTCCTTTGCCCCGAAAAGTCCATGCAGAGCCCTGAGCATGTACCCAGAGATGGCTGAGAAGGACTGTGGTCGTGTGTGGGGATGGGGTCAGTGAGGTGTGTGTGTGTGTGTGTGTGTGTGTGTGTGTGTGTGTGTGTGTACATGGTTCTTGGTACATATGCATAAACCTATCTATATTCATGTGCACATAAAACATAAACACAGGCCATTATCCAGTCTCAGGTTCTCTCTGATGATTTTTTTTTCTGCAGTTGATTATTGCCTTGTCCTGTCTCTTCATCTCTTATTTCTTATTCACAAACACACTTACTGATGTGGTGTGCATTTCCTTAATTTGCATGGGTTTGCATAGTGCCTGGGGAATGATCAAATGTCTCATCCCCTCTCTCCACTTGAACAAGGAATTCCCCATTTAGAGCAACGACCCTGTGGAAGGGGGAGTGGGTGTGTTTGGGTGATTGGATCGAGGAGGTGGCACATATATGTTAAAAAGTCATATTCGGTATGCCCGTTGTCTTCAAAATATATCCTATGGCAAACAAGCTTCTCAGTGAGTGGAGAAGATGATGAATTTGGATCTCCTAGGGGGTGGATGAAGAGGCGCTGAGATTGGTGAGTTTATCTGAAGGGGCAGGGGTGGGATGCAAAGGTGGGCACGATGGGGCGAGTTTCTTACTTTTTTTCTAGCTCTCATTGGCCAGTGCTTAAGCCATCACATAGATTTCAATCAGCTGTAACAGATATAACCTTGAAGTGTGAGGTTGTCAGGAAAAAGAAGAAAGGAAGGCGGGGAAGTGGGGAGAGAGAGAGAGAAAGAGGGAGCAGGCTGGAAAAGAGAGAAAGGGAGTGTCAGACACTGTGACAACAGCGTCATTCCCTCCATCGTGTCCTGTTGACCTGCCGCAGGCCAGCCCCAAAATGCATACAGCCAGGTCTTGCCCAATCAGATATTCTCGTTATCCCCTTAATTATTCTTTACAATTAAGCTGTATGTTCTCCATTTACAGAAGAGGAAGTGAAACCATAAAGAGGTCCCTTGGCCACCGAAAGGGAGACTCGGGTTTCAGCCGAATGTCTTTCTTCCTGAGTTGAAATCCCTGATCCACCTCTTACCATAATAACCATGTGATATTGAACGAGTTATCTAACTTCATGTTGCCTCAGTTTCTGCATCTGTGAAGTGGGGATAATACTGCAGAACTATTAGGGTTGTATAAGCCTTAAATGAGTTAATGTACATAAAATGCATAGAACAGTGCCAGGTGCATATTAAATCCTGTATAAGTGTTAGCTATTATTCTATTGTTATTATTCTACGAGCATAGATTGTTCAGTTAAAAATCTTGTCCCTCCCTCTTTCTCCCAGTGCCCCTTCCTGCCAGCTTCTCCTTCCTTTTAAGAGTTAAGCCCTGGGGTCGGCTTCTCCGGCCAGCAAGTGATGTCATCCCCCCTTCCCCTTCCCCCTACCCCACCCCAGGGTCTGGCCTCCCAGAGGACGGGTCTGTGCCTGTTTTCCAGACCCCCAGGCAGGCAGCAGTTCGGGGAGCGAGCGCAGGGATGCTTATTCTCCGCCCTTCCTCTCTTTGAGAATCTAAGGGCATAAGTTAGATAACCGTGACACCTGTTTTAAATTAGCCTTCAGAAGCCTCCGACAGCTGAGAAATTATTTAACAGGGAAAGAATTGAGTTCATGAATAAATATTAATATTAAATCACCACTTCCCTAGATTTAAGAGGAAGGGTGGGGGACTCACCAATAGATGGAGGCAGCAGGTGTCCTGGAGATGCCACTGTGCAGGGCTCAGAGAAGCCAGCTGTGGGGTGGGACTACGGAGCCACCGACCATTGGTCACCTCGTTCCTGTCCAAGCCGAGAGGGGACTCTGTCCATCAGGGAGGCTGGCAGGTGGCAGAGGCAACATCCAAGCAGCTCACGGCAACTCAACAGGTGCTCGTTTGAGCTCCAACCTTCCCAGGCTGCGGTCTTAGAGGGAGAGAGACTCCACCTGAGAGCTGCCCAAAGCATGGAGCAGACTCCCACCCCCATCCCTCAGAGAGGGGCCACTGTCCCAGCCCAGCCTGGCCCCATTGTGACTTTCATGGGTCCAGCACTGTTACCTCCGTGGGCCCCTGCCTCCATGTAAAAATGGTAAAATGTTTATTTTATGACCACATTGGAATAAAGATGTATTCCAAAGATGTAATCCAGGCTGGATTTGTAATTCTATATTCATTATTATTTTATTCATTTTTTTCCCTGATTTTAAAAGGAATCAAAATGAAAACATATTTTGGGCCCTGGGCACGGTCCCTACTGGGCCTGATGGAGGCGGCAACTCTCTGGCTGGGGTCGGGGTGACGGATGCTTGAGCCAGGGAAGCAGGAACTGGTGAGGAGGGGTCGGCTTGGGGGTGAGGGTCTCCAGGGGATGGCAGAGCCACCCAAGGGATGTGAGGATCTGGAAACTCAGATCCCATCCTTTAGGTCCAGATCACAGATTGAAATTAAGTAAGAATCATCAATTTCTATGAATAACAAAAGTAATAATAATGAGTATGAATGAATAGCACACTCTGCTTTGACTGTCCTGACCCCCTTGGCATTCTTCAAAAGCCTCCAAGCAAAAGGAAAAGAAACTGCCAAGCACATTCCAGGCTCAGGGCCTTCGCCTTAGCTCTCCTGGCCTGGCATCCTCTTTCCTGGTATTTGAGTGACTCGCTCTCCCTTCTTCTTGGGTCACCATCCTAGTGAGGTTCTTCCTGGCTTTTGGATCGAAATAGCCCCTCTACTCCCTTTATCCACTGTTCTTTTCCCCTCCTTAATTTTCTCCATAGCACTTCCTGCTTCCTTATATTCCACTGCGTGACACATGGAAACATAGGGTATAATAGAATATACGCTGCATGTGGCGAGGTGTAGATGTTTACCAGGTTGTAGGGACTTTGTTTCATTCTTCTTTGTGCACTTAGCATCTAGAATAGTGCCTGCCATGCAGGGTGCTCAAAAAACCCTGAATGAATGAATGAATGAAACATGTCTGGCACATACATGGCAGTTACAACCATCTTTGTGCCTAGCGCTTTGGGTTGCTGAGCCCTCAGCCTTCAGTGAGGAGGTATTGGCCTTCTTCCACCATTGCAGAGACTGAGGCCTGGACATACAAACAAGCATGCCCCACAGTCATACAGTTAAGGTAGATCAATAGCTTCCCTGGATAAAACAAAGTGTAGACAGGTCCAAGGTTTGAGCAAAAAAGTGGTTTGGAAGGCGCAGTTATGGAAGGATGAGGGAATAAGGGGGCTGATGATTTCCCTTCCTACTCCAGGTTCAGCATTTCAGTTTCTGTCTGCACCAGAGCCTTCTAGGCTCTTTGTTGGAAACTGTGGATGTCACACTATAGCTCATACTTACTTATACAGAATTTAATATGCACCTGGCACTGTTCTATGCATTTTACATATATTAACTCATTTAAGGCTTATACAACCTTGATGAGTTCTGCAGTATTATCCCCACTTCACAGATGCAGAAACTGAGGCAACATGAAGTTAGATAACTCGTTTGATATCACATGGTATTGTGGTAAGAGGCGGATCAGGGATTTGAAATCAAGAAGAAAGACATTGGAGTTGGGGACACTGGTTTAAGTGCCTGCCCTGCAGAACCTAAGCAGATCTGTTTTCCCCTGGGCCTCAGTCTCCCCCTCTGTAAAGGAGGGAACTGGGCCACAGTCTGTGATCCCTGCATCGGGCAGGGCTGAGTGCTCCCTTCTTCTGCATCCAGGCTTCCCACCAGGGAAGGGAATGAGCCCTCCTCCTTGCTGCCTCCCCTCCTCCTAGTCCCCGGCTCAGGGCCTGATGCCTGCAGGTGGTGGTGGATCCTCGGTCGTGCGGCGGATGTGTTCTGGCATCATTTAACACCTGCCTCATATCTCCGAAGCCCCATCCTACACGTAGCTGTGAGCACATAGCTCTGCCGAACTCCAAATAGACATAAGCCACTGCCCTGCTCGGCTTCTTGTCTAATTATGGCTGCGACATTGATGTGACAGGGTGCGTTTAATTACAGGACCATGCACACTGACCCAAACGCTGTTTTGGCCCAGAATTTTCCAGCTTGAGCAGCCCAAACGCTGTGTGTGATGATAATAATAAGGACCTTTAGATTGTGCTGGGGATTAAATGAGATAATACATGCTTCTGGCAGGGAGCAGGGCACCAGCCAGTGACCTGTGGTCAGGTCCCAGCTCCTCCTTCCCCTTCCTGCTCCTGACATGGATGCCCACTCTGCCTAGCCATGCCCTGGAAAGACACCCATCCTATCTTGGCTAGGCAGAATGTCAGCTCTGTCTTTTTTGAATTTGTCCTCCAAGGATTTGCAGAAGATGGGAACAGGGGAGGCCTTCTGAATATAGTGACTCTTCTCCCAGCTCCCAGAAGCACATCTGGCTTGGCAGCATCTTTGGGCCACCCAAAGCCAGGGTCCCTTGGCCCAGGCAGCATTTGGGTCAGTGTGAGGGCCTTCAGTAAGCACACGTTCCCATCTTGACACCACTGCCATCACTAGATAAGACACTGAGAGGGACGGCGGGCTGTGTTCATTTTGTGTCTGATGAGCTCTGCTATAAAATGAGGAAAGCAGTTCAGAGAAATTAAGCAACTTGCCCAGAGTTGTCCAGCTAGGAATTTCCAGAGCTGTACTCAGATTCAGAACTCTGGGTGACTGCCCTATGCCAGGCACCCCCATTTGTTAGCCTTTAAATGGGATCTGAAACCTTTATTTATCGGGACAAGTCCTGAGTGTCCAGCAGACCAAGCTTTCCTTCCTTTCCTTCCACCACAAAGTGGAAAGTCTTGCCACCACTTCTGAAAGGTGTCTTTTTTTTTTTTTTTTTTTTTTAGACAAGGTCTCACTCTGTTGCACAGGCTGGAGTGCAGTGGCGTGATCTCGGCTCACTACAACCTCCACTTCCTAGGTTCAAGTGATGCTTCCACCTCAGCCTCCCCAGTAGCTGGGATTACAGGTGCATGCCACCACATCCGGCTAATTTTTTTGTATTTTTAGTAGAGACAGGGTTTTGCCATGTTGGTCAGACTGGTCTTGAACTCCTAACCTCAGGTGATCCGCTCACCTCGGCCTCCCAAAGTGCTAGGATTACAGGCATTAGCCACTGCACCCGACCCCCAGAAAGTGTCTTTTGAGGGTAACTTGTTTCTTCTTTTCCTGAACCTGTGGCATATGTCACAACTCTTAGCAGCTGTCCCAGCACTGGTTCTTTTCCCTCCTGGCAGTGACCAGAGCTGTCATTAAGTGACTCATTGTGAGAGCAGAGACTGTCTCTGTCACCACTGTTGAATGAATGAATGCATGCATGGATGAATGAATGAATGAAACATGAAACTCTTTCCTGAGTTCTGTCCTTTCATTGCTCTAGCATGCTGCCCTCTGAGCACTTCCCACCCCTCGAGGGGGGTCATCCGTATAGGGGTGGGAACAGAGCCAAGGTGCCTAATGGGGTCCGAAGCCTCTCCACCTGGTGAAATTGCCTGTAGATTCCATGTCTGTGTCTGTCCACTTGACCCATGCTCCAGGCCCCGCTGCCCTCATCTCTCGTTCCCCTGATGAATCACACGAGGCCTGGTGACACAGCATCATCACTCTCCTTATCCAGCAGACGCGACATCACCCTCCTTCACCCGCTGCAAACTGGCTGCCCAGGCATTACAGGAAGCCACCCTGCCCCCTCCTGGGCCTGGCTGCCCTCGCCTCTGTAATATCCTTTTTCTAATAGAGTGACCTGAACCCTATGTGCTGTTCTAAAAGCAGCCTCAGAAGCCCCTGAGACAGGCAGCCAGGTAATTCCCCTGGCGGAGGCACGATCTTACCTTGCCCTGCATGTCTGAACCTGCTGGCTGGCTGAAGAATGTCCGTTTTATAGAATATAATAAAATAAAACAGGTTCATTCCACAAATTTTGAGGCACCATCTAGCTCTGAGGTTTGGGGGCTCTTCCTTTCCATTAAGTTGTAAACTGCATGAGAACTGGACCATGTCTGTGAATGGGTGAATTTTATTTTATGTAAATTAAACCTCAAGGTAGCTGGTAACAATGAATGCAAGTAGATAGGATATATGGCAGCTGAAATAATATTCCAGGAACAATGATAACCTTGTGCATCTGGTACCCATGAGGAGGAGGTCAGAGGTGAGCCTGGAAAGCTGGCACAAGCCCAGGTCATGGATAGCCTTGAGCAGCATTTGACATCATGAGATACGTAACAGCCATCGCTGTGTAACAGCCAGCCCAAAACTCAGTGGCTTAAATATAACCATTTATTCTCCTACCACAGATTTATGGTGGGTGGAGGTCAGCTTGCGTGAGTTGGGCTCAGCTGGGCCATTTAAGCTGCTGGTCCAGCTGGGCTTGGCTCCAGATGGTGGGTTGAACTGTGTAGTTCATTCTGAGGTCCCAGCTGAGGGAGCAGCAGCTCCCTCGGGTGGCGGGTGGTGCGGGGGGAAGCTCTTCTTGTGAAGGGGGCAGAAATGCAGAAGGGAGGGTCCCACTGGGCAAGCCTATTCCAAGCCATTGCTCAACCGAACATCCCATTGGCTAAAGCAAGTAACATGACAAAACCCCACAGTGATGGGATGAAGAAGTAGGTTCTGCCCACAGAGAAGGGGAGAAGGGAGTGGGTATTTGCCGAACACCAGTTCAAGCATTCACAAGGTAACACAGGATAGTGTCAAGAGAATAGGTTCTGGAGTCTGGGTTCACATTTTGATATTCATCAGCCATGTGACTTCAGGAAAGTAACTTCCCCTCTCTGTGCCTCAATTTCCCCACCAAAAAAGCAGATATCAAACATAGCCCATTCAATGACATAATCTCCATCCAGCCTTCTAGCCTTGGGCTTCTCACAGAGTGAGCACTTATGTCCACCATGATTTCAAAGATGATGAGAGATATTCCAATTTCCTCTTTGTTATCCTTTCTGGTTCCCCGCATCCTCCTTTCTTTCTGCTGGGCCAAACCACCCTCCCTTCTCCCCCTCCCCAGGGCCTCCACTCTCTTCAAATATTTGGAAACGTCCCTGGGGTCCCCAGTCTCGGTCCTGGTTAAGCCAAGCTACACAGATTTCGTTCCTTTAATCTTTCCTCGTAAATTAATCCCTCTGAACCTTTAATCATTTTCCTCGAATGAGATTCAAATGAGACGCTTGTCTGGACTCCCACCGCACACGGGCTGCAGCCTGGTGACAGCCTGTCATGCTGACAGGTTTCTTGCCCTTTGGGGAGGGTGCACCAAGCTGCCCCAGAGATAAGAAGATTGTGGGTATCAGGAACTCATACCAACAAAACAACCCAAGCTTTTGTGGGTATCCTGCCTCTTTACCTGTGTGTTTCCTGAAGTAGGAATGGGTGGTTGATGACGTGCACCCTCCCTCCCCCAGCTCCTCTTGTGACCCACTGGCCACCAGTTATCCCTTATATGGAATGTGTGCCCTGTCTTTGTACTTGGCATGTCAAATCCTCACGATCTCCCTGAGAGGTGAGATGAGACAATAGTAAGACCGTGAGTTCAAATCCCAGTCCAGACACTTCTGAGCTGTGTGACCTTGGGCATGTGTAACTTAACTGTTTTCTCACCTGGAAAATGGGTTCATAAGAGTACCTGTATCATAGAGTTGTTGGAAGAATACAAGGGACAGCTTCAAGTAGTATTTGGCACAATAGTATTTGGTCTTGATGAATGTTGGTTGTTGTAAGTCATAATTACTCATGCATGGCAGATGGAGAGAGTCATTCAGAGAGGTGAGGTGAGCTGCCCAAGTTATAGAGATGGGATTAGAACCCCTCTCTTAATGTAGGTCCAACACTCTGGCTCAGCCTGGCAGAAAGGGTGCAAGGGATCCCCGCATAGTGGGACAATGAGTGGGATCCACAGACCTATCTAGGGACTAATGGAATGTCAGATACACGAACAGCTTGTCCTTCTCTTAGTCTCTGGGTTGTGGGTTTGGAAGCTGGCTGCTTGTTTCTATTACCTTCTAGGAAATATCCTTCTGACTGATCTTCAAGTGGTTTCCAAGTATTAAAGTTAATGGTTGAGGAGAAACACTGGAACAAAACATATTCCCTCCCAGAGTTCCGCCAGGCAGCAGGATCCACATGAATTTGTAATTCCTAATGGCATCACTCAGGCATTGCTCGGGCATTTAAGCTGCAGGTTGTGCAGCCTATAGACAGCTGGGGTATTGTTACACTGGGCAGATCTGAGTTGAATTTCTTCTTCCTAATTGTGAGAGCCTGGTGTTAAAGATAGATTTTGGAGTGAGACTTCCTGGCTCAGAATCCCAGCTCTGCCTCTTACTCTCTGACCTTAGGCAAGCAACTTTACCTCTCCGTGCCTCAGTTTCCCCATCTTGGAAAAACAGGGATGATAATAATAGCACCTATGTCATAGGGTTGCTGTAAGGATGAATAAATCAAAATGTTGAAAGTGCCTCTGAGAGTACCCAGCACAGGAGAGCTGGTCATGTGTTTGTTGCTACTGTTGTTGCCATTTCACTGTATCCCTGCAGCTGGGCAAGTCATTGCCCCTCTCTGAGCCTCAGTTTCTATAAAATAGGTGCACTGGTCCTTGTCTCCCAGGAGCTGGGTGAGAATCTGGTGAAATAAAGTGGTGGAAAGTGCCTAGCCAAATGCCAAAGCGTTATGCATTTTGAGGGATTATTAGGGGGATGGCAACATAAGTGTGAGTGGCAGTGAGGTGAGTGATGAGCTGGGCTATTTAAATGAGAACTTTGAAGCTCCCCAGAAGCCTGTATTCCCTGTCCCCCAGACACTTGCTGTGTTGGAATATCTCGTAGTTTTCCACTTTCCACCTGGGAGACTGATTTGCTCAAAATTGGCTTGGGGAGGGCAAAGCTCTTAGGGGGTTGAGCACAAAGGGACAGGGAAATTGTAAATCTTGCCCCCAACAGTGAGTTGCTGGATGATTGGGAAATGGATTGTTGAATCTCAATCTCTCTGTCTCCTGCTCTTCCTCCCTCCTCTAAAGCAATTGAAGAAGAAGATGGATACCATCTGTCTCAAAGCCGGGCACCTGGAAATCACTCCTCATACCTCCTTCTTCACCCTCCGTGGCTAGTCAGTCACCAAGGCCTAGAAAGATCCCTCCAGAATAGCACTTGGAGTGACCCAATCTGTTTCCCTGGCTGGAGAGCCCAGTGGCTCTCCCCTGAATGTCTACAATGACATCTAACTGCATCTCTTACCTCCTTTCTTGTCCTTTTAGAATCCACTCTCCAAGTAGCAGCTTGCAGAGTATTTAAAAAACACTCATCTGATCGTCCCCCAATTCTTTGTTGGCTTCCCTTTTTTAAGAAAAATGTTCAAAATCCTATAAAGAAGGACCTGTTTTTACCTTATTTTGCAGAGGGGGTTCAGTCCAACTTCAGTGGCTTTGCATATGCCTTTCCTGCCCCCTGGAATTCTCTTCCCTCCTCTCATGATCTCCCTGCCCTCACCTAACTTCCCTGGGGTAACTTCTGCTCATTCTTCAGGTTCCCGTTGCCTTGCTCACTGATGGAGGCCTTCCTGGCTGTGTCTGGGATCTATGCTCTCATAGCATCCTCTGTCTTTCTTCAACACACTTATTTTTGTAACCATCATCCCTCCTGTGACCATCGTTTTAACCTCTCCTGGGGGAGTGGTACCATAAAGGCAAGCTCGGGCTGCTATAACAAAATACTGTAAACTGCGTGGCTTCAACTATAGATTATTTTTTTTTTTCTCACAGTTCTGGGGACTAGGAAGTCCAAGATCAGATGGCGGAAGATTTGGTTCTTGGGGAGGGCTCTCTTCTTGGCTTGCAGATGGCTGCCTACACACTGTTTCTGAATATGGCAGAGAGAGAGATACAGAGAGAGAGAGAGAGAGAGAGAAAGAGCGAGTGAGCACACTCTGATCTCTCTCTCTTCCTCTTGTCACAAAGACACTAATCCCATCATAAGGGCCTGTATTAGTCCGTTTTCACTCTGCTGATAAAGACATACTCAAGACTGGGTAATTTATAAAGTAAAAGAGGTATAATAGATTTGTAGTTCTACGTGGCTGGGGAGGCCTCATAATCATGGTGGAAGGTGAAAGGTACTTCTTACATGGCGACAGCAGCAAAGAATCAGAGAGCCAAGCAAAAGGAGTTTCCCCTTATAAAACCGTCAAATTTCACGAGACTTAATCACTACAATGAGAACAGTATGGGGGAAACCACTCCTGCGATCCAATTATCTCCCACTGGGACCCTCCCACAACACATAGGAATTATGGGAGCTACAATTCAAGATGAGATTTAGGTGGGGACACAGCCAAACCATATCAGGCACCACCCTCAAGACCCATCTAAACCTAATTACCTCCCAGAAATCCTACCTCCAAATACTGTCACATTAGGGATTAGGGCTAGGGCTTCAACATATGAATTTTTTCTGGGGGGGTGGGGGAGACATAAACATTGAGTACGTAACAGGCAGTTATGTTCCTCTCTGGACCACTGATTCTGAGCACAGTCCTTGGTAGTAAGCGGACACTCAGAATGTTTGTTAAATGAATGAACAAATGGATAAATGAATGAATGAATGAACAAACAAGTGAATACATGAAAAAAATTATAGTCCTGCTTGAACATTGAATCTGGAGGTCCCCCCTAGATTTTGGAGGAACCCTGTGAATCCACGTATGCCTCAAGAGGTCTTTGTGACAACAGGGGAGGCTGGATAAGACACTATTCAGCAAAGACTCTATCTTTTCTTAGCAGTGACCTAACTGGTAGCAAAGTTGTGGCTTGCTAGGATATTTTGACTTTTTCTGAAACAAAAATAAATTTTCGAAAAAGAAGAAGAGGAAAAAGTCACGTGGAACTGCTCCGATCTCCCAGCCATGAAATATCCCTCTGGGATTAGATCCCCTGCTGTGAAGTATTGCCCCATGATTAGATCTCAAGCCATGAAATATAACCATGAATTTAGATCTCCTCCTTGGAAATACAGTTTGCTGATTAGATCGCCCCCATAAAATATGGCCTTTGGGTTAGTGCATGCCAGTAAAATATGGCCTTTGATTAGATCACCGCAGGGAAGGCTGAGGTGCTAGCTGAGACTAGGAACTCTCACCACATCCTCACAAAGTAAAATATAAATATATGGAGAGGAAGAGAAAGCAGAGGAGGTAAATTAATAACGGTGACATTTTGGAACTTGGACTTTCTTGAAGGTTGTCAGCGTGAGGGAAGGGATGGGGACAGACCTGGGCGTGTAGACTCCTTCACTGGGTAACCTGGTGCTGGTGACAGCTGGTGTATGAGGCTCCCTGTGTACCCAGAACTGTGCAGAGCACTTCATGTGTGTTAGCTCCTCTAGCTCCCAAGAGGAAGGTGACATTATTATGGTCCCCATATACACATGGAAATTGAGGCACAGAGAAGCAAAGTCAGTTGATCAAGGACTCATAGCCAGACGTGTCAGAGCTGGATTTGAACTTGGCCCCTCTGCCCCTTGAGCCTTTACCCTTAGCCACTGCCCTTTGGTTGGCCCAGCCGATGCCACTCCTGACTTGCGGTGCTAGGGCAGTGTGGCTCCCACAAACCCTCTGCTGCTGCAGGGGTGAGGAGTGAGGATCCTTGTGAGAGTCAGAGATGAGCTGGCACTGCCCCTGGGCTCACCCTGGGTGAGGAACAGAACAGATAATCCCAGAGTCAGAGCCCAGGGAAAGGCCAGGGAGGCCCTTCCCCACACTTAACAGGAAGCTCAGGCCCAGAGATGGGCAGTGGCAGCAGGCCCAAGGCCTCATAGCGGGGTGCCAGCAGATCCAGACCTTGAAGCCAATGTCGCCCGACTTTGGGGCAAACATCCCCTTCTTGCTATGTAGTTCTCTCTCTCGCTTGCTGAAAGGAGCAGAAAACTAAATTTGGATCATGAGTTTATTCAGAGAGATGGCTTAGTGTCATCACCTCCCAGCTCACTTAGTAATCATGTGAGCTGGACATTGTGCTGGGCACCATGGTGCAGCCGTCTCCAACCTTTTTGGCACCAGGAACCAGTTTCGTGGAGGATGAATTTTTCCACAGACCAGGGCAGGGGCGAAGGTTTCAGGATAATTAAAGTACATTGCATTTCTTGTGCACTTTATTTCTATTATTATTACATTGTAATATATAATGTAATAATTATACAACTCACCATGATGGAGAATCAGTGGGAGCCCTGAGCTTGATTTCCTGCAACTAGATGGCCCCACTGGGGGTGCTGGGAGACAGTGACAGATCATCAGGCATTAGATTCTCATAAGGAGCTCACAACCTAGATCCCTCACTGATGCAGTTCACAGTAGGGTCCGTGCTCCTATGAGAATCGAATGCCGCTGCTGATCTGACAGGAGGTGGAGCTCAGGTGGTCATGTGAACAATGGGGAGTGGCTGTAAACATAGATGAAGCTTGCCTGCCATTCGCTTACTGATGTGTGGCCCGTTTCCTAACAGGCCATGGGCTGGTACCGGATTTGAACTTGGTTCCTCTGCCCTGGAGCCTTTACCCTTAGCCACTGCCCTTTGGTTGGCCCAACCAATGCCACTCCAGGCTTGTGGTATTAGGGAAGTGTATGGCTGCTGCAGGGGTGAGAAGTGGGGGCCGGTACCAGTCCATGGCCTGGGGGATGGGGACTCCTCCCTTGGTGGGCCACCCTCAGCCCTCTTCCTGGACAGAGACCCTGCTCACAGCTGATCCATGTCTGGGAATTGCCCTTGAAGGTCACCGCCAGACCCAAGGTGATGCTCTCCAGAGGTGGCCCCCATCTGTGCTGCTGGATGAGGACACAAAGCCCTGCCTCTTCCCTCAATTCAGGGAAAGCTGGTCTCAGCTTCAGAGCTCCCAGTGGATCCACAGCCAGCTCCCTCTTTGCCTGGTCTCCACTTTTCTGCAGAAGCTGTCTTGAGAGTACCGCAATCTCCTGCACACAGCTGTCTATCTCATGGTCTGTTTCCTAAGCATAGTTGTCCCTCTGCCCCTCCGATTCCATCTGTGAAATGGGAATGGAACACCTAGCCAGAGGTAGTCTGGAGGCAAGCATGCCAGTGTGCGTGTGATGTGTGCACAAGATTCCTGGCACACACTAAGTGTTCATAAATATTTGCCAAAATCCCTGCCAGGTCATCTGGAGCTGAGAAAGTCACAGAGAAGGGATTCTTCACCTCTATTCATCTGCAACGTGGGGCCGATAAGCCTGTCTTATGGGTCATTGTAAACTCTGCTGGGCAGTGCTGGGGACAGTGGGGGTGAGTGGTTCCTCCTCAGACTTCATCTCTGGTCCCTCTTTCTTTCCCTGCAGGGTGCTCAGTGAAAGCCCCGGGCAGAAGGCTGGCCACTTCTTTATCTCACAGGAGCCAGCCACTGGCCAGCTGTTATCGGGGATTTGTGAGCTTGTAAAACATGGCCAGCTATCACGCCATCTCCCCAGGGCACAGTGCTTTCTCGGCTGGGCCTAATCACCGGGTGATCTTGGCCTGTGATTGAGGGGAGAGCTGGGTTACCCTGGGAAGGCAGCAGCCAAGTCCTCTGGAAAAGGCTCGGGTGGGTGGAGGAGCTGGGGGGCATCAGGGCCAGGCCTGCTGGGGCTGACACATCGCTGGAATGGACCATGGCAGATTCCATGCCCCACTCTTCCTTCTTCTCTTCCCTGCAGGGAGATGGTAGAGTGTGGGGGGACCCTGCGAGGCTCCAGGGACCCAGAAGGAGATAATTCCAGAAAAAACATTCAGAACTGCATCAATGTCAGTGGCCCCCTCACCCATTCCTCGTTAAGCACCCACTCAGTGCCAGGCCCTCTGCTAGGCTATCCAAAGTGCTGGACTTTGCTGTGTGACCTCAGGCCAGTCACTTGCCCTCTCTGAGCCTCAAGTGTCCAATAGGAATAATAGTGCCCGTCTCACCAGGTTACTATGGGGATCCCTTGAGGCAGTGGATATGAAAGAATTGCCTTACAAACTGTGAAGTCCTGTGCCCATAAGGATGAGATCAAAGGATAAGCCTGCATGTGGATTACACACCTAGAGGAATGGCTTTAGAGGGATGAGGGACATCTCAGGGGGACCAGAGAAGGACTCCCGGAGCAGGAGATTATGTGAGGCTTTGCTGAAGACTCTGGGGGAAGGAGGGGTTGAAATAGAGAGGGCATTCCAGGCAAAGGGAATGGGATCCATACGGTCTGCTGGGCAGGGGATACACGGGGTGTGTATCCCCTGGCGCGGGAGCACACGGCTTGAGCTGTGTGGATCTGTGGCAGGCTTGCGGGTTGGGGAAGCCGGGCCCATCTGGCTCTGTTTTTCTGCTGTCATTTTGGATGCTTTTGTGCTGAATTCCCCTTTTGTCACTGTTTCCCTGCGATTTTCTTTTGAACCTGGCATCTGTTTGGGGCTTCATCCGGTCCCTGCCCCCTGCGTTCTGAGGCTCAGATCTGTTTGCAACCTGGGCATCTGCTCTTAGGGCAGTAGGTGGTTCCGGCTGCCTCAGCAGGTCTCAGAGCCAGGGTCCGGGATGGGTGGGGCAAGGGCAGATCTTTGTGGAAGGCGCTGGCCCTGCCTGACACAAACATGTGACATCTGCCCTCCTGAGAGTCCAGTAAGAAGCTTTCTTCCTCCCTCCAGCCCTCCTGGGCCGGGGAGGGCTGCCACGCTCTGTCATGCACACCTGTCTCCCCCACCAGGCTTCAGATGGCAGAAGAGCCCAGCCTTCCCCAGCACTGGCTTTGGAGCCACGCAAGCCTGGGTGGACTCTTGGCGCTGCATTTACCACGTAAGCATCCTGAGCTAAACCTCCAGAAGCCTCTGTTTCCTGCCTCTGTGAAATGGGGATCATGCTCCCACTTTGTAGTACCATAAGGATGCAACAAGATCAGTCTTGTCTAACACCTTCTTGCCTGTGGTCAGCAGACTGGGGCATGAACACGGCTCTGGGCCGGGTCTCTGGAGTCTGTATCTTGGTTCTTTCAAGGCATATTAGTGAATCTCTCCCTGTGCCTCAGTTTTCTCATCTGCAAGATGGGAATAAGACCTGCTTCATAGAATTAATGGAAGTACTCGAGTCTGTATATCTGCAACATACTTTGAGGGTGCCTGAGGCACAGTTAGCGCCATGTGGGTGCTCACATTGTCATCCCTACTGGTGTTGTCCTGTGACTTCACTGGGACCCATAGAGGGTAAGGCCATTGCCAGGCTTGCAGCTGGGCATACTGGGGACCACAAGGTTCAGCATATGCACCGGGATCCTATGGCTGAGCTAAGATTTGAGTCTGTGTGCTGAGGGCTGGAGAGCAGTGCAGAGGGGTGATCAGAAGGCCTGGGTTGGCATCGTTCCCCTGCAATGAATTATCTTGGTGGACAATAGCCAGTTGCTTCCATACTCTGAGTTTAATTTTGGTTTCCTTCTGCCAGAAAATTGGGATAATCTCCCTCCTGAAGTCTCTGTGAGAATTAAACAAGAAAATAAACGTGAATATCCTTTGAAAGACATAAAATGCAGTGGGCCGATTCAATTCGTTTATTCGACACATATTAATTGAATATCTACTAAGTGGGAAGTGCAGCCCTGGCGCTGAGGATCTGGGGTGAATAAGGCAACACTGGAATCCTGGTCCTCACAGGCCTTCACTCCAAATGGGCAGCAGGTAGCAACCCCCAAGCAGAGAGACAAGCACACCAAGTTCATGGGGCTGAGACAAGGGGAAAGAGAAGTGGCCCACAGGGAAGGGGGTGAGGGCTGTGTCCAGGGGCTTTTGAGGAAGGGCATTTGACACCGACAGCTGAGTGAAGAAAGAACAAGCCCAGACTTGTGGGGCCAGGGGTAGTAGGCAGAGGGAAGAGCAGCATAGAGGCCCCTGTGGAGAAAAGAGGCAGTGGGAGAGCCAGTGTGGCTGGAGCTGTGGTCAGGGGCCAGTGCTTACAGGGCCCTGTGGGCCAAATTCAGAATCTGGAATCTAGTCCAAGGGAGACGAGAACCATGGGAATCTGTATTAGCCAGGGTTCTCTAGAGGGACAGAATTAATGGAATATATATATATATATGAATTTATTAAGCATTAACTCACACGATCACAAGGTCCCACAATTGGCTGTCTGCAGGCTGAGGAGCCAGGAGTGCCAGTCTGAGTTCCAAAACAGAGGAACTTGGAGTCCTATGCTCGAGGGCAGGAAGCATCCAGCATGGGAGAAAGATGTAGGCTGGGAGTCTAGGCCAGTCTAACCTTTTCATGTTTTTCTGCCTGTTTTATATTTACTGGCAGCTGATTAGATGGTGCCCATCCAGATTAAGGGTGGGTCTGCCTTCCCCAGCCCACTGACTGAAATGTTAATCTCCTTTGGCAACACCCTCACAGACTCACCCAGGATTAATACTTTGCATCCTACAATCCAATCAAGTTGACACTCAGCATTGACCATCACAGAGGCTTTGGATGGGGCAGGGATGGACAGGGTGGGTGTTTGTCTATTATATGCTTATGTAACATACAAATATGGTTTAGCCTACAATGGAACAAGCTGAAGGGGAGTTTCCCCCTGAGTGTGTGTCTGTGTGTGTGCTGGATGCTGCCACACTTGAGGACATTCAGGAATCAGAAAAGGGTTGGACTAGTCAGCCTCAGTAAGCCCTGTGACCTGGAGATTCTGTGGTTTTATGAAGAAATGATCATGTGGGCTGTTTCCTAAGTCCCCAGAGAGTGAAAGAGTGAATGAGTGAATTTAGGATAATAGGAATTTAGGATGTGACTGGATGTGAGAGACGCTGGAGCAAACAGGTCAGTAGGGGAAGCCACTGGAATTCCCACTTCCACAAAACAGCAGTTCTCTGCTTTTGGTAAAGGGAAGAGAAAGGAGACCCTCCTACTGAGTTAAAAAGGGAGGAGAGCGAACATGTTTCATGCAGGTACCATGTGCAGGCTCTGTGCTGACCATTTTACAAACAATCCCCCTTTGACCCTTATTATCTTAGCTTCCTAGGGTGCTATGACAAATGATCATAGACTGGGTGGCTTAGAACAACAGAAATGTATTCCTTTGAAGTTTGGGGACTGGAAATCTGAGATCAAGGTGTCGGCAGGGCCATACTCTCTCTGAAGGCTCCAGAGGAGGATCCTTTCTGCCTCTTCCAGCTTCTGGTGGTTGCCAGAAATCTTGGTGTTCTTTGGTTTGTGGATGCCTTGCTCCAAGCTCTGCCTCTGTGGTCACACAGCCAACATCTTCCTGTGTGTCTCTGTCCCTTCTCTTCTTATTAAGACCCCAGTCATATTGGCTTTAGGGCTCACCCTCATCCAGTATGACTGCCTCTTAACTAATTACAACTGCAAAGACCTATTTCCAAATAAATTCACATTCTGATGTTCCAGGAGGACAGGGATGTTGTGGGGTTCACTAGTCAACCCAGGAGACCCACTCTTTTGACGGAGTGATAATGTCACCCTCTGTTCTCAGACTGCTAATAAAGACACACCCAAGACTGGGTAATTTATAAAGAAAGGAGGTTTAATGAGCTCATAGTTTCACATGGCCGAGGAGGCCTCACAATCATGGTGGAAGATGAATGAGGACCAAAGTCATGTCTTACATGGCAGCAGGCAAAAGACCTTGTGCAGGGGAATTCCCATTTATAAAACCATCAGCTCCCTTGAGACTTATTCACTGCCACAAGAACAGTATGGGTGGAACAGCCCCCATGATTCAATGATCTCCACCAGGCCATGCCCTTGACACATGGGGATTATTACAATTCAAGGTGAGATTTGGGTAGGGACACAGCCAAACCGTATCACGCCCCCACTTCACAGAGCATCCAGAAAGTAAAGAAACTTACTTAAGGCCACAGAGCTAGAAAGTAGCAAAGCTGGATTTGCACCCAAGAGCGTCTTTGATGAGAGTCTTCACTCACTCTACACAGCCAAGCTGTCTCCAGGGGATGGAATGTCATGCCAGCCTCGGAACAGCACAGGGAACTTGGGGTGCTCTGGGTGCCATCGATGGATTATAACGGCTGGAGCAGGCATGGAGACAGGTCAGTTGAAATGAAGTTGGAATGAGGATCAGAACAGGCTTGGAGGGGCAGAGGAACCCCTTCTTCCTCTTCCTTCTTCTCCACTTTCTGGAACCTTCTGAACCTAGCACAGAGACCACCATCCTCTAACACCTTCCCAGATTCCCCGGCTCTGTGTGAATGTGTTCCCTTGCTCTGAGCTGCCCAGCCCTGTTGTCTGTGCCTCTCTGGAATGAATTCCATTCTCTTTGCACCTGGCGTTCTCTTTGGACCTCCTCAAGACCAGGGCTTGCTCTTTTCTCCTGCATTCCCTGCACCTAACACAGGCAGCGGCACACAACAGCTACACTGCGGATTCACTGATTCCACAGGAGTTTTTAAACACAATTATGTGTTCAAAGCAGAAAACACAGACCGGAATGAAATGAAAGACAGTCTGGTGGGGACCAAGACTCATAAACAGATGCTGGTCCCTAGGGCAGTGCATGGCAATAGTAGAGCCCAGAGAGAAGCCTGGTCCAGACTATGGTATGGGAGGGAGGCAGAGAAGGCTTCCCGGAAGAGGCAGCAGCCAGCGCAAGTGGCAGGTGCAGAGCCCTTGGGCAAAAGCGAGAGCTCAGCCTTCTGGAACTGCAAGCAGCTTGGTGATGCTGGGGGGTTGTGTGCAGAGAGACTTGGGAAGGGAAAATGTTGATGGAGAGGTCCACATGAAGAGGCTGGGGCTTCATCCTGGGGTATCCCTTCTCTTGAGATTGACAGTAGGGTTGAGGAGGATTTGAAGAGTTTAATCAGGGGGCTGAATGTGGTCGGATCTCTGTCAGATATCCAGAGGCTGGAGGCAGGGAGGCCGGGGAGGATGCCACCTTATAATCCCCGAGAAAGATGCCAGCAGGCTGAATGGATTTGGGGTTACAGGGAAGGGAGGAGTAATTTGGGTTATTACTAAATGCTCGTTGAGCTGGATTCTGTATTGACCTGCAGGACTCCATCTGACCTAATGGCAGGGAGGAGAGGCCATGCCTTGGATACTTCCTGAGTCCCTGCAGGGCGCGTCTGCAGAATCCAAGTGTGCAGTGTGCAGCCAAGAGCTCAACAACCAACATACTTAGATGTCAGCAGGAGAGCCCAGGGTCTGTCCTCACTGCCAAAGCTTAGCAGGGGGCTCCACAGGGTCCTGAAGGTACCCCCTGAAAAATTATCCGTGTCAAGGCTGACCTTTATTGAGCACTGTCTAGTTGACAGAGTCTGTTAGAAGTGCTCTGTTTTATCTCATCAGAGCCACATAATGGCCCCATGAGGTGGTGCTCTTCTTATATCTGTTTGATAGACGAAGAAACTGAGGCTCCAAGCAGGGAAGTGACTTGCCCAAGGTCACAACCCTAGGCAGTGACGGAGCTGGGACTTGAACACATGATCTTGAGCCTCTCAAGCCCAGGCCTCTGCTGCCACCTCTGGAAGATGCTGTTTTCCCAGGAAGGTGATATCTCCAGTAAGACACCCTTCTATGCAAGCCACAGAGACAAGTGGGGGAGCCGCCCCGTGCCCCTGTCCAGATGAGTGAAGGAAGACGGACGAGCTGGCTTCCTCTCTTTTCCCGGCTTCCCGGTACCAAGTATATATTTTTTCTAATCGGCCCGGCTGCTGATGGTTATCTGGCTTCGCTAGAGAGCGAAAGAGACTTTGTGTCAAATGCTGAAAAATGACTTTTCAGGCAGCCTCTCTGTCTCCTGAAAGGAGGTGACGTGCTCAGAGCATACAAATCACTCAGCATTCGGGTGTCTCGATGCGAGGAAGGAGTGTGTTTGGATTGCTAAAGCCACTCCTGTCCCTTCACAAGGTCATGGGCGGGCAACCCAGTCTTGTCAGTGCCTGGAGAGCAGAGAAGCCTGGTGCTGAGAGGTGCTGTGGCCCCCAGATGGCAAGCCTGTGGGGTGTCTGGACCCAGGAGGGGTCCCTTGGATGCACAAGGTACAAGAGTCCAAGAGGGAGGCTGACCTCGGATTCTAGGTCTCCATCAGCCCACAGTAAGCTGTGTGACCTTGGATAAGTTACTTAACTTTTCTGGTCCTTGGAAATCTCGCTCCATAATTATCATCCCACAAATGCTGTTTTCAGCTAAGCCATTCACCCTGCTGGATGTTCTAATAACTGCATTTGTCTGGTGCTGACAAATCCTCAGTGATTCCCAGGCAGCAGAAACTTGCCTGGTACCTACAGAGAAGTCACTGGGTGTGAAGGACAAAGGCAGACGTTGGAATGCTCCAGAGAGGGCCTTGAATCCAGGCTCTGGAGGCAGCCTGTGGGTTCAAACCTTGGCTCTGCCACTCAACAGCTGGGTGACCTTGGGTATGTGACTTTATCTATCTGAGCCTAAGTTTCCTCATCTATCAACTGGGGAAATAACCAAGACTACCTCATATTGGGGCTATGGTGAAAGCCAAGGGCTTAGAATGATGCCTGGAACAAGAGTAAGTCTTCAGCCAGTGTCAGCTCCTGTCACTGTGACTGTGTCTTAGCTGTGCTGACGTGGCCACTGGCTTCTATAAGAATCCAGTGGATTCTTGGAAAGGTGTCGTAACCTCTCCAAGGCTTGGTTTCTTCATCTGTGTAGAGGGGATGGGGATTTAAAAATTCAATGTGCTTAAAATGCTTGGCACACAGCAGTTTCTTAATCACTTGTAGACATTTCTCTGGCTCTTTGCAGAAAGATATTTTAAATAAAATTTCAGTTTTCAAGTGTATCTGATATTTTGCAATCCTTTGAAAATTTATAAAGATGATGTACACAGTATAATCTGTCTCGAAGTGAACACGGGGTTGACTGGACAATGCCATTTTCTGAGTGGCCATACCAGAGTAAGAGCCCACTGGAGATCAGAACTTGGGGGAGAGTGCCCAGAGCCAGCTCCAGGGAGTAGGACCTGCCCAAGTCATAAGTGGCAGCTCTGGGTCCTGCCTGCCTCTCTTCCTGAGATGCCATTTATAGCTGCCGGGACCCACATGGGCCCGTAGGGTGGCCCTGCCCATGCAGAGAGGGGAGCAGCTGTCATTGTAAGAACTGAGTGAGCCCAGGAGCCAGGCTCCCAGGGTGCCAAGGGATCGTCGTCATTCATCTCCCCCGTTTTTATTTTCTTCACTATAAAGCATAGAAAAACCACGTAGCCAGACCTTAAAAAATACAGACGGTCTCCAGATGAGTCTGTGATGTTAGGCAAGGCCTGCCAGGCGCTTTCTTAATGCTGTAATAAAACTGGCTGGGGAAAAACTCTAAAATTACGGAGGAGGCCGGCAGTATAAAATGTATGGGATCAAGAGAGAGAGAGAGAGCAGAGTATTGCAGCAGTTCCACACTGGGCCCCAGGTGGAACTGGGCTGGGTCATCCGATGGCAGAGTGACGCCACTTCTGTCACCACCCCCCTGGCCCTACTTTACTGCTGGGGTGTTTTGAGGATCTAATAAGGTCGTGGGAGTAATAGGCTTTGTTATTTACAAATAATTCGAATAAAAGGACAATAGGAAGACCTCTCCCCTGCCCCCTCTGCCCAGATGCCCCCCCAAAGCAAGACTTCTTGATGGTGGCAGGTTCCATGGGCCAGATGAGGGTGGCCCCCTGGGACTCTCTGTCTTTCTCCCCTGCCCATCTCACTGGTCCCCCTTCCCCAGCGGGCCTTGGACTGGGGTGCTTTGGTGCCCGTAAATGGGTTGAATGAATTAGGCCCATGTCCTTCTAAAGCAAACTTTTAAAAAATACTCAGTTTTGCAAGGCCCCCCGGTACATTAAACAGATAGAAGGGAGGGTGGCTCTGGTGAATAAAGAGTGGGTTGGGGCCCCTGCACCCATCAGTGGCGTGCCCTGAGTTCAAATACTGTCCCTGCCACTCACCACCCAGGGGATGTGTTTCAGTGTTTCGACCTCTCCCAGCCTCTATCGCATCATCTGTAAAATGAGGATAGTGCTAGAACTCACCTCTCATGGTGGAGATTCAGTAAGACAAAAGATGCACCTGGCTCAGAGTAAACTCCTCAGATATCCCCATTACAACAACGGCTACTGTGATTTGACTGCTGTTGGATACACGGACATCCAGGCGCCCCTCGGATCCTGGGCACCGGCTCTTGAAGTGCCCTCACAGAGGCCCTGTCAATCCAGGCATCCGACTCCACAGTTCTCAGCTTCCCAGCCCTGGTGACTCCACTGCCTCCTCTTTGGCCATCTGCATGTGCGTGATGGGAAGCTGTGCCTGTGCCTCTCCTCGGTGGCTGCGGTAATAGAGCCCAGAGTGAGCAGGTGGCAGCCCCCCTCCCCCTTCCCTGGTCTCCCTCCCTCCCTATCTCTCACCTCGGCTGCAAAGCTCCGACTTTATTTAATCGCTTCCATTGTCTGCTCCACGCCTGGTAATCTCAGCTGGGAACACATGTTAACAAATGGGCAAAGTTTTATCGGGAGCTCAGAGCCCCTCCCCGCTTCGTCAGATAAGGTGCTCTTGCTTGGGGGCTCACACTAGGGAAGCTGCTCCCGGCCCCCCCCTACCCCCGTGAGAATCCATCCCTAGGCAATTGCATTGTGTGAGCAGGGTAACAGGAGGGATGGGTAGGAGCGGGTCCAAGGGGGCTCTGGGGATCCAGACAAAGACCCCAAGCCCCTGCTCCTTCCCCACTCATGGGTTCTGCTGCTTCTCCTGCTGGCTGGAAGACCCTTGAGATTCTGCCCATTGTGGGACAGTGGGAAGGCTTGCCTTAGTTCTTGGTTCACATCCGGGCTCTTGCGTCTTCCCAACTGCATGATGGTCACTTCCATTCTCTGCATCTTGGTCACCTCGGTTATAAAATAAGAAACAAGCCTATCTGTCTCCTGACAAAGAGAGTTTAAGTGAGGTTATGTGAGTGAAATTATCTAGGGAAATGCCTGGGGCTTAGTAGGTAGACAGCGCCCCCCTTTGCTTCCTACCTGAATTAGTTTCCTAGGACTGCTGTAACAGTGACTTAAAACAGCAGAAGTTATTGTTTCACACTTCTGGAGGCTAGAAGTCCAAGATCGAGGTGTGGGTGGGCCACACTCCCTCTGATTCCTGCAGGGAATAATCCATCCTGGTGCCTTCCTAGCTGCTGGTGGCTGCTGCAATTCTTGGTGTTTGGTGTTCCTGGGCTTGTGCCTGCATCCCTCCGGTCTCTGCCTCTGCCATCACGTGGCCTGCTCCCTCTGTGTCTGCTTCTGTGTCCAAATTCCGCTCTTCTTATAAGAACATTATATTCAATTCGGGCCCTTCTTCATCTTAACTTGATTATGTCTGCAAAGACCCTATTTCCAAATGAGGCCACAGTTACAGGTGTAGGGCTTAGGATTTCAATGTATCTTTTAGAGGGATATAGCTCACCCTACAATGCTACCTTTTGGCTAAGTCTTCCTAACTTGAGTGGCCGGGATCCACGTTGCCCTTGGATCAGCCTCTGTCACTGAGCTGACCCTGCTTTGAGTTTCACGTGATTTATGTCGTTGATTTTACCCCAGCCCCATGAGGAGGGATAATGAGGAGGGGTCCACCTTTGCTCTTCTGCTGCGCTATCCTGTTCTGTGCTAGGGATGGATGTAAACAGATAATAGTGTTTACATGAGACAGGGGCCACACTAGGGAGATAAGCATTTATGGAAGCAAAGATAGTGTCCCTTTCTCACTAAGTGGAAGTGAAAATAGGAAGGCTCTCGAGAGACCCACTGAGCTGGTCCTGGAAGGGTAAAGAAGGCATTCTGGGTAGAGGAAGGAGCTTGAGCTGGGGACTGGAGGAAGGAGCGCCCCTGAGCTGTCTCAGCATGGGTGAGCAGCCCTGGGAGACTGAGTCAGGGACTGAGCGCGTGCTCAGGGAAGGATGGAGCTCCCTGGAGGTCAGGCTTTAAGGGCAGCCGGGCTGACACTCAGAATGGCCAGGCTAAGAAGTGCAGACTTGATTGTGCCAGCACTGGGGAGCCAGTGAAGATTGTGGAACTGAGACATGGTAGGAGCAGAATCGTGGCTCCAAGGGCTAATCCAGCAGCAAACACATTTCAAAGTTTTTGCTGAAGGAAAGCCTCACCACGGAGGGACACAACGAGCACTGGAATTTCAAGGAGCTGTGGAAGTCTATCATCCAGAAATTCCCCAGAGGAACCTCTAGCCTGGCTGGATGGACAGCACCCATGTCAACTCAGCCTCCTGGTCCTGATTCCTCCTTCACGCTGGTGAGGGACACCAGGCATGGCCCCAGGATATCTGGGAGCTGGGACCCACCTGCTCTCCCTTCTAAGGGAAATAGCAAGGAACAGGTATCTCTGGACTTTGCCTCCTCTGCCCTCTCATTGGGGTGTGTGTCGGGGGGTCTGTCCGTTACTGGCATCCCTCTCCCATCCCATGCCGAAGATTTTGACCTTTATAGCCAAGTCTGAGCTGTACTGATAGAACATCCACAAAGTCAACAGTGGGAAGGTTCCACAGGCCCAAGCATCCCTTCCTGTGCCTTACAAGTGGAATCATTTATTTCTGTCCTCTAATCTTGATTAAACCCATCTGAAAATAAGTTAGATATCAAATCTGTGATTTCAGTCCTCCCTCCGTTCCTGACCCTCTTCTCCCTCTAGTTGCCCCAAAAGTGGCCAGTTTTGTTCAGGAGAGCACCAAGCACTTGGAAAATTCCATTCCCAGCCTTCCCAGCTCATTTCTGCTTCCACGCACCCTGCTGCCTCCTGACAGTCTCACTTTTAACTCTATTTACATTCTGGAAAGTACATAAGATTTTTATCATGTACTTTCCTAATGTCAATTTTCCCCTGATGAGAATAAGGCTGTAAACACCCATATTTTCATAAGCCTGTTATAGTCCTCCATGTATTCAAAGTCGATGAGCAATGCAATCTCACATTCTCAGGGCTGGCTGGGACTGGCACAGGAGGACGGCTCAAGGCAAACTCTGGGAGCCAAACTCCTAGGTGTCTTCTTTGTCTTTCCTTGGGTTACCACCTTCATTACTTTTGGGGGCCCTTCTTTTATGCCTAAATCTGGGTGTTCCTTCTTTTTCACACTGCTATAAAGAAATACTCAAGACTAGGTAACTTATACAGGGAAGAAGTTTAATTGACTCACAGTTCCTCATGGCTGAGGAGGCCTCAGAAAACTTACAATCATGGCAGAAGGCCAAGGAGAAGCAAGCACCTTCTTCACAGGGTGGCAGGAGAAAGAGAGAGAGAGAGAGAGAGAGCCAAGGGGGAAGAGCTATTTGTGAAACCATCAGATCTCATGAGAACTCACTCACTATCATGAGAACAGTATGGGGGAAACCGGCCCCATAATCCCATCACCTCCCACCAGGTCCTTCCCTTGATACGTGGGGATTACAGGTTGAGATGAGACTTGGGTGGGGACACAAAGCCAAACCATATCAATCAGTATATCTATTTTTGGTTGGAACCATCAAAACCTGCTAGACTACTCTTAAGCTGTGGGAATGGACAAACACCAAAAATGGCATCCAGAGAAGGCACAGACTATGCATCCCCTAAACCTTGTTATCCCAGGGAAAGGTGCCATGGGCCTGGTCCATTAGACCCATCCCAGTCTTGGCTTTGGGTGAGGGACACCATTCGTGACACTCTACACACTTCTAAGGAAGTTGGGAGTGGCCAGGCTGCATCAGGCTAGCTGGGTAACACTGGGATTTGCAAGCCCCTGAGCCTCTGGGTGGTTGAGTGGGCTTTCTCTAGAGGACATCACAACTCAGTTACTGAGACGTTTTCTTATCAATCTAGTTTTACTGAAACCTCATGGTCCTTCCTGCTGAGCCCACTTGTTGCAAGGCTAGGTGGGGAAAGGCTCCAGGGATGCTGCAACAAGCAGGTCTTTGCCTCCTCAAGTCTAGGGACATGACTGGCTCCACCTCTGGCCCTTGATAACTAATTGTTTTTGTTTTGTTTTGTTTTGTGTTGTTTGAGACCGAGTCTCCCTCTGTCGCCAAGGCTGGAGTGCAGTGGCGCGATCTTGGCTCACTGTAGCCACCGCCATCCAGGTTCAAGCGATTCTTGTGCCTCAGCCTCCTCAGTAGCTGAGACTACAGGTGCATGCCGCCACACCTGGCTAGGTTTTGTATTTTTAGTAGAGACAGGGTTTCACCATGTTGGCCAGGTTGGCCTTGAACTCTTGACCTCAAGTGATCTGCCCGCCTCAGCTTCCCAAAGTGCTGGGATTACAGGCGTGAGCCACCGTGACCAGCCCCTTGATAACTAATTGTTAATGAATGAATGAATGACTGTTTGTATATCCTTGAATCTGAAGTCACTTCATTCACCAGAATGAGAGCAGCAGAGTCTGCTATGAAGGGGAACAGGTGGGGTGGGGGCGAGGGTGGTCAGAATCCTGCCTCCAGTATTAGTTCTTTCTAAGCCTGGGGTCAGCACATTTTCCTGTAAAGAGCTAGATGGTAAACATTTTAGGCTTTGTAGTCCACAGGGCAAAATCGAAACTGTTATGTGGGTATTTGTATATCATTTAAAATGTAACTATTTATAAATATGCAAATCATTCTTAGCTGGTGGGTCCTACAGAAACAGGCTGGCCAAGATTTGATCTGGGGCCATCGCTTGCCGAGAGCTGTTCTAAGCCTTGTTTCCTTTATCTGTAAGATGTGACCAACCTCTGTTTCTGAGGGTGGTTGTGGGTATTCCATACACCAGACAGAATGTGCCTGGCAGCGCTTAGCACATGGTAACACCATAATCCTAAAAGCCCTATGGGATGGAGGGCTTACTCCCAGGCACTCCTCTGAGAATATGAACTCATAAGCTCCTCTGACCCCATAACATAGGTACTGTTCGGTCTCCATTTTACAGATGAAGAAACTGAGCCTTAGAACGATGCAGTCATTTGCCCAAAGTTACATGTTGGTTAAATGGCAGAGCTGGGATTTGAACACAGGGACTCAGACTTCAGAGCCTGTGCTCGCAACTTCAGTGATCAGCAGCTGCAGTAGTCATTGTTGCTGCTGTTAATTATCCTTCTCAGGGATCCAAAGGAATCTAAAACGAGCCAGGACAGGAACACTGCCAGAAAATGGATGATACAAAAATCTTCCTTCTTTGAGTGTGGCGTGCGCTGCTTGGTTTTATTTGGCCACCAGTTCACCTCTTGGGTTACCATGGCTTGAATCTGTTGGTTTGACGTCTCTGAATGTGTGCTCAGAGGTGGAGGGGAGATGAAGGGGAGAGGGGCTAGAGAAGGCTAGGTCAAGTAGGAGGGCCATCCAGTTTACAAACACACAAGGCAGTGTGTGTCTGATCTCCCTTGGAGCATGACAGCTGGCTTCTCTCAGTCCTGGAAAGAGAGATTTAGGTTGGGCAGGAGCAGGAACTAGAGAAACATCCTGAGAATGGATCACATTCAATTCATGACCTGGTTTTAGCCCAGAGGCAGGGGGATGACTGAGTTGACCTTTCAGGGCTACATCCTGTCTTCCTGTTGGGCTTGGGAGTTTATGACTTGCAGAGAAAAACTACTCCATAGGTACAAATACCTTCCTTACAGTTCAGGTGTTCAAAACTCCCTTTTCGTTTTTTGTTTAAAATAAACTGATGTTGGACACACAGCCTCTGAGAGGATTTCCAAAAACTCCTGGAAAAGTTTTAGATCGTTATCATGTAGGACAGAGAGGGATTACATTTACATGTCAAAAGATGCAAAGGCCACAGAGTCCTGCTAAAAAGTTGATGGGGAGAGAGAGGAATGGGGGAGAGAAGAAAGATAAGAAGGGGAGAGAGAGAGAGAGAGAGAAAGAGAGAGGGAGAGGAGAGAGGAGGAGAGAGAGAATTCTGCAATATTAACCATGGCTTTCTCTGTGTAGTGGTTTATGGGAGAAGATTTTTGTTTTTTTATGATTACCTGGGTTATTTTTTATTTTCTACAATAAACATATATGATTCTTGAAATCACCAGAGAGAGATGTCATTAAAGATTAAAATATTGATAAGAGTGGGTCTGTGCCTCTTCTTCCAGAGCCAGGTAGGAGTAGGAAGCTACCTTTCCAGCGAGAAAAATCATCCTGTTTGTACAGGACACGTTTGTCATCCGGTGTTTCCTTGACTCCCTCTTATCTTGCTGACAAGGAGAAGGATGGAAAAGGGACTGTGATCGAGTGAGGCCCACGGAGCATGACTCAAACAACCCATTGTGAAGGAGGGTAATCGCAGAATCAGCTTTGGAAATCAAATAAAATGCCATGTCTTGTAGCCAAGAGACACTGCCCAAGCGTTTGATTTTAAGCTCAGCTGAAACCCTGGAGTCTGTCTTGAACTGGGAGGAGGACTGACTCAAGGTGGGACTAAGGTGATCTATATGAAGAATTCTAATAAAAATGTAGATTGGAATCAGACTTAGGAGAAATTGTGAATGATAACTGTCAGGGATTCGTGAGAAAGATTCAAAATTCTACCTACGGGGTTCTTTTAAATGCTTGCCCTGTATGATGATCTCTTTTAATGCTATGTTACAGAATGGTTGGGTTGATGTGTCATTTTCAAGAAGCAGTAGAAAGCACTTAACACTATGCCTACCTCATCATAGGCCTTATAAAATGTCAACAATTCCTGGATACTGTTTCTTCTGCTGGACACACTACAGTGAACAAAATAGACAAAACCCATCCCCTCATGGGGCTGACATTCTAGTCAAGGGGTAGATAAATTTTAAATATGGTGTCAGGCAAAGATGTAGTGCTGTAACAAATAAAGCAATTTTCAGGATAGAGAGAGAGGTTAGCTGGGAATTTTAGAGCATTTGAGACTGGGTAGTCAAGGCTTCTGTGGGTTATGACATTGAACAGAGACCAGAGCAAAGTGAACGAGCAAGCCATGTGCACAGCTGGCTCAAATGTGTTCTGGGGCTGGGTGCCGTGGCTCATGCCTGCAATCCCAGCACTTTGGGAGGCTAAGGTGGGAGTATTGCTTGAGCCCAGTAGTTCATGACTAGCCTGGGCAACATAATGACACCCTCATCTCTACAAGCAATAAAAAATTAATTGGGTGTGGTGGTGCATGCCTGTAATCCCAGCTACTGGGGAGGCTGAGGTGGGAGGATTGCTTGAGCCCACGAGTTCAAGGCTGCGGCGAGCCATGATCGCACCACTGCATTCTGGCCTAGGTAATAGAGTGAGACCCCGTCTCAAAAAAAAAAAAAAAAAGAGTGTTCTAGGAAGATGGAACAGTAAGTGCAAAGACCTTGGTGTGGGAATGAGCTTGGGATGTTTAGGAATGAGCAAAGAGTCCAATGTAGCTGGAGCAGAGTGGGCCTGAGAAAGTGGTAGAAGTGAGGCTGGAGTGAGAGCTGGGTGCCTCACCGCACAGGCTTCTGGGCCATGGAGAGGACTTTGGCTCTGACTGTTCAGTATGATGGGAGCTACCTAAAGGCTTGGCACAAAGGAGCAGCATGATCTGCTTGATGCTTCAGAGGACTGCTGCTATCTCAGATAAACATGATGTATTGGTCTGCTATTGCTGTGTAACAAATTACTACACACTTAGCAGTTTACAACACCACCTGTCTATTTTCTCACAGTTCTGTAGCTTAGAAGTCTGAGTAGGCTACACTCAGGTCTCTACTCTGGGGCTCACAAGGTCAAAATCAAGGCATTAGCTGACTGGGCTCTTATCTGGAGTCTTAGGAGCAAGAATCCACTTCCAAACCCATTTAAGTTGTTGCAGAATTCAATTCCTTGTGGGTGTAGGACTGAGGTCCCGGCTTCCTTGCTGATTGTCACTCTCTTCTCCTGTAGACTGCCTGCATTTTTCTTCAAAGACAATGAGGGCATGTTGAATCCATCTTGGACTTTGAATCTCTTTGGCCTCCTCTCCCATCCCTAGAGGGAGAAAACTTCCCACTTTTAAGGGCTCATGTGATGAGAGGAGGCCCACTGGGATAATCTCCCTATCTTAAGGTCAAGGGTGTCATGTAACATTACATGATCATGGAGTGATAACCCATCATATTCATAGGTTCTGGTGATTAGGATGCAGAACCTTAGGGAAGGGGATCGTTTTTAGAATTCTGCCCACCTCATGTGAGGCATGGTTTAGCTCTCCTTGCAGGAAAGGCATCTGGGTATGTGGAAGACTCTCTAATATGGACCATGAAATCCAGGGTTACAAAGTCAGGACTACAATACCAGTCCTTATTGCACTCCCTCAAAGAGCATTTATTAAGCACTTCTGCATTCCTAAAAGTGTTTTGCATGATGAAGGATTTAAAACAACAGCAGACAATTGCATATCACTGGGGAGCTGAAACTAATGATGCAGAAAGCAAGTACTGGATTTGGTAAAATGCAAGGGAGCTCAGTGCTAAAGGATGCAAAGGCAGGAAGAATCTGGCAGGGGCTGGGATTCCCTGTTGACACCTCTCCCACCAGACCAGTCCATGTTCTGGTCTGGTGCCTGGCTCAGAAACTAGCAGGTGTTTCATAAATATTTGTCCAGCCAGTGCATGAATCAATGTGCTTCAGTTTTCATACCAGTAAATAGGAGTATTGGCCTCCCCACATGTTTGTGGGAAGATCAGATACAGAAGGGCTGTACACTTGGAAGAAAAAAAACGGGTTCAAAAGTCAGTGTCATTATTTTTGTGAGTGGCAGGAATTCGCTTTGACATGCCCCTGGGAGAGAGATAGGAATTAACAACCACATCAAATGCATATCATTGGCCAACAGGGGAGTTTTCCTAAGGGAAGATTTATCGGAAAAAGTTTGGGTTGGTGGAAGGAATAGCACAGATGCCTGAGGGCCCCTGGGAGGAAGGGAAGGGGCCCAGAGGCCTGGTGGGCATGCTGAAAGCAACCTTCACCTTCTTCATAACCCACCTGATCTCCTTGCCCAGAGCAGAATTCAGTTCCCCTGGGAAGGAATGTGCTGGGAAGCAATTTTTCCTTCCCCTGGGAAGGAAGGAAAATGCTGTCCAAAGGTTTCGGGTTTTGGGCAGTTCTCCTTCAGTTTAGGAATAATATATATATATATATATATTTTTTGAGACGGAGTCTTGCTGTCTCCCAGGCTGGAGTGCAGTGGCGCAATCTCGGCTCACTGCAAGTTCCGCCTCCCGGGTTCACGCCATTCTCCTGCCTCAGCCTCCCGAGCAGCTGGGACTACAGGAGCCCACCATCAAGCCCAGCTAATTTTTTTTTTTTTTTTTTTTTTGTATTTTTAGTAGAGACCGGGTTTCTCCATGTTAGCCAGGATGGTCTTGATCTCCTGACCTCGTTATCCGCCCGCCTCGGCCTCCCAAAGTTCTGGGATTACAGGCATGAGCCACCGTGCCCGGCCCAGTCTAGGAATAATATCTTAATACCAATAACAGACTTTTCTCATAATAGCCCCAAACTGAATGTCCTTCAATAGTACATGGAAGGAATAAGTGGATTGCAATATTTCACACAATGAGATACTAACCAGGACACATTTTTTTGAAAGCACAAACTCCTGATAAATGCAACACATAGAGGAATGTCAGAAACATCATGCTGAGAACGTGTAGCCAGATGCAAAGGGGCACATACTGCAGGATTCCAGGTATGTGGGCTCAAGAAAAAGCAAAGCTAATCTATATGGAGAAGCCAGCATAGAAGTTATCGTGGGGGTGAAGGTAGTGACTGGGGAGGAAGGAGAAGGTGGGAACTTTCTGGGTTTCTGGGAATGGTTGAGTGGTGTCTACATGAGTGTGCACATAAGTAAAAATGCATCGAGTTGCTCGCTTGAGCATTTGTGCATTTAACTATAAATTATACCTACAAAAAGGAATAAAATCATTACAATAGTGGTAGCATCAACCACATTTTGAGTGCTACATTAGCACTATACAGCTATTATCTCCAACCTTGGGAGATAGGCATTATGATTCCTGCTTAATAGATAAAAAGACTGAAGCTTCCTGTGTCCAAGAGCATAGTTAGGAAGTAACATAACAAGATTCCTGGCTGCTTTCTTGGCCTGTCTCAATGCCTTTCCTATCAGGAAGGCCAGGTGACCTGGGCCCAGGGCCTACCCAATACCTGCATACAGAGGGCCCGCCTTCTTTTCTTTTCTTTCTTTCTTTTTTTTTTTAGACAGAGTCTCACTCTGTCGCCCAGGCTGGAGGGCAATGGGGTGACCTTGGCTCACTGCAACCTCTGCCTGCTGGGTTCATGCGATTCTCCTGCCTCAGCCTCCCTAGTAGCTGGGAATACAGGCGCCCGCCACCACACCTGGCTAATTTTTTTTTTTTTTTTTTTTAGTAGAGACAGGGTTTCACTATGTTGGGCAGACTGGTCTCAAACTCCTAACCTTGTGATTTGCCCACCTTGGCCTCGTAAAGTGCTGAGATTACAGGCGTGAGCCACCGCACCCGGCCAGGCCTGCTTTCTTTTCTAAATGGTACTGGACAGTTGGTGGAGTGTGCCCTGCCCTGGTCCTGTCATTTCTTGTCCCTGGAGACAAACCTGCCCCAGACACGGTCCATGCATCCGTTGCCTTGAGGCCCCAGGCCTTTCTGTCTTCATGTAGAATCTGGCAGCCTGCAGATTGGGAATAAATGATCTTCTGTTCACCCCACCCCGGCCCACTTGCTCCTCACCCAACCCCTCCATTCAATGAGACGTCTACAGTCTGCACCTGGGCCTTCAGCAGGACGAAGTTAGATGGTGTGTGAATCAGGTACAAATAGCCTTCGGGTGACATCCAGGCACTCTATAACCATGCAACTGTAATAGGCTGATGTTTCTCTTGCTGGATGTAGGATGTATGCATTTAATGAAGTATTAATATGAAGACCGGATTGCTTCTCCTGTCAAGTGGAAGAACGAGATTAGAGAGGAGAGAGAAGCTGGGTGCTCCCCTGGGAAGAGGGATCCCCCCCAGACACTCTCCTTTGTGAGCCAGGACTCCTTTGCTTTGCAGAATAAATGCATCCTAACAGAGTGACTGTAAAGGGACTTTCTCATAGGATTTTTGCATTGCAAAATCAAAATATGTTCCAGAGAGCAGGAAAGATGCTCCCATGGAGTGAGTGGATCTAGTTTAGTGGCAAAGAAGTTTGGCTGAATGTCAGGTGTTAGGCATAGCTAGTGTGGGGTAACGTTTGGGGAGAAGTTTTCCAGTAATCCATACTTCCAGCTTTCGACGGCCGGTCCTGGTGTTGGAGACTCTCTCTGCTGTGCTAGGGAACTCCTGAGTCCACGTGCATACCCCCCTGAAGTTTGTTTTCTTACCTTTATTGCAGGGTGTCTCAGCCTCAGAACTTCTTGTGCTTGGAGCCAGATGACTCTTGGTTGTGGGGCTGTCCCCGCACTGCAGGGTGTTTAGCAGCATCACCGGTTCCTGCACACCAGATGCCAGTAGCGCAGCCCCCCTCCAGTTGTGATAGCAGAAAATGTCTTCAGACATTGCCAAGTGTCCCCTGGGGGTCAAAAATCACCCCTGGTTGAGAACCACTCTGCTTTCTTGAACCATCTCTTTATTTTATTTTATTTTATTTTTTGGAGACAGAGTCTCACTCTGTCACTCAGGCTGGAGTGCAGTGGCGTGATCTAGGCTCACTGCAGCCTCCACCTCCTATGTCCAAGTGGTCCTCCCACCTCAGCCTCCTGACTAGCTAGCTAGGTTTACAAGTGTGCACCAACACACCCAGCTAATTTTTGTGTTTTTAGTAGAGATGGGGTTTCACCATATTAGCCAGGCTGGTCTTGAACTTCTGTCCTCAAGTGATCCGCCCTCCTTGGCCTCCCAAAGTGCTGGGATTACAGGCATGAGCCACTGTGCCTGGCCTTCCCTGGACCATTTCTAACGGCTGCTAGAGTGGAGATGTGAAATCTCCCTGGGCCAGTCGGGCTGTTGCCCTGATAACTAAGCTGCCCAGCTTGAAGAGTCTGAACTCAAGAGCTTTGATCCTGCAAGAAGAGTCCATTCCCTTGTTCTTCAGTGGGAAAACCCTGTCACCTGAGTTCATTTAAAACTGATGCAAATCCAGAGAGCAAAGCCACGCTGCATTCAGAACATGTCTTAAGACAATAGGTTCAAGGAAACAGCGTTGTTACTGAGCAAATTCCCTTTGCAAATTTCCAGGCCCTTCCGTGCCAAAGCAAGGTAATCCAGTTTAATGCGAGTTGCCTTTTTGGGAGAGAAAAATAAAAGGCAAAATATTTAAGGATTCCTTTATTCTGCTTTTAGCTTCTGAGCCCAGCAATTAATTCGTATGTGCTAAAGGACTTCTGTGTTTATGAGGCATTATTATTTAATGTAGGCCTATTTTAAATTGTAATTTTTTTCATTAAGTTGCCTCTTTTCACTTATTAAGACCAGTTTTATAACCTAGCATAGACTGTATTCCTTGAGTAATAACTATTTTTCTTTTAAAATATTCCTTAATAACCCATCATCCATATTTTAAATTTTATTCTGAGTCAGAGATGCCTCCCTGTTGCTCACACGTCTCTCCTCATGATTCTGAGTAATGTTGGAGGATACAGGGCTGCCAGATCCTCTGCCAGCTTTGCTTTAAGTCTCAGTGCAGAAAGCGAAACAGCAGCCACTGGTGACTGCCCAGCCTCCACGCTCCTGAGGCCCATGTGGAGCAGCCAACAGGTTGGGCCATCTGCCTCACAGCTTCCCAGCAATGTTCCATAAGGCAGGCTTGCTGGGAGCAGCTGATGGGGGTGGAGGGGCGCAGAGAAGTGGGATAGCTGCAGGGAGCTGGAGCATGGCAGGGCAGTGAATCCCAGGTCATCTGCGGCAGCACGGCCCCCGGGTGCCGGGCACAGTGCTATGGTCCTTGCCTGGGCCATCTCTCTGCATCTCCCCTTGCCAGCCTTAAGAAGTAAAGAGAATTATCCCATTTTGCAGAAGTGGAAACTGAAGCTCAGAACAGTGGCGTGACTTATTCAGGGTTGCAAGGCTAGCTTGTGATAGAGTCAGAAGCTGTCCCCAGGTCTGTCTGATTCCCAAGCTCAAAGTTATAATCTCTCAGCACTAGTGGTCCTGACAATTCTCCTACAAGCAATGAGACCAACTTCTCCAATAGAACATTTCAGAACACCTTCCCTGCTGTTCTCATCTTGGCATCACCATTGTCCTGAGAAATAAGCGCCATGAGCCCATTTTTCCGATGAGATAGATGACTGAGGCCCAGAGAGGAGTAGGGACTTGCCCTTTGTGTCCATGGCAGAATGAGGGCTAGCCCGGGGTCTTCTGCTTCAAGGTCTGGGCTGCTTTCTTTTCTTCCTGCCTCAGCCTGTGGTTTCCCTATTGCTGACTGCACCACCAGCCCAACCCAGGGGGGGTCCTGGCCCCTCTGCTCAACATGCCCCTGGCCCTGGAGAGGGCACTGCAAAGACAGCCATGGGCTGTCAGGGCACCTCACAAGCATCCTGTGGTCACATTGGTCTCAGCCCTCCTCCCTGTCAGCAGTTTCAGCTGTTCCTTGGATGCAGGATTGACCCAGGGTTAAGAAAATGGGAATTCCCCTCACCCACCACCAAGGACATGGAGAAAGTTCCAGAGGGTGACCACAGGCTGTCAGATGAAAGACGGTCAGGGAAAAGACACTAGTATGGTAGAAAGGTCATAGGACTGTGCTTTAGGAGACAGGGGTCCTGGTCTTGAGTTGCCTGTTAATTGGCTCTGTGGCCTTGGCCCGGGGCTTTCTCTTCCCTGGGCCTTGATTTATCCATCTGTGTAACAAAAGGGTTTCAATTCCAGATCCTTAAGTCCCCTCCCTCTGATATCCTGCCATGGGAAACCTCCTTTGGGATGCCAATTCAGCAACAGTATGGCCAGACCCACTGATTTATTTTGTTGCTTTTTCATTCATCTTATTCATTCATTCACTTTTTTTCCACCAAGAACGTTATTGAATTCCCACTGTATGCAATGCATTAGTGGAATGTAATAGTAGACTAACTGCTGTAACAAACCAAATTTCAGCAGCTTAACACAGTGGTATTTTATATCTTATTCATATCAGGGCTTTTGGGGACCATAGGAGGACTTGGCTCCATACAGTCATTCAAGTACCCAGGTTTCTTTCATCCTTTCATCTTATGATCCACCCTCTGCCAAGTCCTCAGAGCCCTCCCCACCCTGGTGATGAATGGAGAGAGAGGGTGTGCAGGCAGCATGGGAGGTTTCTAGGGGCCAAGCAGGAAAGTCATATTCCCCTGGCCAGGATATAGTCACATGGCCCTGCCAAACTGCAAGTACTGCCTGAGTAGCTAGGAGGGAAAGGAAATGGAGTGTGGGGAGCACACGGCCATCTTCCTGGGTCTGGGCAACACACACACAGCACAGAGCAAGGACCATGTACAAGACAGAAGCTTCAGATCCCAATTTGAGCTCGGGTGAAGGAGTCTGGGACAAACACAAGAACGTGAGGTCCCAGGTGGACCCGGAATTGGCAGGCCCAGCATTGCATCCCACAGGAATCCCTCTCATCAGCCCAGGATCTGCTGCCTAAGGAAGCTTTTCCCTAGTCTCATCACCTTCCCTGCCCAACACTTCAAAGGCCTGAGGACTGACTGAGCAAGTCCTGCCCTTCTCTGGCCTCATTGTCACCCATCCATAAAATGGGAAGAAAAATGACCAACATTAGCTTTGCAGGGAATTGGAGGAGCATCAGGTGTCTACAAAGGGCCATAGAACAGCCTTCCCAAGTCTTATTAATAGTATAAGCATATCATTATCAATAATGAAACACATATTAATAATAAATAAACAAACTAATGATAAATAATACATACATCATGAATAATACATTAATCCTACAAGTTTTTGAACATCTATTGCCTCTGACAGAGGGGAATTTGATTAGTTTGCTGGAGATTAGAGAGGGGGAATATTTCAAAAGAGCCCGGGAGGTCGGGGCAGGGGATGGATGCCAGAAAGCACCGGGGACTGCTCCCTGCAAAGGCTGTAAATCATTTGAGGTCCCTGGTGGCCCAGAGCTGAGCTGACCTGTTAGGGGAGGTGAGAACCAGGAATCTTGAGTGAGATGCTCCCCCTCTGATGTTCTTTCATGGCCCAAATTTAGGATGGGAAATCTATAGCTCAATAAGGCAAAAAGTATCCAGCCGCAGCAAAAGTAGAGTTCATGGTCCAGGCTGGGCCAGTTGAACATACCTATTATATTAGTCTGTTTTCACACTGCTATAAAGAACTACATGAAACTGGGTAATTTATAAAGAAAAGAGGTTTAATTGACTCACAGTTCTGCATGGTTGGGGAGGCCTTGGGAAACTTACAGTCATGGAGGAAGGTGAAGGGGAAGCAACGTATATCTTACATGCAGGCAGGAGAGAGAGAAAGCGGGAGAGAAAGTTCCACAATTTTTTGTTTTTGTTTTGGTTTCTGTTTTTTGAGACGGAGTCTTGCTCTGTCGCCAGGCTGGCCAGGCTGGAGTACAGTGGCGTGATCTCAGCTTACTGCAACTTTGCCTCCCGGGTTCAAGCAATTCTCCTGCCTAGCCTCCCAAGTAGCTGGGACTACAGGTGCACGCCACCACACCAAGCTAATTTTTGTATTTTTAGTAGAGACGGGGTTTCACCATGTTGGGCAGGATGGTCTTGATCTCTTGACCTCGTGATCCGCCCTCCTCGGCCTCCCAAAGTGCCAAGATTACAGGCGTGAGCCACTGCGCCTGGCCAGTACCACACTTTTAAACCATCAGATCTCATGAGATCTCACTCACTCACAAGAACAGCATGGGAGAAATCTGCCCCCGTGATCCAGTCACCTCCCACCAGATCCCTCCCCTGACACGTGGGGATTACAATTCAGGATGAGATTTGGGTGGGGACACAGAGCGAAACCATATCACCTGTAGAACTTATTAGTTCATTCATGGATTCATTCATAGATTCATGGATTCATTCATTCATTCAATGTGTCCTCAATGCCAGTAGTGTGGCCAGCAACACGCAAAGCACTAAGAATGTAGTAACAGAGACAGGCATTTGGCCCGTTAGAGGCTCCCAGTCTGCTGTGGGAAACAGACTGGCAAAAAGAAGTGTCCTCATGCAATGAGTTAGGGCTATGGTAGATGCTGTGAGAGGGCCACCTAACCCAGATTTGGGAATGCTGGGCATGGGGTAGGTGAAGCTGGAGTGTACATCAGGAGTGGTCTTTGGGGTAAATGACATCTAAGCTAAGACCTGAAGGACATAGCGAAGTGATGGGGGCAAAGTGACGGTCTTCCAGGCCAAAGGAACGGCAGGTGCATAGACCCAGTGGCCCGATGCAGCCTGACATACTTGGGGAGCTCTAAGTAAGTCAGGATGGCTGTGGCTCAGGGTGCAAAAGATAGAAGGGCAAGAGATGAGCAGAGCAGGAGGAAGACCCATGAGTGGTTTTGTATAGGGGTCAGGGGTTTGGACTTCATCCCAAAGGCAACAGGGAGACAAAGAAGAATTTGGATGCAGGCCAGGACATGAGCAACCTGGGCTACAGCATAATCCACATTGTTCCAGGGCTCCATGGCTCACAAATCCCCGTAAGGTACAGTGTTCATGTCTTGGTTCATTCATTACTTTATTTGTGCAGCACACTCACTGAGCACCCATCCTGTGTCAAGCATTATGCAGAGGTGCATACCGGGTCCCTGGGCTTGAGCGCTAGTCTGATGTCTGAGACAGACACACGAAGAACCACATGTTATATTACAATGGAATGTGTTTGGGCTGTGACTGAGATGTTTACAAAGGTCTATGAGCTCAGGAGAGGGTGTATCAGACTCATATCAGTCAAGGAGGGGGTGACCATCACATTGAACCTGGAAGGATGCAAATTACCCTAGGTGAACTCAGAGGAGAAGGGTGTTCCAGGAAGAGGAAACAGCACAGGGAAAAATAATTGGAGGGGTTTGGAAGGGCTGATGAGGGTGCTGCAAGGTGGGCAAAGGCACAATGTGAGACTGATTGAGTTGGAGGGGCAAAGAGAGGCAAGCTCATAAGGGACTCAGTTGGCCATGACAGTCTGAACTTTATCCTGAATTGGAAGGCAATGGGGCAGGGAAATTGAATGGCATTAACCAGAGAGGTGGCATCATCATATTTGCATTTTAGAAATATCATTGAGATTTTAGGGGGCTGGGTACCTTAGAGGGACAAGTTTGGGGGCCAGAGACCAGTGAGCTGGCTATTGCAGAGTTCCACCAGGAGATGTGGAGGGTCCAAACTGAGGCCAGATTGGTGCAGAGTGGAGTGAAAAAGACAGTTGTGAGAGTTATTGGAGAAGCAGAATTGATCCGTCTTAGAGACTGATGACCTGTTAGCTTTCCCCCTCTTTATGGAGTGGCTTTCTTTTCTTAAAGGCACTGCCCACTCCTGGCCCCACCTCTCACCCTTTTTTCGGCCAACAAGGAGGTAGATGGTTGGGAGTGCCCATTAGTCCAGCATGGAAGAGTGTATTTCACAGAACTCTCTGTACCTGCCTAGAAGATATGGTTGCAGTAATTGGTTTGTTGTAATAATATTTATTACAATAGTAATTATGTAGCACTGGAACCCAGGGAGGATGTCCTTAGTGCCAAGATAGGGTATTTGTCTTCATGAGATAGGGGTGACCTCTTTTCTTCATGAGTGGTAGTGCGTGGAGCTCCTGTTATCACATGGAGATAAATTCCAGACCCACAGCAGGGGGAGGGTGGTGCGAGGAATTTATGTGGCCCTGACTGTCATGGTCCATCCCAGCAAGACCTAAAATCCAGCTAGTGGAGCTGCTGCCAACCACCTGACCACCCGTCTGCCCCAGGTCAAGTTGTGGTGTGATCCACAATGGTTCTCTTAGGAGATAAGGGTCCTTGAATTCTTGTCACCACTGCTGCACTTCCAGATGCAGAGTGGGCTGAGAACCTGTCCCTGCTCTCAGGAACTCCTAGTCCAATGGCAGACATACCCGCTGCCCCCTGAGGAAAGGATGGATGACCCATGTTGCTTTTCAGTCTTCACTAATTACTTGCTATCAATAAGTAATGGTTTGGGTGATACACGGCAGACACTTCTGGGCCAAAATAACTGGTCCTGAGCTAGGTTCAGAGGACTGTGTGTCAGAGATGTGGCGGAACAAATTGGCCAGCCCAGCCACAAGTCTCTTACAGTTCCAGAGACGTTCTCAGTCAAACACAACTTCCTGGCCCTCCTTGCAGACTTTGCTGGCTTTGAACTTGAAAATGGCCTCAGCCATCTGTCTTCCTGCTGCCACCTTGTGGATGCATTGTGTCCTGTGACTATAGCAGGGTGCTTGACCCTGCTACACTCCAGCAAGACTTCTTGTGTCCTTCCTAGCCCGTAGTCCCACTACCCACTACCCACTCCTGTTTTCAGCTTCTCCATTTAGAAGCAAGGGGGAGTGGGTTGCCATGAGGTGGTGGGAAGAGTGTTGGACTCAGAGTCAAAGGGCCTGCCTGCCAAGCCTGGTTCTCTGTGATGGTGAGAAAGTCACTCTGCATCTATGAGCCTCAGTCTCCTCACCTGTAGAATGGGGACACTATCCGACAGGGTTGCAATGGTAATCAATGAGCTAGTAATTACAGAAATCCTTTGAAAACTGCCAAGCACTGGTCACATGTTCATTTTTTCATTCCTTCAACAATTATTTATTGGGCTCCTACTAAGTGCCAGGCACTGTTCTAGATTCTAGGGATATAGTAGTGTTAGTCCATTCTTGCATTGCTATAAAGGACTGCCTGAGCCTGGGTAATTTATAAAGAAAAGAGGTTTAATTGACTCAAAGTTCTGCAGGCTGTACAGGAAGCATGGCTGGGAGGCCTTGGGAAACTTACAATCATAGCAGAAGGTGAAGGGGAAGCAGGCACATCTTACATGGCTGGAGCAGGAGAAAGTGGGGGAGCTGCTACACACTTTTAAACAAGCAGATCTCTTGAAAACTCACTCATTATCAAGAGAGCAGCAAGGGAAAAGTCTGCCTCCATTGCCCAGTCACCTCCCACCAGGTCCGTCTTCCAACACTGGGTATTACGATTCGACATGAGATTTGGGTGGAGACCACAGAGCCAAATCATATCAAAGTAGTAATTAAACAACACAAAATCAAGGACTTCCAGCTCTGGTGAGATGAAGTGAAGACAAGCCTCATTTCATCTTTCACTAATTCAAATATAAAACCTAGGCAGAATATATGGACATCTATTTGAAAAATCTGAAAAGTAAATACTAGCAGATGGATTGGGGAAAACACTAGAATCAAGGTGCCACATAAAGAATGAAGATAAATAAAACCTACAGTCTTACTGGGTAATACTTAAAAAGTGCAGAATACAAATGAAAATCACTTGATACACACACACAAAAAACCCATGAAAATCTCAACTCACATGGGGAAAGAAAATCAGTAGACTACAATGATGAGATGGCACAGATGGTTGAAGTATCTGACAGAGATTTTGAGGCAGCTATGAAAATGCTTGAACAAGTTATCAAAAACAGTCTTGAAACAAATAATGAAATAGAAAGGCTCAGCAAAGACATAGAAGATATAAAGAAGAGCCAGTTGAAAAAGTAGAGCTGAAAAATACAATAACCAAAATAAAAAACTCACTGACTAGACTCAGTAGCAGAATAGAGATGACAGAGGAAAGAATCAGTGAACTTGGAGGTAGATCAATAGAAATTATCCACTCTGAATAACAGAGAAAAAAGTATTGAAACTCACACACACAGTCTCATGGGGTGTACAGTCTAGTTGGAGGTCAGGGATGTCAACAGACAATAAACAAGTAAGTATATGTAGGCAGTGATAAACGTCTAAGAAGGAGTAAAGCAGGGTAATAAGTCAGAGAGTGACAGGGGTGCTATTTACATGGGGTAGTCGCAAGAGTCTTCTCCAAAGTGGTGACATTTGAGCAGAGAAAGGATTGAGGGATTGAGCCATGTGGGTATCTAGGGAAAGATTGTTCTGGAAGGTGGGAGCAGCAAGGGCAAAGGCCCTGAGGTGAGGATATTCTTAGGAAGCTCAGGGGCCAGCAGCGTTCATTGTGAGTAGAGAAACTGAATGAATTCAGAGTGAGGGGAGCTGAAATCAGAGAGGTAGGGAGGACACAGGGCCAGGTGAAGGCAGAACAGGTGGGCCAGTGAGGAGATGGAGCAGTAGGTGAGGAAACAAATGATGGTGGCCAGGTGCAGAGAGATAGCAGCGGAGGGGTGAGCTAGTTGGATTCTGCATATATTTTATAGAGCTTACAGGCCTTGCTGGCTGCTTTGATGTGAGCATGAGAAAAAGAGGAGGTTCCAAGAAGTAGATTGGTGTGCTCTGAGCTCCCTGATTGGCAAATAGGGGAAACATCACATCATTGTAGGGCCTGTTTCCTTGTGGTGCCTGGAGACAACCAAGAGGTGCATCAGGCAGTGATGGACTGCCTTACAGCAGGGTTCCCTACCCAGGACTTAGGCACGGGCATGGAGGATGTTTGCATTTCTAAGTGTGAAGTTTCCTGGCTAATCTGAGTCCATGCATCTGGGCTTGTGAGATAGCATGAAGAACCACACCCTCATCTGCTGCAAGCTCCTTTGTTAGCTCCCCTCATGGCAAGGAAATGGGAGAAGCCAGGAAGATAGGACAAAAGCTCAGCTCACTGTGACCAGGAGAAGCAGGATATTGTTCAGGATGCAGCAGCAGCTCCTCTTGCAGCCCTGAGTCTGCTGGTTCTGGCACTCACCTGCTGAGGTGGGCACCAAGTTTCTTGCTCGAGGGCCTTGTTGTTATGGTGGTTCAGTTAAGTGCCACTACCTGTAGATTTGTCTGCCTTACAGTCTCTCCCTTACCACCGTGCTGTCTGCTGACGCATGGTTAACGTCTCATATCCTACCATCCTGAGTGAGAGAACCTGATAGGGTGGCCACTCACCACTCAGTGCTGATTTCCTCTGTTGGATGCAGTTCTGATGCTTGGTTTCATGGGAGGCTGTTGGATACTCCAAGCTGGCAGCAGCACCAATCCAAGCAGATGTGGTCAGAGAAGCAGGTTCAGAACACACCTGAGGTCGGGGGAGACTTTGGCTCAGGCTGCTTAGGGAAAAGCCCATTAGAAACAGGTGCCTCTGTGAGGGCCCTCCTGGGAATTATAAAACAGTCAAGGGAATGAGTAGAATCCATTTGTTTCTTTCTTCAACACCATCTTTGATCCAGGTGCTGTTCTAGGCACCTGGGGACCATAGCAAATAGAAACAGTTCATGGCCTGTGTTGAGGTGAGCATACCCTGAATATGTCATTACAAGTAATTTTCGGTGTCCCAAGCAGTAGGAGCAGGAGAGGCAGGAGTGCTTTGAGGACTATGGAAGTTTGAGGAGTTGTTTTCTTGAGGAGGTAACATTTTTGTGAATCCTTGAAGGATGCCCAGGAAATATCCAAGTTACCCAAGTGAGGGAGAGGGCTTAGGGCAGAGGGACAGCCTGTGTTCAGGCCCAGAGGTTAGAGGAGGCTGTGTGTGCAGGAGAGCAGAGGCAGCAGGCCCTGGATGATGAGTGAGAGGTGCCAGAGGAACCTGAGAGCTAGGCATGGGCCAGATCTCCCTGCTGGGAGGATGTGCAACTTTTCCTATGGAGCAATGGGAAGCTCCTGGAGACCCTAAAGAAAGCCAGGGGCGTGCATATTAGAGAAATGATCAGGGACCATGAATGGGTGCAGGAAGCCCATGTTGCATACTTTGTCACCACCACCACCACCACCATTGTCTGAGAACCCAAGAGCAGCCATGCTCTGAGGAGGGGATTACCATTCACTTTCCTTCAGCTTTACACCGAGTCAAGGGAGGCATCGTTACCCCTATTATCCAAATAGGCACAGAGGTTTAAGTGAATTAGCCAGGGCCATCCATGGACCACGGTGAAGTTATAACAAGGGTGAAAACTCATCTCGGTTTGCCAGAAACATTGTCAGTTTTAGGTGCTGAAAGTCTCTCGTCCCAGGAAACCCCCTCAGCCCTGGGCAGATAGGGACATGTGGTGACTCTAACATAATTTATGTCTCTTTTCAGAGACAGGCCCATATCCCTCTCATGGAAGCCCTCGCTGACCCCGTCCCCTGGGGCCAGGCCTGAGCCAGCCCTCTGGACACATCCCCTTGGAGCTGGGAAAGGGCGGGGAGTGATGTCGGGATGTTGCCAGGAGAGTTCCTGGGTGTAGGAGCTATTTGTCATCACCTCATTAGAAGGGTGCCAGGTTCCTAAATATTGCCCGCGATTTTGCTAAATGTATCTGAACAGGAGTGGTGTAAACGCTGTCAGAGATAGAGGGGAGAGTGATGGCACCATCCAGGATAATGAACTGCTTAGTTAAGATGGATCCGTCTCCACTCCTGATCCACTTCTCGATACCGCGCTTAGTGGGGCTCACACATCGAGGCTGATTGGTGGCAAATTTAATGCCCTGAAAGACAGAGCTCCGTCTTCAGCTGGTGGCTGAGTAATTGGTGGATTTGCTTCTCTAAGGAATGGTGTTGAGTTGTACCCAAAAGGAAGGTGGGAAGGTGGCCTCTGCTTCTGGCCTCCCAGGTTCAGGCTCAGTTAGCATCTGATACGGGGTTAGTTGGAGCAGGAAGACCCCCAAAATCAAGCTCCCTTCTCATTTTACAGATGAGGAAACTGAGGCCCAGGAAGAGGGAAAACTTGCCTGAGGTCCCAGCGCTGGGTGGCAGTGTTGCTGAGACCAGAACTCACCTCTCCTCTGCTCTTCACCGCTGTGCTCCTGGCTTCCCCCACCCATGCCTGCTCAGCTGTGCCTCCTCATTCCCAGGGGCTCCATAGGAGGGATGAACCCCGAAGTGCTTCCATTCAGAAACCTCTCCAGGAGGGTCCCCAGCAGAAGCCTTCTTGAGCCTCCTCTCTAGTTTTATGTCCTCTGCCTCGGGGGAGGATCTCACTTTGTGGGTCTCCTGACTTTGACCCCAGCCTGGATGAGATGTCTGGCTGAGCTAGTCATCTCTGAATCTTCTCTTCTCTCCAGTCAGCTTCCAGATGCCAGTCTCTGTTCTTTCAACCTCTACCTTGGAGCTGTCTTTCCTAGACTGGAGAGTGGAATGCTGGAGGGAGTGCAGGCAAGGGAAGGGGGTTGGCGGGAAGCATGGTGCCACCTCGCCCTGATCCAGGATGTCCTGTTTGGGTAGAGCTTGTGTTGAATGAAGCCCTGGACCATGCTTTACCACTTTGGACCCTGTGATTATTCCTGCATCCACATTACACATGGGGAAACTGAGTCCCATGGCAGTCCCATAACTTGCCCAGGTCGCTACTGAATGCTAGAGTGAGAAACTCGATTCTATCGACAGACTTCAAATTCTGGGGAGGTACATGGGTGGAGAAGAGCCAGGAAGGATGGGGAGGAGATTTTCAGGAAAAGAATCCGTGCAGGGTATGTGGAAGATGATGGAATTTTGTGAGATCAGGGCTGGGGGAATATTAATTGGACCTAGAGGAGAACTTTTCCTGTGTTTTTCTCTTGGAAACAGCTCCCTTGCTATATGAACCCTTGCCATCTCCTCTCCTGTGTGTGTCTGTGTCTCAGAGGTGTTTTCTCACCTGTGATCCAGGTGTTGATTGGTGCTGTCATAGCCTTGCCTGGCACATCTGTTGGAAAATCACCTTGCTTTCCACCTTCTCCCTCCTCACCCCAGCCAGAGAGCCCACCTCCAGACCTGAGACTTAGACCCCACACATCACCTGATGTTTGTCCTGGCCTTGGATAAGAAGGGTGGAGCCCACAGCTCATTGCCAGGCTCTGACCTCAAGCCCTGAGGCAGTAGGGTCTCCCCTCTGCCCACCATCTCTCACGTGAGCCTGGCCCCAACCCCAGGTCTCTCTGTTTATGGTTCCTATCATTCAGTGTGTAATTCTGGGTCAGTCCTTTCCCCACTCACCTGGCCCAGCTCCTGCACTGGCTTCCCTGCCCTGTCTGAGAGCCAGGCAGCTGGTGAAGACTCAGTGGCAATCGATGGAGCTGCAAACTGGGGGATACCACCCAGAATTCCCAAGAGACCCCATCAAGTAGTATGTTCTGCTCCAGCCAGTAGCAAGAAGTGGTAGAAAGAAGTTGGCTTTGGAGCCAGATAGCTCTGGGTTCAGATCCCAGCTTGGCTGCTCTGTCCATGAGGCATGGAATGAGGTGCTCCATAGCTCTGAACAGTAGCTCGTTCCTGTCTGTGACAGAGGCATATTTACAGGAGGGTACGAGGACCCAAACTGCCTGTGCCCATGAACGCTCAGAATGCATCGCTTATTGTATTCATATTTTAATACTCTACTGATATTAATGGAATTCATATTCCAGAAGGAGAGGCAGATGTGCAAACAGACAATTGCACTCCAGTGTGACATACTCATGGTCGTGGCATCGTACAAGGCACTGGTTGCTGCCTGAGCTGCTGAAAAAATGGGAGTGAGAGTGCTGGGAAAACTAAGTGACACATGCTCAGGCAAGGAGTTTTAGTCCTTAGAGCTAAACCTGTCTCTGCAGCCTGGAAACCCCACTCCCTCAGCTTCCTGCGGGGATGAGAAGGGGAGTGCCCAGCTACGAGCATTTCTCCTCCTGGCTGCTACCATGACTCCAAGTAGGGCCATCCCTGGAATGGAAGACACAGTCACTCCTGCCTCGGTTTACAGTGGTGTTTCCCGACATTTGTTTTCAAGGACTCCAGCAGGGCTGAGACTAGGGTGAAGCTAGCCAGGTGCACAGGGGGTAACATTCAAAGAGGCACCCACTCACTCTCAGGATGGTGCAATGAGACGGTGTCCTTTAATTTTGCACTGCAGGCCCCTTGCTTGTCTCACTGTATTCGCTCCCATTCCTGGCTCAGGTTCTACAAGATGCTCTGAAAAAGATGGGCTCCAGAGTGTAAAATATGAAGAAAAATTTCCCACTCTGGCCCAAACTTGGAGGGTCACAAGGCACTGTGAGCACACACTCCAGCTTCAGGGCCTTTGCGCTTGACATGTCTTCTGCCTGGAATGCTCTCTCCTCAATACCCCTATGGCTCACACCTTCCTTTATTCCAGCCTCCTCAGAAGGGCCTCCCAGGGCCCCTCTGGCTAAAGAAGCCCCTCCCCCATTGCCTTCTATCACTTCACTCTGCTTTGCTTTTCCTCATTATGTTTATCACCACTGGACATATTTTCCATCATTTATTTGATTATGGGCTCTTCTGCTAAACTGGCAGCTCCATGAGGACAGGGACGTGTCTATTGTTACTGATATGTCCCCATTGCCTACAACGGTGCCTGGTACGGAATAGATTCTCAATTAATTTGTTTTTCATGCATAAAGGAAAGACAGGAAGAAGGAAGGAGAGAAAGTTAAGAGAAGTCCTGAAGGGAAGAACGGGTTTAATTATACTTAACCCAATATCTCTTAAAATTCATGGATGTTGGAAATCATGTTTTCCTGCCAGACATGGTGGCTCATGCCTGTAATTCTAGCACTTTGGGAGGCCCAGGCGGGTGGATCACTTGAGGTCAGGAGTTTGAGATCACCCTGGCCGACATGGTGAAACCCCATCTCTACTAAAAATACAAAAATTAGCTGGGTATGGTGGCAAGCACCTGTAATCCCAGCTACTCAGGAGGCTGAGGCAGGAGAATTGCCTGAACCCGGTAGGTGGAGGCTGCAGTGAGCCAAGATCACACCACTGCACTCCAGCCTGGATGACAGAGTGAGACTCTGTATCTCTCTCTCTCTCTCTCTCTCTCACACACACACACACACACACACACACACACACACACACACACAAAGAAATCATGTTTCCTGAAACACTGGTGAGAAGATCCCTATTCTCTGCACACTCTGGGAAAAGCTGTCTTGTCTTAACCTGTCAGAGCCACCCCACTCCTGCACACACTTCCTGATTCACCTCTAAGACTGAGTGCGTATGCAGTGGGCTCTCTGATCTCACCCTGGCATGCCTCTGTGAATTCTACTGCCCCAGACATCTGCTGCGCCTGCCAGTGCTCCTAACACTACCACCCAATCACCAGAGCTGCAACCACTCCCCTACTTGCCCTCCCCGCCACCGCCACACTTACACTTGCAATTCCCTCATGGCTTGCCAACAAATGGTGACCCTCCATCCTGCCCTGCCTGCCTCACAGGCACACACCATCTGCACCCACCTCGGGCTGCTCAAAGATTTATGCATCTGAGAATATGTCCTTCCCTCCTCTTTCCAGTGGGAGGAGGACCTTCATGAGCCTTGATCTCATCAGCCATCTGGACTGATGAGGCTCAACTCATAACTATATCTGCAAAGGTGAGAGAGAGCCCAGGGGAGGGCAGCCTCACTGGAAGATTGAGCCACGTGGCTCAGAATTGTGGCCATGGGGTCAGGTCCTCAACTCCTATCACAGTTCCTGCCACAATGCCCATCCTCCATCTTTAGGGCTGGAAGAAAAAAGTATGCAGGCTGCAGATGTACAGTGTTTGCCACTTTCTCTCACCTCTTCCGAGAGGCTGTAATAGCGTGGTGGTTGTCATGGAGCCCGAAGGTTTGGGTTTGAATTCCAGCTCTGTAACTTGCAGCTGTGTGATCTGGCAGGGGACTTCACCTCTTGGTTCACTCACAGAAAGTGGGAATCATAATAGTTCCTCTCTCCTAGGAGTGTCCTGGTGATTAAGTGAGTAGATGCATATCATATCAAGTGCTTAGCCCAGTGCCTGGCACAAAGCAGGTGTGCACATGTGAGCCAGTATCACAATGTTACACTCAGGCTTGGCTTGCCCGGAGGTCTCCCTTTCCGTGGGGTCTGTCCTCCTGAAGGTGGCCTCCTTGTTTGTCATGCCCCATGGCTGGGATCATCCAGGCTGGATCAGATTCCCTCTGTGCCCACCCACAGGCCCCCGTCCGCCTACCTAGAGGCTGGCTGGTCACCTGAGTGGTGACTGTGTTGGGCATCTCTGTCTCACCCTCACTGCTTGTTCCTGGAGGGCCGAGCAATGCCTGGGTCTCTGCTTCCCAGATCCTGGCCCCAGGCCCGCACAGGGTAGGTGGGAGTGAACTGGGGTTGAGTAAATGAGGAAAGGAGGATCCGGGTTGGTCCTTCTGATCTTGGAAGTTGGACCGGTTGGTTGTGGTTGTGGCTTTGTCAGACCAAGTGGGCTCCAGGGCTATCCAGGGGCTTGACCTCTGGCCTAAGTTACAGGCCTCCCTGGAGTGAGCTCCTTGCCTTGCCCCTCACCCTGGAGGCTGGGTCCTGAAGCCTTGGACCGTGCAGGTCCGCTCTGACTCCAACTTCCAAATTGATCCTCTCCAGGTCGATTCTTGTTTTGTTTTGTTTTTTGTTTTCCTGGAGTGTTGTAACCATTGAGTTCCAGGCAGGGGTCAGGCCCATGGGCTCCATCTATTCAGCTTGCCTGCACAATTGAAATCTTCGAACCCATCCTGGCTAGTTTTCTCATTAAGACTATCGGACTGGATTGATCCATTAGATCAATGACTGGACATCAGCCGGCAGGAAGCCGATCAGATGAGCCTGGATGATCAGCCCAGGAATGAGGTTCCCCTCGGAACTGCGGTGAAGGTCCAGGCCTCTGGGATGGGGCTAGTGGAGGCAGAGGAGTGGGTTAGAGGCCTCACCAGACTAGACTTTGGTGTGGAGAGAGCAGTGTCCCCAAGGTGTGGCTACCAGGGCAAGAGTCCCAGCGTCTGCTCCAGGCACTCCCAGGGGCAGCTGGTAGTAGTCCGGGAAGCATCACCTGGTGTTTGCAATGAGTTCAGACTCCTCCCCAGATAGTGGGTCTATAATGGACTTCTCTAACATATCACCACTGCCATGGCCAAGGCTTGGACCCGACCCTCCCTTTAGGTGGCAAAGTATGTGTGGTGGGAAAGCCAATGGAGGGTGTTAAGGAAGCCAATGGTGGTTTCCCAGGGCTCTCTTTTTACCAGGAGTCATTTGTTTATGAGGTTGGAAATGGAGGAGTATGGGCACTTAGAACACCATGTCCCAGTGTGTATTTCTCAGATCCTGGCTGCGTAGGATGGTGGTGGGGCTTAAGGGGTGGCTGAGCGACCCATATTCAAATAGGTTTGGAAATGCCAAGTAAATACATTTCGGCATTCATTTCCTGCAGGACCGAATAGATGAATCATGAATGCCACAACTCTAAAAAGGGGTGGAGGGGCGATGTTGGGGCACAGAAGCCTTCTCTGGGGTATCTTATAGAAATACATTGAGGCTGTTCTTGGAGGTGCCAGCAGGTCCTACCTTCAGGGAAAAATGTGTCCCAAGCAGAAGTGTTTTTGGTTTGGAGGGATCCATTGGAGCCAGGGAGGCAGCCAAAAAGGAGATGTTGAAGAGAGGGAAGAAGAGGGTGATTGGCTCCATTTGGGCCTGCAGTCACCATTCACAGAAACCACAGTGTGAACAGCGTCCCTCAAAGTTGTGCAACTACAGACCCCAAACTTCCCTCCTCTGTCTGCTGTCTCCCTGGCCCTGCCCTCATCAGCCCAGCCCCTCTGATCTGCTCGTGCCCTTACCACCCCTTTCTCCTCTCTTCTGTAGGCTACCTGACAGTCAACATTGAGCCTCTCCCCCCTGTGGTGGCTGGAGACGCCGTGACTTTGAAGTGTAACTTCAAGACAGATGGGCGCATGCGGGAGATCGTGTGGTACCGGGTAAGTCACTACTACTGCCCCCTTCATGCCCATGGCCAGGACTGGTGTGAGGTCCTCAGAGCCCTCTGGACACCCTCACTGGTGTGGCTATGACCTCAGCCCTGACCCAGTCCTGAGTTGTCCTGGGCATCTGCTGGGTCCCCGCCCTCTGCTGACACCCTCCTTGGGTACTAGCCATCCCTTCTACCCTCAGGACTGATCTGGTTTCCACCTTCTTTGTGCTCCTATTATGCCCCTACGCTTGGAAAACTCCATTAGGCAAAGTAGAAGTTACTGAGAACACCCTGGACCCTGGGCACAGTGTAATCACAAGTGATATCTGATGGTGGAATTTTGAGCATGAGGCTTCGGATAATGTTTTTGGCAAGGGAGAGAGAAAAACAGGAAGGCTTCCTGCCTTTTGCAAAATCAAATCACAGAGATAGTCTGCCACCTAATCTGACTACGTATAGGACTAATCCTGGTGTCTGGCACCATCTGAGAAGGGAATTGGTTAGAGATGAGAAGGTACCCACCTGCCCAGGGCCCAGGTGTTGGCACCAGGAAGAACAGCTTGGAATCTTGAGCACAAGGGGCCTTTTCAACCACTGAGTGAAATCTTCTTGTGTCTGGATGGGGCATCCCAGTCTTCTATCCCTTTGCCACAAAGGAATTGGGGCTGGGCTCAGAAGGTCCAGGGGGCAGTGATGCTTTTCTTCCAATGCATGCTTGAGTGTGCACAGATAAAGGCACCACCATCCTGGGGGAGAACTCCTCTTCTGTCATCTAAACAGGGGTTGGCAACATTTTTTGGTGACGACTGAGATTGTAAATATTCTCCTGTCTGCCAAACATTCAGTCTTGGTCACAGTTACTCAACTCTGCTGGTATGGCATCAAAACAGCCACAGACAGTGTGTAAATGAAAGGGCATGGCTGTGTGTCAATGAAACTTTACTCATGGGCACCAAAGTCTGAATTTTGTACAAGGTTCATGTGTCATAATTTCTTCTTCTTTTTATTTTTTTTCAATGATTAAAAAAGGTAAAAACTGTTCTTAGCTCGCTGGCTGTACAGAACAGGCTATAGAATGACTTGGTTCATGGGCTATAGTTTGCAAATCCCTGATCAGAAACCACGCTTTCCTAATCTTTGTTGCCCTTTCTTCAAATGAAACGGATGGATAGCACAGTTAGGTGGAGCTGTTCTGGAGGAAGTGATGGAGCATGGAAGAGAGGGCAAGGAAGGTGGGGGGTGGGCACCAAACTGTGATTCAAGATCTAGAGCTGGCTCCTCTGCTCCTTGGAGCTGTCACCACATCTACACACAGAGCATGGAAACTCAGTGTTAGAGGAATCCCTGGGGCATGCGTGCTGTTCATAGTCTTGACTCAGAACAGCTCTCTTCAGTCTCCTTCTTGCTCTTGGTCCAGGTGAGCTTTGAACCAGCCTGTCTTGGCTGCTCTGCTTTGCATTTTCGGTCTCTGATTCATGGTTTGCTTGTTGTTGCTATTTTGTTGGCTGTGATCTGCACTCCTTCTAACCAAAAATCATAGTTCTCTATTTCAGCATTGCAGTCTCTCCTGTTTAGAGTTAATTCTAGTGCCCTCCACCCAAGCTCTTCAGGTAGCCTGGGCTTCACAGGTGTGAACCTGACATCCAGCACCCTAGAGGGTCCCAGCCTTAAGGAAGGGTGCCATCCTGGATAGATCAGTGGGCCTAGAGAAAGTCAAGGCATATGTTAAATAGTGCCATGAACTGAATCACTAAGAGGTGTATTTACAGGATATGGGAACTGCTTGGCTGACACAGGCTGGGAGCATCTCATTAGCACCTGGCAGAAGGACAGGGATAAATTAACTCCAGCTCACTGCTGATGATGGGACCACATCTCTCCCTCAGCCATCCCATAGATGGGATCAGAGGGAGGGGTGGTGAAAGACAGATAGAAATATGGAGACCCAGTGGGAACAGTTAATGGAGCGAAATGGAAGGAAGTTTGGAGATGGGAAAATAGCAGTGGGCACCTCATTGCCTTCCAAGCTCTTGAAGCAACTGTCCTCCCTCCGGTTTGAAATCGAATGTTACCATAGTCACAGTGGTGAAAATCTCCCTGCAGAGGCTCCTGCTGGAGTTATGGGCAATGCTAGTGCCAGGCTGTGCCCAGGTGTAGAAGCCAGGAGCAGGTTTCCACATGGCTTGACTTGATGTTCTTGAAGATGGTGAGCAGGACTGGGGCAGGAGGATCCATGTCCTGGGCTGGACAGAGACTCTCCTTTTTCTTCGCCATCCTCCGGTAGGGAGACCCTCCTCTCTCCCCCACTCTTGCTGCCTAACCTTGATGCCACTGGTAGTTTTAAGAATCAGTGGCATCTCTTACCATTGTCAGGCGCTGCATATCGGGCCATGGTAGGCTGCACTAATTAATTTATTTTATTTCATTTCACATCCTTTGACTGAGGGCCTCTGGAGCAGGCATATGCAGATGTATGCAAATCACATGCAAATCACCCACTAGAGCCAAATGCCTGGGCCCTTGTAATTCTGTAGCTGGACGGAGGTGGTGGCTCAGCTGACTGGTTACTGTCCTCAGGTCTCAGGGAGCCCACGTGCCCGCCTATGATGGGAAGGATGGGGGCAGAGGAAGGAAGGAAATTCCAGGGAAGGGCTCCGTGTGGCCAGTTTTTGCTTTCTGCCACTCTAGCTTTCTCTAGTGATTGTCTCTCTTCCCAAAGAGGCAGCTGAAGGGAGAGAGATAAGAGCCTACCAAGATGGGGGCTCCAGGAGTCAAGGTCAGGGCAGGGCTTCCAGAGGGAATGGGAGCAGCAGCAACAGGAGCTCCAGTCTCCTTCTCCAGCCAGACCCTCCTCTGACCCCTTCCTCCCCTGCCAGACGAACCCCCCACTGTGGCTTCCTTCCCCATCTCCCTCTCCCCGCAGCCTGCCCCCCTCCTCCAAGCAGGGAGCTGCCGAGTGCTGTTTGTTTTCTGTACGTGTGTTTGCTTCCCGTCCCAGCTTCCTTTCTCCATCCTCCGTGAATGAGCTTACAGAGCCCGGCTTGGAAGGAAATGAATAGATTACACAGGCCCAGTCAGGACTGTGGCTCCAACCCCGTTAGAAGGAAGAAGCAGGGCATTGTGATGAGGCCGCCACTGCCTGCTCAGCACAGTGGGCACAAAATGGCCCAAAACATGTGTCAAGCCCAGCAGCCTCCCCTCTGGTCCTAAATACATTATCTTAGCAAAGGGATCATCCTGAGCTGTCAGAAAACATCATGAATGCATTGGATTCTTTGGGTAAATCAGGGCAGCTGATGAAATTATCTGAAGCCATAGGGATCACCTAACCTTGGAGCTAACAAAACCTCTGGCTGGATATTTGGGAAGGTCTTGCTTGTGGACCCCTCAAGGGAGGGGAAGGAAATTGGGAGGAAGCGGCAAGAGCCTGACTCTTGGACACTTTACCCCCATGGTCTGGCCAAGTGGGGAGGAGCTCAGCCCGTTTGTAGAATAAGATGCCAAAACTATGAGAATAGACTCAAGGAAGTATGTGTAATCATAGCCCCTTGGTCTGGGTTGTCCAATATGGTAGCCACCAGTCACACGTGGATGTTAACATTTAAATTAAATCAAATTAATTTTAAAATTCATTTCCTCAGTCAGACTAGCCACATTTCAAGTGCTCACTAGCCACCTATAGCTGGTGGCCTCCATATTGGACAGATGAAGTATAGCACGTTCCCATCACTGCAGGAAGTTTCACTGGATAACCTGCTGTAGAACATTGAGATTTTCTTTTGCAGCCTCTGGAATACACTGTGCTCACCTGACAAGAGAATAGCAGTGAGTGATCATTGAGTCAGTTTTCCAGGCAAACTTGCCCTGAAATGAATTTTAGTAAGATGGATCTCATTTGGTAACCTGACATCATTAGATCGTGTGTGTGTGTGTGTGTGTGTGTGTGTGTGTGTGTGTGGTGAGGGAGGGTGAAAAAAGGGAGATGGTCATCATGCTCAAATCACTTCTTTGAAAACATAAAGATGTCAAGAGAGTTGTCATCCCTCTAAGGTGCTGAGTATCGTAGTTGTCTATTAAAGCCCTGTCCAACTTGAGGATGCTTTTCACCATCCCCCTCTGCTTTCTCCACTGTTACATGGGTTCATCTCCCAGATTTGAGTGTCCAGGCTTCATCTTCACAGCTCATATAGATAAGCTCCAGACAGCTTTTTTTTGGCTAATAGAGTAGGGGTGCAATTCCATATTTCACCAGTAGGAGGCTGTCAGCTAATAACTAATCTACCCTAGCACTTAAGTTGGGACTTGGTTCAAGAAAATGAATAATAAATAATGTTCTTTACTTAATCATTCCTATTTACATCTGTAACTGGGGACTTATTTATTAATGCTGCTTATACTAATTTGAGTGGCTGACATTATTGAGCCTTTACTATGTGTGAGCACTAGATCAAGTGCTTTACATACGTGATGACATTTCATTTTCATATTTTCACTGAAAGGTAGATACTATGATTAATTCTATTTTCCAGATGAAGAAACTGAGGCCATTCGAAGAGACTGTGTCTCGGGTCATGTTGCCTTCCCTGACTTCTCCAGAAAGCTGTAGGCACACCCTCCTCCATGAATCCTCTGTGTGGGTCTTTACACTAGTGCTTACCTCATCATGTCAAAATACCTGCCCCTGGACCATGACTATCTGAAGAGCAAAGACTGTCTTTTCTCCTGCTGTATTCTTGACACCTAGAGCAGAGTCACCTCAGTGAACATTTGCTAAATTAACAAATCATGGAGCTATAATGTGCACCTGTTGACAGACCATGCTATGTAGCCCACTTCTGTCTCATGTGGGCATCTGTGTAATGTTGATAGTATCTGTTGGTCAGGGGGTGGGGAGTGTGGGTCTTTGGATACTCAGGGGGCTTTGTTAAGTATGAAGGAAAAGGGAACATTTCTTATTAGGAAACACTGTCTGAACTCATTTGGTTGGAGGCCGCCTGCCCAGCAGGCAAAGCCGAAGGTCTGTTTATATCATGGAACTCCATTAAACAGCCACAGAGAATCATGGGAGTTTAACCTTTTACAGCAGTTTTTATCATCCCTCCTTTGTTTTCTCTCCTTCTTTTACAATTTGTTCCCAGGAGCCACTCTGGGCCCAGGTTACAAGGCCACAGAAAAGAGAGCCAGATAGAGAGAGAAGGAGATCTACAAACAGTGATAACATCCCTGCTTTCAGTACCCCTTTATCTCACCTTTTTCACCATGTGGGAAGATGCATACCTGGGTGTGTGTTTTGTGGTGCAGATGATGCGACCTCGCCAGGTGATCGTCCCCTCTGGGTTCTGCTGGATGCCTCTGCAATGAGGGTTTGTGGTTGCTTGGGACCATTTGAAAAGGAATTGAGACTAGAGGCTGGGAAGGCTGAGGTAGGAAGAGAGAGGACTTGAGCATCAGAATACCTGTGTGTGAGTTTGACCTTGGGTGGTGACCTAACCTTTCAGCCTTTTAGAAACTTCACCTGAAATTGGGCATGAAAACATGTATTTTGTAAGCTTAAATGAGATAATGTCTGCAACCAAAAGACCCCATTGTTCAGCTCATTGTGGCACCTATTCAATGATAGCTATTGTCATTTCATGTCTGTTGATAGCTTACAGGATCTAGAGAGGGAAATTATAGAATAAGAGGGGAAGGTATTTGGGGAGGATCACCACGGTTAGATTCCTTGAATTCCATCCTACCACCTGCATTCCCAAGGGATATGGGCAGAGACAACGCTTTAAATGGTTATGCTGGTGAACTCACTGGGTTTCAATTCTTGGAAACCCAGTGGCTTAACACAGTTAAGCCATTTCAATGGATTTTAGCTCTCCCTGAAACAGGGAGCTATTTCAAAATGGCTTTACTATCATTGGCTCTCTCTCAGTCCCAGCCCTTCACAATGTTTCATTATTTGAAGCAAAACTGAAAATGATGATCCTAAGGAGACAGGAAACAATACAGTCCAACCATATCATAAGGGCAAGAAGGTAGGTACACTCTCGGGTGACCAAGAGAGACCAGCACCAAGGTCCCAGAGGATGGGTCTAGACAACCCCTTTGGCCCTTCTTGCTTGGCAGCCACTCATCCTGGCTGCTCTTTGCTACTCCTCTGACCCCACATTCTGATCTTGAGTTCAGATCTTACAGATATAAGTCTGGAAAAGGATGTGAGTGAGGAAGACAAAAGCCAGGGTTGAGCCAACCCAACTTGCCTTGTCTAGGCCTCCTTCCCCAACCCCTGGCCTTCCAAAGAGCCAGGTTCTCCCTGATGAGGTATGTCCAGTGCTCAGTCTTATCATATCAGTCACATGGGAAGGAAGAGAAGGCAGCCAGAGAGGGCCCACCAAACAATAGTTGATTTTACAACAAATGTAATAACACATAAACAGGAAATAAGAACAAGTTCCCAGGTCTACTTCCATTGTAATCTGTATTCGTCTGTTCTTATGCTGCTATAAAGAACTGCTTAATACTGGGTAATTTATAAAGGAAAGAGGTTTAATTAACTCACAATTCTGCAGGGCTGGGGAGGCCTCAGGAAACTTACAATCATGGTGGAAGGGGAAGCGAACACGTCCTTCTTCACATGGTGGCAGGGAGAAGTGCCAGCAGGGGAAATGCCAGGTGCTTATAAAACCATCATGTCTTGTGAGAACTCACTATCATGAGAACAGCATGGGGAAAACCATCTCCATGATCCAATCACCTCCCACCGAGTCCCTTTCACGAACTTGGGAACCACAGTTCAAGACGAGATTTGGGTGGGGGCACAGCCAAACCATATCACAATCCTTTAATTCAACCCCAAGGAAAACTCCACCCCTAACCACAGCTGTTAAGTTGTAACCATCCAGACTCATCACACTGAGCTCCTCCTCCTGGGGATGGGGTGATGGGAGAAACCTTCAGCTCCCTCTAGAGGCCAGAGTGTGAATCACAATCATTGCAGCCCTGATCCTTGATCTTTAATGGAAGTTCTATTGGAAACCGGCAGGGGTACCTGACTCTGACAGCTCATTAGACTTCTCAGAGGCCACTAAAAATACACTGTTGTCTGAGACTCATTCTACAGTTATTGAATCTGAATTTCCAGGACTGGAGCCTCAGGGCATTTGTACTTTTAACGAGTTCCCCAGATGACAGTGACGCACTCAACCCAGCCACGGAGCATGTCATGGCGTTTGTGAAACTCTGATAGAGGGAGCTGTTCCATGCACTCATCCAACATTAATTCAACACATATTTATGAAACCAGGATGGTTCTAGGCACTGGGATTTCATCAAGGAAGAAGACAAGATCCTGTGCTCACACAGTTTACCATGGGGGAGGAGTTAAAAAGATAAACAAATAAGGAAGATACCAGCTAATGATAAGCGCAGTGCATATAATTAAAATCGAGTGGTGGGATAGAAAGAGATTGTGTGGTCAGGAAAAGACATTTAAGCTGAGATCGCAAAGGCAACAGGAAACCTACCATGCCAAGGGAAGAAGGCAGAATAATCCAGGCAGAGGGGAAAGCAAATGCAAGACAGTTCTGTGGGAAAAAGCTTTGTGTGTTCAAATAACAGAAAGTGCATGTGGCTGGAACAAAACGAATAGGGGGTGATGTTGGAAAAATGGGCAGAGACCGTTCATACCAGGCCCTGTGCTGTAAGAAACTGAATCTGGAGTTATTCTAAGGGCACCAGGAAGCATTGAGTTTAAGCAGAGAAGTAACAGGGTCTGGTTTACTTTATTAAAAAGGTCACTTCTGGGTGGAGAATGGTTTGCAGAGGAGGTGAGAAACTGGCAGCAGAGGGGTCACTTGGAGGTTAGAATAGTTCAGGCAAGAGGCAACAGTGGTTTGGTTGACTACCAGGATGGTGGTAGTGGAGATGATGGAAGGGAAAAATGTTCTGCTTATGATTTGCAGGTAGAAGTTAAGGGCTTGCTAACATGTGGAAGGGATGAGAGAAGGGGGGATTCAGGATGACTCCCTGCTTTGGGGCTTCGGCTGGGTTTGCAGGAGCAGTGCTATTTAATGAGACAGGGAGGACAGGACAGGAGAAGCAGGTTGCAAGGTGATATGGTTTGGCTATGTCCCCACCCAAATCTCAGTTTGAATTGTAATAATTTCCATGTGTCAAGGGTGGGGCCAGGTGGAGATAATTGAATCATGGGGGCAGCTTCCCCCATACTGTTCTCCTGGTAGTGAATAAGTCTCATGAGATCTGATGGTTTTATAAATGGGAGTTCCCCTGCACAAGATCCTCTTGCCTGCCACCATGTAAGATGTGACTTTGATTCTCATTTGCCTTCCACCATGACTGTGAGGCCTCCTCAGCCATGTGGAACTGTGAGTTCATTAAACTGTCCTTTTATAAATTACCCAGTCCCAGGTTTGTCTTTATTAGCAGTGTAAGAACAGACTATTACACAGGGACAGGCGTCAAGCACTCTCTGTTGGCTATGTTAAGCTGGGAGTGCCTCTAAGACATGGAGATGGAGCTGCTGCAGCCGCTATTGAGGCCACAAATCTGGAATGTTGGGGAGAGGTGAAGCCTGGAGACTTATACTTGGCATTGTCAGAGAATGGATGGTACCCAGTGCTAGACCCTTGGGCACTCCAATATTTAGAGATAGAAAAGTAGACCAACAGAGAGGCTGAGAAGGAGGAGGAACAGCCAGCAAGATGTGAAGACGGTGAGGAGTGGAGTGTCCTGGATTCCAAGAAAAGAAAGTGGTTTCAGAAATAGTAGAGTCAGCTGTCAGCTAGCTGTGTCTCACACTCCAGTGAGTGACTTGAGAGCAGAGAAATGACCATGAACTTGGTAACATATGGAGCCCACTGGGGACCTGGGCAAGGGCAGATTCCTTGGAGGTCGTGGGGGCTAATGCCTAGCTAGAGTGGGCTGAGGGGTGCATTGAGATCAGCAGTAACATGGCCTTGAGATTTTGTCTAGTAAAGAGTTTTGAGCTTGAACATCTGAACAAACCTTTGCAAGTAACATGAAGACCCAATTGCTTCTATTGAATCCACTCCTATTTGCATGTCATTCATAAAATTACAAGCCCACTGTCTTTTCCTACCATCCTTAGCCTTTCAATCTGGGACTGGTGGCAGCCTCGCTCTCCTCATCGAGAATGTGAAAGTGGCAGCCGAGAGCGTTTAGGGGATTCTAGTGTAATTAAAAAATGCATTTGGTATTTGAAAGAAAAATCCTGCTCTACCATTTAATTAACTCAGTGGCCTTGGATGACAACTATTCCCAAAACTTCCTAGGCACTGTACACAGGTCTGAAGGTATAAAGAAGGACAGGTGGGCCCACTCCCCTCGAGGGGAGCGCTTCCCGTCCAGTTGCCCATCATCAAGTTGTTAAGTTCTGTTTCATCACCTGGCCAATGGGCTTGACTGCACTTTCCCTAAGGATCTCACAAAGATTTGTGCAAAACAGACGAAAAGCCCCACAGACGAGCTGCTTCTGTCCCCCGTGGCGCAGGGGAAATAGGCTTCACATATATTACTTCATCTTCTCTTTTCCGCCTGGGCAAATCTTACTCATTCTCTCCTCTGTGAAGCCTTCTGACCCCTCTCACCAAAGCAGAATTAAGAGATCACCTGCTGTGTTCTCTCAGCGTTTTGTACATTCTTCAATTAGAGAGACAGCACCTGGTAGCTTAGTTATTCATCTTTGCATCTCTTGCGGAGTTTTATTTTTCCGCTTCTCCTATGTGTCATTCATAAAATTACAAGTCCATTGTCTTTAGCCTTTCAATCTGGAACTGGTAGCAGCCTTGCACTCCTCCTTGAAAATGTGAAAGTGGCTTCCCAGAGAGTTTAGGGGATTCCAATGTAATTAAACAATATATTTGGTATTTGAAAGAAAGATCCCGCTCTAGCCCTTCATTTATGAATGATCCTTGGGCCAGGGATTCTATGTGGGGGCCTCAGGGTCCCTAGGAAATATGTGGATGGGCTTCTGGGGGTGCTCAAACCCCAGAAAATATGCCTAATATGTTGTGTGTGTTTTTGTGGGAGAAAGGTGCAGAATATTCTCAAAGGACTCTGTGATGCCCCCATGCCCCAACTGAAAAACCCAGGAAATGCAACAGCAGGCATGCAGGTGTTCGCTGAGTGTGAAATGTGTAGGGCATCTCATTATCTCCACTCTTGGGTCATCAAGGTCCATATTTAGGTTGGCTCTACCAGACCCTGTAGCTGCGAGGTTGTGCCAGATGGCCCATGAGTGGTCCACGAGCTTCCAAGGAGTGCAGTGGGGAATGGGGGTGAGAGGTGAGGCAGTCAACCTTAGGCAGGAAGAGCTGCTGTGTGATTGGGATCCGTCCAGACACCACAGCTCAGTCAGCCTGGATTTGTGCACAGATGCCCTTGGACGGGAAGAGGAGATAAGAAGCAGGGTGGTGGGGGAAGACTGGCTTTGGCCACACATCACTGTTCTCCCTGGCTTGAAGGGGAGCGGTTTTTGACCAAGCAAATCCATCTTCTCTTGGGGATTAAGATCAGTTTCTGATAATGGCAAGGAGACCACTTCCCTGGTCCACATGGGGTTGATAAGAGCTCTTGGCTTCCAAACTCTTGAGAGGGGGTGCCAACAGCTGAAGTGGACACCCAAATAACCAGGTGTTTTGTTAGACCACATGCAGAGTCCACCAGTGATGGGCTCCCACACTGCATGGGTGAGAAAGACACGGCATATCTAAGGATAACACACTGATGGCTCAGCTCACTTCACTTACCAAGAAAAGAAAAGAGCAAGGGCCTGGGACACACCATCCTGCTGTGTGATCTTGAAAAAACCACAACCCCTCTCTGAGCTCCAGGATCTTCATAGGTAAAATAAAAGCGTGCAGTGAGATGGTCTCTAAGGAATATGCAGCCTCTCTCCCACCTTGCGGTCAACCTCCCCACCCCGCTATCTTTTCCCCAGAAGACTCAGAGCTAATGGAAGAGGTGGGTGCCTCCCAGGTCAGGGCACCCCCCAGCTGAGGCTTGAACAATGCTTTCTCAGGGGTGAGAGTCCTGGCCTGAGCTACTACTGTTGGGGCCTCCGAGCACATGGAATCCGGAAGTATATTAAGCCCAAAGTGTGATTTCCAGCAGATTCTTCCTGGCTTTCCTATGCCCTGTTGGGTTTAAATGACAAAGGGGCTGACTTAACTTGTCGGAAAAGGATTAAAGGTGAACTTCAGCTCCAGCACACCAGTGAAAAGAAAAGAACATGACTGAAATGAGGGATGTTTCCCAGCTCAGACTCACCATCCCTCCTAAATCCTTTCTCCCCTCCTCTCCCCACATTTTCCTTGTTGGGTGTGAGCTCCCACAGGGCAGGCAGTCTTCCCGTTGCAGACAGGCACAGCCGTGTGCTTTTCTAAAACACATATCTGACCTTACCACGACCACCCCTCCCTGCCCCACACTTCGCAAGAGCTTCTCATCACCTGAAAGACCAAGTTCAAGGTCATTGGCCCAGCATACAAGGTTCTTCTTGATTCAACCTCTGTTGACTGATTTCTTCAGCCTTGCTTCCTACCACGTTCCCAAATGGGCCCACCATTCGAATCATATGGCTGATTTGCAGTTCTCAGAATGTGCCAACGTTCTTTCCCACCTCCGAGCTGGTGCATATGTGCTGTCTCTGCGTGCAATGCCCTTCTCCCCTCCATCTGGTCAACTCCTACTTGCCCTCCAAGGCCCAGCTTCAGTGTTGCCCCCCCTCCCCGCCACCAGAGGCTTTTCCCCATCCATTTTTCCCCCTTCAATCTTCTTCCACATTCAACTGCCATGACCCAGGCTGAGTTAGCTTCTCATAACACTCTCAAAATACTAAGCACGTGACCATATGACTCAACACACTGGACTCATGTGTTCATTTTTGCAGCAGATATTTCTTGAGTACCAACTAGTGCCAAGCCTTGGGAATAGAGCACAGAATAAGAACAATGGGCTGGGCACACACAGGCTGTGGCTCATGCCTGTAATCCCAGCACTTTGGAAAGCTGAGAAGGATAGATCGCTTGACCCCAGAAGTTCAAGAACATCCTGGGCAACCTGACAAAACCCCATCTCTATAAAAACACAGAAAAATTAACCAGGCATGGTGGTGCTTACACCTGTAGTCCCAGCTACTCAAGAGGCTGAGGTGGGAGGATGGATTGAGCCCAGGAGGTCAAAGCTGCAGTGAGCTGTGATTGCACCGCTGCACTCCAGCCTGGAGGACAGAAAGAGACCCTGTCTCAAAAACAAAAACAAAGAAACCCAAAACAAATACGCAAAACAAGGTAGCCCTGTCTTTTGTGGAGCTTGTAGTTAAGCGGGAGGAAACAGGTATTACATGAAAGACTGTCAAATAAATGCTTCTTTCAAATTGTGGTCACCGCTTTGACAGAGAAAGACAGGTGTCTGCTTGCTGAGAGCTCATAGTAGGAGATGAACTGTAATAGTTGAATGTCTCTCTCCCAGAATGCAAACCCTTTGCTGGCAGTGACCAGGTGTCCTGTTTGTCTTTCTCTCCTGAGTGTCTAGCATGATGCTGAGCACATAGCTTAGAGGATGGATGGTTGGATGGATGGATAGATGTATGCATGGATGGATATCTTATGTGGCCCTGAGGGTCACAGAGGTAAACTTGTAGTTGATGAGGTTAATAACTTTCCCACAGTTGGAGCTTTTCAACCATGGATGGGCTGTCTTAAGGACTGGTGGACTTCCTAACCCTGGAAATGTCTAAGCAAATGGCATGGCCACCTGTCAAAACTGCAGTAGGAAGTAATCCTGGGCCCAGTGCACCCAGAGCTATTGACCCTATTTGTTTCAGCTCTGGAATTCTGTGCTGCCTCAAGCTCAGCTGCGCAGCCATGATATCATGACAAGGGGTAAGAAGCAGAGTGTCCAGCCAACCTGGCTAGTTGGGGTTGAGTATGGGGCTTCTGTGGAAATCAGGCATCAGAAAGTTCCAGATTCCCCAGGAGTAGGGTTATGTGACTGTTCTGAGAAGCAGACATGTGTGGCTGTAAATGTCCAGAGAAAGTGCCCCACCCTTGAGTGAACATTCAAAGGTGAGGCCAGGGGACACCTGGGAGTTGAGAGGAGGGGGAGGATGTGAACGAATTTTATAGGGTTCAGAAGTCCACTCCACAACTTATGGCCTTATACAAAGCATCTCTGTCCATGCCACACTGCTTTAAACACATCAGTGATGCCTTTCCATGGTTCTTAGGATACAGACAAATATCCCTGGTGTTGCCATACAGGACTTTGCATTGTCTGGCCCCTGCCTGCCCCTCGAGGCTCCTCTCCCAGTATGCACCCATAAGTGAAGATTCTGGGGATATCAGAGACCTCAGAGAGCCTTGAGAGAAGGAGGTAGAAGGACTAGAGTCAGGGAGACTGAGGTTAGGTGAGGTTAAGCAACTTGCTCAAAGTCCTGCTGCTAGATAGTGGTTGAGTCAAACTTCAAAACCCAACTCTCTGACTACAAAGTTCAGCTCTTTCTGTTAGGTCCCATTGAAGGCCATAAATACCCTGTTAGGGGTTGGAGGGATTTCCCCCTGAGCGATGGGCAGTATGAGGACTGGACCCTCGAATGCGCTGAATCCCTCTGGCTTGGGGAGCCTGTGGCAGGTAAGACAAGCCTTCCTCCCATCTCCCTCATATCATCATGAATGCCACTGCTGTAGCGGTGCGTTCAGGTCAGGTGCTGCGCTAGGTATGTTACAAAGATCACCTCACTGAATCCATACAGGAATCACAAGATGCCGGTACAGTTGTCCATTTTAGGGTTGGGGACATTGAGGCTCAGAGAAGTTAACTAACTGACCCCAAGTCTTGCATATGGTAAGGCGGAAGGGGTTTGTCTGAGTCCCCTTAGAGCAGCCCAGCCTTCTCACTCTAAGCTGATGGAGTGGTCTGGATCCCCCTTTGGGAAGCTCTGTGGCCTCCTCCGTGGGGGAGAGATGGAGATGGCCTGGGGGCAGAGGAGCTTCTGGACATGGCTGCTTCAGGCTGTCCTCATCATCACCCTGCCGGAGCCATCTGTCTGCAGTAGTGCTGCGGCACAGATCCACACAGAGGCTGTCAACGTCAAATGAGGACTTGAGGGAAAACAGCTTCCACCCTGCAGAGATGACACAGGCAGCACGGTTCACCTACTCTGAGATGACACAGGCAGCATGGTTCACCTACTCTCAGCACGGCAGAGCAGACAGGTGTAAGGAAGGGCCCCTTCTCCCCCACGCTGCCTCCCTGCATGCCCCTCCCAAGCTGGACTCTCTTTTGGTGAATGGTGGAAAATGTCTAGCAAAACCGTCCACGGCTGAGGCTGCTTCCAGTCATGGCACACAGACCTCAGGAATCCCATTAATGAGAGGGATGGCTTCTGAATTGGATACCATTCTTCAAGAAAGGAAGTTGTATTATTATTATTTTATTATTTTGCAAAGTGGTAGAGTAACTCAAATGAGTCTAAACAAGTATTGTCAAGTAGTGGTTCTTGGGGGACCTGCTGTAATGGCTATAATAGTCATTTCAATTGGCACATTAATTATATGGGAGCAGGTGCTTCTAAAATAATTGAGGGTGTAAGAAGGCTGTTTATTTCCTTACGTGCTTTCAACGTTCCCCTTCAACCCTCTTTACTCTATGAATATCAAGTCATGCAAAGCCTGTTCTTTGGAGACAGAGAAGTGAAGCCTGTCTGAAATCGCAGGCTCTAATTTAGGGAAGTCTCCAGTTTATTCGTTCATCCCTTCATCCCTCCAGGTAGAGAACTAACACCTGCAGAAAACCTTGGCAGGGCCTTGGCTGCAGCCTAGAGATGCCATCCCTGGCTCACACTCTGCTGGGGGGGACAGGTGTCATGTGACCCGCACCCTTGTCTGGAGCTATTCAAGAGTGAGGAAGGGACAGTGGGCATGGCAAGTAGAGGTGAGAGCAGGTGCAAAGGCCTGGGGGTGGCCCATCTGACTCCCATCAGGCGCTCAGTGAAGGGTCAGGAAGAGGGGAGGCAGGAGGAGGAGGCTGAGGGCAATCAGGGACCTATGCCAAGTCTGGGGTGCCCTGCAATGGAGCTTGAGCTATATCCAAGGGGAACAGTCAAGAAATTTTAAACACAAAAGCATCATCATTCGATTTTAGGAAGCTCTGGACCCCTCCCTAGAGATGTCTGATAAGCATCTCAGACTTAACATGGCCAAAGCAAAGCTCTGCATTTCTTCCCTAAACCTACCCCTCCCTTAGTCTTCTCCACCTCAGCGAACGGCATCACCATCCACCAGTTTCCGAAGCGAAAAATCTAGGGCGTCTCTCCTATCACATCTCATCCCTTGCCCCTGCCCACTCCCCGCATCTCTTCCATCGAATCCGTTCTAAAAGACAAGCCCTGAATCCACTGCTTCTTCCCCATTCCTGGGCCTCCAAGCCAGCTGAAGCCTCTATCACTACTTCAAGTCAGCACCCTCCTGATCACACTCTCTGCTTCCACTCTTGTCCCCTCAGCCCCCAAATCCAGTATCCACCAAGCAGCCAGAGTGACCTTTTGAAATCAGAACAGTCTTATCATTCCTCAGTTTTGCCTGATACTTAACAATAAAACCCGGGAGGCACCACCCGGTCTGGCACTGCCCCTTTCTGGCCTCGCCCACTCCACTACCTCCCACCACACCAGCCTCATTTGGGTTCTGTAAACAGGAGCCAGCCCACACCTCCAGATCCACGATGTGCAGGCCCTTGTGTTGGGTGCTGCTGGGATTTCAAAGATGAGCAGCATGAACCCTGAGGAGCGAGCATATGGACCAGCAGTGAAGATGCTGCTTTGCCAAGGTGCCTCTAGAGACAGAAAGATCCAAGAGCAACTCCTGCCTCCACCTCTTCCTCTGTCACCTCCCCCATTCTCCATATCTGTGTCTATAAAATGGGATGGTGATAATAGCACTGACCTCGTGGAGGGCCATGACAGCAACCATGCAACCAAGCATGCCTGGAACAGTCCAGATGGCGCTTGTTATCTGAGGGTGACTGTTAAGAGCAACCCTTGTTCAGCCTCAAAAGTGCCTGATTTGGACGACAAATGACACTTTTGCCAATGCAGCATTCTGGAAGCGCTTTGCAAATGTCGTTTCTCAGGATGGTGCTCTACTTCTCTGTGCACATAGACCATGGGACAGATTCAAGGGCAGCGCTCCATGCATTGCCCCCGGTCGGGAGATTTCTTAAGCTACAACTCTGGGCAATGGTAGAAAGAGGGACGGAGCCCTAGCCTGCCAGATGAAAAGAGCTGACTTTGGAATTCACCTCCCTCTCCCTTTCCAGCATGGACCATGGGCCTTGATCCCACCTAGGTGTTGGGCTGTGATGGGCAGGACAGGAATCACGGTTTAAGGGGTTGTTGCAGGTGATGCTGGGTGGGCCTTTCTCTGTGTCTGAAAGCTCGTGAAGGAAAGGCAACCCAGTCACCCAGGAGTGGACTCAATGCCGGAACAATGGATCCCTTGCACAAGTCCAGCTGCATTGCTGACCTATGTGGCCTTTCCAAACTGTGCCATACGTAGAGCCTGTTGCTTCATCTTTCAGCAAATAGTTATTGAGAGCCCTCTGTGTCTCAGGCCTGGTGCTGGATGCTGCCACAGAGGCCCCTGCCCTGGTGGAATAAAGGAAACTGGTAATTGCACATTGATCTTCTATGCAGACATCTTACTGACACTTATCAGTGCTAATAGATTTTTTTTATTTTGATCTTTTGCATTATGATGTGAAAATATTATCTGCAAATAATAATAATAATAATACTTCTCCTCTCAATGCCTGAGAGACAGCATTTTTAAGGTAGAAAAATGTATATCCTGGAACCAGATCACTTGGATTCAAATTCCAGCATTGCCACTTAGAAGCTGTGTGACTTTTAACAAGTTACTTAACCTCTCTGTGCTCCAGTTTCCTCATCTCATGTAATGAACTTAGGACAGTGCCTGACGCTATATAAATATTGGTAGGGCTATACTTATTGAACTGATTATAATTTCTTGCCTTATTCCATTGTCTAAAATTTCCAGAATGCTTGTAAAAAAGGGTTTCCCTGTCTTATTCCTAGTTTTCATAGGAATGCATTTATAATTTTAACATTGCATATGATACTTCCTGCTGGCTTCTGATAAATATTCTTTTTTGTTATGAATAGGAAGGTTACTTCTATTCCAATTTCACCTAGAATTTTTATAAAGAAAAATTAATTAAATGCTCCTTAAAAATCTATTGAAATAATCATATGGTTTTTCTCCTTTAATTTACTAATGTAATGAATTATGTTGATGTTTTTCCTAATATTGAGCCTCCATTGGGTTTTTGTAATTTCTTTAAACAAATAGCTTGTGTAGCAAATTAAAAGAGCTCTCAAGTATTTGTTTTTTTATTATTATAAATGGGATCTTTTTCATTGGATTTTCTGTGGGTCTCTGGGATGTAAGAATGCAATTGATTTTTTGTGGCTTTATCTTGCATCCTACAAATTAGATGAATTCATTTTTTTTCTCTTTAATAAGCATGTAGTGCTTTCTCTGAGTTGTCTAGGCATCCAGTCTCCCCAGCTGATATTTTTGTTTCCTTCTTTCCTGTATTTTTAGATCTATTGCATTTAGCAATGAGCAAGCATGTGTTGAGTGCCTACTATGTGCCAGGCACTGGGCTAGGATCTGTTTCCTCTGCTGCTGTTGCTGCTGCTTGGCAGGGTGGGTGGTTGGAGTACCCTCTTCAGCTGGAATATTGAGAGCAGGGGCCTTATGAGGGAATGAATCCCAGGAGGTCCCAAACCACTTAGAGTCAGATCAGGATTCAAACACATTAACCCTCAGGTCAGGCTGCCTCCTGACCGATGACTCTCCCCTTCAAGGGGCAGGGGTAATTAACCTTGACAAAGAAGGGGAAACCAAAGCTTGGGAATGCAGCAGTCATTTCTGGCCTGGAGGTGAAGATAGATGCCCTTACCCTGCAACCTGGCCTTGAATGGTCCAGCTCTCTGACCTTCTTTTTGTTCTTGCATCTGGGACTTGCTGCTATTAAACAGGAGTGAAAGTCCCAGTTATATTTTGTTTCTCTTGAGCAGCATCCCAGCTCTGGGGGGTGTGAGATGGCATGGCAGCATGCTGCCATCCCAGGCCCTCCCTGAGTCTGTGAATGAGGCCCTCTTGCTTCCTGGGTGAATGTCACTAAGAGGCTGATGGCATCTCAGTGCCCAGTGGGCCCCCCTCACTGCCTGGCATGACTCTTGCTGCCTCAGGTCCCACCCCTTCCTGCCTATAGATTTGCCCTTGGTTTTTGAGCTAATTACTCCGTCTCATCACTGCACTGACTCTTCCCAGCATCTGACAGCCCTATGAGCGTGTATCTTGTAATCTCCCTTCACCTAACACAAGTCAGCTTAATTATGCATGTGGAGCTTAGGACTCCAACCTCCAGGCTCATACTCTGCAATTATTTCTGTGGTCTTGTCCCCTCTGGCTTCCTGCAAAGATGGCAGCTGGTGTCTTGCTGTGGAGTCCCTGGAGTTACACCCTACACGGGGTGCCTGACTGAGAAGGCAGAGGGAGCTAGCTCGGTATGTGCTGTAATCTCCAAACTCCATGCTTGGGACATCTTTTATTAATTCACACTAAATTGCAGTGTGGTTTGTGGCAACCTGTCTAGCGCACCCTGGCGGCACCAAAGAGCTGCCCTGTCCACACCAACAACAGGCTTGGGAGCCTCCCAGGATCCCGGGAAGTCCTCAGGCTCTGCACCCTGCCCCAGGCTCTTGGCAGACTCTGTGAAGCTCAACACATCTGAGTTTGGAAGCTGCTTTGGACTCAGGGAGAAGAGAGCGAATCTTTGTTGGTTATTGATGCTGAGCCAGGCACTAAGCTAAGAGCTCTCCATGCACCACCGGAAGGAGGAACTACAAGTAGCTCCATTGTATAGACAAGAAAACTGAGGCGCAGAGACGTGATGTGAATTCCCAAAAGTTGCAGAGCTGGAATTCTTTTTTTTTTTTTTTTTTTTGAGACAGAGTCTTGCTCTGTCGCCCAGGCTGGAGTGCAGTGGCACGATCTCTGCACAGCTGGACTTTGAACCCAGTGCTTCTAACTCCAGACTGCCACTCTACCCGTTTTCTTGTTCCCTTGAGATGGTCAGGGGATGTGAACCTTCCACTTCACAGGGGCTGCCAGCCTTGGTGACCCCAGGATGGGGGCCAGCTCTGTCAGGCTTCTGGAGGCAAGACTGGGTGCCTGGACTGTGCTGGGGATTGAAGGAGCAGGTACATCCCCTTCCTCCCCTGGGCCATCAACTCCTTCATCCGCCTGGGACCTGCTGCCAGCCTCATCCACCACGTGTCTTTGTTGCCCTGGGTGGTGGCAGGGAATGAGGGTGCCATCCTTTGAGTGTGAGCTTCTGGAGCTCTTACACTCAAAGCATCAGAGGTGAAAGTGGCAGGAGAGTGCCCAGCCAGGAACCATGGGCCAGGAAGCAGCCCATCCTCGGAGGTGGCAGGTCACTGGCCTGTCAAAGCCTCCATTCCCTTATCTGCAAAATGAGAGAAGTAACGCCCCTGGATGGGGTATCGCAGGGAGAAAATGACATCACTCTGGCAAGGGCTGGCAAATAATATCAATACCAATAACAAGCTACTGTTTATTGAGCACTGACTATAGACCAAATGCTGTCTAAACACTTACATATATCAGCTTATTTAATCCCCATAGCAACCCTAGGGGTGGGTACTGTCATTGTCCCCATTCTATAGATGAGGAGACAGAGACACAGAAAGGCAATCATTTGCTCAAGATCCCACAGGATTTGAAGTGGGATTCAAACTCTGGTGGTTTGGCTTCAGCATCTACACTCTCATTTAGTACCTTCTTTAAAATGTTAGTTCCTCCCCCAAACTCCAGCCCCACACACACGCAGTCTGCCCAGGCAAATAGAGCCATTAGCTATAGGTGTGAGCACTCCAGTTAAAAATTCCAGGGATTAAAGCATCTACACTGGCAAGGATAGAAGTGTCTACACTGCAAGGAGGATTTTTCCTCTAGTGCTGGAGAGAAATGTGCACGTAACACCACCAAAGGAGATGCAACCAGGTTATTGGGGTTATAAATGTCCCCTAAGCTGAGCTTCTGCCTCTACTTCCCTTTTGTTTCTTCAACACTCCCCACAAGAGGCTGTGTACACAGTGGGAGCCTGGCTGATGCTGGCTAACTGGACTCTGAAGGGAGACACTGCAACGCATTTCGAGCTGCCAGAATTAACCCCTCTGTACATCTCAAAACTTTGCACAGCATAGCGGGGGCTTTGGGCAGCCTGTCGGAGGTTGATTTCTGTGATCTGGTGAAATTCTGTGGCGTGATTGATAGATTGCCTTTGTAGAAAAGTGATGCTGGGATTTTCCATTAGAACAGGGAGGCTCGCTGTTGTGGCTTTCTAGAAGGTCAGAGGGTAGGAGCTGGGAAAATGCTACCCAAGCAGACAGACAGTCTCCTTCTTGGGGCCTTGAGAGATTCATTCAATGTGTTCACTTCATGCCTGCCGTGGTGCTTAAGACACAGATATTGATAAGATAATATCTGACAAGTCCACATGGCGAGTTCTCCGGTGCAAGGTGCTCTGGGTGAAAATCCTTCATTCCTCCAACATTCCCACACCATTCCTTTACTTAACAAATAGTTACCGGGCCCCTACAGGGGTGTCAGGCCCTGTGCTAGTTGCTGAGACTAAATATAGCGTTGAACGAGATAGGCAAGTTCTCTCTACACCCAAGGAGCTTACATCCTGTTGGGATGCAGAGCAGGTAGGCCTGACCTGCTTGGTAAGTGATGGAGGGGTACATAGCATGGACCCCCCCAAGCCAGACTCGAGTGGTCAAGGTTGGCTTCGCAGGGGAAGAAAAGTATACACTAAGGTTTGAAGAATGAGTAGAACCTAGCTGGGAGCCTGCGCAGGCCTCCTAAAATGAGAGAAAGTGTGGCACCCCCGCCCAAATTAAACTGGATCATGCGTTTGGAGGCCAGACAGGGAGGAGGAAAGGAATGGATAGCAGCCAGAGAGGTGGGCAGGACCCAGATCAGGTATTCACCTTGGTGAGATGCTTGAACCTTACCTGGAGAACAAAGGGGAGCCATTCTTCTTAAGCAGAGGAGCAGCATGGTCTTATCTGCTTGCTAGCTGTGAGGTCCTTGAACTGGGATTAGGGGAGGGTGGGAGGTGTAAGGACAGGGCAAGGGCTCCAGGTTGAGGGCAGCTGCAGCCATTCAGGTGAAAGTGATGGCAGCCCGAGTTAGGGGATCAGCAGTTGGGGGTGGATCATGGGCAATAGGTGGGTGGCCAGGTGCCTGCTAGACACACCGCACAGTGAACAGATGGCTGAGTGAGAACGTGGAGGCTGCTTCACCAGATGCAGAAGGTGAGGGAGAGGGAAAGGTGGTGTGGGAAGGGGCAGCTGTACGTGCAAAAGCAGTGTGGACATTGGGGGCAGCCTCTCTGGGCTTGGAGAGCTCAGCCGGCACAGTTAGATGGCCGCCCTGAATGAAGCCCAAGCTGTTTTGCCCCCGTGGTGTCTCTCACCCCGCTGTGCCTATAAATCTCTCTGGTTGGGGCCAGAGGAATGGCCCAGAGCCATGCAGCAAGAGAAGAAGTTTCAGTTTTTCAAATAACACCTGCCAACAGTTGCTCTGATTCTAGATGCTAGGTTTTGCCTCCCTTTCCTCTACTGGCCCACAGTTGTGGATGGGAAACCCACTGGCACGGGTGCTGGCAACAGTCAGACTGCACCCCAGGCCCTGGCTCTGGACCACCTTCCCTTTGTGTGTCTTCAGCCTCATTTCCTGCTGCCAGGGGAGGCATTGGCAGGATCTGACTCTGCTGCCGGCTCTGCCATGAGGCAGGCTGCTCCCCTCCTTTCCCTGGGGAGAGAGGTGTGGACACGGAGGAGGCAGTTGGGGCCCCAGTGCCCAACATGGTCTCTGTGTCTCTGTCTCTCTCTTTCTCCTCCCCTCCCTCCTCCCTCCCCCCTTCCATCCCCCACTCCCTCCCTCGCTCCCTCCCTCCCTCCCTCCCTCCCTCCCTCCCTCTCCTGCTCTCTCTTAGTTCAATTTGTACAGGCTTTTCAGAGACCCCAGGGAATTCACATGTGTATTGCTTTGTAAATGTTCTGACGATGCTCTCAGGTGCCAGGGCTGTGTCTTCAGCATCAGTTTGGGAGTTCCTTCAGGAGCAAATGACTGCATCTCCCTCAACAGACTGGGAACCCCTGAGGCCAAGGGCTGAATGAAGAGAAATTACTAAAGACAGAGTAAGTGCTTTTGCACGTACAGCTGCCCCGTCCACACCACTTTTCCCTCTCCCTCACCTTCTGCATCTGGTGAAGCAGCCTCCATGTTCTCACTCAGCCGTGTGTTCACTGTGCAGTGTGTCTAACAGGCACCTGGCCACCCACCCGTCACCCATCGCTGTCTCTCCCTCTCTTCTTTGTGCTGTCTCATAAAGAGATATGTAATTAAACTACCTTCAAACATTATATGGCGAAAATTATAAACTAGAAAGAGGATCGCCAGGTAGTTAAAGCCAGGTTGAAATCTCGGCTCTGCCATTTACTGGTTTTAACCTCTCTGGACCTCAGTTTCCTCTTGTGCTAAGTGGGGATAGTAACTCTAAACTCACAGAGCCATAAAAGTTAATATTCCCAGTCTACAAGCATTTATAAAGTGCCTGAGTGCCAGGAACTATTCTAGGCACCAGGATGTAATGGTGAATAAGACAAACAAGATCTCTGCTTTAGTGGGGTGAGGAGACAGACCATTAATTAATTAATTAGCAAGAAAATATCAGATAATGATAAGTGTGGTGTAGATAATTTCAGGTGATGTGATAGAGAGTAACTGGGGCTTCTTAGATCAGCTGGCCAGAAAAGATGCCTCTGGGGAAGTGACATTGAAGCTGAGCTCTATATGACAAGGAGTTAGCCAAGCAAAGACCTGAGGGAAGAGCATGCCAGGCAGAGAGGGTATCTATGGATGGGATGAGCGTGGTCACACTGTCAAGGGATTAGACTGTGTTCTTGGAAAATAGGCAAAGGAAAGGGGAACACAAGTCAGGGCGGTGACAGGGCTTTCTCACATTGGGCTTTGTAGATCTTATTCTTAGCATAATAGGACTTAGTGGAGAGTCTTAGGTGGAGAGTGACATGATCTAATTTAGGTTTCAAAAAAAATTATCTGGCTGTTGTGCATAGACTGGACTGTAGGGGAGTGTGCTAGTCAGGAGAGCCTGCGTTGTGCCCCACTAACAAAATAATCCTCAAATCTCAATGGTTTGTTACAACAAAGGTTTATTTCTTATTCACGGAAAGTTGGATATGAGTCTGGCAAATCTCCAGAGCTACTCTCTTCCATGAAGTGACTCAGGGATCCAGGCTCATTTTGTCTTGTAGTTCCATCCTCTCAATATGCACAGTTACCATCCAAAGGGGGCACAAAACCAAGAGAGTCATGTGGATTGCTCTTATGGGCCAGTCTGGAGGTGGCTTAAGTCATTTCCACTCATTGTGTCCATCCACACGGATGCAACTGTGAGGGAGGCTGAGAAAGTGTAGTTTTACTGGATGCCCAGGAAGAGGATAATGAAACAAGATTTGGGGATCATACAGCTGTTTCTGCTAAGGACAGAAGTGTGTATATGGAGGCTCTCCCAATCTTCCTGACTAGGAGAGCTAAGAGGCTCTCCTAGTCTTCCTGATGAGGGATGATGGTGGCCTGCATGTGAGAAGTGGCAATGAGGATGCAGGGAAGTGGACACATGTAACATTCATACAACACTTGGTACTATGGCTAAGCAGTAGGCCCCCACTACACAATAGCTCTTATTTTAATATCCTTTATAATTAAAACACCTTAATCTTTCTTTACAAGATGAAGTCATATTTGCCAAATGGGTTTTCTCTGATTTCACAAGGTCAATAGGCTGGAACACTTTCTGACCAAGGCGTTTTTTTTTTTTTTTTTTTTTTTGAGATGGAGTCTCCCTCTGTCACCCCGGCTGGAGTGCAGTGGTGCAATCTCGGCTCACTGCAAGCTCCGCCTCCTGGGTCCATGCCATTCTCCTGCCTCAGCCTCCCAAGTAGCTGGGACTACAGGCGCCTGCCACCATGCCCGGCTAATTTTTTGTATTTTTAGTAGAAATGGGGTTTCACCGTGTTATCAGGATGGTCTCGATCTCCTGACCTCGCGATCCACCCACCTCGGCCTCCCAAAGTGCTGGGATTACAGACATGAGCCACTGCACCCGGCCTGACCAAGGCTTTTTTAAAGACATGCTCATAAAACCTTGGAATGTAGTAATGGCTTTTAGAGATGTTCAAGTCTTCCTTCTGCATTTTAACAGGTAGAAAGAGTGAGTGCTTCAGAGGTGGCCGTAGCTTTGCTCCAGTCACAGAGGCAGTCGACATCTAAGCAGGGGCCAGGGCCAGGGCCCAGGTCTATGTGCCTGTCTATGAAGTCAAGTGATTTCCGGATTTCTTCTCCCCCAGCAAGTCCAAGAGTACAAACAGCTGGGGAAGCCTGGGGTAGAGTTTCTCTCCTGGTCACATCAGATAAGATCTGAGTGGAAGAGGAGGAAGGGAATCAGAGAGGACTTGGTCTTGCCCACCCAAATCTGTCTGCTGCTCTTTTTCCTTCTTGTGCCTGAGAAACAATATACGGGGGCCGGGGGTACAAAGATCATGGGTTCCAGCCCACCTCTGCCATTTCCTCACTGTTATATCTTGAGTTAGCTACTTACCCTCTCTGAACTTTAGACTTCCCTTTTAGAAAAGAAAGCTAATGATGCCAGCCTCGCCAGGTTGTTATGAGGGCTACATGAGATAGTGTAGGTAACAAACCTTTAGCTCAGAGCTTGATACCTAGAAGATCCTCAACCCTGGAAGTAATTAATTGGAAGAAACGCTGAGCCTCCTCTCCTCACCTTCCCCCTCACACCCAGCACCCTGGGTGCTGTCCCTGTGTCACCTTGTAAAAGCCCTTCTGGAATTGGGACAAGCTTAGGAACTCACTCTACCATAATAAATGAATGTGTCCCTCTTTCCCCAAGCAGGCTGCGTTTCCCAGCATCTTCATCCGATGTGCAGGGTCTACCCAGCCCCGTGTTTCTCTGCTGTAAGATACACTATGCATCCTTGGCACCTTGCCCAGAGGGCCAGGGGGGGCCTCAGCAAACCCAAACTTTCCTGAGTCATCTGATGGGCTACACTGTTTCCTGGCACCCTAATGTCCTTAAATGAACTTCTGTTGTTTGCCTTGAATCAAATTCACTGGGAGCAGGGGAGCCAATGCACACCCTTGAGGACTGGGCCAGGTCCCAGGATGGGCCACAGCCCATCAGCCTTGCAGAAGCTGCATGGGCCCCTTCGTTGCTCCTTGGTCCTGCCCAGAGAACCCCCAGGCTGGATCCTACCAGTCCCTGGGATCCAGCATGGCTTTCAGAAGTAGCTCAATAAAGAGAATGTTAAAACCTTTTAATGCTTGGCAGGGAATCTGTCCTTTGCCAAAACACCAATTAAAGGCCCAGGCCAGTTCAACATGACTTTATTACTAGCATTTTATCTGGAAGAGAAGGGATGGGGGGAGGTAGCATTTTATCTGGAAGAGGAGGCAATGAAGCCTCTGGGAAACACCCTCTCTGCTTCCTCTGACAGGAACAACCCCGCACAGTCACTGGGCGCCTGCTTCCTAGAAGGCTCCAGAGAGAAGCCAAAAGAGAGAAATGAGATAATGGAGTGAGGTTACTCAAAGAAGCCTTTCTGAAACAGCAGATTTTAAGCTGGGCTTTGAAAGGTGGATCAAGTCAGGGGAAAGTGGAAAGAAAGTGGGGGCTTCTCAGGCAGGAGATTCTGCAGGAGCAAAGGTGAGGCTGAGGGGCTAATCCTCAGTGCTGATTGGACACTTTCATTGTCTCAGGAACTGCGCTAAGCATTTTAGACGTGATCTCTAATCTTTCAAACCACCCTGGGACACAGGCTCTATGATTATCACCATTTTGTAGATGTAGAAGCTGAGGTTTAGGTGCTTCTACCCAGTTCATGCTTGTAGTAAGTTCTGGAGCCTGAACTAGGCCCAAGCAGATGATCCCAGTGCTTCTGCTCTTAACCCCAGGCTGAGAAGTGAGAGATGAGTTGGGGAGGGCTCAGGCAGATGTGAAGTGGAGAGAGTTTGTCATTCCTTGAAGTCCAGAGGCCCCCATTTCCCTCTTTTTGAGCCATTCACTGGATCTAGACCTCTATCTGAATACAGCGAATGGCTCAAAACCCTAACCCTAACCCTAACCCTAACCCTAACCTTATCTAGCTCCATCCACACATTCACTGGATCTAGGTATCTTTAACCCTAACCCTAGAGTTAGATTCAAAAACATAATCCTAACCCTAATCCTAACCTTATTTAGTTCTACCCACCCATTCACTGGATCTTGACCTCCTGCCTGAACTTGTCCCTGGGCCCTGGTCCCTCTTGTCAGCTGTCTTCATCCTTTCTAGTCTAGTAGGTGCCATTGAAAGCCATTGCTCCCAAAGGGGTATCTCTCTGTCAGGTGGCCTTCTCAGGTTGTGGCTGATGGACTTGAAATTCCTCATCAACCACTAAATAGGCTGTTGCCTGTGCCACTCCTGGACATAGGTTGTCCAAGCCAAGTGTCTGGTGGCTCTGTTCCACTTCTGGAATCTTCCAGAAACTTTGTCAATGCTTATAGCCTATAAGAGCATGGTGATTCTTCAGTTGTTTGCCCATTCTTCTATCCATCCATCCATTCATCCATCCATCCATCCATCCATCCATCCATCCCTCCATTCATCCAGCACTTATTTTGAGCCAGTGACGTTGTCCTTCTTACACTGGGCCCTCAGCACTGTGGGCTGGGACTATCTGGAGAATGAAGGGGTTAGTTCACACAGCCTATCTGCCTTCAGGCTTTGTCAAGGGATAGGTGCTTTGAAGCCACAAGGTGAAATACACTGACCCCAGCGAAAGTGACAAATTTGGCCCTGCCCAGATCTGGTCTTCCAGTCTCCAGCCCCTTCCTCTGTAGAGATGTGCATGAAGAAGTGTCCCAGCACCTGGATTACAGAGTGAGAAACTGAGGCTTGGAGGAGGGGGCTAAGCCTGCCTCAAGAGCATGGCAATCTAAAGCCAAACTTCACTCTGCACTCCCCTGGGTACCTGCTCATTACTCACCCACCTTGATGCCCCTGCTGGGCTTGTGGGGGCTTTCTCCCATCCAAGCAGGATGGTTTTTGTCAAGCCCAATATTGCCCATGGTCTTGTGCAGAGAGATGTGCCCTCTGCCTGTTGCAATGCTGTGATTGGGACAGACATGGACACATCCTCACAGGACACACAGATGACAAAATAAAGGCTCAAATCCCTTCTCCTGATTCTGCCATCATGCCCCTAACTTCCTCATTCCCTCACTTCTCATGGCCCTCCCTTTCTTCCACACTCCTCACTCTCATTTCTTTGGCTCTGTTCATCTCTGTTCTAAATCATTCCCTCTTTCTTTCCCTGAAACTCCCTCTTGATTATACCCTGTGTTCCTCTCTTCCTCTCTGCATCTTACACCTGCTCACACACATTGAGAGTCATCCTCAACCCCCCTTCCTACTGTTTCCCCATACCCAGGTCATCTTGCTCCAAGTCTTGTCAATTCCACTTCCTAAATCTCTCTTCAATGTGCCTGCTCCTCCCCTCCCTCCTGAGGTCCCAAAGTGCTGTTCTAGTCCACCATCATCTTAGTCTGAATGTCTGTTACCTCCCAACTTGCCCAGAGGTGCAGGCTTGTGCAGCCCCAGTCCATTCTCCACACTGTAGCTAGAGGGAACTTTCAAGATGCACATCTGATGGTGTCATTTCACTGCATAAACCCCTGCAGCAGCTTGCCATTGGCCTCAGGATGGAGTGCAGCTCTGTTCCATGTCCTACAAAGCATTACAGAATCTGGCCTCTGCCCACCCTGCACCCCATCTTTCATCAGCCCCAACCCAGGCCCTCCCACCTGATGGGCTAGCCATGCAATGGGGCTTCTTTCTATTCATCAAATTAGCCATGCCCTCCCTGACCTCTGGGTCTTTGCCTGCTGTATATGCCCTCCTGTATGACTAGGGTAATTCCTACCCCCCTTTAGGCTGGAAATCTTTCCTCAACTGCCAAGTCTGGGTGAGATGCTTCTGCACTGAGACGCAACTGCACTGCAATGGTTCCCTGTGATTCCTAAATTACAGCATTTATTAAAGTGAATTCTAATTGCCTGTTTAATTGTTTGCTTTCACTGCTGGAGCCGCAAGGGCTTAGGGTACAATAGGCTTCCAGTTCCCCAAGGAAAGCGTACAGCTGTCTCCCTAACGTTTGTTTTCAGGTCACCCAGGGAGCCGGCTCCCAGGGCTAGCCCTGAGAGCTGTCCGTGGTGCTGATAGTTCCCGTGTTTCAGCAAGGGGCAGCCTCACTCAGAAACCACCCTGGCGGTGCCCTGTGCGCTTCTCCTGGATGTTTCCCAAGGGGGAAGGAAAGGCCTTGGTCTGACATTCTGAATCCACGATCTGCCCTTCCCAGTGGATCGGGGCCTGCTGGTTTGCGGAGGTTCACTGGGAAGGCTTTGAGCTGCTGCCGTTACCTCCTGGTACCATATTTGCCTCTCAGCATCTGGCTATATTTCTGAGACAGGGGAGGAGACATCCCAGCCGCAAATAATTTAATAAAGACTTTTCCATCCGCTAGCCTAATCCCCTCTTCCTCCATCTTTTAGTACCAGGGACATGGAGACCAGGTCCCCTTTCCTAAAACCCTGGCCCAGTTGCCGGCAAGCGGACACTCTCTAGCCAACTTCTTTACTCCACATCATTCCAGGAACTGGCTGACTCTCTCCATAGCTCACCCATCTCAGTTGCCTCCTCTTCTCCTCTCAAACCCAGCCCTCTTGGTAATATTGGATTAGCCCACTTTCTTGAAAGCTGATTTTCTATTTGCATAATCCTTCCCTCTCAGAGTTGCTAGGGCCTCCATGATAAGCTGATGGGCCAGGGCAGTCAAGCAAATTATACTCTTTATTCTGAACAGCATTGAAAGTGAGGGAAATTATTTTTTAAAGAAAACACACGCTTTATTTTCATCTCCACATTCCTTTTGACCAGGAGCATCATGCCAGTGTTGACTGCACTAGCCTATGTCTCCTGGAATACATAGATCTTTATTTTACCAAACTACAGCAGGCAGAATGGAAGTCAGACCTATGGAAGGTCTTCTTAATATTAATAGTGGAGAGAATGCATATGAAAGCCCCTTGTAATGGCAATACATTACTCTTTATATATATAAATCATATTTCCACCTGTCATCTAATTTTTTTCCCCATCCAACACTATAGACAACTGTATAGGTACTTTCCCCATGTGACAGTGGAGGCTACGGAGGCTCAGAGAGACCGTATGTCAAGTCATGGCTGGAGTGGAAACTAGAGCTGCTGATTAGAGTTTCTAGGATTCCTGATGCACTGAGCTCAATTCTGGCCAACAAACACTTAGCAGTACCCACTGTGTGGCAAAGGCACCGAGCTACAGCCACAGAAAGGCTTGGGTACAGTGAATTTCTACTGCATGCCTACTGTGCACCAGGTTCAGACATTACAACCTGGAGGATTTAGCCCAGAGCACAGACATCTACAAAAAGGGGGCTGGAAGAATAGTCAAGAGGAAGGCATCCTTTTCCTTGAGGCTCTTCTCTTTGTCCAGTACTGGACAAAGGGTAGAATGACATGGGAAACTTCTCCCTCCCCCTCATGAACCCTTCACCTGAAGTCTTCTGAGAGCCCCGTGGGCAAGGGGCCCCCTGCTGCAGTCTCCCACTCAAAAGTGAGTGATGCTCTTCATTGAGCTGAGGCAGGGCCGCTGGCTGCTGAGTTATATTTATACAACTTGTAAATCATCCTGTCAGGTCCTCCTGAGAAACCCAGGCACCAATGTGCAGGAGGTAGCAGCCTCTGTTGGCTTCTTCAATTCCTTTGGGACAGTTGCGCTCCTTGACACTCCCCAAGTTTTTTGGCTGCTTAAGGTGACCCACCAAGGATACACAAGCAAAGACAGAAGGGATGGGAGAGGGAAAGGGGTTCCCTTCTTTGCACTGGGCTTTGTTGCTCTCTCCAAGATCTCTTCTAGGGGGTGTTTGGGGATTAAAGGGACTTCTGTCTACCACCCTGCCTACTTCTGTTCTCTTCTCTGTCTAGACTGATTAAGGAGCAGAATGTCCCAGAGGCAAGAGAAGGGACTCAGTAACCACCAATGGTAAGGTGGACCCTGTAGCCTTTGGGGCTCCAGCAACCTTGACCTTGACAGTTGGTGCTTTTAGCAAAGCCCAGTAGGATGGTAGAAGGAGGACTGGATTGGGAGTCAGGAAACCTGGGTTTTAGTCTTGATTTTTGTCATAAGTACACTGTTTGAATTTGGGCATGTCTGAGCCTCAGTTTCCTTGTGTGTGAAATGAAGCCCCTGTGTAAGAATGTTTAAGGAGAGAATCCTTCCTTAGGGTGGAGGCATGATACAGTGAAGAGCTCAGACCTGCATTCAAAGCTTGGTCCTTGCGTTTTCCAGCTGTGTAACCTTGGGCAGTTTGCTTCACCTCATTGAGACTCAGTTTCTTCATCAATAAAATGGGAAGATACTTCCTTCCATGTGATCTTGTGAGAATGGAATGCACAGCAAAGCTCAGTTTCTGATACAAGGCTTAGCACCTAGTAAGTGTGCAAAAGTGCTCATCTCTCCCCTTCCGCCAAATCCAGTTTCCAGACATGCTTTCTGCAACTGATTCTGAAAGAGTAACCAGGCTTCAGTGCTCATCTGAGTTTGATGGTGGACAGAACCAGGCAAGGAGCCAGGTCCAGCCCTTTTTTCCCTCTCTCTCCCTTTGGCCTCTGCTGGGGCCCTTTTGAAAGCAGGCAAAACACAAATACATATTGAAAGAAATTAAATGGGTTTGGCCACTGGGCCTTTAGGTGAATAAATAAAACAGTAAAAGGAGAAAGATTACTCTTAGGTTGGGCACCTGCCACATCCCCTCGGGGCTGAGCCACATGACTGAGGCCAGTTTATGAGAGAAATCTCAGTGGAACTTTGGGGCCAGGCCAGCTTGGGTTTGCATCTTGATTCTCCCTTTGGGCATCTTTCTGATGCTGAATGGGGCCACTCTAAGTCTCAATTTCTTCATCTGTAAAATGAGGAGATCCATACCCATCTCACAATGGTCAGGACTAGAAAGAAAGCCACCATGAACTCATTGTGGACAGTAGGTGCTCAGTACAGGCTAGTATTCCACCCTGTCCCAGAATCATAGAACAAATCAAGGTCATTCATTTTAACTGCAGAGGATAAAGAAGAGGTCTGAAAAAGGCCACTGGGTTTGGCCTCCATAAAGTTCCTGTTGGAAGGAAGTCCCCCTACAAATGCCTTTCCTCCATTCTTTGCCTCCCCAGAACCTCTTGCATTCTAGTCTTCACTCTTTTCTCTTCATGGGGACTTTCCTCCTGACATTTTATATAAAGAAGAGAGAGAGAAAAGTGTGAGGGATGAGGCTCAAGGAGGAAGGGTGTGTGAGTGTGTGTGTACACACATAGGATGAGGAATGGTACACACGTGTATAGGCTGCAGAGAAGGAGCCAGTGGGTGGAGAGAACTTGGAGGTGCACTGATGTGAAAGTCAATGAAGAGATGAGGCCACAGCATGTGTAGGCAATGGCGGGCTTGGGAACCCAAGTGAAGGGCTCACCATGGAAAGAAGCATGAGTTCTTGGGCAGTAGGGGCACAACGGTGTTCTGGAGTTGTGTGTGTGGTGACAGACAAACCTGGGTTAAAACTCCAGCTCTGTAACTTGCTAGATGTGTGGCATTTGTCATGTCCCTTCATCTCTCCAAGCCTCAGCTTTCTCTCTTCTTGAATGGGTATAAAAACATCCCCCTCATCGTTTGGAGAGGCAGTAGATTTAAGTCAAGACTAGCACAGTGCTTGGCACTTGGAATATTCTTAACAAATGTTGGCTCCCTTTCCTCCTCATGGCTGGAGAAGCACGCAGAGGATGAGCGAAGATGTGGAGAGGGGCAAACAGGAGGGACACTGAGGATGGTCCGAGGAGAGTGAAAGCCCAATGTCTGTCGAGGGAAGGGGCAGGTGGCTGGTCCAGGGGCCAAGGCCAGCCAAGAAGCAAGAGGCCCAGAAATGGTGGCAGGAGAGCTTTGTCTTATCTTTGTGCTGCAGGGTGGGGGAGCCCCAAAATTGGAGCTTAGCCCGGGAGGGTTCTTGGCTTCACCAGGAAATAATTCAGAGGTAAGCCGATGGTGTTAGACAGCGACTTCTATTGAAGCGGCAGTGCGCAGCAGCCGCTGAGGGAATGCTCCTTGCAGAGCAGGGCTACCCCACAGGTAGTGCACCCATAGTCATAGTGCAGAGGCCGTTTTGCACTCCTATTTATACCCACTTTCAATTACATGCAAATTAAGGTGTGAATTATGTGGCCATTTCTAGAAAAAGGGTGGTGACTTCCGGGTCATCAGGTCATTGCCATGGAAGGGGGCAGTAACTTCTGAGTGTTGGCATGGCAATGGTAAACTGACATGGTGCACTGGTGGGCATGTCTTATGGAAAGTTCCTTCATGTCTTATGGAAAGTTCCTTCCATCCAGTCCCTGTTTTAGCTATTCCTCAGTTTGGTCCAGCGTCCGAGCCCTGCCTCTGGAGTCCAGTCCCACCTCCTACCTCATTTGGAACTTCTGCACAGTTGCCATAGGAATCCATCCTGGTCTTGGCTAGTGGGGCCTTTTCCACGTGGAGGTGTTGGGGGCCACCTACCTGAGGGGAGGTATGCAGAGTGAGGGAGCAGCAGATGGAGCCTAGGTGAAGAGATGGGGGGACATCGCTTTGCCTCGAGACCAGAAGTGACTGGAGACATTCTAATCAGTCCTATCTCTTGTATTTTGATTCAAATGGAGCCTAGGACTGCTGGAGCACCCAGCTGGGGACCCCAGGCCAACCCAGCTCTCTGTTCCTCCTCCCACTTCAGCCAGGCCAAGCATCTCTGGCTGCACCTGCTTCAGGAAGATGCTTGCAGCAACTAAATGAGAGGACGCATGGGAAGCCCTTAGCACCGTGGCTGGCCTATAAAATGTTTTCCAGAAGTGTCATGCAAGAAGGGAGAAGAGGAGACAGAGAAGAAAAGCCAGTCAGGGGTCTTAGGTAGGAGGTGGGACTTGACTTCAGAGGCAGGGTTCGGATGCTGGACCAAACTGAGGACTAGCTAAAACAGGGACTGGATGGAAGGAACTTTCCATAAGACATGCCCACCAGTGCACCATGTCAGTTTACCATTGCCATGCCAACACTCAGAAGTCACTGCCCCCTTCCGTGGCAATGACCTGATGACCTGGAAGTCACCACCCTTTTTCTAGAAATGGCCACATAATTCACACCTTAATTTGCATGTAATTAAAAGTGGGTATAAATAGGAGTGCACAACTGCCTCTGAGCTATGACTCTCGGTGCACTGCCTGTGGGGTAGCCCTGCCTGTGAGGTCTTAGGTCTTGGCCCTCTGGGCCAGAACAGAAGGACCTGGTACCTCTCAGAACTCACTCTCACCATCAGCGTCCAGAATGTCTCCCTGCCTTAACCTTGAAGATGCCAGAGGAAGTGGAGGGACTTGGGTCTGTCCTAGGCAGGGTTTCCCCTGAAGCCCCCCGACCCCTCAGACAAGGATTTGAGTACAAATCATGTATTTTGGAGGTGACGTCGGGAAGTATTGTCAGGGGAGTGTGGATGTGAACCAGCAAAGGGAAGAAAGCCAGTGAAGTTGTAGCACTGGGCAGGTGGGGCTCAGCTTCACCAGTGAGCTCTGGGAAGTGGAGTAGAATGGAGTTGCTAAATCTCCAATGTGTGTAAGAATCACCTGAAGAGGCTTCTGAAACCTTCCAGAGCCCCACCTCCAGAGAGTCTGATTCAGCAGGTCTGGGGCGGGACTCAAGAATTTGCATACAGCAAACTCCCAGGTGCTACTGATGCTGCCAAATCGGGACCGTACTTTGAATAGCAGTGTAGACTACACCTCTGGGTTAATCCCCAGCCCACAAAGGGATGGGGAAGCTGGAGTATTTATCCACCCACTCCGCATCTGTCCTTGTTGAGGGCTGCTTCTGGGGGCATGAACTCTGGAGGTTCTGGCGACCGGATAAAGAACCTGAGGCAGAGAGTGCAGTGGATGGCAGCAAGTGGACACGTGAGGACGGATGGGATGAACACTGTGGCATCTGCTGCAAGCTCAGAGGGTCCGGCTTTGAATCCTGGCCCTGTCTTCTATAATTTGTGGGATTTAGGTAAAGTCTATAATCTCCCCAAGCCTCAGTTTCCTCATTGAAAAAATGGGGATAATAATTCCAACATCGGTGTCATTATGGAGATGTAATGAGATTAATCTGGTGCGAGTGTCTGGCACATAGTAGATGCACCGTAAATGTTTATTGCATCTGTAGCAGCGCTGTTCCAGAAGCGGGATGAGAGAGGTCTGGTTCCTGGAGAGAGCTGGAGGCTGCAGGCTGGCACAAGCCCTGCATGAATCCATGTCTGCTTGGATCCTCGTTGCCTTAATAAGTAAATAATCAATTGAGAGAGATTCTTCCTGGGTGCTAAGAACCAAGTCCTTTCCATCTGCAGCCATCCAGAGGCAAGCTTTACTAGAGACCTGGCCTCAAGGGGCTGCCTGCGACCTGGCATGTTTTCCAAGGGGCTGGTGAGGCAAGTCTGCATTTCCAGGGGTGGTTGGCAACTGCAACTGCACACTGAATGCCGTGGGAATGGAATGCATTGGCCGCTTCCCCTTCCCCACCCCGGGGTAGCTCCCAGCCCATTCTTTTCCCTCCCTCCCTTGAGTATGTGGGGGATGGCATAAAAGGAAGCATTCTGGACATCCGCAGGATGGGGCAATTGGCACCTGCAAGACAAAATCAAGAATTTCAGGTGGTGGGAGGTCGTGCAGAAAAGAGGAGAGGTCAATGGTGGAAAATACGGAGGGCCACTTGGGGAAATAAAAGAACAACAACTCAGAGGGTTAACCATATCACACTGAGTTTTTCTAGTTTATAATAGCACTGGGGATTTGGATGTAGGATGCTACTCAGAGCCAGTTTCGGGAAGGACTCTTACTGCCTGGGAGCCATTTGGCTTTCTCAACCTACTTGCATCACTGCTTGTGAAACAACAATGAGGTGAGCCTGAGCAAAGGGAAGAAAGAGTGTGGGGGTCCTCCAGCCCCACCCCCACCTCTACTAGGCACCTGCTCAGCACCATTGCAGTGTAACGGGTCCAGTTTTGAACCAGGCGAATGCACATCTGAGTTTCAGGTTCATTTTTGCCTCTCACTCGCTGTAGGATCTTGGGACTCCGGTTTTTATTTGCGATGTGAATCTATTCAGTTATCTCTGGGGTCCTTTTTGCTGACAGCTTCTGGATCTTAATTTTGGGGAGGTCTCTCAGAACCAAACACTTCTCCAGCCAAGCAGGTTTAGGGAGAACCCAGAGCAACCTTCTCTGGCAGCATCACCCAGAGCGGTTGCGAAAAGTGCGGATTCCCAGTCCCACTGGGGCCCTGCAGAGTCAGACACTCTTCCTGTAAAACCCAGGAATTTTCTTCTTCCACTGCATGCTCATCCCCCCTGACTCTCACACGTATTGCATTTTGAGAAGTCCTGTCTAAAAAACAAGAAAATTTTCTCGTCTTCTTTCTCTTCTGTAGTCAGTTAAACAAAGCCACCCAGCTGGGCCAGGTCACCTGATGCTGGTGCATTTAATATCTAAGTGGAAGCAACAACTCATCAAAAGGAACAGTTTACAATTGCCTGGGATAAAACTATTTTCTTTTCAATCTTCCCTGGAAAGTGACAGATAATAACCAGCCTGGAGACTGTAATATTATTAGGGCCAAAAATAAAATAAAACCCCTTAACTGCTTCCTCTTACAGAGAGAAGCCAAATAGTTCTTCAACTCATTTAAATAAAGTGATTGTTTTCCTTGCTCATTATCTTAAATTCCCAGGAGTCTGCAGTCCCCTCCTTCTGTATGAGGGGATGGCCCTATTTCCCCCTCTCTCATCATTTCTTATTTCACAAGAATCCCGTTAAGACCGGCAGCAAGAAGCCATGCATTTATGAACCACTTTTAGCATGCTTGCTTTCTGCCCGGCCCCCAACCCTTAAATTAAATGAGATAATATATCTGAGGCATATAGAACAACTCCTGGCATAGAGTAAGTGCCCAACTCATGTTTATTGTCATTATTAATGACATTTGAATACCATGATTCTGGTCTCAACAAGATAGTCTGTGCCTTCAGACAAGTCATTGCACACTGAGCCTTAGTTTTTCCAGCAGTGAAATGGGGGAGAGAACACATGGACGGAGGGAGCCCAGAGCAGGGATTATTATGCTAGAATCTCATTACAGGAGGGCATGAGGACAGATAGCCCCTAGGCAAAGGGGTTAGAGTTCTTAAGGCCTTGTTATTTCCTTAACATACCTACAGAACATACAGGAGCTATGTCTGCCCCCAGACCGGTTGGTGCAAATGTAGCTGAAGGAATCATTGAATTTGACCTAAACCTCTGTTCTTCTAGGAACTTTGTTCCAGATGATTCTCTGAGGACAATTTACCTCCTCTATGCTCTGTCTCCTCTTATCAGTTGTGGTGACTTAGATGGCTCCCGTTACCTTGACAACCCTACCCTTCCCCTTCTCTACCAAATGAAGAAGACAGGGCCTGCTTTGCAGGGCCATGGTGAATATTCAAGCCAGCTTAGGCTCAGGGCCACCACACCGTGCCATCCCACAAATAGCAGCTATTACAGTGGTCGTGAGCATGATGTCACAATCCCGGCTCTTTTCACAAGCCTGCAACCCCTTCCCTGCAAACCAGAAATCCAAAAAGCTCTGATAAATGAAAGATTTATTTTATTTTGTTCTATTTTTTGTAATTCATTGGATGAGAAAACTGAACCTGACCTGAACTGACTTGAAATGACTTGGTGGCAAAACCCAGCCTGGGTCGATGGGAGGATATTTATGGTATTTGTTTTTCTCACTTAGTATCACCATCCAAATGCGTCACTGCAGAAATATTAATGTTGAGTGATTACACAGTGATTCTTTGGACCCCAGTTGTGTTGTGTGATATATTGAACAAGCCCCATATCACCTTTCAGAAGTAGGGTTCAGCCTGAGCTCTGGGACACATCTGGCTCCAAGGGTTCGGGATGGTGGTTGTGGAACTAGTGTTAATGTCAGGCAAAAATTCTCACCTCTGGGTGTCCTCTGGGTGTTCCTCCTGCAAGCTTCCATTCTGGGAAAATTGTTGTTCATGCAGCGGCCTCCTCACTTGCCCCTGTACATAAATCCAGCTCAAACCCACCCACTTGGGTACACCTGCATCCTTGGGGAGCCCCTTTCTTGGAGTGCTTAGTCTCCATCCTATCACGCTGCCCACCTGCCCCTACACCAGTCCGGTTTCCAGGCCAACTCCTGTGCCCATCAGGCCACTGGAAGGGACAGCGTCCTCCCTGCCTGACCTCCACATGCTTGCCTTCCCCCATGTGGCACTGCTGGCTGAATTCTCTGCTCTTCACTCCGATTTTTGGCACCAGAGCCACACAACCGGGATCTCAAAACAGAAAGAATGCATTTCCTAGGCAAGCCCGCTCCTTCCTTAAGCTCGCAGGCTGAGGAGCGGGCAAGGTGCAGCCAATGGGCTCTGTCCCAGCGCCTGGGCCTTCCACTGGCATTTTCTCCAGCAGGTTTTCCTCCTGAGCCATAGAGATTAAGAGCTTGGAGGTGCCCACTGAGGGAGAGGCTTTTAGGGATTTAATGCAGCCTTGATGAAGCCCGGAGACAGGGGCAAGGGGTTCTTTGCTATCAGAACGTGCAGATGAGGTGGGAATGCCCCAGAAATTTACCCTGCAGGCTCTGGAATAGCAATATTATTATGAATAATATTGATTGATCACTTTCCATGTGTCAGGCTCTGCATTGAGTACCTTACATGAACTATCTCATTTAATCTTCACAAGACCCTAGGAGGTGGCTACCATTATTATTCTCATTTTATAGAAAAGGAGAGAGGGTCAGAGAGGCTAGGTAACTTGTTCCAGGCCACACAGCCAGTATATGGTAGAGCCAGGAGCTGATCACAGGCAGTTGGATTCAAGAGCCCAAATTCTTGACCATATGTGTATCTGTGATCTATTACCATGAACATGCTGTGTAACACTTGGACACAGAGCCTCAGTGGTGTACAACAATAGGCACTTTTTTCTCACACATTCAGGTGGATGAGCTAGGTAGCTGTGCACACTCATATGTCTGAGAGCATCTGACCTTTGACTGACCCAGGCTGTCCTCACTGGGACAACAGGAGTGACCAACTCTGTCCCATGTGTCTCCCATCCTCCAGTGGGCTGGCCCAGCATGTACTCATGGCAGTGGCCCAAGAACTTATGTGGAAACTTGCTAGGCCTCCAGAGGCCATGCACTGTCACTCATGCATTGTCACCTCCCTGTTGGCCAGAGCATATCACATGGCCAGCCCAGGTCCAAGGAGCAGAGAAATAGATGCTGCCTTTTTAGTGAGAAACGCTGAGTGTGGACCCAAGAAGTCGTGAAAATGGGAACCCTTTTGCAATTCACTACGTGACACAGGGGCCTTCACAGCCACAGTGTGCACCTATGTCCTGCAGGGAGACAAGAGGGACCACCTGAGAGTCTCATGACCCTGGATTCCACCTCTGTGAGCTCCCAATCAAACTGAAAGGGAGACCCAGCAAATGGGGTCAATGAAAGCTCTCTGCTTTCAGGAACTTCCAGGACTAATAAGGGAGACAATATTTGACCTCCAGGAGAGGCCAGCATGATGGAGGAGACTCAGTCTCTGCCCTTGGAGAGCCCATGGCCCCTGGCTGTGGAGAGCTGTATGTATGTAACTCAGGCTCAGAGAGCTCCCAGTAGGACAGGGTAAGCATTGACCTCACTCTAATGGGAATGGGTTGTCTAATAGGTGAGGCAGGACACTGATATAAGCAGAAAATAAATGTCATTGTACACTGAGGACCAGCTGATTTGGGGAGATACGGGAAGAACTTATTCAGGAGAGTCAATTTGTGTGGGCGTTTTGGAGGTGGTGAGGTTCAGCTACAGTTAAGGAAGCAGAAGCAGCTCTCAGCTGGACAAGGATTAGAAGGTGAGCATCAGGGTGCTCAGGAAAACAGGATGTGGGGAGCTCATTTTCCAGTTCCTTGGCCTTTGATGGAGACTCTTCTCTACCCTGCCCTGGCCTCCCACTTGGGCCCACCCTCTGGTAACATCCTAGATTTCCTCTGCCTCCCTCACTCCACAGCAGCCACTATGGAAAAAGACATTTCTAGGCTCAGAGGGAGAGTGGAAAGAGGTTTGGAGAAAGGCCTCAGGCCACTTTGAGAAGCTTGGAAAAAGGGGAGCATGGAGGAAGCGGGAGAAGAGGGTAGCTCTGCGGCTGGACCTGGGACTTTCCCAGACACTGAGCTCTCAGATCACGGGCCCTAGGTGGAGGCTGCTTTCCTTGGACCATGCCTGGGTCCACCGTCAGAGTTGGAGGAGCTCATTCTGCAGCCTGTGTCTTCTAGAACAGGCCTCTAGGAGAGAAGGAACTGCAGCCTGCAGGCCAACTCTGGGCCACCACCTCTTTCATAAATAAGATTCTGTTTGAACACAGCCATGCTCATTCACTCATGTATTGTCTGCAATAACAGACTGAGTAGTTGTGACCCAGAACATTTGGCCCATAAAGCTTAAAATAGTTACTGTCTAGCTCTTTACAGAAAATGTTTGCCAATCCTTGCTCTATCTAGAACGAGAACACCACTAGGACAGGGATCTTCGTCTGTTTTATTTGCTGCTGTGTCCCCAGTGCCCAGAACTGTGCCTGGCACATAACAGGTGCTTAATCAATGCATGCAGAATGCAGGAATGAACGACTTGGCCTCTCTACAAATCATGTTTTCAACCACACGGAGCAATATTACCCAACCCCTTTGTTTTAATCTACTTCGACTGATCATTTTACAGATGGGAAAACAGAACTTTGGGAAGTCCAAGTGAGCAGCATTAGTCCTCCAGCCAGTTAGTAGCAGAGCCAGCTCTGGGACACAGGACTACTGACCCACAGGGCAGGGCTCTTTCTGCTGGACATGCTGAAATGCTCCTCAACAGCTTCTTACCACAAGGTAGCCTGCACCATCAGCTAGGAGATTTTCTCCTTTGGCATTTGGCAAAAGATTCCCAGCTGCTGTAAGTGCTTTTGGGCTGTGGCTGGGGGTGTCAGGGACTCCTGGGTCCCAAGAAGTGAAGCTGAAGCCGAGATGGGTCCCAAAGACAGGTCACCAAGCTTACATGTGATATGTCTGGAAAGACACCCAACCCCAACTCAGGTGCGCGGTGAAACCTGCAGCTGTGGTTTGCCTCATCTCTCCTCCGGCCCTAAGGTGGTCACCAATGTGCCTTGGGAGTGGGGGAAGTTATTTGTCAGAACTTGCAAAACAAAAGGCAATTTATTCCTCTGCAGATCCAGAAACAGATAGAAGGGCGGGAGGAATCATGCATGTAGTTGGTCTCCCTCCTGAAGGTCTCCAGGGTTGGAGAAAGGGCTGAGAGCTGTCCCACAGGCTTATCCGGATGGAAGGCAGTCTTATGTCCCACATGTGACACCAAAAGCAGGAATCCCTCATCCCTGTCCTTGGCAGATTCTACAAGTTGAAACACATATAGGACAGGCCCACCTCACTCTTGATGATAGCTCCCAGGTATGTTGTATAGTAAATCCTGTGCCTGTAACAATTCAGGGCAATCTCTTTCCTGAGCTGGTCGATTGTTCTTGATGTCCTCAGCTCCTCGTCCAAACCTCTTAATCCAGGAGCAAATGAGCTGTAAACAACCGCATCACATGGGGCGCAGGAGGAGCTGCTATTGAAGGAGGAAGTGAGGCTGCAGCAGCTTTGCAAACAGAGGGTCACTGGGGATTGGGGTGGCTGCAGACTCTGATGGGATCCCATAGCATCTGCAGGTGAGGGTGGCTGCTGATGCCGATGAGACTTGGGGTGATCCACCTGGGGCAGGTCTTGGACAAGTGTGATGCCCTGAGGGGCCATTTGGGCATTTGCCTGAGACTTTAGGGTGACTGTCCTTTCTCAGTGGATGCAGAAGGATCCAGACAGCCTTGATCCTGTGTCATTGGCATGGATGCAAGTGTTTGGGGAGGACTTGTTGGAGGAGGAGGAGGAGGATCAGCATCTTTGAATAAATGATACGTTTACAAGGAAAAGCTTACTGTGGGCTCCCCTCAGCCAAGAAGTGAGACTGAACAGAAGGTCTCTTCTTGGCCCAGAAGTTCTCTAAAGTCCAGAGTCTGCACCTCCTGCTGCAGAGCTGTGTCTGGGAGCTCCATAAGAGTCAGAGCTGTGTCTCCACCATCAGTCTGATGATTCCTCAAGACCAGTAAGTATACATGTGCACCGGACCAGCAGCTCCTAGTGGGTGGGTGCTAGATACCCCCAGTCTGAAGCGCATCTCCCTCATCCCTCCAGCAGCAAGGTGAGCCCTTTCTTGCTCTCCAATGGTGATCTCGGACCTTTCTTTCCCCGCAGGGCCCCTTGAGAAAGAGCAGAGTCTTCCAGGAAGGCAAGGGCAGCCACTGAGTTAGGAACTGGAATTTACTGTGTGACCTTAGGCAAGTCCTTTTCCCTCTCTGGGCCTCAGTGTCCCTCAAACAAAAACCCAGAGACTTTTCCAGTATGTTAGAAGCATCCTTCCGGTTCTCTCAGCTCCTGCCATGTGCCTTCTGGAGGTAACCTTCTAAGGACTCTGCACCAACCACCGCCCTTCACCCTCATGCTATCTCCCTTTCTCAAGGACCCCGGGCCCCAAGGCAGAGCCAGGTGGCATCTTTGCACTTACACTGGCTGACTCTACACTAGCTGTTTTGCTCCCCATTCTGCCTTCACAGCATTTCTTGTGGTTGAACTACCAGTCTTGCAGGGAAGCAAAATGAAGAGACCCCAACCCTGCCTGCCATCCACTCACTCTCCAAAGTGCAGGGAAACAGCTCCTTTGAAGACCTCAATTTAAACAAGGGAGAGAACAGTTCTGAGATTTTCTTCCCACTCTCTTGGCTCCATCCCTTATAATGGTTTCGTTCCCAAGCCCCAGATATTCTGGGGAGGGTGAATGGGCAGAGGATGGGGGTGGGCCTGGATGACTCATGCCCTGCAAGGTTCTGCCAACACTCGGCATCTGGTCCTGCTTCATGCCTCTCCAGGGCAGCCTCGGGCAAGAGGGAGCCCTTGGTGTCAGAATGCAGGGAGAGGGCACTGAGCACCAAGCTGGCACCTGGGTGGGAGGTGTCCAACACATGCAGCTTCCTTCCCTGTGCAGAGCATCTGCAGCAGGACTCTTCTTGGATGCTCAGAGCCCACCATTAACTAGAGACCAGATTTCTGACCAAGGCCATGGAGGCGGCCATGTTGGCTGCACTGAAAACAGCCGGGCTCCGTGACAATGGGCTTCCTGCCCTTCGTGCAGACCCCACCAGTGGAGGGGTGTTCTTCAGCCTCCTTCACATCAGTGTCCATCAGAGATTCAAAAAAAAAAAGGAAACTACCCAAACTGGTGCCATCAAGGCTGTCACTCACTCTCCTCCCTACGAGCCAGCCGCATGTGCGATTTGACACACTGGTAGCATTTCTGCAAATTACACATCATTCTCCCCACTGAAGCCACACCTTTGACTGCTGTAATATTTACCTGACCGTGCAAGTAATTTTCAGGCTTCACTTAGTGGGCCACTGAGGCATGGAAGAAAGCAGGGATGGCGTTGACTTTGGACAGCAGGCCCAAGAGAAGCTGAAATATTATTAGAAGGTGTCCTAATAGCTCAGACAAGCACAGAGAGACAGCTGCTCGCAGAGCTATGGGCAGAGGATTGGTTTTCATGGTTCTCTATGAAGCATTGTCTCACTGCTGCTTACATGACTCTGAGGATGGAGAGCTCACCACCCACCGTAGACATACCATTCCATCTCTGAGTGCCTCTGACAGTGACAAAGTACTGTATTGACACTGATGATATCTGTCATCCCATAACTTCAACCCATTAATGCTGCCTCTGCTTCATGGGTGATGTAGAATTAAGGTGATCAGCTCATTTTGACTTGCCCAGATGTTTCCCAGTTTTAACACAGAAAGCCCCACATCCCAGGCCTCCACTTTAATGAGTAACTCAGTGTGGTTTGTCTAAACCTATCCAGATTTTAAGTCTGAAAGTCCTGCATCCTGGTAACCCTCTCAATCACAAGCAAACCTGGCCTAGTTATCACCCTATGCAGAAAAATCTATGTCAGCAAATCTGAAAATCTTTCCTCCTCCATCTGATAGCCTACCCAAGGTACAAGTGCGGTTGCTGTGATTCCTCTTGCCCTCCCTCCCCTAGGCACCCCAGGGAGGCAGGAAAGATCAACCGGGAGCATCAGTGGCTGGTCCTGTCTCTAGAAGGAGCAACATGGTGGATGGGCCAGACTCAGTCTTGGGCTCAAACCCACCTGTGCCACTTCTTAGCTGGGTGGCCTCAGCCAAAGCCCCAGCCCCTCAGGGCTGTGGAAGGTGTCAAGGAGATTTTGGGTAGGAAGCCCCAAGACCATGGGTGAGTAGCTGGCATGGAGGATGGCACCTTGAGAGGCTAGGGATGGAGTGTGGCTCGTGATGGACCAACAGGGTGTCATTGAGAGGCAGGGCAGCATGGCAATGGTCATAGCCTGAGTTCCAAGTCCACTGTATTAGTCCATTTTCATGCTGCCGATAAAGACATACCCAAGACTGGGTAATTTATAAAGAAAAAGAGGTTTAATGGACTCACAGTTTCACGTGGCCAGGGAAGCCTCATAATCATGGCCTCACAATCATGGCAGAAGGTGAAAGGCAAGTCTTCCATGGCAGCAGACAAGAGAGAAATGAGAACCAAGTGAAAGGGTTTTCCCCTTATAAAACCATCATCTCTCGTGAGACTTATTCACTAACACTAGAACAGTATAGGGGAAACCGCCCCCATGATTCAATTACCTCTCACCAGGTCCCTCCCACAACACGTGAGAAGTATGAGAGCTACAATTCAAGATGAGATTGGGGGTGGGGTGGGGGGGACACAGCGAAGCCATATCACCCTCTCTGCCACTTCCTGGCTACATGATCTTGGGCCAGTCGCTTCACCCCTCCAGGCTTCAGTTTCCTCATCTGCGTGGAATAAGAGCCCTGCTTCCTAAGGTAGTTGGGAGGATCCAGTGAGCAAGTGCACACAGGGCACTTAGCACCTGGCCTTAGATGAGTTCTGAGGAAATGGTCGCACTTCCACTGTTGTCATCGCTGCTCTCCACATCATTATGTTCATGCTGAAGATCCATCACCCATGTGACCGCGACAGCCCCTTCTTCCATTTTCCAGCTTTGGAATGAGTGGTTTGGAAGAAGCTGGATCTCTTAATAGGTTGAGTGTGTCCCCTCGGCTCTTGCCAGGGACCTGGCTGCCCTGGGGCAGTGGAGAGGGGGCCTCTCAAGCCTCTCACAGTCTTGCCCACTGGACAAAAGAGGCATTTTAATTCAAAGATGCACTTAACTTTAAAGATCCCTCCCCCAGAATTTTCCCCATTTGGCCTTTGACATGCATTCAAACCCCTCAGATGACAGAGATATGTGGGAGGAGACAATAAAACCACAAAAGGAATGGACAAGAGGCCCAGCCTCTGTCCACTTTATGCTCAGGTGGGAGCTGGTGTCTTTCCCCGTTACTGGCCAGGTCTCCTTGCCCCCACTGGGCCCTCCAATCCCTTCTCCACTAGCAGCCAGACGGATCTTTTTTTTTTTTTTTTTTTTTTTTTAGATGGAGTCCCCCTCTGTTGCCCAGGCTGGAGTGCAGTGGCATGCTCTCACCTCACTGAAACCTCCACCTCCTAGGTTCAAGCAGTTCTCATGCCTCAGACAGTAGCTGGGATTACAGGCACATGTCACCATGCCTGGCTAATTTTTGTATTTTTAGTAGAGACGGGGTTTCACCATATTGGCCAGGCTGGTCTTGAACTCCTGACCTCAAGTGATCCACCCACCTCGGCCTCCCAAAGTACTGGGATTACAGGCATGAGCCACCATTCCTTTCCTTTCCTTTCCTTTCCTTTCCTTTCCTTTCCTTTCCTTTCCTTTCCTTTCCTTTCCTTTCCTTTCCTTTCCTTTCTTTTCCTTTCCTTTCCTTTCTTTCTTTCTCACTTTCTTTCTTTCTCTCTCTTTCTTTCTTTCTTTCTTTCTTTCTTTCTTTCTTTCTTTCTTTCTTTCTTTCTTTCGTCTTTCTTTACTTTTTTTTTTTAACCACTCTGCCCATAAAGTCCTTGCTCTCTGGGGACAACAAAACAAAACACAACCAGATCTATAATGAAAAGCAAATGGGTTTTTTTGTTGTTGCTGTAATAACACCAAGGGTTTGTTCAAAGCCAGGTAAAGATTTTTTTTTTTAATATACTGGGTGATTTTTTATTGAACAGTTTCCTTATAATAGAAACCAACACTAGACTCTTGAACTTCCTCTCTCCCAAAGGAAATAAACCAGGCCTCCTGCAGACGAGGTGGGAGGGAAAACATGAGCACAGCTCTCACTGGGACCTGAGATAGGAGCTGCCCGTGCTACCTCTCAGGCTCTATTAGGACCCCAGTGCCTAAGTCTAACTCCTGGGTGTGGCTGAAATGCACCTGGCCTGGGAGTTTGAATCCCAGCTTCGCCACTAGTCTGCTGCTCTATGTGTTGGGGGAAATCACTCGGCCTCTCTGGTAAAGACACCTACCAAGTCAAAGATGAGTCAGGGGCTCACATGGTCCAGTTAGAAGAAAAGAATTGTAAGTGTGTGGCAGAGCATTTGGGTATTGGCTAACTTGTTTCTTTACCCCATTATTATACTAGGACTGGAGATACACGGTGTTGGGCAAAATGGTTCCAGCCCCTACCCTTCTGCAATTTATAGCCAGGTACTATCAGGTATCTATGGCAAAGGCCTATGAAGGCTATAACCACACCTTCTTGCTCAACACTCCAGACCTTGTGCCTTATCACAAAGCTAGCCTCTTAGCCTGGGCTCAAGAAGTAAGTATGTACAGGTTCTGGTCAGGTTGGCCAGAAGAGGAGAAACTGAACTCTTCCTGGAGAGATTAGGAAAAGCTATTGACCTGAGTCGCAAAGAATGAGCCAGAATCAGACAGGTAGATGAGGAAAAGAGGGGCTTATAAGCTAGACCAGGGGTTGCCTAACTCTGGCCCATTGGCCAAATCTGGCCATCTGTTTTTGTAAATAAAGTTTTATTGGAATACAGTCATGTTCATTCATTTCTGGATTGTCCAGGGCTGTTTTGTGCTATAAGAGCAGAGTTGATTAATTGTGACAGACGCTGTGTAGCCTGCAAATCCTAAAATATTCTTACAGAGAAAGTTTGCTGTCCACTGATCTAAACAAAGGAGTCAGGCCAAGGAAAGGCCCAGAAATCTCTTTCTTGCTTAGAACTAGAATTGGCCACCTAATGACTGGGCATGGTGGCTCGCACTTGTAATCCCAGCACTTTGGTAGGCCAAGGTGGGCGGATCACTTGAGGTCAGGAGTTCAAGACCTGCCTGGCCAACACGGTGAAACCCCATCTCTACTAAAAATATGAAAATTAGCTGGATGTGGTGGCATGCACCTGGAATCCCAGCTACTAGGGAAGGCTGAGGCAAGAGAATCGCTTGAGCCTGGGAGACAGAGGTTGTAGTAAGCCGAAATCGCGCCACTGCACTCCAGCCTGGGTGATAGAGTAAGACTCTGAAAAAACAAAAACAAACAAACAAAAAAGAAGTGGCTACCTAAATTGTGTGGCCCAATGCAGAATGAAAACAGGGGCCTCTTCTTAAAAACCGATTACAAATTTCAAATTTCAGAAGCAGAGTCTTAAACCAACTGCAGAGCCCTTGTAGGCACAGGTCTTTGTGCAGCTCTTGCAGGCTCTGGGCAGAGTTAGAAGTTGCGCTCATGCTCTTCCCTGGGAAACCACACTGGGAGTAGATCTGGGAGGCAGTCTTGACCCAGGGATCTAAGCTGGGGCTTGGCGTCTCCAATCCCCAAGCCAAACCTCCAGAAAGACCAGCCTCGGATCTACTCCCCAAGCCAAGGGGATGGAGAACTGACCTTCCCGTCTCAGCAATCCCGTCCCATTCTTGGAGCCTGGCTGTGATGAGAAGCAGAGGTGGGCCCAGCTGCCTCTCCCACCGGGAGTGTCTTGGTGATCAGACATGCAGCAGCCATAAGAAGACACATGGCAGTTTAATGGGACCCTCTCTCTGACGATGCTGTTCTCCCCATGCTCACCTGGAACTATCTGATGGGGGAGCAGTGGGGAAAGGAACCTCACCTCACCCAACTATGGAACAGCAAAATGAGAACAAGGGCTCATGGAAACCTTCCATGCTAGGTGTCCGCTCAACCCCAACCCCTTAGATTCCTGGACTAAAGTCTGTGTCATCTGCCCTTCCATTGCACAGACACCTGCAGGAGACAGGAAGCCAGATGGAAATGCGGCCAAAGTCTTTATTCCCCAGCTCCTCCCAGTGGGGCCCCTGGGTCCCTCCACCCAAGCTTTTGGGTGGAATTCTTCTTCAGCTGCTGCTCTCTTGGATTCAGGGAGACCTCCCACTCCTTTGCCCCCTTCCCTTTTCTCCTAAGAGGACTACAGTCCCCACCGGTCTCTGCCCCAGTGTTGCCTCATGCCTTATTGGAATTTCTCCGCCGTGCCCATATCTTTGTAAATCACCTTGGAATTAAGGTCTTCTTATTTATGATCTTTTCAAGGAATATCTGTTTCCTGCTGTGCCCTGCCTGGCACAACCATCTTCCCCCAACCCAAATGGCTTCAGTCAAATAGAGCCTTGTAACAGATGGAAGTTGCATCCACACTTCCTCTTGCAAAGGTGGGTGCTGAACAGGGCTCCTCCTTGGCAAGAAGTTGACCACTGTTCTGGCTGAGCAATTCTAATGCTTCCCCTGGTGTCTGCTGGGATCACTGGGTAGTATTCAGTGGGCGGCTGATCTGGTCTGCAGGGGTCAAGGCAGCTTTACCCACCTGCAGGCATGGCTAGAAGGCTGGCTCAGCAAGGTCCCCCTCCTTCTCCAGGTGGCCTCTCTAGCACCACAATGGGATGTCTTAAGCAGCAGCTCAGGATGTACTTGTTCCCAGAGCCCTGAATGAAAGCTTCCAGCCCCTAAGGCTTGGGCTTGGAGATTGGCACACGTCTGCCACGTCCGCCAATTCTATTGGTCAAAGCAGTCTCCAAACATGTCTAGTTTCAAAGGGAGAGATCGTAGACCCCCCGACCCCCGCCATCTCTAATGCAGGAATCTCAAAGAATATGTGCCATCTTTCATCTACCACACATTCCTTCCTCTCATTATCATCACCTTCTTCATTTGCTGAGAGCTGGGGTCACAAGCCATTGTCTGGGGCCAAATTTGTCCTGCAGATTGTGTTAATTTGATCTACACTGGGGTTTCTGTTTTTAATTAGATGACTTGGACCTGCATAGACTCCCTGTCTCAACACTGGTCCCACCCTTCCCGCTGCCTGCCAGGGGCTCTCTCCTTGGCTCCTGGGGCCATCGTTTGGTGGTCCTGGACTAACAGGTGCATGGGACCAGTCAGATGGGCCACACACAAGGACACTCATACATACAAATTATCAGAACTTTTATATAACTCATCTCTCCCAGCCCAATTTCTGGAAATAAATGCTGGTTCAACAAATGTGTAGACCTTTTCTGAAGTCTCCAAGATGGTGTTGGGGAAAGAGACAGGACTGAGAGACCCAGGGGCCTGTGTTCTTGTCACCGTACTGCCTGGTGGCCTTGAATAGATCGCCTGGCCTCCCTGGGCTGTTGCTTCTGCATTGTGCAGAACAAAGAAAAGATGTCACCCCTGCATCGTGCAGGACAAAGGCTGGGGTCACCCCAAGTTTGAGGCCCAGCTCCTGCCTCTTGTCTCAGGCCGATCACTCCATCACTCTGGCCTCGGTTGCCTCCTTTGAAGATTGGGGCCATAACGTGAATCCCGTGGGGTGGTTGCAAGGATGAAATACAGTGCCAGGCACGGAGCACTTGGTCCTGACAGGCCCTCCTGTACACTCTGATGCTCTGTGCCTGCGTGGGGCCTTCAGAGGCCAAACTCCCCCGCCCTAGCTGAGACTCACTCACCTCTGTGTCTAGCACAGGGGCTGACACATAGTAGGTGCTCAGGGAACCCTTGTTGGATTGGACTGACCCTTTGTCAAACAAAGCAGTAGCAAGAGAAATGAAAACGTGACTTTTTTTAAAAAAAAGAAAACTTGTGCAAGAATGTTCTTAGCAGCTTGAAGCATAGCAGAGCCCAACTGGAAACTGTCCAGGTGCCTTTTAACAAAAGAACAGCTTAACAAACATAGCGTCTCCTTGACATGGAATACTACTCAGTGATTAAAAGGAATAAACCATGGTACACACACAGCAGGGGTGGATCTAAAAAATATTATGCTGGGAGAAAAGAGCCTTCCCTGGAATCTACGTACCGTATAATTCGTTGATACGAAATTCTAGAACAGGATAAAATGTGACAAACAGATTAGAATAACGATCATCTCTCGGGTGAGGTTTGGCTGGGAAGGAGCGGAGGGAATTTTCTGGAGTAATGGTAGTGTTCTGCATCCTGAGAAGGGCTCAGCTTACACTGGTGCACGCATTTGCCAAAACTCAAAAAGAACCCTGAGTGGTACTCTTGAGATTTGTGCAATTCATTGTGTGTAAATTTGACCTCAAAAGAAAAGGAATTGTAAATAAATATTGAACTCTAAATAGAAGGTTTAGGAGTAAACTGTACAGGTGTCTGCAGCTCACTTTGGAAGGCATCGAATAAATAAGGCTGTGTGGCTGCATCGAGAGGGATGAATGGAGGGTGGGGGGAGATATGATAAAGCAAACATGGCTGCATTCATTTATTTATTTATTTATTTATTTATTTATTTATTTATTTATTTTATTTTGAGACAGAGTCTCACTCTGTTGCCCAGGCTGGAGGGCAGTGGCGCGATCTCAGCTCACTGCAACCTCTGACTCCCAGGTTCAAGCAATTCTCATGCCTCAGCCTCCTGAGTAGCTGGGATTACAGGCGCCCCCCCAACACACCTGGCTAATGTTTGTATTTTTAGTAGAGATGGGGTTTCACCATGTTAACCAGGCTGGTCTCGAACTCCTAACCTTAAGTGATCTGCCTGCCTCGGCCTCCCAAAGTGCTGGGATTACAGGTGTAAGGTTTTTTTTGTTTGTTTGTTTGTTTGTTTGTTTGTTTGTTTGTTTTGAGACAGGGTCTTGTCCTGTCACCCAGGCTGGAGTACAGTGGCGAGATCTTGGCTTATTACAGCCTCAACTTCCTGGGCTCAGGAAATCCTTCCACTGCAGCCTCCTGAGTAGCTGGGACTACAGGCACATACCACCATGCCTGGCTAATTTTCTGATATTTTTTGTAGAGATGGGGTTTCACCATGTTGCCCAGGCTGATCTCAAACTCCTTCGCTCAAGCAATCTGCCTGCCTCGGCCTCCAAAAGTGCTGGGATTACAGGCACGAGCCACTGCACCCAGCCCATGTTCACATTTTAATTGTGGAAGCCAGGTAATGGGTATATGGGTGTTTGCCTTAAAGATTTTTACACTTTCCTGCATGTTGGGAAATGTTCGTAATCAAATGTTGGGGGAAGAAAACATGAAGCTATAGAACTAAGCTAGGGCTTGTCTCTGAGCCTCATCTGTCAAATGCAGACAGCACTACCCAGACGGGCAACCCTGGGATCAAACGAGAAGCAGTGAATAAAGAGGAGCCCATGGGGACGTGGCAGGAAGCAACTTGATTCTTCTAAGCAAGCGGGGCCCCACCTCCTCATTTGGATCTCAGCTTACATGTGACCTTCTGAGGCTGCCCTCCCCTGGCCACCCATCTCTTGTAGCCATCACCCTATGTTAATGTCTGCATGGCAATTCTCTCTAGCTGATACATCTCTTCCATCTTCCTTAATTTAAGGTATATGGCTCCTGACAGTAGAATGTGGATTCTAGGAGAAGAGGGACATTGTCTAATTCATGGCAATATCTCTGGCACATAGTGGGGACACAGTAACTCTTTGTGGAATGAAGGAAGCAATGAGTAGGGCCTGCATATGCTCTATCGTAACCCCTCAAGTGTAGAATTCTGCCACCCAGAATTTGCCTAGTGTTAACGCCACCCCCATAGAACAGCAGGAAGAGAACTTAGCAATCAGCCATCCCCTGGGCCCCATTTAACAGATGGGGGAGCCAAGGCCCAGAGAGGGAATGCAAATTTCCCAGCATCCGCTACCAGTGAGTGGCTGAGCAGAGATGGGGCCCAGGTCTTCTAGCTCCCAGCTCAGTGTTCTTCCTCTCCAACTGGCTGCTGGAGCTCGTGGTAAAGTGCTGATTCCCAGGAACAGCCGGCAGATGGACAGACAGGCTTCACTGGGCTGGGCTGCCCTGATGCCATGTGTTAATTACAGCAGACAGGATATGCCAGCCTAGCAATGTTTGCCGGTGCACCCGCCCCTCGTTTAGCAGGTGGGCAGGCTGGCGCAGGCCACTGATCTGCCACGGGTCTGCCGGCGGCCGATCATGCTGACACAGGCCCAATTGTGCACAGCGCCTGCTAAGTGGGGTGGGCCAGGCAGATTGGCACAGCAAGGGCCCTCTCCGAGGACTGGCAGCCCCTTCTGACTGCATTGGTCAGCCAGACTGGTACAAGCTGGGCATCTGTCCCATGATGAGCCCTTGCTGGACACAACCTGTCTACACAGGTGTGCCCACTGACCGGCAGCCCGGGGGGTGACACGGGGACTGAGTGCTGAGCATGACCATGGGGAGACCTTGTAGGGGGTGTCACAGGCAGGGGATGTGGGCCAGAACCTCACACACAGGTACACAGATACTGGGATCAGATAGGACTCTGCCATGCTCCCGCCCCCCACACCTGCCCTGTTGACTGGTGGGATCCAAAAATCAAGTTTGCAGCCCTGAAAGAGGGGCTGGAAAAGTGGTCTCTTCTCTCCAACCCAATGCCTCTTCCCAATTGCCACTAGTTCTACTGTTCACACTGCAGCCAGGGGGATTTCTCTGATACCAATGGAGCTGATCACTCTCCTGTTTGAAGCCTTCAATGGCTCTCCATTTCCCTCCAATAAAATAATAGTAATAATAATATGCATTATTAGCATTTTACAGCTAACAGCACTCAGTTATAGCATGTGTACTATGTGAAAGACACCTTCTAAGCACTTTATAGGGAAGAACCCGATTCATCCTCCACCCTAGATGGTGGTGCTATTGCTATCCTCATTTTACAGGTAAGGAGACTGAGACAGGGAGATAGGAGATCTCAAATTGACTTGAACCTAGAGGTCTGACTCCAGAGCCTAACCACTACCAAACCCAGACTCCACATGTGTGAGCCATGACCCTCCCACACCAGGCCCTTCTACACAGCACCCCCAGAACTTGTCCTGAACCCCCCTCACTCTCTACCCAAGCCTTGCCTTCTTGTTGATGCCTGGGGACCCCCATGATCTCCTCCTGTCTGCCCCGAAGGCTCTGCTTCAACCTCCAAAGCAGGGCTCAGGGTCCCCTTCTGGGCAGGGCCTGCCCTGGACCCTCCCTGGCAGAGCTCCCCGGCCTGCACGCCAGTGCCATTTCCACTCCATGTCAGCAGCCTGCTGCTGAGCGAGCACCTGCTGCTAATGTTTCTCTCCTGACCCCAACCTCCACCTCACCCATTCTGTGAACTCCCTGATGACCCCTCTGTCCACAGGCCTGGCCTGCAGGAGGTGTTTATGAATGAAGAAATGAACGAATGAATGAATGAATGAATGAACAGGCAAGTGAATGAATGAATGAACAGGTGAGTGAATGAATGAATGAATGAACAGGTGAGTGAAAGAATGGGAAGCTGAGGTCACTGGGGTTACAGGAATGCACACCGAGGGTGTGTAGTGAAGAGTGGCTTTCTGCCGGGCATGGTGGCTCATGCCTGTAATCCCAACACTTTGGGAGGCGAGGTGGGTGCATCACCCTGAGGTCAGGAGTTCGAGACCAGCCTGGCCAACATAGTGAAACCCTGAGGTCTCTACTAAAAAAAATATAAAAACTAGCCAGTCGTGGTGGTGGGCACCTGTAATCCCAGCTACTCTGGAGGTTGAGGCAGGAGAATTGCTTGAACTCAGGAGACGGAGGTTGCAGTGAGCTGACATGGTGCCGCTGCACTCCAGCCTCAGCAACAGAGTGAGACTCTGTCTCAAAAAAAAAAAAAAAAAGAGTGGCTGTCATGGAGACACAGGTGGCTGAATAAGTCCCTCCTCCTTCCTCCTCAGCCCACTCCTTCCAGAACACAAGAGGGGAGGGCATTTGTTAAACTGGGAAAGAGCCCCCGAGCCCCTCTCTTTAGGGGCAAGCCATGTGACCCTGAACCCTGTCTCTAATGCTGGGATTTTCCAAGAGCATACTTGTCGGGAGGCAGGGAGGAGGCAGCGAGGAGCTGGACATGATCACCTGGTCTGGAGGAGGGACCTGAGTATCTCAGGTGCTGCAGCTGTTCAGCCCTCGGTGAACCTGTGCTTTTAGGGTCTGGATTCCAAGCATCTGGATTTGGGGGTGTGGTGGAAAGAGGGTGTGCTTCGGAGCAAAGAGCCTGGCTCCCAGCTCTGCGGACTCCTCCCTCTGTGACCCTGGGCATGCCCCTCCCCTCTTTGGGCCTTGGCTTTGCCTTGTGTAAAATGAGAGCCCTAAATGGGACAGTCAAGGGCGCTCCTGCTCTGAATGACCTCCTAGGGCACCAAGGGTCCAGCAGTTGATGGCCCCCTGGGAAAGCTGCAAAGAGACCCTGGTGAGGAGTGGGCCTGGGGGTTCCGGACTGTGTATCCGGTTGTGGTTCCTGACCCCTGTGTCCAAATGACCTGATGACGCTTGTTAAAAATGCAGAATAAGGACTGCATTCAGAAGTCACTGAGTTGGAACCTCCAGGATGGGCTTCCGGGGAAACTGACATTTTCAAACCCCACCCCCACTCTGGCCCAGGTGATTCCACTGTGCACTGAAGTTCGAATGTCTGGCATCTATCTGAGGCCCTTTCTATTTCCCCTGCTTCCTGTCTGCTAGCCCCTAAAGCATGAAGCGGGAGCGGGGTGCTGCATGGGAGGTGGAGAAGGAGGTCTCAGAGCTCCCATGCATGTGTCTGATAGAGTTTGGGGGGCTCAGGTGTTTGGGTCGTGACTGTGGGCTTTGTATTCGACTGGTGGGTGCCTATCTGGGCATGGGAAATGGCAAGGGAGATACAACCTTACATTTGCCAAAAACTCATCCCCTTACATACACACACACACACACACACACACACACACACACACAAACACACACCCTTTCCCGGAGTGAGGAGCAGGGTATATAATTGCACTTACAGCTGTGGGTGCAGGCATTGTGCATGCACAACACCGTAAGTCCACAAACTGACACGCAGCCCTGAAAATGCCTGCATACACTCTCTTACACTCCCTGTGAGACCTCCTGGTCTTCCCTGTGCTAACATCTAAAACTACGCATGAACATTCTCATTATTACTTTGCCTTTCACACACATGTACAGCCTCGTAGGCAGCCTGGAAACACACCTATTTGTACAGTCATCCCTACGGATGCACAGATGCACACCCATACTCCGTTGAACACAGGCTTCCTTGTTCACAGCAGGCTCACCCACGCAGGATGGGGTCCCAGCTCACACCAGTGGCACACACCTCCTCACACTTGCAGGAGCACCTGCCCACATGTGGAGTGTGGGTCCTACAAAGAAGCTGCAGCCGCTCTCCTCCCTGCCACTCTCCCCCCAGCCCCCAGGCCCATCTCTGAGCTGCTGTCTGCCATCGCACGGTAACCGGATGAGACAGGCAATTTATGACACCAGCTGTCTCTGTCAAAACCGGATCTCCCACACACACCAGGGGAAGCCAATTACCTTGAGCCCAGCCCTGCCAGAAACCGGGGCCCACAAGGGAGAGCAGGGACTGCCCAGAGAGGTGAGTGGCACCTGACATGAGGATTTTCTGCCTCTTCTTGTCTTTGGGCATCTGGTATCCTCTTCCCCCAGGCCCCCTTGGGGAGGACAGAGCCTGCCCTACCCTCTCTGAGGCTGCTTCTCTGGCCCAGCTCCCAGGCCTAGGAACTGCAAGAGCGGTTTCAGGGTGGAGAACAGGTGGGCAGGGAGGTTTAGGGGAAGAGTGGTCCAGGGTCGTTATGGCAACAAGAAAGGGAAGAACCCTGTGCCCCTCCCCCTACACAGCAGGCGGCCAGGCGGCTGAATCATTCTCCCAGGCTTCCTCTCCGCCTTCATTCCCCTCACCTCTTCCCTCAACACCCCTGCCCTGGTTTTCCTCTCCCTAGAATACCTACTCCCTTTCTTGCCCCCCTGCCCGAAACTAAAGCCAACTCTACTACCTGAGCCACTTCCTGTCTGGACTTTGGAATCAGACCCATGTTCAAAGCTCTCCATTTCACCACCTCCTAACTGGGAATCAGGGCAAATGGCATCCCTTCTCTGGCCATGGGTTTTGCATCCAAAAGAAAAAATGATGTTCATTCCTATAAAAAAAAATGTTGAAAAGGAGTCTTCTAAGTACCAGACTCCGTTCTATAATCGGGGATGCAACATTGAACAAAATGAAGTCCCACCCTGGGCTTCAGGCTCCACTGCAGGAGTCGGAAACCACACGTTTCAGAAATTTAGAAGAGATGAGTCAGTTTTCTCACTGTCCTCATCTGCTTTGTTTACAGCCATACTCCCAGCACCAAGCACAGCTCCTGAAAGGACCTCAAGCAATAGACAAACTCACAAAGGCACCAGTGGACTCAAGCTCTAGCCTGAGGTTGACTTGGTCTAGTGCCATCTTTGTGCCCAGCCTTGCAGGGCGCTTTCTAGGCATACTTTCTGAGTGGGTGGGATGGCGGCAGATCTGCTTAAGTGAACAGGAAGTCCGTTCCTTCCTTCACTGACTCATTGGTTCATTCCACAAATGCACATTGAGCATGTACTACGTGCCGGTTCCCATGCTAGGCTCCTGGGATCAAGTGAGATGGGCAAGGACTCCCACTTGATAGTTGCATGGCAGAAGTTTCTAGATTTGCTCATCACCTCCCACAGTCTAGAAGCTGAGCAATAAATTCACACTAACAGCAGTGTCCACTTGCCTTTGCATTTTGCAAGATGCTTTTACATATGTTTGTTTCTTTTAGTATTTCTCACAACTCTGGGGTGTGAGTTTGTTTAATATCCCTCGCGTTACAGATGAGGAAACTGAGGCTTAGAAACAATCAGTGACTTGCCTGAGAACCCAGAGCCAGGGAGTGAAGCACCCACAGTAAAACTGAGTCCCTTTCTAGCCCTCATTGTCTCTTGCATTATCTAATTTAATGCCCTTTTCCCCTAACTACCATGAAAGGCAGGTATCGCCTTAGGCTGTTTACAGCCAGGGAGCACCTCTTGCCTGGGCTGGGATTGGAAGCTGTGCTGGGCTGACACAAGATCCCAGGTGCCATCCACTCCTCTATATCTAATCAGTTCATTAAAACCCTCCTTGCAAACACTCTCTCGGCTGCCTGGACACAGAGACCTCAGCTGCTCCATTTCCAGGAGAGCAAATTCCTTCCTGGCTGGAGAGGAGTTGGGATAATGTAGACAGGCAATTTAAACAGCCGGCAAAATACACCAGCAGTTTTCACTCTCTGCCACTATTACACTTTCCAGCCGTGGCGGGATTGGCCCATAAGTGGGATATCAAGTTTATTACAGCTATTTCCAACCTGTAATTGGTTTTGTGGAAAACAAAGAGAAGGAGGTTGGGAAGGTGGGGGGAGGTGATATTTTCCCCTTTTCTTTTTTTTTTTTTTCTTTTTCGGATGACAGCACCCAGGGACATTGGTGAGGCAGCCGAAGTTGGAGACTTATTTGTTTTTCAAATTAAACAGCCAGGCCGGTCAGCGGGCTCTCACACTGCTGGCTGGACTAAGTCCACCGGCCACGCTTTGATGACTCTACTTGAAAAGCAACCTGGCCTGGCTGCAGCCTAGATTTGCTGGTTGGGGTCAGGGGGCAGTCAGGGCCCAGAGGTGGGGTCTGGCAGCTCTGGAGCATGAGAAACTGTGGTCTCTAGGCTGACTCTTCTAGAATCAGAACACTGCGGGCATTCAGGGCAGCAAAGAGTCCTCAGTTTCCTCATGGAACATTTAGGGAAACTGGGTCCCAGAGAGAGGAACAGTGCAGAGACAACCTTTGGGACTTAGAACCTAGCTCTCTGCCTCTCAGAAACTTCTACACAGTGTAGCTGGTCATTTGGGGGAATTCCTGGCTGAGATGCTCTCAGCATGGGGAAGAAAAGAGACACCTGTTCTTAAGAACCCATGTTACGGTCTGCTGCCATCATTGCAGTCCACCCACCCTGACCAACCTCCCTACTTCGGACTTAAGAAAAATACGCAATAGCTAATATGATGGAGCACTTTCTGTTACGATGACAGGAGGTGATGTTTGCAAGCAATATCTGGCACAGGGTAGGCGCCAATGTATGCCAGCTATTGTTATTCCCGTCATGCTATTATTACCGCATGCCAAGCAATCCCCTGGGCTCTCTGTGTGTTCACTCTTACGCACTGAATTCTCACACGTGTGCCTTACAGGGAGGCATGATCCTTCCCGTTTTGCAGATGAGGAAACAGGCACACAGAACCCTCCAACCTCACCCAGCAATCAACTGAGTGGCAGAGCTGGGATCTGATTCCAGAGCTGTGTGACCCCAAAAGCCTCTGCACATTTCCCATATCCCCAACCTCAAAGTAGGTCTTCTGCTCCCTTCTTTTGGACTCATCCATGCTGAGCGGTCAGCTCTGCTGTTTACTATTACAAGTATAATACATGTGTGACCTTGGGCAGTTCACTTGCCTCTTTCTTGGCCGTGGTTCCTGTCTGCAAATGGGGATCATGACACACGTCTCTTGGTATAGTTCACTTATTCAACATCCCTTCGTATGCCAGGCACTGTGCTAGGCTCTGGGATACAGGGCTCTTGGAGCTTACAGTCCTGAGATTCCAAGGAACAATGGAAGGGAGGGCTGGGGGACACTCAGCCTGTGTAGGCACTGGTTAGGATGCAGATTCTTTTGCATAACTACGTGCACAGCCTCTTCTGTCTGGTCCAGGTGTACGCTTTGCAGAGTTAGGATGTTTTCCTGCACAGAATATCATTAATGCTGGGAGCTTTAAGAAAGAGAAAGCCTGCTGGTTCCTTTTGGAGCCTCACATCGGAGGTGGTCTGAGGCCACTGTCCCGCCTGGGCCAGGCTACTCTTACCAGGGAGTCCCAGACAGATCAGGGTCCAGGCACAGCAGGCTGTCCTGGGGCCAGTCTGTATCGCAGAGCAGCAAGGGCCTTTTCCCTTTTCTTCATGGTATTCCCAGTGCCTGGCACATGGTAAGGTCTCAACTCATTCATTCACTCATTGACTCATCCAGCAGATATTTATCGAGCGAGTGCCATTTGCTAAATTCTGGAAACAGAGCAATGGACAGGACAGATAAAGACCCCATCTTCGGCCAGGCACAGTGGCTCACGCCTGTAATCCCAGCACTTTGGGAGGCCGAGGCGGGCGGATCACGAGGTCAGGAGATCGAGACCATCCCGGCTAAAACGGTGAAACCCCGTCTCTACTAAAAATACAAAAAATTAGCCGGGCGTAGTGGCGGGCACCTGTAGTCCCAGCTACTTGGGAGGCTGAGGCAGGAGAATGGCGTGAACCCGGGAGGCGGAGCTTGCAGTGAGCCGAGATCGCGCCACTGCACTCCAGCCTGGGCGACAGAGCGAGACTCCGTCTCAAAAAAAAAAAATAAAATAAATAAATAAATAAAAATAAATAAAAATAAAAATAAAAATACAAAAAATTAGCTAGGCGTGGTGGCAGGTGCCTGTAGTCTCAACTACTTGGGAGGCTGAGGCAGGAGAATGGTGTGAACCTGGGAGGCGGAGCTTGCAGTGAGCTGAGATCGTGCCACTACACTCCAGGTTGGTGACAGAGCGAGACTCTGTCTCAAACAAACAAACAAACAAACAAAACAAAAAAAAAATCCACCCATCCTCATAGAGCTTATGTTCTAGGAGTAGCTCATATTCAAGGACCTGTGTGTTTGTTCATCAAAAGTCTGTTGAATATGGAGTGAATGAAATCATTCATTTCAGAAGTGCCTCTCGCTCTGGGGCCAGGCAAACCCACACATCCACAGGGCTTGGCTTACCTTGTCTGCCTTGTCACCTCTGTGGTTGTCGGTCGGCCCTGGCCTCGTGGTCCCTACCCACTGGCACCATGGGAGCCTCTCAGAGCCCATGAGACCTGCCTGCCTCCAGGTACTCACTCAGGGCATCCCTGCACTTTGTTTTGAAGCTGCTACGATGACTACTAGCAAATTCTCGGTCCCTGCTCTCTGCACCCCACTCCTTATAGACACAACCCAGCCTTCTGGCACCTTCCACCTGCCTCCCTCTCTGGGTGTGGGCTCCCTTCTTTCATTTACTGAATTCCACATCCTCTGGCATTTTAGCAAGAGATGCTTTGCTCTCCAGCCCCATAGACAGAAAGAGCCCTGGAGGGTGGGGAGGGACACAGAAAAACAGATGGTCCAGAAAGGTGTGAGTGCTCGTGAAAATACCCCATGAGTGAGCACTTCCCACCCACCAGGGACTCTACAAGGCTCATGTAATCCTCATAGGGAGGAACGTTGCCTTATCCCCATTTCACAGATGAGGAAACTGAGACTAGGGGAGGTGGAATGACTTCTTCAGAGCACAAAATTAGGAACCGAAATCAAACATTCAACTGGGGATGGAGGAAATCAGCCTTGCTTCATGCTCCAAAGCCTCCCATAGACAGAAAGAGCCAGCCTAGGACCAAGCACTCCCTGAAAAGGGCCTACTTCCTCCAGGAAGCCTTCCATGATCACCCTTCCCTCCAAGGGGATTCTTGGCTCCTTCAGAAGTGTCAGAACATCATTGGATAACACTTGGTAATTACCTGTTGCTGCTGCAGCCATCATCTTACTGACTCTGGAACCTCAGCTAATTGTGGACTGTGTACCTCTTGTGAATAAGGTCGTAATGGGCTGCAACCATGTCTGAAATGTATTTCCTTCTCGGCCGTGAGGCTGCAACTGCCCCTGTATGTCTCAGGCGTGGAGAAATGTTTCTAGAATTAAAGGCGAGGTGTCTTCCAGCACACCCACCACACCTTCTGTCCACAGCCTGTACTAATAATCCCCAACTCCCACCTGGCCTCTTTCTTGGGCCCTCTAACCACCAGGAACCACAGAATAACATCCTTGCAAATAGCTGCTAGCCCGCTGGCCCCACCTGAGCGTGTCTGAGCCTCCCATTTCCTTTGCCTTCCGAGAGGCTGAGGGAGGAAGGAGTGTGTACCACAGACAGCTGGGACAGTGGGGCCTGCCCTCCAGATCCCTCACCCTGCAGCTGAGATAAGCACTTGTCTCCAGCTGCCTGAAGCAGGTTTCACAGAAGCAGTTATTTACTCCTCTGGCTGACAGTGAGGCCCTGACACAGCCCCAGAGAAACAGATGTAAATAAAACCAAAGGAAAACTAGTCTCGTCCTTGAAACTCCCCTGTCCCTCAGCCTGAAACAGAGATTTACGACTCGGATAATTCTTCAGTGCTTTATCTGGGGTGTGTGGGTATGTGTGTGGATGTGTGGGGTGTGGGTGTATTTTCCTCGTAATAAAACCCTCAGTCTCGGCGAATAAATTTGAGGAGACAGTTTTACTGACAGATTTTTTTCTCTTTTGTGTAATAAAAAAAATGGAGTGAAATTTGAGATTGGGACGATAAGGGCTGCCGCATTTTAGGAGGAGATAAAAAAGCAGTACCTGAAGGGAGGTGAGGCCAGAAGACGGGCTGCCAGTTAAACAGGCAGGATGCCTTCCGCTTTATGACTTTGGGAGAAAAATCCTCACACCTCCACTGAGATTCTGACATCCTTTCTCCTAATGAGCCTGGCCACCAGGGGTGGAAAGGGACGTTGAGAGGCATTCAGTTCACCCGCAGTCTCTTCCAGCCTGATGGGATGGGATGTGAACTCTGGTCCAGAAGCCAGACGCTTGTCAGGAACCTAGTGTGGGGCCTCAGCCGAATCATTTTGCCTCTCCAAGCCTCAGTTTCTTTACCTGCAAAATGGGAACATTCTTGTCTATTCGGCTCTGTTCCCAGGGACCTGGTACAGCCACACAATGTGATGGGCTTAAAACTGGGTTTCTCCACCTGGGCACTGTTGACATTTGGGGGCCAGATAATTCTTGGGAGGGGGGCAAGGGGCTGTCCTGGACATAGTGGAATGGTCAGCAGCTTCCTAGCCTCTATCAGCTAGACACTGGTACCTACCAAACCGCACCTCTCCTCCCCAGTTGTGACAACCAAAAATGTCTCCTGAGCTTGCTGTATGTCCCCTGGTGGTTAGGGTGAGCAAAATCACCCCCCAAGTGAAAAGGCCCTGCTTTAAAGGTACTTTGGTGGCTGTAAAAAAGTCAAATGGGTGAGGCGGGGATGGGAAGAGGGTGCATGGAGAATGGGGAGCCCCTGGAGGGTCTTGGCCTCTACCCCAGGCTGGGACATTGGGATGTGGGGAGATGGAAGCTCTGATCCCAAGTACAGCCAACTCTCTTCTCCACCCCATGCCAAGCTGGACACAGTCAACTCAGGGACATTCTTCTGGGTGATGACAGTGGACGCAGAGTCAAGGTGTGGTTGGTTGGGGTGAGCATCTTTCTTGGGGTGAGTGCCAGCAGGGATCCCAAGAGGAGAGGAGAATCCTCCTGTCCCCGTCCTCCTCATCTTCCTCCACTCTCATGGTCCCGTTTCAGAAGCTGGGCCTGTGCTGCAGAAGCAGCCAGGTGGGAGGAAGTGGTCCTCTGTCTCCCCTCTGCACATGGTCAGAAAGCGCCAAGCCCTCAGAGGGGAAGAAAGTGACGCGTGTACATGTCGCTAAGTCCCGACAGAGATAGGAGGGGTGTGGGCTTACGGAGGGGTAAGGAGAAGCCGTGCCCTGGGAAGTCTCACTGCCGCTTCCTCTCAGGGTCCCAGAGCCTGCGAAGGCCTTCTCATGATTCTAACCATCCCCCGTCCTCACAGAGGCCACCTTACTCTTTACAAAGCTTGCAGGCTATGGAAAGTGACTGGCACAGACGTAGCCTGTGTCTGCACACAGCTGGTTGCTCAACCAGTGCTGGCCAGATGCACGGAGTCTCTCCTAAACCAGTAGCAACACCACCTAGGTCAGAGAGATGTGGTCCAAGTCAGCTTGGGTACATATGTGTCCAGAGGAGCCCAGCTGTGTCTAGGGCCAGTACTCCCAGGCAGGTGACAGGGGGACAGATTCACACTCCAATCCTCACCTTTTTGCCTGGGGAAGCTGCTTTCAGCATCCCCCCTACCCCAGCCCCTTGGAGTCACCCGTCCCTAGCCAGCCCCCTCCCTGCCCCTTTCCCCGCTGCCTCCACCACACAGAGCCGCAGGGAGCTAATTCCACTTCTCTAGGCCCAGGCATGAGGCCTCCCCATTGCAGGCTGTTAGCGCAGAGCCCAGCTGAGCTGCGAGAGGCTGCAAGCTCCCAGTCTATAATAGAGTTGCTGAGACAAGCGGAAAAACTGCAGCCGAGTAAACAGATAAATAATTGAAACAGTGACAACACATACCTTGCTGCTTCGTGGAGTAACACTTTCATTAGCTGGAGGCAGCGCAGATGTGGGGAAGCAGGCGGGCGGCAGCTGAGGGCACGGACGCTTGGGTTCGCTTTCCATCAGCCATGAACAGCGGGACAGCCCGGCAGCCTTGGGCTTCCAGCGCTGGCTTCATCGCCACCTCCCTGCCTTCTCCCACTTCCGCATTCTTAGGTGAAATGGGGACTTCATGTCCTCTCTCCTGGCCCATCCCAAGACGAGGGCAAGTGCCCCACGCTGTCCCCGTCTGCATCGCCCGTGCCGGGATGTTGGATTCCTGGCCTCCTCCCGGGCTCCCTGCCTCTAGTCTTGCCCCTTTCGATTCATCCTCAATCTATAGCCAGAGGAGCTTGTAAATCTAATCTAATCCTGGCCCCGGGGACCACCGCCTTCAGGAGAAGCTGAGCTCCTTTGCTGTGGAGACCCTCCATGATCTGGCCCACATTTTTCTTCGCAGCCTCTTCTCATCCCACTTCCTTTCTTCTCCAGGTGCTGTGAAGGCAGCAAGCTTCCCCTGAGCGCACACTGCTCTTTCCTGCCGCAGGGCCTTTGCTGTTCCCTTTGCCTAGAAAACTCCCACCCGTTGCCAGGCTGGCTCCTACTCTTCCTTCAGGAGGCAACTTAAAACATCGCTGCCTCCAGGAAGCCCTCGGTTATTACCTTATTCTCAGGATGGGGGCTGTCCTTCTTCTGGGCTTCCTGCCTGCATCTTGTCAGTGTCCTGGGGAAAGGGGTGACCAGGGCCGGTTGAGCACTCACGTGTGGCTATCTCTGTGCTCTGTGGCAGGTGACGGATGGTGGCACCATCAAGCAAAAGATCTTCACCTTCGACGCCATGTTCTCCACCAACTACTCACACATGGAGAACTACCGCAAGCGAGAGGACCTGGTGTACCAGTCCACTGTGAGGTGAGTGCCTGGGGGTGGCGGGCCGACAGCGGGGGAAGGGCGGAGGGATGGGGAGTGGGGCAGAGGGCAGTTCTCCAGCCCTTTCACATCAATCCCTCGGTGCTCTTGGGCTTGGAAGGCAGAACTGGGGGCTCCCCTTATGGAAGTGGGACCCATTCCCTGGAGGGACATCCCCTGGAGGGAAGAGGCAGGAGAGGGCCAGGCCACCGCTCTTCTGACTGGCCTCCTCTGCCAGCTCCTCCAACAGTCCTGGAAGGTGGGTATTCCAAACTCCATTTATTTCCAAGTGAGATACTGAGGCCCAGAGAGGGGGAGCAATGGGCCTAAAGTCACACAGGCAACAATGACACCGCTGGGCGGTGAAGCAGTTCTGCCCGGCTTGGAAGCTCAAACACCACATTCTACTGTTTTTTGTGTGCTCCAAGGCCATAAGGGCCCCGAGCTTAAGAGAGAATGACCCCAAGCAACTGGACTCCCAGGTCAGAAGCAGCAGGGTGGGAAGGAGCAGTGCTCAAGTCGGAGATGCTTGATTTTCCTACCCCATCCCTGTTTTCCAGGAGGCGGGTGGCAGAATCAAGCTGACTCGATCTTCCAGAGCCTGCTGTTCTCTATGTGTGTGGCTCTATCTCCTTCCCACAAACTCCCTACAAGATCCTAGTCCTGTTTTATCCCTTTGACCCTTAACACACACCGGTCCCTCTTCTCAAAGGGCCTTTCTCCCTTCGGTCATCTGGTAAACTCCTCATCAGCCTTCAGAACCCCACTCCAGCAATTCCACCCATGGGAGCCCTCACCTTAGCTGAACTGATCCCCCAAAGCTGGTCGGCTGCAACTGCCCCAGTACCCACCCCTCCTCAGAGGGAATCTCACTGCATTCATGAAGAGTGCACAGCTTTGCACACACACACTCTTCCACGCCACACCGCCAAATGCTTTGCCAGGTGCCCAGCCTGAAAGTAGTGGTCTGCTCCAAAGCTGGAGGGGGACCGTGCTGCATCGGGTACCGTGAGGGGGACTGCAGCCCCGGCAAGCCCACATGATGTGCACTGTGGCACCATGCTATGTGGATGTCTCAGCTAGTGCCTGGTACTGTGTTGTCTTTAGACTGAGCCTGGAGGAGGGGGAAGCCGTACTCTCCAGCACGGGCTGTGGGTCTCTGTGACCGTGAGCTCCAGGAGGACAAGGCACATGCTCCTCCTTCACCTTGCATCCCCAGCTCTCAGCCCAGGGCCTGGCACACAGTGGGTACATAATGAAATTTGCAAAATGAGTGGACAACTCAGGCTACACTCCTCAGCCCTTCAGGCCTGTTTTCTATTGGGTGAAATTAGAAAGCGGGACAAGAAGATTGTAAAGGGTAAGTCCAACCCTGCATCAAGAATCTGACCCAGGCATCCTCCTCTGCCTGCTTTTGTAAAAATGGGAAGGTGAGTGTGCTCCCCAGGCGGCCCGGCTGGGTCCTCGTCCTCTCTGGGCTCTGTGCCAGGACCATGCTGAGAATGTGGACGTGAAGGTGTGTGAAGAGGTGTGTGAACAGCCGCACAAACTCCTTCATCCCCCTAGTTATGATTTCTCCTGAACCTGCTTCCAAAAAGAAATTATGGTGCCTTAAAATATTAAAGCACACCTAAAACAAGCCAGTTACAATCAAGATGAAAAAGGAGATAAAAATTCATTTTGGAGAAAATAGCTATTCTGGAAACCACAGATGGTTTTGTAGTAAGTGAACTCCCAAATAATCTCCACGACTCCCAGAAGCCTAATGCCACCCAGCCCACCCCTGCCGGTCACTGTGTCTCTGAGAATTCTTTCCTCACCAAGCCACCCGCTGCCACCAGCAAGGCCTCTAGGACTCCTTGGTTCTGATTTCTAGCTAAGAAAGAAACCCAGGGACCATCTAGAACATTCCTGAGCACCACCCTCTCCTGCTTCCTGGAGCCTCAAGGGCAAGCCCTGCTACCAGAAGACCCAGATGAAAATCCCAGCTCAGTCTCTGCCTACTGTATGACCTGGGATGAGAGCCTTAACCTCTCTCTCTCTCTGCTTCAGGTCCTTCGCCTGTAGAGCAGACTTGACATGACAGGCTTTGTACAATTGTGGAATTTCAGTGAAATTTATGTCCAACAGCCTGAGTTCAAATCCTGCCTCTTCCACATCCTGGCATTAGTGAAATCTGGGGCTGGTAACCCCACAGTTGAGTTTCCTGACCTCCAAAGTAACATGACAGCACTAAGAGGCTAGCTGCAAGTTGTGAGGAGCTGATGGCGTGCATTCAAGTGAAGTGCTGGTTTCCGGCCTCTAAGTGGTACATGTTTGCTGCCATTGCCTAGAACAACCTCTCCTTCTCCCACCATAAAACAAAACAAAAAAAATTCACCTTTTTACAAATCTCATAAAGCCTCCTTTTATGCGCTTTCTGTTTTGATCTGCACAAACAACCCCATGAATGCAGGCAGGTATTATTATTATTAATCATTTTCTCTAGCCCTGTTCTTACTACAGAAGAGGTCAAAGTTCAGCAGGCCCAACAGTCTCCCTCTGGAATGACATGAACTTGACCAGACCCCTTGCTTTTCAGTTGTGGAAGCCAAGGCCCAGAGAGGGAATGAGGCTTGCCTGAGGTCACACAGCGGCCCTGACTTAAGCCTGATATCAGGAGCCAGTGCTCTTTTCTTCCCCACATGGGGGCCAATCTCCCTGAGCCTCAGTAACAGGGGCGGTCTCCCAAGCAAAGAACACCCCAGGGAGCTGAGCCGTCCTGTTTGGTGACCACCAAGGGAGAGGGAAGGAAGGAGCAGACCCTCTGGAGCCTAACGGGATCACGGAGGATTGTCAGCCCTCCCAACCAGCCATGCTGGGGGCGACTGCCTCTTCAGGCTGCAGAGCCCCATCAGGGCTGGCGACGGGGCGCGGGACTCCGCATTTACATATAAATGAAGATATTTACAAATTAATGCATCTCAACGAGAGAGAGTCCCAGCTCCACAGCTGTCTGAGCCGTTTCCTCTTCAGCTGGGGAAAGTAGGGAGAGAATGAGACTGAGAAGATTACCAAGAATTGGCTGAGAGCAATTTCGCGGGTAGCCTAGAGGAGCCCCAAGGACTCCTGGAGCTTTTTGTCCCACTGATGGGGCCCTGGAGGGATGGAAGTCGGGTGGATCATCAGGACTTCTGCCCCCAGGGGGTGCAGGTGTGTATCCCTGGTTGTATGACCTTGGACAGATCACTGCCTCTCTGGATAGAGCGTCCCAGAGGCACATCTATCAAATGCTTTTCTAGGTCTTAGCCCCAGAGCCCAGAACTCCCAGGTTGGAATTGACAAGAATGTATTCCCTCCAAGGCTATTTAGTTGAGCACCTACTAGGACCTTGGCTTGGTGGAAGGTGCCCAGGGATACAGGGGGAATGAGAAAAGCACGGCTTTGCAATCTAGTCGGAGAGACATGGCAAAATGTAGATGAATACATCATTCCACATTCTGCAAAGAAGTGATTCTAAACCATGGGCGTGTAATGAAGGGGCAAGTGGGGTGCAGTACCGGGAAGGAATGAGATGCTGGGTGCCATTTAGATGGGTGGTCAGGCAGGGCCATCGAGGAAGGTGGCACTTGGGTGGAGAACTGAGGGCAGGAAGGAGCCCTCTGTGAAAGGGAGGAGGCAGATGTGGCCGACAGTTATCCCACCCTGCCCACTTCCTCTTACCCCTCGCTCTTCCTGGCAGTGCCAGCATCCTTGGTGCTTCCACAGGGCTTTCTCAGGGCACTGGAGACCACTCAGCCTGCACATGAGAAAGGTGAGAAGTGCCGGGGAGTTGACGCCACCCCGGGAGCAGCCTTGACCAATGACTGTTTATTGGGTGCATACCCAGCCCCCTCGTCCCTCCAGGGGGACAGTTCAGATGCATGCTCAGGAGGACAAAGTACAAGCTCCTCCTTCACCTCGTATGCCCAGCTCTCAGCCCAGGGCCTGGCACACAGTGGGTGCATAATGAAATGTGCAAAATGAGCGGGCAGTTCTGGGTATGCTCCTTGGCCCCTTGGGGGTGTTTCCTAATAGGTAAAATTAGAAAATGGGATAAGAAGGGGGGACATTGAGAAACTATGGGATGAATGCTGTCAACTCTCTCCCGGAGTTTCTCAGTGACCCCCCAGAATAACCTTGAGAAGGCACCCGTATTGGCTTCCTTCCCTTCTAGCTCATTCCATCAGCTTCCTGGGACCCCTTCTCACATAAACCCTTTCCTCCTAAATCCTTGTTTCAAGGTCTACTCTTCATTCCACCCTTCTAGGTTCTTGGCTGGGTCCCCGGTAGCAAAAGACGAATTCACAAGACAAAAGGATACAAGTCTAGTTTGTATACGTTTTAGGTGATGCAGGAGATTTTATAAGGAAATGAAGACCCACAGAAGTGGTTCTAGCTGAGTGTTTTTTGCTGGGTTGGATGAAGGGTGGGGAGTCATGGGAAAGTGTGAAGGATAGAAGGACCTGAGCTAAGGGCAGTAAACTGGGGACACTCAGCAGGGTGGCTTGTTCAGATCCCTTGGAAGTGAAGATGCTGCCTTCCTCCAGGTACAGAGAGGGAACCTCTCACGTGAAGGTCTTGTGACCTGCTTCAGGGAAAGGTCAGAGAGTCCTTCCTGCGCCTGCCATTTCTCAAATTCCATCTGCTTAAAATATTCAATATACCAAGGTGCCAAATTTGAGGTGGCGTGTCCTGAACCCCCTCCCCATGGAATGTGGCCATTCCAGAGGGCAGCTGTGACCTCCTTGGAGGTCCAAGTGAATCACAGTGAGGCTTCAACCACTCCGCCCACACACATGCTGTGTCTTCCATTTCCTGAAGCACCCTGAGGCCCTTGTCCCATTCGATCTGCTCAGGAAGCGATGAGGAACACTGGACAGATTTCACTGGCCTTAATTCACTGGTGCAGGGAATCTAGATTCGAGGGGCTCAGTGTATTCCTGCCCCCGACCTGCTATTGCAGATCCCTCCAACACCTTGGCCAATGCTCTTTGCCAACAAGGTCCTACTTGTCCTTTCAAGTTCAGCTTAAAGGTTGCTTCCTACAGGAAGTCAGCCCCAACTGCTCAAGCTCACCGACTGATGCTATGTCTTCAGAGTCTGCCCGCCCCCCCACTAGACTGGAAGCCCCATGAGGACAGGGACTAGGTCTGATGTTTTCACCACCATCCTCTCCCCAACCCCCAGGACAGCACCCAACCCTGGGCATGTGGTAGATGATTTGTAAATATCTGTGGGGTGAATGAGTTCGTGGTGAACATGGTGGTGGAGTCCTTTCAATGCAACACTTGCTGCTGGGGTGGATGAACAAGACACCTTAGGAAAGGAACATCCAGGCCCCCGTTCCTTCCCCCAACACTCACATCATTCATTCATCACAAAGGAATTGAGTAGTTACCATATATCAGGGACAATGATGGAGATAAAGTGGTGAACAAGACATAATCAGACCTGCTTTCGGGAGGTTTCTGATCTAGTGGGTGAGGAGAGACACACTACAAAAATGCCTTTAAAATAATAAGGAAAAACAGTTACAGTGTGTGATGAGTGTGGTGAAGGGAATAAGGTACAACTGTCCCTCAGGATCCATGAGGGATTGGTTCCAGGACACCCCCAAGCAGATACCACAATCCTAGGATTCTCAAGTCCCACATATAAAATGGCACAGCATCTGCACATCACCCACGCACATCCACCTGGATCCTTTAAAGCATCTCTAGATTACTTATAATACTTACTATCATGTAAATGCTAGGTAAATCATTGTTATACTATATTTTTATTTGTATTATTTATATTGTTGCATTATTATTTTTTTTCTCTGAATATTTTTGGTCCACGGTTGGTTGGATCTGCAGATTCTGAACCCATGGATCCGGAAGGCCAACTGAAATGTGATAGAGAGGGGTGAGAATAATGGAGTGAGGGCATTGCACAGCTCCTCATAGGAGATACCTGGAATGTATCTCCAGGAATCTGGAGACATCTGAGCACAGATCTGTAGTATAAGAAGCCAGCCAGGCAAGGTTGGGGCTTGGGAGGGCACTCCAGGTAGACGACATGGCAAGTGCAAAGGTCCTGGGGTGAGAAAGAGCTTGGTGTGATCTGGGAGCTGACAGAGGGCCATTGCCACCAGAGCACAGTGAATGGGGAGGTCAGCTGACGTTCACTCTCTGTGCCCTAGAAGCTGCTGAAGGGTATGGCATGCTCTGATATGCGGTTTGTCAAGCTCACCTTAGTTCCTGGGTAGAGAGGGTGGGTTGGAAGTGCCAGGGAACGAAGACAAAGCCGTCCACAGAGGAGCCTGGAATCTGACTTCCAGGTATAAAGTATTCAATATACCAAGGTGCCGTATTTGAGGTAGCGTGTCCTGAAGCCCCTCCCCATGGAATGTGGCCATCCCAGAGGGCAGCTGTGACTTCCTTGGAGGTCCGGGTGAATCACAGCGAGGCTTCAACCACTCCTCCCACACACATGCTGTGTCTTCCATTTCCTGAAGCATCCTGAAAGCCACAGGTGGTGGGGAACAGCTGGGCGGGGCAGGGTGGACCTGGGGGCCATGTAGAGAAAGCCAATGCTGGGCTGCACCTTTTGATGTATGTTTATCAGGAGGGAGACTCGGGAGAGCTGGAGTAAATGAAAAAAAGAGGCTGAGAATGCAGGGCGCTGGAAGAAATGCCACTTCCTTTATTACTCTGAGGTGCATCGGTTCACATGTACACTCAACAGTGCACAATAAGCGTTGGCTGCATTTGAGGCACATAGCTACGGTGCACAAAAGTGGCTAAAATCAGCCCCTGCCTCTTCGGAGCTTACAGCCTGTTCCTCTCCCTTCACGCCCGTTGGCCTATAAGCTCCTCCAAGGCTCAGCTATATCTTCTTCATCTCAGTAACCCCAGGACCTACTTGGCATTTAGAAAGGAACAATAAATATTTGTGGAATGAAAAGAGAGAAAGGGGAGATAAAACACGAGATAAATAGCTAACAATTCAAGTAATAAAGTGATCGCTGTCATAGAGAAGATTCAGATATAATACAATGATGAATCAGAGATGCAGAGACTGGGGAAATCAGGGTGATGCTGGCATTTGAAGTGGTTCTAGAGGCATCAGTGGGTTTTAGACAAAGAGGAGCTGGGAGCTGATTCTCTGGTCAGAGGGCCCCATGTGTGCAAAGGCATGGCAAGAGGAAATTGACCAAGTAGTGGCAAGACCACTCTATGGGCAGACAATGGCTTCTAAGCGGAAGCTCTCTGGAATCTGTTCAAATGAAAAAAATAAGGGATTGATTTTTAAATAGGCACATTAACTGTTTGGTTCAAAGAGCAGAGGGGTTTGTTTCCCTTTGAAAAGTTAAATGATCCTTCTACAATCTATTCATGTGGAGACCAAACTCTTTTTTTACAGTTGATACAAAGAAAAGTGCCATCTGACCCTCGTTGATTTCAAAGTCTGAATTCTCCAGCTCCCTTCTCCCTCTGTATATTTTCATGAAGCATACGTCTTCTTTCTCTAAAATATACCTAACAGGTGCTGCTTGCCACATGAAGTGGTCATTCATTTATTGATTCTTTTGACCACTCAGCAAACACACGTTGTTGTTGCCAGGCACTCAGCAACAACAAACACAGGCCCTGCCCTTATGAAACTAACTCTCCAAGAATACGCTCAGTTCCTGACCTGCTGGAAACCCGTTCCTCTCTCTCCCACCCAGAGTTCATCCAGGAGTGTGAATGAGAGAGAGTGGAATTGTTTATTTTATTGTTTTTAACAGATTATGCCTCTTAGCATTAGAATTGAAAGCCCCTGGCTTTCCACCCCAAGTGGGAACCTGGTCCCCCTCTCAAAATCAGGGGTGATTTTAGAAGACAGGGTTGCAGGTCTCCTCCCAGCCACTAGGGGGATGCTCAGCAGCCTTCAGCAGCCTTAAATTTCCCATCAACTGGCCAGTGGCTCATGCCTGTAATCTAGCACCTTGGGAGGCTGAGGTGGGAGGATCACTTGAGCTCAGGAGTTCAAAACCACACTGGGCAAAATAGTGAGACTTCTTCTCTAGAATAATAAATAAATATAAAATTACATATCAACTGAGCAACAAGCCACCCACTGGTGGTGTCTATACCACAGGCCAGCTCACTGACTGCCTGCATCAGGATCACCTTGGAAGTTGCTTTAAAATACCAATTGCTGAGCTCCACCAAGACAGAATTTGATTCAAGCCCAGAGCAAGACCTGGGGAACCTGGAATTCATTTGCTAAAAAGTCTTCCAGGTTAAGATATGGGCAGTGAGATTTGGAAAGCCCGCTTCACACAATCCCATCCACCTGCTCGGATGTGCACACTGGGGTCAAAGAATTCAATGGCCGGCACCAAGGCATAGATAATTCTAATTGTTGCTGGTCCCTATCTGCCAACAGGTGGTTATTCTAAGGCCCCTAAAGCCAGACCACTTTTAATTGAAGATGATGAAATAGCCAGGCCAGCCAGTGACCTAAGAGTCCATTCCCTGAGGCCAGAGTGAACTCACAGGCACCAGCCAGCCCTGGAGCTTGAGCTGCCCGCATACCTGGGCTGCCAGTCATTAGCAAAGCAATAATAGCTGGCATGTGTGGTGCACTCATTGGCCAGACCCTGGGCTAAACTCCTCAGGAAGTGAGGCCTTGCCTGCAGGCCAAAGGGAAGGCCAGGAGCAAGATGCTCTTTCTGTAGCTCCCTGGCCATGACACTCTCCCCAGAGATAGAGTGTGCGCATGCTTTCCAGCTAGAAGTTCCACTGGACCCAATCCCAGGCCTCCTACCCCCAGAGCTCTAATTAGGAAAGGGGGGCCCCCCTTTGTCAGGTCCCAGAGCAACGCTCCGCTCAGACTGCAGGAATCTGCTCTCAGCCTTCCTCCCTGGTTCTCATCTCTCTGACTAGGACCCTCCCTTCTTCATCTCTGGGTCCTCCATGCTCAGCCCAGCTCCTGGGATAGATGCCCAGGGCCTCCGTAAAGATTTGTCGAATCAATGGGCTGAAGGGTTGTATTCCAATGTGGAATTATCATTTCAAACAGTTAGCAAAACTCTTTCCCAACCCATCATCTGGTTTAACCTGTGGAGCACAGATCTCAGACTCATTGAATCCTGTTATTCAGATGCTGACATGGAAGAACGAGAGGAATGGTCACTTGTCCAAGGTCAAGCAGGTCGTGCAGTGGGAAGCCTGGGTTAACGCCCAAGCTGTGGCACTCCATGGGCCATTGGAGCCAGGTCCACTTGTGGGGCCCCTGGGCCATGGAGCATGGTGAGCAGGTCATCCAACAAATGGTAATTGTTTTGTTTGTTTGTTTGTTTGTTTGTTTGTTTGTTTTTGAGACACAGTCTTGCTCTGTCGCCCAGGCTGGAGTGCACTGGCACGATCTCAGCTCGCTGCAACCTCTGCCTCCCAGGTTTAAGAGATTCTCCTGCCTCAGCCTCCCGAGTAGCTGGGATTACAGGCACCCACCACCACACCTGGCCAATTTTTTGTATTTTTAGCAGAGACAGGGTTTCACCATGTTGGTCAAGCTGATCTCGAACTCCTGACCTCAAGTGATGCACCCGCCTTGGCCTCCAAAGTGCTGGGATTACAGGCATGAGCCACTGTGCCCAGCCCCAACAAACAGTAATTGATGCCCACCCTGTGCCAGGTCACTTAGTAGGGGAGACTGACACGTGAGCTTGTCTCTCCACCCCTACACACATGTGCGTGTGTACACAGAGGATCTACCCAGGATGCTTGGTCCCTCCAAGTAGAAAGTTGCCAGGATCAGTCATCACCTTAAAAAGAGCCACAGCTTGGCAGTCCCAGGCCCCTGGATGCCACAGCCAGGGAGAGCAAGTGATGCCTACTCTTGGCTCTGGGAGAGGGACCTGGGAAGCCAGTGCCCTGCATTTTCTCTGCTCTCTTGGCTGGTAGCATCAATTCCATTGACTAGAGGAGAAATCTGTTTAACCTAATGTGTTTCAAATGCTCCGCCTCAGTCCCCATGGAGCTGGGCACACTCCCCTGCTCCCCATCTTCCCCTGCCCCTGGCACCTTCTCACTGCCTCCCCCATACCGGCATTGACCTCTCAGGTTCCCACTTCTTCTCTCCTTCTTCAGGGGCTGCCTGGCCTTCTCTGCCTTTTCAAAGCCCAAAGGTGCTCCAGGCCCAAGCTCCAATGCTCAGCTTGACGCAGCAGCCCTCCCCAACCCTCTCCCCAGTGGCAGAATTGAACCTGCCTGCTGTGCCCAGGGAGCGCCCCATGCATTCCACTTTAGCCTTCTCCTGCTGGCTCCCACCTGTCCACTCGCATGTCTACTGTCTCCACCAAGGCCATGAGCAGCCCAGACAGGGCAGGGCTGATTCTTCTCCATGGCTCCTACCTCATGCATAGGAGCAAGCTCCACAGAGGACCGGCACCATCTCCCTAACTCTCTCCACCTCCTGTTACTGAAGGTGGACACTCTTCTCCTCTTGTTCCTTGACTTTCAGTCTTTGATTTTCCTTTTTAGAATGATATTCTTCTCTTCTTTCTCTCCCCCCTTTCCAAGAGCCCACTTCCTATTGCGGTGCCCTTTTCCTGCCATCCTGTGCACACAGGCTTGCACGGTGTTTTCATTCCCTCTCTCCCCATGCATTCTTGCATCTCTTGGCTAGGAGTCCCTCTGTGGTCCTCAAATCTCCCCTGCAACACAGACTCCAGATCTTGATGCCCCAGAGGCCCCTGGAACTTCAAGGAGGCTCCCGTTTCCAATTTAGAAGGAGGGTCAGGGGTATTTCTCCTTGGTTGGGTCTTGGGTTAGTGAAGACATTTGAGGCAGGGAATTGAGATGATCCCTGTTGCATCCACAGCTGCCACTGAGTTCTCTACCTACCTTCCCCCACTCTCTATTTGACCTTGGACCCACAAGGAGGCCACTGGAACTCCCAGAACACACCCTTCTGACACCAGCCTAGCTCCCCAGGGAGGGAAGCACTTGCAAAGCTGTCTGCTGCCCTCTGGTGATGCACTAGGGTATGGCAACTTGGGGGCTGGGGGTCGGATTTGGTGGGGGGCGTCTTGCCTGGGGCCCCCAACCACCAAGGATGGGTCTTGTTTCTCAAGGCTAGGGACCCTCCCTTATTCATCTCTAGGTTCTCAGTGCCCAGCAACGGGTCTCAGGAAAGGCTCGTTAAATTAATGGGCTGTCAGGTTATCCAAATATGGAATTATGATTTCAGCAAAACTCTTCCCCACCCATTGTTTGATCAAACCCTAGCAACCATCCTGTGCAGTGCAGATCTCAGACTCTATTTAGGGGGCTCAGGTGCAGCCCAGAGAAGAGAAGCGACTTGCACAAGAGCTGAGAGCTCCCCGTTAAGGCAGAATTTTCCTCCCCCGGCAGCCTCCCCAGCTGAGGAGGCTGAGCCCTATGCTCATGGAATAGGGTGGGGGCACTGGGGTCACCTGTTCCCACCTCTGGGTAGTGGCTTGCCTTGATCAGGGGCCTTCCAGAGACAGCATCTTCACCCAGAATCAGCCATCAGGAATTGTAGCCCAGTGCCAGGAAGCACCCTGGGGGGAGTAATGGGAAGTTAGTTCCGATGTTGAATGCACTTTGGCATGTTTCAAGCACCTCAAGTAAGGGCTTGACTTAATTATTCATTCGTCCTTTTAGAAGTGTTTGTTTATTAACTGTAGACATCGGGAGACAGAGATGAGCAGGACAGGTAAGTTCTCTGTCCCCATGGAGCTGACATTCCCAGGGCTATGCTAGCAACACAGAGAGAGGTGGGGAGGCAGTGGGGCTCTGCCAGGAAGAGGTTGGATATGGTCAGCAAGGGTGAGGGACACAGGCATCCATGTATTAAATCATCCAATCTGCAGGTGAGTTTGAGGACCACTGTTATAGAACATCCTTGGTCATTAGAGAGAACTTGAATTGTATTCTTAGAGTGATGAGGAGTCATTGAAATTGACCTCGGTTTGAGTTTTACACTGCCAAATGATGAAGCAGGGAGATTGGGGTGGGGTGTGATGGGGCTGGACAGGCGGAGGTGGAGAGAAGAAATGGGGATGAATTAGGAAGCAGACCTGGCAGCACTCGCTGATGGGCTGGAAGGGGGACACCAGAAAGTGAGAGAGAAGTTAAACGTGGCCCCTAGGGCCATAGCCATTGCATTTGGGAGGAGAGGGGCTCCTTCCTGAGAAGAGGTGACTGATGAAGACTTGCTCTGGCTGAGGGTGTAGGACAGAACTCACGAGTTGTTTGAATCAGATTAGACATGTCTGTTAGATGCCTGAGCACAGCCAGCAAGTAGGTTGGTGGAAACACAGGGCGGGGGAGAAGTTGTGACCACAGATACAAATATGGGAGCCACCAACACACGGATGCCACTTAAAGCCACCATCCCCTCCAGACTCGGGACAGATCTGCTGGCAGCCTTCAGACATCACCCAGGCCAATCCTCTCATTCTCCACCTGAGAAACCAAGGCCCAGAGACTGTGGATGACTTCCGTAAGGTCACACAGCAAGCCAGCCGCAGAATCAAAAGTCAACTTCTGACTCCTAAAGGAGAACTGTTTCCATTCCACAGTGCTCAATGCAGCTTCCCCCTGACCTGCAGCCTGCTGGGCAGAATTGCTGATATGGCAAATCATTTCTATGTCTGCAGTCAGGAAACCAGAGCTGTTGGAAATTATCTACACACACACATACACACACACACACACACACATACACACACACACACACATTATCCTTTTCCTTCTTCTAAGTAAAAAATCAGTAACCAGGCTGTCAGCTTTATTACTAATTATGCAAGTGCTTTATTGCTGGTATTTAAAAAAATTGAAGGCTAAAAATGTCCAGGAAAGACCCAATTTAGTAAACAGTTCAGAATAAAGTATTTGTTGCCGTGGTATTTCTTCACATTAGAATTTGCTCCAGGTGCTTCAAACCTTCTTTAATATATTATGGCAATCTAATAAAATTCCCAGTTCTGGGAGAATCTTTGCCTTGGAAGATAACTGTGTTTCAGGGAGTGAGGGTTAGGTGGAATTGAGGATGATCGGGAAGGTCTGGTGAGCCTGAAGTTCCTGGGAAAGTAAGGCTGAGAGAGGGCAGAAGATGAGTGGTTAAGAGACTTGCCTGAGGTCACAGTAAGCACTCAATAAGAGATAGGGAAGGGGATGGATGGATGGATGGATGGATGAATGGATAATGGATGGATGGACGATGGATGAATCGATGGATGGATGCATGGATGGTGGATGGGTGGATGGATGAATGGATAGATGGATGGATGCATGGATAGATAATGGATGGATGGATGATGGATGGATGGATGCATGGATAGATGGATAGATGCATGGACGGATGGATGGATGCATGGATGGATGGATGGATAATGGATGGATGATGGATGGATAGATGGATGGATTATGGATGGATGGATGCATGCATGCATGGATGACAGATGGATGGATGGATGGATGATGGATGGATGGATGGATGGATGAATGGATGGATGGATTATGAATGGATGGATGGATGATGGATGGATGGATGGATGGATGGATGGATTATGGATGGATGGATGGATGATGGATAGATGGATGGATGGATGGATGAGCTTCCAGATGAATCATCAGGTTTTTGCAGACCTAAATCTTAGTCAAGGAAAAGAAGTCATCTAAAACTTGCCATTGATAGAAATGACAGAAATAAAAGTTGGTGGACCATTGGGCCATTTGTACAAAATATGTACCATTGCCTCTATTTGCAAATAACAGACTTCAACTGAGATAATGAAGCAACACTGCACAAAGCTGCAGGGCAGGGAAGCCGTCCTCATTTTACAGAAAGGAAGGAGATGATCGGACACATTGAGTAACTTGCTTGAGGTCACATATCCCAGTAGCGATGGAGCTAAGACAGGGGCCAGCCTTCCTCATGTCCAGCTAAGAGCTATAGTTTTCTTTCCAGCTCACAACTTAGGTCCTTTCTCTGTGCATCATGGCTTCTTGCCACCTGAGTTTCTTCTACACCCACCCAGCAGCCAGAGTGAGCTTTCTAAAGTGAAATCAGGTCACCTGCTGCTTGAAGCCCTCCATGGGCTTCCCACTCACTTGGGATAGAACCCAGTCTCCCATCAGGCCTAGGATACCCTGTATGCTCGGCCCCATCCACCTGGCCAGCCTCATCTCCTACCCTCTCCCTCTTCAGCTTCCTAAACATCAGCTTCCGGACACCTTGGCCTTCTCGCCAAGCTTGTTCTTACCTCAGGACATTTACTCATGCTTTTTCTCTGCCAGATACATTCTTCTTCTACCCTGGTGTCAGATCAAATGTCCCTCTGCAGAGATGCTTTCCCTGACTGCCTCACCTCCACCCAGAATTTCCCACCCCTGTGTCCCATCATTCTTAACCCATTGATCCGATTTGTTTGCTTGTTTTTTAAAGCATTGATTACTACCCAGTAAGACTCATTTATTTATCTGAATATACATTTTCCTTTTTCCCTCTCATATCAAGCACCCCGAGGATAAAGACTTGGTCCCCCTGCCCCTCCTCTGTCCCCCTAGCTTTCAGAATGGCACCAGGCAGCCCCTCCCTAGTCAGGGGCCAATGTAGATTTCATATACGGATAAGCGAATTCCTGATCAGAGGGCCTGGCTGTTGGGCCATCAGCTGGCATTGAGCAGAGAGGCCTGGGTTCTAGTCCTGATCCTGTGACAGAGCCATAGGGTGAGCTGGCCAGTCACACAATGTGTCTGAGCCTCAGTTTCCTTTTTGTCCAATGCACAAATGTGTTTGTGCTGGATGATGGGAAGCCCCCTCAGCTTCACTTATCGGCCCCTTCCTCGGTGCACGATTGAGAGAAACAGGCAATAGACCAGGCCCCAGGGTGACCAGGCTCCAGGCACAGCCAGGACTGGGGCTGAAAACCTGCCACCTTCCAGGAACCCAGTCAGCCGATTGGTTCTGCGTATTCGCATTTGGATTCTCAGGGGAGTGGCCTGCCCTCTCAATGGCAATTTCCTTGTGAGCTGGGCTGACACTCCTAATTATTATTTGGAGAGGTTTGGGGAGGCTCAGTTAATTGATTACATATTTCCTTCCTTGACAGGGCATTTGTTTGGCCATGTCTTGTTTTTTTTTTCCCCTGCTTGGTTAATGTTCCTGGGCATGTTGAGTATTTTGTGGGGACCATGGGACTAAGTCCAGTCATAACTCTCCCTCCTCCTCCCCAACCCTGCCAGGGGCTTTCGAACACTTTAATTTAACTTCCCTGGACCTCTGCTTCCCCCATGGGAGCGATGATATAGCAAGAGCCCTGAGATCTGAGGACTAATAATAACAGTGCTCACAGTAATGTTTATCAAGTTCCTAGCATATGCCCTGCTCTGCTCTAAGAACTTTACACACATCGACTCATCTATCCTCACAATGTTACAACGAAGCAGGTCCTGTTATGATTTCTATTTGTAGATGAAAAGATGGAGCTCAGAGAGGTTAAGTGACTTGCCCAAGGTCACACAGCAGGCAAGCAGCTGAGCCGGGATTCAAACCCGCCTGCTGGGTGAAAACTCAGCAACAGGGCACAGGCTGTCCATCGCTGCCCTGTGAGTGCTCCAGCAGGCTTGGGAAAAGGGGATGCGCAATCCCCATCACCCTTGGCCACGTGCGGGCAGACAGGCAGCTGTGGTCGGCCTCTGCCGGGAGCTATCAGTGGTGACACTGGGCAGGACTCAGAGCTTCAGCTCCTTCATTGGTAAAAGGAATCACAATTCTGACTCCTAAGCTGCGGTGAGGGCTGTAGTGGTTCTCATCTTCAGGGTGCCTAAGCCAGCATCTCGTGCACAGTCCATGAAGTAAAGGAGGGCTCGACCCCAGGCCCTTGCTCATGCTGTGCTTCAGAACTTACATGCTTATTCTCCTGGATGGAACAATTGTCACATCATAAAATGCAATCGTCATCTTAAGGAGAAAAGGTCATCGCATCATAGATGACCCTCCCAACGGCCCCTAAAGGGACACCCTGCTCCCTTGGGTGACCTCATGAGCCTCTCTCTTCCATGGTTTGGTGAATGTCCCCCTCCTCCTACTAGTCTGTGGCTCCTGGAGGGAGGGGCCATGTCCACATCTCCCTCATCACCGCCAAACGCTCACCCCGGTTCCCACAGAGCTCAGCACAAAGAGGTGAGGAGGGAACAGAAGAATTAACGGGGGATCTGGCCTCTCCCTCTGCTTCTAGGGGACCGCTTCTTGGCTCCTCTCCCTGGCCAGCCTTTCCAAGTGCAGCCCATGCCCTATCCACCTTCTGGCCTTGAGACATCACTGGACATCCTGTTCATTTCTTCATTCAGCAAACACGTAGTGAGCACCTCTGATGCACCAGAGGCCAAGTGCGGCGGGATGATTGGGTCATAGAAAAAGCCAGAGCCCCTCCACACACACACACAAAGAGTTTAGGTTTGCAGAGCACCTGTACGGTTTAAATATCTTACATGGATTCTCTCTTTGAGCTCCACAACACCCCTTGAGGCAGCTCATGCCCCATGTCCCATTTTTATAGATTAAAAAACTGAGGCCCAGACAGACATGTAATGAGGCAGTTATAGTACAGTGTGCAAGCTCCAGAATGGGCTGTGGGAGCCAAGGATATGTGTGTTCCATGCCCGGGCTTCCTCCACTTCTGACCTCCCCCAGGAGACTCAGACATGCAGCAGGAGCCCCCTTTTCTGGCTTGACCTGAGTGTGGTGGGAAGGCAGGAGGATGGCCTTGATGACCTGTGAGACCTGTGGGCCCAGCAGAGCCTGAGTCCATGCCCAGGACCTATGCAGCCTGCAGAAGAGACCCTGGATTTCAAGGCGGGCATCAGGCTAGATCAGGGCAGTGGGGCCTGGCAAGCCCAGGCCAGGGCACTCACAGGTGCAGCCTGGAGCTGCTGGGAAGTGGGAGCCACTTGGCACCTGGTGGCACCAGGTCCCCATACTCATATTGCTACCTCCAAGGAGGGGATGCAGCTCTGCCTCAGAGCTCCACCAGCTGGGTGAGAGCCCCCTCACTGCATACCCCCATACTCCCCGCCCCCAGCTTGCCCCGAGCAGAGCCACTGAGAAACAGGAGGAGGTAGCTGTAGGGAGTTTGTCTGTGGGCCTGATGCCCTCAAAGGGCTTCCAAGTGGAAATGCTACTGTCATTGCCCTTTGGGGAATGAAAGGAAATATAAAGGCATATTTCATCTCTGTAGCCACCCTAGGGGCAATGATGCCACTGTTTGCTAATAATAACACACACTCGGGTCTAGGGCTTACTGTGTGCCAAGCCAAGTGCACTTACATGTGAGAACTCAGCCATGGAGGGGATGCCACTGTTAACCCCATTTCACAGATGAGAAACCTGAGGCATCAAAAGCTTCAATGCCCTCCCCTAGGTTAGGCACCTGGCAAGGGGCAGAGCCAGGATTTGAACCCAGGCAGTCAGGTTAGGGTACTGGCCCTTCTCCACTAGACCACACCCCCTCCTTTCCCCATTGGCGTGGAAGTTCATTTCAGGAGAACCCCACATCTGTCCCTTTGACAATGTGGGCCTCTCTGAGCCCCTGCACTGCACTTTCCATGACAGGGAGCCCAGTCCTCTGCACCCTGGGTGACCCTTCTCTCCACCGCCTCTAGCCGCTGCTGAGGGCCGGCCTCCTTTTGCCTCTGCCCTCTGCCAGTGTGGGAGGCAGCAGTCAGCAGGGAGGTGCTGCGGTCTGACAGAGGAAATACCAGGGTGCCCTGGGAGGGCTGGAGCTGCTGGAAACGGAGCAGGACCGGCAGAGTGAGCTGATTAGGAGAGGCTAGCAGGGGAGGGAGAGACAGTTTGGACTGAGTCTCCACACCATTAGCTCTCCTGCTCTGTTTCTCCCCCACCTACCCAGACTGTGATGCCAGCCGACGAGGCCCTGGGGGGTGCATGGAGGCCCTGCCAGCTGCTCTAGCTGCTGATGGGCCAAGGGGGCTCTGGACTTGTCATAAGCTCCCTTTACACACCACTAAAGATCCCCAGTCCCGCCTGTGGCTGCATGTGCCTCCTCCTTTGCTCAACACCCCGCCATCCCCAGCCTCATGAAGGCTGACAGAACCAACAGATGCCTTGGTGAGGCCTTCCAGGCTCTCTACTGTGGAATCCCTACCAATTTATTTTCCTTTTATGTTAAAATATAACATACACACAGTTAAGGGCTTTATAAAGGAGTTGGTATCCATGCACACACAGCTGCCCAGGTCAAGATAAACATTCTCAGCCCCTCATGAGGTTTCCTTCCACCAAGAGGGAGGTGCTATTCTGACTTTTGTATGAACTTAGACTAGTTTTTCCTTAAGTCTAATTTAGACTATTAGAATGTCAGGGAGATTTCTCTATGTGGTTGCTCGTAGCAGTGGCTTGTTCTTTTTCATTACTACGTAGTACTCCACTGCGTGGACCTTATTAGTTTATTTACCTATTCTCCTGTGGAGTGGCATTGGAGCTGTTGCTTCCAGTTTTTGAGCCATGACAAGTAAAGCTGCTTTGAATGTAAGCATTCATTTTTCTTGGAGGTATCCCTTGGAGAGGACGTGTGGGGTGCAGGGAAGGCAAATGTTCAGCTTTCAGAGATGCTGCCTGTGCTTGTTTGCCAAGGCTGCTGTAACAAAATGCCACAAACTGGGAGGCTTAAAACAACAGAACTGTATTCTCTCACAGTTCTCAAGGCTAGAAGTCTGAAATCAAGGTGTTGGCATGGCCACACTTCCTCTGAAAGCTCCAAGGAAAAGTCATGCCTTGCCTCTCCTCACTTCTGGTGGTTGCCAGCAGTCCTTGGCATTCGTTGGCTTGTAGATGCATCACCCCAAACTCCACCTCCATCATCACACGGCGTTCTCCCGCTGTGTGTCTGTCTCTCTGTCCAGATTTCCTTCTTAGAAAGACACAGTCACTGGATTAGGGCCCACCCAACTCCAGCCTGACTTTATCTTAACTTGATTACATCTGCAAAGACCCTATTTCCAAATCAGGTTACATCCACAGGTCTCAGGGGTTAGGATTCAACAGATCTTTTGGGAGTGGGGAGCGCAATTCACCCTACAACACCGCCTAACAGTTTCAAAGAACATGTACACATTCACATCCCTGCCAGCAGGATATGAGAGCCCCAGGTGCCCCACATCCTGTGTGTCCCCCACTCTTGACCCAGCTGCAAGGATGACTCCCTGTTTCTGAAAGTGTCCACCATGCCTCTCCCCATCCAGACATTGCAGAAGCAGCACCTGCCACCTCTGCCTGGCAAACCCCTCCCCATCCATAAGACTAATCACTGTCCCCAGGAGCCTCCCCAAGCACATCTGCCCTGGCCAAGTTCAGCAGGCCCTCCCTCTGCTTCGTCTCTGCACTTTGGTCATTCTGGACAGACTCCACTGTCATTCTGTGACAGTGAAGGCTGCAGGCTCTGGAGCGGCGGAGCTGGTCTTTGAAACCATGTGAACAAGTGTCTTCACCTCTCTGCCATCCATTTCTTTACCTGGATTGTTCCAGGAGGAAGCCCAGTGTCCACATGGCTCCTGTATTAGTCTGTTCTCACGCTGCTAATAAAGACATACCCGAGACTGGGTAATTTATAAAGAAAAAGAGATTTAATGGACTCACAGTTCCACATGGCTGGGGAGGCCTCACAATCATGGCAGAAGGCTAAAGGCACATCTTACATGGTGGCAGACAAGAGAGAATGAGAGCCAAGTGAAAGGGATTTCCCTTTATAAAACCATCGGATCATGTGAGACTTATTCTCTACCATGAGAACAGTGTGGGGGGAATAGCCCCCATGATTCAATTATTTCCCACCGGGCCCCTCCCACAACACATGGGAATTATGGGAACTACAATTCAAGATGAAATCTGTGTGGGGACACAGCCAAACAATATCAGCTCCCTCCTCTGGTCCCTCTGGGTCTCTGCTCAGGTGTCACCTCCCCAGAGAGGCCTTCCCTGACCATCTGCTCCAAAATGCCACCCCATCACCAGGTTCACCTTCCTTCTGCTTCTCCGTAGCGTGTATCTCTGCCTAGGGGTGGGCACGGCATCCTCACTTGTTTGCCCATCTCTTGTCTCCCTCTTGCACTAGAAATCAAGTTTCCTCTGGTCTCCTGATCACAGCTCCATCTTTAGCACCTGGTAGGTTGCCTGAGGCAGTCAATGCATATCTGTTGAATGAATGAATTAAATGAATCCGCAAAATGAAAACAAAAATAGCATCTACTGGCAGGAGCAGGGGTAATTGTCAGGAGATTCACTGAGATAGGTCGTGCTTAGCTAGGTTTTAGCCCAGTAGGAACTCAGTCAACGTTAACTGTTGTGTTAGCTTTTTATTGCTTCTGTAGCAAATCGCCACCAACTTAGTGGCTTAAAATAACACAAATTTAGTATCTTACAGTTCTGGATGTCACAACTTCGAGATGAGTCTCACTGGGCTAAAATCCAAGTGTTGATCGGGCTGTGCTTCTTCTGGAGGCTCAGGGGACAGTCTGCTTCCTTGCCTTTTGCAGCTTCTAGAGCCCACCCACATACCTTGGCTTGTGGCCTCTTTCAGCAATGGCATCGCTCTGGCCTCTGCTGCCATCATCACATCCCCTCCCGCTCCGACCCTCCTGTCTCCCTCCAATAAGGACATTTGTGATTATATTAGATCCTTGTGGGTAGTCCAGGATAATCTTCCCCATCTCAAAATCCTTAATCACACCTGCAAAGCCCCTTCTGCCACTAAGGAAACATTGACAGGTTCCAGGGATTTGAACGTGGGCATTTTTGAGGCAGGAGGATGCATTACATACCACAGCTGTGGTTATCACTGTGACAATCACTCACCATGTCCAAGTTTGCTTCCTCTGTTGGACAGTGACCTTGTTGCAACACGGACTGCCTTCTTCTTTCTTTCTGTGTCTCTAGTTCCCTCTTCAGGGCCTGGCATACAGCAGGGGCTCAGGAATGTGGCCTGAGTTCCTGAAGGGCAAGAGCCCCGTTTTACTCATCCCTGTACCCCCACCATCCAGGGCTGATCCTGGCCCTGAACATTTGTTGGACCGAGCAGACCCGCCGGGTACCGTGCATGACCGGTGAGGACAGGGCCCCAGCAGAGGGACAGGGAGGACCGCCGGGAGGAAGGTGAGGGAGGGGAAGAAACTCGGGGAGGTCTCGGGCTTCAAATGAGAGAGGCTTGCCCTTGCCCCACCTCAGGTGGATCCCTTCCAGGGAACCAGTCATGGAACTGGGTCTCTGCTATGGATAATAAAGCTAAAACATAAGGAACACTTCAGACAAGAGTGAGATGTTAGAGCCACCTGGAGCCAGGCTCCTAGCCTCTGAATCCCAGCTCTGCCGCTTCCTGGCTGTGGAATCCTAGGCAAGTCACTCATCTCTCCATGCCTTGGTTTCCCCATCTCTAAAATGGACATGATGATAATAGTGTCTATCTTGCAGAGGGCTCATGGGGCTTAAATGAGTTAATAAAGCTCTTAGAACTGGCACAAGGTATGCAGGATAGGGGGCTGGTGATGATTATGTGCTAACATTTTCTGAATACCTGCTGTGAGCCAGATATTGTGCTGGGCTCCAGGGAGACAGCAGTGAGCAATTCTGCCTCTGGTTACACAGGGCTCTCCATCTCCACCTGGATAAGGATTAATATTGCTCCCATTTTACAGATGAGAAAACTGAGGCCTAGACCTGCCGAGTGCTTGCCTGAGTCCACATACTTAGAAAGCAGAGGAGCCAGTATTTAGAACTGGCCTGCACTCTGGGCCACTGCGCTCTCTCACCTTTCAGATTTGCAGTGCTGGGACCCAGAGCCCTGGAACTCTGCCCTGAATCTTTCTGGAAAACTTGGAAACAGTTTTGAAGCAGGGGGTCTTTTCCTTTATTACAGCCGTCTCAGGAAGACGTGAAAATTTGGCTCTGATCAAATTAGGCCCATGTTGTGATATAACTTTCTATATCCACCATAAAGCTAATAAACTAATAAATTAGACAGAATGAAAATATCATTGGGCAAGGCTGCACACTGAAGCATTGCTGTAATTACTCTCACGGCCGGGGCCAATTTCTCAAATTTCGCCTTGGCCAAGTTTCTCAGCTCACCGTGTCCCTAATAAGGCATAACTCACTCTATAAACATTAAATTGACTTATTTATTTTAAATTACAGTGGAACTGAAACCACCTTGATAAACCTATTCTCCTGCATCTGCCTTCCTCATAAGCATAGCCCAGTGGTTTTTTTTTTTTTAAACAAAGAAAATATCTAGTCTGTCTCAGGACTCTTTCTCCAACCCAGACTAGCTACCCCTTTCTTACCACGATTCCAGCTTTAGAGATTTGACTCACTCCCCTGAGGTTAGCGGAGGTCGCCCATTATAGATAAAGATGATTCATGCCTAATTAATAATGATAATGGTGCTACTTTAATTGAGTGGGTTTGACTGGTATCGTGGGCCGGGCCCTCTGCTACGGCCTCTACAGGAACTCACTTAAACCTCATAATAAGCCTGCAAGGAGCGCCCTCTCATGATCCCTGCTTTGCAAGTGAAGGAGCCAGGGATCAGGGAAGGCAAGTGACTTGCCTGAGACCACACAGAGTGACTTGCAGTGAAGCTGGGACCCAGCCAGGGAGGTCTCGTGCCAAAGCCTTCGTCTTCATCACTGTGCTACCCTACCTCTCAGAAAACTTGCACCAGTGGCCTGCTGGGACTTCAAGCTGCCATGAGACATATTTATTTCTTGAGCGGTGGGAGGGGCTCAAAACCTGGTTGCAGGGAGGAGGAGGGGAAGAGCTGGATGGGCGGATGACATCCAGGCTCAGCGGCAGGTACAATGATGGGGACTCTTGCTGGGGGTCCCAGGAGGCCACAGGTATCTTCCTGGCCCAGCTGATGGAGGTGCAGGAGGGAAAGGGGTTTGGGAAGTTCATCAGAGATCATGATTGGTGCATGAGTTGGGGTTGATAAGAGGACAGCATCCCAGGCAGAGGGGAGAGCAGGGACAAGGGCCAGGCAGTGCTTCCAGAGATCTGTGGCTGGAGTGAAGGGAGGAGAGTGTGGCGATGGGGCGGGGATAGGAGAGGATCTCAGCAGTGGAGAGCATTTCCACGGCCCATCTCTGCTCTCCAGGGCAGGTCTCATTTGGCCGCATGCAGATAATGCAACAGCGAGCTGAGAGTTTTGCTCCTCCTCCTGATCTCTGCTTTCATGTCCCTTCCTAGGTCAGCTTTTCCTGACGTTCTAGTATAGCCTGGTCAGATCTTTCTGTTCTCAGGTCTACCAGCACCCCAGATGCCTCTGGGAACTCCTCACACTATTAATTAAACACATATTTAGGTGGTTAATTCCATCCCTGTCTGCAACACTAGAAAGTCAGGTCCATCAGGGCAGGAATCATGCTCATCTTGCTCACTGTTATCTTCCTAGTAATTACCCCATCTACCATTGAGTGGCACATGCTAGACACTCAGTGTAGAATTGTTGGATGAGTGGATGGATGATGGATGGATGGATGGATGGATGGATGGGTGGATGGGTAGAGGGTGGATGGACAGATGGTAGGTGGATGATGGATTGGTAGATGGTAGGATGGATGGGTGGATGGGTAGATGGATGGAGAATGGATAGATGATGGATGGGTAGACAGTGAATGGATGGATGGTGGATAGGTGTGGATGGATAGATGGCTAGATAAGTGGATGGTAAGTGGGTGAACGGATAGCTGGAAAGATGAGAAGTGAATGAATGGATGGATGGGTGGTGGATAGGTGTGGATGGCTAGATAGGTAGATGGGGGGTGAGTGGATGGATAGCTGGAGAGATGAGAAGTGAGTGGATGGATGGATGGGTGGATGGATGGATGGACAGATGTGCTGAAGGTTTAATGAGATGCTGTGTAGAAGCCTCCAGCATATGCTTGACATAGAAAAGTCATTTGGTGTTCTTTAGGTTGGAAACACAAAGCCCCGGCCATGCTCCAGTGCAGGTATTCCCGCTTGACTCTCAAGCTTACTTTCTGGAAGGCAGAGCCCCTGATGGGAAACCAAGACCCAGAGCCAACCTCAAGCAGAGGCATCACGAGGCCAACTGAGGTCCTTGGCCCATGCCATTCACAGGGCCTGGGCTTTGCCAGGCGATGATGCAGAGCGGTGGCGGTTAGGTGCCCCAGAGACTTTGGGCCCTGTCAGAGCAGAGCTGTCATCCTGTCCCCTCCTCCCCAGCATGAATCTGACCACTGCTGAGGCCAGAGGGAATGAGTTTTTGAGCTGATTATTGGAGAATGGAAGTCTCCCCTGCTGTTAAGGGAGCAGTCCTCAGGGCCTTCCAGAAACCACAGCTGCCCTGCCCCTTCCTAACCCTTGCTTGTGGACTCAGAGGGTCCTACTCCTGCTCAGGGCTCTGCATGGACTCTCCTTTGTATCATCCTCTATCCAACCTTGAACTCTGGTGTGAACAATTCTCCTACTGTCTTGTGTGCAAGCCCCTGCCCCCGTATTTCATAGCAGGTCCCTAATGCAACCCCTGTCCCTAGGTCCCAGCTGTAGTCTGTCTCTGGGATGCCAATTCCTCCCGGATAAGACCCTGATTTGATTTTACCTCTTGGATTGATAGTGAGATCTCCATTCTTTTTGTGTAACTCTGGGCATCTTATTAGACCTCTCTGTGCCTCAGTTTCCTCAACTGTAAAATGAGGATGAGAGTAATAGTACATAATATAGTCATACTACCTCATAGGCAGCACAGGGTTGCAAGAGGCATAATGAGCTAATATGTGTAAAGTGCTTGGAACAGCGCCTGGTACATACCAAGTGCTGTGTGTTATCTATTATTAGTCAACAAATAAACATTGAACACCAATCCATGCCTAGCAATGTTCTCAATGCTGGGGCTGCAAGTAGACAGAGTGGCTCATGGAGGTAACCTCAAGGACAGAGTCCACCCTTTGTTTTATTTTGCAGAATTGATCGACATCTCTCTCTAACACTCCCTGTTTGTGTGACCTTGGGTGAGTCACGTAATCTGACTGTACCCTAGGTTTCTCATTGACCAGTGCCTGCCCCTCTAGGCTTTGGGCAGGGCTAGAGATAGTGTGGATCAAGTGCTTAGAACCAAAGCCTTCTCAGTAAATGGTGGTTAGTTTTGTTCATGCTAATTTTTCCAGGACCAGTGGTGGTTCCTCTACTCCAGGTCTGTGGCTAGAAAAAAACACATTTCATCTTTTCCCATACTACCACCTCACTCCTCACCACAATCCTGTGAGGCAGGCATCACAATACTGAACTTTACAGATTAAGAGACATTGCACAGAGAGGTTAAGCAACCTACCCAAGGTCACGGTGTTTTCAAGTGGCAGAGCTGAGGTTTGACCCCAAGTCTGTTGGATGCCACTACCTGTGCTCCTGGCTACTAAGCCACACTCCTCTCCATGGGAACCACACCTGAGAGCCAGGACAAAGCCTTGCACTTCCAGGAATCATTTGAAAATGTGGATTCTTGAGGCTTGGTCTAGAGTGTTTGTCAAGAGCCGCATCTATGCACCTTCTCTCTGGTGCACCCAATGGCTCCACATTCCTGGGACCTCCTGGTCCTTTTCTTTTCCCCCACTCAGTCTATGGCCATGAATCCACATTCATACCCAGGCCTCTCAAAAGACAGCAGAGGAGAGCTGAGTGATTGGAAGAAAGCATGAACACCAATGCCAATGCATGGCATGATGACAAAGCAAACACACATGTGCTAACTACGGGGCAGGCACCGTCCTAAGTGCCTTCTGTGTATTATCTCATTTAATCCTCTCAACAACCCATGAGAAAAGTACTCTCATTACCCCAAATTGTAAGGTGAGGAGATGGAGACACAGAGTGGTAGAGTGACTTACTCCAGGTCACGCAGCGAGTCAGGATTCAAAGCTGGGCAGCTAGGCTCTAGAGTCCATGCCCCACTGTCTTTGTCATCCACGCTATTCATGCAGGCCCTAGCAGTGGGGGCTGAAGAATGCATGGGAAAGGTTCCCTGCAAAATGAAAGACCTTCCTAGAAGCCAGCAGGTAGTCATGGTGACTATAGATGGCTCTTCCCAAACCAGGATTGTGGGCCACACCACACCCAGCCATTGGCATTTCCTGAGCCAGTGTAACTGTTAAATGATGCAGCTGTGGGAATGAGGAAGAAGCCCTGGCCCCCCGTCCCAAATTTGCAGGTGGGTAGACAGTTATTTCCTTCCTTATTCTCACCTTGCCCTCACTACCATCAAAAAACACGTCTCCTTACATTGTTGGCAATTGGCAGAAGGGACAGATACTGAGGGCTTTGGTTGATTGTGATGCATCCATTAAAATGTACCAGCTTGCTGAGCCACAGATCACTTCTGCAGGCCTTGTCTCCACTGATAGGGTGCATGCACGTGTGCGTGCGTGCGTGTGTGTGTGTGTGTGTGTGTGTGCGTGCGTTTGGCAAAATGGGACTGTTTCTGCTTAGACCTTGGTGAGAATCCAAGGGGCTCACTCCAGGAATTTGAACCCACTGGGCACTCACCCATTCAGGTGGATGCCACCCCACTTCTTCCATGGCAGGATCATCCCTGAGCACCTGACGGCCCCAGCTCACTCACTGACTTGCACACTCTCTCCTTTGGGGCCCTTTCCTCACCAGACCTTGCTTACAAACCAGGGACTCACAGCCCAGAATCGGCCTGTCAACACGCTCTATTTGACTAACACTGAACGTTTTTAATTAAAACTATGTTTTTAATTAAATCAATGACAAATTATTGAAAACCAGGAGATTTTACAAACAAATCTATACGTTTGGCTTTGCTTTAAAAAGCTGAAGATGTGGCTTTTATACCGGTTATTCCCAAATTGTAGGAAACAGCCACCATAAATAATGGCTGGATTTAAACCAGGGAATGACCTCTTCCTTCCCTCACCATCCACACCACTCTGTATTGTCTGAAATGATATCGGTGAGAACTACTTTTGGCTCCATGCAACAAAAACCCAAAGTGAGTATGTCTTAAACTAGATAAGAGTTTATTTTTCTTTCTCCTAAGAGTCCCAGGTAGCCTGTCTAAAGGACAGAGGGTGCTCCTTGGTGTCAGGGACTCAAGCTCCTTCCCTCTTGATGTTCCACTGTGCATGGCTTCCATTCTGAAGGTCACCTTAAAGTTTAAGAAGGCTGCACCAGCTCCAGCCATTACATCTACATTCCAGCTAGGAGGAAGCAGGAAGAAAAAAAGGACACACCCCCTCCTATAAGAACCCTTTAGGAATTTGTGTGTAACACACCTACTTACATCCCTCTGCCAGAACTTAGTCACATGGCCACCTGCTGCAATGGTAACTGGGAAGTGTAGTCTCTATTTTGGGCAACCATGTGTCCAGGAAACTATCATAGTAACTATTACTATGAAAAGAAGCATAGCTGCTGAATTGTTTAACTTCTTTACACAGGCTGTAAGCCCGTGAAGATGAAACTTTGTCTTTGACTTTGGCTCTGAGCTTCTGCTACTTCATTAAAAATTTATGTACTGTTGTTCCTCTCATTAAGTTGTTCCAAGGAATTCACTAGGAGATGACGAATGTAAGTATGTCTAGCAAAGTTTTGGTACTTAATATAAGCTCAGCGATTGTGCATTTGTTTCATCTATTCTACACCAGATGTTACTTGTCTCCCCTTTGTCAGGACTTTGCTCCTCAGTGAAGCCTCCCTGACCTCCCAGCAATTTCAAATTTTAAATAGAAGCGCCCCCTCCACTCCCAGCACTCCCTATCCCTGTCCTGTCTTTCTTTTTCTAAATACACCTGTAATCACCGACCTGCTATATTTTTCAAAGGTTACTTTGTTTACCGTCTGTGTCCCTCAACTAAAATACGAGTTCTATGAGGTCAGTGGTTTTGGTTTCTATTGTTCACAGCTGTATCCCTAGCACCTAGGATAGACCCTGGTACATAGTAGGTACTCAGTAACGATATGTTGGATGCATGAATGACCAGATAGCTATTGCCTTCTCAGAGCTGGGTACTGTGCTCAGTGTGAGAGACAGAACCGGAAGCAAGATATCTTCTAGTTTCCATCTCCCCATGGCACTGAGCCCAGAGCAGAACACGCTAAGATAAATACCTATTACCTTGGATCGGATCTTGGTGCCAGCAGGAGTCCAGGCATTTTAATTTTGTTTTGACAAAGGGGCTGATAGGAGAAGCTGGCTGGCTCCTCTGTCTCTCATCTGCTGGCAGCCCTGGGCACCCTGGCCTGACCTTCCCCGCCTTCAGCACCACGTAGCGCAGGACAGTCAAACATAATTGGCCTGCCCTACTTTTTAAGAGAACCCAGATTGAAGGACTGGGCTTTTGGTGGGCTGACCTGTTTAAGAGCCTTAAGAGGAAGCTCGGAGTTTCAATTTTCCACTGCCAAAGCAAAGCTGTTTTTAGCTCCGCTTTGATGAAGCGGCGGGAGTCAGGTTTGGCCCCGGGTCATCCATCAGCTGACCTGGTTGGGAAAGGCCTCCTGTGGGGGCCCCAGGCCTAACCACAGCTTCGCAAGGAATGCTCAGGTTTGCTTTGCCCAACTGGAGTCATCGGTCCTGCTCTGAAGCTGCCCCTGGTCCATCCCAAAAGACAGACAGTGAGAGAGAGATCTCCAGCCATTCTCAAATATTTTATCTTGTTGATGGGCCCCTGGACTTGAGTTCCTGCCCAATTCCTCCAGGAGTTAGCTGCGTGACCTCAGACAAATTGCTTGGCCTCCCTGGGCCTCAGTTTCCTAATCTGTTCAGTGAGGTTTATCATTCTGATCTCAATGGGTGGTTGTAGGTACTAAATGATGTAATGCCGGTTGACTGCTGTGTCCATCTCAGGCTTTGAGGATATTTCACCTGGACCCTCTCCCTGCAGGAAACTGGGCTGATTGACATCCACGCGGGTAGGCCAAGTCAGCTCAGAGCTTTCTCTCTGAATTGCAGTGCTCTGGCATGCTGCCTGCTTTTCTAGGGGTCAAGCACCATCTCTTTGAACCTCTTTTCTGATCGTTTTGTCAAACTGTGGTGGAAGAGTTTGGCGTCGGGGGCTCTGGCCCTATATTGGAGGGACCCATATGATGCATTCTTGCTGGAGTTTGCTTCCAGGGAAAACATGGTCCCTGCAGACAAAAGGGTCTGCCCTTGGTCACCAGAAGCAGAGGCAGGTTGTGCACCAGGCCTCCATGTTGCTGTAGAGCCACAGTCTGATGCCTCGATGACCCCAGAGCCTCCACTCACTCTGCCTGCCCTTTATGACTCTCTCTCCAGCCTGAAAGAGTTTGTTTCTGTTCTGCCACTGATTGATTGTGTGACCTTGCAGAAGCCTCGGCCTCTCTGTGTGCTACACCCACCTCAAACAGCAACTAGCCTGTGAGTTAAGGGCACTGTCTTCATCCATTTGGAAAGCTGTAATAAAATACCATAAACCAGGTGGTTTATGAACAATAGACATTCATTTCTCACAGCTCTGGAGACCGGGAAGCCCAAGGTCAAGGCAGATTCCAGGTTGGCTGGGGGCCCACTACTTGGCACATGGAGCCCTCTCACCCCATGAGCCAGAAAGTGGCTGTGTCCTCCCATGCTGGAAGAGACCAGGCAGCTCTCTGGGGCCTCTTTTGTGGGGGTGCTCATCCCACCGTAATCGCCTCCCAAAAGCCCCTCCTTCTAATACAATTCCATTGGTAATTAGGTTTCAATATCTGAATTTGAGGAGGACACAGACATTTGGACCGTAGCAGGTATCAGCTCTGGAGCCTGGCTGCAGGGTTCAGGACCCAGCTTTGACACTCTCTGGTTGAGTAACTTCAGCCAACAAGTTGTAAGCAACATCCCTGTGACTCAGTTTCCTCCTCTGTGAGGGCCGGGTGACAATAACAACACCTACTTCATGGGAGTGTTGTGAAATTGAGTTTTACAGATGGGGAAACTGAGGCATTAACTTGTCCCAGATCACTCAACTACAGCATGTTACAGCTGGGTGGTTCTGGCCCATGGGAAGGTCTAGAGAGGTTATTAGCTATTATTGTTCTTATTGCAAAAGGCTTTCCCTGAGAATTGAATGAGATCAGTTTTCAGTGCCTCGCACAGGGTCTCGCACACAGGAGGTGCTCAGTGAACCTCTCACTGGTACACTGATGAACGAGGCCTGCATCGGCTCCTGGAACTCAAGGGCGAGGGACCTGATGCTGACCTTGCCCACAGTAGGGGCACAGCCATGTTCATTGAAAAAAGATCATAGAAACAACAGGTTGAGGAAGTCCGGGAAACCCAGAGGCAGCCACCTTCCACGCCCGTCTTCCCTCTTCTGGTGGAGGCAGGCTTGGTTCCAACAGGCTTGGGGCCTTCCTGATGCCAGCTCTCACCCACCACCAAGTAGAGAGGCAGAGGCAGAGATTCCTGTTAAATAAAGCAATCACGAACGATAGGAAGGAGGCGGCGAGCTCAGCCACGGGCCCAGCCTTCCAAGTTTGCTCACTGCCCAGCTTCTTTGGTCTCATTTCCCTTTGGCCAACCACCTGGCTCCTGGTTCCCCACCACACGGAGTCTTTTTCTGAAGAGCACGTGCCCCACGCCCCCTGCCTGCCAGTCCTGGGATGGCGTCGGGTGAAGGTAGGAAAAACACTCTGAACCCTGGGCCCTCCCGCCCCTGCCCACCCCTGAACCCAGAGCCTGAGTCCAACAGGCTGACCAGTGAGGGGCTAAGTGGATCAGTCAGGACCTGGAGGAGGAAGTGGTTTCCATGGCAGCAGCCAGAGTCTGGAAAAGAGGCCTGGAGAGGAAGCCGGTGGAGAAGAGCGGGAGATGTCGGAATGGGTGAAGGGGAGCGGGAAGCGATGGGCCAGGAAGTCAGGGGAAGGGGTCAGCCAGTGAAAGATGGAGGGTGGGAATGGGGAAGCGGGTTCAGGGCCCAAGGTGAACAGCAGTGGCTGGACAGGGCAGGAAAGAGCGGTCGGGACCAGCGACCCCATATCTGTCACCACCCAAGGGCCTGTCACTGACTTCCTGGCTTGGATGATCTAGGATCCCAAGCTAAGCTCTCTCTGGTTTTTCTTGGGGTAATTCAACATTGGAAAAGAAAACCTGATTTCTCAGAGGTGCTTTCTCACATTGGAAAAAGGTTCCTACCAGTTTGCCCACTGGTAAATCATGACTGGCAGGTCTGGGGTGTCCCTCTAGTCAGGAGTAAGGGAGCTTTCCATGGTGACCTTGTCCTGTCCCAGCTTCACCACCCAGGGCCTCAGGACAAAGGGCTTGAGGTGCAGAAGCTGAAGCTGAGAGCCGATGACCTGCCTGAGGTCACACAGTCCTGGGAGGTAGAGCAGAGTGTGGTGAGCCCCACCCGTCCAGCACCAAAAGTCCCCTTGCAGTGTGAAGATAGAACTGAGAAAGATGTGGCTCAAACATGGCCCAGTGTGAGTCAAGAGTTGTCCCCTCGTTCTCACCCTTCAAGGTCAGCAGGAGGAAATGGCCAAGGAGCTAAGGCAGCTGGGCCGCCAACGATCAGGCCAATTTAAGAGACGTCTATGGCAGGGGTGGAGCCTGAGAGGGGTCCCAGGCTCCCTGAAGCGGGTGAGGGGAGGGCTTAGGGAGGGAGCTGGGGGCAGGGCGGAGAGGGCATCGGCTGGAGTATTCTGGAACTTCTCCCCTCTGTGCCTACTTTCTTTGGTACCCCTCCTAGCCAGCCCTGCATTCCAGTGGATGCCACAGATATTTTGTACCCAATGAGCAACTGTATGACAGAAACCATTTTCAGGTTGGGGGGCGGTGAAAATCATACTAATGGCTTTTTAAAGGCCCTGAAGAAAAAGATTTCAGGCAGCCTTGGAATTGGCGAAAACACATAAGGAGGAAGGTCATAAAATTCCCAGTGTCCAGGGGCTCAGCTCTTAGGTAGTGGGGCTTTTCCGGAGGCTCCAGGCCCCCTGTCCAGCGCTGCCCCATCCCTGCCTCTCTCCCCGGTCCCACTCCCCCATCCCACTCCCAGGCTGTACAACCTGGGAGACCTTCCATCTGTGCTGAGTGTTCTCAGGGAAGCCCACCACATTAAGAATGGCCGGGCTCCTGACTGGCTCCCCAGCCAGAGGAATGGCTGGAAGGTGGCAGGAGACCCCAGGCAGTGGGCTCCCAGCCCCATGGAATGATTCGGCCGTGTCTTTTCCCTGTTTGGCTGGGGGAGAAGTTGGACCCAAATTCTCCTGCGTTGTGTGGTGAAAAGAGCACCATGTATTTCTGGCTCATTGAGATACCTTGACTCATTAAGACTTCTGGCTCACAGCAGCCACAGCTGCCTATCACTGAGCACGTACTCCACATCCGCCTCTGGATGGATGCATAGGCTTTGTAACAAGATGGCCGGATCGCCAAGCCTCCCCAACCGCCTGCAGGGGGCGGTCATGAGCCCCCATTTCCCAGAACCTTTGACGGATCACCTGGTCCAGGTGGCCCGGCCGCTTCTTCCCAGATCTGCTGCTGATTGCTGCCTGGCCTTGCATAAATCACCTCCCTGTCTTTAGTTTTCTTGACTGGACAAACCAGGACTAGCTGGTCACCCTGGTTAAGACCAGACTCTTCTGGGAGAGCTATTAAAGGAATGGAGCTTCTCCATGTACATTCTGTGCTCACAAGACAGGTCCCTTAGCTCAAGGGAGGGTCTCCTGTGTCCCCCTGCTTTTCTGCTTGGTGCTGTCCAATGGCCCCACCCCTCCCGGAGGAAGTGTGTCCCTACTGTGTCCCTGGAAAGGGCCTGATGGAGGAGAAAACCCAGGGCTTGGCCAAAAGGAGGGTAGGGAGTCATTTCAGGATTTCGGGTTATTCCGTCTTCGGTATCCTTGGAGCTGAAACTTCGCCTTCACAGGCAGGTCCCCAGGAATATATTGACACCATTGTTAAGGTGTCCTTAGTCAAGTTCACAGCAGGGAGGATGAGACAATTTGCTCTTGAGCTAGGCCTGGAGTCTGGGTCCCACTTTCTGGGCTGAGCTCGAGTGTAGACCCACCTCCACCAGGCAGGGAAAGACAGAGAGTGCATCGCCATCTCTTTCAGAAGCCGGAGGACAGGAAGCAGGTACAGAGCAGGGGCTGGGAGAGCAGAGCAAGGCTCAGCATTCGGTTAGTGCAGGGGCCATGTCTGTGTGTGTACAGCTTTCTGGCAGCCCCTGGTGTTTGAAAGAACCCCTGTCCTCAAGGAATGTCCATTCAACGATATTCATTAGGCAGCTGCCCTGTGTCAAAAACATCCAAGCACTAGGCTCTGGTATTTGAGGTTTGGTGAAGCCAATGGAAGGAGACCACCCAGTGTGTCTGCGGTGGGGCAGGGCAAGGGTAAACAGATGGATGGACTGAGGGGGAGGGAGAAGGACTGAGGCCCTGAGTCTTCGAGCGGGCTTGTCTGACCAGCAGCAGCGGTACCTGGTGGCTGGTTAGAAATTCTCAGGGCCCCGGAATGATTCTGCCATGCCTCTTTCCTATGTGGCTGGGGGAAAAATTAGACCACAACTCCCCAGCATTGTTTGGTGAAAAGAACATCAGCTATTTTTGATTCATTGAGACTCCAACTGTAGGCTCACCATAATCTGCGCTGGAACCAAATCCTCAGGGGATTCTTGTACATCCCAGAACCCCCCTGGGGTCTCCTGTAAGGGACCCCACCCCACCACAAGGTCTAGGGAGGCCCTTTCCTGCCTGTCTCCATCTGTTTTCCCAGGTCTGCCAGCTACCACAAATGCTACCCCCAGTAGCTAATCTATTCCCCAGTCCTGGGAGGTTTGTGCTCTCACCCAGGGACTGTGATGGAAAAGCAAGATGCCGTGAGGGCAGCCGGGGATAGGCAGCAGCCAGGGCTGGCTGAGCAGGTGCACACCTGGGTCACTAGGCCAAGCTAACTGACCTGAGCCACCCACAGCTCCCAGCCACCTCTGCCAATTACACAGGTGTGAGGAGGTGGGGGGAAGAGCAGAGACCTCTTCCCCGCCCATGCCCCCCCCTTTTTTTTCCAGGGAGTAGCAAACCTTTTCCATGTGTCTTATTAGCAAACATCCCTCTAGTACCCAGAGTGGCCAGACACTTTATCGCCAGTTTTATTAGCTCTGCCTCACGGCTCTGTCCAGGTGGAGCAGGCATTCTGCAAATGTTGCCCCCATATCACAGGGCATGACCCTGAACTTGGAGAATGAGCAGGTGTTGGAGGGAGTGAGAAACAAGGCCCAGGCCTCAGGGAAGAAGCAGCCCATCAGGGATGCATGGCAGGCGCAGAAACAGTAAAACTTCATTACTTCATGCTTGGGATCTTTCCAGCAGGAATGAGGGAGGGCAGAGCCCAGGCAGGCACTTGGCTCATAAGATTGCAGGGGGTGTGTTTAACCTACTTGCAGGAACAACTCTGTCCCCAGCCCTTTAGAAGCTTGGTTTCCATGCAAACAATGGTTATACAAATGAAAAGCCTCTCTCATCTCTTCATTAAAGCACAGCCTCAAAGGACCCATCACTACCTGAATCTTCTCTGTTAGCCCAGAATGAGATACTGTGTATATAAATGAAGACGTTTGAATTACAAAATGCTTTTTAAATCGGGTAGATTATGAAAGTTTGGTCCTGAAGAGTCTTCTCCTTCAGTTGCTGAATTTTGGCAAGGATGCAAAACCACACACCACGTTCCTCCCTCCATCTGTCCCTCCCTTCCTCCTGTCTGGGTCTGGGCCACATCTGAGTTTGCAGTCAGACTGAATTTGGGCTTGCTCCCGTAGTCGATGGAAGCTGCAGGAAGGGTTTATGTTGGGAAAGGACAGGCCAGATCTTCGCTGTCATAAGGTCACTCTGACAGCAGGGTGGGGGCCTCAGGCAGGGAGATGGTGGCAAGAATGAAGACAAAAATGGAGAGGTTCTGGGCCAAGCAAGACAGTGGGGTGGAGGCGAGGAAACATCGATGAGCCTCCTGTGCCACAACATCCTCTAATCTGGGCGAAGATTAAAAGAAAAGAGGGTCAGGGGCACCCAGGCAAATGTCATGCACCCTTTTCTCATAGAGAAATCCTGTAGCTCCCCATTCTTCCTCTCCAAGCCTTTTGATCCACGTTGCACACACAATTCCAACAGGACTTGTTATTTGAAGCTCACTGCAAATTGACAGCAACACTTAGAAAGTAGGAATAGGTTGGCGGGGAGGGGCATGAGGGGCAACATGGAGTGAGCTGCTTCTAGAAGAAGGCACTGAGCAGTGTGGGCAAAAAGACAAAAACTCATGAAAAACCAAGAAGCCATCATGCAGCCACTTTAGAAGACATTTGAGCAGTGTCTTATAAAGTTAGGTATAGGACCAGCCGTGCCATGTCCTCATTTGCACACACAGCACCTCTCCCTGGGCTAACAGAGACGATCCAGGTAGCTGCCAGGCCTTTGAGGCTCTGTTTTAATGAAGAGAGAGCCATCCAGGTGTCCATCAACAGGAGGATGGGTAAGTAAATGGTGTGTAGCCACGAAATGCGATGCTGTTCAGTAGGGAAAGGGACGCAACAATTGGTGAAGGCAACAACATGAATGAATCTCAAAATAATGACAAGGAGTGGAAGAAACCAAGCAAAACATAGTACACACTTTGTGATTCCATTTATATAAAATCCTAGGAATCATGATTTATAGTGACAGAAAGAGGATCAATGGCTGCCTGAGGATGAGGGGCATAGATTATAAAAGGGCACAAGGAGCTTTTTGGGAGAGATGAGTATGTTCATTATCTTGATTGTGGCAATGGTCTCAATACATTGAAACTTATCAAATGTGGAAATGCTGAGTAGGTACAATTTATTGTTTGTCAATTATACCCCAATAAAGCAATTAATAAAATTGAAACAAACAAAGGCAAGGATCCCAGGAGACATTTAGCATCAGGATAAACTCACCTAACACATTGCAAAACCCCTAAGACTCGACAGGATGAGATTGATGTTTGTTTTAATGACCTTGATCCTGGGACAGGTTAATTAACGTCCAGCCTCCTCCCTCTAAGAAGTAGACGGATGTAGACTGGAGGCAGATTCCAGAGAAAAGGTGTCTTTATAGTGTGGTCATTTAAAAGTATAGATGTTCCCGGACTTATGATGGGATTACGTCCCAATAAGTCCATCGTAAGTTCAAAATATCTTAGGTCGAAAATGCACTTAAAACATCTGATCTACAGAACATCATGGCTTAGCGCCTAACCTAGCTTAAATGTGCGGAAAACACTTTCATTAGCCTACACTCGGGCAAAATAATCCAACACAAAGCCCATTTTGTAATAAAGAGCTGAGTATCTCATGGAATGTATTAAATACCATACTGAAATTGAACCATGGAATGGTTGTATGGCTACTCAAAGTCTGGTTTCTACTGAGTGTGTATGACTTTCACGCTGTCTTAAGTAAAAAAATCGTAAGTTGAACCATTGTGAGTCGGGGACCTTCTGTATTGTTTTGTCTGTCTTGTTCCCTTATATATACTCAACACCACAAGCGGTGCATGGTACATGGTGGGTGCTTAACGATTTGTTTTAAAATTTTCATCAATTAACAGTGTAAGGAGAAGAATATGACAAGCACTCCCAGCATGCCAGGCCCTGTTGTAAGTGCACTGGTATGTGTTCATTCATTCAGGCTTCAGTTCTCAGCAAAAGTCAAATATTGGATCACTTGGTTCTTCAACAGCACAGGAAAAGCAAATCAAACTCATTTCCTGTGTCCTCACAGCTCCACCCTCCCCTCCAGTGTCTCCATTCTATGAAAATCTAGGATTCTTCCCAGTGGAAAGGCAAAACCAGGAAAGGAAAGCTAAGCAGAGGCTGTAAACTCGTGTGGGGCGTGGAGAATGTGCACAGGACTTGCTCAGCAAACCTCAGTCATCAGAATTAAGGGGCCCGCCAGAAGCTTGGAGCAGGAAATTTAGGAAAATAAAAGGCCATCCTGTTTCTTCCAGCAGGGAGAAAACATATGGCTCTCATTACCTAGAGAGGTGGCAAGCCTCAGAATAGAGACACGCTCAAGAGTGATGGAGGCAAATTCAGAGACCAGAGAGCTCAAATCAATTTGCTGATAAAGGAAGATCTGGGGGCAGTGGGGGAGAGCATTCATGGGCTCCAGCCTCCATCTGGCTTGAATTCAAATCATGCCACCTACTCACTCTATGTAGCAAAGATTCAGTTAGAGAGGGTAAAATGCTCAGTGCAGTGCCTCCTACTGTAAATCTTTATACATATTGGCACCTCCCCAGATGCTGTAATCCACAAGACAGGTGTCATAGCACCCATGTATCAGATGGAGAAACCGAAGCTCAAAGAAGCCAAAGGACCTCATCCAACATCACATGCTAGTCAGGTGCAGAGCCAAGACTAGAGCCCAGGGCTCTTGACTCCTGGTGCAGACTGTTTCCACTAACCTCATTCATACAGGTGATACTCCTTGAGCACCTACCAAGTGACCAGGCTTCCCTCCTTGCCTGGGAGGGAAAAGAAACAAGTTATACTGCAGCATGACATGGACAGGTATGTGCTCCCAGAGACAGATGCAGCCCTGGAGAGGTGGAGATGAATTATGTCTTTGGAGGGCTGGGCAGTCAAGGTAGCCTGCCTGGTGGAGGTGGCATCTGAATGTAGAGCCTATAGAGCTTAACATTATAGGCACAAGCATGGAGGCAGGGACCAAAACCTCTAGCATCCGTGTACCCACTCCCAATCCAAGCCTCAGTTTAGGGCATGGCATACTTCTGTTGAAGGTGGATGGCCCACAGCCCTGGCTCCAGATTCAGCAGAAGCTGCAGTGCCCAGCGCTTGCATGGCCTTACCTAGTGAAGGCATGCAGGTCACGGGGCATGCAGCATCCGCCCTCGCTGTGCCTGGCTTTTCAAAAACACAATTACTCACCCTTCAGAGATGCCGTCGGTGTTGGTAAACTCCAGCCGCTAAACTGCATTACACTGATCTCTCCAGAAACCTTTGCAGTTATTAATAGTTTATTGATCACAGCCCATTGCTGATGAGAGCAGGCCTCCTCACCCTCACCCCCCTCGGGTCCCTGCTATCTGTGGAAAGCCTTCTATTCATCATGCAGATCAATGCCACTCAATTCTGGGGAAAGGGAGTCTCTGGGCCACTTAATCCACTTTAGAAAGAAAACAGAAAAGACCAAATTTTAGATGAGGTGCTGAGAAGAGATGGATTGGTCAAAATCAAAGCTGTGACCTGGCAGCTGTTTGGTCTGCCAATGAGAACTAGAATCTGCCTTGGTTGGAAGTGGGGGGATCCTGGCCATGTCAGATGGTAACAGGGGAAACCAGGTGAGGGGTGTACAGCGATCTCTGTTATATTTGCAAATCTTCTGTGATTCTAAACTTATCCAAAATACAAATTTTATTTTTTTAGAAAATAACTTGGCTCATGGGAGGAATGGAAAGAATGCCACTGTAGCTGGAGGAAGGGGCAGGGGCGAGAGAGAAGGGAAGGTGGGAGACATGGCTGGAGGAAGGGGCAGGGGCGTGGGAGAAGGGAAGGTGGGAGACATGGCTGGAGGAAGGGGCAGGGGCGTGGGAGAAGGGAAGGTGGGAGACATGGCTGGAGGAAGGGGCAGGGACATGGGATAAGGGAAGGTGGAAGACATAGCTAGAGATGTAGAAGGAAAAAGTGTGCTGGGCCCTGTTGGCCAAGATGATGATTCTTATCTCTCTTTTTGCCATTTTTTATTGATAAACTTTATTTTTTAGAGCAGCTTAAGGTTCACAGCAAAACTGAGCAGAAAGTACAGAAAGTTCCCACCTGCCCCTGTCCCACACATGTACAACCTCTGCCACCATTGACTTCCTACACTTCAGTGACACATTTGTTACCATCAATTAACCTACATGGATACATCGTTACCACCCGAAATCCGTAGTTCACAGTAGGGTTCACTTCTGGTGTTCTGCATTTACTAGGTTTTGGCACATGTTACTACCTTTTGAAATATTTTTATCGAATTGATATTGCTGTTTCATATTTTAAGATTTACAGTTTTATTTCTATTTAGGAGATTTTTATATTCTCCATTTTATTTTATTTTATTTCCATAGGTTATTGGGGAACAGGTAGTGTTTGGTTACATAAGTTCTTTAGTGGTGATTTGTGAGATTTAGGTGCGCCCATCACCCGAGCAGTATGCCCTATCCCAATTTGTAGTCTTTTATCTCTCACCCCCTCCCACCTTTTCCCCCAAATTCCCAAAGTTTATTGTATCATTCTTATGCCTTTGCATCCTCCTAGCTTAGCTCCCACTTATGCATGAGAACATACAATGTTTGGTTTTCCGTTCTTGAGTTACTTCCCTTAGAATAGGGGTCTCCAATTCCATCCAGGTTGCTGTGAATGCCATTATTTTGTTCCTTTTTATGGCTGAATAGTATTCCACGGTATAGATATATACCACAGTTTTTTAATCCACTCATTGATTAATGGGCATTTGAGCTGGTTCCGTATTTTTGCAATTGCAAATTGTGCTGCTATAAACATGCGTGTGCAAGTATCCTTTTCATATAATGTCTTTGTCATAAAAGCAGAGAGAGCCTTTGTTGGGACTTAGGTAAGGGAGTACCATTCATCTCATTTGCATTTGAAAAGATCTAGATTCTACCTGGAGAATGGATCAGGAGGGAGATTACCAGGGATAGAAAGCCCAGTAAACCTCTGCCTCCATATTCCAGGTGAGAAGAGATGCTGACTGTGGAGATGGAGGGAAGTGGATAGTTCAGGATCTATTAGGAGTAGAACACCCAGGACTTGGTCGCTGTCTGTATTTGGAGGGTGTGGAAGTGGGAGATGTCAAGGAGGGTGCCCAAGAGTGTGCCTTGGGCTAATGGTGGAGGACAGGTCTGGACATTCAAGGAACTAGGGAACCTGGGCTTGCTCCTTCAATCGATGGTAGAAGGAGCATCTGGGGCTGTACACATAGTCCTCAGTGAGAAGCTGCCTTTTTCATAAAGCAGCAATCCCGGTGTACCCCGAGCTGTCTTCTATACCACCTGTGAGATGTCACCTACATGTGTCACCCAAGCATATTGCTTACGTTACTATCACCTGAGCATGTCATCAGGGTAGCAGTTGCCTAAACATGACACCTGTGTCGCTATCCTATAAACACATCTTCTGCAGCCATCACCTAGGTGGTGGTTACCTGCACGTATCTGCCTGGGTGTCAACCATGTTATTATTATCTTATTACCTCACCTGGAGAGCTGCCAGCTACACATGTCTCCTGAGCCTGTTTCTTTACAGAGCTGTCACCTGAACCTGCCACCTGAACTCCTTTCACCTACAAAAGTCATTTAAGCAGGTTGTCTTTATAACCAACACCTATGAGTGTCACCAAGTGCAAATTCTGCTCCTACTGTTTGTAAGCCATGGGGTCTTGGGTAAGTCATGCCATCTCTCTCTGAGTCTCTTTTTTTTTTTTTTATCTAAAATATGTCACTCCAGGTGACTGTCACTCAGTAATGGCGCCTGGTAGAGAGGCTATTTTTTCAGTCTAGCTGAGTTACAAACAAAGAAAATCATTCCCAGAGGGGAGACTGGTCCCCTGCTGTTCCCATGTCACTGCGCTCTTTATTCTGAGATCAGGGAGTGGAGGGGGACGGCGTCTTCTCAACAAAGTCCCCCTGATGAAAAGCTTCCCATTCTTTAAGTCCTTCCATGACAGTCGGTAGACCAGATGTCAACCTCTGTGTGTTCTATGTAAATGAAGGTGTTTGTTTATGCTAATGTGTGCTGGGTGGTGGGAGGGATGGGCTGGCTCAGCTCACTAAGACGACAGTGATGGAAAAAGAGGCTGGCAGCCCAGGTGTGGGGGGACAGTGAGTCACAGGGGAAAAGGAGCCAGAAGACGAAGATGGAGCAGGTAGCTAAAAGGAGAGAAGAAAAGAGCGAAGCTGAGGTTATGTTGCTCTGCAAAAGCAGGTGGGAGAGCAAAGTGGGAAGTGTGTCCAGGAGGCTGAAGGGAGGATAAGAACTGGATTGAAAGAACCTCCATTCTCAGGGGTGGCAGATGGGTCACACGCCCAAGAGCCTGAGCGCCAACCAACTGCTGCTCTTTTGTGTCCCCAGTGGGGTCCTTGTCAGGCAGGTTAGTCAGGTAAGTCCATGGGTATGGATCCCTTCCCATAGTTTTCTGCTATGACTTGAGAACTTCTAAGACTTAAACAGAACCCCAGTCCCTCTAAGTTGTAGCCAGAATAGGCTGGAACTCGCATGAAGACAGACATATTTCCCCAATGCAGCAATGACATAGCCTCTGCAACTCCAGGCCAAGGCTCCTTCCCATCCAAGTGTCCAGATTCCACTTGCCAGGAATTCGCTCTCCCCACAGAGCTTCGCAGGACCCAGGAAAAACACAAAATGGCCCCTCTATCCATTTGGTGCAATGTTCCTGCTTACAAAAGTCCTGCAGGGACATCATTGCATTTAATCTTCACTGCAGTCACAGGAAGTAGCATCTCCACTGTTTAGGAAAGAAAATGGAGTCTCCAGGAGAGATGGACTGACTTAGCCAAGGTCCCATGATTTACAAACAGTAGGAGCAGAATTGGAACCTGGTTCTCTTTGACTCCATGTCAAGGCTCTTTTCAATATAGAAGGGAGGAAAGAGCCTCCCTGCTTGCATTTTCCATGGGGAGACAGAGCAACATACCAACTCATTTTCACATGGTCTGACCCTATAGATGCTATGGAAAGATCCAGAACAGGAGCCATCCAACTACAGCCTGCAGGCCAAATCTAGCTCATCGCCTATTTTTTTACAACTTGTGAACTGAGAATGCTTTTTATACTTTGAAATGGTTGGAGAAAAAAACAGAAGAAGGATATTGTATGGCAAATGAAAATTATGTGAAATTCAAATTTAAATGATCATAAGTAAAGTTTTATTGGAGCACAGTTGCACCAATTTGTTTACACACCGATTGTAGCTGCTTTTGTGCTGCAAGGACAGGGTTGAATTGCAATTGTAAAGGGCAAGAAAGCCTAAAATATTTACTCTCTGGACTTTTAGGAGAAAAGACTGAAAGCAGGTTTGAGGGGGTCTCTCCCATCCTTAGGGATCACCTCTTCTGAGACACCCTCCCAACTACCTCAGAGGTGGAAGTGGCTGCTCCCCAACCTGAGCTCAGATAAGCTCACGCTTTTCCATGTGAGTGTGGAACCCAGATCAGCTTCTCTACCTCCTTGTCTACTGGGATGGGGGCTCCTTTGGGACCTGAATTTTATTGTCTTTCTCTTCCATGATCTCAGGACTGGGCATGAAGTGGCAGCATGGCGGCATGGAGAGAGAAATTCAAATTTCCATACTGGTTCTTATTAGCAATTGAGTTCCGTCCTGAGCCTCAGTTTCCTTGTTTATGAAATGGGAATATGGACCCTATGTGGAGGCCGTCATGAGGAAAGAGGGAGCCGATGCCTCCAGTGACAGTTTTGGTCCCATACTGCATGCAGCGACATACTAAATGCCCATACCTCTTCACCTGTGCCATCCTCACGGCTCCCTGGAAGTGGGCACCATCCCAGGCTCATGGAAGCCAACAGGCTAAATAACTGCTCCAGGACCCACTGAGCACAAATTGGGCTCTGGCTGAACACAGTCCACACCTTCACTGTCTGAGATGCCGAGCACAGGGTCTGCATACAGTCGGTGTTCCATAAATGCTCCCCTCCTCCCAGCCCAGCACACAGGCCTGTGTTTGTTAGTGGAGGCTGCACCAGTGGGCATCAGGATGAGTTTCCTTGAACGCTGCCTCACCCAGCCCCACGATGAAGGGCCCTCACCCTGTCTTCTGCCTCCCCCAGGCTGCCCGAGGTCCGGATCTCAGACAATGGTCCCTATGAGTGCCATGTGGGCATCTACGACCGCGCCACCAGGGAGAAGGTGGTCCTGGCATCAGGCAACATCTTCCTCAACGTCATGGGTGAGTGCAGGGCCACTGGCCCCTGGTGTCTCAGTGAGGAGGACGAGTATGCTTGAGTGTGTGAATGTGCGCACAGAGTGGCCATCCTGGGGGCCATCCACCAGAAGTTCTGTTGTGCTGGTGTCTTCCCTTTCCTGCTCTTGTTGTGGAGGGGCAACCAGACCAAGCTGAGCCAAGGTGTGACCCGTGAAGTCTTGCCCCCCATGGGCCTCCCCTCAGGAGGTCCCCTTCTCAGCACAGGTACCCCAACAGGACCCTCCCCAGGGAGTGAAGGATAGCACCTCAGCCGAGATGCACACCTGCTGCAGAGGGAACTATTCTGCCCCTCAGCCAAAAGATTCTCCTGCACCTCCTGAGGCCTTAATGGAGAGGGCATAGGATCTGGAGATGAATTAGAAAGCGCTCATGGCTGGGATTCAGAGCTCCTGGGTTCTCACCCTCTCCCCATGCCTCCATTTATGCACATGTAAAATGGAGGTAATAATACTGGTGTCTGTCTCTAGCTGGCTGGGTCCTTGGGTAAGTCTATCCCCATCCCAGACTCAGTTTTCCCATGTGTAAAACAAGAATGCTGCTCTGCACGTTCTCAGAAGCCCCCACTGGCTCTAATGTTCTTGTCAGATACACACCTTTGGATTCTGGCTCTATTGCAAGGATGCTGGGGACTTGGCCTTGACTCCAGACTCTGTGTTCTCCGGTTTTCTTATCAAATAATACGTATCAGGGAAACAAAGCTTGCGGTACACAGGCAATCGATGAAAGCATAAAGGCCCTGCTGAAAGCCGCCGCTTCTGGGGAAATTGAAAACCTCCAAAGGCCAGACCTCCAGAGGGACATTGATTCCTGCAGCACACCCGTGGTGGTTCTGGCTTCCCGATGGAGCCACAATGCAGGAGGTGGCATTGCCAGGAAAAGCCCCTCTCTCGCAGTTACTCATGCACCACTCAGCTCCTCTGATAAAGGAACTAGCAGCGTTTGGGTGCCTGGCCCTGGGTTGGCCACACCAGGGAACCTAGGAGGGACAGAACTCAGTTTGCACCATCAAGGAACTCCAAGTCTGATGAGAGACATGTACTTAACCAATCATTTATGCATCACAATGTACTGAGCACCTACCTATGAGGTGGCCGGGAATGGACCCAAACTTTTTATAGGAAAAATGCTTATCTGTAGAGATTTTGCAGGAGACAAGCATAAAACACATGCATAGATGAATCAAAAAGAGCCTGCAACATGCTGGAAGGAAATAAAGCAGAGTAAAGGGATAAAGAGTGACTGCAGGTGGGTGGCTGCTAGCATAGGGAGGGGACTCAGGGAAGGCCCCTCTGCAGCTATTGGGCTGAGTGCTTTACATGTGTTATGTCATTTAGTCCTCACAACCAATCCAAGGGTACGTGCTAGCATTAAGTCCATTTTGCAGATGCAGAAATGGATCACAGAGAAAGCAAGCAACTTGCCTAAAGTCACACAGCCAAGATCACAAAATCCTCCTATGATATCAGGCAGCTCAGTGTTGGGCCAGGACCCAGGCATCTTGACTCCAAGGCCAGCTCTGTCGCATTGCTGGAGGCAGTGAAGACACTGCGCTAAGGCCTCAATCTAAGGTGCCTTCAAGCAAGGCCAGAGTCCTTAAAAACCATCCCTCCATGAGGCCCACACTTCCTATTACTTCACCAAAGAACCCTGAGCAGGTTATTCTCCTACTGTGGCCTCAATTTCCCCCATCTGTACTGTATTAGTCCATTTTCATGTTGCTGATAAAGACATACCCAAGACTGGGCAATTTGCAAAAGAAAGAGGTTTAATGGAATCACAGTTCCACGTGGCTAGGGAGGCCTCACAATCGCGGTGGAAGGTGAAAGACACATCTCACATGGTGGAAGACAAGAGAACTTGTGCAGGGAAACTCCCCTTTATGAAATCATCAGATCTTGTGAGACTTATTCACTATCATGAGAAATAGCACAGGAAAGACCGACCCCTATGATTCAGTTATCTCCCACTAGGTCCCTCCTACAACACATGGGAATTGTGGGAGCTACAGTATAAGATGAGATTTGAGTTGGGACACAGCCAAACCATATCATGTATCATCAGAGGGTTGACCAGACCATCCTACACTCCCTCCCAGCTCTGACACTTCTGAGTCCCTTACTCCATCCACTAGGTGAGGAAACTGAGGCACAGAGTGATCTCGTGGGACTCACTCAGGTTGCACAACTGGCCTGATGGTCTCTGCTGAGCAAGGGAGTGTGCTCCTGTGGGCCTCAATTTCCCCATCTGTAAAACAGGGATAAGGATGCTTCCCTCCTAGGGTGGCTGTGAGGCTTAAAGTAGATAAAGTTTGCAGAACGCCTACCTCATCAAGAATATCATTGAAGAGCTCAGTTACTTGGACACTGTTGTTTTTATTATCACTGTCTCTGATGTGCCCACTCCTGGGCACAACTGTGTCTGCCTCCCTCTTGCCCCTGGTTTTGGCCCCAGCAAAGAGAAGTCCCCCATTCACAGCTCCAAAGAGCCCTGCACTAGTCTGAGGAATGACTGCTCTGGGAACACAGCTTCACGCACCGTGGCAACCTGGAAGCCAGGGTGTGTCTCTGGGAGTGGCAGAGACAGGGGTCTCTCCTTACTCACCTTCTCTGGGCTTCTTCCCCAAAGGTCTGCGTGTCCTGGCACCATGCACCTATGGAAGGAGCCAGGATATATCCCAACTGTCATAATGATGGCAATGCCCCACACTTGCCCAATCTGAGCAATTTCAGAGGGGCTTTCACATTGAGGACATCATCCAATCCTCACTGCAGATCGGCGCGTGGGGGATTACTATTATCTCTAACTCACAGATGAAGAGACTGAGACCCAGGGAAGGGAATGAATTTGCTCCAGGCCTTATAGGGTGGGGGTTATCTCTGTGCCAGAGGAGCGTGGCTTCTGTAGCTCACCAAGGTCCTGAATGGTGAGGGGAGGGCCGGGGGAGGCGGCGTGGCTGAGTGTTTCTCATACAGCATCTCCTGTAACCCATCGACCACATGGGCCTGGGAGGCAGGCACCACAATAAGCCCATTGCACAGACCTGGCTCAGAGGGGCATGGGACTTGGCCGAGGTTGGAGGGTTAAAGGAGATAATCTATAGAACAGAATGTTCTGGGCCTGAGGCTTGGCACATTCTGGATGATCAATAAATAGTATCTCTTAATGACAAATAGTAGTCGGGTCAGTTACAAACCAGGCACAATTAGACCAATCTCTGTGAACGTCTCCTTCAAATATGTTTCAGGGCAGGTTTCAAAAATTAAAATCGACTCATTGCTTTGGTTCATCTGTGGCATTGCATTCACACACAAAGACCCTCTCTTCAAACGAGCAGAGGTCACTGAACATTGGGGTCTCTTTTGTGCCACACGGGACCCTAAGGGCCACTGCAGCCAAACTGGGGCAAGACAGACCCTCCCCAGTTTGGAGGTCAATGGGAAGCTCCCAGGACAGTGGGGAGAAGGAGAGCCGAGGAGCTGGGGACGGCCCAGGGCCCACCTGCCTCAAAGCACAGAGCAGTTCCACCAGAAAGCCCAGCACCCCAGTCTACCATCCACACGTCCACATCCAGCACATTCTAACGCGGCCATTTCCAGAGGCCTCCGGGTGAAGATGAAAACGCGAGTGCAGCTGTAATTTCACGCCTATAACATCCCACTGTGTGGTGGGGAAAGACATTTGGGAGTCCCGTGGGTGACACCAAGGGTGTATGCTGCACACGGTCATTAAAATGTTTTTATCCGAGCTGCAGATAAATTGTAAGCCAATTTGAAAGTTGCGTGCTGGGCCCCAGGAACGCATTATACACAGTCATGGAAGGATTTTGAAGGTTCTTCTGGGGGTGCAGGTTAGGGGGGAGGGAGCGTGTTAAGGGTGCGCTGTTACAATCAATTAGATGTTGTGAGAGCCAGGCACCCCACTCCCATCCCCACCGAAGTTAAAAGACTCTGCACTTCTGGCTCCTCTGGAATGCCAAGGGGCAGGGTTTCTCTGCCACCGAGTGGGGCCCTTTCAACCCAAAGCTAAAAAGCAAGGCCACCCTCCGCGTGCCAGCATTGAGCTCAGTGTTCAACCCACAGTTAATACCTCACAAAAGCCCTTGGATGTGGGCCTGGTCATCCCCATTTTACGGATGACGGAGCAGAGGCTCCGAGAGTTTAAGGGGTACATCCACGTGAGTCACAGAGCAGGGTGGGCAGGAGCGGGGCGTCCCACCTGGTCTGCCTGAGCCCAGAGCACGTACTTATACAGCAGCCTTAACTCCCAAAGGAAATTTCCCTCCCCTTGACCCAAAGGCCATGAGTCACACAAACCTCAAACAAGCACTGGAGTGGAGACAGAGTGCAGGGAGTGGGGACTTCCTTGAGACCGAGCCCTAACTAGGTGGCTCAAAAACTCCGATGGTCCTGGCATGGTGGCTCACATGTCTAATCCCAGTACTTCCGGAGGCTGAGGTGGGTGGATCTCTTGAGCCCAGGAGTTCTAGCCCAGCCTGGGCAACCTGGCGAAATCCCGTTTCTACAAAACATTAGCTGGGCTGTGGTGGTATGTGCCTGTAGTCCCAGCTACTCAGGAGGCTGAGGTGGGAGGATTACTTGAGCCTGGGAGGTAAAGGCTGCAGTGAGCTGAGATCACGCCACTGCTTTCTAGCCTGGGCAACAGTGAGACCCTGTCTCCAAAAATGAAACAAAACCAAACCAATAAAACCAAACAACAACAACGAATTCCGATGGATGGGTGGGGCTGTTTGCCTTTCGGAACATGTAGGAGTCTGGAAGGAACACAGAATGTCTGTGCCCTTGCCTCCCTTCCTGTCCCCATCCCCATTTTTGGTTCTCTCATCCACTGCTATCCAGCACCTCCCCCACTTCTCAAACCCTCTGAAAGGAGCACTGAACTTGGAGTCCAGCAGACCTGGGTCCAAATCCCAATTAGTGTCTACTTTTGACATGGACGGTCTAGTATTGAGTTTCCTTTCTGGTAAAACAGCATATCAGAATGTCTTTTTTGTTCAAATATATTATAAGGTGACTTGGATGCCCACGTACATGGACATTCTAATTTGCATTTATTCATTTGTGTGTTCATTCATTTAACATATATTTATTGAGCACCTAGTACATTGCAGGCACTGTTGTGTGCACTGGAGTTTCCAATGAACAAGGAGGACAAAAAAAAAACCAAACAAACAAAAAACTGGTCCTCACAGACAGTGCAATAGGGGAGGCAGAAGATGAGCAAGTGAAGAGATGGGGAGACAAATGGGATGTCAGTGGGTGGTAAAGCAATGTCAGGAAAAACCCATCAGGGATGGGGCTGTTCTAGGTCAACGTGGCCTCTCTGAGAAGGTAACATTCAAAAGAGGTGAGCTATATGGACTTCATTCATTCATGTCAGTGATTCAGTGACTTACTGAGCATTCCCCAGGTGCCAGGCACAATTCTAGGTGCTGTGGATACACTGACAATAAGACAAGGTCCTTGCTCCCTGGACTCACATTCTCTAAGGGAAATAGCTTCATGGTACAGAGGACGAAACTAGTTTCTGGGGCTTCCCATAGCAAATTGCTGCAAACTGGGTGGCTTAAAACCACAGCAATGTATTGTCTCACAGTGTTAGTCCTAGAAGCCTGAAATCAAGGTGTCAGTAGGGCCATGCTCCCCATGCAAGGGAAAAATCCTTCCTTGTCCCTCTGCTTGCCTCTGGTGTTGCTGGCAATCCTTGGAGTTCCCTGGCTTATAGATGCATCACACCGATCTCTGCCTCTCTCATCATATGGCCTTCTCTCTCTGGCTCTGTGTTCCTGTCCCTGTGTTCAGATTTGCTTCTGCTTCTGCCCCTGCTTCTGCTTCTTCTCCTTCTCCTTCTCCTTCTTTCTTCTTTCCTCCTCTTCTCCGTCCTCCTCCCCCTCCCCCTCCTTCTTCTCCTTCTTCTTCTCCTTCTTCTTCTCCTCCTCCTCCTTCTTCTCTTCTTCTTCTTCTTCTTCTTCTTCTTCTTCCTCTTCCTCTTCCTCTTCTTCTTCTTCTTCTTCTCCTCCTCCTCCTCCTCCTTCTCCTCCTCCCCCTCCTTCTCCTTCTTCTTCTCTTTTTTTTTTTTGTGTGTGTGAGACAGTCTTGCTCTGTTGCCCAGGGTGGCCTCAAATGCCTGAGTTCAAGCAATGCACTCACCTTGGCCTCCCAAAGTGCTACAGGCATGAGACACTGTGCCCACCTCAACAGATTTGCTCCTTATAAGGACATCAGTCATTGAATTAGGACTCACCCTAATCCAGTGTGACCTCATCTTACCTTTAGCACAATTGCAAGGACCCTATTTCCAAATAAGGTTACATTTATACGGACTGTGGGTCAGAACTTCAACACATCATCTTCAGGGACATAATTCAACCCACAGCAGTAACTGAGTCAGGATGTAGCACACCAAGATTCCCTGTCTGACTCTGAAGCTGACACTCTCTGCTCCCAACCCCGTGGGTCACCCTTCGTTGGGCACTGACTAATATGCAGGCGCTGTGCTAAACTCTTCTTGTGTTAACTCACTGAACACTCACAAAAGCTCTGCAAGGTGAGTACTATCACTTTCTCTTTAGCAGATGAAGAAATTGAGAGGTAATGTCACTTCCCTACATCACCCAGCCAGTGTGTGGCAGGGCAGGGGTATATAGCCATCCTGCATGTTAACATCTCTGCTCCTCCAGAAGTTTACCAATGAGTAGGAAGCCCAGACTCATAAAGTATTGGTACACATTAATAAAATGTTCTATCTTGGGATCCTTGTCTCTCTTCTGGAAGCTTCCAAGTGAGGTTGGCAGATGAAGTAGACTTTTGGAACCTGAGGCCAGAGTGGCAACAAACCACACCATATGCTTTGCAAGTCTGGAGCCAGGAAACACAGCTTCCACCCCAAAGAACAGATGTTAATGAACTTTACATGACGTTTCTGGTTGGTTTGTCTTTTTTCAGTATGTTCTACTGATTTTTATTAAGTGTGCCTGGTGCATTTTCCTTGTTTTTTTTTTTTTTGTTTGTTTGTTTGTTTGTTTGCTCTGTTTTGTTTTGTTTTGTCTTGAGACAGTCTTGCTCTGTCCCCCAGGCTGGAGTGCAGTGGCATGATCTCAACTCACTGCAGCCTCTGCCTCCAAGGCTCAAGAGATTCTCCTGCCTCAGCCTCCCAAGTAACTGGGGTTACAGACATACACCACCATGCCTGGCTAATTTTTCTAGTTTTAGTCGAGACGAGGTTTCTCCATGTTGGCTAGGCTGGTCTTGAACTCCTGACCTCAAGTGATCCTCCCGCCTCGGCCCCCCAAAGTGCTGGGATTACAGGCATGAGCCACCAAGCCCGGCCCTTTGGTTTTTCTAAAATATGGTTTTATTGAGATACAATTCCTATAACATGCAATCCGCTCATGTAAAGTGTAAAAAACAGTGGTTTTACCATATTCACAGAGTTGTGCCTCTACCACCACAATCAATTTTAGAACATTTTCATCGTCCTCCAAAGAAACCCTGTACCCATCAGCAGTTACACACCACCCCACATTGTCCCTCTTCTCCTCAGTCATAGGCAGCCACAAACACCCTTTCTGTCTCTATAGATTTGCTGGTTCTGGATATTTAATATGAATGAGATTATACAATATGTGGTCTTTTGTGGCTAGTTTCTTTCGCTTTGCATAATGTCTTCAAGGTTCATCCATATTGTAGCAGGTACCAGTACTTCATTCATTTTCAATGCTGAATAATATTCCTTCATATGGATAGATCGCGTTTTGTTTATGCATTCCTCAGTGGATGGAAATCTGGGTTGTTTCCACTTTTTGGCTATTATGAACAATGCTGCTATAAACATTCACGTGCAAGTTTTTGTGTGAATGTGTAGTTTCAGTTCTCTTGGGTATGTATCCTTGGAGTAGAACTGCTGAGTCAAACAATGACTCTGCATTTAAATTTCTGAGAAGCTTCCAGACAGTTTTCCACAGTGGCTGCACTGTGTTATATTCCCACCAACTGCATATGAGTCCCAACTTCTCCACATCTTTGTCGACACTTGTTACTATCTCTCTTTTTGAATATAGCCATCCTAGTGGATCCTAGTGAATGTGGAGTGATGTCTCTTTGTGGCTTTGATTGGCATTTCCCTCAGGGCCAATGACACTGTACGTCCTTTCCTGTGCTTCTTGGCCATTTGGACATCTTCTTTGGAGAAACATCTACTCAGAGCCTTTGGTCATTTTCAATGGCCTTATTTTTCTTTTTATGATTGAGTTGTAAGAGTTCTCTATCTGACCTACATGTAAGTCCCTTATCAGGTGTATCATCTGCATATTTTTCTCCCATTGTGTAGATTGTCTTTTTACTTTCTCCATGGTGTCCTTTGAAGGACAAAATGTTTTAATGTCAATGAAATCCAGTTTATCTATTTTTTCTTTTGTCACTTGTGCTTTTCGTGTCTATTTAAGGAGGCTTTGCCTAACTCAATCTCACAACTTACTCCTGTATTTCTCTTCTAGGAGTTTGTATAGTTTTAGCTCTTACAGTTAAGTTGATGATGCATTTCAAGTTTATTTTTATATATGGTGTGAGGGAGGGGTCCAACTTCATCATTTGCATGTGGATGTCTGGTTGTCCCAGCACCATTTGTCGAACACACTATTCTATCCCCATTGAATTATCTTGGCATCCTTGTCGAAAATCAATTGACTGTGAAAGTGCGAGTTTATTTCCAGACTCTCCATTCTGTTTCACTGCTCTATATGTCTATCCCTGTGCACGTCTGGTGCTTTTCTAACCATCTGCCACCTCCAGCCTGGCTGTTACTCTCCAGCTATGTGACTTTAGGCAATGAGTTTCACAGGAAGCTCTCCTGTTCAGTTTCTCGACCTTTCCCCTTAAAAGAAACTTACCCTGGGACTGGTGAGGGTTCCCAGAGGAAAAGAGGGTACAGAAGGTCCTGGGGGTAATGAAGGCTGAGTCTACTTCCAGGAGGCCCAGCCAGAACCTTGGATTTCTGGAGAGCTGGATTCTTGCTTTCTAAGACCAGATTCTTGAACGTGATTCTCTGGAATCCCAGCCTGGCACTCCCCTCTGGAAAAAGAAGCAAATTTCCAGGACCAATAATCAGAGTGCCAAGAACTTCTCTCTTTTCTTTTCCACTCTGTCACCCAGGCTGGAGTGCAGTGGTGCAACCATAGCTCACTGCAGCCTCAACCTCCCAGGCTCAAGCAATCCTCCTGCCTCAGCCTCCCTAGTAGCTGGGACTATAGGTGTGTGCCACCATGCCTGGCTAATTTTTAAAAATTTTTGTAGACACAGGGTCTCACTCTGTTGGTCAGGCTGGAAGAACCTCTTTTGACTTGGGAAGAAGAATACACTATACCTCCAAGTGAGCTAAGGAGATCTGAGGGCTGAGGGCAGACCTCACCCCTCTCAGAGGTCTGCTGATCTCCTGTAGGCCTGAGCAAAACAGAAGTAACACCACTCTGCTTCTCTGGGGGACAGCAATGGGAAAGCAGAGTTCAGTTTGCAGAATCCCCTTTCAAGAAGGCTGTCTGTGCACAGGACAGCTGTGGGGGAAGTGGGGCTTCTTCCAAGCAAAGCCGCCATACAATGGTGTGTATGGTGGTCCAAGGGGCAGGGTAGGTCAGTGGAGGGAGGCTGCCAGTCTGAGATCCCTGGGAAATCCCCAGAAAGGCAAGATTCAGAGCCTCAGCTACCTCCTTTCCCAGGATGTCTGCTGGGTGGAAAATGATCAGCTCCTTCCTCTGTCTTAGAGCCTGAGTGGATGAACCACCTGCCAGACTTGGGCTAATTACATTAACTGGCTCCAGGCGATTACTGTGGCCACAGACTCCAGGGAGCCAGGCTGCTGCTCCACAGGGGAAGCGAGGAGGCTGCAGAGGGAGGCATGGGCTGGCTGGGATCCAGGCCAGAGCTGCAGAGAATTCCCAGAGCACTGAAGGGGAGGAGGTATGAACACGAGCTTCCACCTCTTACCCCAGAAACCCCCAGGGTCTGAGGACCAGGCTGGGGCTACTCTTATTCCCCAAGCAAAAGCCTGGACAAGCCCATTCCCAAGCCCTCTCCCTCTGCCTGCACTCCTTCTTACCAGTCTGGGTGAGTGACATGCAGATGCCCAGCCCCTCCAAACTAGAAAAGGTGGAGGCTAGATAATCCCCCACTGGAGAATGATCTCTCTAGTAAATTAGCTTGACCATAAATGGAGTTTAATTCCTTAGAGAGTTGAGGAGTGGCTAAGGGTATGGGCTTTGGATTCAGACATGACTTTTCTACCAGCTTCTGCAACTAATAGTAATAAAAGTGTTTAATGTTTGCTTGTTTTTTTATTTATTTATTTGAGACAGAGTCTCACTCTGTCGCCTAGGCTGGGGTGCAGTGGTGCAGTCTTAGCTCAATGCAACCTCCGCCTCCTGAGTTCAAGTCATCCTTGTGCCTCAGCCTCCTGAGTAGCCAGGATTATAGGCGCGCACTACCACGTCCAGCTAATTTTTGTATTTTTAGTAGAGACATGTTTCTCCATGTTGGCCAGGCTGGTCTTGAACTCCTGACCTCAGATGATCCAACTACTTCGGCCTCCCAAGTTGCTAGGATTACAGGTGTGAGCCACCGCACCCGGCTATGGTTAATGTTTATTGAGCATTTACTATATACCAGGGACTGTTCTGCTTAACACCTGCTATATCATTTATAACAGCCTTCTAAGGTCGATTCTGTGATTACTTTATCCATTTTACAAATGTGAAAACTGAGGGGTTATAAAATGTGCCCAAGGACACAGAACTAGAATTCAAACCCAGGCAGGCTGCCTGCCAAGCGCAGGGACCCAGCCACTATGCTCCCCCACCTCTCACTGGAATGTGGCTTTTGAAAGTTTATTTCATTTCCCTAGACCTCAGTGTCCCTTTTTGCTGAATGGGGGTTACAGTAGCACCTGTTGGGGCATGAAATGTAACAGACAAGTGAAGGGCTGTGTCCATAGCTCACAGTGAGTGCTCTGGAGGAGGAAAGCTGTTCTTACTTCCTACGTATTTGGCTTCAACCCTCACCCTGTAAATGTCAGTGGAGTTGAGGGTAGGGTCAGAACTATGAGAAGTGACAATGGCCCTGTGGGAGCTCTCAAAGCCAGGCAGTGACATCTGTGGCCTCCCACCCTGGGTGCTGGCAAAGGTGGTCAGGAAAGAGGATGCAGCCAGCAGCCCGGAGTCCAATCACACGCCCTCCACTGTCTTGCTGTGGCTTTTCCTTTCCAAGCCTCAGTTTCCTCTTCTGGAAACTGAAGGTAATCATGCTTTTTACCCTATGGGCTGTCTCAAGGAATGAATAAGATGGCACGTTTGGGCGTAGAGGAAATGCTTGGCCCAGATGCTGGCATCATTGTTAGGACAGGGCAGGAAGTTAGAAGAACAGAGACGATAGGAGCCAACTTAGGACAATAAATGCAGTGGCCGGACATAAGAGGCCTTTCCAAGCAGAAGCCACAGGACATGGGGACCAATTGGAAAGATGGGAACAGATGTGGAGACACGGCGGACCTGGCACTGGATGGAGATGGTCCTCTGAGAAGGTTCCAATGCAACCACGTGATCTCACTCAGCAGCCAGCGATCGCAGAAAATGGGCCGTTGGGGTGGAGAGGCCAGGGCCTATGGACCTCTACAGGCCTCCTCCCTGCCAGCCGGAGCTTCTGAGAAGGGCAGCAGAATGAGAAGTGGGGGGCCTGAGACAGCTGGCTGTGCTGAGCTACCAAAGCTGGCTGGAGTGGGGGCTGCAGCCCACAGGACTGAGGCGGGAGTGGTCAGGGGCCCCTGAGCTGGATGTGAGCATGTTCAGAGACGGGACACTGTCGTCTTGAGTGCCTGGACCTGGTCAGGGAGCTGGAGGAAGGACACCCATGCTGCTCGCCTGCCTGCCACGGACCTCCCAGCCAGCTGAGGTCACCGGCTGAGCGCCAGTTGAGAGAGGGGCCAGACAGATGGGTTTGGGGCTCGGAGGAGCATTTTGAAGCTAACTGGGTCATCTAGCAAGAACGGTCACTTCCCAGCATCAGCCCCAAAGGTCCAAGCCTGCTGACTGCCTCCTGGACAGGCTTCTAGAACCCTCCCTCCCTCCCTCTCTGAACACAGTTCTGCAAAGAAGTGCCCTTGACCATAGCCCACCCTCACCCAGGAACAGGCCCAGCTCATTCCACCAGCTGTCCCTCTAATCCCCCTACAGCCTGCAGGGCAGAGCCTGTGGTGCCTCAGTGTGAGTGCCCACAGAGGTCAGGAGACATGCCCACTGTCCCACAGCAGTGAGTGGCGCTGAGATTGGAGCTCAGGTCTTCTGGGACCAGAGCCCTTGACGTTCCCACTCCATGAAGCTGTCAGGAAAACAGAGGGACATCCACCTCTCTGAGTGTGGGACAATGTGGTAGCCATATGGACCTCTGGATCAAGGGCCTCCCAACAGTCCTGGAATTCAGTGGGGTGGGGATCTGTATCCCCATTTTACAGAGAAGAAAACTGAGTCTGCTAATAAAAGGAAGGCTAGAGTTTGAATCTAAATATTCTGATTGCCACTCTCCTTCCGTGGGGATCTGAGGCCCTGAGCTCGGGAGGGAAGCGAGGCCTTTGAAACCTCTGACCCATTATTGTGACTGGATGAAGCAGACAACCCAGTCAAGCAGCACACAGTTTTTGGTGCATCTTGTCCCTGGGGAATAGAGCTAGCAGACTGTCATCAGCCTCTCTCCAAGGGAACTCGGAGCCTAGAGTGGAAACAGACCACTTGCTCTTTCGTTTCTCATGCTTACAAATCCTTTGATTCAAGCAATATTTGTGAGCACCTACTGTGCACCTGCTGTGGGGGGAGCACTGAGAGAGTCCCATCTCCCTCAAGGTAGCTATACAAATTAGAAATTCATTTTGATATAGGACAGCCAGGATACAGTCTAATAGCAATGAATTTTTCAGTTATAAGGTACCAAATGTTGCTCCAGGCACTTAAATATATAAATTCATTTAATCCTCACAATCCTTAGGAGATGGGTATTTCTAGTATTCTTATTTTAATAAATGAAGAAATTGAGACCCAGAGAGGTTAAGTAACTTGCCCAAGGTCACACAGTGAGTAAGTGGCAGCGTTTGTTTTCAAACCCTGATTGCCTAGCTTGGGAGCTTCTCTACAGCCTCTCAAGAGATGGCCCATTGAGCCCTCCTGAGCCAACTGAAGGGATTCATCTGCTTCTGGAATTATCTAGGCAGGTGTCTGAAGCCCCCTGGGGCCCTCACCAACTCCCTGGACCTTCTGTGTCTCACATACCAGGGCTCCCCTCTTGTTCCAGAGTCAGATCAGCTTCAGCCTCCCAGGCCCCGCCAGAGCAGGCCTGCAGGTGCATCATTAAACCTTGACAAGTGTGAGGTCAGTACGATGCTTTATCCTCTCCACCCCTGGGAGCTGGATTTAGTGGCTCCAGCAGAAGGTAAACTTCCCCTCCCTGGAACAGGCCCTTTAATTACTAGTGATATGTGGCTGTTGAAACTGCAGTGCCTCGGGCCCAGTGATTTAAGGGGCAGGCAGGAAGTGGAAGTTACAGGTGTTAACAGCTGTATCAGGAGCTGGGAGAGCAGGGATCACAGCCTGAGGAGGCTATAGCTGCCTCTGGAGGAATGCTGCTCACAGGCACTCTTAGGGAGAGAGAGGTGATCCTACTGCCTCAGGTACAGGTACAGAAAGGGAGACTGAGGCCAAGATCACACTGCAAGTCGGCTTGGTATGAAGCTCAGCAGCCCTGACTTTGCTGCCAACTTGCAGTGAATCCCTGGACTCAGTTTCCCCATCTGCATATGAGAAGCTCATGTGCTGTAGAGAAGCTCCCAAGCCAAGCAATCTGGGTTTGAAAACCAACTCTGAGGCAGGAAGACTTCACTCACTCCCTAGGAGCAATAATCACAATAATTTTCATAACAAAAGCTAGCACTGATTGAGTGCTCACTGAGTGCCAGGCATTATACTAAGTTCTTTAAGAGCTTTCTTTGGTTTAATTCTCATAACAGCTACTGAGGTGGTCATTCTTGTTATTCCCATTTTTACAGAAGAGGAAACCGAGGCTCAGACAGAAGAAGCAACTTACCCAAGACCCCGTGACTTAGGGAGTGACCAAATGGAGTGTCCAAGCCCCTCTCTCTGAAGCCAGAGCTTGGCCTCTCTGCTCTGGGACTTAAGGTCCAGTGTTGGCCCTCAAGGAGTCCATGAATGATGGGTGAGAGAGAGAAGGGCACAGGTTTCCAGAATTCCAGCAGAAGAAAAATAAGGATGATGGGGGAGGACTAGGGTGCAAGCTAAGAGATGAGGAAGGAGGGAGTCCTTCCTCCAGAGGAGGGCATCAGGAAGGCTTCATGGAGGAGGTGGCATGGAGCTGGGCCTAGCAGGCTGGTGAAGAGATAGGACAGGAGGCGCTGCAGGCAGAAGGAGCTATATAGGCAACAATGAGGGGCAGAAAAGCATGGCAAGAGGGGGCACCCCTGCATGGCAGGAACCCAAGGCATGAGAAGGGGCAGGGAGTAACATATCATCCATCACAACAGCACTCACCACAGCAGCACTCACCACAGCTGACATTTATTCATCACTTGGCAGGTGCCAGGTGTGGGTCTACATACTTTACGTAGTGCTCACAAGATCCCTAGAAAGTAGATCTTGTGATGATCCCATTTCACTGGTGAGGAAACTAGCCAAGCGCAGTGTGCCTCATTCCTGTAATCCTAGCACTTTGGAAGGCCGATATGGGATGATCTCTTGAGCCCAGAAGTTCAAGACCAGCTTGGACAACATAGGGAGACCCCATCTCTTAAAAAAAAAACCACTAAATTACAAATATAACAAATCACACGACGAAAATGAGGTGCAGCAGGGATAAGTGGCTTGCCAAGGTTACCCAGCTGGTAGGTGTCCGAAGCACGATACAATCGTCAGCCCTGGCCCTGAGCCCATGGAAGGTCCACTGCTGTGCCCAGTCCTGAGGAAGCAGTGGGTGGTGAGGAAAGGGCCCTCGCTCCTCCAGGCTGTCATGGTCCCTGCTCACCCACTGTCCACTTGGCTTGGCCACAGGCAGAGAGGGAAGGAGAGACCCTGAATCCAGTGCCATCCATCCATTGGATATGGGGAGCCCATGGCCAGGATGCCTCAAGAGCCAGATGGGCCAGGGGACTCTCCCTGCAGTAGCCTGTGGGTGGGGAGCAGGAGTGAGGGTGGAGAGAGTACTTCCTAGGGAACAAAAGTGCATTCGAGGTCCCAATACCTGGGTCAGGGCAAGGCCAAGGGAAGAGGCCTCAGGCACTGGGTCTCTGAGACACCCTCACTCTCAATCAAGCCCTGCCACCCTGGCCAGAAGTTGTGTTCCTTTGGGAATGAGGCCTTGATCTGCCTCACCAAGCTCTTTACAAAGATGCAATCCAAGAGATATTCAATCAAGCAAACGCAGTTCAATGTTCATTGCAGAACCTGAGTGATGGGTGCATGAATGTTCATTGTACAATTACTTGAACTGTTTGGTAGGTTTGGAAATTTGCAGAGTCCAATGTCAAGGGGAAAAAAAATGCATCCCCCTCCCACAAAAAAAAATACCCCTCCCACAAAACGCCCTTCTCTACAGCTCCTCCCCACTCACCCACCTCATCTCCCCTGGAAATTGCTTTATGAGGAGCAAGCGGCAAGAATGATTTACTTGCTCTCTGACTCGGGAAATCAATCCTAAAACGCTGATAGGACAGGAAAGACGTGGCCACAGAGCCCCCCGGGAAATCTCCCGCTTGAAGGAAAGCTCTGAGCCAGGCCAGGAGTGCGGTGGGGGGTAGGGGCTCTGCAGGGAGATCGGCAGGCGTGGCCCAGTGGTGCTGGGAGTGGTCCAGAGACTGGGAGTGGCTCAGAGCACTGACCTGTGGAAACACGTGAGGACTTCTTACCACTGCCACATTTAGAGGACACGTGGGCCCTTCGACACCTTGTTCTGCACCTCTAACTGTCTGGATGAGGAAACCGAGACCCAGGGAGGGGGAAATGACGGCCATGTCGCAGAGAAAGTCCACGGCAACGCTGAGACGGAATCTTCAGCCCCCTGACTCTCGGTTGACACCTTTTCCCCTGACACAATAATAAACTAAAAAAGCCGTAACAACTAGAATTGCCTTTCTGCTCGCTAAGTGGCAGTACTTCATTCCCCACCCTCGCATGAGACAGCCACCCGTGCCATCTTCATTCTATGGGTGGGGGGGTAGGGGTGGGCAGGAAGCCATCAGTGGACTCAAGGACACACCGCTTCTAAGCAGAAGGGCTGTGACCTCGAGCCAGGTTTCCCAGGCCCTAGGCCTTCAAGGCCAGGGCTAAGCTCTGTTCTAAGCCTCAGAAAGCCAAGGCCTGTACACGGTTTTCCTGGAAGGGACAGAGGTTTTGCACGCTGGGGGAAGATGAAGAGGGGTCTCCCCAGAGCCTCCAAGTCCAGCCCACTGCTCTCTGGGGGGAGGACGGACGAGCAACAGCTTATAAGGAGCTGGTGCTCTGCTACTGGCCAGTTCTTGAATGTGCCTCCCTACCTGCCTCCCCAAGCTTCCGTGGGCTTCCAGAGGCTTCTCTCACAAAGCTGCAAGTATGGTACCTGGTGAAATCGCCCGTGTGTGTAATACTCACCTCTCAGATATATTGAAAACATCCCCCAAATTGGCTAGCTTTGCTGCTATTTAAAACAGATTCACGTTACACCCCATAGATTTCATCTCTGCAGACACGGCACCTGTCGTGGGGCTTAAACACATTCTCTCTATTGCTACATAAACTACAGAGCGGAGGCAGTTGCAGGCAGCGGCCACCCACAGGCTGCGGGGCAGGCTGCTTCCAGCCAGCAAAACTCCAGGAGCAGAGAGGATCTGCATGGGCCTAGAGGCCTAGGGGGCCAATCAGAAAACTGGAGACATTGACAAGTAGCCGATCAAGCCGTAAGTGGAAAGTTGCACCGGTTGTGGGGAGTGGAGCTTTGGGGATTTGAAGTCCTTTGATCCAATCAGCGTATAGGGCCAGGGAGGCTCCAGAGGGTTCTCTCCTGTGCCCCTCTGCTGAGGCCTGGGGTAGCCTGGCTAAGGTTCTCCAATTCCCCCAAGCCTTTCGTTTTCTATCAGTAATCATCTTCACTCCTGTTGACTGATCACCTACTATGAACCAAGCCCTTAGTTCACATAATTTAGTGGTTCTTAGGACCCTAATTTAGAGATGCACCAACTGAAGCTTACATAGATTAAAGCAGCGGTCCACATATTTGAACTTGGATTAGAATCTCAGGACTTGTTAAAACTCAGGGTGGGGACTGCCGGACCCCACCCCATCCCAGGTTGGGCAGGTCTGGAATGGGGATCAAGGATTTGCGTTTCTAATAAGCTCCCGGGTGATTCGGATGCTGGTGGTCCAGGGAACACACTTGGAGAACCACCAGGTTAAGGGACTAGTCTTGAAAATAGTGCTATAATACAAATCTAGATCCAACACAAGACGTCTGTGGCCGCCCACCACCCCTTTCTTTACAGGTGTGTGGCATTTTATTTCTCCACCAGCAATAGCCTCAGTTGGGTCCGCTCTGCCCGGCTTCACTGATTCACTGCCTAGAAGGCTGCCTTCCCTGTCTGCAGCACCCCCAGAGCAGCCAGCCAGAGCCTCCAGTTGGGGCTGTTAATTTTATCTTCTACCACTGCGAAAGCACAACAGCTGGCAGGGGAGGGGCAAGGCAGGTGAGCGGGTGCTTCCAGGCACCTCCCTGCAGAGCAGAGGCGGTGTGGGTGGATGACGCCCGCAGCCACTGGGATCCTTCATGAACCCGCTCCACTCAGAACGGCCCCCATCTCAGATTCCGGCAATGACCTGGACCCCGGGCCCCCCACCCCTCGCCACTGCACCAAGCACAGGAGCTCCCATGGCCGCTTTCAAGTTTGGGGGTGGGGCTAGATTCAGCTCAGCAGCTGCCACATAAAAGGGCCCATTGCAGCCCATATAAGCACAGACGCAGCGTTTATCTCTCCTGTCACTGATGGCGGCTCCATTTGGGGGCTTTTTGTTGTTGCTTTTTTTTTTCCCTTGGCTGCTGTTACTACTCAGTTCAATATTTAATTTTCCCATAAACCAAAGAGTTGCACTTTTTTTTCCCTCTCTCTTTTTCTTGCCGGGGACTCCCTTCCACTGGTGGGATCTGTCTCTTCGGGTCTCTGCTGGGAGAGAGGGGCTTAGGATGGGGCTGGAGATTTCAGCCCTTCCAACTTGGGCAGGGATTGGAGGGAAGGATGCCTGGGCCCTTCCCTCCAATCCATTCACTCATTCACTTGGAAAATACGTATTGAGCAAATCCTGGTGTGCCAGGCTCTTGGGTGCGGCCGCAGGTAAGAAGCCTTCCCTGACCTCGTGTTGCTTACATTCTAGTGAGGGTATCGGAGGAAAAGAGATGTGTGTGAACCAATATGTGAGATAATTATACACTGTGAGGTGCTCTGTGAAGAAAATATACAAAATGCTGGGGCCCCAAACAAAAGAGAGCTTAGCTTAGATTGAGGGGTGACATTTGAGCTGAGACTTCTTGAAAGTCCTGACAAGGCTCAGCCAGGCTAAAAAGCTGAGTGAAAGACTTCAAACAGGGGAAGCTGCACATGCAAAGGCCCTGTGGCTGGAAAGAGCTGAGTGTGTTCATAGACTCAAAGAGAAAAATGTCTCAGTGTGTTTGGCGCATGGTGATGGGAGGGTAAGTATTGGTCAAGGTGTAAGGGTTGGAGAAGGGAGCAAGGTCTACAGCACTGCAGGGTCTTCTGGAATTTTCTTCCACAGATGGGCTATGTGCTTTCCTGTGCTGGGAGAAATGAAGGAAACAAACAGACATTGAAATTGAACTCCTATTGCATGGCTGGTCGACACTAGCTCTGAGGCTAGGTGGAAGAAAGACAAAGCTCCAACTTCCAGGGAACACGCACTCTAGTGGGGAGACAGACGTTGACCCAGAACAGAATAACAAGTAGCAATGAGTATGAAAAGCACAGGGTGCTCCAGGCACCCAGAGGACAGGCTCTAACCCTGTCTGGAAAAACCTGGGAAGGCTGCCTGGAGGAGGCAACATCTGAGGCCAGCCTTAAAGGATGAGGTGGAGTTAATTAGCAGAAGGCCCAGTGTGTGCAGGGCACAGAGGAGATGAGCAAAGTGAAGAGGGAACCACAGGCAGCTCAGCATTGCTGAAGCAGGGAGGGCTTCCCAGAGGAGGTGCTCTTTTGAGCAGGTTCTTGAAGGAGCAGAGAGACAGGCTAGTGGAGATGATGGGGAAGAAACTAAGATGTGTGGAACCAAAAGAAAAAAAAAAGAAAGAAATTAAAGTAGGGAATATGGAGGGACATTTATATTCATGGACACTTTTATATTAAAAAGGTGGTTTTCTTCTTTTGTGAAATATGGTGTAATGACTAAGAGCTGATTGAAAAGGAAGGCAGTCAATAGAGCAGGCATGCTGAGAGGAAAGAATGGGTTTTTTTGCAAACAATATAATTTTGAACTTGTCTCTCCCCTCCCCCATCCCTCCCCCAAGCCTAATTGATTACCACCCCATGATGAATGACACTGGGAGCCAGAGTGTGCTAAGCACCTTCGTAGAGTGGTACCCAATGAGCTGGAGAGATTTTCCCTTCCTCGAGACAATGGTTACTCCTGGGAGGGAAAGAAATTCCCCTATACATTGTTCTCAGCCAAGAGAGGGGCGTGGGCCATTGGAGAGATAATATAATTAAAGCTTTCCTGTTTGCTCAGCACTTTGCTATCCTTACAGAAGGTTTATGTTTGCTTTCCTGTTTGCTCAGCACTTTGCTATCCTTACAGAAGGTTTATGTTTATTTTCCATTTGCTTCTCATCTCAAAAACCCTGGAAGCTGAGAGGCTGGCAGGGTATGTCTTATTGAACTCATTTGATAGATGGGAAGACTGATGACCACAGGCATCAACTGATTTGCCCAAAGTTCTATGGGATGTTGGGAGCAGAGCCTGGGCTAGAACCTTGGTCTGACTCTATTAGAGCCAGCACCCTGGGAGAAGTGGGAGCGGACCTCATGGAAGAGTATTTAACTCTAGTACTCACAGTTTGACACAGGTTTGGGGCAGATTTCCCTCTCCAACAATTCTGAGATTTATATCAGATCAGGTTTGTGTTCCCAAATTTCAAAGGCCACGGAATGATTTACAGAGCAAAGAGGAGCTGCTGCATTGTCTCCGAAGTGAGTTACAATGACCAAAATAACGTTCTGCTTTCAAGATAAAGACAGGCAATATTTCGGAGTTAATTTCATAAAACCGATCATCCAACCATTACCTCCCTGTGTCGATGTTAACTGTTGAGTCTAAAATAACTTCAACTCCTGCCTCCCTTGGTGGCCATGGAACAGGAGTGATGGAGGTTGGCTGTGACATACAGCTGTGTTAGATGGGAAGCCACTTTACCTTTCCCGATGCTAGAAAAAATTATTCATGGAAACTTCTAGCAGCAATTCTCTCCCCTTAAGGCACAGTAAAAAAAAAAACTAGAAAGTCAACTGGTTTGATTGGGGGTAGGGGCAGAGATCAGTGGATTTAAGGGAGTTTTATGGTGGTATCCTTGGTTGATCATCATGGTGGACTTATAGAATAGGGTCGGCCTTTCCTACTGCCCAGGTCTGGTGTTACACAAGTGGAATAATGTGTCTGTAAGTGGTTTGTAAATTATGAAACTCTGCCCATGTCTAGACTCTTTTTTTTTTTTTTTTTTTTTTTGAGACGGAGTTTCGCTCTTGTTACCCAGGCTGCAGTGCAATGGCACAGTCTCGGCTCACTGCAACCTCCGCCTTCCGGGTTCAAGCGATTCTCCTGCCTCATCCTTCTGAGTAGCTGGGATTATAAGCATGTGTCACCACACCCAGCTAATTGCGTATTTTTAGTAGAGAGACGGTTTCTCCATGTTGGCCAGGCTGGTCTTGAACTCCCGACCTCACGTGATCCACTTTCCTCAGCCTCCCAGAGTCCTGGGATTACGGGCATCAGCCCCTGCACCTGGCCTAGATTCTTACTATTACTAATACAATTACGACTACTGTTTATTCTTCCCCAAGCAAAATATGCCTGCTTGGTGTCTCTTCACCTTAGAAGGGTCATTTCAGATGAATGGTGCTGATGAGTGTGATGAGTGTGTTTACTCACCCACCCCCACCACACACACCCCAGAGAGCATTGCACTGCCACAGGCATTTCAGAAAACACAGCCTCAAAGTCCACAAAAATGAGGCACTGATGGTGGGAGCACTGGACATCATTGTCTACAGGTGATAACAGAAGAGTGGGAGGGAGATTGGTGAGCCAGGGGTCTTCGTTGATGATTCTTTGCCACCTGGATCTCCTGTGAATACAGTGGGACACAGGCAGGTGGCCTCACCTTACACTGCTCATTCTGTTACCTGACTTTGTATTTGGGATTATTCTGGCCCAGGAAGTCATGTAGAGTTGATATCTGTGTTCACAGCTGATCTCCCACCTTTGATTGAACACTTCCTGGGGCATGGGATCTATCCCAGGCATAGGACACATAAAAAGCTGCTGGCTTTTGACCTTGGCCAGAGACTGTAACAGTGATGGGAATGGCGATGAGAATGGAGATGGTATTGGGGTTGGGGATGGGATGGAAATAGAAATGAGAATTGAGTTGGAGATGAGGATAGAGATGTGATAGAGATTAAGTGTGGGGACAGGAATAGAAGTGGTGATAGGAATGGAGGTGGGATAGAGATGGGGGAGGAGATGGAGTTGAAGTTGGTCGTGAGATGGAGACAGAAATGAGGAGAGAATAGGGGATGGAGATTGAGGATGGGGAGGGATGGAAATGGAGCTGAATGTGAGGATAGAGACAGAGATGAGAATGGAGATGGAGTGGAGATGGGGATAGAAATAGGAATGGAGATGAGGATGGGGAAGGGGATGTGGATGAGGATGGGATGGAGATAGAGATAGAGGTGGAGATGGGCATGGGGTAAAGATAAGAATAGAGAAGGAGATTGAGATCGAGATGGGGAGGAGATTGAGATGGGGATGGGGATAAAGATGGGGGAAGAGATGGAGATGGAGATGGGAGTGGGGTTGGGGATGGGGGTAGATATGGGTTTGGAGATGAAGATGGGGTTGGGGATGGTGATAAAAACAGGGAAGGAGATGGAGATGAAGATGGAGTGGGGATGAGGGTGGAAATGGGGATAAAGATAAGGAAGGAGATGAAGATGGAGATGGGGATGGGGATATGGATGAATTGGGGAAAGGGATGGGGATGAGGATGAGGGTAGGGATGAGGATGGGGATGGGAACGGAGATGAGGGATGAGGTGGGCATGGGGATGGGAATGGAGATGGGGGATGAGGTGGGGATGGGGATGGGAATGAAGTGGAGGAGCAGGTGGAGAGGGGGAGTGGGGTGGGAATAGGAATATAAAAAGGGAAGCCTAAGTGAAGGAAGGCTTTTATTGGGCTATGAAACTGGCTTTTATTGGGCTATGCAGGCAGGAATGCCGTACTTGGTCAAGAGAAGGGAAAAAGAAAAATAGAAAAGAAGAGGGCGATGCTAATAGTGACTAGAAGAGTGAAGCATCTGTCAGGAGCCAGGGACTCCTGGATGGAGACGGCTCCCTGACTGCCGGCACTCAGAGCCCTCCACCAGGAGACAGGAGGTGAGATGCAGAGTGACATTTTCCTAGGACTCACTGATGGGAGTATATTGATGGGGAGGGTGTGGGAAGCCTGAGCTGTCCGTGCTGATGTTAACAGCTCTGCTATGTCATCGTCCATACAACTGAAATCTGTTATTGTCTTATGAGCTTGATTAACTGTACATATTGCTAATATAACGAGGGATGGAAACACAGCTCCAGTCAGGGTCTGTGTGGGTGGTGCGTGTGACTTAGGTGCAGATCTCCAGAGAGAGAGAGAGAGTGTGTGTGTGTGTGTGTGAATGTTTAGGGGGGTGAAGGGTGTAAGCGCCATGCTGTGCAAAGAATCCTAGCCAGGATTTGGAAGGCTAGGGGCCATTCCAGGCTCTGCCACTGACTTAGGGTATGATTGTAGCCAAACCTGTGCTTCTCTCTGATCTCAGTTTGCTTACTTATAAAATGGAAAGTCTAGACCAGAGTTGTCCAAGAGAAATATAATGTAAAGTACATATGTCACTGTAAGTTTTCTAATAACCGCATTAAGATAAGTTTAAAAAAGAAAAGGTGAAATTGATTCTAGTAATATATTTATTAAACCCAATATATCCAAAATATTATCATGTCAATATGTTATCAATATATCTTACGCTCTTCTTAAAAAATTAAGACTTCTGTTTTACACTTACAGCACATGTGAACTTGAACAAACCACATTTCAGGTGCTCCCCAGCCACATGGGGTGAGTGGCTGCTCTACGGGACAGCCCGAATCTAGGGCATTTTCTGATCTCCTCACTAAACTGTGAATGCTCCAAAGGTACGACCATGTTTTATTCTCCCAGTCCTTAGCAAGGAGGCTCAAATAAGAATGTTAGTAAATCACACTGACAATAAGCACAGCTGATATGTATTGGGTGCACTTTCAAAACACTTTGCAGGCACTACGTTACTGAATCTTCACAAGTACCTTACAATTCCATTTTTCAGATCAGGAAACCAGGCTCAGAGAGGTTAAGTAACTTGCCCAAGGTCACACAGCCAGTAAGTGGTACAGCTGATCTTTGAAATCTGGCTAGTCTGATCTAGAACCCACCTCCTTAGCCATTGTCCTGTACTACCTCCCTTATTTATAGTCATACACTAATTAAAATTGCTACCCTGCATTGCAGGTAACTTACATGTGCCATCACATTTACTCTTCAAAGCAAACCTCTTAGAAGCCAGGCATAGTGGCTCACACCTGTAATCCCAACACTTTGGGAGGCTAAGTTGGGAGGATCGTTTGAGGCCAGGAATTCAAGACCAGCTTGGACAATATAGCAAGACCCTAGCTCTACAAAACATAAAAACAAAAACAAAAACAAAACAGGCGTGGTGGCACACAACTGTGGTCCCAGCTACTTGAGAGGCCGAGGCAGGACAATTGATCACTTGAGCCCAGGAGGTCAAGGCTGCTGTGAGCCATGATTGTGCCAGTTCACTCCAGCCTGGGTAACAGAGCGAGACCCTGCCTCAAAAAACACAAAAAAAAAAGAAAAAGAAAAGAAAGAAAGAGAGAGAGAGAAAGAGAAAGAAAAAGAAAGAAAGAAAGAAAGAAAGAAAGAAAGAAAGAAAGAAAGAAAGGAAGGAAGGAAGGAAGGAAGGAAGGAAGGAAGGAAGGAAGGAAGGAAGGAAGGAAAAGAGAAAGAAAGAAAGAAAGGGAAGGAAGGAAGGAAGGAAGGAAGGAAGGAAGGAAGGAAGGAAGGAAGGAAAAGCAATCCTCTCCTCTCAGGAAGGTTCTAGGTGTCTGATCTCTGTTTGCTCAGTGAAGATAAGAAAGAATGAATGAGTGATTTTAAAGGAGTCGCCTGCCTGGTTCTGAGCCTCTAGGATTCTTGGAATGTATCCTGATACCTATTCACCTGCCATCACGAGCCATGCCAGAGTTTTATGCTAAGCTCTAACTGCAGAGGTCACTGATCTTTGGGGTAACTGAGTAACTAGAGCCACCCACAGCATCAGTTCCTGATGGAATTTGATTATAAGGCATCCATGGAAGGTAAGTGAATGTTCCTGGTGGTTCAAATGTGTACATACACCTAAAGGCACCAATAGATACAAGCTCCCTTTTTCTTCCCAAAGGTCGAGGTGGCTCAGCTTCATGTCAGAGGCTGGGCTCTGGAGTCAGACTGCCTGAGTTCAAATCCTGGCTCTTCCTCATACTGGCACCGTGAGTGAGTCTGAGCAAGTTGCTTCACCTCTTAATTTTCCCCATCTGTAAAATGGGAATAAATAAACCCAGCCTGTAGACTGATGGTGAAGACAGAAAGAATGCACACATGTTAAGAACTCAGAACAGGTCCTGATTCCTAAGAGTTAGCCGTTGTGGATTCTTGTGTGGGATCCAGGTTTTCGGTTGAGTTTTGGAAAGGTTAGATTGCAGAATCTGCAATTTCTAGGTAATTGACGTGTTCTGCTGTATTTTTCCCTTCTCGGAATTCCTATCCGGCTTACCATCTGTTTTATGCGATCTTACGCTTAATTACAATTCTCCAACTATTGTTCTCCCATTGTTTTCTGTGTGCTCTGCTTCTCTTGCTGACAGCATGGGTTGGCTCCCTGAATGAATGAATGACTCATACCTGATTTCATTTCACTAGGCCTTGAAATAGAGTTGCCCGTGTGTCTGTCGCCCCCACCTGACTGTGAACTTTGCAATGCTTCACCTGTTTCATCATTGGGCACCTCCTGGCAGCACCTGGCATTGTTCCCGGCACCTAGTAGGTGTCAGGAAATGTTTGTCGAATTTAATTAAACTTAACTAGAGTGAAAACCCCCTGAAGGAAGGAAAGGCCCATACCTCTTTATTTTCTCTGCTTCCCTCCCTGTGCGTGTCCCAAGGCTGGGTAAATCAGAACTGACAGCTTTTCCCAAGTGAGGCTCTAAGATTCTGGTTCCTGTCCTGCTGATTATGAGGAGGTTAGGGAAATAATAGCAGAAATCACAATAATAGCAAATTCCTACCATATGCTAAGCATTTTCATATGCATTAGCTAGTTTTGTCCTGCAAAAATGTCTGCCAAGTATTAATATTATTCCCATTTAGCAAATTGGGGGACTGAGGCTCACAGTTTTGGTGACTTGCCCAAGCACGTGGAGGTGGTGGTGACCGAGCTGAGATTCAGACCCAGGTGTGCCTGATGGCCCAGTCCCTGCCCCTTGCGATGCCCCACGGTGTCTGGGAGCAAGGGTTTTGACAAACCAGCCAGGGGCAGTGGGTGAGGAGAGAAGAGAGGTTGAGTGGGTGGGAGGGGTGGCCAACAAAAATAAGCCAACTTCCAGAAAGGATGGAAGGAAAGACTCCTGGCCACAAATAGCTGTCCAGCTGCCCCCATCCAAGTGTACGGTACCATCCTCCCCAGCTGAAATTCCCACTCTGTTTTCAGTCTCTTCCAAATGCAAGTCAGATGATGTCACTGCTCTCACTGAAAACCTTCAGTGGCTCCCCATTGCTCTCAGGATAAAGAAGAAAAACCCAAAACCTGTGCTTTAAAGATAAATCAGCCCTCTGGGGGCTAGGGCAGAGGAAGGGGGGAAAAGGCCCCAAAGTATAGCAGTTGCTGTTTTTTGTGATGTGAAGATACTCACTGTGACAAGTTACAAACAGTTAACCGCCGGTTCATAAAATTCCTGAAAATGTCACAACCTGCTCCAGCATGCCAGTTCAAGTCATAATCCCCCTGACAGCACACCACGTGCTCTGTGCCCTGCTCATATGCCCAGCCCCGCTGGGCACCGCATTCCCCCTGGCCTGCCCCGCTCTGTCCTGGCCAACCTACTGCGGGCTCTGGCACAAAAATAATCCAGGCATGGTGGCACACACCTGTGGTCCCAGCTACTTGAGAGGCTGGGAATCTCAGGACTTGTTAAAACTCAAGGTGTTAAAACTCAAAGCTCCTTCTACCTGCCACGCTGTCTCCCACCCACTCTTGTGACCTCAGATCACGGCAGCAATGTGGCTGCTTCAGCAGCGTCTGCCCAGAACTCCCAGGCTCGGGCAGAGTCCCCTCAACACACTGATGCCTCCGGGGATCTGATGCACTTCACACTTTGATCTGTGCTATCTCTTGATTCCTGTGTGTCTTCTACACTAAACTGTAAGCTCCAGGAGGGGAGGGCTCTTGTCTATATTCCCAGCAAGGACGTGTTCCTCACTGTAGTGGATACCAATGGCACCCCCTGGAGTTTGGCAACACCTGCCCTCCCCCACCCCCGGCACCCAGCATGGACGTGGCCCATCTTAGGTCATCAGTGAACTCTTCCTGAATCTCCCAGTTGAGCCCTTGTCTTCCTGTGCTTCCTTTTGGGGCAGCTCCTCCCACCTCCATTGAAGTGGTGGCTGCTGACACACCAGCCCCCTTCAGCCGCTACCAAGCCCAGAACTTCACGCTGGTCTGCATCGTGTCTGGAGGAAAACCAGCACCCATGGTGAGTACCCCTGGAGTGCCCAGCTCCTTCCTATCTGCCGGACCACCCTGCTTCGGGGCTGGTCCAGCTGCAGGTGTCGCCACTGTGCCTGGAAAGGGAGTGGTTGGCCAGGGCTGACTCTGTCCCCATCTGCCTTGGTCTGATCCCGTTTACCCATTGGACTGGTCCAGGCATCCATGTGCCCCTGTTGCTACCCATCTCCCCATGCTGAGAACCCCCACTTCTCCTGGAGACAAAGTACTAGAACTTCACAGCAGGAGCAGCCTTTCGGGGAGCCCAAGACCCAGCATGCCTGACCCCAGTTATTGAGTCCCACGGAGACAAATGAAAGGGGGCCCCGAGAGGAAAAGGGGCTTGTCCCAAGTCACCATGGCACTCCTGACAGAGCTGGGTCTCAAGTCCGTGTCTCAAGCTCCAGGTTCACTGGCATTCCCAGGAGCCCACATGATCAGCAGGAAGCCCATCTGAAAGGAGGGACAGGATGGAAGGGCGAGAAGGAAGGGAGAAAGGGAGGGAAGAGAGAGGAAATTCCTTTTTGACCAACTTATTAGACCCAACATAGTTTCTTTGATATTTGTCAGTGCAGTTCACGAGATTTTTTATGACCTCTTGAAGGGGGTGGGGCAGGAGGTGCAGCGTCCAGAGAGCTGGGGTCCTGGCCCTGCTGTACTCACTGAACAACCATGAGCAGGAAATGCCCCCTCCCCACTTCTGCCTCTGTTTCTGCAAGGAAGTTTAGGGGGCTGGACAATATTTGTTTTTCAGCTTTTTTAGTAGCACGAGGACCCTTTTGGTCTAAATGATATACAGGGAAGCCTCATATATATGACATTTAAAAGTGAAGAGAGGCCAAGTCACTCTCATTGCACCTGAAGCACCTCTGTAGAACCCGTAGGCTTCCATGAAACCCATTTGGAGAAAGTTTGGGCTACGTACCCTTTCAATTTTGACATTTTATAATACTTTGGGTCTTGATCCTGTGAGTTTCGCACAGTACTAGGATTTAGCAAGGTGTGGAGCTAGAGCAATGGGTACATAGGATTACAGTTCAAGACGGGAGCCAAATGGTTCCCCTCATTCCAGACCCAATTGTCTCCCAGGCATGGTCCAATTGTGCGGCCTTGGGAATCTAGGCCAGCCCTGCCTTGCGACCTGGGGCAGGGTGGTAAATGGGTCTGTAGAGGTCCAGGACAGGGCAGTAAGCAGGTGCACAGAGACACAGGTGGGGCAGCTGGCAGGGTCACAGGGATGCAGAGATACAGGTGAGGCAGTGGGCAGGGATGCAGAGACACAGGTGGGACAGCGGGCAAGGGCACAGAGACATAGGTGAGGCAGTGGGCAGGGGAGTAGAGACACAGGTGGGGCAGTGGGCAGGGGCACAGAGGCACAGGTGGGGCAGTGGACAGAGGTGCAGAGGCACAGATGGAGCAATGGGCAGGGGCACAGAAGCACAGGTGGGGCAGTGGGCAGAGGTGCCGAGACACAGGTGGGGTGATGGGCAGGGGAGTAGAGACACAGGTGAGGCGGTGGGTAGAGGTGCAGAGGCACAGGTGGGATTGTGGGCAGAGGAGTAGAGACACAGGTGGGGCACTGGGCAGGGGCACAGAGACACAGGTGGGGTGGTGGGCAGGGGAACAGAGACAAGCCTCAGTCCCTAGGAAGTGGACCCAAAAAGGTAGCTTCAAAGCCAGTTGCTGAAAGCAGGACATGACCCCAGATTTTCCCCTTTGGAGGCCATAGACAGGTCCAGTCTCCCTAAAATCAGGAAAGCTGTTTTTTTCTCACAGAGAAAAAGTCCTTTCCTGAAAGGCACAAAGAAAGGCTTTTCACAGCCCAGGGGCTGTAGGAAGACCCCTCCTACCCAGCCTGTCTGCCTGCCCCAACATTTGCGACACGGCAATAAAATATTCAGATATAGACATGCAAAAGAACCTCATCTCCCCAAATCCCAGGCATCTTATGTTTGCCTGAGACATCAGAACTTTAAAGTAATTCTTTGATATAAATTACAAACCTGCATTTAAAGCACTTTTCAAAAAGAAAAAAGGAAAGAAGAAAATAAATGGGGGAAAAAAAACCAACGCAGGCTATCATGTGCAGAAGAGATTCTTTGTTGGCATTACAAACTCCGACAAAAATCCTACATTTCCTACCCCCATCCCCTCCCACCTCCTTCACCCCCCTGCAGTCCCTCCCTCCACACACTTTCCTTCCGCTCCCCCACCTGTGTCCCAGAGAGCTGCATCCCACTCTTCCCTCTCCCGCCCCCCTATCGATTTATTTATCAGATTTATTAAAAATACATCCAATCCCCTCAGGAATCTGGGCACATGTACCAAAATAAAAAGACAGCAAATTAAATTAAATGCCGCCTCACAAAACTTGAGTTCCCCGTTAGCAGAGAAAGTGAGGAGATGTTTGCTCTCACCTCATCCCCGCACCTAGCTTCCTCCCACACATGCACCTGTTTTCTGCCTTCCATCTCCAAAACGCACACGCACAGAGATTCTTTCTTCCCTCATCCTCTCCCAACGTCTCACTTCATCCCCGGTGCCTTCCATTTTTCCCTCATCCCCAGGACCTCCCTGAGTGGGCATGGACCACACCCTTGGGCCCCAGGTGGTTGCCATGGTGTAGGCCGAAGTCCCCATTTCCCATGTGGTTCCACTGATGCACCCAACAGCCCCATGAAGCAGGTGTCTTATTCTTCTCTTGACAAGTGAAGAAACTGAGGCTCAAAAAACCTCATCAGTTGGTAAATGATGGGATTGGGCTAAGCCTCTGCCCCAAGGGCCTGCATGTGTTCCCATTGTACCACACTGGCTCATAGTTCTTGGGGGTGTTGAAGGGAAAAGAGTGGGGTGAGGGCTACTGTCTAGACTACTATGCTCTGGAAGAACTGGCATCCTGTGCCCAGTTCATCGGAGAACCCACTGGGAGGTTGAAGTTAGTAGCACAAAATCATTTTCCCACACCCTCCTTACAATGGCAGGTTTATTTCAAACGAGATGGGGAACCAATCGACGCAGTGCCCCTATCAGAGCCACCAGCTGCGAGCTCCGGCCCCCTACAGGACAGCAGGCCCTTCCGCAGCCTTCTGCACCGTGACCTGGATGACACCAAGATGCAGAAGTCACTGTCCCTCCTGGACGCCGAGAACCGGGGTGGGCGACCCTACACGGAGCGCCCCTCCCGTGGCCTGACCCCAGATCCCAACATCCTCCTCCAGCCAACCACAGAGAACATACCAGAGACGGTCGTGAGCCGTGAGTTTCCCCGCTGGGTCCACAGCGCCGAGCCCACCTACTTCCTGCGCCACAGCCGCACCCCGAGCAGTGACGGCACTGTGGAAGTACGTGCCCTGCTCACCTGGACCCTCAACCCACAGATCGACAACGAGGCCCTCTTCAGCTGCGAGGTCAAGCACCCAGCTCTGTCGATGCCCATGCAGGCAGAGGTCACGCTGGGTAAGACTTGGTGGGGGCCCTTCTGTAGAGCCCTTGCAGACCTGGGTGTGGGGAGAGCCTTGGAATAGGGTTCCTGGGCTGAGGACAGCCATGGAAAGGGGGAGGAGATGGAGCAAACTGGAGTCAGGATGAGCACAAATGGTAGAGTCAGGTTCTTAGGGAGGTTTGCTGAGCTGGATTGGAGAAGATGGGAGGTACCCACAGGCCAAGGTAGTTTGCTGGGTTGAGCCAAGAACATGAGAGGTCAGAAGAGTTTGCTGGATAGGGTCAGGGACACAGGAGATCAGGGGAGGTCAGAGGAGTTCCTGGATTAGATCAGGAACATGGGAGGTCTAGGAGGTCTTCTGGAAGGGTCAGAAACAAGAGATTGAGGAGATTTGCTGGGTTGGGTCAGGAACATAAGAGGTTGGGGAAAAGCAAGGGAGTCACTGGGCTGGGTCAGCAACATGAGAGGTCAGGGAGTTTGTACAGTCCAGATAAAAAAGATGGAAAGTCAGAGAAATATGCTGGATTGGTGTTAAAAACAGGGGAGGTTTTCTAGGTCAAAACTGGAACCAGGATGTTTGCTGGGTAAATAAAGTATACACAAGAGTCGGGTTTCTTCAGGAAGGGTTGCTGAGTCAAGTCAGAAGCATAGGTCAGCGTGAAGACCAGGGGAGGTCAAGATTTTTCTAGTCAGCCTCAGGAGCACAAGAGATCAGGGGACATTTGTCGGATCAAGGAGAGGAACCTTGAGGTCATGGCATGCTCAGGGGAGTTTTCTACATCACAGGTGGGAACATGGGAGGTGACAGGGAGATTTTCTGGATTGCATATGAGCCCAGTGAGCTCAGAGGACAGTTGCTGCATAAGGGTTGCAAACCTGGGAGGTTGCAGGCTTTGCTGGATCGGGTTCGAGAATTCTGAAAGTCATAGGAATTTTTGCCAGGTTGGGGTCAGGAACACATAGGACATGGAAGGATATCACTCCGGCTTACACTTTTAAGTACAATGAAAACCCTGTCATCTGTGGGTATGTGGGAGGCAGGCAAAGAGGACACTGGCTGCCCAGAGACAGCTCAGCCCAAGAATCTAATCCATGTCCATGATCTGCACCTCTCCCCACAGAGCACCAACCCAGGGATCCCCAAAGCAGTTCCCTGGTAACTCACTCTCTTCCCCTTATACTGGTCCTCCCCACTGACTCAGGGCAGGGAAAGGGGAGATGTGGAATCTTCGTTGCTGAAAATATACAAGACTCATCTCCAGTTGTTTGTATGGACTGGGTGGGCGAGGGCAGGGGATGGGCACGATGACCTGTGCTTGTCCTTTCCCCTATGTCCTTTGAACCTTGATTTGCAGCCCCCAGCAGCTCCTCCCTGAGCCCGAGATGCCTGGGCTCATACTCCAAAACTCCTGTAGTGTCAGGGGCTGCCTGGAGCAGTCCACAGCCTCTAACCCAGGCCACTCATGACCAAGGACTGAGAGCAGTAACTGACAAGAATTGGGACTGCAGCTTGTGTCAGGTGTTCTAGAGAGCTTCTGTTTCATCTGGACCATCAGAAAACCCAACACCTCCTCAGTATCAAATACCAAAGAAAAGGATTTCTTGTACGGATAGTATGTACTATGTGCCAGGAACATCTGCAAGGATTCTCATCCAATCCTCACAAGCACAAGTTGGCTGTGTAGTCTCATTTTGCATATGAGCAAAACTGAGGCTCAAGTTGGTAGAGTACTTTGCCAAGTCGTTAACTTTGTATGTAGCGGCGTTGAAATTTCAAGCCAAGTTTATTGGTGCCTTCTTCACTCACTACCATGCCAACCACTGAACTCACCAGCCCCAGGATGTGGTGTCTTGACTGGTTATGGGACTGGTTCCCTGAAGACCCATTACAATGGACCTTTGATATTCTCTCTCTCTCTCTTTTTTTTTTTTTTTTTTTTTTGACAGAGTCTGGCTCTGTCACACCCAGGCTGGAGTGCAGTGGGTGATCTTGGCTCACTGCAACCTCAGCCTCCCAGGTTCAAGTGATTCTCCTGCCTCAGTCTCTCAAGTAGCTGGGATTACAGGTGCCTTCCACCACATCCTGCTAATTTTTTTTTTTAATAGAGGTGGGGTTTCACCATATCGGCCAGGCTGGTCTCAAACTCCCAACCTCAGGTGATCCACCTGCCTCGGCCTCCAAAGTGCTGGGGTTACAGACGTGAGCCACCGCACCCAGCAGCCTTTTGATTTTCACAGGCCACCTGCCCATACAGAAACTAAAAATAAAGGCTAACATTTAGTGAGCACCTACTATATGCCACAGACTGTGGCCTCTCTTATATTAACCCAGTGAGACAGGCACCATTATTATCCCATGTCACAGAGGAGGAAGCTGAGGCTCAGGGAAGTTAAGTTGCCCAAGGTGAGTGGGGGAGAATTCAAAGGCTCCAGAGTCTGCTCTAAGCCTCTCACTCTGCCTCCTCACGGCGTCCCTCTGTCACAGGTGCCCACTTCCTGGGTACTCTTTGTTCATCATTCCATAAAGATATCACAAGCAGGGCCAGGCACAGTGTCTCACGCCTGTAATCCTAACACTTTGGGAGGCCAAGGCGGGTGGATCATGAGGTCAGGAGTTCAAGACTAGCCTGACTAATGTGGTGAAACCCCATCTCTACTAAAAAAAAAAAATACAAAACTTAGCTGGGCTTGGTGGTGTGTGCCTATAATCCCAGCTACTCAGGAGGCTGAGACAGGAGAATCACTTGAACCCAGGAGGCAGAGGCTGCAGTGAGCCGAGATTGCACCACTGCACTCCAGCCTAGGTGATAGAGTGAGACTTCATCTCAAAAAGAAAAAAAAAAAGTTGGGGGGAAAAAAGATATTACAAGCATCACAAGGCCAGGCCCTGTACTAAGTGCTGGGATCTTCCCAACCCAGAGCCTGCTCCGACCCCTCTCTTGGTCCTCCTGCTTTTCCAGCCCTTCACTCCTCTCTCTGGACCCTCCATCCTTCCATGGCCTCTTCCTCCCCTGACAGAGCAGCCTCCACCCTTTACCTGGTTGCTTCATTTATGAAAGCCCCCTCCTGCCCCTCTTGTGGAAGCTCTGGCTTCCAGCGGGGTGGCACCCTTGCCCCACCCCACCAAGAATAAGGAGGAGAAAGATGAAAGGCCAGATACAGACTTCAAGGCAGCTGGTGAAAAGTGAGCTTGTAGCTGACATCTTCTAGTGATGAGAGGGGGTGTGCCTCTGCTGGCCTGTGTGACCCCTATCAACAGCACCCCAAACCACATTAAAGCACTTGCCTGCTCTGTCCTGGATCCCAGGCCCTCCCTTAACTGGAGCCGCCTCTGTGGGCACCCCCACTCATCATCAGAGCAAGAGAAAGAAGGGCCCACTCATAAGCAGTGGGCCTGGACAGGCAGGTCTGCACACACCGGGGGATTTGGGGCATGGGGGACACAGCAGGGCCACCAAGATGAAGGGCCCTAATTGGGTGGGTGAGTAAAGAGACACCTGGGCTGACTTCCTAGCCTCCCTCGACTGCTGAGTGAGAATTCAGACTTCTTAACGTCTCTGAGTCTCAGTTTTCTGACCTGATGAAGGGGGAGAATAGTAACTGCACAAATGTTTTGAGCACCTACTCAGAGCCAGGCTCTCTGCAAGATGCTTTCCTCACCAGGTCTCCTTTAAACCTGCAGTGAACCTGTGAGGCCGCTGAGAGTTGCTATCATATTATTCCCATCTGAGAGGTGAGGGACTCAGGTTTAGAGTAACCTTTCTTAGGTCAGCCAGCCAAGGCTGTCTGGCCCCAGATCTCACATTCTTAACCACTGTGCTCTACAGCCCACCTGTCAGGGCTGTGGTGAGACGTCACTGAGCCAGGGGATATGACCAGTGGAATGTGCCATGAGCCAAAGAGTCGTGAGTGTATGCACCTTGCACCATCAGGGCACCCTGCACTCTGGGTGAGACAGTGGGACGGATTAGATGACCTCAGAGCACAAAATCCAATCATTCAACAAGGATTTTGAAGATCAGGCCAACGAGGGTGGGATGTGTCTCCCTGCAATGAGCCTTCGCTCCTCCTCTTCCCTTGCAGGGATGCCCTCCGCAGCTGAAATGCCACCCCTCCAGGAAGATTTCTCTGACTCTCCCCCAACCCTTTGAGCTGTTTGTGCCTCTTCTCAGTTCTTGTCTCACCAGATTTGTACCTTTCTCGTAATCTGGACCACAGATGCCTGAGCGTCCTGGCACCCATCTCACTAAATGGCAACCATGTCCTTCCCATTGATCAAACCAGAAGCCTTGCAGACCCCTCACCTTTTCCACTCTTCCCTCCTATCCCACATGCAAACCATCATTAAGCCCTGGCAGCTCAACTTCAGAATATATCCCAAATCTGCCACTCCTCACGGTCTCCTCTCCAAATACCCAACCCAAGCACCATCAGTTCAAGCCTGGGTTATTAGAGTAGCCTTCAAACTGATCGTTCTGCTTCCACTTTCACCCTATCCTATTTCCCACCCCGATTGATCTACTTAAAATATAAATCAGATCATGACACCCGCCCAAAACCTTCCTGTGGTAGACAAATAGATTGACAAAACAGGATAGAGTCCAGAAATAGATCTACATACACAGAGTTCATTGATTTTTGCCAAAGACCCCCAAGGCGGTTCAATCAGGAAAGAGAAGTTCTCTTAAAAAATGACCCTGAAACAAATGAATAGGCATAAGGAAAAATTAAACCTGGACCCCTGCCTCGCACACACACAAAAATTAATTTGAAATGAATCATAGATTTAAAAGTAGAAGTCAGCATCATGAAGCCTCTAGAACAAAACATAGCCTTTGTGATATTTGTGTAACAAAGGTTTCTTAAAGTGGTCACAAAATAAAAACTAAATAAAAACTAAATGATAAATTGAATTTGGTAAATTGGACTTAATCAAAAATTAAATCTTCTGCTCTTACAAAGATATCCTTGAGAAAAAAGAAAAGCAAACTATAGAATGAGAGAAAATACTCTCAATACATATATCTGACAAAGCATTTGTAACCAGAATATATAAAGAACTATGACAAATCAATAATGAAAGACTACCCAATTTTTTAAAAAAGAAAATATACAAATGGCTAATAAACATGTAAAAACCTACACTACATTATTAGTTATTAGAGAAATGAAGATTCCAACCTCCATGAGATACCATTTCACATCTATTAGAGTGGCTAAAATTTTAAAAACTGACAATACCAGATGTTGACAAGAAGGTAGAACAATCAGAATTCTCATGCTTTGCTGACTGCAGAATAAAATGGTACTACTACTTTGAAAAACTGGCAGTTTCTTACAAAGATAAAAATATTTCTGTTCTTATGACCCAACGATTTCACTCCTAGGTATTTACCCAAGAGAAATGAAAACATATGTCCACAGCAGCTTTATTCATGGCAACAGCAAAAACAACAGAACTGTAAATAATCTAAATGTCCATAATTAGAAAAATGAATAAACGTATTTGTAGTATATTCATATAACAAAATACTTTTTATCAATACAAATGAATGAACTCATGATACCTGCATTAGCATGGATGGAGCTCAAAAACATGTTGATCAGGCTGGGCACGGTGGCTTACACTTGCAATCTCAGAACTTTGGGAGGCCGAGGCAGGTGGATCACTTGCAGCCGGGAGTTTGAGACCAGCCTGGCCAACATGGTGAAACCTCGGCTCTACTGAAAATACAAAAATTAGCTGGGTATGGTAGCTCATGCCTGTAGGCCCAACTACTTGGGAGGCTGAGGCAGGAGAATCCCTTGAACCTGGGAGGTGGAGGTTGCAGTGAGCTGAGATTGCGCCACTGCACTCCAGCCTAGGCAATAGAGTAAGACTCCATTTCAAAAAAAAAAAAAAATGTTGATCAAAAGAAGCCAGATGACAGAGTACTCACTGTGTGAGTCCATTTATTTGAAATTCTAGAACAAAAAATAAATATCCATTGATAGAAATGGGAACAGTGTTGGCCTATGAAGAATGGAAATTGACTGGAAGGAGGCCTCTGCTCGAGTCCTCTACTCAGAGGGTCCTTCCTTGAACACTCTATCTAAAGCAGCCTCTTCCTCCTGGTTCCTTCCACCCCTTCTCTTGCTTTGTTTTCTTACATAACTCATTTCCACCTACAAGTATATTCTATATTTGCTTATTGTCTGAATCGCCCACAAGGTAGGAATTGAGATTTGGTTTTAGATGTAATGGCAGTCAGGTGAACTGGCTTGAACAATTCATTCTTCATATATGTTTTAACTGTGATAAAATTTACATATTGGGAAATGCAGGTCCTTCAGTGCACAATTTGACAGATTTTAATAAATGTGAATGCTGGTGTAACCACCACCTCAACCAAACTCTGCGCATTCCCATCACCCACTAGAATTTAAATGGCACATGGGCAGGGTCTTCTTTATCCGCCTAGTTCACAGAGTACAGGGCTCAGAACAACCCCAACATAGTTCTTAATAAACAACTGTTTAATAGTTAATTAATTAATGCTTTTCTAGGTTGTTGAGAAGATTAAGTAAGGCAGTGCATACAAAGTGCTTATAGTGACAGGCAGAGGAAATATTCAGGAAATATAAGCTACTGTTATTATTCATCATAGTATCCCCAACAGTGACCGGGAATAGTGACCACCACAAATTAGGTGTACAATAAAGAATTAGATGGATAGAGCAAATGAAGAAATGGATGGGTAAGCAAATTGGTAGGTTTATGGGTAGGCACTTGGATGGATTGTTGGATGTTTGAATAGATGAATGAATAAAATGAATGCTTGGATGGATGGAAGGATGGATGGATGGATGGATGGATGGATGGATGGATGGATGTTTTGATGGATGGATGGATATTTGGATGGATGTTTGGAGGGATGGATGAATGGGTGGATGTTTGGATGGATGGATAGATGGATGGATGGATGGATGGATGTTTGGATGGGTGGATGGAGGGATGGATGGATGAGTGTTTAGATGGGTGGATGGAGGGATGGATGGATGAGTGTTTAGATGGATGAATGGATGGATGGATGAATGGATGTTTGGATAGATGTTTGGAGGGATGGATGAATAGATGGATGTTTGGAAGGATGGATATTTGGATGGATGGATGGATGGATGGATGGATGGATGGATGGATGGGTGGATGGATGGATGGATGGATGGATGAGTGGGTGAATGGGTGAGTGATTGTCTTAGAAAGCATCCAGAATTCCTAGGGGAAACTTAGAGGAGCTTTTCCTTGAGATTCCACAGTACTATCCTTGCATCAGGATGCTCAGGACAGGTAAGGAAGGCAACTTATATGTCCAGGATCTTTTTCATTCCCTGAGCAGATAGACATCACTTTACATTTCACATTGCAGTCTTATCTCCCTCCTCCATTGTCATTTTCAGAGTATTTCCTCAAGCAGGGTGGTAGCCTATTCTCCCCATTTACAAGTTAGAAAACTGAAGCCCAACAAGTTGAAATGACTCATCCAAGTCATGCAGCCAGAAAGTAGAGGGCTAGGTGTCAATCCTGGGTCTCTGGACTCCTGCTCTTTCTCTACGTCCAGGGCTTGAGAGGCAGGAAAGTCCGGAGACTAAGAGCATTCCTTTCGGGCACTCTCAGCCATTGTGGTCTAGAAGCAGGCAAGGGGGTGTAGGTTTTGATTGTCTGGAGCTGCTAATGGGCCAGGCTCGGAGTGTCAGGAGGCTGAGGGTGGAAGGAGTGAGGAGGCTGACAGCAGCAGGCTTGGCTTCCAGAAGCAACATCTCAACACAGCAGTAAAAGAGGGAGTCAGGGACCATCGGCTGCAAACGCACTTGTCTAGTGGCAGCTGCCAGGATAGAGCTTGAAAGCAGCGAGGGAGGACCAGACCCCTCTTCTGCCCACCCTCTGTGCCCCTCAGGATCAGATGCACACAGGAGCCCAGGAGCCGGGGTGCCCTGGGTGGAAGAAGGCACCCATCTCTGCCCCACCTCCACCCTTGGGCTCTGAGACTCCCTCTGAAGCCCTATGTGCTATCACGTCTTGTTACTGGTACTTCCTATAGCATGACCTTGGACAAGCCACTGCCCCCCTGGAGGGCCAGTTCTATGACCTGCACAATGGGTTTCGTGATAACCTGCCTCGTAAGTACCAGAATGGTGTGACTGTCCTAAAATGCCTAAAATGGAGTCTAGCGCATGTTTGACACCTGAGAAAAGTTGGTTCCTTCTTCCCTTAGAACCAGCAGGCCCAGGCCCGGGCCTGAAGGAGTAAGGCAAGCCCTTTAGAAAGCAGGGCAGTGAGGAATCTAACCTAGAAGGGAAAGGTGTCTGCCCCTGCCCTCCAGGGCTCTAGCCTTCTCCAGGACCGGGATGCCCTTCAGCGCCCTCTCCTGGCTGCAGCCAACAATGCCGCCCCAGCAGCACCTGAAGAACGTAAAGAGCCCCCAAGATTACCCAGGGGCAGACTGCCCTAGGCCTGGTTTCCCATCTGCAAAACGATGTCTACAGCACTTGAGGGTTCATTTTAAAACCCAGAAACTTACTTGGGCTCCCTGAGCCTTCATTTCCTTATGGCGACAATCTCAAAGGCTGGAAGGCTAAATGAGATTATGCATATGGCACTTCATGTAGGTCCTGGCTCTTAGGACTCGCTAAACAAATGTTAGCCATCAAACCTGCCACTGCCTGATGTTCCTAACGGCCCCGCGTGTTAGGCAAGGGGTATCATTGTTCCCATGGTGCACTTGGGAATGCGAAGGGGAGCCACTCATCCAAGGGCGCAAAGAACAGATTAGAACTCAGCTCGCAGGTATCCCAGGCCAGTGGCCCTTCCACACGACTGGCTGGCAGATGCAGCTGTAGAACCAGCCCTTCCCTTCCCAGCGATTCCCTCTCCTTGGTGCAAGCCCTGCTCTTCCCACGGATGCTTCCCTAGACCCATGTGGCATTTCAGATGTCTTGCTTATGGTTTAATTAATAGTCCTTTGATTTCATTCTCAGAGAATGAAATTGGCAGTGCCTGGGAGGCCACCCACATCTGCCAACTGCTCTGATTTCCGTTCTAAGAGCTTTGCGTCAGAAAGAGAGGTCCGGGGACCAGCAAGGAAAGGTGGGGGTAATCCCAGGGCAGCCCCAGGGCCTCAGGACAAACCTTTTCCACCCTTAGAAGATGTTTACACAGAGTAGCACAAAGCATAGAGTACCAAACAAAACCCTCACCCCTTCCTCCGGCCCTGGAAACTCAATGGGATCTGTCTCCCAACCCCCTTCCCTCCCTGACCTGCCTCTGTCCCATGCCCTGGCTGTTCCCTGTGCCTGGAATATGCCTCGTGAGCTTCACAGCTCAGCTTAAATGTCACCTCCTTGGAAGAGGCACCCTGACCACTATCTGAGGATTTCACCCACCAATTCTGAGCCCCCTCCCTTGGTCTAGTGATCTGCATGGAGCACTGTCACTCTCATCCTGTTTTGCGTATGTGTTTGTTTGCTTATGAACTCTCACCCCTACTGAAGTGGGAGCTCCATGTCAGCAGGCACTGGGTCTTGTTCACCACCATATCCTCAGCTCTGCTCCAAATGGCTGGCTCCATAATTACTGTTGAGTGAGTGAGTGAGTGAATGAATGAATCTGGGGGAAAGAGTGCTGGCGAGAAGGTCAGGAAACATGGTTAACTGGCTCTGTGAGTGACCTTGGATAAGCCTCTACATTATCCGTGGAGCTCTGTTTGTCAGCTGAAATGAAGGGAACAGACCCAATGATCCCGAGTGGCTCCTCCATCCCTGATATTCTCAGGTGTCGTTCAGAGGATAGCCATGCCTTTGGGCATCTTGGCTTTCAAGCTCAGAGATACAAAGGGACTGAATAAGAGGTGATACAAGAAAGTGAGGAAGAGAGGCAGGGAGGCTGTGCACAAGGAAGGAGGTGGTCTTTCTTCCCACACCATGTCCACCCCTACCCAGAGGTTCTAGAAAAATCCCACTGGGAAGATTAACCTGTTAGAAAGAGCACTGACTCAGGAGTAGGAGACCCGCACCTTGATCTTGGCTCTCCTCAAGGTGTGACCTTTGGCAAATCACTTCATGACCCTCTGAGGCCCAGTTAACTCAACTGGACAATGGGGCTGATGACACCAGAAACGCACCTCCCAAGGGGGTAGCGTGGGTGGGAGTTGGGGGTACCTCAAGTCTGGCTGCTGGTGCAGGCTGCTCCCCCTCAGCAGCCTAGTAGCACGTGCCCCAGGTACGTTTCCCTCCCTGACCCCACTGTCCACTGGGCCTCTCTGATCTTGTCCCTCATGGCACTGGCTTGTACTTGTCTGTTGTTTGTCTTTCTTCCCCACTGATGTGTGAACCCCCCAAGAGCAGGAATCATGTCCTATATACACCCTTGACTCCCCAGGTCCTAGAGAGCATCTGATTCATTGCATGGGCTTAGGGAATATGTCTGAATGAATGCAGCTGTGAATGAGTGAATGAATGAATGAGCACACTGAGCTTCTCACAGAAGCAGCTGATCCCAAGGATGTTGATTGCTAGACTAGAACTTTCTCTTCCATGTACCCTGTCCCTCCTTTCCTTACTCTCTCTGACCTGGCCTTTCTCTCCCTACAGTTGCCCCCAAAGGACCCAAAATTGTGATGACGCCCAGCAGAGCCCGGGTAGGGGACACAGTGAGGATTCTGGTCCATGGGTTTCAGGTCAGCCTCTCTCTGAGCATCTGGGAGGGTGGTGGGAGGTGGTAGAGGCACCGACCCAGCACCAGCATTCCTGGCAGTCCTCTCTAACACTCTTCCTTTGATCCCCAGCCACATCCAGTGGGTTTCAGTTTCCCAATGTGTAATTGGGAGAATCAGCTCCCATGAGGAATGGCAAAGAGGTGCATGCATGTTTCACACCTTCTAGAACTCAGAGTAAACCTAGCTCTTCAACGAGACATTCTCTTAAGTCCCAGACTCCTCCTCCTCCTGGAGTTCAGGGCAGCCACTCCTAACCCGTCGGATGAGAATGCTGTGCCACCCCTGGCCAGGCAGCCCCTGACCCCTTGCTGATCTGGCAGAATGGGCCCTCCTGTGACCCACCTCTCCCCTGATCTGGCCAACAGAACGAAGTCTTCCCGGAGCCCATGTTCACGTGGACGCGGGTTGGGAGCCGCCTCCTGGACGGCAGCGCTGAGTTCGACGGGAAGGAGCTGGTGCTGGAGCGGGTTCCCGCCGAGCTCAATGGCTCCATGTATCGCTGCACCGCCCAGAACCCACTGGGCTCCACCGACACGCACACCCGGCTCATCGTGTTTGGTATGGCGCGCTCAACTGGGGACTGGGAGAACAACCACAGGGGCGGGTCCTGTCTGGGAGGTTTCCCCAGGAGGAAGAAGCAGTAGGGGCCCAAAATTTTGGGCCTAAATCTCCCAAATTTGCCCTGAGAGGGTGCCCCACTGGGAGGCAGGGTCGCTCAGTGGTTACAACTATAAATCAGCTTCGGACTCAGAAAGAACCTTAGGCAAACTGCTTAACCTCTCTCACTTTCTCCATCTGCAAAATGGGGCTGATACTATCCAGCTCCCCTGAAGGTTGTGTGGCTGCACTGAGACAGTGCGTGTGATACCTCACAGCAGGTGCTGGGTAAAGGGCCATTCCTTCCCTGAGCTCTGAAGGCCATCCACCCTTTGGTTCTCTTTCTGTTTCTTTCCAACAGAAAACCCAAATATCCCAAGAGGAACGGAGGACTCTAATGGTAAGTCTCTACCCTCAGGATTTTTTGCTTAAAAGGGAGTGGCTTTTGAGGCGCCAGAAAGCTCTGGTCCCCCAAACTTCCCATATGCACACCCTTGCCACTCCCTGACACCTCAGGCAGGTCATTGCCCTCTAGTAGGGCAGAGTCAGGGTCCAAAGTGGGCAGAGGTGGGTACTGAGGCAATAAAAAGGGACTCAGCCTGCCAAAGCAGCCAGCTGAGATTTCCAGGGCCAACTCTGCCCCATCTCACCATCCATGGCATCTCTGGCCCTCTTAGCTCAGAGCTTGATCTCACTGCCCATGGCATCTCTAGCTTTCTTAGCTCAGAGCTTGGCTGCCCTGACCTCAGAAGGGTGTGTCCAGCCTCGACCGTGGGGCTGCGTTCTGAGACTCCAGACCACTCCGTAGGGTGGTTGGGAGCATCAACGGATGTCTCAGTGCAGGCCCTTTATACTGTCCTCCCTGGGCATCCCCCAACCTGCTCTAGCCTGAGCACCACCCCAGGGGGCCCAGACGCTGCTCCCAGGCCTGCCACACCCCCTCCCTACATGGAGCCAATCTCACAGTTCACAATGGAGGCTCCCACTCTTGGTCCTCACTGCACCATCCTCATGGCCTCTAGGAAATCTGACCGTAGCCCAGCAAGCCTAGTGGTAGGGGAGGAGATCATGGACAGTTAGGTGGCCAGGTGGCAGAGCTGGGCTTCGAACCCAGTTTGTCCTGATGCTGAAATCCAGCGTCTTTGTTGGGGACCTGGAGGCTCTGCTGTTCTGGAACGGGGTTGGGTCTGCAGGCTCTGACCCTTTCCCTGATTCCTGGCACAGGTTCCATTGGCCCCACTGGTGCCCGGCTCACCTTGGTGCTCGCCCTGACAGTGATTCTGGAGCTGACGTGAAGGCACCCGCCCCGGCCACTCCATCAGGCACTGACATCTCCACGACCGGTTTTCATTTCTTTTCTAAACTATTTCCAGTCTTGTTCTTAGTCTCTTTCCATCTGTGTCTTGGCTTCTTCAGTCGGTTTAATTAAAACAAACAGAACAATTTTCCCCACCTCGGTTTGTGGCTCTGCATTCTTTATCTGTTCAGTAGCAGCAACTGGGCCCCTCCTCCTGGCATTCAGCATTGGGACAGGCACTGAGAGGGGAATGGCAAGGGAAATGGAAGGCATGCTCTTCCCAAATGAACAGTGGACATGGAGCTCACTATCTCACTCAAGTCCTAGCATCCAGGCGTGGAATGTGGCCAGAGACGAGAAATCCAAATTCCTCAGGGCTGAGTATAATAGTCAGCTATTGATACAATAATGCTGCATAACAAACCAACCCAAACCTCAGTGGCATGCAACAACAAGCACTTGTAACTATGTTCATGTTCAGGCTGAAGTGGTTCAGCTGATCTAATCTGGGCTCAGCTGGGCAGTTCTGCTTCAGGCAGCAGGTCAACTGGGCTGGACTCCAAGCTGTGGGTTGGGTTCAGGCCTCCTCCATGGGTTGGTTTGCTCCATGGGTGTTTATCTGGGGCCCACACTAAAGAAGTGACTACCTGACATTTGATCCTCTTATGGTAGACCACAAAAGCTCAAGAAGAAACTCAAACCATTCAAGTATGTTTAAGGCCTCTGCCTGTGTCATGTCCATGAACACTCCTTTAGCCAAAGCAAGTCACATGGCCAAGGCTGACATCAGTCAAGGTCACATGTATGTCAGTGGTACAGGTTTCTCAGAACTTTCTACTCAAACATTACAAATTCATCACGCCATTCAGCTATTAACTCAGAGAGAAGGGCCGAGAGTCTTTGGAGAGGGGGGGGTTTGGCCTCTCTGAGCCATGGTCAAGACTTGGGATTCACCAAGAAGAGCCCATGGAAGATTGTAAGCAGTCTGGATAGGGTAGGTCCTACTGCAGTAACATATTGAGCCCAGATTCTTACTGCCTTAACACAGTTGATGTGGTTTGGACCTGTGTCCCCACGATATCTCATAGTGAAATGTAATCCCCAGTGTTGGAAGTGTGGCCTGGTGGGCGGTGTTAGGATCATGTGGGCAGATCCCTCATGAATGGCTTAGTGCCATCTCTTTGGTGATGAGTGAGTGAGTTCTCATGAGATCTGGTTGTTTAAAAGTGTGTAGCACCTCCCCACTCCCAACTGACTCTCTCTCTTGCTCCTGCTTTTGCCATGTGACTTGACTGCTCCTGCTTTCCTTCTTGCCACAAGTAAAAGCTCCCTGAGTCCTCCCCAGAAGCTGAGCAGATGCTGGCAGCATGCTTCCTATACAGACTGCAGAACCATGAGATAATTAAACCTCTTTTCTTTATAAATTACCCAGTCTCAGGAATTTCTTTATAGCAATGCAAGAACAGCCTAAGCCAACAATAAAGATTTATTTTGGGCTCATGAGAAGCCCAAGTAGGTTAAACAGGCCTGTTCCATCTTGTAGCTACATCACCTGGAATACGTGGCTTCCAAAATCCCCAGGGGAGGAGAAGAGAAGGCTGGAGTATCACTGTGGTAGGCAGAATAATGCCCTCTCACCAAAGATGTCCATATCCTAATCCCTAGAACGTGTAAATACATTACCTTCCATGGCAAAAGGGATTTTGCTGATGTGATCAAGTTAAGCATCTTCAGATGCAAACATCAGCCTGGATTATCCAGGTGGGTTCAATGTAATCACAATGTCCTTATAAGAGGGAGGCAAAGAAGGTGAAAGGCAGGAGAAGGAGATGTGATGGCAGAAGCAAGAGATAGGAGTCACGCAAGGAAGGGGCCACAAGCCAAGGAATTCAGGCAGGCTCTAGAAGCCAAATGGGGCAAGAAAACAGATTCTCCCCCTGGAGTTTCCAGAAGGAACTGGCCCTGCCAACATGTTTAGCCCCATGAGACTCATTTCAGACTTCTGACTCCAAAACTAAGAGAATAAATTTGCCATATTCTTTTAAACTTAGGTTTGTGGCAATTTGTTACAGCAGCAGTTAGGAAACTAATATGATCACCCAGGATGTGATTAAGGCCCAGGCCTAATAGAACATAAATCACCCCTGTCCATACCCCATTGGCCAGGAGTAGTCACATGGCCCAATCTGACTGCAAAGGAGGCTGGGAAATGCAGCTTTCCTGTGTGCCCTGGAGAAGGAAATAGAATGATGACCCCAGAGCATTGCATCTTCCACAGAGAAGCTGGGACCCATTTAATGATTCATTTCCATGAAATGAAATGAATGGAAATTATTCATTCATTTATTTCATCCCATGGAAATGAATGAATTCCGCCCAGGCCAGAGTGGCCAGAGGAGGGAGGACTGGGAGGAGGCTCCATCACCAGAAATGGCTCTCATCACTTCTGCTGCATGAATGCCCTGTGCTTCTTCTCCCTTTCCAACCAGCAGAGACATCACTGAGTCATCTGTGCCTCTCTCTCAGACAGTGCAAATGTCTTAAAGAATCAGGGACATCCCTACAAAAACTCCAGGTGCCAGACACACCAAGCTGAGAATTAAGCATTGGCTCTATCTCCTTGTGGTCATCATAGCCCATTTGGCCCTGGTCAAGTCGGGTCCTGAATGACCATTTCAATCAATTTCCACATTGACTTTCGAATTTCTGACTCCCTAACTTTTCCTTGGAATTCCAGACTCAGATGTCCAACTTCATAATATGGTTCCCCTACCTCACTGGACATCAAATATGCATTTCCAACTTCATGTGGCCAAAACCCAATTTTTGGCTTTCCCTCCCAAAACATGCTCCTTCCCTAGCATTCCCCTTCTCTAGAAATAGTACCATCAACCCAGTTGCTTTGGTCAAACATTTCACTGTTATCTTTCATTTATCTCTTTCTCTCATTCTTCCGCATCCAACCCAATAGCTTGTTGGCTTTCCTCTCAAAACTCATCTAGAATTTACCCACTTTTTTCTTTCCCCACTGCCAACCTAGACAAAGCTTCCTCTTGCCTGGAAAACCACCTCAGCCTCCAATCTGGTCTTCAGATTTCCTCCCCAATCTCCAGTCCAGTCTCCCACATAGCAGCCAGTGGAATCCTTTTAAATCTGTCATGCCACAGCGACCTCCTTCTCAGAACCCTGGCTTCCCATCACACAGAAAACAAATCTGAGCCCTTTACAGGTCGACTGGATGTGGTCTGCTCTGCCTGACCCTCTAACGTGTCTCATCCCCACTCCCTCTCTCCTGTTGCTTCATTCACACTCATCTTTCCATTCACTGAATTCTTCAAGTCCGCTCCTGCTTGAGGACCTTTGTTCTACTTGTTCCTTCCACCTGGAATTCTCTTCTCCTTTGCAGGGCTGGCTCCTCCATGCAATTGGATGGCAGCTTAACTCCCACTCAGAGAGACCTACCTGACCACCACACCCCTCTCCATCGTGCCACCCTCGATTTAATTCTCTGCAAGGCATGCATTATTACCCTATGCTTTTTCTACTTACTTGTTTATTTATTGGCAGTCTTTCCCTACCCTGAGCCAGAACGTCAGCCCCATGAGCACAGGGACCAGGTCTGTATTGTGCACTGCTGTATCCTCACACTTAGACCAGAGCCTGGCACATGGCTCAATAACAAATTATTGAGTGAGTGAATGAATGATGAATGAATGAATCAGTACCTCCCAAGGACCTACTATGAGCCAAGCACTGTGCTGGTCACCAGGCTGCAGAGATGAGCAAGAAAACTTCAAGGAGCTCACAGTCCTGGGTTGGGAAAGCATCTATCCAGCTAAACAATGGAAGTCAAACTGTGATGTGCACTTGGCACCAGGACCTGCTCAGGACGCTGAAGCATCAATGTGAGAGGGATTAGTCAGAGGAGGCCAGTGAGAACAGTAATAAATATTTGTATGCCTGTATTTTGCAAGCTGATAACAAGACAGAAGTAGATGATTTTCAGTTGCTGAAGGCTCTCAGATAATCATCAGTGTACAAACACCCAGGCCTGATCAGCAGGCAACAACAACAGAGTACCCCCTGCCTCCTCCGTCTACTTCCTTCTTCCCCAAAGCCCTGCTCTGTCTCATGGGAACCACCTGGCCCCTCACTGTCTGCTAGCAATTCTACATAAGCCTCTGCTGCACGCTACCTTTGCCTGTTTTCTGGAGGAAATTTTAAAAAAAAGAAAGATGTGTTCCCGCTCTTTTTCTTAACAGAGGGAAGCCCATGTAGGCATGAAATTGGAATTGCCTTGCTCCATTCACAGCATGGTCATTGGGCTCCACTGACCCCTGAGGGGCATTAATATCTCAGCAGCAAGTGGATGAACCACGCAAAGTGGCAGGGGACACGCCCGAAGAGAGCCAGCTGGGAGGCCTAAGGCTAAAGGGTTGGGGCGGCTGCCTGCTTTGGGCTTTGAATTTGAGGACTTTGAGCCCTGAGCAGGCTGAGATGGTGGCTTATTCAACCTGAAATTGAGAAGTGGGAGGACAGCGATGGGCAAAACAGAGCCCAGCCTGAAAGGGGAGATGGATGCTCATTTATTCATCCACACGCTCATTCACTCATTGGACAAACCCTGAGCATCACCCGGGCCAGGCTCTATGCCAGGCAGGAGAAGCACAAAGACAAGCAAGCCAGGCCTTGCCCTTAAAGAGCTCCCATCCATCAGGAATGACAGACCTGGGGGAGAGAGCACTGCAATTCCATGTGATAAATATCAGAATAAAAGTATGAAGAGGATGCAATGGGGCACAGAAAGGGTGAAAGGCTGTTCTGCCCAAGGACATCAGGGCAGGCTTCTAGGAAATGGTGACATTGCAGCTAGGCCTTGAAGGATAAGAGGGAGCATCAAAGTCAACTCTGCCACCAATGCAATTTGGCCCCAGGTTAGTTCAGGTGCCTCAGCTATCTCTCAGACACCAGCCCAAATGCTGCAGGTCACTAGGAGGGACAAGGCCCCAAGTTCTGGTTAGGTTTGCATTGTCACCTGAGAAGACCTCATCTTTAAAAAAATAGACTGGCCAAACACATGGCCGCTGGGCCTGGCCAGACCACCAAGTTCCCCATTCCTTGGAAACTCCACCTCAGCCCATGGCTCTTCCCAGTCATGAGTCCTGGTCACCACCCACCATCTGCAGATTCCCCCAGGGGTACTCTGGCTGTGCAGAGGCCCCCTGGGCTGGTCAGCTGCCTCTTGGGATGGCCCAAGGTGCCCACTGATCCCTGCTGGCTGTAGGTGTGCCCGGCTGGCCGGGTAGATGCAGAGACACCTGCTGGGTCTCAAGGGGGCCACTGTCACCAACACCCACCACATCAGCCCAGGACTCAGCCCCCGCCTCCTGGGCAATCAGCCCTCAGAGTTGGGCTCATCAGCAAGAAGTGCCCACAGCTGGTAGTTAGCAGTCTTGTGTGTGGTGGCTCTAAGATGGGCCCATCTTTTATCTGGCCTGGGCTCTTCAAGTGTGAACACCTGGGGTCCTCCCCATCACTCTGGACACAGGAAGTCGGGGAAGCCATGCCCCTCATCCTATTGCTGCCCCTTCCAGGAGGAAGGCTGCCCCTTCCAGGGAGGAGGGCTGGCGCTGGCTCTATGGTGGTCCATTTGGCCAGGAGCCTGTGAGAGAATCAGAGTCTGTGGTCGCCGTCTTCTCCACAGCATTGGGGCACTGTGCTTCTGGGGCCCAACAGCCCCCACCCCAATGGAAGTCACATGCTCCTCTGGCCCTCTCGCCTCCGCAGACTGGAGACCTTTATCCCTCTTGCTTATACCCTGGCCAGGGCTCTTGGCCAAGCAGGAGAGGATCTGGAGGCCCCGTCCCTGACAGGTAACTGTGACCCAGCAGCCAGCTTCATCTTGGGCCATGGTTACCTTGTCTGCAGGGAGACGCAGGGCAGTGAACTGTGGCTCCCATCCAAGAGGCACTGGCTGCCCTCACAAGACAGTGATGCAGGGTTTTCAGATTTACTGTCCTGACCTCAGAAAAGCTGTAGGTTTTATTAAAGGCACAAGTGTACACAGAGCTGAGAAAACAAAAACAAGACCCCCTGGGCTCTACTCTTGCCCACGGGAGCCAGCAGCCCCAGAAAGACCCCCAAACGTGGACTTGCACATTTCTGGGGCAGAGGCAGGGATGAGGGTGGGCCAGGGTCAGGGGCTGACTCCCTTCAGAAGCACTGCAGTGCCTATGAAAATGAAAGCAAGAGGCAGGGAGAAGGAAAATCAGAGGGAGAGGAGGGGAAGGAGGAGCCTGGAAAGAGAGGGAAAGGGAGTGGGAGGGGAGCTGAGAAAGGGGAGGTGGGGAGAGGCCAGGGAGCAGAGGGAGAGAGGAGAAGAGGGGGCAGCCAGCAGCGGGAGGCTCAGAGATCCAGGGAGATGGAAGGCTCCTCCAAGGATGAGGAGATGGGATGGAAGGGGCAGAGAAGGGGACTCACTTGGGGGAGGGGTTCTGAAAGAGAGCAAAAAGAGGCAAAAATCAGCAATGAATGAGGCAAAGAGAAAATTGGAGAAGTAGGAAGTGAACAAAAACGAGGCAGAGATAGAGAGACAGAGACAGAGGGGGACAGAGTACAGAGGACATAAAGAGATAGAGGGGGACAGAGACAGAGACACACACAGAGAGAGACACACAGAGACAAAGAGGGACAGAGAGAGACACAGAGACATAGACACAAAAAGACAGAGGGGGACAGAGTACAGAGGACATAAAGAGATAGGGACAGAGACAGAGACACACACAGAGAGGTACACAGAGACAGGCACCCAGAGACAGAGTGACAGAGAGAGACAGAGGACATACAGAGAGAGAGAGACAGAGTACAGAGACACAGAGACAGAGAGGGACAGCGTACAGAGGACATACAGAGACAGAGGGACAGAGAAAGAGAAACACACAAAGAGAGACATAGAGACAGAGACAGAGACAGAGAAAGACAGAGTGCAGAGAGAAACAGAGAAGAGGGGAGGAGAGGACAGAGAGAGAGAGGGTTGGGAGAGCAAGCCTGGAAGCAGAGATAAAGGCAGTGAGACACAGAGAGACAGTAAGGAGAAAGAGACTGGCCCTGGAGCCCAGCCGGGGAGGTGGAGCTGCAGACCAGGCCAGAGCGGGGAAGTTTTCCAAAAAGCATTTAAGCTGCTGCATCAGTGATGACACCCTTGGCCTCCTCCGGGGAATGACAGTCCTGAGTGGTGGGTGGAAGGAAATAGACGTGCAAAATGCATGCATTTTTTCAAATGGGGCGGCAGGCTTAAATGTCAGCAGGCACAGTGGAGCCCTGGCCGCCAGCTGCACCCGACCTTGGGGCTGAGTTTCCATAGCCGCTTCCCCTGCGTCACCACTGCTCCTCCCCCTCTTCCCTCCCATCCTATCCCAGCAGCTGCCAGCTCATGAGGGGCCCTTGTAGTCCCCAACCCTGGCCCCCATACTCTCCTGCCTCTTACTCCACTGGGCCTGGAGTTCCCAGAGCCACAGACAAAAGGTCCTCGGAGGAATCTTTCTCTAAACTGCTTCTCCTTTCCAACTTCCCAAATTTGACCTCCTCCAGGGACCATCCTTTTCTGACCACAGGAAAAGCCCTTCCTTAAATCCTTTAAAGCCTAGGCTTAGGGGATTGGGCTCCTGCTTTAAGAGGAGCATGGCAGAGCGATCAAGCACAGGGACCCAGCCTGCGTCTGAAGTCACTGTCAGCTCTGTCACTCACTATTTCCATGGCTTCGGCACTTTACTAACTTCTCTGTGCCTCTACTTCCTCTTCTGAAAATGGGGACGCCGAGGTCCATGGCGTTCACCTCGGAGAATTAAATAAATGAAGATGTGGAACATCCTTAGAACAGTGCCTGGCACATGGTAAGTGTTCAGTAAGTATTAGCTATTGTCATCAATATCATGCAATAGGGAGCAGTGGGTGAAAGCCTCAGAGTCACAGAAGATGCTTGGAAGTAAAGTGGAACAAGAGAGTTCCAGACTCTGCCTACTCAGTGCACAGTCCCAGGACCGGCAGCAGCTGCATCTCCTGGGAGCTTGATAGAAATGCAGGATCTTAGGCCCCACCCGGGACCTGCAGAAACAGAATCTACCTTTTCACAAGGTCCCAGGCCATTTGTGTGCCCAGTCAAGTTGGAGAAGTCTGCTCCTGGCCTAGGTGAGCCCAGTTAGAAGCTTACTTAGGTAGTTAGAGTGAGACACTATCAAGGTCAGTCATGGCTGGACAGGGAGGGCCCTAGGGTGCACCAGCCCTGACCTGTCTGCCGCACGCTGTGCTGGGTGCTTTATCCTGCAGAATGACCCTGCTTCCCACTCTTCAAAGGAGGGGGTAAAGCTTAGAGAGGCTAAGTGACTCTCCCAGGCACAGATGCCCCGTGTGTGTCAGGACTGATTCCAGCAAGCAGGGCTACCAGACAATGGGGCTGGAGGAAGGCAGCTTGAGAGGGAGGCTCCCAGCCCTCTGGGAATGGAAGTTGTGTAGTCATGGGGGTCATAAGAAGCCAGAGGCCTTGGGCTTGCACAGTCGGACAGATGGGATAGAGAACCAGAAACAGGGCCTGGCCAGTGGCTCACGCCTGTAATCCCAACACTTTGGGAGGCTGAGGTGGGTAGATCACTTGAGGTCAGGAGTTCAAGACCAGCCTGGCCAACATGGTAAAACCCTGTCTCTACTAAAAACATAAAAGTTAGCAGGCATGGTGGTGGGCTCCTGTAGTCCCAGCTACTCGGGAGGCTGAGACAGAAGAATCGCTTGAACCAGAGAGGAGGAGTTTGCAGTGAGCCGAGATTGTGCCACTGCACTCCAGCCTGGGTGACAGAGCCAGACTCTGTCTCAAAAAAAAAAAAAAGAAAGAAAGAAAGAAAAGAACCAGGAATGGGAACACAGGGGGATGGTGGTGATTAGTTGGATTCCGGACAAGCCATGCTCGAGGGGAAGAAGGGACATTCCATGCCACTGTCCAGCAGGCCAGGAGCTCAGGAGGCATGACAATTTGGGATGATCTGCCTTGAGAACAACAATAATTCATATTCATTAAGGACGAACCACTGGCCAGGCACTTCGCCTAACTGCCTGTAAGAACAGATGCTCCATACCCTGCAGATGAGCAAGTGGAGGCTCCCAGAGGGGAGTCATTTGCTTAAGTCCACACAGCTTACAGCACAGTGCTGTGATCAGAGCCTCCCATACGCCCGGACGAAGAACTCACACTGTTTTCCGCTTCACCAAACACACATAATCTGGTGCTTGAAGTGGCTGAGGGTCTTAGTTAGGGTTCCTCCTAAGGTAGACCCTGAGATAGGGATTTGGGTGCAAATGGTTCATTTGGGAGGAGATCCAGGAAGAACAGTGACACAGGCAAATGGGGTAGGGAAAGGAAGAAAGCTCATACAGGGTGTGCCTGACCTGGGCAATTGGGGCTTTATCCCAAGGGACCCTGAGATTTTGCATTGCATGCATCTCAGACTGTCCCCACTAAGGAGCAAGGAAGCTGGAAGCACTGTCACCAATTGCTGGAGCATTAAATCCACTACCTGCAGCCAACCAACCAGAGAAAGTCCCTGGTAGAGAGCCATAGCATGGTAAACTGCAGGAGACCCGTGGTGGGCTTTGAGGATGGAGGTGGGGCAGGGATAGTATCTGCTAGACTGAGCCTTTTAGCTTCCCAGGGCACCCATTGCCCCCTTTGAAATCCCAAGGTAAGAGAGAGAAAGATCTTGAGGTAGAGGGATGCGGCTGCCCAAAGACTGGCACCATGGTCTGAAATTCATGTTGAAATTCTAACCCTTGAGGTGATGGGATTAGGAGGTGGGACCCTTGGGAGGTGATTAGATCATGGAGGCAGAGCTATCATGAATGGGATTAGTGCCCTTATAAAAGAGGTCCCAGAGAGGTCCTTTTCCCCTTCTACCACGTGAGGTTACATTGAAAAGACATCTAGGAAGTGGACCCTCACCAGACACTCAATCTGCTATTCCCGTGATTTTGGACTTTCCAGCCTCCAAAACCGTGAGAAATAGATTTCTGCTGTCACTCAGTTTGTGGTATTTTGTTATAGCAGCCTGAACAGAACTGCTGTGCAGGAAGAGAAGTGAAGACGGAGACCACCCAGCGAGCACAATGCTCAAAGGCCCAATGGATCCACTCCTGACCCTGGAGGTGACCCCAAGCCAAGCCCTGGGGATGCTCTTAGAGCTTCCTCTCCCAGCACAGGCAGCTGACTTCACCCATCTGGGAATGGTCTTCATTTTGATGAAGAGGCAGTCAGGGCTGAAAGGTGGTGTGTGGGCAGGAGGCGTCTGCTGGAGCCCGGTGGCAGTGCAGCTGCAGAGCCGCAGAGGACGGCTCTCAAATCTATCCAGCGACAGTGAGACCCAGGGCTTTGAAAGACTTTGGGGGTCAAACTGCAACTTTGCCACGTTCCCAATGTGGGATCTTGGGCAGCTTGCTTAACCTTTTGGAACCCAGTTTTCCCACTACAAAATGGGGATATTTACACACATATAAGAATTTACATAAGTAACAATGTTCATAAATTTAGGAATTCATCATTTACCAGATATTCTCTATGTGCCAGGCACTGTGCTAAGCACCTTGCATGAATCATTTTGTTTGATCTTTATAATAACCTTTCAATAGAGGAAGCATTATCTCTATTTTACAAATAAAGAAACAGAGGCTCAGAGAGGTTTTGTAACTTGTCCCCAATCACACAGCAAGTAAGTCCTGGAGCTGGGATCTGCACTTGGCTTAATGCACCAGGTAATTTTGCCTCCAGAGGTGAGAAGCCCAGCACAGGGTCAGGCTTAGGCCAGGCACTCAGTAAATGTTGGTTCCCTTTCCTCCTTTCTCCCTGGAAGCTCCCCGAAGGCAGATGGTTCTTTTAAATATTCTGATGATCTTGAGCTAGTCAGTTCAAGAGGCAGCACCATGAAGTGTTTAAAGAGCTCTAGAGCCAAACTCCCCTGGATTCAAATCCTTGGTTAGCGATTGACTAGCTGTATGACTTCAGGCCACTTACATAACCTCTCTGTGCTCACGTGACCCATCTGTCTAAATAATGAGGATCACAATCATGCCCATCATGCCCATTAAGGCTGTTATGAGAGCTGATGAGACAGTGCATATAAAATACTTAGAAACGTGTCTGCATATACTATGTGCTCAACAAATGTTCCCTGTCATTATTACGCACTTGGCACCAGGTGTCGACAGTAATCTCCATCTTTGATACTAGATAAAAGGGATCTCGTGGGGCTGGCTGCTCTTCCCCCAAAGTCATTCTGTGCCCCCAAATCATCCCATTATAAAGGGAAGGGAATGGAGGAAGAGGAAAAGAACAAAGGAGAGAGAAACTCACACGTACTAACTCAGATTCTTCACAAGGTTATTTCCCTGGGTCCACCCAACAACCATATAAGAAGGTATTATTGTACTCAATAAATGAAACAAGAAGTGACCCCAAGGGGAATAAAGGACATGCCTAGAATTACACAGCTGGTAAGTGGGGAGCACAGGTGAGAATCCCATCCTTTTTAAGCACATCTCCTGCCTTCAACTAATGATGCTCTCTGCACACGGCCACCTCACCACCGACCCTCTGGGAAGTCAAGCCTTAAGCTCCTGCCAGCAGGGAAGGAGGGCAGGCAGAGAGGCACACTCTCCTATGGCCAATGGCAGCTTTAGGAGGACAGAGAGCCACTTGACAGAAAAAGGAGAGAACCTTCTCCTTGGATGCCCAGGGCAGGCCTGCTTGGTATATTCCCAGACCATCTGTCTACTATGTAGGGTCCACACCTTCACCCGAATACCAGAGAGGAGGCATCTTCTTTCCACCTAAAGTAGAAAGGCCTGGTGAGTCTCAACGCATGTTACAGCTGGGAAAACAGAGGCCCTGAGCATCTTGCCTGGGGTTGTACCTGGGTTATACCCAGGGTTGCCCAGGCTTAGTGGCAAAGTAAGGGCAGGATGCCAGGCTGGCTGACCCCCACTCCTTTTTCTGGAATTACATTCTGCTGTCTGCCCAGTAAAGAAAATAGTAATGTAACCAGTGGGTCCCTCTTTAGGTCTTTTGGAGGGTGGAAGGGAAGAATTCCAGAGAAACCCAGGCAGGGAGGGAGGGGCTGCTGTAACCACAGCAGGCCTCCCCCAGGGAGAGGGACCGTGTCCCAAGTAGGGGTTGAGTTCTGAGCCTGGTGGCCCCTCCTGCTGCCACCTCCTGGAGAGGGGAATCTTCTACCAGAGAATGTAGCCCACCCTCCAAGACACAGCCCTGACTGTGCCACATGCACCACCATGACCAGGCTCCGGCGTTCTGAACCCTGTTCTGGGTTCTAACAACTTTAAGGGCTTTAGTCTGGGGCTCTGGTTTAGCCTCTGAAGAGCCCAGGTTTTAAATAATAACTTTACCTTGCTGTGAAACTGCTTCCACCTTGTTCTTTTCCTCTAAAATATATATGTGTGTGATTGTGTGTGTGTGGGGGGGGGGGCACCCGCGTGTTGAGGTTGTTCCTGGGGGACTATTAACTAAGAATAATTTATCCAAGAAATTTGTTATGTTAGAATTACCAATTAGATATGATTATAACTTACCCTGGCTAACACTGCACTACTGTTGGAAATCTGAATCCCATTAAAATCTAATTAGCATATATTAAGTCGAAGGCGGTTTTACTGCAGTGGGCCAGCAGGTTTGAGCTGCGACAGGCCGGGCACGTGGACTCACTGCCCACTTCAGCATGCTGGCCAATGGCCCACAGTGCCCAGGTGGGTGCCAGGCAGCCTATGGGCAGCTTTTCTCCTCCTAAGCTGAGACCAGACGGCCCATGCTCACAGAAAGGGGCAGCTCCAGACGTGGACATGATGTTCGAGGTTCCGCCTTTAGATGAGTGGCCAGCATCCACGGAAAGCCTTCTTTGCCATGTGGCTAAGCCAACCAAGGCGCTCTGGGGTCAGTGCTCTGGGCTAAGAGGATGAGGGTGGTTTTGGCAACCCCTGGGAGCCAGTCAGCTTGGTGGCTGAATGCTAGCATCACGGAATATACCCTTCCCTGGGCTTACGGGTATGGGGGTGCTTCTGCAAGGGTGTAACTGCTATATCTTCATCTCTGGAAAAGCGCCTGGTATAATAATAGCAAACAGTTGCTTAGCACGTACAATGGGCTAAGGTTTTATTTTCATATTCTCAACCTCGCAAAAATTCCAAGGAAAAAGTACTAGGATTAGGCCCATTTTATGCACGTTGAACCTGAGGCTTAAAGAGGTTAAGGAACTTGCTCCCGGTCTACAACCAAGGAGTAGAACACACTAGTTTGCTAGGGCCTCCATAACAAAGTACCATACACTGCGGGGTGTAAACAACAGTGTGTATTTTCTCAGAGCTCTGGAGGCTGGAAGTCCAAGACCAGGGATTCAGCAGGGTGGGTTCCTTTGGAGGCCCCTGTCCTTGGCTTATGGATGCCGTCTTCATCCTGTGTCCTCCTGTGGCCTTCCCTCTGCAAGTGTCTGAGTCTTAATCCCCTCTCTCATGAGAACACCAGGTACGTTGGTGTAAGGCTCACCCTGGTGACCTCATTTTACTGAATTACCTCTGTAAAGACCCTTTCTCCAAACAGCCACATTCTGAGGTCCTGGGAGTTAGGATTCCATCATACAAATTTGGGGTTAGGAGGTACAGCCTGAGCAATCTCACCCACCCACAGGGCTCCAGTTACCTCCAAATGCAAATGACTCCCAGTTTTAAATCCCACACCCAGAACTCTTGATGGGATTTCTCTCCATGCCCTGAGGCATTCAGCCCAAAGGAAGCCACTGTCTTCTGCATTCTTCTCTTCTGTGTCCCCTGTGGCCAGTGGCCCCCAGCCAATGTGACCCTTCATCCTCCTGACTCTGCCCCCTCCACACCTTCCCGAAACAAATATGGTCACATTCTGAGGTCCTGAAAGTTAGGATGTCAGGCAAAGTGCAGTGGCTCCCACCTGTAATCCCTCCACTTTGGGAGGCTGAAGTGGGTGGATTGGTTGAGCCCATAAGTTGGAGATCAGCCTGGGCCATATAGTGAGACCCCATCTTTATTTTAAAGAAATATTTTTTAATTATACTTTAAGTTTTAGGGTACATGTGCACAATGTGCAGGTTAGTTACATATGTATACATGTGCCATGCTGGTGTGCTGCACCCATTAACTCGTCATTTAGCATTACGTATATCTCCTAATGCTATCCCTCCCCCCTCCCCCCACCCCACAACAGTCCCCAGAGTGTGATGTTCCCCTTCCTGTGTCCATGTGTTCTCATTGTTCAATTCCCACCTATGAGTGAGAACATTCGGTGTTTGGTTTTTTGTCCTTGCGATAGTTTACTGAGAATGATGATTTCCAATTTCATCCATGTCCCTACAAAGGACATGAACTCATCATTTTTTATGGCTGCATAGTATTCCATGGTGTGTATGTGCCACATTTTCTGAATCCAGTCTATCATTGTTGGACATTTGGGTTGGTTCCAAGTCTTTGCTATTGTGAATAGTGCCGCAATAAACATACGTGTGCATGTGTCCTTATAGCAGCATGATTTATTGTCCTTTGGGTATATACCCAGTAATGGGATGGCTGGGTCAAATGGTTTGAGATCAGCCTGGGCAATATAGTGAGACCCCATCTTTATTTTAAAGAAATATTTTTTAAAAAATAGAGTTCGGACATCAACATATGTATTTTGAGAGACACAACTCCTTCCATAGTAGTGCCCCTGAGACTTAGAGACTCTAAGGCCAGTTCCTCTGGCTCCCCAAAAGTAGGGCAGCTGGGGACCAGGGCAGCTGTGCCCTGTGACCCTATAAAACTCTCTGCCCATCAGCAGTGGCAATGAACAAGCTGAACAAGCTGCAACTACACACGACAATGTGGATGAAGTGCCCAGGCTGGAGGGAGGGCAGAAGAATCCAATCAGAAAGAAACTCGTGCTGCCTTGGGTCCAGGCACACAGAGCCCACCGTGGTCACCCTGGGAGTGGAGGAGCCTGGAGGGATTACAAGAGCATTTTGGGGTGCTGGAGATGTTCCTTCTCATTCTGGGGACTGATTATGGGGCTGTGTTCAGGTTGTGAAAATCCGCTGAGCTCACTTAAGACTCGCGGACTTTTTTGCTTAGTGAATACTAGAGTACCAGCGTCAATTTCCTGGTTTTGACAATGTTCTGAGGCTAAGATGCCATTGGGAAAAGCTGGGTAAAGCGTTCATGGGAACTCTATGATTTTTGCAACTTGTGAGTCTTATGTTATTTCAAAATTACTTTTTAAAAAATGCAACACACACAAAAAAGAATAAAAACATGACTTTTTATTGGTTTAAGGTTTTGTAACATTCCCAGCCCTGGAAGAGTTGAAATAAATTGTAAATTAAAAAAAAAAAAAAGCTGTATGCACTTTTCTATGTGTATGTTACACTTCAATTAAAAGTTAAAAAAAAAAAAAACACCTCTCTGCCAGTCTCTGAGCTTATCCAAAGAAATGGGGGAGAATTGGTATTCACAAGAGCACATATTATGTGCCAGATATTTCTAGGCACTTAGCCCAAGTTATTCCATTCATTATTCTGAAAGAGAGAGAGAGATTATTGCCTCCATTTGCAGATGAGGAAATTGAGGCTCAGAGAGTCCAAAGGAGCCCCCCAACATCACACAGTCCCTTCAGAGCACAGCTGAGGTTCCCCCAACGACCTATGTGGTCTGCCTAAAACCCCCATTCTTGTCTCTGCCCTTGCTGGGATCACTCTGAAAAACACCTTCCCCTCTGTCCCACCCTCCACTGCCCTGGACTGCCTTGCCCAGCCTCAGGATAAGGCACCAAGGTCCCCAATCACCCCCACTCCCACCAGCAAAGCTGCTGATGTGGGGTTTTCTAAAGAATGCCAAGCCCACCCGCCAAGCTCCCTCACTGGGATCTACCGTCGGACCATTTTACCACCAGTAATTGCAGTGCTGAGTATGCAGCTGTCCTTTGTCAGGTCTCCACAAACCCCCTGGAGCAGTTCTATGCAGGAACTATTTCCCCTACCCACCCCCCAACACATATGTGCACCCTCAGCACCAAAGTCCCCAAGATGTTTGGAGCTTGGACAAAATTAACTCATTTATCCAACCAACCCACTGAGAGGACACCTGCTTATTGTCATGGGCCCTAAAATTAACCTGGTTTATCATGTCTTCTGAATTTGGCTCAAGCAGCACTTTCAGGGATTTTCAGGCATCCAGGAATGAAATAACACCTGGAGGAACTGGAGCTAATGTCAGTAGTTCCAGCTGCAAAGATCACTTTCTAATGGACTGAGGCTGGGGCAAAGACGCAGCCACCAACCTGGGGACATCCGTGGATCTGTATTCGGTGGATATAACTGGGACTGATCTTGTCTGGGTCCTCCCAGCCCAACAGCCACCAAGAGAAAGTCACAGACCGTTCTGTAGGCAGACCGTTCATCATGGATGGCAGAGCAGAGACTGTAGGATGCTGGTGGGTGTTCTGCCCAAAGGACTTCCGTGAGCAAACAAACTTGAGAAAATCTCCTTGCGGCAGGACTTATCAGAGCCTTTACTATGCTAGCATGCCTCCTGAGCCTCCAAGAGGGGCCCACCTAAAACAATGTTTTCCACTCTTTTCTGGAACGTTCTTCAGAGAAGTGCCGATCTGAGGCCTTCAGCACAGATGTATCTTAGTGGTGGTTCTGGAACAAGATGGAAAACTAATGAATCTGAAGTGGTGGTAAAATGATAGGCAGGAGTATTGCTGTTTCCATGTTATAAACAGAGAAAACTGAGGCCCAGAGGGAGAGAGGAACTTGCCAGGTCAGCAGGTGAATTAGTGACAGAGCCAGCCCTAAATCTCCATCATGCGTTCTTTCCTCTGCTGCTATGGTTTTGATATTTATCCCTTCCAAACCTCATAGTGAAATGTGATTTCCAGTGTTGGAGGTGGGGCCTAATGGGCAGTGTTTGGGTCATGGGAGCAGATCCCTCATGAATCTCCTTCCAGGTTGGGGGTGAGTGAGTTCTGACTCTGTTACTTCCCATGACAGCTGTTTGTTACAAAGAGCCTGGCACCTCCCTCCCTTCTCTCTTGCTTCCTCTCCTGCCAGGTGATCTCTGCACACACCGCTCCCCTTCACCTTCTGCCAGGAGTGGAAGCAGCCTGAGACCCTCACCAGACACAGATGCTGGCACCATGCTTCTTGTATACCCCGCAGAACCATGAGCCAAATAAGCTTCTTTTCTTTATAAATTACCCAAGTATTCCTGTATAGCAACACAAAAAGACTAAGAATCTGCCCAGATCTGAGTTCAGGTAGGAAGAAATTTGTTCATAGAAGATTTCCAGGGCTTCCATGGTGGGAAAGAGGCAATATCCACAATCTGTACCATTCTTGGAAGGAGGAACCAACAGAGATACATCATTTTATAACATGTCTGTAATATTTGCAAAGCTCTTTCAAAATTGTTCATTAGCATTTTTCATCTTTACAATCTTTCTCTATATCTTAGGCAATAGAGCCCCATTTTTAAAATGAGGCCCCTGAGCCTCAACCAGGAGACATGATTTGCCCAAGGTCACAGGTTTCATGTATCATGGATGGCAGAGCAGAGATTTCCTGCCTGGTGGGGTTCCTCATCTCTGGCCAGCTTTCCCTTGAGGGCAGAGTCTGGGCCTGGCTCAGCTCAGTGTCCCAACACTCCCACTCCGGTGAATAAGCTATGCTGAGGGAAGTCTGGGCTCTGATGCAGAGAGACCTAGAAGAAAGCACTAATGGGGTAATTTGGGGTCCAGAGCACCAGTTCTCATGAATCTGAGGAATTCTTCCTCCTAGCTACTTCCTTCCTTTTCCCTCATTACATCCCTGCCAAGGACAAATTCTGCCATTTGCATGGCAGGACTCCTCCAAAAAGGGGCTTCCTCCCTTTCCGTTAGTAAAGGAAGAGGTTACCTGAGACTTGACTTAACCTCCTTGGGAGGGAACATGCTTTCACTGTTGCGAATTGTTAAGTCAGGTCCAGAGTGATCCAGTCACTTATCATGAGTCATACAGTAACCAGAGGTTGAGTTGACTGAGCCAGCTTCATCCACCGGACCAGTGAGTAAGTCTCAAACCATAAAGTATGTAAGAATTGCCTTGAAAAGAAGCAGGTGGTGCAGAGGAGAGTGAGCAGAGCTGGCCTGAGACTGCTGTCCTTCAAAGACCTGCTTGCAAAGTGGGCCCATGTCTGGCATCTGGGAACTCGGGTTTCAGGAGGGCTCTCACCACCCTGATAAGAGTGGCTCACAATGTGTAAATGGTGTGTACAGACAATGTGGCTTATGCCAAACTCCTGCTTTCCTTCTGAAAGTCTGGAATCTGGGTATGTGCCAGGCAGAAAGTGCCTGTATAACCAGCCCCCAGGAGACTTCCTGGGCATTGAGTCTAATGCACTATGCTGGTAGACAGCTCCTCGCGCATGTTGTCATAGCTCATTGCTGGAGGAATTAAGTGAGTCCTGTGTGACTCCACGGGGAGAGGACCCTGGAAGCTTGTGCCTGGTTTCCTCTGGACTTCACCCTATCACCTTTTCCTCTTGCTGATTTTGCTCTCTATGATTTCTCTGTAATAAATCTTACCTGTGAGTACAACTATGCTGAGACCTGTGAGTCCTCTTAATTAATCATCAAACCTGGGGTTGGTTTGGGGACTCCTGACCCAGGGAGATATTACGGTGCCGATTCTGGGTCTTCCACTTCCACTGTCTGAGTGTTTGTGTCCCCCAGAAATTTATACATTAAAACCTAGTCCCCAATGTGATAGAATTAGAAGGTAGGGCCTTTGGGAGGTGACCAGGATGAATGGGATTAATATTCTTATAAAAGAGACCCCAGAGAGCTAGTTAGCCTCTTCTTCCCACCATGTGAAGAAGCTCCAAAAAGACATGATCTATGAACCGAAGAACAAGCCCTCACCAGACACCAACATCTTGATCTTGGACTTCCCAGCCTCCAGAACGGTGAGCAATAAATCTCTGCTGTTTTTAAGCCACCCAGTTTATGGGATTTTTGTTATCATAGCCAGAATGGACTAAGACACCCACCCCCTGAATTCTGATCCAGTGGGTCAAGTGAGGAAGCCCAGGAATCTGCATATTTGCACACACTCTGGGTGGTCCTGAGACCAGGCATCTGTGGGCCTCTCTTTGAGAAACACTGCTAGCTGGTTCTGTGATGGACATTTCAATGAGGAATGGGTGTCCAGGGAAGCTTCCTTCTCTGAAAACTTCCCTGTGTCATCTGTGCAAGACCATGGAGCAGGGGAATGGGCACTTTGGAGGTGTCTCAGCGGCACCGCATCACCACCTTTCCACTTGGTTCCTCCTCAGATAAGAGCCCAGAGCCCAGCCCTGAAGCTATTAATGCAGCAGCTTCAGTGTCCTTGTCCCGCTCCATCAGGCAGTCCCTAATCACCCTGGAAGCTGCCAGATGAAGAGGCCCAGACAGAGTTGGGGAAAGGAGGGCTAATTGGCTGCCAAGGAAACAGGGACTGATGAGAAGGAAATCAGGGTCTGAGCTGGCTCTTCCTCTCCAAGCCTCTCAATGCAGCAGGCAGGAGGAGACCCCCGCACAGAGCACAGGCTGGAGGTGGGGACAAGGTGAGATTTCATATGGGCTTTAAGAATAAAGGTTGTCCTCAGCGAAGTGGACATTACTCTCGAGGTGCTGATGGCAGCTGATAGAAATGACAGCTGTATCACTGCCAGCTTTGTATCCACACTGGAGAGCAGTTTGACCTCACACACACACTCAACTTCCTTCCAGTTATCCGGCTTCGGGAGCCCATGTCATTGGCTCTGCGTGTCTTAGGCTGGCGGGCACCAGCACCCACACTTTTTTTTCAGGGGCACATTGATTAATTGATTAATTCAGTGAACATTCCGTGAGCACCTGCTAAGTGCCAGGCACTGCTCTGGACTCGAGATGCGGCCAGGAGCAAAACAGACAGAAGTCCCCACCCCTCTGAAACTGACACTCTAGTAACAGGGGTAGGCAATAAACAAAACAACTAAGTTATGTTACATATTAGCAAATACATCATCCTAAGAGGAAAGATAAAACCAAAAGGGAGGCTATGGAGTCTGGGGAGGCTGTCATTGTAATGGAGTGATGGAGAAACCCCCACCACCTCTTATGATGGGAGGAAGAACCGGGCACCTTGTGTTCTAGCCTTGGCTTGAGAATCAAGCCAGGGAAGGCATGGAACCTGCAGCGTGGCTCCCCAGGAGCAGCCCAGAAGCAAAGGTGATTACTCTGAGAGATAAGCTGGGTCAATGCTTGCAAAGGAGCTCAGCAAACAGAGGTGACAGTGTCAACTAATCGATGATACAACCACCCTGGCCTTGAGTTTTATAAAGGAAGCCCAGGATGACTCCTGTCTGGTCTGTGTGGCCCACCCAGAGGTTACAGACATCACAAAGGTGAGTGCCCATCCCCCATAAGCCTTATCTCCCGGTCTTTTTCAAATGGTTTTCACTGTGGTACCTCCATGCAAGCAAACATTCCATAAGGCCCTGTACTGTGGCCACCAGTACTGAGCCAGCCACTCTGCCAAGTAAGTGCACCAGATGGATGCCCTGGCTGGGTACTCATGGCATAGGGGATACAGCAGGAGGTGTCCCACCTGACTTTCTTCCCAAGCACGGAGCTGGTCAAACCAGGGACATAGGAGGATCAGGGGAGTACCACCTCAGCCCAACAGAGGGACTGAGAATGTAGACCCCCTCTTTTCTGGCTGCTGGTTCTCCTGCGGAGCATCCCCAAGCATGAAGCTGGTCAAACCAGGAACACAGGAGGATCAGGGGAGTACCACCCCAGCCCAGCAGAGGGACTGAAAACATAGACCCCCTCTTTCCTGGCTGCTGGTGCTCCCAGGGAGAGTGAGCATCTTCAAGCTTGGAGCTGGTCAAACCAGGGACATGGGAGGACAGGGAGAGTACCACCTCAGCCCAGCAGAGGGACTGAGAATGCAGACCCCCTCTTTCCTGGCTGCTGGTGCTCCCGGGGAGAGTGAGCAACCCCCGTGCACTTGGCAAGGGCATGACCTTGCAGTTTCCATTAACATGGAAGACAGGATCATTAATTTCCTTATCCTAAGTCCAAGAACCAAGGCAGGGAGCAGGGAAGGGCTTCTCAAGATCCCCTGGCTGCTTCATGGCAGGGTTAGGACTGGAACCCAGGGCTCTGACCCTAAGGGTCCCCTCTGCCACCCACTGACCCAGCCAGGGCTATTTCGGGGCAGCTTGCACCTGGCCTCGAAGGCTTCTCAGAACATCTCACCTCCTAGGTCTTGGGTTTCCTGGCTCTGTCTGAGACTTGGCAGGTGACTCACCTTCTCGGAGCCTCCTTCATCACCCCCATTTTATAGACAGGGAAACTGTCCTCGTAGTGTTGCTAGCAGGATGAAATGATGTCATGGATGCAATGTGCTTAACAAAGTGACAGAGAGTGATGTGCTCCATTACAGTATTTTTTATGATAATGATGGTGCTTATGCAGACTCTTGAGCCTCTCAGCAGGATCTTCCAGGACTTTTCTAACTTCACCATGAGTACTGCAATCAACTGACGAATCTGGCTGGCCACCCACCCTGGGTACAAGTACCATAGGATTGCAAAAAAAAAAAAAAAAAAAAGCACGACTCTCCCAAGCTGCTCTCAAGGACCCACAGTCTGACTACAGATAAATAAGACACTCAAAGGACACAATCAGTGAGCAACTGGGCAGTGAGCAACTGGGAACGTTGACCAGGAGCCATGAGAGGGCGGAGGTGGAGGAGAGGGAGGGGCTGCAGGGCTGATATAGGAGGGTGGGAAGGCTTCCAGCTTCATGAGAGGATTTGCTTTTAAGGAGCATGAGATTTACCCAGAAGGCTTATAAGAACTAGAGGCCGGGCATGGTAGCTCACACCTGTAATCCTAGCAACTCAGGAGGCTGAGGTGGGAGGATCGCTTGAGCTCAGGAGTTTGAGACCAGCCAGGAAACATAGCAAGACCCCGTCTCTACCAAAAAAAAAAAAAATTTAAAAAAAAAAAACATAGCTAGGTGTGGTGTTGTACTTGTAGTTCTAGCTACTTGGGAGGCTGAAGTGGGAGGATCGCTGGAGCCCAGGAGGTGGAGTCTGCAATGAGTCATGATCGTGCTACTGCACTCCACCCTAGGTGACAGAGCAAGAACTTGTCTCAAAAATAAAAAAAATAAATAAAGGTACCTAGTGTCTGCCCCAAGTGATCCTGACTCTATGGCCCTAGAGAAGGGCCCAGAAACCCACCTGTATAACAAGTTCCTCAGGTAACTTTGACGCAGGTGGCTCTTCCCATCTGTGCCTTGGACTACCCCCTGCTCCAGTCCCCAACCCCTGCCGGGCACTTCATCTCACACTTCCAAGACTTCATATTTGCAGAGTTCCCACCTCAGGGCCCTCCCTTCCCTGCCAGGCTCTGAACCAAGCACCTTTCAGAGCCCATTACACCCACCCTGACACTCACAACCCCACCCCTGGGCACACCTGCACTACCACACCCTTCTTGGAAGCAAAAGCACAGGCTCAGGCATCTGGCACACTTGAGGGTGGATCCCTGCTCCTCTACTGTCTTACTGTCTGGTCTTGGCCACATAAATTAACTTCTCTGAGTTTCAGTATCTTCGGCTGTAAAATGAGTATAAAACATTCCCTGAGAATGACTGTGAAGTTTGCAGGAAGCAATGTATACAAAGTGCTTGTTGCAGTAAGTATCCTGTAAATGGTAGCTAATAGATTAGGAATATTAACAAGCATAATGGCAGCCATGGCATTGGTTGGCATGCACGTCCCTCGCTCATCTGGAGATCCTCAGGGGACTGCAATAAGCCTAATGATGTCATGGAAGCAATGTGCTTAACAAAGTGACAGAGAGTGATGTGTTCCATAAGTACAGTATTTTGTGTAACTTCTAACATTGGGCTCAATATTGAGCAGGCATTTAGTGAATGAATGAATGAATGAACTAATGCATTAATGCATATAAGGAGGTTAAAGAAGTCAGGGAAAGCTTCCAAGAAGAGGTAAAGACTGAACCAGGCTAGGGAAGTCCTGGAGGATTGGGTGGTATATAGTGAACTATGGCCTCTATTATGCCCACCAAACCTCAGTGATATACAATAAAAAGCATTTTTTTGTTTTCTTGAGACAGGGTCTCGCTTTGTCACCTGAGCTGGAGTGCAATGACACAAACATGGCTCACTATAGCCTTGACTTCCTGGGCTCAGCAATCCTCTCACCTCAGCATCCCAAGTAGTTGGGACTACAGGCATGCACCACCATGCCCTACTAATTTTTGTATTTTTTGTAGAGACAGGGTTTCACCATGTTGCCTAAACTGATCTCAAATACCTGGGCTCATGCAATCCACCAGCTTTGACTTCCCAGAGTGCTGGGATTACAGGTGAGAGCTACCACGCCCAGCCTTCAAAAAGCATTTATTGAGCTCCCACATCTGCAGGTTGGCTGGGGAGCTCTGCTCTGGGCTGGACTCCTCTTGGGCAGCTGGACCAGGGCAGCTGTGCTCCATATGTTTCTCATTCTGCTTCTAGCTGGCTAGCTCGGGCACATTCTCCAGCAACTACAGCAGAGGGCCAGTGGAACCATGCAAGGCGTCTCCAGTCCCAAACTCAGAATTAGGCTCACTGCCTCACTTTGTTTTATTGGCCAAAGCCAGTCACATGGCCAGGTTCACAGTCAGAGGGTGAGAAATGCTCTCTGTCTACTAGTGAGAGGCAATGCAAAATCACATGGCCAAGGGCACAGATACCCGGAGAGCTGAAAAAGAGAGACAAGGGCCAGTCCAGGCCTGTTATGGGATGGGAAGACCCTGTACAGATGAGTTATGAGGGTCCTTCAGGCTCCCAGGACTTTTAGAGCATCATTCACTCATTCACTCATTTGTTCAGTGAGCAGTATTCATGGTGCACTTGCTGTGTGCTGGTCCTGTTTTAGTGCTATGTAGACAACTTGAGTAAAACGAGACAAGGTCTCAACCCTCGGGATAAAGAAGAGGTTCCACTTCTTTTTTCTGGCTCTTCCACCCACTTTCTCTGTGACCTTGGGAAAATCACCTCCCCTCTCAGGGCATGGCAGCCACTGCTAATAATACCTTACATTTGTAGAACACTTTTAACTTTATCAAAACGTCTTCACATGCGTTCTCTGTGAAGCATCGGAGACCGGTTTTATTACATCTCTGATTTGACAAGTGAAACTCTAATGGATATAAAATGCACTGAGCTCCTTGGAAGTGCTCTCTTGAGAGGGCTCGGTGGGGCAAAACCCCTTATAACAAACCCTAGGATTCTCTCTCTACAACAAAGCGGGTCCCTGGGTATCTGCTGACGGTTGTCATTTCAAACAATGTTTGGGGCCACACAATCCCTGTGTGACCCAAGGACTGGGATGGCTTCCTTTATCTTTCCTTTTATTTTAAAAAGCCACCACTCTGAACATTTCAAAGATTCCTGCAGAACTTTGCCAATTTAATTTAAAAGAAAAAAATAAAAAGATTGCCTCCTCCTAACTGGCTTCACAAATGAAAATGGGATGTAAGCCAGGCCTCAGAGAACAGCCTAATCACTCCAGCTCCTCATTTAATAACCTCAGGAAACCAGGCTGCGCATTTTACGAGGAGAAAAGAGAGACAGAAGCAGCCCTTCCTCCCTGTCCCATCAAGTCAATCTCAGCCCTCGGATCTGGGGTTAAACACAAAGACAGCCTCCTTTGCCGAGGATACATGTGCTGCATCTTATAATCCTGCCTCTCCTTATGCCAGTCCTGTAAGGCATGAGCACCATTTCACAGGTAAGTAAAGTGAGGTTCAGCAAGACAGCAAGTCACACTAATAAGAGCTAATAAGAAGTTGAGCTGGGTTTGAGCTGAAATCCCTTTGAACCCAAATGCCACGTTCTTTGCTCCTTCCCCACACCACCTCTTTGCTATGTGGGGTGGTTTCATATTGCAGGGGACCTGATACCAGGTTTAGTGAATGCAAAAGGAAAGAAGGAAATGGAGAGGGAAGAAAGGAAGTGGGGGAAGGGAGGAAGGAACGAAGGTAGGACAATATTTATGGTGTGGCTACCATGAGCCCAGCACTATTAAAAGCTGACCTCCATGTGTGATGTGCCATAATTGAAGAAAAAGGCACCCTGGAGACACAGAGGAGGAGCCCCCAGTGTGGCCTGGGGGGAAGGCTTACCAGTGAAGATGCTATTGATGGATGAATCAGGAAGGAGCCAGGAGCAAAGGTAGGGCTGGAAGGTCAGAACGAGCCCTTGTTGGGCTCCTTGATCAAGGCCTACTGACTTCACCTCCTCAGTATCTCTTGGATCCACCTATGTCTGTCCATCTCCACACCCACCCAAGTCTGTGCTTTGTCTGGACTGTGAGATGCCCTCCTCCCCTGCCTTCTGCCTCTGCTCCTCCAGACCTTTCTCTACAAAGCAGCCAGAGTGGTCTTTCCTAAAGCAAATCAAACAAAGCCTCCTTCTCTAACTCAACCTTTCCTTGGCTCTCCATTTGCTCTGGGGAGCCGTACTGGGGGTCTCTAAGGTCCTACATGTCCCAGGTCTCACTTTGTACTGCACTCTCCTTCCCCTCTAGACTCCAGTCACATGGGCCTGGGCACAGGGGCCTGGTGCTGATCTTTCTGCCCAGGGATGTCTGGCTGCCCCTGTTCACCTGGTTAATTTCTACAAATCCTTTAGCTTCAAGTCAACTTTACACTTCATCCATTCTTACATCCAATGATTATTTATGGCACACCTAGGCACTGTTCTAGATGGTGGCAGTCCAGGTGTCTGTCTTCATGAAGCTTAGTTGTTAGAAGCAGAACCTTCCAGGGTGAAGCCTTCTCTGATTATTCTCAGAGCCAGGTGACTGTAGCAGGCGCTATTGGTGCTCCGTCCCAACAACTCAGCCCACCCGGAAGTTGCCTAAGGCTCTGATAAACAGTTCTCATACCCCGAGATGATGTCCTGCCTCAAAATAGGATATCTCTCTGACTGAAGGCTTTCTCTGGACATACAAATCCAAGTGCAGGGCCAGCCAGGAACACCTGGGAGTTAACACCCCCAGAACAACCCACAACAATAAAGGATAGGAATTGGTGAGTGTATCAGTTATCTATTGCTGCATAATAAACACTAAACTTGACGGCTTATCATAGCAATCATATATCTGCTCATGACTCTGCAATTGGACTGTGCTCAGCTGGAAGGTTCTCCTGCTCATCTAGCCTGGAGCCACTCATGCAGGTGTAATCTGGTGCCTTGCCTGGACTGGATGGTCCCATATGACTTCATTCGCGTTTCTATTGTGTAGGGGCAGCTGTGAGCTGGGGTGCCTCAGTCCCCTCTGTATGGCCTCTGGCAGAACAGCCCAGGCTTCTTATGTGGTAGCAGCAGCAGTCCCAGAGGGCCAGCCCTAATTCTAAGTGTTCATCAAGCCTCTGCTGGCATCATGTTTGCTGATGTTCCAATGGCTAAAGTAAGTTACATGGCCCCACCTAGAGTCAATGTGGGAGAAGCCTCCACAAGGGTATGGACCACAGGGAGGCCATTAATGAGCCATCAATCCAGTGCATAAGTCTGCCAGCTTCCTCAGCCCTCAGGGGGACAACTCTAAGGTGTGTTCCACTCAGGGTCTCAGAGAGACCACAAAGGGCTTGAGCCCAGTTGCCCACAGCTGTGATCCACTCACTAGCACATTTTAAAAACTTTTCTCTCCTCCCTGGTTCACTCCCCCTACTCCCTCACTGTGCTTCCTGGAATCCCCTCCCAGATAAACTACCTGCACCCAAGTCCTTTTTCAAGATCCACTTTGGGGAAACCTAAACAGGGGCCATAGCATAGCCAGGAGTTGAAATCCCAAGCACGTGTTCAATTCTGCCATACTGGCCCCATGTAGGAATACAGGAGAGAGGACAGGATAAGATGGGAAACATGGGGGCTGGGGCTCTGGGGAGCCACTGAAGGCTACATGCAGAGAGGAGCATAATCAGCAGGTATCTGTGGCCCCTCTGAGACTGGCCAGGCCTCCAGGGATGGATTCGGCTGAGTCAGAATTGGAGACCTGCCAGATCCAATAGTGACAGAAGGCTAAGACCCTGTAGGAGCACCTCTAAGTTAGGGAAGATGCCCTCCCCCCACACACCCCATCAGCCCTCCTGGGTCAGTCTGGTCCCCAGAGCTGTTCTCACAATTTGCAGCGTAAAACCAACTCCCCCCAACCCCACCACTTTTCTGAGTTCTGTTATTACGATTATGCAAATCTCCCGTCCCAGCCTAAGCAAAGCAGGTGGGACATGGGGGCAGCTCAACAGGATAAGATGGGCAAATGGCAGTTTACAGCCACCCACTCTGGTAAACACAAGTTTAATTGCTTTTTCGTAGGGGAGAGAGGGGAGGCACACTCAGAAATAAAACAAATTCCCAATCAGCTGTGTCAGGGCTGCTGAGCTGAGCTGATGGAGAGGAGCACTGGGCTGTGAGCAGCAGACTCTGACCTGGGAAAAGGAGAAGGCAGGTGAGGGGAGGAGATGCTGGGGACATGGAGGTATTGTCCTGGGGAAAGCACTGGCCCTTCAGGTCAAGGGCAGGACATTCTGTACCACCAGGGTTATTGTTGGGGTGAGGGGGCAGTTGGGTGCCAAGACTCTCACCTGGATCTTTAATAACAACAGTGATGATAATACTATCCAGCATTTACTGAGAGCTTACTGAGTGCCAGGCACTGAGCTAAGCACTCTACACAAATTAATTGTTTAATTGTCACAACAACCGGCTGGGTGCAGTGGCTCACACCTGTAATCCCAGCACTTTGGGAAGCCAAGGCGGGCGGATCACCTGAGGTTGGGAGTTCAAGGCCAGCCCGACCAACACGGAGAAACCCCACCTTCAGCCTGGGCAACAGGAGCGAAACTCCATCTCAAAGGAAAATGTCACAACAACCTATGATACTATTATCACTCCATTTTACAGATGGGAACTGGCTGAAGACACAAGTGAAAGTGTTCTTTTGTCTACCCAGAACCTGAGGAACTATTTATTCAACAAACCCCCATTTGCTGAGCCCTTGCTCTGTGTCAGTTGCTTCATGCAATCAACAAGGAATAAGGCTGGGATCCAAACCCAGGTCTTTCTGATGCCAGTGACTATGCCTTTAACTAGTAAGCTAGACAACGTCCCTGAATACTACTACACATGTCCAAGTAACAACTCCTGTTTATCGAGCACTTATTCTGTGCAACCCCCAGGTCTACAGGCCAGACTAGAGATGAGATAAGGTCCCTGCCCTTGAGAAATTCATTATTTAATGATGAAGGAGGCACATACATGAGATATTGTAGCGGTAAGGCTTTGAATAGGTGAACACGGTAGGGTGGGAACATAGGCAGTATGTAACTCTGCCCACAGAGGTTGAAACAGGCTTTGCAGAGGAGGCCAGGTTTGAGATGAGATGTAAAGGATGAGTAGGACTTCACTAAGCAAGAGGGGAAGGAGATGGTAGAGGAACACAGAGAAGGTCCACAGCTGAGGCAGCAGCTAGCACCTTCTGGGGCAGCCATACAGCCTGCGGTGGCTGGAGTTTGGGGGCACGTCATGAAGGACGTAGCCACTATGGTGAGAAGGTGGGCAGGAACCGCATCACAAGGGGCCATCACCGCCAACCTGAGCCCTGCCCCTAACCCACAGCACCAGCCTTCCTCAAATCAGCATCTGGTTTGACAAGATGCTTCTGGAACAAGGAGGTTCTGTGGCCGGGGGAGTTTGGGAAGCACCGCACAGCTGTGTCTTTTCTGGAAGCTGCATCAGGTTTCTGAGAAACCGTGTAGTAAAGAAACCTGCTTAGCTCTGCTGAGCCCAGCCTTTCCCAGACCCCTCTGACCTCAGAAACCTCCTCTGCCCGCAGAAACCCCCGGGGCCCGCATTCCAGGGACAAACCCTTCAGGAAGTGTGTATGTGAGACCTAAAGCAATGGCGGTGACTGGGGAGGGCCCACGGCTCCTTCCTGCATCTTCAGTCACTGAGACTCCACCCAGAGGATGGCAAGAACAAGCCCAACAACAGCTGACATGTACTGAGTCCTTACCACGAGCCAGGCCCTGTGCTAAGTCCTCTATATGTCACTGACTCTCATCTCACTGACTGCTCATGCTGTTAAAATTTCCATTTTACAGATCAGGAAACCGCGGCACGGGGCAACAGGAACTTGCCTACATTCTCTGCATTCGTAGGTGGAAGAGTCAGGATTCGAACCCTAGTCTGCCAAACGCCGAGGTCCATGCACCTCTTGCTGCACTGTCCTCCCATGTGTGGCTTCCTACTGTTCCGTCTGCGGGCGGAGCCCCAGCCCCACCCCGGAGGAGGTGGGAGATGACCGTCGCTTTCGTATTTTGGAAAGCTTCAGTTGTCAGCCCCTCCGGGCAGGTTCTGTCATTCCTGGGGACTGCATCATTTCTGACATAACAGAATCTAGTCAATTCAACTCAGCAAACATTTCCAAATCCCCTCTGTATGCCAGGTGCTGCCTGGGGAGGCTGGTCAGTCCCCGGTTACCCCGAATCCCACTGCCTCTGGGAGCTCTGATCCCAGAATCCTCCAGTGAAAGGGACTTGGAGGAGCACACAGTTCCCAAAACTCAGATTTAGAGAAAAAACTGAGGCCACACCCCCAAATTTAGAGCAGAAAGAAGTGGAGCTGCTCTGTTTGAAGTGAGGGTGGGCATTCTGGATCCTACCAGCCTAGCCTTCCCTCCCCTCCTGCAGGCTCCGGAAAACATCACCTGATCAGACCTGGCCATGTCACAGGTGAGAGTGGCAGAGACAGGTACAAATAAAACCATGAAGTCACAGGAAAAGGAACTGATTTTTTTTTTCTTTTTTTTTTTGGAGACGGGATCTCGCTTTGTCACCCAGGCCGGAGTGTAGAGGCGTGATCACGGCTCACTGCAGCCTCAACATCCCGGGCTCAAGTATCCTCCCACCTCAACCTACGGAGTAGCTGGGACCACAGGTGCATGCTATCATGCCCGGCTAATTTTTTAATTTTTTTGTAGAAACAGTCTTACTATGTTGTCCAGGCTGGTCTTAAACTCCTAGACTCAAGCAATCCTCCCACCCCAGTCTCCCAAAGTGTTAGAATCATAGCTGTGAAACACCGCACCTGGTCAAGAAATAAATTTTGATGGGAAAGGCTTCTTCAAAAAAAGCGGGCTTGTTCTGGGCCAGAAAATCAGAGTGGGGGCACATTCCGGGCTCAGGCAAAGGTCTGAGGACAAAGCATTCTGGGAGTGTTTACGGAGGACCAGCTCTGAGGGATGTGGGGATGGTGGCAGAGAGAGGGGTTGACGAAAGCTCGGCTTCAGTCACACCTCAGCCCACCTCCAGCATCACGCCCTAGCCACTCCAGGGCAGGCGAGGGCAGGACAGGGCAGGAGGGCTGGTGACCAGATGTTCACAAGCCCCAGCGTCCCAGACCTTGCTGCTTCCTCCGGGAAGCATTTGAAAAGCTGTTAAGAAATTGGAGACTTTCTCCTGCTCCAGGCTGACCTGGTTGTCCCGGGTAGGCCCAATCTAAAATTTCAGGGAACAAAGGAAAGGCCTGAAATGCCACCTTGGGAAGGTCAGGTGCCCCGTCCCAAGGCCTGGGATTCAGCCAGGTGAGAGAGGAATGCACCTTACTCCTGATGCACACAGCAAACAGACCAGGAATGTCCAGGGCTGACACAGCCCCGGGAAGTCTCCAGAGAACACTCAGGGACTGGACTGAGGCTGAGCACCCTTAGGCCACACCCCCTACTTCCCCTCCCACCTGCAGACCCAGCTTTCAGAGGAGCCCCAGGAGCAATGACCTGAAAAGGTAGAAATGATCAGAAGATGAAAATCCCTCTTTGCTCCTCATAATTGGAAGAAAGGGAGACAAAACGTTGGAGGCAGAGGGCATGTTTCACATCCAGACATTCCAAGAGCACCTTCTCACTTTGCTCTTGTATGAGGCAGCAGAGGGCACTGGAAACAGCCCTGGACCTGGGGTAAACCTGCTGGGGTTTGAGCACTGCTCCCCAGCAGGTGACCTCAAGAAAGCCTCTTTCCCTTCAGATCCTGTTTCTTCCTCCAGAAGAGGGGACAATGGCATAGATTTCATGAGGTTCTTGTAAGGATCGCACTAGATAATGGATGTGACAGGGTCGTATTAATGGTGCAGGGCTTTATACAGAGTCAAGCTCCCTGGAAACATCAGGTATTATTTGGAGGAGCACATAGAATGTAGCCCCCCACATGGGGCCACCTGAATTCATGTATGAACAGCAGGACAATTCAACGCACCTGCAGCCACTTAAGACATGCCCCGTGGCAAGGCAGGTACTTAGAGGATGCTGACCTGGCCAAATGCGTGTCATTACCTCTTATGGAGCCCTAAAGCTCTCTTTCTTAAAATGCCTAAGGTTTGAATCAGAACAAATGCAGACAGCATTTTAAACAAGCTCCCCAGTAACTGATGTGAAAGTCTGAGAATCACAGCTCCAGAGCAGCCCCCCAAAGACAATCCCTCTCCATTTAAGGGTAATTTGGAATTACATTGACTACTGCTTAAAAAGCGCCTACTGTGTGCCAGGTAGTTTACATACGTGATTTGGAAATACTCTTCTCAGTTTATAGATAAAAACCGGGACTCCAGAACAGTTGAGTGACCTGCCCAAGGCCACACAGCTAATCAGGGGCAGGTCAGGATTCGAATCCAGGTCTCTCTGAAGCCACATCTCAGCCACTGACTACAATAGGTCACCATTTCTCTTCTTTGCAGTGTAATGGGAAGGCTTGGGGAGTTTCAGGTGAAAACTACTTCTGAGCAATCCCAGAAGCCTTCCTGGAAGGGGACAGGGAACTACCCAGGTCTTTGGGAACACCAAACTGTCCCCCTGCATCCCCAGGCAGTGCTGACCTGGCAAGGACGGACAACACCTCCGCCTGAACGTCCTCATTTGATCTTTGTCTCTTCCGCATGGATTTAAGATGCACCAACCCCAAGTGCTCCAGGGGGTTCATCTAAACACGATTAAACAGCCATTAGGCCTCTGCGATTGGGAAATGGAGATTTACAGACTTCCAAACCTCCATTTAAATGCAAATGCAGCATTTTCGCTGGGAACCAGGGATCTGAACAGCATTAAAGGCACTGTCTCCCCTTGCCTCTGCCGTCACTCCTGCCGGTTGGGCCACCTCCGGCTTGCAGCTAATCCGAGGGGTGCTGCGGGCACCTGATGGAGCCAAGCCAGGAGAGGACAGGGGCCAGGCCCGCTGCAATGGACGGTGAGTTGAAGTCCTGCCTTTCTTCATCTGCAGTTGCCCTTTCTGTCCTGGGCCGTGGTGCAGATGTTGACCTCTGGCCCAAGTCGGCACATCCTCATCAAGGTCACATGTACCACAGGGAAATCCTGGAGTCGGGACACTCAGACTCTACTCTGCCTGGCTCTGCAGCCCTAGGAAGGCCAGGCTCTGTTTTGAGTGGTGCACCCTTGCTCCTGGGACCTCCAAACAAAGGGCCTGGACATATTCACTGACTCAAATTAATAGGGGGTCAGGAAATAGTCATTGAGCAGAAAGCAGAAAAGAACCTACTACTCAAATTAAGAGAATAACAACTGAGGCCTTTATCAAGCACCTACTATGTCCCAGGCAGAGAAAGTACCATTTCATCCTCCCGAGACCCTAGGAAGCGGGTTTTAGGATCCCTATTTTTAAAAAGGAAAAATTGAGACTTGGGAAGATGAATAGGATGTAGAGGTCACTTACGGAGAAGGTACCAGAGTCAAGATTTGACTCTCAAATCCATCCTCCTAACTATCTCTCCAAACTCTGCCCCTAAGTTCCTGTGTGACCTTTGGTGAATGACTTGACCTCCCTGAGCTTCTGTTTCTGGACCTAAAATGGGTATAAGAGAGTCAGGAGAGGAACAGCTGAAGAGTGGGAAGCAGAGTCAGGGAACTGTCCTTCCAGGCTGAGCTTGGGGGCCCTACTGAAGGGGCAGGGAGGCTGCAAGCCTTGGCTAGGGCTAGGCCTGGGCCACCAGAGCTTGAATTCCAACCTGGGAAGTAGAGACCATATTTTGCAGGTGATGGAAGCCCTAATGGGTTTGGCAGATTTTGGCCATGCACTGAATGTGGTGAGTGAGGAGGAAGAGGGTGCCAGGGATGACTGTTGTGAGAACGGCCTTTTACTGAACATTCATGTGGCAGGGTGCTGTACTGAGTCAGTTTCACATCTGATCTTACTCGCTCCTCAGAACCCTCTTGCAAAGTTGGTTTTTATTATGTTGGGACAACTAAATTCCTCTTCAAAGACTCAATTTTCTGATCATACATTGTAAACAATCCTACCCCTTCTTCAGTTAAGCCTAATTGTTTCTTCTTTGCCCTTCCCCCTTCACAAATTGCGTGTTTACCTTACTTGGAAAGTTTAAGTCTTAGCCAATCAGGATCAACTTAGATTGTGCGGTCCAACCCCAGCCACTCAGGGAAGGACACAGAAACAGGAACTGCGTTAGGGTTAAAAACCCCTTCTCTCCTTTGTTCGGTGTGCTCTTGTGATTACAACTGGTGCAAGCAGCACCCTTCTGCAGAAGTAAAGGTGTCTTGCTGAGAAATTTTCTGTCTAAGTGCGAGTTTCTTTTGGCTATGCCGAGCACTTGTTTCCAACATTATTATTACATATGTTTCAGGTGAGTCAACAGTGGAAGTGTTAAGGACCATACCCAAGGTCACTTAGCCCTGGGGAGGTACAGCCAGGCTGCAGATACAGGAGGAAGCTCCTCTCCTCCCTCCTCCAGCACTGTCTCTCTCTGATGGTGAAATTTTCAGTCCAGGTGCTTGGAAGAAAGGGGACACTGGGGTGACCAACTATCCTGGCTTACTTGGAACAGTCCTGATTTTAAAACAGAGTGCCGTGTCCCTGGAAACCCCCTTGTCCTGAGTACACTGTAACGTGATGATAGCTCACCTTAGCAGTGACTCAGAAATGAGACAAAGGAACAAGGGTGTGGAAAGCTGGAAGGGAAATGGGTGGAGTTTTTGATGGGTTGAGTTAGGTCCCCAGGGAGTAGGCCCAGCCATTGCATTGGCACAAGGTCAGGCCAGAGAACCAGATTTGGGACTCACTCATAGAGGCCTGGGGACCCCCTGGGACCTGCCCAGTTGCCTGAGCCATGCATAGAGAGAGGGATCCCTCCCAAGGATGGGGTCTTCCTTCCCTGGACAGTGATGGCAGAAAAGAGCACTGGACTCAGAGTATTCCTTCCAGCTGGTCTTGCTTCTCTGGATTACATCTTAGCTCCTGACCCTCCCAGGACATTTGCTTGAGGGTTAGATGAGAGAAACCATGCTCACAGTGTGGGGATTTCAGGCACCAGGACTTTCCCTTGTGGCTGGAATCTGCCCAGTCAACAAGTGGGAGCAGGCCTGTGCAATGGTGTTAAAGAGGAGAGAGGGAAACTGCCTTCTGTTTCTGTCTCCCTTCACTTCCTCCCAGCTCATGACCTCTGGCCACTGTTTGCTTCTGATGTTTGGCCTCAGAGATATATCCACAAGGCGTGACAGAAGCCCAGACCAGCTCTGTACATGGGGCAGTAGGACTCCCAGGAAAAGACCTGGGCTGGGGTTGATAAGGAAGACAACAGCAGCTTCCTCTTCAGTGTCGGAGTGTAGGCACACTATTGGGGCAGGATGGGATGGCTTGTCGCTCACTTGGCCTGAGATTTGGGGGGAAAGAGCACAGGTCTGGAAGACACCAAACTGTAGGTCTAGTTCTGACTGTCACTGACTTGCTCTATGACCTTGAGCAAGTCACTTCCCCTCTTTGAGCCTCAGTTTACTCATCTGTCAAAAGAAGGCCATAGCTCCTCCTCTGCCTCGTGACAAGATGGTGCATGGCCAGAGGGCAGAATCTGGCCAAAAAACCCTATGGAGTAGTGTCCCAGAAAAGAAGAGATGAGGGGACGGTGAAGGGCAGGGAGCAGAACAAGAGGGGTACAAATGAGTTAGCCAGAGGAAGGGGGCAGGCTGGGTGGAGATGACGGACAGATGGCGGAGGCAGGTGAGAGCATGTTAAAAAGGGGAGCCAGATGTGAGCTCATCAATCAGTTTTTATATCCCCTGCCTTTCCCTCCCACCCCTCCCCACCCCTCCCCGCCCCTGTGGATAATTACGAAGGACACCGATTAAGAGGACCTGGCCCCCTCAGCTTCTTTGTTTGAAGCCCTCCTGGTGAATTATGCAGGAGGCTGCTGGGAGAAGCAGGCGCTGGGATCGCTTCATTATTGATGAGAGATGACGGGCCCTCTGCTGACAGCCTGCCTAAGAGATATGATTAGCTTATAAAGAATTAATCACCATTTTCAGGGAGGACACAGATTAAAACCCCAAGGAGTGGTGTTATCAATGTTCCCTAATTTCAGGGGACTTTGAAAAGGTTTTAGCACAACTTGGAGAAGACAATTGTATTCAATTAGAATCACTAGTGCCGCAATGTCACTCCCTGCCGTGAGGTGGGCCCTTGCAGGGGAGGTTTGAGGAAGGAGGGGACTGCAGGTGGCCATCGAGGAGGCCTGCCCGACGCACTGCCCTCTTTGGAGGCTCCTCCCACACTGTTCCCTCTCCAGGTGATCTCATGTTCACCTATGGCTTCATTTCCATCCAGACTCCGATGACTCACACTTTTATGGCTCCAGCCTGGACCTCTCCCTGAAGCTCCCCATCCATTTACTGTATGCAGCTCCTGCTCAACTCCTTCTCTGGGATGTCTCAAAGGCACCTCCAGACCACCACGTGTGACCCTGAACTCCCAAACACCCCCCACATTCCCTACCCTGGTGCCTGGTCCTCCTCCAAGATTCTCTTTCTTAATGAAGAGCACCAGCCTTAACAAAATCCATCACCAAGATCTGTCGATTTAACTCTTAAACATTTCAGGGATCCATTCACTTCCCCTGTCTCCCATGCCACCGCCCTAGACCATGCCACCTTCCTCTCTCACCTGGATGACTACAGTGGCCTCCTCGCAGGTGTCAGACACTTCCTCCTTCTCCTCTCATCCTCTTGGCTTCTCCTCTGATTGCATCCCTGGCTCGAGTGGACGGCTCCCTGTGGGATATGATTCACTGCATTCTGATGTGGTCTGGTCTCACATGTGTGCCATATTTGTCTTCTCTTTCTTCCTAAGATTCCTCTGATGTTTGGGGGGCCTGTGCTCATGGACAGCCCACAAATGAACACTCTGGAGGGAAATCCTCCTCCACCAGTGAAGGCAGGACTGATGGATAGCATTTGGCCCCCCATTTAGGGTGGAAGGGCAATTCTGGGAGACCTTGTGTTGCTTCTCAGAAGGTCCTAGCAGAATGGAGCCCCTGTTGCCTGGTACAGCAACCCAGAAATCCATGGTTCCTCACTCCTGCTCCCAGAGATTATTCCCAAATGAGCCACCTGCACCCAAGTCCTTGTCTCACTTCAGCTTTTTAATGATCCCAAGCTAAGACATCCTGCTTTCACTCTTGCCCCTCCACTCTGCCCTCCCCACAGCATTACTGACCTCCACAAATACACCTCTGATGGTGTCACCCTCCCACTTCAGTCCTTCCAGAACTTCCTGTTGCTCTCAGATAAAAGCAAAACCACAAACATGGTGATGGGGTTCAGGACATGCTACTCCAAAATATGGCATCTAGACACTGGGGAAAATGGCAGAAGTAGAAAGGTCATTCTCACTTTCCCCCTGCCATTCTTCCCTGAAGCGGGCCATACCACCTGGGAAGGACTCTCTGACCTTCCCCTAAAGCTGTTCATAAGACCGTCATTCAAGACCAGGTGCAGTGGCTCAAGCCTGTAATTTCAGCACTTTGGGAGACTGAGGTGTGAGGATTGCTTGAGGCCAGGAGCTCAAAACCAGGCTAGGCAACATAGTGAGATCCATGTCTACAAAAAATTTTTTTTAATTAGCCAGGCACAGTAGGATGCACCTATAGTCCCAGCTGCTCAGGAGGTTGAGGTAGGAGGACCACCTGAGACCAGGAGGTCAAGGTTGCACTGTCAGAGACATTCGAATCAGAGCAACCCCATCTTGAATAGGCAAAATAAGGCTGAGACCTGCTGCACTGCATTCCCAGGAAGTTAGGCATTCTAAGTCACAGAACAAGATAGGAGGTCCACAGAACTGGTATCAGAAGATACAGGTCATAAAGACCCTGCTGATAAGACAGGATGCAGTAAAGAAGTTGGCCAAAGTCCATCAAAACCAAGATGGCAACAAAAGTGACCTCAGGTCCTCCTCAGTGCTCATTATACACTAATTAAAATGTATTAGCATGCTAAAGGACACTCCCACCAGTGCCATGACAGTTTACAAATGCCATGGCAATATCCAGAAGTTACCCCAGATAGTCTAAAAGGGGGAGGAACCCTCAGTTCTGGGAATTACCCACGCCTTTCCTGGAAAACTCAAGAATAATCCACCTCTTTTTTAGCATATCATCAAGAAATAACCATAAAAATAGCCAGTTAGCAGCCCTCAGAGCTGCTCTGTTTATGGAGTAGCCATTCTTCTATTTCTTTATTTTCCTAATAAACTTCTGTTCACTTTACTCTGTGGACTCACCCTGAATTATTTCTTGGGCAAGATCCAAAAACCCTCTCTTGGGGTCTGGATCAGGAACTTTTTTCCAGCAATAGCACCACTGCACTCCAACCTGGGTGACAGAGCAAGACCATGTCTCAAAAAAAGAAACAAAAAGATCTTCGTTCAAAAGGGGACTTCCCTATATCCAGAGGAAAGGAACTTGCTTATCTCCAAAGACACTGGGACAGGGAGAAGAATCTGAATAAACAGGTCTTGCTTGCCCGGGCATGGTGGCTCACGCCTGTAATCCTAGCACTTTGGGAGGCTGAGGTGGGAGGATCACAAGGTGAGGAAATCGAGACCATCCTGGCCAATATGGTGAAACCCAGTCTCTACTAAAAACACAAAAATTAGCTGGATGTGGTGGTGCATGCCTGTAATCCCAGCTAGTCGGGAGGCTGAGGCAGGAGAATGGCTGGAATCCGAGAGGCGGAGTTTGCAGTGAGCCGAGATCATGCCACTGCACTCCAGCCTGGCGACAGAGTGAGACTCCATCTCAAAACAACAACAACAAACAACAACAACAGAAACAAAACAGACCCTGCTAAGGTCCTCCCAGTTTATTACCATTAGATCATACTTTTTTTATCCAATTATGCTTCTCTACAACTATTCACTTTTTAAATACATAGGCTTACCATTTCTTTGGGTCTTTATTTCCCTTAAAACTTATAAGTATGCTTTTTTCTTGTTAATCTCTCTTTAGTTATAGAGGCCTCAGCCATGAACCTAGCGATGGATATGTAAACCCAAAAGTATGTGAGACAGGTCTCAATCAAGTTAGAAATTTAATTTTGCCAAGGTTAAGGTGCCAAGAATGCACCACTGCACTCCAGCCTGGGCGACAAGAGTGAAACTCTGTCTCAAAACAACAAACAAACAAACAAACAAAATTCTGATTGGCAATCAATTAAAATAATTATTATCAATAGGAAGGAATGTCTGGGTTACAGTAACGGGTCATAGAGACCAAGGCTGTATCACGCAGAGCCTCCAGGTAGCAGGCTTCCAAGAGAACAGATTGCAAATATTTCTTATCAGACTTAAGGTCTGTGTTGATGTTAATGCTGGTCGGCTTTTCCTGAATTTCAAAAGGGAGAGGGGTTTAATGAAGCATGTCCTGCTCCCCCTTTCCATCATGGCATGAAGTAGTTTTTCAGGTTAACTTTGGAATGCCCTTGGCCGAGAAGAGGGTCCCTTTAGATGATTGGGGGGGTCTTAGAATTTAATTTTTGGTTTGCAGGTAGAAAACCTCTGCTCTACAGAGGCCTCCAAGAGCATGGATTGTCTGACTCCTCCAACCTTGCCTTCCACCATGCACTCCATTATAAGGAGGAAAAAGGGTTCCCTCTATCTTTCATAGTTGTTAACTGGGACTCCCTGTAACAAAAGACAGATTAACAAGAGAAAAACAAATAGAAGTTTATTAGCATGGATTACCTCCTTGTACACGGGAGAAAACTCAAATAAATGAGTCATTCCCTAGAGAAGATGTCAAAGAAAGAGCTTAAACTTCAGGCTTAAATACCATCATTTTTCTGAAATGAAGGAAAAAAAGACTGTTGGGAAAAGGCCCTGTTGAGATGACCAAGAAGAACACATTAAACAAAGGCAAAGTTTGTTATGCAGATGGAATTCGCTGCTTTCTTCATCATTTAAGAGTTTCTAGTGATTAAGTCAGCTTTTTCTCCCTGGTGCAGTCAGGAAGAGACTATTACAACTGGAGATTTTCTTTACAGATGTAAATTTCTCTTATAAAAGGGCAACTTTTGAGTTCCTTCTGTGTCTGCAGTTTTTCAAAATAGCCAGCTCAAAATAATTATTATGCCAAAGAGGTATATTTGGGGGTGGCATATTCTGGTCTCCTATAGTCACATTTTGGGGTGGTGTGTCCAGAGCCCTAGCACCACCTTCCAGAGCCTCATGTTCACCATGCACCTCCCAGCCACAGGGCCTTTGTCCATGCCATGCCCTCCACCTGCAATCCTTTCCCAGCCTTCTTTGCTCCTCAGCTCATCTTTCAGATCTTGCCCAGTTGTGTTTGCTGGAAGTTTTCCCTCAGCCTCTCAGGGAGGTGAGATCCCTTCTCTTATGAATTCCCATTGCACCAGGCCCCTCTCCTTTTATTGCTAATTGGAATTACAATTTCACATATTTCGCATTTCTTTGTGGGATTATTTGATTAGCATCTGCCTCCATCATGTTGAGCGAGTGTCATGAAGACAGCCTGTGTCTGGTAATCCCGGAGCCAGCACAGGAATAGTTGATGGAAGAAGAAAGGAAGGAAGGGAGTGAGGGAGGAAGGTGTAACCATTCGATGGGTTCATTTTGCTTGCTGCCCAGATAGACCTGATTTATCAAAACAGGGGAATTGCAATAGAGAAATACTTTAATTCATGCCGAGCTGGCTGAACAAAAGAATGGAGTTTTATTATTACTCAAATCAGCTTACCTGAAAATTCAGACGCTAGGGTTTTTCAAGAGTAGGCTGGCAGGATGGAGACTGAATGCTGCTGATTGGTTGGGGAGGCAATTATATGGGTATGGAAATAGTCTGCTTCTGGGTGGGGCCATAGGACCAGTTGGTGGTCCAGGTGGAGCCATCATTGTCAAAAATGCAAAAACCTGGGGTCAGGCATGGTGGCTTACGCCTGTAATCCCAGCACTTTGAGAGACCAAGGCAGGTGGATCACTTGAGGTCAGGATTTCAAGACCAGCCTGGCCAACATGGTGAACCCCATCTCTATTAAAAGTACGAAAATTAGCTGGGTGTGAAGACACACACCTGTAGTCCCAGCTACTTGGGAGGCTGAGGTAGGAGAATGACTTGAACCTGGGAGGCAGAGGTTGCAGCGAGCCGAGATTATGCCACTGCACTCCAGCCTGGGAGACAGAGTGGGAGTCTTTCTCAAGAAAAAAAAAAAAAAAAAAAAAAAACTGAAAAGACATCTCAAAAGGTCAATCCTAGGTTCTACAATAGTGATGTTATTTGCAGGAGTAATTGGAGAAGCTGCAAATCGTGTGACCTCCAGAATCATGGCTGGTAATCATTTATGTCTACACCTTAGCAGAATTCAGGCTCCTCTCATTGTCCTAATCTGGAGGCCTTTCATTAGCCTTACAAAGGCAGTTGATTTGGGGGGAAGAGCTATTATCATTTAAACTATAAACTAAATGTCTCCCAGAGTTAGCTTAGTGTAAGCCCAGGAGTGATTAAGGGCAGCTGGAGGTTAAAAGCAAGATGGAAGTTGGTTAGATCAGATCTCTTTCACTGTCATAATGTCTTCACTGTTGCAATTTTTGCAACTTCCCTCAAAGCGATAAGGGAAAGGAGTCCACCTTGAGCTAATGACAAATCTTCCACTAGCCCACACTCTTCACTGCTTCCCCAGTGTATGTGGAGAGAAATCAAAACAACCTATTGAGGCTTTTAAGCCCGTCTGCTACAAACCCCAATTTATGTCCCACATTATTCCCCTTTACTCCATCCATGCATCCCAGAGTTCCAGCCAATCCAAGCTGCCTGCACATCTCCATTTGGACCCCTTAGGTGAGTGCCCATTACAGTGTAAACTCCGTGAGCTGAGGGGCCTGGACACACACCGAGGGTTCCATGAAAGTTTGTTGACTGAGTAAAAGACCTTCCACATAGGCCCCCTCGTGCTGATTACCTTGCATCTGAAAAGCTACCAGCTTTGTGTCAGGTGTTCTGTAGAGCTATTCTGCACACATTCCTTGGCTCTTTTTATTTTACAGGTGAGAAGAATTGGGGCTCAGAGATGCAAGCCATTTGCCACAGTCACCCTGCTTGAGAGCAGCAGAGACGGATATCATCCTGGGCTTTTCCCACAGGGCCCATTGTCCAAGCCCAACACCCATCATATTGTAACCTCCCAGCAGGTTCTTCCTGCCCGCTACTCAAACAAAATCCATTCACCAAGACCATGGCATTGCAGTAAAGAGAGAGTATAATTGACACGAAGCTGGCCACGCCACAAGGGAGATGGAGTTATTACTCAACTCAGTCTCCCCGAAGGCTCAGAAGTTAGGAGTTTTTCATAGATAGTTTGGTGAGCAGGGGCCTAGGGTAGGGGCATGCTGAGTGATTGGGTTGGAGATGAAATCAGAGAATCTCTTCTCTTTGGCTGAGTCAGTTCCTGGGTGGGGGCTCCAGGTGGAGCCATCATCGTCAGGAATGCAAAAACCTGGAAAGACATCTCAAAAGGCTAATTTTAGGTTCTACAATAATGATGTTATCTGCAAGATTATTTGGGGAAGTTGCAAATCTCATGACCTCTGGAATAATGGCTAGTAATTATTTAGAATCCAAGACTCTCTCATCCTCTTAATTTGGTGGTCTTTCATTTGTCTTACAAGAACAGTTTAGTTTTGGGGAAAGGCTATTATCATTTAAACTATAAACTAAATTTCTCTCAAAGTTAGGTTGGCCCATGCCCAGGAATGAGCAAAGACAGTGAGGCTAGAAGCACAGTGGAGTCAGCCATGTCAGATTTCTCTCACTGCCGTAACTTTGCAAAAGCAGTTTCAATATCTGGCATCCAAATTCTCACCATTCTTTTCAGTCCAGTTCAAATGCCACTGTTGGGGTTCAGAAACTGATATCCCAAAATATGATGCTTTATTTATTTATTTATTTATTTTTTGAGAGGGAGTTTTGCTCTGTTGCCCAGGCCAGAGTGCAGAGGCGCGATCTCTGCTCGCTATAGGCTCCCCCACCTGGGTTCAAGGGATTCTCATGTCTCAGCCTCCTGAGTAGCAGGAATTACAGGTGTGCGCCACCACACTCGGCTAATTTTTTTTTTTTTTTTTTTGAGACAGAGTCTCACTCTATCACCCAGGCTGGAGTGCAGTGGTGTGATCTCAGCTCACTGTAACCTCTGCTGCCCAGGTTCAAGCAATTCTCCTGCCTCAGCCTCCCAAGTAACTGGGATTACAGGCATGCACCACACCTAATTTTTGTATTTTTAGTAGAGACGGGGTTTCACCACGTTGGCCAGGCTGGTCCAAACCCCTGACCTCAGGTGATCCGCCCCCCACTCAGCCTTCCAAAGTGCTGGGATTATAGGTGCAAGCCACTGTGACCAGCTGACCCCAAAATATGATGCTTTGACGCACTGAACTGAAGAAGCCTCAAGGTCTCTCTGACCTTTCCCTCCTGGCTCTCAATCTTCCATCTCTCCCAAAGCACAGGAGGAAGTTTTTCTCTGAAGTTCCTTTTTCTGCTTAAAGTCTGGACCTGCCAAAGAAGAAAACAGTAACCTCTGGTCCCTTCCCTGAGTTTTCATTAACGGAACTCATATCGCGGGAAGAAAGACTGAATTCTGCCAACCAACCTGGACAGACGTGTCACACACCATTGTCCGCTCTGCGGGTCCCACAGACTTTGTCCCAGGCCATTGTATGTTCTCCATGCCCATTGAATTCCCCTCAAAATCATTTACCATCCCTCTAAAAATCATCCACAATTTCCCATCCCCCTTTCCCCTAAGAAAAAGAGCATATAACCCTCCATACCCCATTGCGTGGTGGGGTAACCACTCTGCAATTCTCCCCCATGTGTGTCAAAAAATGCATATGCCTTTCCTTCTATGTATCTGTCTTTTGTCACTTTATTTTCAGTGAACCTTCAGAGGGTGAGGGAAAACTACAGTTTTGGCTCTGTGAGCAGGGTCACCAAAGTCTCTCTGTTTGAAGCCGCAGTGAAGGAATCCAGGACCTGAAAAGCTGGCAGAAAGGAAAGAAATTCTTATCAGCCAGGCTTCCAGACTCTTTCTCTGTGGAACCTGTTTAAGCAGACAGTAAAAATCACAATTTGTTCTTGTTTCTTCTCCAAAATCTTGATTAATGGGAAAAAAAGGATTTGCGTGACTAGTCCTGAGTATAGTGACTCTGGTGTACTTTTTGGTATGAACATTCATATTGTTTGAGACATTTCCTCCCAGAAATAGTGTTTTTCTCTGTCTTTGTCTTTCTGTGTTGTTCTGTTATAAAGAGGGTACCATAGGGTAGAACACAGGCCTAAAACCCCTATACGCCTGTTGTTCAAGCTGGCCCAGTCAGGGGCGTTTGAACAAGAGTGACTCCATCTTGAATACAGGGTGGTTAAAAATAAGTCTGAGACCTACTGGGCTGCATTCCCAGAAGCTTAGACATTCTTAGACACAGGATGAGATAGAAGGTCGGCACAAGATACAGGTCACAAAGACTTTGCTGATAAAACAGGATGCGGTAAAGAAGCCGGCTAAAACCAAGATGACTATGAAAGTGACCTCTGATTGTCCTCACCGCTCACGATATGCCAATTATAATACATTAATATGTATTGTCATGGCGCTGGGGGGTGATATGTTAATTATAATATATTAATATGTACTGTCACGGCACTGACACTCCCACTAGCGCCATGACACTCCCGCCAGCGCTATGACAGTTTACAAATGCCATGACAATGCCAGGAAGTTACCTTACACATTCGAAAAAAAGGAGAGGGACCCTCAGTTCCAGGAAATCTCTGTCGCATTCCTGGAAACTCATGAATAATCCTCCCCTCGTTTAGCATAAAATCATACTCAGTTGAGCAGCCCCCACTGCTGCTCTGCCTATAGAATAGCCATTCTATTATTCCTTAACTTCCTTAGTAAACTTGCTTTTATTTTACTCTATGGCCTTGCCCCAGATTCTTTCTCGAACCCTCTCTTGGAGTCTCCATCTGAACCCCTTTCCAGGAACAGCCGTATAGACTGGTCAGTTTCATGGTTCCATTCAGACCAGCAGTTAAGACAAATTTTGCTGTGGGTTCCCAAAATAAAACAGGATAAGATTCCCTCTTGTCTTGTTTTATGTCCTTGAGAGCTTGACTTGTGACCAAGCGGGAGCACTCTCTCGGTCCCTGCTGTCCAGCGAGCATGATTTTTGGGTCATATCTGGTGGCCAGTCTGAAAATGGCTGGGAACCTGAGACACATACGACATTGAGCAGCACTCTTTTTGTTCCAAAGGTGTCAAGCTCTCAGGGGAGTTTGTCTTAATAAAAAGTCCCATGCACAAAGGGCTTTTGTTGTCTCAACCCCTGTTGTCTGGTTAGCCCTGGGGAAGCCCGATCCCAGGAGGGTCTGCTTGGTGTCATAGATTAACAGGTCTGTGACTGGTAGACCCCACCTATTTATGGGGTTCTGGAGACACCATACACACAAACACCATCCTCAACCATCTGTGGCAAGAGTCTTTTGCTATCTTAGCGTAAACCTTGGAGTGAATTTTTGGAGATCATGGGGACTTCCTCTTCTATGCCCTCTCCACTGTAAACCAAAAATAAGATTCTAAGCTCCCCAACCAACTGAATGGACCCCTCCTCTTGGCCAAGGGCATTCTAAAGTAAACCTGAGGCCAGGCTGGGTGGCTCATGCCTATAATCCCAGCACTTTGGGAGGCCAAGGCAGGTGGATCACTTGAGGTCAGGAGTTCAAGACCAGCCTGGTCAACGTGGTGAAACTCCATCTCTACTAAAAATACAAAAATTAGCTGAGTGTTGTGGTGCATGCCTGTAGTCCCAGTTACTTGGGAGGCTGAGGCAGGAGAATGTCTTGAACCCAGGAGGCGGAGGTTGCAGTGAGCTGAGATCGCGCCATTGCACTCCAGTCTGGGTGACAGAGTGAGATTCCATCTCAACATAAATAAATAAATAAAGTAAACCAGAAACACTAGTTTAGGCCATGATGGGAATGGGTGGTCAGACATGCCTCATCATACATTCCCCACTTTGGAATTCAGGCACAGCTGACCAGCATTCACGTTAAAACAGAGACCTCAATACTGACAAAACAGACTCTTTTAGCCGGATAAGATGCCTGCTACTTGGAGGCTTCATCTGCATAATAAGAACCTTGGTCTCCACAACCCCTTGTTGTAACCAAAACACTCTCTTCTATTGAGTTCAGGTCTTTCAAACTCTTTCAACCAATTGCCAATCAGAAATCTTTGATTCCACCTATGACCTGGAAGCCCCTTGCTTGGAGTTATCCCACGTTTCTGGACCAAACCAGTGTCCATCTTACATGTATTGATTGATGTCTTATGTCTCCCTAAAATGTATGAAACCATGCTGTAGCGTGATCACCTTGGGCACATGTCATCAGGACCTCCTGAGGCTGCATCACAGTCATGTGCTTAGCCTTGGCAAAATAAACTTCTAAATTGATTGAGACCTGTCTCAGATAGCTTTTGACTTACACCAGGAACACCACTTACTTATATGGTAGAAACCTATTCTAAACCTAGAAAATTACTTCCTGGGCTTTCCATGAAGAGGTTTATTGAATTGAGTCACTACTGGAATAAGTACACCATTGGAAATTATTTATGTAACTTTTGACTTTTGAGGGTACTCATTTGTTATTGATCCTTTTTCCTTCCATGGACAGCTTTTGATTTCCTATCTCCCATCTGTAGGGCATATGGGCCGTTTGGACCTTTGTGTGTAGATGGTCAGCTGAGAAACTGAGGCCCTAGAGAATATGGCAGGACAGAAACATGGATTGGACCCCGTTTGTGGCTAGTGAAACTTGCTTTTCTTTGAGCTATCTTTGGGGGTGGTTCTGGATCTTGTGAAGACTGATTTGTACCTCTTTGTAGATGCCTAGTGCGTCCTTGGTCAAGTTATAACCTTAGTTAAGGCTTATTGGTTTGGTGAGTCATTTGGTAAGGTATCTTTTGTTTAAAAGCAAAAAAAAAAAAATGTTCAAAAGCCAAGAATATTGGGTGTCCTGGCTGAAATCTGATAACAAATTTTTAAAAATTCTTTTAAAGATCTCTATAGTCAGAAGTCAGCTTAATTAAAAGCTAATACTCAGGCTAGTATTTTTTTTTAAAAGGCTTTCTTGCTTTTTGTCCTCTGGATCCTATTGCTGGGAAGCTTTTTAGTTGATTGAAACCACTTTTTAATATATTTGGTCCCTCTGTTTGCTCCTTTTCTTGTTGGAATGACTTTTGCTGAGAAAAATGTCAAACTTCATTGGCATTTTAGAAAGCTTAAAATCTTCCCAAATTGGCTCCTCTAAGAATTGTCGTCTCATTTACTTCTACTTCTACTTCCTCTGTGCCATCTTTGATAGCTCATAAAGAAAGCTAGAGGTGATTTCTAGTGTCCCTGAGACCCCTTGAGGAACACAGAAAAAGGAAGACAGAAGACCCCACACACCCTTCTTGGGGTCTTCTGCCCTCCTTGCGTAGTCTCAAGATTTAACGGCAGTTTCCTCTCCAGTCTAAAGCTCTACTCTCATTTGCTAGTTATCTGATCTCTTTGGCCTTGGGGAATACAGGGGTTACTTTGTACTGTACAAGAACACAGTCTTTGGGTGTACAGTGGCCAGAAAGTCACCTGTGAGGGATGCAGTTTTGGAAGTGGCTGACTGCATTTGCAATGGATGGTTGTTACTACAGAGGGCTACTTGTTTCTTTGCCCATTTAGATAAGAAGGGCACAGTTTGAACACATGGAGACTGCAGGAACAGGCAGATTGTGTCACCCACCAGCCTCAGGAAAATGTCTTTGCAGCAACTGCACTGTGGAAGCATTGAGCAGCCTGTTTCCTCTTTTTGGGGGACCTGAGACTCATTGTAAAAGTGAGATCTTTGATTTTTAATGATTTAAATTATCTGCTTTCCAGCTGCACCTACTTTTCATATATTTAAATATTAGCACCTGCAAGTCTCAAATGCTTTGTTTGTTCTATTTGTTGATGAGCTCCACTCTGAGCTCCATGGTCCAGCTGGAAAACAGAGACTAAATGAGAAGCTACCTATCTAAATGAAATTGGTATTCTTATAAAAATCCTATGATGCTCTGGCATGGTGGCTCATGTCTGTAATCCTAGCACTTTGGAAGACTGAGGTGGGAGGATCACTTGCACCCAGAAGTTCAAGATCAGCCTGGGCAACATAGTAAGACCCTGTCTCTACAAAAAAATAAGAAAAAATTAGCTAGGCATGGTAGTACATGCCTGTAGTCCCAGCCACCTGGGAGGCTGGGGCAGGAGGATCACTTGAGTCTGAAAGGACAAGGCTGCTGTGGGCCATGATTGCACCACTGCGTGCCAGCCTGGGTGACAGAGCAAGATCCTCTCTCTCAAAGAAAATATATGTATATTCTATGATGCATTCTTATGATTTTGTATTCCCTTGGCATCCATTTTTAATCTTCCTCTAAATAACAAACCCAGTTTCTATCTTGAAATAGCTTAAATTCTCTCTCTGCTTTGAGATATAAATTTTCTACCAGTTCTCTCTAAAACTTAGTAAGGGCTTCCACCGTGTAAAAGGGATTAACTTATTCCATTTACAGAGTCACCATTTCACCCAACTGTCCAGCCAGTGAGTTTTATCTGACTCAGGACTGAAAATTTAAAATCAATGCTATAATAACTTTGCACCTGTCTGTATTTTATTTGTACATATCTGTATTTGTATATTGTCTACCTGGTACCAAATTGACTTATAAATAAATGAATACTCATAAATTAATAATCCCAAATGCTTTTCAAATTCATATGATGTTAGTTATCTTTCATGAATAACACTAGTTTTAAAATTGTTGGTAAAATAAAATATAATGTTTTTAGAATTTAAGACATTTTTGCCTGGGTGTACTGGTCAGACCAATTTATACTGTCTTTATGGGATGTTTTAGGGTCATATAACTGTGACTTCTATGATATTTTTGTATTTGTTTGATTTGTTTATGAGCTTATGCTTTGATTTTGACCCTTTGGATTCTGGGGTCTACACAAGTGGCCATGGTGAGGACTGGGGACATATGTGTGTCCCCACAGCCTGGACCGCATCCTCTCTGCCCCAGCTGTGCCTCTTGGTCATGCCTGGAAGGATCTAATCCCTTAGACATGGTCTTCACAGCTCTGTCCTCTGTCCTAGGCTCCAAGTCTGGTATATAACAACTCAAAATGCTTACTTCCTAGGTTTTTCACTAAAAATTACAGTTACTAAGAGTTAACATTGTAATTAATATATATATATATAATTAAAACTACTAGCTGTAAGAGAAGCAATTCTATATGCAAAGTATATAATAAAAGTAGAATGTGTTTTTCATTTAAAAAAGGATTATAAAAACATGAGAATGTGGTTTTTGTTAAAGGGAAAGTAGTTTTGCCTAGTTTAGAGGCTATTTACATGTTGTTTTAAATTGAAGGAATTTTTAAAATGATAGATAAAACTGAATGGATATGAAATGCTTGGAAAAGAAAAAGAGAAAAATTGTAGGAGTTTATAAAAAGTTTATAGAAATCTTGCGTGGTCAATGCTGATTGAGATTGGATGGATATATTAATAAGGTTTTTTAAAAATTAGCTTTAGTATTAATAATACACTGATACAAGGGCAGAATTTGATTCTGTCTCTCCCTCTCTCTTTTTAGAAACAGGAGCTCACTTTGTCATCCAGGCTGGAGTACAGTGGCACAATTAGAGCTCACTGCAGTTTTGACACCCTGGGCTCAATTAATCCTCCTGCCTCAGCCTCTCAAGTACCTAGAACTACAGACATGAGCCACCATGCTTGGCTAATTTTTAAAATTTTTTGTAGAGACAAGTTCTCACTATGTTTCCCAGGCTGGTCTCAAACTTCTGGCCTCAAGCAACCCTCCTGCCTCGGCCTCCCAAAGTCTTGGGATTACAGATAGAGCCACTGTGACCAGCCTGATTTTCTCTTTTGAACAAGATTTTCATGTAGTATTAATAAGAGGTAAAAGATTTTTGTTCGCCTTTTGAATAATCTGCAAAAAAGTACAGAAGGGGAGAGAGGGAGAGACAGATTCTGTTGTTGTCATAATGTCTTTATTAGGTGTTTTGATTGTTTGGAAAACTGAGTCTCCTCTCTATCAAAGAGCAACATTTTTGCTTTTTGAAATATTCGAATTATCACTTGGCTAAATAAATTACCTTTTTTTAACAGTGATCTATGATCCTGTTTTGATCAAGTGTTTTAAACTTTTCTCATTTTGATATCAAGTGTGTTAAACCCTTGATATTTAACATGCTTCCCCAAATCAAATCTTAAATCCTAAAATTTAGACTTTTTGACCCCAAACTAATTTGGATATTCCATATAGGGTCACTGGAAGTCCAAGAGAAACATACTAGGCTTATTTGGTATGTTAAAATCACACCGGAATTATTGTCAAATAAGAAATGGGATTTGACTTTTTTTGAGTTCTACTTTTATGGATATGTTATTAACCCATTTATGCCTGAGGTTGCAATTTTTTGAATTTTTGCAATCAGACCTTGGTGATGACCTTGAGCAGTATGATATAAATAACCCATGTGCTTAGTGTTCCAGTAATGGAACACTAGGCATAAATTGGTTTAATATGTGTTCAAAAATTGCATGACATTTGTGGTATGTCTTAGTATAGGCAGTAAATTGCTTTAGTTTGATGCTTTATTTTCTAAAAGCACTTGGCAGATCCTAAAGTGTTGAGTCTTCAAGGCAATTCATGGAAAGGACTCTGACAAGTAATCTTGAATACAGGTTTCCAATAACTTTGGAGATTATACTATTGGACTAGATAAAAACTTCCAGAACTGTAGTAAAAAGAAAAACAAAACCTGATGAGTTCATGAAGATTCCTAATTCAAGATCAAGCAAAACTAGAATTAATTACATTGGATTGAACTGATAGAGAATTAAAATCATTCTTATGGCTTTGGTTTGAAATATTGCGGATCCTTTTTGTGTTTTGTTTTCTAGAGTCAAGAAATTCTTTTTTTTCTTTTGAGCTATTTATAGCATATAGCAATTGTGTAAAATATACTTTTGTGAACAAAATTGAAACATTTACCCTCCTCTCTACCTGATTTCTCCAGAATTCAGGAATTATAAATATCCTTATTTTTTGGCAATATAGTTACCTCCATAAATTCAATAAGGATCTATTTTCTTACATAATAGGACATGTTGGAAACACTGGTTATCTTACTAAAGTTTTGACTGAATATCATATTTTCAAATATGAACAGACTGCTTTGAGGGATTAAGGTTGACTTTTTAAAGCCAATAGGCTTGGGAAAATATCGACCTGGTATCTTGTCTACACAGTTCCCTTACAGGATTCCTGACCTTGTGATAAATATGAAAATTTTTGACAGACCCATGAGCCTCAAAATATTTGGGGAACCTCAAGAAGAGAGGAATTTGCTCAATTCATACAGGTTTTACAGGCATAGTCTGGGGGCAAATTTTTGACTTGGCTTTCTCTCAAGAGACTTCTAAAAGTCTAATCTGAGATTCGTTACAAGAAAGTTCCAGCAAACCCCACTTAAACAGAGCCTTTTTAAGGTTCTATATGGCCAACCACTATTCTTACCACGCTTTATGGAAATAATCAGGCCAAACATAATAAGACTAAAACTTATTGTGCAAATAAATTGGTCCTTCTATAATGTGTCTTTGGTAGAAATGGAAACTGAAGAGATAAAAATTATGTTTCAGAAGAAAACTACAGTACACCTGTTATTGGATTCTAACCCTGACTATTTTTTTTTTGAGTTTGTATTATTTGCCTACAATTTGGACTGAATCCTGAATTTTTTCCTGTCTACAAGTCTCCAAACTGATGTTTCCAAATTTGTCTTCCATTTTCTGACTTGGACTCAATGAAATTGCTATTACCGTTTTTCCTGAGGCCCTGCAAGCTGAAGCTCATACATAAACAACTTGTGACATGCAAACTACAGATAAGAAAAGTATATCAGATGGCCACTGCCTACTTCCACATTAACTGAAGATGCTCCTAATCTAACATCAAGAAACCTCAACTGACTGCCCTCCAGGCTCTAAGGAAACAGGTTTTTAGATTGTTCCAAACATTAACCTCTGTTTTCTTTCTGAGATTCTGTCTGCAGCACCAGCTCCTGAAATGAAACAGGACTGGCCGATTCCCAGAAATGGGAGACTTTGCATACTCAACTCTTAACATGATTTTTCTCTCCACAGCCACAGACTCAGCTTTTAGTGTGCAAAACTTCTAGGGAAGTTTCAGACAGGGGAATGTTGGGGCTTAGAAACCAAAACCCCAAAATATGGCACGTTGTTATGCTGAACTGGAGAAGCAGCCTCAAGTTCTCTCTGACCTTTCCTTCTCTCCTGTCTCTTGATTCTCTGTCTCCTTCAAAGCACAGGATAAATTTTTTCTGTGAAGTTCCCTTTTCTGCCTAAAGTTTGACCCACCAAAGGAGAAAACAATTACCTCTGGTACCATCACTGAGTTTCACGATCAGAACTCATATGACAGAAAGAAAGACTGAAGCCTGTCAACACCGCTGGACAGACCTTTGTTACAAACCGTTGTCTGTTCTGTGGACCCAACAGATTTTGTCCCAGGCCATCATATGTTCTTCAAGCCCATTAATTCCCCTAAAAATCATATGTTATCTCCCTAAAATCACCCACACTTTTCCATCTTCCTTTCCCTTAAGAGGAGGAGTATATAACCCTTTATACCACATTGAGTGGTGGGGATCACTCTGTGATTCTCCTCTGTGCACATTAATAACTGTGTGTTCCACTTCTATGAATTTCTCTGCTGTCAGTTGATTTTCAGTGAACTTTCAGAGGATGAAGGGGAAGTTTTCCTGTCGCCCCTACACCACCTCTTCCCAAGAGCCTGCTGTGATCAACCACTTCCTTGGCCATCACAAGTGTTCACTATGCTGAAAGGTCACCGGAGTCTTTGTTTTGGGGGTTTGGCTTTACTTTAAGAGTTCTATTGAGCTATAATCTACATATCATAAAAATTCACCTGTCCTAAGTATACAATTCGGTGATCAAGACTTTGGTTTTTCTGTTTGTTTGGTTTTTTTGAGATGGAGTCTCCTTCTGTCACCCAGGCTGGAGTGCAGTGGCGCGATCTCAGCTCACTGCAAACCTCCACCTCCCAGGTTCAGGGGATTCTCCTGCCTTAGCCTCCTGAGTAGCTGGGACTACATGCACACATCACCACACCTGGCTACTTTTTGTATTTTTAGTAGAGACAAGGTTTCACCATATTGGTCAGGCTGGTCTCAAACTCCTGACCTCATGATCCACCTTCCTTGGCCTTCCAAAGTGCTGGAATTACAGGTATGAGCAACCGCATTCAACCCGTTTTGTTTTGTTTTGCTTTGTTTTTTGAGACAGGGTCTTGCTCTGTCACCCGGGCTGGAGTGCAGTGGTACGACCATGGCTCACTGCAACCTCCTCCTCCCAGGCCCAAGTGATCCTCCCACCTCAGCCTCCTGAGTAGCTGAGATTATAGGTACACACCACCACACCTGGCTAGTTTTTGTATTATTATTTCTTGTTGCTGTTTGAGAGATGGTGTTTCGCCATGATGCCCAGGCTGGTCTCGAACTCCTGGGCTCAAACCATGATGACAGGCAGGAGCCACTGCATCCAGCCAAGGTTTTGTTTTTCTACCTCAACCTGAACATATATTGATTTCTAGCTATGACCATTATTCACACACCTCTCTCAGTTTCCTCTTGAGCTTGGGACCAGGGTATTCTCACCTCTGAGTCCCCCACTAGCAGGGCATGCATCCACCGGGTGCTGAGCAAGGTGGGTTCACACACACGTGCATTATTTCCCTTGGGGGAAAGAGCATTTGAGAAATAATAAGAGCTGGCATTTCATAGCAGCTGCTAGATCCCAGAGCCTGTACAAAGTGCTCTACATGCACGACCTAGGCAAACAATCAGGAACCCCATGAGATGAGATGTATGACCCTTTTTTTACAGATAAGAATACTGAAGCACAGAAAAAGTCAATAACTTGCCCCAAGTCACACAGTTAGCAAGTAGCAGAGCTAGGCCTCAAACCAAGGGAGTCTGGCTCTAGACCCTTGCCTTTAACCAAAGTGCTCTAATGTTAGGGTGACCCAACCCCATTAACAGGGCCTCTATGGGGCTGGAGTTTATCAGGACAAAGCCAACAGGAAAAGAAACTACAGGAGGAGGAGGAGGCGGCCCTTCTGCTCACTGTCAGCTTTCTGAGTAGCCGCAGCTATGAGCCTTCTCACATTGCCCATCTGCTCAGCGGGTCCCTGCCACTTACCAACTCATCCTAAGGATCTGGATAGTTTGCTAAGCAAGTTTGCATCCATTGTTTGATGGGAGCTCACAGCAGCCTGAGGAGCTGTGCAGGCTAGGAATGATTACCTTCATTTTATCACCAGGAAACTCAGAGAGGTGTGGTAACTTGCCCAGAGTCACACAGCTTATTCACACAGCTTAAGAAGTGGCACAGATGTGGTTCACAATGAGGCCATCAACAGCATGCTCTTCACCACTCCTCCCCACTGAAGTGGGGGAATACAGCACAAGCCTTGGCCAGGCCTTGGGGCCAGCCTGGAGGCTTGGGGCTTCTGTAGAGGAATTCGTCCAACCTGAGATATAAGAGGATCAAACACACACTGAGGTCAGCCATGGAACTGCACAAATGTGGAGCAGTCCCGGAGAGATGAGCAACCCACTTTGAAAGCCAACTAACTGTGAATATTCAAGTTCCCAAATTAACTGAACCTAGATTTATAAAAGAAGTGCCCTCCTCCCATGGGCTCCTGCCCTCTGGGTTTCCAGTCCTTCCCCAGACTCATCATTTTGGGGGTGAGATTCTAGATTCCTACTCCTTCTGCCTCTGTGCTCTCACCCCCCAGAAACTTCCTTTCCTTCCTTGAACTTGCCTCTGGTAATAGCACCCAGGATACCGCGTATGAGAACAATGTATGTGGCCAACACGTGTAGAGCAGCTCACAGGTAACTGTGTGCCAGGCACTGGGCTACGAACTTCTGGATGTTTTTCTCAGGAGTTCCACAACAATTCCTTCACATGTATTGTTACACAGACACGCCAGACACACAGAGGAGGCCTGCGGCTTAGGGTGTTGAGAATTTGCCTCCCTCCCTCACTGACAGCTTCTGAATCCTCTTGGGACCCATCCTCAGGACAAGAGAAGGCCAATTCTTCTCCATCCAGATTATACAAGGTGGGAACCAGGAATCTGCATTTGTAGCAAGTCCCCTGGCCAGTCATTGTTCTCTCCCTGGGGAAACTGAGTCTTGAGGCAGGGGGTGGTGGTATGGTTTGGCTCTGTGTCCCCACCCAAATCTCATCTTGAATTGTACTCCCATAATTCCCATGTGTTGTGGGAGGGACCCAGTGGGAGATAATTGAATCATAGTGGCGGTTTCTCCCATACTGTTCTCATGGTAGTGATTAAGTCTCACGAGATCTGATGGTTTTATCAGGGGTTTCCATTTTTGCATCTTTCTCATTTTCTCTTGCTGCTGCCATGTAAGAAGTGCCGTTTGCCTCCCGCCATGATTCTGAGGCCTCCCCAGCCATATGGAACTGTAAGTCCAATTAAACTTCTTTTTCTTCCCAGTCTCGGGTACGTCTTTATCAGCAGAAAACGGACTAATACAGGGAGGTTAAGAACCGACTCAGGGGCCAGGCACAGTGGCTCATGACTGTAATCCCAGCACTTTGGGAGGCCAAGATGGGCATATCACTTGAGGTCAGGAGTTCGAGACCAACCTGGCCAGCATGATGAAACCCCATCTCTACCAAAAATACAAAAAATTAGCCAGGTGTGGTGGTAGACACCTGTAATCCCAGCTACTCGGGAGGCTGAGGCACGAGAGAATTGCTTGAATCCAGGAGGCAGAAGTTGCAGTGAGCCGAGATTGCATGACTGCACTCTAGCCTGGGCAACAGAGTGAGACTCTGTCAAAAAAAAAAAAAAAGAACCTACTCAGAGTCACCCAGCTTATAGGCTGCAGAGCTGAGGCTCAGAGGCCAAAGTCCAGCCCACCATCACCTGATGGCGACCTCATCTCCCATGCAACTGAGTAACAAGCACACGTGTGGTACCCAATTTTGGCTGGTCAGGAACTCCGGTGCTCAGGCTGGGAGGGCCAAGGTGAGAATCAGTGCTGCCCAGACCCTAACAGCAGGCTCAGGCCTAGATCTGAGTGCTGCATCCACTCCATCCTCCCAGAGGCAAAGAAGGCTGGAGGAGAACGACTGAGATCCACCTCCCAGAGCAGCCAGGAAGGAGGAAGTTTCATTTGCTGGAATTGGAGCAGCACCACCCACCTGCTTGAGGAGTTGCTAATAATGGCTGAGTTTCAATGAATTAGCAGTGACAATGTTACAGATCAAGGGTTCTCCTGGAACTGAGTGCATTAGCCAGAGATGGTATCCTGAGCATCTTTGCCTCAGGGCTGGGGAGAGGAGGCAAAACGAGGGAGGGAGAAAAGACACCAAGGGTGGAGGTTTGCTACAAATGGGGGAGAGAGCTGAAAAGGAATCACTGGGCACTGAGAACTTTAGGCTAAGGGAAGCAGGACAGCAGAGAATCACACGCTCAGATTCCCAGGCTGCCACTTGACCTCAAACTGATATCCTCCATGTAGAATAAGATTAGCTGACAATAACAACAGCGATGAAATAGTAATAATGACTGGCTTTTACTGAGCAATTGTTAGATGCCAAGCGCTGCTCTCAGTGCTTTCCATACATTAACTAACTTAACCTTCACAACAACTCTACAGGTGAGTACCTGCAGCTATTATAAAACATGACTGCAGTCCAGGCACAGTGGCTCAAACCTGCAGTCCTAGTACTTTGGGACACTGAGGCAGGAGGATCACTTGAGCCCAGGAGGAGATTGAGGCTGCAGTGAGTCATGATTGCACTATTGCACTCCAGCCTGGGCAACAGAGCAAGAAGCTCTCTCTAAATAAATAAATAAAACATGACTGCAAGTTCTTTTTCCTTTAGTCCACTGGGAGATATGGTCTCTGTAATTTTCCCTTGAGTCTGGGCAGGCCTATAACTAGTAGAATACAGTGGAAAGTGATGTCATGTGACTTTCAAAGCTGGACAAGCAAAGGCAAAGCAGTTTCTGCCTTGTTTATGGGAGCACTGGCTTTTGGGGCCCTGAGTTTCCACATGAGAAGTCTCGCTACCCTGAGGTCACCATGCTGTGAGGAAGCTCAAGCTACATGGGGAGGCACTATATGAAGGTGCTTCTGTCCACAGTCCCCCAGGTGAAACTACAGACTACACAGAGCAGAGACAAGCCATCCCCACCATGCCTTATCCAAATTCCCATCCTGAAGAATCATTAGCATGATAAAAATGGGGGCTGTTCTATGCCACAAAGTTTTGGGGTGGTTTTCTACACAGCAGTAGATAATCAGAACAGTATTATTATCATCTCCATTTCCTGGTTGAGGAAGCTGCTGCACCACAAATGATAAAGATGACATCAAGCCCAGGTCTGGTCCCAGAATCCATGGGCTTAAAAGCCCTCAATAAATGATAGTGGTTATAATTACTACAGCCCTGTCATTATTCATAATACTTTTGTGGCCTAATCGCAGAACCTATGTTGACTCCAAAAACCCACTTTGGCAGCTAGAGATAATTAAAAGTAATTACATTCTTTACCAAAGTCTCTCAAGGTGACTCAAAAATGTAGTCCCCAACCTTATTAACATCCTTTTCCCTCTCCCATCCACCTCCCTCATAGCCCACTCTCTCAGCACGCTTTTCAGATTTACTCCCCATAAACCCTCCTCCTCTGCAGGCTGTGCCAGTCTCAGCTTCTCCTCCACCCAGCCCTCACCACCTTATTACCCAGGTAGAAAGGATTCTTCTGCCTTAAAAAATGGGTCCAGGACACATCGCCTGACAGTTCTGGAGTTCTCCACTACAAACAGGTGAAGTGTAGACAGTCTGGCAATGCTCCCACCTCTCACTTGGGCCATTTTTGTCCGCCTCCCCCATTCCTGGAAGACCCTGGCCTTTCTGGTAATTTCAGAAGCTCTGATGAATATCAAGAGTTCGGCCAGGCACGGTGGTTAATGCCTGTAATCCCAGCACTTTGGGAGGCCGAGGCAGGTGGATCAGCTGAGGTCTGGAGTTCGAGACCAGCCTGGTCAATATGATGAAACCCTGTCTCTACTAAAAATGCAGAAATTAGCCAGGTGTGGTGGTGCACCCCTGTAATCCTAGCTACTCAGGAGGCTGAAGTGGGGGAATTGCTTGAACCCAGGAGGTGGAGGCTGCAGTGAGCCAAGATGGTGCCACTGCCCAGCCTGGGCAACAGAGCAAGACCCCATCTCAAAAAAAAAAAAAAATTAAGAGTTCCCCAGAAGCTCCCAGTTTTGGGTTAAAGAAGCCCCAGTATTCCAGGAAGGCAGTGGCTTTCAAAAGATGACATCTTTACCCAGTTGTTCCCAGAGGCATGAATGTTCAAATGTCCAAAATTGGAACTCCTCCCACCTCGTAGCTGACCAACCTCTCCCATGTCCCATCTCAGGGATAATGGCACCCCTCCACCCAGTCAATAACAGCAGCATCCCAGAGTCATGCCAGGGGCCTCTTCCTAAGCCAAGGTCCTGTGGGTTCTCCACCCACACATCTCTCGGATTCTTCCCCAATGCTCTGTCCCCTCTGTCCCCAGCATCCGCTCTCCCTTTCCACAGGTGCCCAAGCCAGGAATTCAGGTGTCCTCTTTCTCTCCTTCTCCATCACAATTCTGGTTGATTCTATACCCTTAAAATCCTCTCCTTCCAGCCTCCTCTCTCCATCCTCACTGTCCCATTATCCAGGCCCTCACCTTCTCTGGCAGGTCTCCCAGCCTCTGGTGTCTCACCTCCCCTGAGTCTTGCTTCAGGCCACTGGAAGGTGAGCACCCTGCTTGTCAGTTTATTGTTGTTTTCCTGGAGCCTAGGACTGCCTGCAGTGATGAAGCTGTGACTGCACTCAGCTCTGGTCCCATCCCAAGCCCACCATAGAGAGGTTGTGGTTCCCATCCCTAGAGCAGCTGAATCTCCATTTCCATATCTTCTGCATCTGTGGATGCCTCGATGCCACCCTGATTCCTGGGTCCTGGATGTTGGGACCTTTCCCCAGAGTCCACTTCGCTGCCTTTGTTCTTTAGGAGCTTGACGCACACCTCAACTGGCCACCCCAATTCCAGCCCTCCTAAGCCCCCTCCTCCACAACAACCTAGGCCAGTTACAGCTCACTGAGTTCGCCACACCCCCCAGGAAGAACTGCGAGTCCTTTCTCTCCACTTGCTTAATGATAATCCCTTCGTTGGCAAAGACTGTTGTTTACAGGCCTGTTTGCTGCACTGTTCTTTTTCTTCTTTTTTTGTTTGTTTGTTTGTTTGTTTGTTTTTTTGAGACAGGGTCTCACTCTGTTGCCCAGGCTGGAGTGCAGTGGCACAATCACAACTCACTGCAGCTTCCATCTCCTGGGCTCAAGCAATCCTCCTGCCTCAGCCCTCTGAGTAGCTGGGACAACAGGTATGCATCACCATGACTGGCTAGTTTTTTAATTATTATTTTTAATAGAGATGAGATCTTGCCAGTTGCCCAGGGTGGTCCTGAACTCCCAAACTCAAGTGAGCCTCCCATTTCGGCCTCTCGTAGTGCTGGGATTATAGACGTGAGCCAGAGTGCCTGGACTCCCTTATTGTTTTTTAAAGAACATTTGTTGAGGCTCTTATATGCCAGGCACAAAGCAGGGTGTTTTCCCCATCATCTCCCTGAAATCCCCACCATTCCCCAATGAGGTTGACATTCTGATACCCATTTACTGATGAGAGCATGGAGTTCCCTGGGAAATTCTGTGTTAATAAGAAAATAAGGGGCATGCATAGGCAATTGGCCAAAGAAGGACTAGAAATGCCCAATCAACACATGAAATGGCATAAATCCTGTGTAGTCAGTGCAGGGTGGCAAGAGGTGCTTTATGAAGTGGGTTAGTCTTTTTTTTGTTCTGTTTTGTTTCTGAGATGGAGTCTCACTCTGTCACCCAGGCTGGAGTGCAGTGGTGTGATCTCGGCTCACTGCAACCTCCGCCTCCCGGGTTCAAGCAATTCTCCTGCCTCAGCCTCCCAAGTAGCTGGGACTACAGGGGCCCGCCACCACACCTGGCTAATTTTTGTATTTTTAGTAGAGACAGGGTTTCACCATATGGGCCAGGCTGGTCTCGAACTCCTGACCTTGTGATCCACCCGCCTCAGCCCCCCAAAGTGTTGGGATTACAGGCGTGAGCCATTGTGCCCGGTTGAAGTGATTTAGTCTTTAAACTCCAAGACAGAGAGCCCTGGGCTCAAATCCCTGTTCACAGCACCATTTGGCTGTGCAACCTTGATCCATGTGTTTAACCCTTTATACCCAGGTTCCCCCACCTGTTAAACAGAGCCAATAATAGTACCTCCATGGGTAGAGCACTGCCTTCTACATGAAACTCAGTAAAGGATGACTTTAAAAATTGCATGTAATTGACACATAAGTAAATCTTCCATTAGCTGTTAGTCAGTAAACAAAGTCAGCAATAATATCTTACCTTTTAGCTATCAGATCGATGGGGAAAATTAACATTGTACAGCTTTGGAAAGAGCTCAAAGGGGAGTGGCATCCTCTTTTGCTGTTGGTAGACATGTAAATTGGCACCATGCTTCTAGAGAACAAATTTGCCCGTTTATATCAAAATTCTGTTATATACAATTTGCATTGTTTATTCTCTGTTACCTCCTGGCACCTGGGACTGCTTTCCTCATGGCTGTGACCCCTGTGCCTAGGATCATGCTTGGCATGTAAACAATTCTCAATACATCTTGTTGAATGAATGAATGAATGAATGAATGTGCCAAATTGACTTAAGACTTCTGCTCCTAAGGATCAATCCCAAACCAGTAGGCAAAGCGGTAGGTGTGAAATACTTAATGAGCATGATTTATAGTAGCAAAAAAAATGGGAATGGCCTCCTGTCCACCCACCCATGCTGGATGAACTACATGAGGGTACAGCCAAAAAGTCCTGTACAGTGGTCAAAAAGTGACACATGTCTACATTCATTGATACCCAAGTTTCTCCGCTACCGTCAATGAATAAAAGAAGCAAACGGTCAAGCAGAGTTTAATTTGATGCAATTTGTGTAAAAGTGTGTGTGTGTGCGTGTGAGTGTGCGTGCACAGGTGTGTTTGTGTGTTTGAAGGTCTGGAATGGTAGTTACTTGTTTCTGGGTGACAGGATTCCAGGGAATAGTTTTTCTTTCTCATGCCTTTCTGAATCTTTTGATTTTTTTAAAATTGAGAATATGTAAACTTTGCAAGCAGATAAACTAAAAACAAATTAAAGGACAGAATATTAAAAGGGAAACAGAAGGAAAGGGAACAGAGAAGAGAAAGGTGAGATGCAGAAGCCAGGATATTGAAGCCTGAGGGGCATGCATGCAGGTCCAGCCCTGGGCAAGCTTTCTTGTCCCCACCCTTCCCAACTCTTGCCTGCCTTTCTCTCTCCCTCCTCAGGGTGGGGTGGGGGGTGGGGCAGCAGGGTCAGGGGTGCTGCTGCAGTTATTCCTGCCATGAGAAAGGCAAGGGCATCATCTATGGTGGAAATACAGCATCCACCTAATGCTCTACTTCCATCTCGTTTTTTAGAGGGAAGTGGGGAGCACCCCATAATCACCAGCATTATGGACAACTGAGGAAGGGACAGGACCACATGTCATAATGGCAACAGCAGCAATAACTGTAGAGTGTAAGCATGACAGGCACTCTAACAGGCATCGCATGCCTATTCTGTACCTGGCTGCAGGCTCTGCAGCATGCATTACCAAACCTAATGCTCACCACAACCCTTGTCGGGTGGTACAGCTGTGGATATCTATTCAGTTGACTGTCATTGGCACGGCTAATAATGAAAACCATCAGCATGCCTGTGTCTATGATGGGCTTTATATCCTACATACACATAAAGTGCCTTAGATGAATTAACTTAGGTGATTACTACAACTACCTATGAGATCCATACTATCATCCCCATTTTATAGATGAGGAAACTGACACACGGAGAGGTTTAACTTGCTCAAGGATATCAAACTAATAAGAGGCAGACATAAAAATCAAACCCAGGTTATCTAACTCCAGACTCCAGAATTGTGCCCTCTAGGCTGTACTGAATCTGAGGTTCAGGAACCATAAATTGGCAGCCAGGGTCTCACTGTCAGCAAAGCTGCAATGGATCGGAAACACCAGACTCAGGGCCTCTTGGTGCCTCTGTTTCCCCAGTTTTCTCTGCAAGGCTGATTGCTCCCCTTACCCCACCTCCCGGTAGCGCTCAATCTAATTAATGCTTGTGAAGCTGCAGGGCAGCTTATTTAACAGGTGTTCCCAGAGCACAAATGTTTTCATCTTTCCTCCTCAAATGCTCCAGACAAGTAAGCACTTCCCAGCTCAGAAACGTGTATTAACCACCATATGTTCTTATTTTCTGTATTCTTGATGGTTTAACATCTTAAGGGTCTTGCCCAGCTGGGGAAAGACTACCCTTCCCAGGGCCAGCTAATTCCTAGAGATGAGTGTGCCTTTCATATGCAAACCAACAAGTCCACCTCTTAAGCAGAGATAGTAATGGTACCTCCATGGATAGAACACTGCCTTCTACATAGTACTCAGTAAATGATGGCTTTAAAAAAATGCATGTAATTGACACGTAAGTAAATACTCAGTAGCTGTTAGTCAGTAAACATAAATGTACTGTGCCCAACTATCTCCTTTATGGAGCTCACATTGGTCACCCCTGCCCTAATCACCCCAGGTAACAGGCAACTAAAGGCAGTTCATACACCTCAGAGCCTGCTGGAATTATTCAAATTAGCCGGTCCTAAACCAGCTTAGCCTGTTTACTCTGCCTCGCCCGTTCCTTCCTGGGAAAACCACAATAAAGGCTTTCACCCTTACTTTTCCCTCACCCCTTCTGCCTCCTGGCTGACCCTGTGTCTCCCTGTGTGGCCCTGCAAAGGGTGGCATGCCCCCTTCTCCTGGGACCTGTGAGTAACAAACAGTCTTCTCAATGGCAGGCATCTCCTGGTCTGTTGGCTTCATCATATCTGAGTGATAGTGAGACACATCCCAGCCTGCCTTGAGGAAGGGTGGCCTAGTCAGGGGGGCACCTATGACATCATAAATCTCTACCTAGGAGTCCCCTCTCTCTATGGCCTGCAAAGTCCCCTTCTACCTAGCACAGCCCCTCAGACTCTGTTCTTCTTATATTTGCTTCAATGAGAGATTTTGCACCACGGTTGCTGAGAGTGCGGGTTCAAGGCCCTGCTGTGCCATTTCCAGGCTGCGCTCCCCTGGGCCAGTTGTTTAACCTCTCTGTACCTCAATTTCCCCATGTGTAAAATAGGAAAATAATTCGAACTGGGACTCCTGAGAAGGGAAGAAGGAACCAACATTGGTTAATACCTATGACAAGCACCCTGTGAGGCAGGCATCAGCACCCTCATTTTGCAGGCAAAAGGACCAAAGTTCTGAGAGATGTATGTTTTCTGCAGGTCTGGCAGAAAGAAACAAATGGAGCCATAGTATAAGCCTATTTTATTGCATCTCTCTTCTCCCATTAACAGGGTTGGTACTAGGATGCAGCAAGCAGAATACTGGAGGTGCAAAATGTCAGAAGCCACTCACTCGCAGGTTTGAGCACTTGGGAACAGGTGTGTGTGCTTAAATTTTAGACCCTAGATGCCTCGTCTGCCTCACTCTAACCCCTGCCCTGCCCACCAAACACTCATGCTAAGGCTAACTTTCTCTCCCAATCCTACCCCCAGTATAAGTCTGGGGAGCTCATCTTAACTAACCTACAGGGAAAGAGAGGGCCTCCTGGGAACAATCTTTTACTAAACAAAGAAAGCTAAGGCTGGGCTTGGGGTGTGTGTGTGTGTGTGTGTGTGTGTGTGTGTGTGTGTGTGTGTGTTGCGGGGAGGCGATCTAATATTTCCAGGGCCCAGGAAGCAGTTGGGGGTCAGGGTGCTACAACAAAAGAGGGACCCTCCCTCCAACCTGTCAGCCCAGAACTCTACCCACCACTAAGAATGGAAGTGCGGGTCCCAAGAGCATTTTCTCCATGCTTTTTCCCACTTCATCGTTGGGAAGAGTTCCTAATAATAATAGCTACCCCTTGTTGCTGGCTTATGTGTGTAACCCTAGCACAATGGCAGCCCCCATGTTCTGGTCTCAAGGCAACATTATGGCTAAGGAACCCAGCCCAGCAATCAAAAAGGAATTTCAACATAACTCAAGTTCCCATGTGTATTTCTCCATCCACAGGATTCCTAGATCACAACAGCAATTCCTTTTTCTTTACTATCATCACCTCCTGAAGACTCCTGGGATCTCTCTTCTCCCCATGCCTCCTAGTGCCCCTTCTCCTAAATGGCTGAACCTTTTCCCTCTCTCTTTCCTCCCATTCCACAGCAAAGAAGCCCAAGAAATCAGTCTGGCCACTGCAGAGCCTGCCTCAAAGGTAGAGTTTAGGCCGGGTGTGGTCATGCATGCCTGAATCCCAATGCTTAATCCCAGCACTTTAAGAGGCTGAGGCAGGAGGATCACTTGAGGCCAGGAGGAGCTCAAGACCAGTCTGGGGAACCTGGCAAGACCTCACCTCTACTAAAAATAAAAATTAAAAAATTAGCCGGGTGTAGTGGTGCATGCCTGAAGTCCCAGCTACTCCAGGGGCCGAGGTGGGAGGATCTCTTGAGCCCAGGAGGTCAAGGTTGCAGTGAGCCATGATCACACCACTGTGTTCCACCCTGGGGAACAGAGCAAGACCCTGTCTCAAAAAGTAACATTGAGCTTTAAAAGACTTTAACAGGTACAGGCAGAATTCTCTGACAGATTGAAAACAAGCAGAGGTTAATAATTTCCACTTGTCACTCAAATGTACCCTCTTCATGTCTTTACAACAGACCAATTCCTACTGCTGGTTACCCACTTCCATACAGGACAATGCCATCACCCAGCAGCTCAAGCCAAAACCCCAAGGAGTTTGATTCATCCGCTTCCCCACATCCTACATGTGATATATCAGGACATCTGGCGCTTGTGCCTCCAAATATACTCTAATTGTGTGTCTACCTCTTGCCTTCTCTGCTACTGCTGACAGTTATACTCCAGCAGCCTCTGTCACTGCAACAGCCTCCCCACTGGTCTCCCTGTTATCGGAAAAAGGGTCTTGATCCAGATTCCAAGAGAGGGTTCTTGGACCTCGTGCAGAAAAAAAATTCAAGGTGGGTGTCAGAGTACAGTGAGAAGAGATAGTTTATTGAAAGCTGCTTTGTTATAGAGTATAGCATCCTCCAAAAGCCGGCAGAGGAATACAATGTCTTTGGTGTAAGCTTTTCTTATATAGGGGTCTTGTCTATGTAAAGACTACGCTAAGCTGTGCCTACGTGCGGGTAAGTAGACAGCGTCACAAAATGTGTTATTCTATTGATTTGAAGAAAACTATCCTTGACATTCCACTGTGTGAGTACATCAAAGCATAACTACAATTATCTTGAAGGAATATGTTGTTACGGCTGTTAGGATGTGTGGACTTTCTGCTGTTGAGGGAGTGTGTCCTTGTAGGTATCTTTAGGTTGTTTCCTCAACTATAAACATCTTATGACCCTGAGTCGTGACTGGTAAAGAATGTGCCTCGCTAGTTTTAAGATGGAGTTGATTTTAAAATGGTGTCGCTCTGGCTCTCCTAGGCTCCAGCTTCCCTAACATTTCTGCTTCTGCTATTTCCCACAGGTGGAGTCCATTGTACACACAGCAGCCATGGTGACTGCATACAAATGCAAATCAGAGCACGCCATTCCTCTGTTTAAAACTTTGCAACAGGCCAGGCCCCATGGCTCATGCCTGTAATCCCAGCACTTTTGGAGGCTGATGTGTGCAGATCCCTTGAGCCCAGGAGTTTGAGATGAGCCTGGCCAACATGGCAAAACGCTGTCTTTACTAAAAATGCAAATATTAGCCAGGTGCAATGGTGCACGTCTGTAATCTCAACTACTCAGGAGGCTGAGGCATGAGAATCGCTTAACCCGGGAGGCGGAGGTTTCAGTGAGCCAAGATCACACCACTGCACTCCAGCCTGGGTGACAGAGCAAGATCCTATCTCAAAAGAAAAAAAAAACAACAACTTTGCAATAGCCTCCCATGTCCCCAGAATAAAATCCAACCCCCACCCCACAGTGAGCTACAAGGTTCTCCATGATCCAGATCCTTCCAGTTCCTTCCCATTCAAGCTTCCCCTCCAACGCTGCCTCCTCTGAGACCCCAGTCTGATGATTTCCTCTGATGCCAAGAATTCCCCTGCCATGGTGCCCTCTCGTTCCCTTGTGTATCACCCCAGTTTCTGTAGTCCCTGTCATTGATGGCTTTTGTTTTGTTTTGTCCCTCATTTACCACCTGTCTCCCCAACTAGAGAATAAAGTCCATGTGAGAGCCCCTTCCTCACCTGATGCTGCCTTTCCAGTGCCCTAGTATGTTGTCTGGCCAATAATCACTTAAATACTTATTGACTAAATATATGAACACACAAATCAGCAATCCACTAAAAATACATTTGCATCAGTTTGCCTGCAGTAACAGAAAAGGACTCAGCCTGGCTTGAGCAATGAGGACTTTTTTTATTCCCCATAACAGGAGTCCAGAGGTCAGATGGGCTCTGAGTGTAGTATGATCAGGGCTCTGGCTCAATTTCTTTGTGGTTATCTCAGCTCTGTCTTTCTCCAAGTGTTAGATTTATCCTCAGACTGGCTGCTCTTATGAGCACACGTCAGCCACCAGGAGCAACTGGAGTAAGAGGCTTCACTGTTCCCATCCAGTAGGAGAGAAAAAGACCCTACCACCACCACCTGCCCCAGACAAGACGATTGGCCACCCACTTGGAATGCCATACACCGATTGGCTTAAGTCTGGACTCCTAGCCAATCACTGGCAATCCTGACCATGCTTGAGGACTCTAACTAGGATCATCCATCCTAGCCCTGGGGATAGATCCTGCTTCCCATATATGTAAATGGCTTCATCAGGGAGGGGCGAATGCTTGAGCAAGACAGGAGTCCCCTTAGGAAGAAGGAATGGGGAGTGAGTGTCGCAAAGGTGCCCTACAAAATTATTATCCCCATTTTACAGATGAGGGAGCCTCTGCCCAGAAAGGTTGGGTTATATGCCTGATATCGTTTGGATCTGTGTCCCCGCCCAAATCTCATGTCGAATTGTAATCCCCAACGTTGAGGGATGGGGCCTGGTGGGAGGTGCTTGGATCATGGGGGTGGATTTCCGCCTTTGGTGCTGTCCTCATGATAGACTTCTCACAAGATCTGGTTGTTTAAAAGTGTGTAGCATGCCCCCCAACCCCCCAGCAACTTTCTTCCTTCTACTCCAGCCATGTAAGACGTGTCGGCTTTCCCTTCACCTTCCACCATGATTGAAATTTTTCCCGAGGCCTCCCCAGAAGCCATCAAGCTTTCTGTAAAGCCTACAGAACCATGAGCCAATTAAGCCTCTTTTTTTTTTTTTTATAAATTACCCAGTCTGAGTTATTTCTTTATAGCAGTGCAAGAATGAACTAATACAGTGCCCAAACTCGGAGTTCTTCTGCAAGGAAATCTAGATTTGAACCCAGACCTCCCTGACTCCAGGGCTTGTAGTGGCCAGGTTCGAAGCTCTCCAAGCCTGCTTGGATCAGCGTGCCCCTACTGGGGAATGGCCAAGGGGCATGCTGGGGAATGGCCAAGTCTGGTTTCCCAGTGATGCTGAATCACTAGAGGGGTCCAGTGGGGGTGGGATTAAGATTCCACCTCATCCTCCCAGGTTTTTTTTTTTTTAAATCCTCCCCAGTCCTGAAGGTCTGGTCTTGGTCCCCAGGTCCAGGGAACATCCACAGTCAACCCAGTCTTGAGGGTGTTCCCGCCTCTACGTTCCTAAGCTGCAGTCCCCTGACGTGGGATTCATCTCTGGGAGTAAACTCCCCATCCCCTGCCTCCCTAAGACTGCCACCTGTGTAAGGTAGAACCCACTGGGATCCACCACAGCCTCCCTACTCACCACACTCCTCCTTGCACCTTCTGTTCCAGCACGGCTCCCTCTCTCTCACCTCCGTGATTTTGCATGGGCTGACCATTCCCTCTGCTTGATACACTATATCCCTGCTTCTCTTCTTTCTCTCCCCATTGCTCACCTCTTCATCATTGTCCCTCACTTCTTAGCTTATGACCCTACAAGTCACCTCCCCCTGCTTCAGTTTTCTTATCTGAGAAGCAGAATTAATAATAGAATTTTTGTGGAAAATAAATGAGAAAATGCACGTAACATGCTTAGAACCCTGTTTGGCATGTAGTCAAGTGTTTATGAAAAGTTTGCTATTATGATGATTATTATCTATCTCATCCTTTAGGTCTGAGTTTACACATCACTTCCTCCAGGAAGCCCTCTCTGAATATCTCTCCCAAGTCAAAGTTATTTGCCCTGCTCTGTGCTCATACACATCCTGTGTAGGACAAGAGGCTATCACTTGTCACACCAAAGTAATCATTTACTCATCCCTGGCAGCAGAGATGACAGTGTCTGTCTGGTTTACCCTTATGTTCTAGGTGCCTAACACATTGCCTGCCACACTGTCACGAATAAATAGACACTTATGGGTAAGAAAATCAATGAACAACTGAAGTAGCAATAAGTCTCTGTACACCTGAGTCATTGGGCCACCAGTAGTTTCTCAACAGTGATGACAAGGATTTTCATCTGCTCTGAGAACTTCCTTTCCCTCCCTGCCCCCTGGTGAACACCAGCCCAGAGTTTAGCATTCAAGCCGTGATTAGTGCTTTCTCTTCTCCCCAGCCTGCCTTTCAGAACAGATGCCTCTCCCTCCCAATCAGTCCCCTCTACTGCTGCACCTGGTGTTTCATCAAAGGACCCTGATTTCCCTCCCGCCGCCCAAATCCATCAGACACATTTTGGCTGCCAATAGGGGCTGACCCTCCCCACCAAGGCCAGGCCCTACCCTGGCAGGGAAGCAAAACCTGGGCTCCGTGGCCCCACCACTCCTGTCCCTTCTGAAACCATGTGCACTGTTCACAGATACAGATAATCCATGCAGGCAAATGGGAAACCAGGCAAAGATAATCCAAAACCAGCCGAGGATCCAGAAGTCATTTCTATTTGGCTTTGAAGTGCATTCAGTTAAACTTATTTTTCCCCTACTATAGATTTAACTTCTTAATCCTCTTTTACTTCAGCTAATATTGAAATGAGTTTGCCTGCCCTATGCACACACTGTGTGTGTGTGTGTGTGTGTGTATGGTGGGGGTTGGGGGACCCCAGGATGCACCTAATGATTGCAAGCAATGCAATCAGAGATTTGAAGCTGGTCAATGCAAGGAGCCAGGCCTGCTGGAATCCAAGGACCTGGGGTGCAGCAACCCCAGATACAGACCCTGAAGAGGCCAACAGCGGTCAGCAGGTCAGCCAGGCCTCTGCCCTGCTGTCTGACACGGGAGGCCCTCTGGCTGCACAGCAGTCCAGCCTCCAAAGAAACAAAGGGCGGCCCCTCTCCACCACCCCCAACACATACGCATGCAATTACACACATACATATATACACACACATACACACATGCACATACACACACGAGCACATATACACACACGTGCATGCACACAATACACATATGCACACACATACATACACGTGCACACATGCACACTCACACGCATACACACATACATGTGCATACATGCACACACACATGCACACACACACATACACATATGTGTGCACAGGTACACACATGCACATACACTGCACCAGCGTTTCCCAGGGTGGAAAAATTAATGCTTTTCTCAGGAAAAAAAGAAGTCAAAAATAACTTCTCATTTACTTGGGGGAAGTTCTCAGAATCCTGATCTATGACAGAATTCCCTGCATTCCTGAGAGGAGAGGAAGCTCCCAGTCACACCTCCACCCTCCCATCCTCCCGGCCACTGGGAACGCACCCTCTTTCTGGGTAGAAGGGGTGGGTTTGGAGGTAAAAGCTCATCCCCTGTCAAGCGGCTCACCTGGAGCACGCCATGTAACCTTTCAGAGTCTCAGTGCTGTTTGAATGAATGCTAATGCCTGGCGTGTTACCTGATCAGGTGCCTGTGGGGAAGTGTAGACAATGGCATTGAATATGGAGTCACCTGGGGATGCCGTCTTAGTCGCCCACCACCATGATGGCAGATGATGTTAGCTGAGTGCTTACTTAACTCCAGGACCCATTCACAGAGTTTTGAGTAGATTAGCTTACTGAATGCTTCAACAACTTTACAACACAAGTATTATTATTCTACTCTCTTTCTACAAATGCAGACATGAACGCTTAGAACACTTACTGAGCAGCCTCAGGTCCTCCAGAGCCAGGATTCCAACCCTTGCCGAGTCCTGGACCACAGTGAGATACAGCCATGTCCACAGGCCCACAGTGTAGTGGGGATGCAGGGATGAAGAGATGGATAGGACCCATCTGCTCCTAAGGAAACCAGCCCTGTCTTTGGAAATGAAAACAGCCAGGCTGCTTAGGCCAGCCAGGGAAGGACAGAATGCACACAGTGACCCCAATGATGACCCCAATAATCCTGATGACCCAGACCTTAACAAGAAGGAGAAATCACCCAACTTTAGACAAACACGGGTACCTCATCCCTCGCTTTATCCCTATCTCCATCTGCCTTGGACATTCCTTCAGTCCTTTGACAAGCCTTCATTGGAGCCCTACTGTGTGCCAGGCCCTATAGGAGGTCCTGGGCACTGTCAGGCTCACCTGAAAATCACCTACCCCCTCCCTATCAACGAAACCGAGAAAGTCCCAACTGAGGCAACCAACACTCCCTGAACAGTTGGTTAGACTTGCCTGACCCCTGCCTCTAGTCCTAAGCTAAGCTGGGGGTTTTCAAGGGATGTGGGCATTGGGTCCTTCTGTGGGGGCAGCCCTTGCTGCCCCTCTGCAATGCCCTTCTCATGAGGAGCCAGCAGCAGATTGAGGCACGAGGCTGTGCCGCAGAGAGCAGCTGGGGAGGGCCTCCTGGTGGTGTGGTTTTAGTGCACGTAGGCGTGAGGAGTAAATTCTGTCTCCACAGGAGCCCTGGATGTCTCTCTTCAAAGTCATTCTTGACAAATAAGGGTCAAAGCCTCTTTTTCCAGCAGATGATTCTCCTTTCCTGATAACTTTGTTCCTCTTCAAATCCCTTGTCAAACAAGATAATGGAGAGTTCAGGACAAGAAAGTCAAAAGATGTGTTTTAACATTGAATATGCCGCCAGTTAATTAACTGCGTAACCTTGAGGGAAAAGTCTTCTCGGGGCCTCAGTTTTCTCATCTGTGCAATCAGTTAGCAATGCCATGCCTCTTCCACGGCAGCGTCCAGGCAGGCACGCTAAAAGGTCATTTATTCATCCAGCAACTTTTATCATCACAGAGTATGCCCTATGTAGCAGGTGGTGTCCTAGGTACTGGAAATATAGTAATTTACAAGATAAAGAAGTTCTCTGCTTTAATAGAACTTGCATTCACTTTATTTGGATTCACTGAATCTAAATGTGGCCTCAGAGTCCTTCTGAACACAGCCTTCAAGGCAGCCTCTACTAATTAGATTAGCATGAAAGAGAATCTCTGTATCAGTCAAGGTTCTGTTGTTTCCTGACGTTTTCCTCTGAGGGTTCTCCAGAGAAAGAGAACATTTCATATATAGAGAAAATGAGAGAGATGGATTTTAAGGAATTAATTCAGGCAGTGTAGGGGCTGGCAAGTCTGAAATTTTTAGGGCAGGCTGAAAACTCGGCAGGATTTCCATGTTACAGTCTGAGTCTTGAGGCAGAATTACTTCTTCCTTTTTCCTTTTTTTTTTTTTTTTTTTTGAGATGGCGTCTTGTTCTGTTGCTCAGGCTGGAGTACAGTGCTATGAGCTCAGCTCACTGCAAACTCCGCCTCCCAGGTTCAAACAGTTTCCTGCCTCAGCCTCCCAAGTAGCTGGGATTATAGACGTGTGCCACCATGCCCGGCTAATTTTTGTATTTTTAGTAGAGACAGGGTTTCACCATGTTGGCCAGGCTGGTCTCGAACTCCCAACCTCAAGCGATCTGCCCACATTGGCCTTCCAAAGTGCTGGGTTTACAGGCGTGAGCCACCGCACCCAACCAGAACTACTTTCCTGGGAAACTTTGGTTTTGGTTCTTAAGACCCAGAAATTCAGAGACTCAAGACAATAAAGTTTTATTCCTCTCTGATGTTACGTGTCTGCTGCAGGTTGGCAGGTGGCTCTGTCCCTGAGTCACTCAGGAACCCAGATGGGTAGAGGGACTCTGAAGGATGCTATTATCTCAACTTCTAGAGTCTTTGTGAACATTTCAGAGAGATTGTGAAGAATTCACACATGCGTCTAACCGATTGAATGAGAGCCCCCTACAATTACCCCATTACTGAGGGTAATCTGTACTTAAAGTCAACTGGCTGCAGGTGTTTATCACATCTACAAAATACCTTCATAGCAACATCTAGACTAGTGTTTGACCAGACAACTGGGCACTGTAACCTGGCCAAGCTGACACATAAAATTGAACCATCACAGGCTCGTTTTCTCATCTGTAGGAATAACCTCTAAGCCAACATTCAGCACTGACAATCTAGGACTCGAAGTTTTTAATTCTGTATAGATCTTGGGGAGAGTACTGTCTGCTGGCAGTTGGCTGAATCATCAAAGAGTCCACTTAAGTCTCAACAAGAGAAGTTAGGAAAGCGTATTTCTGAGAGGACGATTTAGACAATCACCTCCACAGAACTCTCTCAGGATGCTTTGTTAAAATGATCTGTTATTATCAGCCAAGAGCACTTTCTTCTTGTTCAACTCAGAACTTGGGAATGCAAACTTGACAAAAACAAGCAATGGGGAAAGGATTCCCTATTTAATAAATGGTGCTGGGAAAACTGGCTAGCCATATGCAGAAAACAGAAACTGGACCCCTTCCATACACCTTATGCAAAAATTAACTCAAGATAGATTAAAGACTTAAATGTAAAATCCAAAACCATAAAAACCTTAGAAGAAAACCTAGGCAATACCATTCAGGACATAGGCATGGGCAAAGACTTCATGACTAAAACATCGAAAGCAATTGCAGCAAAAGCCAACATTGACAAATGGGATCTAATTAAACTATAGAGCTTCTGCACAGCAAAAGAAACTGTCGTCAGAGTGTACAGGCAACCTACAGAATGAGAGAAAATTTTTGCAAGCTACCCATCTGACAAAGGTCTAATATCCAGAATCTACAAGGAACTTAAACAAATTTACAAGAAAAAACAACCCCATCAAAAAATGGGCGAAGGATATGAAGAGACACTTCTCAAAATAAGACATTTATGTGGCCTACAAACATGTGAAAAAAAAATCATCAATGGTCATTAGAGAAATGCAAATCAAAACCACAATGAGATACCATCTCATCCCAGTCAGAATGGCGACTGGGATTTTTTTTTATTAAAAAGTCAGGAAACAACAGATGCTGGCAAGGTTGCAGAGCCATAGGAACATTTTTACACTGTTGGTGAGAGTGTAAATTAGTTCAACCATTGTGGAAGACAGTGTGGCGATTCCTCAAGGATCTAGAACCAGAAATACCATTTGACCCAGCAATCCCATTACTGAGTACATATTCAAAGGATTATAAATCATTTTACTACAAAGACACATGCACACATATTTTAATGGCAGCACTATTTACAATAGCAAAGACTTGGCACCAACCCAAATGCCCATCAATGATAAACTGGATAAAGAAAATGTGGCACATATACACCATGGAATACTATGCAGCCATAAAAAAGAATGAGTTCATGTCCTTTGCAGGGACATGGATGAAGCTGGAAGCCATCATTCTCAGCAAACAAACACAGGAACAGAAAACCGAACACCACATGTTCTCGCTCATACGTGGGAGTGGAACAATGAGAACACATTGACACAGGGAGGGGAACATCACACACTGGGACCTGTCGGGGGGTGGGGGCAAGGGGAGGGATAGCATTAGGACAAATACCTAATGCATTTGGGGCTTAAAACCTAGATGATGGGTTGATAGGTGCAGCAAACCACCATGGCACATGTACACCTATGTAACAAACCTGCACATTCTGCACATGTATTCCGGAATTTAAAGTAATTTTTTTTAAAAAGACAAAACAAAGAGAACTTGAGAATGTACAGCCCTTGGCCTTTTCAGAAGGCTCCATCTTAGAGCAAAAGGAACTTTCCAGGTCAGTGAAGTTTTCTCCACATTACCTGCCCTTTCTACATTGGCATGTGACTTACACTTCTCTGAGCCACTGAGGGAGGGGACAAGGAAAAAGCATAAGCCTCTGCCATAGACCAGGCCCTGTGCTTGGAATGTGTATCGATCAGGAATAGCCTAGGGACAGATCAACCCAGAAATCTCAGGGACTCAAGGCAATAAAGTTTTATTTCTCTCTGATGTTATATGTCTGCTGCAGGTTGGCAGGTGGCTCTGTCCCAGAGTCACTCAGGGTCCCAGATGGGTAGAAGGACCCTGAGTGATGCTGTTATCCCAACTTCTAGAGTCTTCATAGACAGGTGAGGAAGAGTGTGAATAACTCACACATGCTTTTAAATGTCTTGGTCTGGAAGTGGCATATATTATAGCTGCTTGCATACCATTGGCTAGAACTAGTCACATGACCCCCACATGACTGCAAAGGGGTCTGGGAAATGTAGTCATCTGTATGCACAGGAAGGAGAGAAGAATCAGATCTGCTGAGCATAATTCTTCTTTATTACAGTGCCTTTTAATCTGCAAATATTGCCTATTCTCATGCTTAACTCACAGCAATATTCAGCAGCAGATATTGTGCTTATTTAACAGATTTGGGGGCATCTCCTATGATCCAAATGCAGGAGCTTTAGTGTGGGGATTTTCAAGGGCTACTTTTGGCAGCCCAAGATCTTTTATAAATTCATTCCTGGTTCTCACCTCTATTCTTGGCCAGTGGTTCTCAGTCTGGGTGCTATGACACGCCAGGAGGGTTCCCCAAAGATAGGATACCAAAAAATGCAAATTATTTGCTTTGTTAAAAAACAAACAAACAAACAAACAAAAAACAAAGCACAGACATTAGAGTGAGTTCAAGGTTAGCCCTAGAATAGCAACAGTCTGCGAGGGTACAAATGGAAAGGGTGTAAGAACAGGTACAAAGACACACGGAAATATTTTTCCCTCAGGAATTTGCATCTCATCAGACAAAAGGCTTAGGAGCCACTGCTCTTGGCTGTGGAATTTTCCAGTCAAATGCCCCTTACAAAGCAGCAGAATTTGTATGTGACCATTTGAGGGGAGACAGCAACAGTCATTACATTGGATAGACCTGTGGTCTTCCTGCCACACCCATGAGGGAGCAGTGTGGGGCAGAGAGGGGAGCATGACCCGAGATTCAGGCTGATCTCAATCAGAACCGTGGCTCTGCTCAGCACCAATCCTGTGACCTGGCTCACTGACCTCCTGAGGCTTGGCTTCCCCCTCCTGTGAAATGAGGAGAACAGTGTCCATCTCCCAGATTGTCGAGGGAACTGAACAGGAAAGTGCGCAAGAATCTTCAAGCAGGTGCTTGGCTCTCTTTTTTACCCTCCCTTCCCCTGACAGATGGACATTTGGTGTGAGGGCCAGATGTGTTGGCATTTGCCACTACAAACCCAGAGGGAGCTGCCACATCCACCTTCACCTGCCAGAAGGTGTTTCAAATGCTGTACTGTGGGGGGAAAAGGAAATGAGTTAAATCCTCAAGTACAGGAGCTTGGTTAAATAAACTCATTCAGATTAATGAAGATTGTGTTGCCAAATGTTTACAAGAAACTTGAAGTAGCAAAGGAAATGTTTATGATACAATTTGAGAAGGAAAAAATAGGACACAATATGGTGTATACAAAATGGTATCAACTATGCAAAAACAGAGTTCCTGGCCTAGGAAGAAGTCTGGAAAGATATACTCCATAATACAGTATGGGTCTACCAATGAGCATTATCCTTTTCTTTACATATTGGATTTAATTTTATGTTTATTTTTGTTGCAATTTCAATTTTTTGTATTTTAATCTCATTTAAAATATGATAAATTATTATGAGAAAGATCTCTTTTTAAAATAATGTGAATATGGAATTCCCAAAGGTACCAGTTGCACCAGTATGTCAGAGATCTGGCTTGTTAGGTGTTGCGTGTGATTGGGGCAAGCAGGGTGTTGCATAGAATGAGAAGCAGCAAGCACTTTGGGGAGAGCAGAGCTGAACTCGAATCCTGTCCTACTCCTTTCTAGCTCTGTGACCTTGTGCAAGTTGCTTCAATTCTGAGCGCCAGGATGCTCTCAGGTCAAATGAGGATGAAAATTCTCACCTCATGGAGAACTCATATAAAGTCCCTAGCAAAAATCTTTGACACAATGTAGAAGCCTATAGCAGGGGCCCAGTAGATTCTAATTCTTTTTCTTCTCTACATCCAGTGGGCATTCTGGGGTGGGTTCCTGACCACCACCTAGGTTGGGACACTGGGAACTGCTGCCAAAGCCTCTTGCCCAAGATCAATGGGCAAGAACTGACTCACAAACTCAGAATCCCTCATCCGTCTCTACTTCCCCCCAACCAAGGCTGGTCCATGCATCCTGAGTGATTCCCCCACGACTCCGGATCTCCTGAAACTTGTCTGCAACTCTCTGTGCAAGTCACGAAGTATTGCTGTCGACAGATTCCTCTTCAAAGGGACCTTGAGTTAAAGAGCAGCTTCTTCCTTTACTGAAAGCCTTTGAAGTCCAGGCCCTGGTAAGCAGAGTGATTAGGCAAGATGGCCTTGACAGGTTCCTTCCAACCCAAGGGTCTGAGATTCTCTTCCCGCTCCTTCATCATATGCTCTGAGAGGTAAAGTGGGCTGAGCTGGGCTGGTGGAAGCTGTTGCCATAGCCTGGGATGTCCACCTCCCTCCTGTGTACCCTCCAAGCACACAAGCAACTCCTCTTCTAGAAGCCCTCCTAACCTCACCACTCTCCTTCCAGATTGGCTGGAGCCCTCTCCCCTAATCCTATTCTGTATCCTTCTCAGTAGTGTAACTGCCTTGCAAATGACTGTCACCACTCTGGATGCTGGGCTTCTTGAGGGCACAGACTGAGTCTTGTTCATCTTCATATTCCACCCAAGGCAGGATCTGATGCAAGGCACTTGCTCAAGAGATGTTTGCTGAATTAATTAATCCCACTTGCCCCCAGAAATAAAGTCTCACCAATGAGGTTAAGGCTTAGTTGTGACCCCCTTAGAAGGAACTAGCATGTATGAGTGTATAATCTCTGTACTAGGCATCCTGCTAAACCTTTTTATTACCCCTTTTTAATTCCCAAAAGTACTCTAGGAGGTAGATGTTATTGTCCCCATTTTACAAATGAAGAAACTGAGGCCAAGAAAACTTAATTGACTTACCAAACAAGTGACCGAGTGGCAACTCAATCCCTGGCTGTGGTCCAAAGATTGGGCTTTTGTTTTATATTTATTTCTTTATTTTGAAACAGAGTCTGGCTCTGCCACCCAGGCTGGACTGCAGTGTGCCGTCATAGCTCACTGCAGCCTCGACCTCCTGGTCTCAAGTGATCCTTTCCCCTCAGTCTCCTGAGTAGCTGGGACTACAGGTGCACAACACCAAGCCCAGCTGAATTTTGTTTTGGGTAAAGATGGGGTCTCATTATGTTGCCCAGGCTGGTCTCAAACTCCTGGGTTCAAGCAATCCTCCCACCTCGGCCTCCCAAAGTGCTGGGAGCCACATTACAGGTGTGAGCCACCATGCCCAGTCAGATTGGCCTTTTCCACACTTTCTCTGTCACCTCCCTGTCAGAAGGTTAGAAGCTGTCTCCAAAAATTTCTTAATTATTTCCCTTTGAAGACCTGCTATGGTCTAAAAATATATCTATTTTTTAACAACTTTATTGAGGCATAATTAGCATACCATAAAATTTGTCTAAGTGTACAATTCAATGACTTTTTAGTAAATTTTGCAGAGGTTTAACAATCACTGAAATCTAATTTTAGAATATTTCCATCAACCTAAAAAGAAACCTTGTGCCTATTAGCAGTCACTGTCTGTTCCCACTCCCAGCCCCAGGCAAACACTAATCTACTTTCTGCTCAATAGATTTGTCTTTTTTTTGACTTTTCATGTGAAAATGGAAATAGACAGCATAGACTCTTTTGTATCTGGGTGTTTTTTTTTTTCCACTTAAATATTGAACACTTGGGTTGCTGCCACTTTGGGGCTCTTATAATATTGATGCTGCTGTGAATGGTCACATACAAGTCTTTGAGTAAGCTTAAGTTTTCATTTCTTTTTTTTTTTTTTTTTTTTTTTTGAGATGGAGTTTTGCTCTTTTTGCCCAGGCTGGAGTGCAGTGGCGTGATCTCAGCTCACCGCAACCTCCACCTCCCGGGTTAAAGCAGTTCTGCTGCCTCAGCCTCCCAAGTAGCTGGGATTACAGGCACCCACCCACACCCAGCTAAGTTTGTATTTTTTTAGTAGAGACGGGGTTTCTCCATGTTGGTCAGGCTGGTCTCGAACTCCTGATCTCAGGTGATCTGCCCACTTCAGCCTCCCAAAGTGCTAGGAATACAGGCGTGAACCACCGCGCCCAGCCAAGTTTTCATTTCTTATGGACGGAACCGGAAAATTACAATTGCTATATCATATAAAGTTATGCTTAACTTTTAAGAAGCTGACAGACTAGTTCCAAAGTGGCTGCACCATGGTCCATTCCCACCAGCAATGTGTGAGGGTTCCGATTCCTCCACGTCCTCACCAACACTTGGGATAGTCTTTTTTTTTTTTTTAATTATAGCCATTCTAATGGGTGTAAAGAGTATTTCGTTGTGGTCTTAATTTGACCTTCTGTAATGACTAATGATGTTGAGCGTCTTTTCATGTGTTTATTGGCCATTTGAATATCTTCTATGGGGAAATATCTACTATAATTTTTTGCCAATTTTTGTTTTTTGAGGCAGGGTCCCACTCTGTTGCTAAGGCTGGAGGGCAGTGGCGTGATTAGAGGTCACTGCAGCCTCGACCTCCCAGACTGAAGTGATCCTCCCACCTTGGCCTCCCAAGTAGCTGGGACTATGGGTGTAAACCACTATGCCTGGCTAATTGTCGTATTTTTTGTAGATCAGGGTCTGTCCATGTTGCCCATGCTGGTCTCAAACTCCTGGGCTCAAATGATCCTCTTTCCTCAGCCTCCCAAAGTGCTGGGATTACAGGTATAAGCCACCGCGCCCGGTCCCTTTTTGCCCATTTTTAATTGAGTTATTTGTCTTTGTGTTGTTGAGTCAGTCATAAGAGCGTATTTCTCCTCAAGCCACAATATCACAATTGCTTTTGGGAGAAGACAAGAGGGGCTTATTTGGTGGGAAAACAGATCCAAGCATAAATCTTGGTTTTGCCACTTTCAGGGTCTGGGGTTTCAACAAATACCTTAAGGACTTGCCAAGAAAGGGACAGAGTGGCAACTCACTCCCTGGCTGTGGCTTCTGCCTTCTCTGCTGTTTCTGTCTTCTCTGCTTGCAGAGTAGTGATAATAACACTCTCTTGAAGGGCCGTGGTGTACATCGATTGCAATCATGCAAATAAAGCATCAGGCACATAGTAGGTCCTCATCTTTTATTTACTCAACAAGTTGGTATTGAGCCCCGTGTTGTGCTGGGCATGACTGCTGGAGCTGGGTAGACTGAGGGAACAAGGCAAACAGCCAAGCCCCTGCCCTCATGGAGCTTACATCCTAGAGAGGGAAACAAGACAATATGCAAACAACAAAGTAAATGTATGATATTACATCAGGAAGTGATAAGTATAAAATAAAGCAAGATGAGGGGACGGAGTGTGGCCAGGAGTGGCATGGAGCCCCCTTGGATAAGGTGGTTAGAATATATTAGTTAGAAGACAGGTTTGTCTGAGTGTAACAATAGTCCAGAATAACAGGGGCTTACACAAAACAGAAGTTTCTTCTTTCTCACTTATCACCAGGACTGGTTTGATGGCACCACTTCTCAAGGTTAATCAGGCACCCTGGCTCCTTCTAGAGTGTGGTTCTGACTCCCCTAGAGCACAGTCCGCCTCCATGCCACCTCGTCCACACTGCACAACGCAAGAGGGAGGAAGCCAGGAGAAGAGGCACACACCCTCCCTTCTGGAAGTGCCTGGAAGTTGCGCACATACCTTGCCCTCATATTCTATTGGCCAGCACTTAGTCACATGACTGCATCTCACTGCAAGGGAGACTGGGAAATATACTCTTTATTCTGGTGCCCAGCCAGTCATCCAGCTAAAACTCAGGGGTTCTATCACCTAGAGCTAAGAGGGAGAAGATGTTTAAAGATATCAACTGTCTCTGCTATGGGTGGTCAGGGAAGATTCCTCAGAGGAGACTGCTGAGCAAAAACCCAGGTGAAGTGAAGAGGGGAGCCATGCAAGATTCTTGGGGGAGAGCATTCCACAGCAGAGGAAACAGTGGTTCCAATGTTCCTGAGTCAGGAGGAAGTGTGGAGTGTTGGAGGGAAAGCCGAGCTCAGTGCAATCCATGTCCCCCATGAGGCTGAGCAGGTGTTGAGGCATTGATTGAATCACTGTGTTGCTGCTGACTCTGGGTCAAGTCTTGCAATGTTTCTCCAGCCTCTGCCTGGACATATGCACACAGGCATATGCATGCGCACACATACACGCGGTCCCCTGGCCACTTTCCTCTGCTGGTTCTTCATTTCACAGTAGGAGCCCAGCAGGGGGTTCAGCCTGTCAGGCTAAAATAGCCACAACTCTATCATCTTCAAAGGAAGAGTATACTTTTCCATTAGTGGCGCACAGACATCCAGAACTGCTTTTTGCACAGCGGGAGATTCTCTCCGAGCCGTCGGTTTAGCCTGCAGCTCTTGTTCCTATCAGCAATCCTTTGCAGAAGGAGGCTGTGGCATTTCCCGACCTTTGTGATGGGGGCTTGGGGATCGGGGGGCCCTCCTAGGGCACATTACGTTGCATGGTGCCTTGCACACTGGAGCTGAACAATAAAAGCATCTGGGAGTTCAGTGAATCTTCCCCAGATACCTGCTTTGCCTGGAAGTCTCCTTTCTGCCTAGAAGTCATTCTTCCCCTCAGGGATTGTATATCCTGGTGGTTTAGAGCAAGGGCCCTAGATCCAGACTGCCTGGGTTCAAATCCTAGCCTGACCCCTTACCAGCTTTCTGTCACTGGACAAAAACCTTAATTCCGTGTTCCTTCATCTTAATTCCATACATTTCCATCTCTTCATCTGTTAGACTGACGATCTTAAGAATACACAGCACAAAATATTCTAGTGATGATGAAGTGCTTGTGTTGGTGCCTGGCACATGTATTAAATGTTGAATGATAGTACTATTATGCTGATGAACTCTCTTTCTGAGACTGATCCTGACAGAACCCCTCTCTGCCTCTGTACAAACCACACGGTGTGTGTATTCATGTCTCCCTTTATTCATCATTCTATTTCAGGGTTTTTCATGACCTACTTAAACTTTGGTTTGCCTTCTGTGCTCAGCTTTTTCCACACTCCCTCTTTCTTTCTCTTCTCCAGCCACTCTGGCTCTCCTTTCTGCAGAAGTTATACTCCTACAGCAGGGCCTTTGCATATCCCTCTAAGTGGGAAGCTCTCTGCCCAAGAATAAGACATCTCGCTTATAAAAATGGCTGATATTTGTTAAGCTCTGACTTGCACTTGGTGTTTGATGCTAAATATGTACATCTTCCATGTGTTCACTTGTGAATTCCTCACGACAATCCTAATGAGATAGATGCGATTATTGTTGACTGCAGTGGAGGCTGTGGTGTTCCACGCCCCCACCCTCCCCTGACAAAGTTAGATCACCCCTTTCAGGGCCAAGACGCCTATTCCTTCAGCTGTCAGGAATGTTGTTAGCTCACAGCTGAGTCCCTCCCCAGGCTTCCCCTTAGCTTGGGAAGACCCTACCCTAAAGGCTACATCCTTTCCTCCAGGAAGCCCATCTCTAATGACCAGTCGGATCAGGGGCACAGATGCTCAGCCCTTTTGCTTCAGTTTGGGATAAGCCTGCAGGGCCACCCTAGCATCATAGCCCCCTGGGAGGCAGGCTGAGGCCTCTATTAAGGCAGAGTCATAGTTCAACTCCTCCTTCTGCCCAGTTCTACGTCCTTCACTCCCCTGACGGCTTGATCCAAAAGGCATTTCCCTGTAAACTAGTTGCTTTCTAAAGGAATCCAATCTAGGAAATTGATGCCTCATGAAATGTAAGTAATTAGGCTAATACTTACATGAAATGTAAGTAATTAGGCAGAGCCAGAATTTGATCTCAGGTCATCTGGCCTCAGAGACAAAACACTAATCCACTGCACCAACAGCCTCGCTCCTTCCTTCCTCTCTGTCATGGCATCATGAAACCCACCCTTAGGATACTTCCCTCAGGTGTATAAATATCCCACGAAGGTCTGTCTACCCCGGACTGTGAGCTCCATGAAGGCTGGACTGAAATCCATTTTGCCACAGCATTCCTGGTGCCCAGCATGTGATGAGCAATGCATATTGAATGAATGAATGAATGAATGAATGAATGAATGTCTATCTCTCTCTGCTATGTATGAGGTTTCCAAGAGCAAAGAATGTCTTTATCTCTTTATCCCCAGTGCTCCACAAAGTGTCCTGCAAGGGAAGTCATCAGTGTGCCCATTGAACGCAAACTGACCTGTCTTTCCAGCATGTTCACCAGACACGCTGCCTCCTGTGCCCACTCACACATACAAGTGACCAGCCATTCCCCTAGTACCCAGGTATGTTATGTCTCTATAACTTGTTCATTCCGTTCCCACTTCCTAGAATTCCCTTCTGTCTTCTTCATCTACTGGAAACCTCTTCACATCCTTCAAGCCTGTGGGTAAGCAAGTCCTCTTCAATCCTCCCCTCCTGGGCAGATTTTGGGCTCTGTCCTTTGCACTCCATGGCATGTTTGTATCACTGGTTGTGCCCTACAAAATGGTAGTGTGGCTTATTTCCTGCTCAACCATGAACCTCCTGAGGGCAAGAGTCATGTCATATTCATTTCTACACCCCCAACCTGGAGGCCTGGCACCACGGGTTCCCAGAGGATGTGTAAGATGGAAGAGATGAATGAAAGAACAATATTACTGGGTAACCCTTTGAGCACTACGCAGGAGCAGGCACACTTCTAAGGTATTAACACACAGAATTCTCAGGAGGCAGGTACTGTTCTTAGTCCCATTCTACAAAGCAGAAAACAGAGGCACAGAAGTGTCTAGCAATTTATCAATGAATGAGAGAAGAATTCTCCCAACTTGAGGGGCTGCTGTGGGTGTGAGTGTTGCCATCCTGAATGGCCTAGAGATTTGAGAGGAGTTGGAAGACACTAGTGTTGTTCTTCCTCTACTCTCTCTGCAGGTCATTCTCTGTTCAGAGCAGCGAGGAGAGTCCCTGCCAACCAGGAGCCTCCCACCCCACAAGCGGCCCTGCAGAAGAACACATCTCTCTGATGTTTCTCAGGTTGAGACTCCAGTGGCCTCCCAGCTGCTGGCACCAGAGCCTGCCTTTGTTTGTGGTGATAAGCAAATTCCCAGAGTGTGCAGCAGGAGCAGCTTGCTCTTGGGTGGGAATTTGGAGCTGGCCAAAAGGGCAGGGAAGGATTCCCAGGGAACGTGGCCCTTCTGGGACACCGAGGCAGCAGCTCACGTTCTGTCCTCGTGGAGGTGCTGAAGCCGGGAAAGCTCACCAGAGCATCCACGCCCGGATGATTCACAGGCCCAGGTGGACAGGGACGAGACCCTGATGGCCATGTTTTCAGAGTCTAAGCAGCTTCAGGGGAATCTGTGTTTTCTGCTGAATGATGTGGGGTGAGAGGGGACCAGAATTTGGAGAGCGATTATGGAAATGGGATTCAGGAATTGAGATCGCCAAGTTGAGTCTCTGCTTCCTAGAAATATGAGCCTGGCAACCTACAGAATGGGAGAAAAATTTTGCAATCTACCCATCTGACAAAGGGCTAATATCCAGAATCTACAAAGAACTTAAACAAATTTACAAGAAAAAAACAAACAACTCCATCAAAAACTGGGCAAAGGATATGAACAGACACTTCTCAAAAGATGACATTCATGCAGCCAACGGACATATGAAAAAATGCTCATCATCACTGGTCATCAGAGAAATGCAAATAAAAACCACAATGAGATACCATCTCATGCCAGTTAGAATGGGGATAATTAAAAAATCAGGAAATAACAGATGCTGGAGAGGATGTGGAGAAATAGGAATGCGTTTACACTATTGGTGGGAGTGTAAATTAGTTCAACCATTGTGGAAGACAGTGTGGAGATTCCTCAAGGATCTAGAACTAGAAATAGCATTTGACCCAGCAACCCCATTACTGGGTATATACCCAAAGGATTATAAATCATTCTACTATAAAGACACATGCACACGTAGGTTTATTGCAGCACTATTCACAATAGCAAAGACTTAGAACCAACCCAGATGTCCATCAGTGATAGACTGGATAAAGAAAATGTGGCACATACACACCATGGAATACTATGCAGCCATAAAAAAGGATGAGTTCATGTCCTTTGCAGGGACATGGAGATGAAGCTGGAAACCATCATTCTCAGCAAACTATCACAAGAACAGAAAACCAAACACCGCATGTTCTCACTCGGAAATGGGAGCTGAACAATGAGAACACTTGGAAACAGGGCGGGGAACATCACACCCTGGGGCCTGTTGGGGGTGTGGGGCAGGGGGAGGCATAGCGTTAGGAGAAATACCTAATGTAAATGATGAGTTGATGGGTGCAGCAAACCAACATGGCACACGTATACTTAAGTAACAAACCTGCACGTTGTGCACATGTACCCTAGAACTTAAAGTATAATAATAATAATAATAATAATAATAATAATAAAGAAATATGAGCCTGGGACAAAGGGGTAGAGTAAACCAGGAGAAACAAAATGTGAGCAGCTTCTCCTGCACCTCCATTGACCCTCGGGCTCCATGGGAACACTTCCACTTTCCCGTGCCAGGCCCAGAAGCGGGCTCCTCCCCAGAGGAGGTGCCACTCGAGGGAACAGTGACAGAGTCTGGGGCCTCAGCCTGGCCCAAGTCCCTCCCCAATCACTTTTGCTCAACACCCCCGTGTGAGCTCCTGATTGCTACTGCTCCACGTTACTGTGGACTTACTGACTCAAAACAACACTCTCTTACAGTTAGTTCTGGAAATCGGACGTCTGACATGGCTGTCACTGGACTAAAATCAAAGTGCCAGTAGGGCAGGGTTCCATTCTAGAGGATCTTGGGGAGAACCCATTTTCTGCCACTTTTTCCAGTTTTTTGAGGCGGCCGGCGTCCCGGGGCTCCTGGCTCCATCCTCTGTCTTCAGAGCCAGCAATGGCCGGCTGAGTCCCTCTCACATCTCATTACCGAGACAGACTCTCCTGCCCCTCCTTCTGCTTTTAAGGACTCCTGTGATCACACTGAGCCCCGCAAAACAACTCAGGACAGCCCCCCTGTTTTAAGGTCAGCTAATCAGAAACCTGTTTCCCACCTGAAGCCTTCATTCCCCTTTTCTGTGTAGCTGGACACAGTGTAGGTTCCGGGCATTAAGACATGAACATCTTTGCAGGGTCGTTACTCTGCTACCACACCCCTCACCCCAGATCCAGTGACTATTCTAGGGACACCTCCTGTGTTCCAGGGACCTTCCCACACAGCCATCTCACTTCCTCCTCCCAACCACCCTGGCAGGTCAGGGATATTACACCAGACCATGTGTGATTTTCAGGGGCTCTGAGCACTTTTGCCTTGATTCATAAAAAGAAATTCTATTTTCCTACAGTGGTATAAACAAATATAATCTAGGCTGGATTATATTATTTTTTAGTTTCTGATTTTGAAAAGAAATTAAGACATTTCATTGGCCCCTAAAAGTGCCTCGGCCCCCAGTCGTGTGCCTGCTGTGGTCAATGTTGGCCCTGGGAAGAGGCAATGTGACTGGCCCAGGCCAGCAAGAGGCAGAGCTAGGGCCATTCCCAGGGGCCCTGCCACTAGGACAGAGCTTACTTCACCAGCCACCTGCTGATCTTCAGCAACAAAACAGCTCCTGGCAGAATCAGACTCAGCCATGGGGACACTGGAGGTCATTTGGCCCAAGGCCCTTATCTTACAGATGAGGATCTAAGTGCTCAGAGATGGCATACTGCGCTCTTAGGGACACACAGCAAGTCAATACTGTAGCCAGGACCAGGACCTGGTCTCCTGATTGTCCATCTAGCACTCTTCCCTGCCCTCAGCTCCTCCCCTCTGCTCTGCACACACACACGCACACACACACCGTTCTCCCTGTCATATGCGTGCAGTGTCAATATTAACTTTGGTAACAGTTGTGTTGACTGTTCTCTACATCTGAGCTATTTAGGATCTACTCAGTGCACTTATTTTACAGGGGAAACTGAGGCTGGAACAGCAATGGCCTAAGCCAAAGCTACTCAGCAGGTATGAGGAAAGTCAGGGCCCAGCCCAATTCTCCCGACTCCCGATCCTCTGCTGTTTCTGGCTCTGCCGCACCCTTGCCCACGCAGGTACAGCTGATCACAGATGTCAGCACCAGCCTCCCTTTTACTTCACCAGCCTACAGAGGCAGAAGACTGTGTGACTGGAAGGTTCTGGAAGAGCAGGTTCCACGTCCTCCTCGTCCAGACTTGGAACAGTGGCTGCCTCAGACTCAGATCTGGAGCAAGAAAAGCCAGTTCCAGGAGGCTGCTCTGGGGCTACTTGGGGTCACCTTCCGGCCTTTGACTTTAACTCTGCCATGGGGAGAGGCAGTGGCCGGGTGCCCAGGCTGGGTGAAGGGTTACTGGGTGGAGCCTGAGGTTCAGGCCTTGCACTGCAGAGGAGTGATGGCCCTCCCCTAGGTACTTCTGGTTTTTACTCTATGTCATTTAGCCCCTCTGAGCCTCATTTTTCCCACCTAGGAGTAATAATTATATCTACTTGTCCAGGCACGGTGGCTCACACCTGTAATCCCAACGCTTTGGGAGGCTAAAGCGGGAGGATCGCTTGAGGCCAGGAGTTCGAGATCAGCGTGGGCAACATAGTGAGACTTCATTTTTCCAAAAAAAAAAAAAGAAAAGAAAAGAAAAGAAAGAAAAAAGGAATAAAAAAAGCCAGACATGGTAGTGCACACCTGTGGTCCCAGCTACTCAGAGGATAAGGCAGGAGGATTGTTTGAGCCCAGGAGTTCGAGTCTGCTGTGAGCCATGATCACACCACCACTGCAGTATGGGCAATAGAGTGAGACCCTGTTTCTAAATAATAGTAGTAATAATAACAACACCTCTCAGGGTTGTTGTTGAGCATTAAATGAGGTGCTTAGCACAGTGCGTGGCACATAGTGAGGGCAAAATAAATGTTCGTGACAATTTTCATTGTTAGAATTAATAGTGATTAGTTGCAGGACACGAAGTAGCCAATGCTTGAACTGTCTCCAGAAGACCAAGAGGAATGGATGGCCTAGGAAAGGAATAGCACAGCCTCTTAGAGGAATGGTGTAGGAGCAGAAGCCAAGGCCAGAGGGGAAGCAGAGGATGGAACACTGACCAGAGAACCACTGCGTGGCCTCCAGCACCACAGAGAAGGACTTGATGGGGCCTCAAGGCGACAGAATCTTAGATCTCCACCCACCATCCTCTGCAGCTTCCCACTGGTGGAACATACATTCAGGATCTTGCATCACAGGAGAGAAACTTCCAATTCCCCACCCATTTTACAGATGGGGAAACTGAGACCCAGAGAACAGGACTCACTTATCCAAAAACACACAATGATTTCATGACAATGCCAGACCCCAGCCCTGCTTCCCCTGAGTTTTGAAGGAAATGATTGTTCACTTTGTTTTTGGAGATTTCAAGTCTTCAAATCACTCAGCTATCCTAAGAACAGTTTTTCTTTTCTTTTTGTTTTATTTCTAAGCCTTATCTGACATCTAACTCAACACAATCCACTTGACCCTGTAGCCCTGAGAACAGTTTTAAGAAAGAATATTGTTCTCCTCCCTGTGTCCATGTGTTCTCATGGGGGGAAGAGCATTAGGGAAAAGAGCTAATGCATGCTGGGCTTAATACCTAGGTGATGGGTTGACAGGTGCAGCAAACCACCATGGCACCTGTTTACCTATGCGGCAAACCCGCACATCCTGCACGTGTACCCCAGAACTTAACAAAATAATAATTTTTTTTTAATAAAGAATGGATTGCTCAGCTCAAAGACTGCAGCCAGCTCCACTCCGACAGCCCCTGCTCCAGCCACATCACTGACCTTCCAGCAAATGCAGCTGCTCATTCCTACCTCAGAGCCTTTGCTGGAGCTGCCCTCCCTCCCAGAAAGCCCATCCTCAGGAATCTCTCAGCAAAGCCACGTCCCCTCCCTCCAGATGTGGCCTCAGCACCTCCTCTGTCCCCTCCACCTTCCAGAGGTGGCCCTGATGGATCTTGGCCCTGATGACAACAGCTTGTAGCCTCTCGGAAATTAAACGAATGAAACTCTTTCTGTACTGCATTTATTTGCTCTTGTTGACAAGGCAATTTTTAAAGTGTCTCTCAGTCTATTCTCATTTATTCATTTATTTACTCAACAAATGTTTATTGGACCCCAAGTGGGAGCCAGACCGTGTCACACACACTGCTCGCCCTCATGCCTGTCACCTCCCTCCTCTGCGGAGGGCAGCCACTGAGAAGGGAATGATGTAGGAATCTCACTGCAGCTGCACTGGGTCCAGGAGCTCCGCCTTTGTCTCAGGGTGTCTTCCTAACCGACAACCTTGCAAGGTAAGAAAGGGTCTCTCCCATCATCACAGATGCTACCCAGAGATAAGGACTGGTTTCAGAACCATCTTGAATTCCCTACTGGGTGGCAGCAGGGCTCGGTGGACAGCATGTGGGCTCTGGAGTCAGACAGATCAGCTTCAAATCCCAGCTCTGCCATCTCCAAGCTGTGGAACTTGGACAAGGTCACTTCCCAATTGGGCCTCAGTTTCTCCTTTGTGAAATAACACTGGGGCCTCCCAACTCATCAGTTTACTTTCGGCTGGGGTAGCAGCCGAGGGGAGCCTGCAGCCTACAAGCACGTGGGGGAGTGAGGACAGTTTGCAGAGCGCAGGGTCCTGAAGCTGACTTTTCAGTCCTATTTATTTAGAGATAGAGCCTCGCTCTGTTGCCCAAGCTGGAGTGCAGTGGTATGATCTCAGCTCACTGCAACCTCTGCCTCCCAGGTTCAAGCAATCCTCCTGCCTCAGCCTCCTGAGTAGCTGGGATTACAGGTGCATACCACCATGCCTGGCTAATTTTCATATTTTTAGTAGAGATGGGGTTTCACCGTATTTGTTAGGCTGGTCTGGAACTCCTGACCTCAGGTAATCCACCCGCCTCGGCCTCCCAAAGTGCTGGGATTACAGACATGAGCCACCATGCCCAGCCTTCAGTCCCCTTTATGCTGACTGGGGGGTAAGTCACCCCTGTTGTCCCACCTTTGATGTGAGAAAGTTGGACCAGGGCTCTCCAAGGCCTCTCTCAGCTCTGAGAAGCTCTGATTACCGGAAAAGCAAGCCGGCTGCCCAGAAACAGTGGAGGCCCAGGCTCTGCCTTGAAACACTTGAGCTTCACCTCTTCTCTGGGCTCTCAGGCAGTGGCTGTGTTAGTCTATTTTGTGTTGCTGCAAAGGAATACCTGAGGCTGAGTAATTCGTAACAAAAGGAGGTTTATTTGGTTCACAGTTCTGCAGGGTGTACAAGCATGGCACCAGCATCTGCTCAGCTTCTGGTGAGGCCTCAGGAAGCTTCCAATCATGGCAGAAGGTGAAGTGGGTACAGGCATGTCACGTGGCGAGAGACAGAGCAAAAAGAGAGAGGTAGGAGTTGCCAGGCTCTTTTTACACAATCAGGTTCTAGTGAACGAATAGAAAAATAACTCACCCATTATCATGAGGACAACACCAAGCCATTCACGAGATATCCACTCCCGTGATTCAAACACCTCCCACTAGGCACCCCCAACAGTGGAGGTCACATTTCAACATGCGATTTGGAGGTGACAGGACATCCAAGCATATCAGCGATGGAAACGGAAACACAGCACCTCCGAAGACAGAGAATAAAATACGCAGCCTTCACCCATTGCCAATTAGACAGATGTGACTAAAACCATGTGACAAACAGCCCCACCTCCTTCCAGCATAGTGCCCAGAGCCAGAGTACAGAGCTGGGACACGATCTTGCATGATGGAACCTGGGAAATCAGAGCTTGGAATGCAGACCACAGAAAAGAATTGTGCTCCCGCAGTGTGGAGGGACAAAATAATGGGGTTACACCTGGGGGACATAGACAATGAATCACACCGCTTAAGCTCCTCTCTCTCCAAACGTTCACTCTGTCACTTCCTCCCGGTTCTTGGTGACTGCTGATGAGGGGAGCGACCAAGCTGGCATTATCTGGAATGTTCCAATCAAAGGAAGTCCTTCCCAGATTCTTATCTCCATCTTTCTTGTCTTAAATCCTACAATTCACTTGCTCTCCATGTGGAAATTTCTGGCCACTTTAACACCTCATTCCTTTTCTAGTGCTTAGAGCTCCGCCTACGTGTAGACCTGTGCATTGTGGTCTCCAGCCCCAGAGCCCTTGTACCCAGTGGACTCTGCTTCCACTGCCTTTTCCCCACCTTGTCTCCCAGCCAAGTCCCTCAACTCAGCTCTAAGAGCCTTTCCCCAAAGCCCTAGTTCTTTCCTCCCTGTTTCCACAAAGCCCTCCGTCATGGTTCATTATAATTTGCTCTGATGTATTCCCTCCGAGCTAGACTGTGGGTTTCTGGAAGGCTGGGAGTGGGCCTGATAAGGCAGATGGGAAGGTTCCATTGCAGATCTGAGGCTGAGCCTACCAATTGGGTGAGTTTTGGCCTCTTGGAACCTCAGGGTTCCCATCTGCAAAGTGGGAACGATCACTTCCACCCAATGGAATGTATATTAGTCCAGGAAATGGACACTAGCTTCTGCAACCAACAAACCCTGGAATCTCAATGGCTTAACCCAATACCAGTTTATTGTCACAATTGCTGGTGAACTGGGTGGCCCTGGTCCATCTGGGACATGTGGCCTCTAAGATCACCATGGCAGGGAGAGAGAGGAGGACGCAACACGCTCGTTCTTTACTTCCTGGATTCAGAAGCCACTGGTCACTTCTGCTTGCCCTTCCTAGGCCATAATTTAGCCAAATGCCACCCTTGCAACTTCAGGGGAGACTGGAGAATATAGCTTTACTGGGTGCCCAAGAAAAGGAAACTGAACCAGGGTTTAGTGAACACATAGCCTGTCTCCACCACAGATTTGTTATAAAGATGACATGCCAAGGAATGTGACGTTCCTAGCTGAGTGCCCCTCACATAGTAAATGCTCGACAAAGCTGCTAATTCTCCATTTGTTTCTTCATCCCCAGGCCCAGGCTCTAAGGAATCTGACTCCTAACAGAGGCCGTGTGAATGCTGGGTGCTGCCCTCCAGTCCCGGGTCCAGGCGTACCTGGCTGTCTCACCCTGTAGCCTCCCCTCCCTCCTCCAGCTCTCTCCAGCCCTGGCTGGGGCAGCTCTCACCACCTTTTGCACCTGGGAGGCTGTCTCTTTTCAGAGCATTGATTTGTAATCGGCCAGCGCAGCTCTAATGGGCCCGCAAGACCCCTGGCTGCACTGTGTTAGCTCCATTTAGAGGCTCAGGGCTGTGGAACACAAACAAACCTCCCCTGCCTCTCTGGAGCCAGCACCGGCTCTGGAGTCCCGGGAGAGGCAAGAGTCAGATCAGTTCTGAGGGCTGCCTGCCGGGGCTCCTTACCCAGCAATGCCCACCCTCACTCCCTCCCACAGCCTGTCTCTCCTGGCTTGGGCAGAGAACTGGGAGCTGCAGCCACACTCAGCTAGGCTCTCAGTCCATCTGGGTCCCCCCTCCCCACTGAGGGTAGACAGTAGAGGGTCTCTGCTTCTCTTCCTATTGGGGGTCTCTTGAAAAGAGCACAGGACACAGGGGCCTAAAGGACAGTGTGGTCCTCAATGCACCTTAAGTCATTCCATCATCACTACAGCTTATATCAAAGTAGGTCTTATTGGCCCCATTTTACTGATAAAGAAATTGAGGCTTGCAGATTGCAAAGCAATGTTTTCTAAACATATTTGGCCAGACAACCCACCCACTTTTTTTTTGCATGGAGTAAACCCAAAGCACCCACTTCAAAGCATGCCAATCATGGCGACCTATTTCTCACCCACAGCTGATCCAACACATGCTTCCCGGGAGCCCAGTGTGTGCCCTCCTTTAGCTCAGGGGTTCTGAACCGGGACTTCAAAGGCCTGGGACCTTCCAGCATTCGCATGTGAAACATTATCTGAATGTGCATCTTTTCAGCAAGGGTCCATAACGTCCAGTAGATCCTCAGAGGCTCCTAGGACCTGGCATAAGTGAAGAGCCCTTGCCTCGGCTTGAGTCCCTGTAGACAAGGCCCAGTTTTGATCTGGGGTTTTGCAAAAGCAACCTGAATGGCAGAGATTCAGGGAAGAGCTCCATGAGAGTGGGAGAAATGGCCCGTGTTACAGCAGTGACGAGAGGACAGTAAACCGATGAGCTTGGCTGGAGCAGAACAGGTGTTTTGTTTGGGAACAGTGACAAATGAGGCTGGCGCATCAAGGGGACCTCGGAGAATGGGCCAAGGCATTTAGATTTGATTGGAGAGACCACGGGGAGCCACTGGCCATTCTGGAGCCAGCAAGTGGCAGATCGGGAATCAGGTTTGCAAGAAAGGCCAGCAGGAGTGTAGAGGGGTAATGTGCTATGAGGACGGCGCTCCATGGGCAACTGGATCCAGGGAGATTCCTGCTGCTTTAGGGGTAAAAGCAGGGCTGGTGACTGTCAGGAGTATTGCAACGGAGGAGAGAGCAGTGATGCCATGGGGAGACAGCACGGCTGGGAGCAAGGTCCTTGGATCTGAAGGCTCGTGGTTTGAATCTCAGTTCAGCTGTTTCCTAACTGTGCAGCTTTGGGCAAGTAACTTATCCTGTCCTCTGTGCCTGGGTTTCTTCCTTATAAAACAAGGATAACTGTGCCTGCTTGGTGGTTGTGAACATTCACTTAAATGAGAGAAAATGCACCTGAAGAAGCCCTTAGCAAGCAGCAAGGCACAATCATCAGCACTTGACAACGGTGGGGTCTGTTATGACCCCTCAATCCATCCTGTAAACACTTACCAAATCCCTGCTAGGCACCAGGTGCCCTCCTGGACATCCTAGCATGTTTGCTGACTATAACTCAATGAGATGGATGGCATCATGCCTACTTGACAGATAAGGAAACTGAGGCACAGAGAAGTTTTTTTCATAATCAGTAGTGACGTCTGTTAGGGTTGATCCAGAAGCTCAAATGTTAAGAGGTCAGTGACAAAAGTGTGACCTCTCTCTGACCCAGGGTGAGAGAAAATGTGCTCTTGATGTTCAAGGTCATACAATTGATTGATTCTTGGGATTGTGGGTGAATGGGGTGCTGATCCAGGCACTGACAGCATCTCACAAACTGTAACATGCCCAAGAATCACCGGGGATGGGATGCATGTGAAAGTTCTGACCTTTTGAGGCTGGGGTGGGGCTCAAGACCCTGCATGCTAACCAGCTCCTAAGTGATGCTTCTTTTTTCTTTTTCTTTTTCTTTTTTTTTTTTTTTTGAGACAAAGTCTCTCTGTGTCACCCAGGCTGGAATGCAATGGCACAATCTCAGGTCACTGCAATCTCCACCTCCCGGGTTCAAGCGATTCTCCTGCCACAGCCTCCTGAGCAGCTGGGATTACAGGCATAGGCCACTGTGTCCAGCTAATTTTTGTATTAGTAGAGATGAGGTTTCAGTATGTTGGCCAGGCTGGTCTCAAACTCCTGACCTCAAGTGATCTGCCCACCTCGGCCTCCCAAAGTGCTGGGATTACAGGCGTGAGCCACCATGCCTGGCCAGTGATGCTTTTTTGAGTAGCAAGGATTTCCAAAGAATGGATTTGGGGTCCACAGACTTGACCTTGGACAAGAGACTGAGCCTCAATTTCCTCATCTGTAGAATGGGTACATCTTATCAATCTTGCAGGGCTGCTGTGAAGATTAAAGGAGATGATGTCTGCAGCCTTAACTCTTATTAGTAAATACTGGACAGCATTTACTATTAGTAAATATCAGTAAATAGTAATTAGTAAATTAGTAAATACTAACTAGTAAATAGTAATCAGTAAATAGTACATTAGTAATTAGTAAATAGTAATTAGTAAATAGTATTAGTAATTAGTAAATACTGGCCAGTATTTACTAATAGTAAATTAGCATTACTAATTACTAGTACTAATTTACTATTACTAAATAACAAGTTTATTATTAGTAAATACTGGCCGGTATTTATTAGTTACTAATACTATTAGTGAATACTAATATTGGGGTATTGCAAAGGAGGAGAGAGAAGAATAATACTAAAACAATTTAGTAATACTAATTTACTATTAGTAAATACTGGCCCGCATTTACTAATATCAGTAATTAGTAATGTATTATTATTCATATTTACTGTTACTATTACTATTGGCTCTGAGCCCTCTGTGAAAGTCTGTCTCTGTATGCAGGGAGACAGAAGGTCATTCCCACATATTCAAACCTCAGGATGCTCCTTTAGTTCTGCAACTCCTTCCACCCCAGGAGAAAAAAAATCAGGATGCATTCTGCCATCTCAAACAGCACCCACGAATCGTTTCACATTCAATTTCCCCATCAAATTCACAGGCACGAAGCTCATGCTATTATTCCATTTCCTAATGATCTGTGTGGTGGCAATTGTAAGTAGGACATTTCTTCATGCCCTTGGCACTCCCAAATCTTTGAAACTCCCTTTCTAGGCCAGACCCCCTTCCTGGCAGCTGTGGTATGCCTCTCCCCTTCCAAAATCCTGACACCACCTGCCCCTGGTTTCTGCTTATCCAGAACATAAAGGAGCAACAGTACCGTGTCTCTCTGGGGAACAACACTGGTTCTCCCTTGTGTTCCACGGAGGTGAACTTTGGCAGCAGGCAGCAGGGCAAGCTGAATAGAAGTAGGTTCCAAGGTGAAAGAGAAAACTGTGTGAGCACCCCCTGCATGCCATTTACAGGCTGCGAGACCTTGGGCGAGGAGGTCACCTTGCCTCCAGGAAGCCTCAGTGTCCTCATCTGTAAGATGGGGATGATAGCCACACAGGGTGGCAGAATCAAAGTGTCTGGTCAAGTGCTCTGCCCCTAATAACCGTGACAGCTATTTGTTGAGGTTGTGTGAATGGATGGTGTCATGAGATGCCCTGGAATGAGCTGCTATCTGGTCTCGGCAGGCGGCATTCCTCATGGACGGTCCACTGCTGTACCGGTTTGGCCTCACCTTTGCAGCCTCAGAATACCAACTGAGTTAACATCATCAGAGTAACTACTCCTGCACCAGCATCTCCCTAGACAGAACAAAACAGGGGCCTGGGGGAGGCAGAGGCGGAGAGCTATTCAGTACATTCACCACTATGTAATGCATAAGACTGACCTAACTGAATAAGGCGGGGTTTGGAGGACCCTTGCAATGCCAAGCATTGGCTTCTAGTTCATAAGTAGGGGGGAGGTCTGAAGGGGTCCTGGGGGAGTGCCAGCCAGGCTGCTGGGGTTGGGGCAGTGCCCTTTTACCAACCGGAATGGAAACTTCTCAGCATTTTAACAACCAGTATGGATGGTGAGCCACACATCAGCTGGGGCTGCAGCACTGGGATGTGAGGTTTAACGAGCCAACAAACCCCAAGACACATCCAGGAGAGTTTATCTAGAGAGGCCCCCTGTGTGAATGCAAAAGACTACACCTAATCCCAGCACTTTGGGAGGCCAAGACAGGTGGATCGCCTGAGGTCAGGAGTTCAAGACGAGCCTGGCCAACATGATGAAATCCCATCTTTACTAATAATACAAAAATTAGCTGAGTGTGGTGGCGCCTGCCTGTAATCCCAGCTACTCGGGAGGCTGAGGCAGGAGAATCGCCTGAACCCGGGAGGCAGAGGTTGCAGTGAGTCCCGATCACGCAACTGCACTCCAGCCTGGGCAACAGAGCAAGACTCTGTCTCACAAAAAAAAAAAAAAAAGACTACACCACATACTTACTGAGCACCTTTTGGATAAGTAGGAATTCATCTTCGACCTCCTCCTCCACCCCCCAGACCCAGCCAGGTGCCCTGTATTCTAGTCACAGCTAGACTGGACTCTCTCTGTCTCTCTCTGTCTCTCTTTCTGTCTCTCTCTGTCTCTCTCTCTGTCTCTCTCTCGGCCTCAGTCTCCCCATTGGTCAAAGCAGAATCCAGTTATCTCTGACCCTCCTGGACTCAAAAGGTGAGATGTGTGGGTGTGGATATGTACTTGTGCGTGTGTACATGTGCACATGGGTGCATGTGTGTGCATGTGTGTATATGTGTGTAAAAGGCCACACACCTCCCTCTCTGATGTCTCCACCCCTCAGAACCCACCTCTCCTCTCCCAGGTGCTCACACCCATGTCCTCTCAGCCTCTTACCCTCCACTCAAGGCCTTACCTGACACACCTACCTGGAGTCTGACCTCACCTTGGAAAACACAGCCCCTTAGAACAAGCTGACTGGCGAGGGGACTGGTACGATGGAACACAAAGCTAATCAGACAGAGATGGGCCTGTTTATTTGCATGGCACGCATTTGTCTCTGACTGTTTTATCCACCCCCTGAGCCAACTGAAGAGTTCTCAATTTATCCTGCCCGCACGGAGAGACCAGATTGGCGGCAGGCACGCACATTCACAGAAGCCCGATATAGACTTCCAATTATCTTTTAATTTCGCTCCTGTCTTTATTTGTTCATTTCACTTTTTCCAAACAGGGACTTTAAAAAAAAAAAAAGCTGTAATTTATGGAGTTTGAAGTCAACTAGCAGGAGCTAATTTATGGAGTTTGAAGCCAACTAGCAGGAGCGTCGTGTTCACCTGCCGGATGGAATGAGACCTCAGGGTAGAGACAAAAGCTCACTTCCCAGCTGCCCTGCAAGGAAGATGTCTGCCTGTCAGGGGCCACAAAGTCCCTGTTCTTGTCTGTTCTTCTGTCTGTCTGTATTAACTATATTTTCATCTCTTTTTTTTGAGACAAGGTCTTGCTGTGCTGCCCAGGCTAAAGTGCGATGGTGCAATCAAGGCTCACTGCAGCCTTGACCTCCTGGGCTCAAGCCATCCTCCCGCCTCAACCTCCCGAGTAGCTGGGACTACAGGCATATGCCACTGTGCTCGGCTAATTTTTTAATTTTTTTTTATAGAGATGGGGTCTCACTCTGTTGCACAAGCTGGTCTGGAACTCCTGGGCTCAAGCAATCCTCCCACCTCAGCTTCCCAAAGTACTCAGATTACAAGCGTGAGCCACCATGCCTGGCCTATTTTCCTATTTTCTATATCCTTGATGTTTTACATCTGGGGCCTCTCTGACCAGGAGAGACTGCCCCTCCCAGGGTGAGCTAGTTCCTAGAAATAGCAAGCGGCTTACCCGGGAGTGTATCTCTCACACGCAAACTAACCAATCCAGAGCCCATACCCCCCAACCACCTCCTTCATCAGATTCCCAAGGCCTCTCATACTCTGGGCCAGTATTCCCCGCCTCTAATCACCCCAGGCCCAGGTACCGGACAACTAAAGACAGCCAGCCCTGAGCCTGCTGAAAGTATTCCAACTCGCCAATCTGAATCCTGCTTACCCTGCCTCTCTCACTCCTTCCTGCAAAAACCATCATAAAGCGTCTCTCACCCACGCTTCTGCCTCACTCGCTCTGCCTCCTGGTTGACCCAGTGCTTCCCCACGTGGTCCTGCCTGGTGCAGTGTGCCCCCTTCTCTTGGGACCCGTGAGTAAAAAACCACCTTTCAATGGCAGTCGCCTCCTGATCTGTGGGCCTCGCCAGACCTGAATAATAATAATGAAACCTACATTTTCACACACTGTCAGGTGGCTGTGTTCACCGAGAACTGGAATGCAGGGCAGACAGCAGGAAGCCTCATTTAATGAAGACATCTTCTATGCTCAGCTGTTTCACAGGCATTACTTCTGCCCTCAGACAAGGGAAGGTCGCAGGAAGTGCCAAACCAGGGCTCAAATCGGGGGCATGTGGCCCCACCCCTTGCCCTGCACCCAGCCCCAAGCTCCAGTCTAGAGGTCTCCAGGCTTTGTTGTTCTCACGTTCTCCTGTGCTATTTCCGCCATTCCCAACACGTCAAATACCATCTCCACACCCTCTCGTCCTAGCCTGGTGCAGGGACTCCTGTTCTGAACTCCCATGGAAGCCCTCCCGAACCAGCATCTGCACCCCCCACCATCTCCCTGCCTGGTGTCTCCTAGACCACAGCCTCCATGGGCACAGGAGCCATGGCGGTCTCCTTAACCTATGTCATGACATCACAACACATGGCCTGGTAGGTGGTAAGCATCTTGTAAATATTTTTTGAATCAATCAATCAATCAGTCTATGCCTCTTCCTCTCTTTATCAATACCCAATTCCAAACACTTCTTTCTGGAATCCTTTTTCCTGACCTCTATTCTGATAAACCACCTCATTCATCTCTCCTTTGCGATGCATGGCAGCTTGATCATATCTCAGGCTTATGCCCCGTCTTCTGGACCAGGGACAAAATAAGTTCCCCTGGGACTTGGACTGTCTTCTGCTCCCAGTGATCCTTGCACCTCCCCACACCCCAAGGCTGGTTCGGGCACATCCAGTGCCCAGGAGCTTTTCAAATGGAAATGCTGATTGTTTGAATTGAAGGGTTTAAGCTGGAGCCACAGAGAGAGGGCTCTGGGACACGATGGAGCCTTTATCAGGTGGGAAGCAGCATTCAGAGGGGCTGAGACCCTTCTAACTTGGTGGCATCTGAGAGGACAATGTGAGGTCACATCTCACCAAGGGGGCATTTCATATGTCTCCCCTTCTCCAAGGGTAAAGACATATGACATATGAACATATGACAGCCACCAGTGGGACAGGCTGAGGACACCTACTTCCTAAGAGGTCACACCTGCTGGATGAAGTCAGGTCTGTAAAACTCTGGACTCTGCAAACAAGGTTTTGGGTCCCCATTTACAAGCCAGTTGACATAATCTTGGAGGTCCAGTTACCCCTGCTGTCAAATGGGGATAACAAACATGTCTCTCCCCAAAGGGGCTGTGAGCATGAGATGGGATGAGATGAGCTTCATACCCCTACCAGTGGAATGGTAGCCTGGCCCCTCATCAGCCTCAACAAAGCATTTTTCACCCCTGGAAAAATCATTTTTATTGCCCCAAACACCTCATTCTCTAGTTTCTAGATGAAGACAATGGGCTGTGCAGCAAGAAACATTATAAATCAGGATTTGTCACTCTCAGTCCATTGGCATTGTCTCTCTTAGCCTCGATGTCCTGATCTGTAAAATGGGGACAATGATAATAACCACCTCTCCAGATTACTGGGAAAATTAAATAATTTTACTTATACAAAGCACCCAGGACTTCATTCCCATTCTGTTACTCACCTTGAGTATGTAACCAAGAGGAATTGATTATGTAACTTGAGAGGAACTGCTCACCCACCATCCAAGAATGAACAGGAATTTTCAGCAGACAAGTAGAAAAGCTAACTTATTTTTAATTCCTAGGCTCACTAAAAACTCCTGAGATGATTGTTAAAAATGGAGGTTTCCTGGGACCCACCCAGCCCACTGAATCAGGACATCTAAAAGGTAGAGCTTAGAAATTTGCATCCCTGGCTTGGCGTGGTGGCTCACATCTGTAATCCCAGCACTTTGGGACGCCAAGGCGGGTGGATCACCCGAGGTCAGGAGTTCGAAACCAGCCTGACTAATATAGTGAAACCCCATCACTGCTGAAAATACAAAAATTAGCCAGGCGTGGTGGTGTGCACCTATAGTCCCAGCTACTCAGGAGGCTGAGACAGGAGAATTGCTTGAACCTGGGAAGCGGAGGTTGCAGCGAGCCAAGATCATGCCACTGCACTCTAGCCTGGGTGACAGAGTGAGACTTCATCTCAAAAAAAAAAAAAAAACCCAGCCTGGTCAACATGGTGAAACCCCGTCTCTACTAAAAATACAAAAATTAGCTGGGCGTGGTGGTGCATGCCTGTAATCCCACCTACTCGGGAGGCTAAGGCAGGAGAATCGTTTGAACCCTGGAGACAGAGGTTGCAGTGAGCTGAGATTGTGCCATTGCACTCCAGCCTGGGTGACACTCTGTCTCAAAAAAGAAAGAGAAAAAGAAAGAAAGGGAGAAAGGGAGAGAGAGAGAGAGAGTTAAGAAGGAGGGAAGGAAGGAAGGGAGGGAGGGAGGGAAGGGAAGGGAGGGAGGGAGGGAGGAAAGAAGGGAGGGAGGAAAGAAGGGAGGGAGGGAGGAAGGAAGGAAGGAAGGAAGGAAGGAAGGAAGGCAGGCAGGCAGGCAGGCAGGCAGGCAGGCAGGCAGGCAGGCAGGCAGGCAAGCTGCATCTCTAACAAGCACCCCTTGTGATCCTTGTGCACATTGCATTGATAGGCACTCTTTTGACCAGGATGGAAAGAAAGAGAATTCAGGGGACCCCTCTTGACAGCTACCAGTGGGACAGGCTGAGGACACCTGACTTTCTAAGAGGTCACACCTGCTGGATGAAGTCAGGTCTGTAAAACTCTGGACTCTGCAAACAAGGTTTTGAGTCCCCATTTACAAGCCAGTTGACATAATCTTGGAGGTCCAGTTACCGCTGCTGTCAAATGGGGATAACAATCGTGTCTCTCCCCAAAGGGGCTGTGAGCATGAGACGAGATGAGATGAGCTTCATCCCGAGTGTTCACCCCAATCCACTCAGTGTAAAGACAATCCCTGCTGGCTATTGTCCCAAATGGTGCAGGGCCCCACATAGGCTTAGGGTCCACAGCTGAGCCAGCTACAGCCTCTGTCCTCAAGGACTTAGAATGCAGCAGACCAGATCTTGCACACAATGCACTTTACGATGCAGCAGCTGTGGCCAAGCCTAAAAGAGGAGCATCAGAGAACACGAGACCCAAAGGAAGAAAAGGTGATCTTGGACGGATGAAGGCACCAGGGAAGAAGGCCCAGACACAGCCTTTTACCCAACTCTGATGGGCCAGAGGGATGTCCACCAGCCTTCCCTGCCAAGAAGTCACCCTGAGCCCGGTTTGCTAGGCAGTGATCAGGAGATGCATCTGGAAGAGTAAACCGAAGCTGGTACACAGAGAGTTGTGAACGTCGGCATAGGGAGTCAGGATTGTCTCCTAGAGTCAAAGCCTTCAGAGCCAAATTCCTCCCATGCGTGTGCTTCCTGTGGCCCACAGTGTTTTTCAGTTTCATTTTTGAATCAGATGCCAACATTTTAAAATTGAGAGTGATTATGTCACTACTGGGATTCTAAGCTTTTTGCGACAGTGGGAGGATGAGGCAATGCTGGGCCTGATACCATCGGCTGGGGTGGGGCGGACAGACGTCCTTACTTGTTCACTTTACCTACCCAGCCTCCATATGCAGCAAGAGTTTGAGACCCCTGCACAGGACTTTGGGGACTCTTTGAGGACCTTGGTCAGGAGAAGGGTAGAATTAGTTCTGTGCTTTGGAAGGTCCTCTGATGACAATTGATACTAGCGATGATGGTGCCGATGATCAGAAAGAGGAAAAGGAGGAAGAAGCAGAGAATAGTTCATATTTACTAAGCTTTCATGATGGGGGCTCTGCCCCAGTGTTTATTCCTAGTAGCCCATTTAGTTCTCCCCACAAGCTGATGAGGTGCGTATGCTGTCATCCTCCTTTTTCAGACAAAGCACAGAGCGGTGAGGTCTCTTGCCTAAGGTCATATAGTTGGTAAGTAGCAGAGCCAGGTAGTCTGGGTCCAGGACCCACAGCACTGGTGATGGGGGAGGGGAAATGGTGAGGGGGGGTCTGGGAGACGTGAGTCTTCCCTCAATCTTTCACCGTAGGAGATTGTCTGGTTTTAAAAGAGAAGATGTGTCCACATCTAACCCCGATCTGAGCACTAATGCAATGTCTTTCTCCACTGTTCTCAGAAAGGCTGGTTTTTCTTAATAAACTTGTCAGGCAGGGAAGGAGGGCAGAGGCACTCAAGGGCCGGCTCAGGTGGCTTGGCTGCATGCCCTGGCTCCAGACTCCACTGCCATGTTCCCGTTCCCTGCTTGGCCAGCATAAAGTTGACCCCACTGTGAGGACCAGCAGACCTCACAAGAATGACCCCATCCACGCCTACTGGGGCTCCACCTGCCCATGACTCACCACACCCAAGCCTCTGAGCCCAGTGGACTTGCAAAAGAGAAAATAAAGCACACACATAAAGAATAACCAACCCCATGCATTTCCTGGCATCGGGTGACTGTTTGGTTAAGAGCTTCCTCCTCTTTTGTATGCCCACTGGATACTCCTAACATCCCCTAGCTGCTGACCACAGAGCTGGCTTAGGTGGCTGATCACAAGCTCAGCCCCTGGGCGGGCCCCCCACCCCAGCCACCAGGGAAGCATGGAAGGAGGCCAGCCGCTGGGATCTGCCAGCTCTGGGCCCCAGCGGCCACCCTCTGCAGCTCAAAGTCACCTTTGCTCCTCTCCTCTCCTCGGCTGGCCAGCCAGAACCAGCCCAGAACTCCCTCCCCTCCGCTCAGCAGGACCCAGGAACTGGTCCCTACTGGGCAATTATTAATCAGATTCTTGACATTCCTCAGCCCCAGGTTGGCTGGAGAAGCATGTTCCCCAGAGGAGCAGAGGCCCAGGACTGGCATTTGGATATGCAGCTGACCGGCAAGGTGGTGCTGTCAGCCGCTGCCCTGCTCCTGGTGACTGTGGCCTACAGGCTGTACAAGTCGAGGCCTGCCCCAGCCCAGCGGTGGGGTGGGAATGGCCAGGCAGAAGCCAAGGAGGAAGCAGAGGGCTCAGGGCAGCCTGCTGTACAGGAGGCTTCTCCTGGGGTGCTCCTGAGGGGGCCAAGACGTCGGAGGAGCAGCAAGCGGGCTGAAGCACCACAGGGCTGCAGCTGTGAGAATCCAAGAGGCCCCTATGTCCTGGTCACGGGGGCCACTTCCACAGACAGGAAGCCCCAGAGAAAAGGCTCAGGTGAGGAGCGGGGCGGGCAGGGCTCGGACTCTGAGCAGGTGCCTCCTTGCTGCCCCAGCCAGGAAACCAGAACAGCTGTTGGCAGTAACCCTGACCCTCCCCATTTCCCCCGCTTGGGCAGCGAACCGAAGAGCTCCCCAGCTGGACTCATTGCAGCAGCCGACGGCAGCTGTGCCGGTGGTGAGCCTTCTCCATGGCAGGACAGTAAACCCCGTGAGCATCCAGGACTGGGGCAACTAGAACCTCCCCACTGTCACTACGTGGCTCCCTTGCAAGGCAGCAGTGACATGAACCAGAGCTGGGTCTTCACCCGTGTGATAGGGGTCAGCAGAGAAGAGGCTGGGGCTCTCGAGGCTGCCTCCGATGTTGACCTGACCCTGCATCAGCAGGAGGGCGCCCCCAACTCCTCCTATACCTTCTCATCCATAGCCCGCGTCCGAATGGAGGAGCATTTCATACAGAAGGCGGAGGGGGTTGAGCCCCGGCTCAAGGGCAAGGTGTACGACTACTATGTGGAATCTACCTCTCAGGCCATCTTCCAGGGCAGGCTGGCTCCCAGGACAGCAGCCCTGACTGAGGTTCCATCCCCTAGGCCACCGCCAGGGTCCCTGGGAACAGGGGCTGCCTCGGGAGGCCAAGCCGGTGACACAAAGGGTGCAGCCGAAAGAGCCGCCTCCCCGCAGACAGGGCCGTGGCCCTCCACCCGAGGCTTCAGCCGGAAGGAGAGCCTTCTGCAGATAGCGGAGAACCCAGAGCTGCAGCTGCAGCCAGATGGCTTCCGGCTCCCCGCTCCACCCTGCCCAGACCCGGGCGCCCTGCCTGGCTTAGGCAGAAGCAGCCGGGAGCCCCATGTGCAGCCGGTGGCCGGGACCAATTTCTTCCATATCCCGCTCACCCCTGCTTCAGCCCCACAGGTCCGCCTGGATCTGGGCAATTGCTATGAGGTGCTGACCTTGGCCAAGAGGCAGAACCTGGAGGCCCTGAAAGAGGCGGCCTACAAGGTGATGAGCGAAAACTACCTGCAGGTGCTGCGCAGCCCGGACATCTACGGGTGCCTGAGCGGGGCAGAGCGCGAGCTGATCCTGCAGCGCCGGCTCCGGGGCCGCCAGTACCTGGTGGTGGCTGACGTGTGCCCCAAGGAAGACTCCGGCGGCCTCTGTTGCTATGACGATGAGCAGGATGTCTGGCGCCCGCTGGCTCGCATGCCCCCCGAGGCCGTGTCCCGGGGCTGTGCCATCTGCAGTCTCTTCAATTATCTCTTCGTGGTGTCCGGCTGCCAGGGGCCCGGGCACCAGCCCTCCAGCCGCGTCTTCTGCTACAACCCGCTCACGGGGATCTGGAGCGAGGTGTGCCCGCTGAACCAGGCCCGGCCGCACTGCCGGCTGGTGGCCCTGGACGGGCACCTGTATGCCATCGGCGGAGAGTGTCTGAACTCGGTGGAGCGTTACGACCCCCGCCTGGACCGCTGGGACTTTGCCCCGCCGCTCCCCAGTGACACGTTCGCCCTGGCGCACACGGCCACGGTGCGTGCCAAGGAAATCTTCGTCACCGGCGGCTCGCTGCGCTTCCTGCTGTTCCGCTTCTCTGCGCAGGAGCAGCGCTGGTGGGCCGGCCCCACCGGGGGCAGCAAGGACCGCACGGCCGAGATGGTGGCGGTCAACGGCTTTCTCTACCGCTTTGACCTCAACCGCAGCCTGGGCATCGCCGTGTACCGCTGCAGCGCCAGCACCCGGCTCTGGTACGAGTGCGCCACGTACCGGACGCCTTACCCGGATGCCTTCCAGTGCGCCGTGGTGGACAACCTCATCTACTGCGTGGGACGCCGGAGCACCCTCTGCTTCCTAGCAGACTCTGTCTCACCCAGGTTTGTGCCCAAGGAGCTGCGGAGTTTCCCGGCCCCGCAGGGCACCCTCCTGCCCACCGTCCTGACCTTGCCCACCCCCGATTTGCCTCAGACCAGGGTCTAGCAGTCCCTCAACTGAGCTCCTCATGCAAAGCTGGGGGCCACCGGGCTCCACTGCCAGCCGTCCCTCTGGGGGCCATTTCTAGGCAAACAGGCAACCCAGGAATGTGGCCATCAAGAGGTGAATTCCGGTCCTTTCTCCTCCCCTAGCTGGGGAGAGAGGGATCTTAGATGAGTCTTACCCTTCATGGGCTGCAGAGGCCCCACTGCAGAAAAGAGGACCAGGAGCTGGTGTTCCAAGGCAGAAGGCATTCATGTCTTCAGGGATGACCGCCCTTGCTTCAACTCTGAATTCTTGGGGGGATACACCGGGACCCCACCAAAGCTTAGGGGGCATAGTCTTTTTGCAATCACAATTCTAGGAGCCAGTTGACCCCAGCAGCCCCTCGCTAGTTGCTCTGGAGAGGGGTTGGCTCTCTGAGCCATCAGTGCCCCTTCCTAAACATCAGCCACTGGGCCCCACCTCCACAGTTCCCAGAAGCACCGGGACACACAGGTGGGAAAGATGGAGGCAGGTGACTTGGGCAGGGCCAGGAAGGAGCCGAGGGAGCCCCAGGGGCCCTGGCCAGAGGGAGTGGTGGTTTGAAAAGTAGAACAGCTGAAGCTGGGGCCAGCCTAGGAGACTCTTGCTTGCGAGAAAATATACCAAAGCCCACATTACTTTTCTCCTTATTGGAAGAAAGAGAAGCAGCCATTGTACCAAGCTATCTTCTGGTGGAGGTCTGCTAAGGATACACGGAGGTCTCAGCAAAGGGAAGAAACTATGTGATCCAAGGGCCACCCTGCTCCTCGGCCCTGCCCATGTTAACTGACCATTGCACTCATTCTCAGATCTGTAGCCGTCTTCCTGTCTGGAAGCTGGGGCAACCACCACCAGTCAGCACTTCAGGGTGACAGCATAATTTGCCCTCCTTGTGCCAGGTACGGTCACCTGGTTTGCCGCATTCACATTTTCAGGTGGATGACCAAGCGGAGGAACTAGAAGAGTCTAGTGAAGCATCCAGAGACTGGATCTCCTTTCACATCTGGTTTGATAAACTCCGAATGAAGGAGACCCCCAGCCTCAGGAAAGCACCTGTCCTTCCAGGAGGGACGGGAGAGAGCCTGACCCAGTGTATTACCACAGCCCTTGTTCCACCTCTGAGGGAGACAGTGACAGATGGGAAGGCAGTGATGCTCTTGGTCCCAGCCAGAAGCCAGGGGAGATGGGAGGTACACCAGAGCAGGGCCTGACAAGGAAGAAAATAAGGATGCTTTGGACCTCAGTGTCCTTGTCTTGAAAATGGGAAGGACAATTCATGTCCCTGTCTGCCCTGGGGATAAATGAGAGGATAAAAGAGAAAGTTCTTCCCAGTTTCCCAGGTGGTCCCAGCTAGATCCTGTGTCCACGGAAGCTGCTGGTGCCCAGGCTGTGGGTCTTGTTGGAAGAAGCAGGACTGGAACAAAGGATGAAAAGGAGGTTGGCATGGACATAAGAGGAGAGCTTGCACTGGACCACCGAAGACCACCATCCCTGGTCTGGGCTCTGGCACCAGGCTCTGCCAGTGGCAGCTCAGAGGCCACAGGGTGACATTGGCCACACCCCCACCCCACTTCCCTGGCCTGGGCCTCGAAAGATGAAGCAACTGAATTTATTCTTAAATCAGAGACCAGGAAGGGAAAGTCAGCTGGGGCCATGGCTACCTTCTTGGGAGAGTGACCCCTGAACCCAGCCAAGGCCACATTCAAGCTCAGTGTCAACACTAGGCATGAACCTCCAAGGGACCTGTGGGCTGGGGCAGAATGGCTTCAGTGACAAGACTCAAAGGAGGCACTAGCATTGTGCTGCTGGACTGGGGGAAGGACTTGCTTGGGAGGAGAACTCTACATAGGAGCTGGGGGCAGGTGGACCTAGATCCAACCTTCAACCCCTAGTGAGGGGCCAGGCAGAGGACAAGGCAACAACTAAGCTAGGTAAAGTTCTGGAAAGTTTCCAAGCCCAGGAGGAACAAGGACCACTCTGGAAAAACATTCCAAAGCCCATTGCATACCTGTGGTAGAGACTAGGGGAGTGATTCCAGGGATAAGACGGACAAATGTGTTCCAGGCCCCAGCTGATGGTGGGTGTGGTCTTCATAATGAGAGGTGGAGCTGAGATTTGGGCCTGGGCTGGGAAGAGGAGTACACAGTCCATCTGATCCACCTCTCTTATGGTTCCATTGGCAAAATCATTCATCAGTCGTCCTATCTTTTCCTGGCGAGCGCTCACAATGGCTTCATAAGTGTTTCAATACAGTGTCCCAGGCAGTCACTACCTATAGATTAGAGCTGATGTGCTGGCCTGGGGCTCTAGAGCTGGGCTTCAGGAAGAATGTGGTCAGGGCCATCAGGGTGGAACAAGGTAGCTCAAGACCTTGGAAAGACACCCTGAGGGCACAATCGTCCTTGCAGTTTAAGATGACACTTTAAAAATAAATTCTTTCCTAATGATGGCTTGAGTCCTGCCACTCAATGGGAGCATCAGCGGAACCCGTAGCATCTTATTTGGAATTGACATTCTCTATTGTAATTTTGTTCCTGTTTATTTTTAAGTTTTCTTTTTGTTTCACTGGAAAGGAAAGATGATGCTCTGTTTTAAACATTAAAAGTATACAAGTTGCTTTGTTACAATAAAACTAAATATGTACACACACCAAAAAAAAAAAAAAATGATCAGGATGCATTCATTCACTCCTGAAATAAACATTTACAGAATATTTGGACTGGGCAGTGTTCTAGGTGCTGGAGATGCAGCAGATCCCTGCCTTAATGGAGCTCACATTCTAGCAAAGGAAAATGGACACTTTTAAAAGGAAATACATAGAACCTAGTACCTAGGCTGCATATACACTAAGGAGAAAGCTGAGGCAGGGACATGGGATCCTGAGTGCCGGAGGAAAGGGGTTGCTCTTTTAAATCATGTGATCAGGCCTCCCTGATAGGATGACATTTGAACAGGGACCTGAATGGAAATCTGGGAGATGCACAGACCAGGACTGGTCCAGGGAACCGGAAGGGTGGCCTTGCAGCCAGAAGGACTTTGCTCCCTGTGCCCACCAGGGAGAGCCGGGCTGCTTCCGAGGAGCGCCATCTTGGGGTAGGAAGAAGGACAGGGGCCCAGCTATTCTGTTTAGCCTTTGTTGTAAGGGAAAAAAACTCAATTACACCTACATTTACAACATATAGGAGTGAGAGCCAGTGTCGTTACCAGAATGTTGCAGACCCTATACTCAGGTGTGCAGCTGAGACGACTTCATGGGGCCAGAGTCTCAGATTTCTACTTGACTTTACTTAATAGCCTGGGGTCTGTTGGCCTCCTGCCCTTAGCCTCAGAGTGACATCTGTGTCACTTGGCTTCTTGCTTTTCCAATAGGAATTCTTTCTTCTTCAGAAAAACAAAAAAAAATTAAATTTGGGTCGCTTTCCACTTTAAACCAACCATGCCCATTATAGAAAAAAAATAGAGAAAGGTATTAAAAATCTCCCCAATTTTGCCACTCAACGACACCCCCTACTGTGGTGTGTGTCCCTCTGGTCTTTTTCTTCTGTGCAAAGTTTTTGTTTGGCTTGATGTTTGCTTAGGTACGATTATGCTAAATATACAATTCCGTTTCTTCCTTTTTTCACTTAGCATTTTATAATAAGCATTTTCCCGTGTTATTACAAATCCTAGGTAAACATCATTTCAATAGTTGCACAATATTCCATGGAGTGAATGTATCAAGGTTTATTTAAACATCTCCCCTCCTGTTGGGCCTGCCTGTAGATTTTTGTTTTCTGTTGGGTTCTCTTTCTATCACAAATAAAACGTCCTTTGTTTTCTTATTCCTCCCTATCTGGGGCCTTCATCAATATTTACAAGAGAATGCCAGTCTAGGTCCCGTCTGCAATGGTAGAGTTGTTGAAACAACCACAGAAGCCATAGCATTTGCCTAGGGCTGGGGCCTGGCCCCTCTGTGACTGTAGGACAGAGCTGTCCTTGGAAGCCTACGGCGAGAGAGGCAAGGCTGGCTGGAGGGGCCATCCAGGGGCACCACATTCACTGGGCCCCTGCTCTCCTCTGCGTGCTTTTATATGCATCTCCTCACTGATCCTCACAACAACCCTATTTTACGGGTGAGAAAGCTGAGGCTCAGAGAATTTAATGAAATTTGCCTTCATGGCAAAATCCAAAGACCTTTTCTGTTTTCATTAAAAGTGCTTGAATCCAAGGCCAGCCAGAGTGGCTTATGCCTGTAATCTGAACACTTTGGGAGGCCCAGGTGGGAGCATCTCTTGAGGTCAGGAGTTCAAGACCAGCCTGACCAATATGGTGAAACCCCGTCTCTACTAAAAATACAAAAATTAGTTGGGCATGTTGGTGCACGCCTGTAATCCCAGCTACTCAGGAGGCTAAGGCAAGAGAATCGCTTGAACCCAGGATGCAGAGGTTGTAGTGAGCCAAGGTTGAGCCACTGCACTCCAGCTTGGGCGACAAAGTGAGACTCTATTTTAAAAAAAAAAAAAAAGTGCTTGAATCCAGCCTTACTGCCTTGCATGCAATACTCTCTCCACTCCTCTATGCTGAGGCAGTGGAGGCCAGGACCCAGCATCAGCCTTGCCTCCGACCCTGTCTCCACCCACACCAATCAATTGTGCTCCATCTTTGAACTTTGAACTCAAAGGACATATTCTTAAATTCTCTAATCCTCAATACCTGCATCTGTAAAATGGGTTTGCCACTGCCAGCCTCAAGAAGATACTGTGAGAACTAACAAAATAATAGAGGGAAAGCTCCCGGCCCAGGAACTGCTACTACTACATCTTGTACTACTTGCAGTCATGCCTGTAATCCCAGCACTTTAGGAGGCCAAGGTAGGAGGATTGCTTGAGCCCAGGAGTTCAAGACCAGCCCGGGCAATGTGGCAAAATCCCATCTCTACAAAATATACAAAAATTAGCCAGGCGTGATGGTGTGTGCCTGTGGTCCCAACTACTTGGGAGGCTGAAGTGGGAGGATCACTTGAGCCTGGGAAGCAGAGGTTGCCTTGAGCTGAGATCATGCCACACTGCACTCGAGCCTAGGTGGCAGAGTGAGACCTTGTCTCAAAAAATAAAAATAAATAAAAGTAAAATAAAAATAAAAATTTGTTAAAGTAGGTCTTGGAAGAACAGTTGTCGCCTGCAGCGGGGCTGCCCTAAGCCAGTTCAGAGGAGGAGGTTTTCTTTTACCACCCCCACCACCTCCTGCTCTCTTTCATCCTGGCCCTGGAGGAGGAAGGTTGAGAATTAAGCTGCAGCGGCCGATTCTTGTCTCAGAAGGTCTGGGGCAGGGGATGCTCAACATAAAAGTTACTCATATTTTAGACCATCCAGGTTTTGAGACTGTGAGACTCTACTCTGCTCTTCCAGAGTAGTTCAGGATTGACTGACTGGCTGATTTGAGTTTCCTCAGGCTGAAAGCATTAAGCAATTTCCAGGGGGTGTCAGTCGGAGCTGTGGAGCTTCAGAAGCTGCTCAGAGGCCCCTGGGAACCCTGAGAAAATGCGAGATGGAGGGGGCTCCCTTCTTTCACAGATTGGGAGAAATCACCACTTGGGGGAACTGGGAGTATGCTGGGCTGTGTCTGAGCTGCAAATATTAAAGGCCACAGACAGAAGCAGCCGGCACTTCCCATCTTTGTAATCCTTACTGGAAAGGGCCTTGTGGCCCTAGGGTGCCCCTCGGATCCTCCTGAAGCTGTGGCTTCAGCCAGGAGCAGCCCCTAGGCTGGGGCAGAAGGCAGAGCATGAAACACAAAGGGAGGAGGTAACTTCAGGGAGCGAGAAGAAAGGACAGCCTGGAGGAAAGTCTCCACAAACAGCTCTGACCCTGGGGTTTTTTGAAATGTGAGATGTGAAAACAAAAATGAAAAAGCGATCAAGTTTGCATTGCTTTTTTGTGTGCAGGGAGGAGACGCAAATTTTATACCATAATAAATAGAGTTCCTCTCACCAGGCTCTGTGCAAATACTTTACTGTTCTTCCCTCACTCTTCCCTCAATACATCACTGTCTGACAGAGCAATTATCTTCGTGATATAGAAGAGGAAGTGGAGACAGGACCCTGCACAAAAATTACCTATTGATTTAATGATTATTAGTAATTATAACACCTACTTTTTATTGCTAAAAAACTGGAATAAGGCATGTAATCATTGTCAATACATTTATAAAACACAAGACTAATAAGAGCTTTACTTATATTGTCTCTGGCCAAATTCTCTCTTTCCCATCAATTTTTCCATGTCTTGAATCTGGTCATGTGACTTGCTTTGGCCACTGTGGGGCAGTAACAAATTTGACATAAGCAGAGGCTTGAAAATTGCTAGGGCATTGGATGTGCTCTCTTGTGGCTCTTAGAAATCACGAGACTGCCGCCATGTGAACAAGCCCAGCCTAGGCTGTGGGATGATGAGAGACCCATAGACCAGTTACCCTAGTCAACAGCCAGTTACCAGTTACCCCAGTCAACAGCCAGCCAAACCCCCAACCTGTGAGTGAGGCCACTGACCACCAGCTGACCAACCACAGATACCTGAAAGAACCCAACCAAGACTGGCAGAACCTAACCAAGACTGGCAGAAGAACCACCTAGCTGAACCCAGCCCCAGTTGCCAATCCACAGGCTCATGAGAGAAATAGATAGTTGTGGTTTTAAGCCAGTCAATTTTGGAATGGTTTGCAACACCACAATAGGTAAGTGACACAACAATCCTGTGATATCTCATCACTTTGCAGTTGAGGAAACTAGAGTTCAAGAAAGTGAAATCTCATTCCCAGGGTCACATGCCTATAAGATAGAAGAGCTGGGAGACCTACCCCACACCTCCACCGCCCAGGTCTGCCTGACTCCAAATCCTGGGTTCTTCCTTATTCAGCCATAGGGCCCTGGCTCTGGTCTAGCCAGACTAGGGCACTGGGGACCCTCTGGGTGCCTGCCTGGCCAAGGGGCTTGGTGCTAGCCCTCAGCTAGGTCTTTTCCATGACCCAGGAACCAATGTCTACAGGGAGAAAACTCTGAGCCACCTCAGAGGAGCATCTTTACAAAAAGATCAAGAGATTAGCTCCTTGAAAAGCAATCACTGACACCTATTGAGCACAGCCACTCTATCGGCCAACTATCTTGGGATAGAGCACCTGCACTCTGCCCCCAAGAGCCTCCCCGCTGCTGAAAGGTGTTCTGTTGCCATTACCTGGGGATTGTTGCTACCTAGAGGATCCCCGAACCAATGACAGGCAGGAGTTGGTGTGTAAATACCCCAGCTCCCTCAACCCTGGAGTGAGATAACTCCTAGGTTCATGTTCTGCACTGGCTCCCAGATTTCCTGGTAGGACTGAGCCCCAGTTTCCACCAGCACTACCTACCTTGATAACATCCCTATAATAATATCACCCCAGTCTTCCTGGCTGGTGCTCCTACCTACTCCTCCTCCCTTTGTGAGACCATAGAGGAGCTGCACCCTTCTTTCCCCTCAAACCTGCCCCCCTCTACCTTCTTGAGGGCTTCACACCACAGACAGCCCTACACTGGCACCGACAATCCTCCACTAGCTCCTAGACGATTCCAAGTGGCATTCAGATGGGCTCTGGGATCTTTTATCTTAAAAGAAAAGCCACTTCCACATGACTTGCTTGGTAGTACAATAAATAAAAACCATGAATATACTTTAGAAGGTTAAAAACACTACACAGATATAATGTATCTTATTTGCAATGAGTGTCAAAGTGATGTGGTTTCTTTGTGTTCTTGAAAACAGTTTATCCTCTAAAGATTTTTGATTCTTTCTCCTGCAATCATGTTTATATGATCACATTCAGCAATCTTCACTTTGTAGATAAAATGAGGGTCAGCTTTAACCTGGCCTCAACTTGAATCAGAATACGTTCTGAGTGAATCCTTTTAAAAACAAAACAAAAACTCCTGTTATAGAATCAGATTTGAGGGAGCCAGTATCAGGCACCACCCACACCCTGGGGTTAAGTGTTTAGCTTCCTCAGTTGTACCCAGAAACATTTAAACCCATATCCGGTACCTTTTGACCACTTGCTTTCAGTTCCTAAATTTGGTCTCTCTCCCCTGGATGACACAGTGGGGTGGATGGTGGAAGATGGTGACAAATTAGGACAATATCAACCTCAAAAAGCCCAGGCAAGTAATGTCTTTCGTACAGATTGTCTTTTTAAAAAAACACTATTGTGGCATAATACATATAACACAAAACATACCATTGTAACCACTTTTAAAAGCATGCCATTCAGTGGCATTAAGTGCATTCACAACAGTGCATCTATTTGTGTTGTATGTGATTACAAAAGATACACAAACATTTATTGTAGAATATGCAACTGGAAAAATCCAGAGAAGCCCAAGAAGACAGTAAAAATCATTTCCTCCCAGAAATAATTTGTTATTGTTTTGACTTCTTTATTTCCAGTTTCTTATTACCCATAATTTTAAAAATAAAAAATGGGATCTTATACATAAGATAAAATTTACCACTTTTGCTATTTTTAAGTGTACACACTTCAGTGGCAATAAGGACTTTCACATGGTCATGCAACCACCGTCATTATCCATCTCCTTTTCCATCATCCCAGGCTGAAACTCTGCACGCATTAAAGGATACCCCTCTGTCTCCCGCTCCCTCCATAAGTAAAAGTTGTCTTTAACTTTGCAAAGCATCCTTCACGAGGATGAGGAAGTTCTTTGCTCAGTCAGCACAGAAAATTGGAAATGTGCCTTAAGCACAAAGACATACTGGTTTTCATTCATTCTGGAAAGTTCCACAAACAACGCGGCACCCAGCTCAGTAGGATGCTCCAGGGCAAGAGAATCTGCTCTCTCCAGAGGACATGATGAATAGCTTTCTTCTCTAAGTCACCAGCGCTCCCTCCTTATTGCCATGGGGAAAGACAAAAGGAAAATCACCCTCTCTGTTCTCCAGGTACTCCCTCCATCCTCTCGCTACATGAATTACTTTTGGTGTTGTAACAAAAATATAGGTTGGAAATGATAGAGGTATAAAACATGGGGATGATTTTGTTCCATCGTGCATCCTAATTATGCAATGACAGGCACTTTTGGGTACGTGGAACTAAGTAACTACGATCATGGAGTAAGAATCGCTTCAAGGTTGTTTGACACCCAGGACAGGGACTGTATTTAAGAAGCATCACGTTGCTTTAACCACAGGGATGAATGGGAGTATGGAGGATTGAAAGACCAAGGCTTGGGTGCAAAGTGGGCATCAGGGAAGGTTTCCAGAGGCAGCAAGGTCCACAAAGGGAGTGACAAGGCTAGCACATCTGCCTGTCAAATTGACAGGCATGGGTTCCACCCTTCATCCATCAGATGTTCATTAAACCAGTACTACTTGCAAGGTGCCAGGGGAACTGTTGTGAATGGCTGAGCCCATTGTGCTAGGGATGCTGAGAAATAAACAGGTGAACAATTACAGAAAATGATGGGAGATTGGCACAGATTCAGCGCAGGAATCAAATGTAATGCTGGGGTGGAGAGTGACAGCGGGGGTACACTTAAGATATTTCTCAAGGTGGCTTCCCCAAACAGGTGGCATTTAAGCTGAGATGTGAACAATAAGGAGGACTTGGCCAAGAGGGAGGAAGTGTGGGGTGGGGGAAAGGGAGGGAGGGAAGATGAGAGAGAGAGAGAGGCACAAGAGGAAGAGCACTCTAGGGGAGGGAACACCAAGAGCAAAGGCCCTGTGTCCTAGCCCAAGTGAAGGCCAATGTGGCCAGAGAGGGGATAGGAGACCAGGTTACACAGGTGTTGTCAGCCAAGATAAGAAGGGTGAATTTTATTCCTAGTCCACTGAGAAGCCTTCAGCAGATTTTGTTTACTTAATTTTTACAATAAATATCTTATTTTACAATAGTTTTAAATGTACAGGAAAGTTTCAAGGATAATACATCGCACATACCCCACACCCAGTTTCCCCTGTTGCAAGGGTCCTCAACCCCTGTTGGGGTTCTGGTACTGGTTCATGGCCTGTTAGGAACCAGACCGCATAGCAAGAGGTGAGCGATGGGCGAGTGAGCATGACTGCCTGAGCTCTGCCTCTTGTCAGATCAGCAGCAACACTGGATTCTCATAGGAGAACGAACCCTATTGTGAACTGTGCATTCAAGGGATCTGAGTTGCATGCTCCTTATGGTAATCTAATGCCTGGCAATCTGAGGTGAAACAGTTTCATCCTGAAACCATCCCCTGCCACCCCAGTTCATGGAAAAATTGTCTTCCACGAAACCGAAACCGGTCCCTGGTGCCAAAAGGGCTGGGGACCGCTGCCCTATTGCTAACATGTTGCATTAGGATGGTTCACTTGTCACAACTAAGGAGCCAGCATTGATACATTATGATTAACTAAGGTCCATACTTGATTCAGATTTCCCTTTTATCTGATGTCCTTTGTACTCCAGTGTTCCATCCAAGACACTGCATTACTTCTAGTTGTCATGTCTTCTTAGGCTTTTCTTGGTAGTGATGGTTTTGATACAGGGCAGGCAAACCTCCAAGTTGGGGCTTATCCTGGGAGGGTTCTTCACCCAGGAAAGAATTCAAGGGTGAACCAATGGTGATAAACAGCAACTTTTATTGACGCAGCAGTGCACAGCAGCAGCAGCAGCGGGAATGCTCTCTGCAGAGCAGGGCTACCCCATAGGTAGTGCACCCAGAGTAGCAGCTCAGAGGCAACTCTGTGCTCATATGTATACCCACTTTTAATTACATGCAAATTATGGAGTGGTTTGGCAGGGCACAGTGGCTCATGCCTGTAATCCCAGCTGAGGTAAGTGGATTACTTGAGGTCAGGAGTTCCAGACCAGCCTAGGCAACATGGCAAAACCCCATCTCTACTAAAAATACAAAAATTAGCTGGGCATGCCTGTAATCTCAGCTACTGGGAGGCTGAGGTGGGAGGATAGCTTGAACCCGGGAGGCAGAGGTTGCAGTGAGCCAAGATCATGCCATTGCACTCCAGCCTGGGCGATAGAACAAGACTCCACCTCAAAAAAGAAAATGGGGTGGTTTATGCAAAAATTTCTAGGAAAAAGGGTGGCAACTTCCAGGTTGTTGGGTTGTTGCCATGGAAATGGGTAGTAACTTCCAGGTGGCCATGGTAAACTGACAAGGCACACTGATGGGCGGATCTTACAGAAAGCTGCTTCCACCCTGACCTGTTTTAGCTAGTCCTCAATTTGGTCTAGTGTCCGAGCCCCACCCCTAGAGCTAAATCTCATTTCCTTCCTCAGTTTTCCAGAGCTTCCTTGTTTTTGGTGTTCTTGACAGTTTTGAGGACTGCTGGTCAAGTGTTTTGTAGACTGTCTTTTCAACATGGTTTTGGTTGATGTTTTTCTCATGGAGTTATGGGTTTCTTGACTGGGCTTACGGGTTTTAGGAGGAAGACCACAGAGGTAAAGTGCCCTTCTCCTCATATGATATTAAGAGTGCATGCTACTAACACAACTTATTACTGTTGATGCGGACCTTGATCACCTGGCTGAGGTGGTGTTTGCCACATTTCTCTGCTGTGAACCTATTCTTTTTTCCCCTTGCCATACTCTACCCTAGAGAAGGAAGTCACTGTTTGCAGCTTATAGGGTGAAGTGTCATGTTCTGCCTCCTTGATGCAGGGAGTATCTACAAAAATTATTTGGAACTCGTCTCTGTGGCAGATTCATCTATTCTTCCTTATTTATTTACTTATTCAATCATCTATTTATATCAGTACAGACTCATAGATATTATAGATACAGATATCATAGATATTTTCTTTATACTTTGAGTTATACTGCAATACTACATTGTTTAATTCCTTAATCAGATTATCTAGTTTGGGCCATGAGGAGCTCTTTCAGTTGGCACCTCTGTCCTTTTGGTACACCCTCACTGATTTCTTTTTAGCATTTTCTTACTCTGACGCAGACTCATCTTCTGTATTTCCAGCCCAGTCTTAGGACCAGACATTTCTCCAGGTAGCAGTGGTTTATTTTTTTAGAGAAGAATATTGAAAACCAAACTCTGGACACTGGGTCTTCAGAGGTTTTGGCACACACTGGTGGTCTAGGGAAGAAATCACAATTTTTTTTCTTTCTCTTCTTAGGCCCATAGTTGAGATACTCTCCTGAAAACAAAAGTCAGATTAACAGAAGAAAAACAAACTGAAGTTTATTAACACATGCTATACCCATCATGTGGGTGAGGCTTCAGTTCAAAAGTATTTCTCTCTTAAGGCAGTGGCTTAGGAGTTTTGCCTGAATGGTATTTTAACAAAGACCCATAAATCCTATGTTGGAGAGAAATATTTTGGTTTCCTTCAGTGGCATTGTCTAGTTTCAGTTTTAAATGTGTCCTCTGGTTGCCATGGAGAGAATGTATTGCGGGGTGGCCAGAGGGGAAGTCAGGATACCAGCGAGAAGAATACAGAGGTCATCCGGGCAAGAGGCAATGGCCTTGATGCCACAAGGACACAGGGGCAGGCAGAGGTGAGTCTGAGTAGTGGCAGCGTACCTACCAGATGGCTCCTGCTGCCCGGCCTGCCTCTGCCCCTAACCTCTCCAATACATCTGTTTTGTATCAATTATCCTGAATTTATTTCTGTTGCTTACAACCAGGAGCTCTACCCAACAGAGTTTAGCAACTCTCACCTTTGACTTCTACAGTGGGCTCCTAGAAGATAGGGTCTGGGTGTGGTTTATTCCCCAACTCTTGCACAGAGCCCAGCACAGGGGCTGTGTTCAGGAGATGCTTGATGAGCTGGATTTGTGCTCTTCAATGAACAAAACAGTTGGCTGTGCAATTGAGCCCCCTACACAGGGCTACAGGGGGCACCATGGTAACCCACTTAAGGAAATAAACTGTTTGCAAGATCTTTCCCCACATTCATTTGCATGGAAACAATTAGTGTGCTAATTAAAATGGAGTCTTATCTGTTCATTAAAGTAGGCCCAGCAGGACATCCAGTTGGCAAGACTTCGTTGGCAAAAAGTTTGAGTTTCTCCAGGTGGTAGAAAAGAAGCCATTTTCATCTCTCAACAAATGCTTAATAATTCAGGTGATGCTGAATCTTGCTGGCCCTCTGTTCCATGGGTTCCCATTAGTGAGGTTGGCAAGCACTTGTCAACACCTCCATGTCTCATCTCAAATGAGTGACAATTTGTAATCCTTCTCCCAGCCTGGTCTGGCTGAGTTTGTCTTGCTCCATAAAAGAAGAGTTTGGGCCAGGCACGGTGGCTCATGCCTGTAATCCCAGCACTTTGAGGGGGCTGAGGTGGGTGGATCACCTGAGGTCAGGAGTTCAAGACCAGCCTGGCCAGCATAATGAAACCCTGTCTGTACTAAAAATAAAAAATTAGCTGGGTGTGGTGGTGCATGCCTTTAGTCGCTACGGGGGAGCCTGAGGCAGGAGAATCGCTTGAATCCGGGAGGCGGAGGTTGCAGTGAGCCAAGTTCACGCCACTGCACTCCAGCCTGGGCAACAGAAGGAGACTCTGTCTCAAAAAAAGAAAGAAAAAAAGAAGAGTTTGTTGCTCAAATAGTATAAACAAGATTTCAGAAGGGAATGTTTAACCTACTTAAGAGAACACACTGTTTTCAAGCTATTAGTATCATTTGCATACAATGAATGAGCTAATTGCAGATAAGCCTTATTTCTCCAGTTAATGGGGATCCAGCAGGACCAGTGCTTGGCAACGCTTTGCCAACAGTTAGTTTGTATCACCACATGTTCTTGAAAGGAATAATGTAGCAATTCACTGAAAGCAGTCCCCTATATTCAGATATTTAGGTAATTTTCATTAATTCTCACTAGGCCTTAATTTTGGCATCTACAAAGTAGGGGTAATGCCTATCTCATAGAGTTACTGTGAGGAGTTAATGAGTAAGTTTATGTCTGTAAATGGGAGGTAGATTCACTCTGGCCTTCCCCCAAATTTGATCGAATGAGGAGATAGACTCTAGGCTCAGCTGCGGCTGGGGAGGACCAGGCATCCTGCTGACTGATTCAGCCAACACTGTATTTGTGGAATGAGAACAGCATCACCTTGAACCTGGTGTATTAGTCGGTTTTCATGCTGCTGATAAAGACATACCCAAGACTGGAAAGAAAAAGAAGTTTAATTGGACTTACAGTTCCTCATGGCTGGGGAGGCCTCAGACTCACAGCGGGTGGTAAAAGGCACTTCTTACATGGCAGCAGCAAGAGAAAATGAGGAGGAAGGAAAAGCAGAAACCCCTGATAAACCCATCAGATCTCATGAGAGTTATTCACTATCACAAGAATAGCATGGGAAAGACCCACCCCCACGATTCAGTTACCTTCGCCTAGGTCCCTCCCACGACAAGTGAGAATTCTGGGAGACACAATTCAAGTTGAGATTTGGGTGGGGACACAGCTAAACCATATCACCTGGGCTCTGCTACCAACTAGCTGGGCAACAGGGGGCCAAACTTCTCTAATCTCAAGTGTCTTCTGACAAATAAGCTGGGTGCATTTGCTTTGCGGTTTTAAGCTTTAAAAAAATTTTTTTTTCTTTGCTTGTTTATATTCTGCTGGAGAGGAAAAACTTTTCCTCTACTCTCTTTGGTTCAGTGATTGGAAGTCTGCAAATTAAAGTAACAAAAAAGATAGATTCACAAGAGGAATGATACCATTTTTATTAATATTCATGTAGTTCGCAGAGAATTGAAACTCAAAGAAGTGGTTAGACTTGGGGACTTATATACTCTTTTAAGAGAGGAAAAAATGTTGGGGTTCAAGGGATAAGAAGTTATGGGAAGTAACTAGAAAATATATGGGGAAAATAACGGAAGATAAAGACTATTTGAGTGAAATCTGTTTATGACAAACTCATCTTGGTGTCAACTCCCAGTCTTTGATGTTAAGAGTCCTCCTCTCTCCTGGAACAGGAGTGTGAGGGAACCCATTACTCAAAGAGAAATTTATGTCCTGCTTTTAGGCAGATAAGGGGAGGCCAGAGAACGCTTCCTTCGTCTGTTGAGCCTAAGTTTTCTTCATGTTTTGGAGTGGCATTTTTTTTTTTTGGTAGACATGGGGTCTCACTCTGTTGCCCAGGCTTCAATGCAATCATGGCTCACTGCAGCTTCCAACTCCTGGGCTCAAGTGATCCTCCTGCCTCAGCCTCCCAAGTAACTGGGACTACAGGTGTGTACTGCCATGTCTGGCTAATTTTAATTTTTGTAGAGACAGGGTCTTGCTGCGTTGCCCAGGCTGGTCTCAAACTCTTGGCCTCAAGCAATTCTACCTCAGCCTCCCAAAATGCTGGGATTATAGGCATGAGCCACCATGCCCAGCCTTGGAGTGGCATATTCTGATCTCCTTCGATTTCAAGTGGAACTACAACCTATATAGCCCAGAGTTTTACTGGGTTGAGGGGGTCTGGCCCAGAGACAGAGTCCCCCAGCTGAGCTTCTCCCTTGACTAGGGGGTGGGACCTTGAAGCAATGCCATGGACCTCTGGGAATCCAGATGGAAAAACACTCTTCTCTCATTCATTTCACTAATACTCACTGAGCACCCACCCAGCTTCAGATCCTGTTTCAAGCACAGAACAAATAAATGAAGAAAGAAGACCATTTTGGATAGTCAGAAATGCTATGAAGACAATAAATAGGTGACACAACAGAGAGAGTCTTCAATTGGGGTTCCCAAGAACAGACTCTGAGAAAAGGGTTTGAGTGCAAAATAGTTCATGAAGGAGGTGATTCTGATATAGGTAGGAGGCAGGAGGCAAGGAAATACTGGGTAAAAGAGGGCAGTTCCCCGGCAAAGGCCCCAACCTCAGGCCTGAAAACCCACAGCCCTAAATGAGAACAGGAATTTAGTGCCCAAATGTTACCTTTTGGCCTGCCATGCCCGCCTACCCTGTACCCATATAATTCCCAAACCCCAGGCTCCACAAGCAGACAAGCAGATGAACAGAAGAGCAAAGGAAGAGAAGAGTGGCACAGAAGAGAAGGAGAAAAGAGAAGGGACATCTGAACATTGAGAGAAGTTTGACTGGGGACAGTCAGAGAGGAAATCGACCATAGAATGGCCAAACTCCAGGGGAATATCTTCCCACTCCTTCCCCTTTCCAGGTCCCCATCCATCCTGCTGAGAGCCACCTCCATCACCCAATAAAATCCCCACATTCACCATCCTTCAAGTCCACACATGACCTGATTCTTCCTGGATGCTGGACAAGAACCCGGGTAGCAAGAGGGCACTGAGCTGGTTAACACTTAAGCCATCTTTGGATGGCAGAGCTAACAGACCACTGTAGACTACCCACTGGGGCTTTGAAATTAACAGGCATCCACCCCTAGATGCTACCCTGGGGCCGGAGCCCAAAAACACTCGCCCTGGTTCCTGCACCTGCCTGTCTACGTGCTCCCCCTCCCATAAGGGGTTTGCGCATGTGCTTGAACAGACAAGACACACCCCTGCCACACATCCTGCGAGGTGTGTCGGGGAACTCTCCCATTTCAATTCCAAGAAACATGGATAGTGGAGTGTGGAGTAAAATAAGGAATGGAAAAAAATCACTAAAGAGTGTGTGTGAGACTCAATCCTGTTGGGGAAGTCAGGGAGCCAGTGCAAAGCCTACCTGAGTTATCCCACCAGAGAAGAGAGGGGATTGGGGTATTTAATCACTGGCTCCCATCAGTCAGTGTTTGAGAGCTGTTCTTGGGCAAGAGGGGAGGAACTGGAATTTCCTGACGCTTCTTCCTGCTGCATGTGGGCACCCAGAGAAAGCCCTCAGGCAGAGTCAAAGGTATTAAGACCGAGGGGCTGTACACAGCGTGGGGTCCCTGCAGAAAGTGTAGGGAAGAGAGGTACCAGCTTCAATGGTGTACAACTGCTAATGTTTCTCTCCACTGGAATTCTTTTTCTCAGGGGTGAAGCAGAAGGAATGGACCATGAGATGATGGCTGCTTTCTTTTCTCTTTTTCTTTTGAAGTAATTTCAAGTTAACTGGAGAGTGGCAAGAATAGTCCCAAAACCTTTTCTTCTGAACTTTTTTCTCTATGAGCAGATTGGTGACAGGATGCTTCAACACTCTCAAATTCTTTAGTATTTATTTATTCCCTGCAAATAAGGACATCCTCCCACACAACCACAATACAACCATCAAAATCTAGAAATTAATATTGATATGTTACAACCACGCAACCTGCCAACCCCAACTATCTTAATAATGTCCTTTGCAGCAAACTAATCCAATCAGGGTCCTACATTACATGCATCACCAGAGGTCATTTCCGTCTCCTTCAATCTGCAGCAACTCCACTGACTTTCATGACCTTGACACTTTCAATGATTTCTAGCCAGATATTTTGTAGAACATCCCTCCATTTGGGTTTGCCTAATGTTCCTCCATAATTAGATTCAAGTTATGCATTTTGGCAGGACTTATCACAAAAGTGCTGCTGTGTTCTTCTCATTGCATCCTGTCAGGTGACATGCAATTTTGATGTGTCCCATTACTGGCAGCATTGATCACTTGATTGAGGTAGCATCTGCCAGCTTTCTGCATGTAAAGTTACTCTTTTCCCTATATAAGTAACAAGTATTTTGTGGTGAGATATTTTGAGACTCTGTAAGTAACCTGTGCCTCATCAAACTTTCACCCACTGGTTTTAGTAGCCATTGATATTTCTTGGCAGAAATTAGTTATTACTATGATGGTTGCCAAATGGTGATTTCCTAATTTTATCATTCCTTCTACAGTTATTAGTTGGCCTTCTACAGTAATACCTTTCTCTTCCCCCCATTATCTATTTATTTATGTATATCCATGCGGACTCATGGACTTCTCTTTTATTCAAGGATTATAATCTCCTTTAACATAGTTTATGTTGAGGTTCAAATTGCTTCAGATCTGGCCAGTGTGCACGCCTTTAAGCTAGCTTCTGTATAGCTTTGTTCTGTAGGGGAAAAAAGAGCCACATAGGAACATGGTTAAAGATGAAGTCTAGGCTGAGTGCGGTGGCTCACGCCTGTAATCCCAGCACTTTGGGAGGCCAAGGCGGCCAGATCACTAGGTCAGGAGATCAAGACCATGCTGGCTAACACGGTGAAACCCTGTCTCTACTAAAACTACAAAAATATTAGCCAGGCATGGTGGTGGGTGCCTGCAGCCCCGGCTACTCGGGAGGCTGAGGCAGGAGAATGGCGTGAACCCGGAAGGCGGAGCTTGCAGTGAGCTGAGATCCCACCACTGCACTCTAGCCTGGGTGACAGAGCGAGACTCCATCTCAAAAAAAAAAAAAAAAAAGATGAAGTCTAGCTTCTGCCTGATTCCACAGAGAGTTCTGGTGCACACCGCCTGACCCCAGCCAGTTACGGGAGGGATGGCTTCAATCATTCCAGGTCATTCCTCCTGAGAAGGCAGCAATTTGCACAGGACCTGGGGGATGGGCAATCTACTATAAAAAGGAAGCCAGGGATCTGGGTGTGGCACCAACAGCGCCTGCTACATGTCCATTTTCTCTAAGTTTGAATAGAACACATACTTATATTTCGTTCAACTAAGTTTTTCTCTAAAGGACCAGATAGTCAACATTCTAGGCTTTGAAGGCCATATGGTCTCTCTCACAATTGCTTAACTCTGTCCTTCTAGCACTCAGGCAAGCATGGACAATATGTAAGTGAACGGGTGTTGTGTTTCTATAAAACTTTATTGACAAAGCAGGCAGAGGGCCAGATTTGGCCCATGGGCTATATTTCGCAGGTCCTTGCAGCCTCTTCTGCCAGGTTATAAGTCCAAACAAATTTAGGCACTTTACCATGATCAACTTATGGACATTCCCTCTAAAACACCAAGTTTCACCTGTGCCAGCCCCTCCCATTGTTTTTCAAGCCCTAAGTAAAGCCACCAAACAGAGCGGATGAGATCAGTTTTCTCCCAGTTTGGGACCTGGAACTGGATTAAGGAGCAAATTGGTCAGTCAAGGGTTCACACCCTCTAAGGACCCTGAACACATTACTGGAATCTTAAGGAGATGGAGAAAATTGAACAGAGAAGCTTAAAAAGATGACAACATCACATGCAGAAGAATGAATTTGGATTCCTGCCTCACATTGTATATAAACATTCACTCAAAATGGATCAAAAACTTAAACGTAAGCCTAAAACTATAAAATTCTATAAAAAAAAAAAAAGGCATGAATCTTTCCTACCTTGGATTAAGAAATGGTTTCTTGGCCGGGTGCGGTGGCTCACGCCTGTAATCCCAGCATTTTTGGGAGGCTGAGGCGGGCAGACCACGAGGTCGGGAGAGGGAGACCATCCTGGCTAACATGGTGAAACCCCATCTCTACTAAAAATACAAAAAATTAGCCGGGCGAGGTGGTAGGCGCCTGTAATCCCAGCTACTCGGGAGGCTGAGGCAGGAGAATGGCGTGAACCTGGGAGGCGGAGCTTGCAGTGAGCCGAGATCGCGCCACTGCACTCCAGCCTGGGCGACAGAGCCAGACGCTGTCTCAAAAAAAAAAAAAAAAAAAAAAAAAAAAAATAAAGAAAGAAAGAAAGAAAGAAAGAAAGAAAGAAAGAAAGGAAGAGAGAGAGAGAGAGAGAGAGAGAGAGAGAAAGAAAGAAAGAAAGAAAGAAAGAAAGAAAGAAAGAAAGAAAGAAAGAAAGAAAGAAAGGGTTTCTTAAATATGGCACCTAAAACACAAGCAACCAAAGAAAAAATAGATAAACTCAACTTCATCAAAATTGAAAACTTCTATGCATCAAGCAACACTGTGTTGGTTAATTCTATGTGTCAACATGGCAAGCCTACCATATTCCATTACTTATGCAAAGCACTAGTCTAGATGCTGTTGTGAAGGTATTTTGTAGATGTGGTTAACATCTACAATCAGTTGACTTTACGTAAAGGAGATTAAACCTCCATAACATGGGTGAGCCTCGTCCAATCATTTGAACGCCTTAAGAACAAAACCTGAGGAATGTGGAAGAAAAAAGAAATTCTGCCTTAAGATTACATCATTAATTCCGTCTGTGTTTCCAGCCTGCTGGCTTGCCCTAGGAATCTCAGACTTGCCAGTTCCCACAATTCCTTAAAAGAAATATTTTTCTGTTACTTCTATTGCTTCTGTTTCTCTGGAAAACCCTGACTGGTTCAGACACTATCAAGAAAGTAGGCTAGGCACAGTGGCTCATGCCTGTAAACCCAGCACTCTGAGAGGCCAAGATAGGCAGATCCCCTGAGGTCAGGAGATTGAGACCATCCTGGCCAACATGGTGAAACCCCATCTCTACTAAAAATACAAAAATTAGCTGGGCAGGGTGGCGTGCACCTATAGTCCCAGCTACTCGGGAGGCTGAGGCAGGAGAATAACTTGAACCTGGGAGCCAGAGGTTGCAGTGGGCCAAGACCGTGCCACTGCACTCCAGCCTGGTGACAGAGTGAGACTCTGTCAAAAAAATGAAAGAAAGAAGGAAAGAAAGAAAGAGAGAGAGAGAGAAACGAAGGAGGGAGGGAAGGAGGGAGGGAGGGAGGGAAGGAAAGAAGGAGGGAAGGAAGGAAGGGAGGGAAGGAGAAAGAACCAAGAAAGTAAAAAGATAATCCACACAATAATAAGAGAAAATATTTACAAATCATATATCTGATAAGGGTCTACTATCCAGAATATATAACAAATTCCTATAACTCAATAGTAAAAAAAATTGAAAAGTGGGCCAACATTTTTAATAGACATATCTGCACAGAAAATATACAAATGGCCAACAAGCACACAAAAAGATGCTCAACATCATTAGTCATCAGGGAAATGCAAATTGAAACCACAAGATACTACTTCACATCCCCTAGGATGGCTACACTTTCAAAATAAAAAATAACACGTGTAGGCAAGGATGTCAAAAAATCAGAACTCATAAATTCCTGGTAGGGGGGTAAAATGCAGTAGCCACTGTGGAAAATAGTTTGAAAGTTCATCAGAGAGTTAAATAGAGTTGCCATATGATCCAGCAATTCCACTCCCAGGTATATACCCAAGAGAATGGAGAACATATGTTCACACAAAAACTTGTGCACGAGTGTTCATAGCAGCATTATTCATAATAGCCAAAAAGTGGAAACAGCCCAGATGTCTATCAAGTGATAAATGGATAAACAAAATGTGGCATAGCCATAAAAAGTAACAAAGTACTGATATACACTACAACATGGATAAACCTTGAAAATATTATGCAAAATTTAAGGAGCTACACAAAAAGACCACATATTGCAAGATTCCTTTTATACAAAATGTCCAGAACAGGAAAAATGCAGATACACAGAACATATGAGTGGTTGCCAAGGGCTAGAAAGAAGGCGAAATGAAAGGTGACTGCTAATGTGTACAGAGTTTCTTTCTGGGGTGATAAAAATATTCTAGAATTAAAAAGTGATGATAGTTGCACAACTCTGTGAATATACACAAAAAGAATTGCTGAGTCGTACACTTTAAAATAGTAAATTTGATGGTGTGTTTGTGCATTTTCACACTGCTGTAAAGATACTACCTGAGACTGGATAATTTATAAACAAATGAGGTTTAATTGACTCAGTTCTGCATGGCTGGGAAGACCTCAGGAAACTTACAATAATGATGGAAGGTGAAGGGGAAGCAGGCACGTCTTGTATGGTGGCAGGTGAGAGAGAGAGAGAGAAGGAGGAAGTGCCACTTTTAAAACCATCAGATCTCAGGAGAACTCACTCACTATCATGAGAACGGCATGAGGGAAACCACCCCCATGATCCAATCACTTCCTACCAGGCCCCTCCCTCAACATGTGGGGATTACAATTCGGATTACAATTCAAGATGAGATTTGGGTGGGGACACAGAGTCAAACCATATCAGATGGTATGTGAATATCTTAACTTTTTAAAAAGAAATGATAGAGGCTTATTTTAGCTGACAAGCATTATTAATTACTCACCCCAGCAGCTCGTGCTGGCCCCAGCAGTAGTAGAATCCTCAATTTTTATCTGAATGTATGGCCATCTGGGATAAAGAGCTCCTTTCCCATAGCCTGTAGCTAGATGTGGCCAAATTCTGGCCTAGAAAAATTGCTGGCCTTCCCTCCCTAAGCAGGGAGGAAACCTGCCTTTTTCCACCCTTTCCCTTTCATATTGCCCAGAACATGCCATGATACTTGGTACTCAAGCAACTGTCCTGGACCATGAATTGACAACCAAACATGGTGTTAGCAAGACAGAAGGAACGTAGGTCCCAGATATTGATGAACTGCCATGTTCAGTCCACTGCCTACCTTAGACTTCTTTTACAGTAGAGAGAAATACACATCTTTCCTATTGAAAGAAGAAAGAAAAGATGACAGTGTGTATTTCACTCATGCATCTGCAATTTGCTCATGCAGCAGCTCATATCTGCATTAGTCAGCATCAGCTGGACTGGCTTGAAGCCTGGGAGCTAGAATCACCTGTGAGTGAATAAGACTGGAGGGTGATGGTGACTGTTGGCTGGGATCTTAGCTGGGGCTGTCAGAGAGAACACTTAAACACACCCTGTCTGTGTGACCTGGACTTCCTCACAACATGGTGACTGAGGTTCTTTTGTGGTTGTTTTTTGTTTGTTTTTGAGACAAGATCTGTTGCCCAGGCTGGAGTGCAGTGGTGCAATCACAGCTCACTGCAGCCTCAACTTCCCTGGGCTCAAGCAGTCCTTTCATCTCTGCTTCCCAAGTAGTTGAGACTATGGGTACCCACCACCACACTGACTATTTTTGGGGTTTTTGGGGTTTTTGTTAGCTTTTTTGTTTTTGTTGTTTTTTTTTTTTTGGTAGGGACAGGGTCTCACCATGTGACCCAGACTGTCTCAAACTCCTGAGCTCAAGTGATTCTCCCACTTTGGCCTCCAAACTTGCTGGAATTACAGGCTTGAGCCACTGCACCTGTCAAAGTGACTGAGTTTTTAAAGGGAGAAACAGAAAGATCCCCAGGCAGAAATTGTATCACCTTTTATGACCTGGCTGCAGAAGTCATGCATTTTCACTGCATTCTATTCTTTAGATACGAATCCCTAGGTCTTGGTCGTTAGTGTTGTTCAAATAATCCATATCTTTACTGATTTTTTGTCAACTTATTTTATCAATTACTGATACCGGAGTAATATGAGCTTTCTATTGCTGCTATAACAAACTGCCACAAAACGTGCAGCTTAAAACAACTTAAATGTATCATCATGCAATTCTGTAGGTCAGAACAGTTTGAGATGCGTCTTAGTGGGCTAACATCAAGGTGTTGGCAGGACTGCTTTCTTTTCTGGTGGCTCTGGGAAATTACCTGTTGTCTTGCCTCTTCCAGCTTCCAGAAGCTGCCTTCATTCCTTGGTTTGTGGTCCCTTCCACCATCTTTGAAGCCAACAATGGCAGATTGAGTCTATCTCACATTGCATCACTTGACCTCCTCTTCTTCCTCCCTCTTCCTCATTCCACTTTTGAGGATCCCTGGGATTACATTAGGCCAATTCAACCTAGGATAACTTCCCTATGTTGATGTCAGCTATTAGGTTGGTGAAAATAATGGCAAAAACCACAATTACTTTTACACCAACCTAGTAATTATCAACCTTAATTCTAGCTGCAACTTTAATTCTCATTCACCGTGTAAGGCAACAGATTCATGGGTTCCAGGGAGTAAGACATGATCAGCCTTGGAGGCCCATTATTCTGCTTACCACAGGAATGCTGAAATCTTTGACCATAATTACATAGTTGTATTTCTTCTTGCAGTTCTATTAGTTTTTGCTTCATGAATTTTAAGTCCTATTATCAGTTGCAAAAAGATTTAGGATTATCGTATCTTCTTGATGAATTGATCCCTTTTTCATGATGATATATTTCTCTCATATTTCTTGTCCTGAAATCTCCTTTGACTGATATTAATACAGCCACTTTGACTTTCTTTTGATTAATGTTAGCATGGTATATCTTTTTCATCCTTCTTTTTACTTTTGTCTTTATATTTAAAATAGGTTTTGGCTGGGCATGGTGGCTCATGCCAAAACCAATCACTAACACTAACCTATATTAGCACTTTGGGAGGCCGAGGCAGGAGGATCACTTGAGCTCAGGAGTTTGAAACCAACCTGGGCAACATAGTGAGACCTCATCTCTACTAAAAATAAAAAATAGGCTTCTTCACAAGAGATGCCAGCTCATACCAGTCAGAATGTCTATTATTAAAAAATCAAAAAATAACAGGTATTGGTAAGCCTGTGTAGAAAAGGGAACACTTATACACTGTTGGCAGGAAAGTAAATTAGTTCAGCCCCTGTGGAAAGCAGTTTAGAGATTTCTCAAAGAACTAAAAATAAAACTACCATATTCAACCCAGCACTCCCACTACTGGGAACCTACTCAGAGGAAAAGAAATCATTCTACCAAAAGGCATCAGCACTCATATGTTTATTGCAGCACTATTCACAATAGCAAAGTCATGGAATCAACCTAGGTGCTCATCAATGGTGGATTGGATAAAGAAAATATGGCACATATACAGAATCCTACGCAGCCATGAAAAAGAATAAAATTGTGTCCTTTGCAGCAACCTGGATGTAGCTAGAGGCCATTATCCTAAGTGGATTAATGCAAGAACAGAAAATCGAATACCACATGTTCTCACTTGTAAGGGGGAGCTAAACAGTAGGTACATCCAGGCACAAAGATGGAAATAACAGACACAGGCAACTTCAAAAGAAAGGACAGTGACAAGGATTGAAAAACTACCAACTGGGTACTATGTTCACTGTTTGGGTGATGGGTTCAATAGAAGCCCAAGCCCCATAGTTACTCAGGCACCCACTGAATCTAAAATAAAATAAGTTTCTTAAAGACAGCATTTGATTAGGCCTTGCACCCTTTTTTATTGAAACCGAAAGTCTGTGACTTTTAATTAGTATCATTAGACCATTTATATTTAAAGTAATTAACAATATGGTTGTGTTTGAATATTCCATCTTGCTATTTGTCTTCCACTGATTTCATCTGTTATTTTTTCCTTATTTCCTCTTTTCCCACCTTCTTTTGCATTCATGTTTTATTATTTCCTTTTATTTCCATTCTTGGCTTATTAACTATATTTCCTTTTTGGTATTGTTTTGTTTTTCAGAGGTTGCTCTTGAGTTTACAATATACGTTTTTAACTTGCTGCCATTGAAAAATATTACTTCACACATGGGGTAAAAATCATAAACAGTGTTCTTTTATCCCACGCTCCCATCTTTTGTGCTGGTGTTATCATACATTTTATTTCTGCAGATGTTACAAACTCCAAAATACATTGTTATTTTTACTTTAGCCAGTAATCTTTTAAAGAGATTTAAAAACTATAAAAATATATATTTTATACTTATCCACATATTTACCATTTCTGGCACTTTTTATTCCTTTGCATAGACCCAATTTCTATCTGGTGCCATTTTTCTTCTGCCTGAAGAAACTACTTTTACATATCTTATAGTTCAAGTCTACTGGTGATTAATTCTCTAAGATTTTGTTTGTCTGGAAAAAAACTATCTTGCCTTCATTTAAAAAATTGTAGGTATTATTACAAACGGACAGATTGTTTTTATTTCATTATTTTTTAAATGTCACCTTAATAGTCTTCCAGATTACATAGTTTCTTATGAGAAGACTGCTTTCATTCTGATCTTTCTTATTTGATATGTAATGTGTCCCCTTTCCCTGGTTGCTTTTAGTATTTTCTCTTCATCACTGATTTTTAGTGATTGTATTATCATGTGACATAGCTTGGGTTTTCTTTACATTTATGCTTTTGGAGGCAGTTCATTGAGCTTTGGATCTGTGGATTTAGTTTTCATCAAATTTGAAAGGTGGTTCACACCTGTAATCTCAGCAGTTTGTGAGGCCCAAGTGGGTGGATCATTTGAGCCCAAGAGTTCAAGATTAGCCTGGGCAACATGGTGAAACCCCATCTGTACAAAAAAATAAAAAAATGATCTGGGTGTGGTGGCATGCCCCTGTGGTCCCAGCTACTTGGGAGGCTGAGGCAGGAGGATCGCTTGAGCCTGGGAGGCAGAGGTTGCACTGAGCCAAGATTGTGCCACTGCACCCCAGCCTGGGTGACAGAATGAGACTGTCTCAAAGAAACAAAAGCAAACCCAAATCGTGGCTTCCCCAATCTTGGAGAATCTTCCCCCAATCTTGGCTTCCGGACTTACCAGCTTCATGACTTCAGATGCATTATCTCTGTTTCCGAGCCTTAGAGATGAGCCTTAGAGAATAGCCCACTTCGTAAGGCTGCTGTGAGACAAAATGAGGCAGTACGTGCAAAGAACTTTGCACAATGCCTGGCACATCAACGACCTTGATGAATATTAGCTGCCGTAGAAAGAGGAATGGACGGTCCATACTGGCCACCAGGCTGCAAGTCTTATTGCTGATGTGCAGAAGAGAGTCGACTGCAGGTTGGCTCTCCACTGGGCCTTCTCCCTTCAGCCTATCTCAGCACAGTTTATATAACCAGACCAGCAAATTCAGGTTTCTCATCAGCACCTAGCACATGAATTTGTTTCTACATGGATTCCCGACATAAAACACTGTCTGACTGAATAAAGGAAGGAAAGCTCATCTGGCTGATTCGTTTGTTGACTGTTTTTATACAAGTAACTCTTGCAAACAAGGGGAGGCAGGAATCTCTATTTGAACTGACTTCTGTGTACTGTGGCCAGCTGGGATGCTGGCCAAATTTTCTAGGCTGGAAATGAAAAAGAAATATTATTTTCTTGTCCGTAGGAACCAATCTACCTTCAGGCCTGTGTATTTCATAAGGGTCACTGCTAGATTCCATATTTTGTTGATTTGAGGGAGTCTGGGGCAACATTCCAAACCTTTTTCTAAATGTTGTTAGCATTATTGTCCATGTAAATGAAGGTTTGTTTCATGGTTTCTGCTAAGATGACCATTTCAGATGGCAACCATCCCTCGTCATGGGCTGGTCCCCCTTTCATCACTAAAAGGCTGATAAGCCAGAGGAAGGCAGATGGTGCTGGGTACTGGTGGGCTCACAATTCCTGGCACAAAAAAAAAAAAAAAAAAAAAAAAGCAGAATGTTGCAGTCAGTCTCCCCTGGTGGTCTTGGTCACACTAAGACTAAGAAAGAGTTTGTTTGTTTGTTTGTTTGTTTGTTTTTGTTTTTGTTTTTTTTTTGAGACAGAGTCTCGCTCTGTCGCCCAGGCTTGAGTACAGTGGTGCGATCTCAGCTCACTGCAAGCTCCGCCTCCCGGGTTCACGCCATTCTCCTGCCTCAGCCTCCCGAGTAGCTGGGACTACAGGCGCCCGCCACCACGCCCGGCTAATTTTTTGTATTTTTAGTAGAGGCGGGGCTTCACCGTGTTAGCCGGGATGGTCTCGATCTCCTGACCTCGTGATCCGCCCGCCTCGGCCTCCCAAAGTGCTAAGAAAGAGTTTTGAAAATGGAAGACAGAAGAATGAAAAAGCAATTATTGTTAACCCTCCCATTAACTGGGCCATGTTACAATGGAGGAGGAAGGGATCGCTTTGCACATAAGACACCTCTGCCCTTTCTTTGGTCGGCTGCTCACCTGGCCACTTTGGGGCTGGGACTAGAAACATCTTGTGACCAAGGCATGGCGAAAGGAAAAGGGTCACCTGCTCAGAGGAAGTGTATCAGGTCGTCTAGAAAACAATGGCACACTCATTTCTGTATATGCTGTGCCATGTTTTTGTCTCTTAAAAGGCCACATGCCTCCCCACTTTGTAGAGAATTTAGCAAGCAAGATCCTCCTCAAATTCATAGTTGCCGATGACATTTAGCCTGACTCCTGGGCTCAGAGCTCAGCTTGAGTGTTGGGTTTAAGAACACAGAAACAGTCTGTTCTCTTAAGCAGATCAACTACCATTCCCCTGCCTTTGGTGCATGCCATTGGTGCATAAATGATGCTAATTTAATCCCACATACATTGCCTAAGACTTAGCCTCCAACTGCTAGGGCTGGGTGGGCAGTGTGTGTGTGTGTGTGTGTGTGTGTGTGTGTTGGGAGGGGTGTGTGTGTGTGTGTGTGTGGTGTGTGTGTGTGTGTTTGGAGGTGAGGTACAGGGATAAAAAAAATAAAACACAGTGAATTCCTTTAAAATAAAACACAGTGACTGCCCTTAAAAACTCACCCCTGGAGACCATCCAGCAGATGCTTTTAGGATGCTCAAGGCTGAGACAGCCAACAAATTGACCCCAGATTCTCCCTGTCACCCCCAGAGATTCATACTGCTGGGTTCCCTAGAGCGCCTACTGCCATCTTGTGGGAGCACAGGAAGCATGGAGGAAAAAGGACACATAGTTTGGGGGACAGTTGGAGATGTCCACACCCTCTGCCTCCCCCTACCACTTTCCTGTGTCACCAGGGTAACCAACACATCACCCACAGTCCCCGCAGGTACAGAAAGCCAGGCAGCCGGAAGGTGAACGCTGATGAAAGATGCTATCTGGAAAACTAGTGCCAAGCCAAGCTGACATAATTAGCTGTATTTGTGGTCCTTGAGGTTTGGCAAGTGAGGATGGGGTGGGAGGAGAATTGGGGAGGGGGTATCTTCTTCCAAAGCCTCGGAATAAAGAGAGCAATTTGGATGGCTTCCAGTTAGCGATAGCAACTTTCTGAGTGGCTATCTAATTAGTGCCTGCCCAGCTTCTGAAAGACGGCTGCACACAGCAAATAAAACAGGGACGCTTGGCTTCCCCTTAGCTCCAGCCCATGGACTTTCAGGATGTCGACAGCTTCAGATTCAGCATTCGTCGCCACTATTCCAATGCGTGGGGCCGTTTTTCCAAAAAAAAAAAAAAAAAAGTGTCATTCACATCATTGGTGTTTGGAGTGCAGCTTGATAATGTTGTTGACATCCCAAATACCCCAGAGCCATGTCAGAGAAGATGTTAGTTCTCTGAGGTTGATGGGGAAAGGAGGAAGATGGATGCAACAACAAACATCCCTTTAATTGGTTTTAAATTTTCCAGTGAGCCAAAGTTTCTTCTGTTTGATCTTGAGCAAGTGGATTACCCTAGATTATTCTCAGTTTCCTCATCTGTAAAAGAGGGTTGATAATCAGCACAACCTGAAAGATTGCTGTGCGAGTCTATGACAAGGGTATAGTTTGGTAGATGTTCAGGAAATGGTCCATGATGATGCTGACAATAACAACAATAATGGTGATGATGACAATTATCATGATGGGATGGTGACGATGATGGGGAAGGTGAAAATGACAGTGACGATACCTGCTTCCCCTCAGCGATCTTGTTTCCTAGAGTGAGGAGGTTATAAAAGACAGACCATTGGTAGATGAGCTCATGCACTGCTCCTCATTGTACAATGAGGCAAAATAAGGGCAGTTGCCATATGGAGAGAGTACTTGACCATTTTTGAAGTGCTTCCACACATGCTATCTCATTTACACCATTCCACTGTTCTGTGAGGAAGTTACTATGACCACCCTTAGTTTACAGATGAAAAAAAACCATGAGACTCAGAAGATTAAGGCCCTTGCCCAAGGTTCCACCAGTGATAAGTAAAATAGCCAGGTCTTAAACTTGAGCCTTGAGGCTTCAAACCTGATGTTCTTCCTGTGGCACAAATAGTGCCTCCCATTAGATGTGCCACAGCTTCAGTAGCGACAGCAGCTCCAGCCCCGCCTGAGCAATGCTAGCACCTCCCCCAGGAGACTGTTGCCGTCGGCCAGCCCCCTTCTCCACGGTAACCATGTGCCACCGAGAGACCATGATCAAAAATGCAGACATGTCGGAAGAGATGCAACAGGACTCGGTGGAGTGCGCTATTCAGGCACTGGAGAAATATAACATAGAGAAGGATATTGCAGCTCATCTTAAGAAGGAATTTGACAAGAAGAACAATCCCACCTGGCATTGTATCGTGGGGAGGAACTTCGGTAGTTACATGACACGTGAAATCAAACACTTCATCTACTTCTACCTGGACCAAGTGGCCATTCTCTTGTTCAAATCTGGTTAAAAGCATGGCCGGGTGTAGTGGCTCATGCCTGTAACTCCAGCTGTCGACATCCTGAAAGTCCATGGGCTCGAGGCGGGTGGATCATGAGGTCAGGAGATCGAGACCATCCTGGCCAACATGATAAAACCCCATTTCTACTAAAAATACAAAAAGCTGGGTGTGGTGGCACGTACCTATAATCCCAGCTACTAGGGAGGCTGAGACATGAGAATCATTTGAACCCAGGAGGCAGAGGTTGCAGTAAGCCGAGATCGTGCCACTGGACTCCAGCCTGGCAACAGAGTGAGACTCTGTCTCAAAATAATAATAATAATAATTGCTCTCCTGCAGGCCAGGGCTTTGAGTATGCCCAGACTGCACCAAGGCAGGTGATGTCTGATGGGCACATGGAACTCTGAATCCCCCTGCCCAGCCACCAGAATCTGGCCCATCCGTGGCTTTTCTTGGAAGTATCTGGGCAATGGTATGTATGTTGTATAAGAACCTACCTTCTCCTTTCGTCAGAACAAACCCAGATCTCCCAATTTGAGTTCTTGCGAGAGAAACCTCAGATTTGAGCAAGGGCAGTGGATAACAAAACAGGCCAACTCTGTGGGCTGTAACATCCAAGCTGACCTCTTCACTAACATATCTTGCACCCTGTACCCCTCCACATGATCTCTCTCTCTCCAGGAGGATAGTTGGATTTCTTACATGACTACTCAGGGCTCGCAAGAGCACAAAAGCAGAAGCTTCCTGGACTTCACTTCTTCTGCATTTCTAGCTAAAGCAAGTCAGTAGGCCAGCCCTGATCCAACATGGGATTAAATTACACAAGGAAATAAATACAGGGAGGTGTGGGTCATGGCAGCCAACCAAGCAAATAGTAAGAACTCCCAGCTGCTCAATCTAGCACATTGAATCCAGATTCTGTGGAAAATCCCCCCAAAGAATAAATCAAAGATTAATTCAGAAATGTTATGTAAAATTATGTTTTTCTATTCCTGGTCTAACACATTCTGAGTCTATGCCCACCTATCTCCCCATTTTCTGCTAACAAGAATTTCCAAAAAAAATCACTCTTTAGGTGCATACAATGCTTGGGTCTAACTTTAAGCACAGCTCTAGAGATAGACTAGATGCAGTGGAGGTGGTCAGGAAGAAACATGGCTTCCTCTTACAAAGTGGTCATCCCAGAATTTTCAAACAAGGCAAGATTCGCTGACATGGGAGGCTCTGTGAACTGGGGATTGCTTCAGCCACTAAAAGCTTCTCCAAAAGTCTACATTTTAGAGCTGAGTCCCACTCTTTTAATGCATGTGCTTGCTGTCACTCAAGAGACCCATAAGGCTATGAATTCAACTTATATTGTAGTTCAGCAGCCTGTGGTTCAAGCAATGCAACTAATTTTCAACTATGCTAGATCTACGTCTAACAGAGATGAGAAATTACATTTAAAGCAGCCATAGAAGTTTTCTGGTTCTCTTAAGTGGCCTGGAGTCATGAATACAGAATGCTGAGTTTATTGTTTTCTTCCTTTAAACTCTACAGTATAGTTAGAAGTAGTTAACATACCCCACTGTGCTTATATTAGGAGCACTTCAAAAAGTCCCATCCCCAGAGAAGTGTCACAATTTTACCTAACTGGCAGCTCCCTGAAAAAGCCATATTTGCAAATATTCTCATTATTTAACCCGAGACAGAATTTGATAACTGGAAAAAGTCATATCCCAGAGAATTTGTTAAAAAAAAAATGGTGGAAATTATTGAACATCACAGACCAGTTGGAAGAAATAAGAAGTTGATCAAAAACTTAATGTTTAGGAAATGAGATGTTCATAGGGAACTTTGAAAACCTCCAACATATCCCTGGGAATCTGGAATGCCATGAACAGGTGCATGGCTGTGCATGTGCCCAGAAGACACCAAGTAAGGTCTTAATCTCTCACCTCTGGATGACCTGAGACCCTACACAAGCAGGAAGTGAGAGTAAAGCAGAGTTGTAAACTGACAGAACATTGAAGATGCACACAGAGCTCCTTGACAAAGGGCAGAAGTCCTATTTGTTCAAGACATTTAAGGGACTCTGTCTAATCATTAGCTTGACACTAGGCTAAACAGGCAGCCACACATGACAAGTAATTTAGACTTTATACAGTTAGTCCAGAAATGTCACTAAACAAACATATAGGGGGAAAGAAACATCAACAGCCACAAACCCTGGGGAAGTAATCCAATTTCTAGAGTAGCCACATTATATTATTAAAAATGTACCGTTTTCAACAAAAAAAAATTAAGACACACAAAGAAACAGCAAAGAATGGCTCATACACAGAGAAATAGGCAACCAAACTGTCTTTAAAGAACTAAATGTTGAACTTACTAGGAATAGCCTTTAAATCTACATTATAAATTAAATATATTCAAATAAATAAATAAAATTATGTTTAAAGAATTTAAGGAAAGTGTAAGAACAATGTCTTATGAAATAGAAAATACAAAAAAAGAGATAGAAATTATAAGACGAACCAAATAGAAATTCTGAAGTTGAAAATTAAAACAGAAAGGAAGAATTTACTAGAAGAGCCCAGTAACAGATTTGGATTATCCTTTCGCGGAACAGAAAGTAAAATGAACAATGATAAATAAACAGAGTCTCAGAGACCTATGAGACATAATCAACCATACCAACATATGAATAGTGAGAGTCTCAGCAAGAGAGGAAAAAATAAAGAGCAGAAAAAAAAATTTGAAGAAATAATGGCAGAAAATGTCCCAAATATAATTTTTTTAACCATGGTAATCTGTGCATTTGGAAGCTCAGTGAACCCAAGGAGGATAAATCCAAAGAGATCCACACCTAGACAAATGTAGTCAAAAGAGATAGACAAGGCCAGGCACGGTCGCTCATGCCTATAATCCCAGCACTTTGGGAGGCTGAGGCAGATGGATCATGAGGTCAGGAGATTGAGACCATCCTGGCCAACATGGTGAAACCCCGTCTCTACTAAAAATACAAAAATTAGCCAGATGTGGTGGCGTGCGCCTGTAGTCCCAGCTACTCAGGAGGCTGAGGCAGAAGAATTACTTGAGCCTGGGAAGTGGAGGTTGCAGTGAGCCAAGATCATGCCAGTGGACTACAGCTTGGGCAACAAAGTGAGACTCCATCTCAAAAAATAAATAAATAAATAAAAAGAGAGAGAGACAAAGAGAGAATCTTGAAAGTAGCAAGAGAGAAGAAGTAACTCATCACATACAAGGGATTATCAATAAGATTAACAGCTGATTTCTCATCAAAAACCGTGGATGCCAGAAGGCAGTGGGATGGCATATTGAAAATAATGGCCAAAAAACCTGACAACCAATAATTCTATATCCAGCAAAATTATCCTTTAAAAATGAAGAAGAAATTAAGCCATTTTGAGATAAATTAAAGCAGAATTTGCTGCTAGAAGACCAAAAAAATATTAAATGAAGTCCTTCAGGTTGAAATGAGAGGATGCTAGACAGGTAATTTAAATCCACAGAAAGAAACAAGGATAACTGTAAAAGTAACTGCATAAGTAAATATGCAAGATACTATAAATGTATTTCTTATAAATTTCTGCTTCTATCTGATTTAAAAGTTAACTATATGTAGCAATATTTTTAAAAACTATGTTAAAGATATTATAATATATAAGGATGTAATTCATATGAGAACAATAGCACAAAAGAGAAGTGAGGTAGTATTGGTTGGTGCAAAAGTAATTACCATTTTTGCCATTACCTTTAATGAGAAAAAACTCCATTAGTTTTGCATCAACCTACATAGAACTATATTGGGGCAATGATTTGTATTCAGTTATGCATCGCTTAACAATGGGGATCTTTTTGAGAAATACGTCTTTAGGTGATTTCATCATTGTGCAAACATCATAGAGTGTACTTACACAAACCTACAGAGTGTAGCCTGCTACAACCTAGGCTGTACGATGTAGCCTATTACTCCTAGGCTACAAGCCTGTATAGCATGTTACTACATTGAATACTGTAGACAGTTGTAACACAATGGTAAGTATTTGTGTATCCAAATATAGAAAAGATTCAGTAAAAATATAATCCAACAGATTTTTTTTAAAGGTACACCTGTAGAAGGCACTTATCATGAATGGGAGTTTGCAAGACTGAAAGTTTCTCTGGGTGAGTTAATGAATGAGTTGTGAATGAATGTGAAGGCCAAGAACATAACCATATACTACTGTAGACTTTATAAACTATACATTTCAGCTACACTAAATTTATTTTTTAAATTTCTTTCTTCAATAATAAACTAAACTTAGCTCACTGTAACTTTTTTATTTTATAAATTTTAAATGTTTTTAGCTTTTTGACTCTTTTGTAAACCAAATGCAAACACATTGTACAGATGCATAAAAATATTTTTATATCCTTATTCTATAAACTTATTTCTGTTATTTACATTTTTATTTTATTTTTTTTTTTTTACTTTTTACACTTTTTTTTGTTAAAAATAAAGACAAATACATTCTTAGCCTAAGCCTACAAGGGGTCAGGATCATCAGTATCACTGTCTTCCACCTCTACATCTTGTCTCACTGGAAGGTCTTCAGTAACATACACGAAACTGTCATCTCTTATGATAACAATGTCTTCTTCTGGAATATCTCCTGAATGATCTGCCTGGGGCTGTTTTACAGTTGACTTTTTTTTTAGTAAATAGAAGGAGTACACTCTAAAATAACCATAAAATATATGGTATAGTAATATATAAACTAGTAATATAGTCATTTATTATCATTATCAAGCATTACATGCTACACGTAATTGTATGTGATATACTTGTATATGACTGGCAGCACAGTCATATAACTGCATCACCACAAACACGTAAGTAATGCATTATGATATGATCTTACAATGACTATGACATCACTAGGCAATAGAAATTTTTCAGCCCTATTATAATCTTATGAGACCACATCATGTATGAGGTCCATCATTGACCAAAATGTTATGCAGTGCATGACTGTATTGTCTAAGTTAAGTTGGTATTAACCTGAACTAGATTGTTTTAATTTAAGGTGGTAACTGTAACATCCAGAGCAACTAATGAGAAAATAACTAAAAATAAAGTGAAAGGAATGAAAACGGTGTGCTAGAAAACATTTGCTTAATACAAAAGAAGGCATTAATGGAGAAATAGAGAAACAAAAAGACGTAAGACATATATAAAACAAATAGCAAGACGGGAGATGTAAATCCTATCTTATCGTTAGTTACATTAAGCACAGACAGGTTAAACACTCCAATCAAAAGGCAGATATTGCCCAAATGACTTTCTAAAAATGATTCAACTCTACGCTGTCTGCAAGAGACTCATTTTAGATTCAAAGACACAAACGAAATTACAAAAACAATTCCACTTGCAATAACACCAGAAAGAATAAAATGCTTAGAAATAAATTAAACAAAAGAACTGCAAGACTTGTACATTGAAAGCTATGAACCATTGTTGAAATGAATTAAAGACCTAAATCAATGGCAAAACATCTCATGTTCATGGACTGAAATACTTAATATTGTTAAATTGGCAATACTTTCCAAACTGATCTACAGAATCAAAACAATTCCTATTCCAATCCCAGCTGCCTTTTTTGCAGAAATTGACAAGCTGGTCCTACAATCCATATGAAAATACCAGAGATCCCAAATAGCCAAAACAACCTTAATAAATAAGAACAAAGTTGAGGGACTCAACTTTCCCAATTTCAATGCTTACTACAAAGCTACAGTAATCAAGACAGACTTATAAAAACAGACACATCAATCAATGGAACAGAATTCAGAGTTCAGAAATAAACATCTATAGTCAATTGAGTTTTGAAAAGGATGCCAAGATAATTCAATGGAGAATATTAGTCTTTTCAACATATGGCGCTTAATATTCACATGTAAAAAAAATGAATTTGGATTCCACCATATAAAAAATTAACTCAAAAGTGGTCAAAGGCCTAAGTGTAAAATCTAAAACTATGAAACACTTAGAAAAAAATAAGTGTAAAACTTTTATGACCTTGGATTAGGCAATGGTTTACTTATATGCATATCACATCTAAAGCATAGAAAAAAAATACATAAATTCGACTTCATAAAAATTAAAACTTTTGTGCATCAAAGGACAGCATCAAAAAAATGTAAAGACAATCTGCAGAATAGGAGACTATATTTTCAAATCATACAGCTGATAAGGAACTTATGTACAGACATATAAAGAACTCTTACTACTCAACAGTAAAAAGACAAATGACCAGACTTTTTAATCAAAAAAGATTTGCATAGATGTTTCTCTAAAGGAGATATACAAGTGGCCAATAAGCACATGAAAAGATGCTCAACATCATAGTCATAAGGGAAATGCAAATCAAAATCAAAAAATACCATGTCACACCCCCAACAGGCTGGATATAATTTTTTAAAAGACAATAACAAGGATTGGCACGAACGTGGAGAAGTTAGAAAGCTTATACACTGGTGGTGGGAATGTGAAATGGTGCCGTCACTTTGGAAAAGAGTTTAGCAGTTCTTAAAAAGTTAACATGGAGTGGCCATATAACTCAGATTTCCACTCGAGGTGTATACCTAAGAGAACTGAAAAGATCTGTTCACACAAAAACTTATACACAAATGCTCACAGCTACAATACTTACAGTAGTTAAGTGGGAACATCTCCAAATGTCCCTCAACATGGATAAGCACAATGTGATCTATCCATATGATGGAATATTATTTGTCCATAAAAAGGAATGAAATACTGATACACACTACAATATAAATGAAACTTCAGCACATCGTAAGTGAAAGAAGCCAGTCACAAGAGACCACATATATTGTATAATTTCATTTATATGAAATATCCAGAATAAGTAAGTCCATAGAGAGAGAAAGTAGATTAGTGGTTACCAGGGGTTGGAGAGGGGGAATGTTGGGGGTCTCTTTTTAGGGTGATAAAAAATGTCCTAAGATTAGATAGTGGTGATGGTTGCACAACTCTGTGAACATACTAAAATCCACTGAATTATACACTTTAAGATAGTGGATTTTGTGGTATGTGAGTTTTATCTCAATAAGCTGTTATTTTTTTAAAAAAAAAAGTAAACTAAAATAGAGGAAACTTCCTTAACTCATAGTGTATTTGCCAAAGACCTAAAATAAACATTATATGCAGTGGTACAACTGTAAACATATTATAATTAAAGTCAGAAATAAAATAAGTGTTCCTGCTACACCTTTTTTTTATTCTTTTTTTTAAATTTTATTTTACTTTAAGTTCTGGAATACATGTGCAGAACATGCAGGTTTGTTACATAGGCATACATGTGCCATGGTGGTTTGCTGCTACACCTTTTTATGCAGCATTGTACTAGAGACCCCAGTTAGCAACATAAAGCAAGAAAATGTCATGTAATGAATTTTTTAAAAAAGAAATCATTGTTGGTTTATCATAAGATTGTTTGTATGGAAAATCCCAGATATTCTATAGAGAATTACAACTAGAAAGATAAGATAGTCAGCTTCATTTCTGGATACGAGCTCAATCGTGTTCCTATATGCCCACAATAATCAATTACAATATGTAACTGAGAGAAAGTTCCCAATCATAAAAGCAAGAAAAACTGTAAGTTACTTGGAAATAAATCCAATGAAAGATGTGAGAGACCTTTATGGAGAAAATTATGAAAAGTTACTGAAGGACGTAGAAGACCTGAAAAAAATGGAGAAATATAACACATTCATGCATGGGAAGACTCAATATTATACAGATGTCAGTTCTCCTCCAAATTAACCTATAAATTCATTGCAATTCCAATCCAAATCCCAATGGAGCTTTTCATAGAGCTTGACAAACTGATTCTAACATTAATCTGAAGTAGTTGAGAACAAAGAAGAGTCAAGACAAAAGAATAAGGAGAAAGAACTTTCCCAGCTAGACATAAAGATGAACTATAAAGCCATGTGAAATTAAAATAACGAAAGAGGTATGCAGGATAGACAAATTTATCAGCGGAACAGACTAGAGAACTCTGTGTATTTATGAGGACTTGGTGTATGTTGGAGGTGGCTTTATGTATCATCAAGAAAAGAATGATTATTCAATAAATAGTGTCGGACAATTAGCTACCTCTATGAAGGACATTTTTTTATTTCAATCTTTTTTGGGTACAGCTGGGGTTTTGGTTACATGGATAAGTTCTTTAGTGGCAATTTCTGAGGTTTTGATGCCCCCATCACCAAAGCAGTGTACCCAATATGTAGTCTGTTATCCCTCACCTCGCTCCCATCCTTCCCCCTCGAAGCTCCAAAGCTCATTATATCACTCTTATGCCTTTGCATCCTCATAGCTTAGCTCCCACTTATAAGTGAGAACATATGATGTTTGGTTTTCCACTCCTGAGTTACGTCACTTAGAATAATGGCCTCCAGCTTCATCCAAGTTGTTGTAAAAGACATTGTTTCATTCCTTTTTATGGCTGAGTAGTATTCCATGGCATACATACACCACATTTTCTTTATCCACTCATTGGCTAACGTGCACTTGGTTGGTTCCAAATCTTTGCAATTGCAAATTGTGCTCCTATAAACATGGGTGTGCATTTGTCTTTTTTCATATAATGACTTCTTTTCCTTTGAGTAGACACCTAGTAGTGGATTGCTGGATCAAACAGTAGTTCTACTTTTAGTTCTTTATGGAATCTCTATGAGGGACATTTTCAACTGGATCCCTACCTCATACCACACACAAAGATAAATTCCAGATAGATCAAACAAAACTTTAAAACTATTATAAGGAAATGTAGTTGAGTATCTTTATGATATGGAGTTAGGCAAAGATTTCCTAAACAAATAGCAAGATACTAATTATAATGGAAAACCCTGTCCATTTGACTACATCAAATACTAAAATTTCTGTATGCTAAAACCATCATAAAACAAAGTAAAAGTACAAAATACATTTGAAAAAGATAGTTGCAAAAGTATAGAAATAGTACTCAGAATACACAGTACAGTACTCCTATAACTCAAAAAGAAAACGACAAATGGCCGGGTGCAATGGCTCACGCCTGTAATCCCAGCAGTTTGGGAAGCTGAGGCACGTAGAACACCTGAGGTCAGGAGTTCGAGACTAGCCTGGCCAACATGGTGAAATCTCGTCTCTACTAAAAATACCAAAATTAGCCAGGCATGGTGTCAGGAGCCTGTAATCCCAGCTACTTAGGAGGCTGAGGCAGGAGAATCACTTGAACCTGGGAGTTGGAGGTTGCAGTGAGGCAAGATCGTGCCAATGGACTCCAGCCTGGGTGACAGAGTGAGACTCTGAAAGAAAGAAAGAAAAAGAAAGAAAGAAAGAAAAACAACCCAATTTTTTAAGCTGAGTAAAAGAAAACACAAAAGATGTATAAAAGAAAACCCAAATGATTGACAAATATATGTTAAAAATGAAACTTCAATACTAAGCTGGGAAATAACATTTTTTAATTGAATTATTTTTCATACAGATCACATTGGCCAAAAAAAAAAAAAAAAAATCATTCCCACCATCCTTGTCCAGTCAGGATCACACACACTGTTGGGGCTGTCATTGGGAAAATCACCCTGGAAAATAGTTTTGTAGTAACTATCGAAGTTAGGCATGCAAATATTCTATGATCTAGCATGTCTACTGTTAGGTCTATATATAGACCTAGAAAATTCCATGTGTAGCAGTGACTATAACTGAAAAGAAAAGGCAGTGACCTAAATGTTCTTCCACATGAAAATAGTTTTTAATGTGTTATATTCACATAATGGAATATTATACAGCTATTAAAATGAATGAACTAGATCTGTGAGTATCAGCATAGATCAAACTCACAGAGTATTGGGAGAATAAGGCAAATTGCAGATGGCTAAACACAGTGAATCATTTATGTAACATGTTCAATCACACAAAAACCACTACATATTGTCTGTAAGTACAAATACATATGGCAAAAATGTGAAAACATGAACAGAAAGGATGAAAACAAATTCATGATTATAATTGTCTCTGAGGGATGAAGAAGGAGAATTGAGACTAGAAAGGGGACTAAAGAACTTCAGCTTCATTAGTAATTTTTAAATTTTCTTATTTTGTAAAAGGATGTGGGACACATGCTAACATTCATGAATTCAGAATAGTAGGTAAAGGTGAGTCTCTTCCCTCCCTCCCTCCCTCCCTCCCTTCCTTCCTTTCTTCTTCTCTCCCTCCCTCCCTTCTTTCTTTCCTTCCTTCCTTTCTTCCATCTTGTCTTTCTAATAAGAAATAAATAATAATGGCCTCTCCTCCCTGGAAGTGGGGAAGGAGAATGAAGAGCTAAAACGAATCCATTTTTTCTTAACTCGTACTCATATATATCTTGGAATAAAGGTGATAAGAATCCAGGAGGCCTTCAGAGAGGAGGTGATACTTTAATGGCATTTTGAAGGATGAATAGAAGTTCTCCTCTGTACAGGATCAAGGAGAAAGATGGAAGAAAGACATTCTAGACGAGAAGACAAGCATGTGCAAAACCTCAGAGACCTAAAACAGCATGCATATTCAGGAATTATAAGTAAATGGGCAAGGAGGGGTGCAGGGAGCCAGAGAAATAGCCAAGGCCAGATCATGGAGGCACTGGGGAGACAGGCTAAGGATCTCAAACTTCATCCTGTGAGCACTGGGGACTCAGGGCTAGGAGGATCCTGCAAGGTAGAGCCCTTCTGGCCTCTGCCTGCTGTGCACCAGAGTTTAGAACAATTCCATACCACTTTGAATAGGTAAAGGTGGGTCTGCCATTCCAGTGGAGAGATCCTCCCTCTTGCCACTTTAGAAAGTGCCATTTTGAGAGCAACTTTATCCATGGGGGATACAACGGACCTCTTGGCACAGAGTGACTGGATACAAGGGACTAGCATCCTGCAGGAGTTTCCTAGGAATACCAGCTGTCCAGTACTTGGAGACTTCAGTGCTCAGGAGATATTGTAGCCTCTTTACCAAGAAGAGAAAGTATTCAGTCCTATGGGGAGCTGAGCTTCAGTGCAGCTCCTTCACTGGAAAGAGTGGGATGGAGAGAACTCAGTCTTCCCTTGTTTACTGTCCAGCCAGCCCAGAGTCTGCTGCTGTGGTCAGTTCAGGCCATTCTTCTCATCATACTACAAGCAGCAAAGGTCATGGTTAGGCTTGTATTTTTAAAGACTAGCATCTAGTAAAAGATGAATTGGAAGAAGCGGGCAGGGCCACGTTATGACTTCATGGGCCTTTTGGCACTTGTGTATTCATGGGTTCCTTCCTCCATAAAAATATTAGAAATTATATTTTACCATGTGTTGGTATAAAGGTAAATCTATTTTTTACAGTACTACACTATTTATTGAAAATTTTTATGCATATATACAAAATATGCTATGTTACATGTATTAATAGAGATAGAAAAATCATTTTAAATCTGTGATTTAAATCTGTTGTAAAGGTGAAAATATTAATATCATATGTTAAAACATTTTTATTGACCTAAAAGTTTGGTTTTTCTTCTGACTTTAAAATATCTTCATGGGTTCCCCTAAAAGTATCATGGGCCATAGGTACTGGGCCTACTGTGCCCATTGGATAAGTCAGCAGCCCTGGGGACAAGACACAGGGAGACCATGCAGGAGGCATCACAATAGTCACTGGGGTCCATGCTGATGCAGTCGCCATAATGATGGAGAGGCTGGTGAGAAAGGTATTTGATGAGCTATAGTGAAGTGAACACAGATATTCTTCATGGAAAGATAAGGATGGAGGGTGGAGGGGAAGAAGCAGAGGCCCAGCAAACAGAGAAGTACCACTGCCTCCCACATCTCATACACTATAAATGAAGATAGACAGAAGGAAGCTAATTGGAGCCATTTGCAGCCTAAATGGAACTGCTTCCTCATCCCTCCAATGGGACAGACCCACCTGGGAAACCAAGCATCCAGAGCAGCCAGTATTTAAGAGCTTGCTCGTTCAAGCACATCACTGCTAAATGAGCCTCTCATGCCATAGCGGAGACACTGGCATTCTGGAGTTCCAGAACAGGGTCAGGGACCTGGCCCTCAGCTAAGATGCTCCTTCAGCTTCATCCTTCAGTGGGCAAGCTGCTCACCTGGCATCGATGCCCCATGCAGAGCCCACACAACAACAGGAGCAGGCCACAACGTTGCCCAGACTTCTAGCTATGGTCAGCGTGTTGCTTCTCCATGAGCTGAGCCAGCAGCTTGGGAGAAAGAGAAATGGGTCCCAATTAAGGGCTGCCTCAAGCTGTGGCAGGATGTCAGCAGGTCCCTCCAGCTACCTACACACACACACACACACACACACACACACACACACACACACACACATACCTTTCTCCTATTCTTTCTTACAAAGCTGGGTCAGCATTCACTGCCTCAAATTCTGTCACAAAACCTAAGGCTCAGCTCCCTGCAAAGCAAAAAGAAAGCAGGAATGTGAAGCTTTCTGTGCCCTCATTCTACAAATGAACTTATTAATACTTTCCACAAATGTCTTGATATAGATCCCTGAAATCTCTTCCTTGCATTTCCCCAGCAGAGGTCAGGCACTTTGCCAAGGGGACTCTTGGGTACCTACCTATTGTTCCCAGACCAAGTTTGAACAATCCCAGTTGTTCCCAAACTTTAGTGTGCATCAGAATCACCCGGAAAGCCTGTTAAAATGCTGACTGCAGGGCCCCAGCCTCAGGGTTTCTGGTCCAGCAGGTCTGGGTGTCCCAAGGACCTGCATTCCTAGCATGTTCCCAGTTGATGCTGATACAGCACCTTGGGGACCACACTTTGAGAACCACTGCCTTTACCCATTTCCAACTTTTTGCTTTTCTGCTTTTGACCTTCCTGCCTGTCCTCCAAATCCTTACTTTTCCACTGTTTCTTTTTTTCAATCTGTTTTTTTTATTTTATTATTATTATACTTTAAGTTTTAGGGTACATGTGCACAATGTGCAGGTTAGTTACATATGTATACATGTGCCATGCTGGTGTGCTGCACCCATTAACTCGTCATTTAGCATTAGCCACTGTTTCTTACATGTCTCCTAACTTGACTTTCCGCCCAAGCCCTTGGCTCCTCCGAGCTCCAGTGCAGCCATGCTACCTGTGGCCTTCATGACTAGACTCCCCCACCCAGCTCTGCCCCAGGAGGAAGGCACCAGCTGTGGCTCTCATGGGGCCTTTTACTTTTTAAGAACCCCTCTACATGATTCACCTTACATGTTGGAGAGGATTCTCTGTCCACACTAAGTGCTTATCAGAGAATAATCAAAGAGACTTCTCTTGTGTTGAGCAAGGGGATCCTGGGGTTAGAAATGCCCCCTACATCTCACTTCAGCCACAGAGGAAGCCCTATCTCACATATCAGGAAACTGAGCTGCACATCAGTTAGTGACTAGTCCAGAAAGGGTCCTGCTGGTTCACGACAGAGATGAGTGTCCCAGCCAGGTCTTCTGATGCCAGGTTCCTTGCTCTTCCCACTTGCAATCAGCTTCTGTATCTGTTGGGAATGCTTTCAGCTGCAACTAACATAATCCCCAGGTAACAGTGGCCGAAACCCACCAAGGTGCATTTTTCTCATTCATGGTCATGTATTTTCTTAGAAGTCTGGAGGTAAGATGTTTTAGGACTAGGTCAGTGGTTCACTGATTATCAGGGCACAGGCGGCCTTTGCAATTCTCTGACCTTTATCTCAGGATCACAAGATTGCAGTCACAGTTCAGGGATAGTATTCTCCCTATGGCCATGTTAAAGCCAGCACATAGGGGCTTACAAGATGCAGATTTTCCCCTGACTTGTTTCTCTCTTATGAAGGAGGAAGCTCCCTCTCCCAGCTGATTTCCCCTTACACCCATTAGCCAGAACTAGACAGGCAGGGAAGTTCTGCTATCAAAGAGAAAAGATGGTGATAGCTTTGGGGCAAGCAACCAAGACGGTGTACCACAGCATCCTCCTGAAATAAGTGTCCCACAGGATTCTGGAAGCTTCTGGATGGCCAACACATTCAAGCCTATTGGACTGTAAAACCGCTGATCTGTGTCCTAGTCTTCTTTCTGTTCTCAGTGTCTGACACACTAAATCTGTGCATTCAACACACATCAATTCATTCCCATGTGCCTGCTACGTATCAAACACTGCAGCAGGCATTGGACCAGGATGGCATAGTAGAAAGGGCATGAGCTTTAGAATCAGACCGGATTATCTTCAAATCTCACCATTTTCAAGCTGTGTGACCTCAGGCAAGCCGCTTCACCTCTCTGTGCCTCACTTTTGTCATTGCAGAGTGGTCATGAAGACTTAACACACATCAGGCACGGGACACATAGTCATTCAATGGATGAGAGCTGATGATAATGACCTAAGAAGGGGTGGCACATGGCACACTGGCCACACCCTCAATTAACACACTGCCAAGTCTCAGGACTCACAACCCAGCAAAAGAGATAGACAACAAAACACAAAATCACAGCGTAATGGGACAGGAGTGGAGATGGCACTAAAACAACACAGAGAAGGGGGTGGCCAATGCATCTACGCACTTACAACAGCTTTCCCACACAGCACCTTAGCAAGCGGGTCTGATCTATCTCACCACTGGGCGGGGGGGGGGGGGGGGGTGGTGGGGGCAAAGGGATGAGTCACCATCATGCAGAGCTTCAGTTCCTTTGGAAAGCCACCATGAAAAACATGGAATGAGGCCAGGTGTGGTGGCTCATGCCTGTAATCCCAGGACTTTGGGAGGCCTGGGCGGGAGGATTGCTTGAGGCCAGGAATTTCAGACCAATGTGGGCAACATTGTGAGACCTCCTCTTTATAAAAAATAAAATAAAATAAGCTGGGCATGGTGGTGTGGACCTGTAGTCCCAGCTACTTGGGAGGTTGAGGCAGGAGGATCACTTGGGTCTGGGACGTTGAGGATGCAGTGAGCATGATCATGCCACTGCATGCCATCGTGAGTGACAGACCAAGACCCTGTCTCAAAAATAAAAAATCTAGGAGATAGGCATGATGATTAACTCCATTATCAGTTGAAGAAACAGAGGCACAGGGAGGTAATACATTTGAACCCCAGGCCCCAACTCTGGAGCCTGTGTTCTCACCATTACGTTACACTGCCTCCCTGAGATGGGTTACAAGGCATCTTCCCTGCTCAAGGACTCTGTTTGGCAGATGCCATTTGCTTACCTGGGGGATATCCAGGTGAGGCTGGATTTGAATGTATTCCCACCATGAAGAGCGGCTGGCAAGGCCTCATCACACCTCAACTCCCTGCCTAGTCCAGATAGGAGGGGGATTCTGTACTCCATTCTGTACTTCCAAGGGGATGTGGGCAGAATGGCACAGGCCCAAGTGATGCCAGTGGTACCTCAGCTCTTGGCAGTATTTCTTCTTCATTGTCGTTGAAGTCCTGAATTCCCAGGCCATGCTGCAGGATCCTCCATCCCTTTCCTGGCCCCTCATCTACACCAGCTTCTAGGCTGGGCACCAGATACAGGCAGAGATGTTGTACCAGATTCAACCTCAGCCCCTGAAGGGCTCAAGATCTAGGAAAGAACACAAAAGACCAATGTTTGCAAGGCTGCCTGCAGAAGCTTAGAGGAAGACATCTCACCCAGCCTTGGAGAAATGATGGTTAGGGGAGTCTACAGTGAGATACTGCAAGATACCGCACACTGGCTCATGAACAGAGCCCAGCCAGGTGAAGCATTTGGGAGAGGTGATAATAATAACAGCAAACACTTACTGTGGCAGGCGCCTGTCTAAACACTCCACTGAAGTTAATTCACCAGGATTCAGAAACAACCCAGTAAGGTAGGTGATAGGATTTGGCTGCGTCCCCACCCAAATCTCATCTTGAATTGTAGCTCCCATAATTCCAACGTGCTGGGGGAGAAACCCAGTGGGAGACAATTGAACCTTGGGGGCAGTTCCCCCATACTGTTCTCACGGCAGTGACTAACTCTCACAAGATCTGACAGTTTTGTAAGGGGAAACCCCTTTCACTTGTCTCTCATTCTCTCTCTTACCTGCTGCCATGTAAGACATGTCTTTCTCCTTCCACCATGATTGTGAGTCCTCCCCAGCCACACGGAACTGTAAGTCCGTTAAACTTCTTTTTCTTTATAAATTACCCAGTCTTGGGTATGTCTTTATCAGCAGTGTGAAAATGGACTAATATAGTAGGTATGCCTATCATCTCCATTTTAGAGATAGGAAACTGAGGCACAGAAAGGTTAAAGAGCTTGTCCAATATCATTGAAATAGTAGACAGTGAAGCCAGCATCTGGTTCTGGCCTCTGGGCTCTCAACCTCCACACCATGCTGGAGAGTGTTCCCTGCTGAACAGCAGCTCCTGCAAAGGCCTGGGCACCTGGCAGCAAGGTCCACCCAGGGCAGCCAACAGTGGTGAGGCTGGAGAGACCAGCAGTCAGCTTTTGTTCACTGACACAGCTATGGAGCGGGCTGACAGCAGTCCAACCATGCACCATGCGGGAAAGCCGGTCAGTTCTCTCCACTCCCCTGGCTGATTGACAGCAGACCCATAGACTCAATCCCCAAAGACCTAACCCTGATTCCAGCCCCAGCCTGAACCCAGCCTCGGTTTCTGCAAAACCTTCCCCAGTTAATTAGATACATGGAGATCATCCAACCCACCAGGCAGTTTTCCACACTCCCTCCTCACTGTCTGCTCTCACCCCTGCCTGGTCTGGTATCCATAATGCATTTTCACAACTTATGTATGCCCTTTATGGGATCTTTTAATATCTCTCCTCAAACCACACCTGGCTAATTTGCTAAGCACTGAACCAAAATCCAGAACCACCCAGCAGATAAATTAAGGAACAACTGTTTCCCTTTCAGGAAGATGGACCAAAAAAGTCACCAAACAGCAAACTCTTTTTCAATGCCAGTGCATTATAGAAGGATTCTATTTTTAAATCAATCCACAAATGTTTGTCCTATTGATTTTGTTGATTTGTTTATATATACCCTGTCTCATTCCACTAAAAAAAAGGCTTGTGCAAGTTTCAAAATACATGTAACAATTACAATAAATAGATGTAGAGTCAGGACAAAGAAAAGCAAAGGTAGGAAATAAAATAATGCAAGGAGTTTTATTCAGCTTCAAAATATCCTGTACAGTTTGCTTTGGTTGGGTAGCTTGCTGAGTTTGAGCTTCCTGGTGGCCAAGGCAAGGACAAGTGTATTCATTAAACAGATTCCTAGGGCTCCACCATCAGTGGGGGGGCCTGCCATTCACCCACCCCTGATGGCACAGTTGCTTATCTTTGAACACAGATGGGCAATGGTCCCCAAGGCCCAGACAAGCCACCTTCTCGACCAGCGATGTCCCTTCCCCTGGGCTCCTAGAAGTTCTTACTCTTAAGATAAGAAGGGGTGGGCTACCCTCTTTTGAAGCCTCCTAGGTTCCAGGCATTGTGCCAAGTACTCTATGTGTCTTAACTTACCTAATCCCACATCTATGAGGTTCAAATTTCCAGCTCCAACATCTACTTGGAACCCAGGTTCTTCCAGAAATTACTGGTTACTTAGATGTCTCAAAGTCACACCGAACTCACTGTGTCTAAGTTGACCCCTCATAATCTCCCCATCCACTCATCCAGTCTCTTTCCTGTGCTTTGGGGCTTAGCGAATGTCGCCACCATCCGGTGGCTCAGGCCAGACCTGATGAATCATCCTTATCTCTGTCATGCCCATAAAACACCTACTATCAAGTGCTGCCAGCCTTACCTCCTAAACAGTTCCTGAAGCCCTCACTTCTCTTTACTGCATCTGCACCTCCCTCCCTTGACTGGCCACCTCCTCTTGTGTGAGCCCCTCCAAGAACTTCTCACCCTGGTTCCTCACATCAACTCTGGTTCCTCTAACACACCCTTCACTCTGAAGCCAGAATAATCTTGTCAAGACATAAAACACATCTGACTTCAGCAATCCTGATTAAAACCCCTCACTGGCTTCCCCTTATTCTTAAGATGGAGACCACAGCCCTCAGAGTGGAGAACAAATTGGCTCCTGTCCACCTCTCCGATTGCACTGCAAATCACAGCCCTATTGGCTCTTCTCCAGCCTCACTGGCCACCTCCTCCTTCACTGTGCCTAGGACGCTCCTTCATGCCATTCTGCTCATCCATCAGCTTTTCCTAGCCATCACCTCCTCTGGGGAGCCTTCTCTGACCCCCGTCACTAGTCAAATCCTGCTTAAGCTTTCCTAGTGCCCCACACCTCCCCTTTGAGGCCCTCATCCCAGCTGGGAGGATGGGAGCCCCTCAGGCTGGCCTCACTGTCTGCACTTACACCCTTTCCATAACAAGCAGTTGATTAGCCCTTGATAATATTTGTTGAATGTTGTTGAATGAATAGATTAGAGGCTTGTCACAGACCAAATGATGGCTGCTAAAGATATCAGGTCCTAATCCCTGGAACCTGTAAATATTACTGTACTTGGAAAAGGGTCTTAGCAGACGTGATTAGGTGAAGGATCTTGAGATGGGCAGATTATCCTGGATTATTCGGTGGACCTTAAAAGCCATCAAATGTATCCTTATAAGAGGGAGGCAGAGGGAGACTTGAGACACAGAGGAGAAGGTGATGTGAAGACAGGGCAGAGAGAGATTGGAAGACACTGGCCTTGCAGACTGGAGTGACAAAGCCACAAGACAAGAAGTGCCACAGCCACCTGAAGCCAGAAGATGCAAGAAGCAAATTCTCCCCTCGAGCTTCTGGAAGGAGCACAGCCCTGCACACACCTTGATTTCAGCCCATTGGTAGCCGATTTGGACTTCCGGCCTCCAGAACTTTGGAAGAATAAATGTGCGTTGTTTTAAGTCACTAAGTTTGCAGTAATGTGTTACAGCAGCCAAAAAGACCTAAGGTGAGGCTCACAGATGATGAAACCCAAGCTCAGAGAAGCTAAGTTATTTGCCCAAAGTCACATGGCTAGTCCAGCCCTGCCCTCCCCTCAATCTTCTCCAGGAAGCTATTTAGAGAAAGTTGACTTTTCCAAAATGAAAACCCAAGTGGGGCTGAGGTTACTGGGGAGCAATGAGAGCTCACAGTCCCCAGACCAGGTGAGGGGAATTGGGCCCCTCTCAGCATGCACGGAGCCAGCTCGGGTCCTGGCCTCTTCTCCGTCTCTTGTTCTGAGGATCCAGATCCCAGCTAATCCCCTCACCTCGAACTCCAGGAGAGGACCCTTCTCAGGACTTGATTATTCCCAGCAGAGTCCCTCAAGAAACTGGGCAATGACAGCCAGGAATTATCCAAAAGCTCTGGCTTGATCACTCCTGAGCCACGAAGCCTTCTTGCTAATGTCTCCCTTCAGAAAGTTCCAGGCCCCTGCCTCTTTGTTTCCTCCTTCCCTTGCTCCTTTCCTTCTTGCCACTCCTGGCATCATGCAGAGAGTGAAGCCAGTATGGATATCACCTTGACAGCCGTCTTGCTAGGGGAAGCTAAGACAAGAACAGTGCTACGATGAACTGAGCGCAACATGCCCCAGGCACATGCTAGGTACTCTCACATGGCACACCTCAACAGGCTGAACAGCCAGGCAAGATAAGTGGTACCCATCTTGCTGTTGGGGAAACTGTGGCTTAAAGAGACCAAGAGCTCAGTTACCCAGCTAGGAAGTGGCCAAGTTGGGATTCAACCAGGTTTGCCTGACTGCAGATCTAGTGCTTTTCCCACCCACCCCATGATCTCCAGTCCCAGCCCAGGAGAAACTGCTTCTCCCTTAATAGAGAAGACACCCAGGGGTCCTGCTTTCTCAGCCTGTCTCCACCAAGTCTTCTGCCCTGAGTTTCCATTTATCCATCCAAAAAATGAAGCAACCACCCAACCTAGCCCAAGCCCACTCAAGGCAAACTCATGCAAATCAAATGCAATAATAGACGAGGAGCTGTTTTGAAAGTAAAAGTTTCGTGCCTGGGATTATTATTGTAAATACTGTATACTCAACTCTTGATTTCCCACACTAATGGGAGGGAGCAGTGGCGCAGATAATTAAAAATGTGTTTATATTTGGCTCTGGAATGTGTTTTTGTTGTCATATTTGGAGATGGGTGGGTCTGATGTTCTGGGAATTCAGTGTGACTTCATAATCCTTCTGAAAAAAAAAAAGAAAAAAAGAATAACAAATGCTTGTCTTGAGAGCAACCAGAAAGTCACTCCATGCTGAGTCTCAGCTGGTATCCCTGTCTCTGCTAAGAATGGCAGTGTCACCTCCAAGGTAGATGCAAACGCACCCAGCCTGGCAGAGCTTTGAAATAAATGACTATTGTTGCTTTAAACCACTGGATTTTCAGATGGTGTGTTATGCAGCAGTAGTTAACTAATACACCCCCAATTCCACATTCCTAGGAGGTCTGTGTCCTCTCCAAGATTTCTATGAATTCCTGGTCACGTTGGAGTCCAACTTCTTTTAATCCTTCCATCTGTCCCCCCGCCCCTCCTTTCCTCCCACATTGTTCCTTTCCCAGACCCTAAACCCATCTCTTACCCCTGATATTTCCCAAATAACTTACAAGGTTTTGGTGAGTGTAACAGACTACTGAGAATCTGGAGGCGATGGAGGAGTTTTCCTATCACAGAATCTCAGACGACTTACAGCTGGATGCTAAAAATCTCTGTTCTTAAAAAATATTTGGCTGGGCACGGTGGCTCATGTCTGTAATCCCAGCACTTTGGGAGGCCGAGGCGGGCGGATCACGAGGTCAGGAGATCGAGACCATCCTGGCTAACACAGTGAAACCCTGTGTCTACTAAAAATACAAAAAATTAGCCAGGCGTGGTGGCGGGCACCTGTAGTCCCAGCTACTCGTGAGGCCGAGGCAGGAGAATGGCGTGAACCCAGGAGGTGGAGCTGGCAGTGAGCCAAGATCGCACCACTGCACTCTAGCCTGGGCGACAGAGCGAGACTCTGCCTCAAAAAAAAAAAAAAAAAAAAAAAGATATATAAATATATAGCTATATATTTGGTCCCCTCCCCCACCAACTTTCTTCCTTAGCTTTGGTCTCCTGCCAGTTTGCCTCCTCTCTCCCTCTATTTGTTTCTCTTCTCTTTTCTGTTCTTCCACACCTCCAATTTCCCATGCATATCATCGGCTAGCAGTTTAGCTATCTGCCATTTCCAGACACTTCATGCTCTCTGAGTCTTATCTTTCACTCCCAGAAGATTGTCAAAGTATTTTCCAAAACAAAGATAGTTTCCCCTAAGGGGATTCTGATGCCAGATATTCAACTAATAGTTGCAGTTTTTAATCCTGCTGCATAAGTGAGGGAGGATACTTCCAGTTGTCCATTGAATATTCATTCTTTTCTTCCTTCTTATCTTTGGTTTGCTCCTTTTATTCAGGGGAGTTAATTTTCCCGCCTCCTTTGCAGACCAGAGTGAACATGAGACATGGTTATGGTCCTTGAGGTGTAAAGAGAAGTCTGCTGGGGATTGATGAGAATGTTCAACTTTCCCTGAGACAGGTGCCACCCCGTACTCTTGCTTCTTTCTGACTAGGACACAGACCCAATGTCTGGCAGTGCAGCAGCCATCTTGCCACCATGAAGACAAAAGCCACATGGCCAGGATGGCAGAGCAAAAAGACAGAACGGGTCTGTACTCTTGACTTCCTTCAGCTGCACCTGGACTGCTTAATTCTGGACTCCACGTTGAGGGCAAAAATAAACTCCAGTTTGTTGGGATTTCGTCTCTTGCATCTGAATGCAATCCTATGCGATCCTCCCTGATTCAGTAAGTGATTATATTGTGATTTCAAAAACCCTTTCACTGCTGCTGCTTCAGGTAAATGGATGATGCTGTCAACCACTGACTATACGTTAAACAAAGTTGCTAATGATGTCAATTAACAGTGTTCAAGTAATATCACCTGCAACGATTGAGTGTTGTCTCTAAGTGGAAAAGAACAGCTGGGAAGCCCACGCTCATCTCAGAATAGCGCTAGCCTGAGCCCTCCTGAGGGCAGAGATGGCGCCCTTGTTTGTTCAGTCTCCCTGTGACATGCCAGGCACCAAGGGGACTCAGAGCTTATGAGTGGAAGGGGAGTGAGCCACAGAGAGGACTCGGAGCTTCCTGAGCATCTTTTTGGTTTGGGGTGGCCCTGAGGAGGTGGATTTCTTTGGATGCTTGGCAGACAGGCAAAACCCATGGGAAGCAGCTTGGCAGGACTTTAGACCTCACACCTGGCTATTATCCCAGCTTAGCCATCTGAGTAGGCAAATAACCTTGGGTGGGGACAATATTTACTCTACAAGCCTCAGCCTTCTCGACTGTAAACTGACGACATTAATCACACCGTCTTACACAGTCATGAACATTACCTGAGATGACCCGTGCAGAGCGTTTACTACCTGCTCACAGTAAGTGCTCAGTAAATGCCCGCGTTACTACCATTACCTGCAAGGAGGTCATTTCAGTGCTGGATTCGGTAAGGAGACATAGACTAAATGGGTGACAGTCACTCAGCAGAGGAGGCCCCATCTGGGCTCTGCAGGGAAGTCAGCAAGCAGCAGGCGTAGGGCTGGGTGGCTCCCTACTTGCAGCAAGAGCAACTTGCTGGCTCTCAGGTGCTCCTGTCCCCTGCTCAGACCCTCCTCATCACCCCGATGTGCCAGGATTCATCTATCTGTCCACCTTTCTCACCAGCCTGGGAGTCACTCTCTGTACCTGCAGGGTCCAGCACATAGTAGGTGACAATGAATGTTTATTGAAGGAGGAAGGTACAGCCAGCCAGAGGTGCTGGATCTGGAAGTGACTTGGGCCAATCTGAGCTGCCTTCAGGCTCCCTAAAAAGAGGACCTAATTCTAGGGGACTCTGCAAGCTGCTGAGGTCTTCTGCGAGAGGGGAAAGGGATCATAGCAGTGGGGGACAGAGGCAGAGAGACTCAGGATGGGACAGCAACCAGCCCCAGCCATGTAGCTGGGTTCTCAGCCAGAGAAGACTGAGATCAACAGCAGGACAGGCTCCGAACAGGAAAGTGAGCATCTGATTCTCCCCAGGAGTAGGGAGAGAGCATGAGATTTGGTGCCTGGAAACTGGGCCTGCCTCTGGCATCCCCTTGCTGTGGAGTTGGGGCAGCACAGTCCCTCTCCAGGCCTCAGTTTCTCTGTCTATAGAATGAACAATTAAGTGGGGTGACCTATGAAGTGGTCATCCAGCTCTGACCCCCTGGGATCTAGGAATGGGCTGCTCTTCAGGGGCTGAACAGAGGCTCTTGCCAGAGTTCTTAGCCCCAGGCCCATCACATGCTGCACCGAGGGCCCCTAAGGGCCACTCTGACCTTATTAGGCACCTGCTCACCAACCCCCCCAGGACTCCATCCCAAGAAGATATCAGAAATGAAGGGAGAAAACACTAATAAATACAGTACCTGGAACTTCCTGCCCTAAGAAACTATGGATCTAGAGGGGCCTTCACTCCCTCCCTCATTCATTCAGTCAGTCAGACAGGCAATAACTCATCAGACCTCAAGTGGGTCCTTTTGGTTCCAGGCCCTATGCTGGGCACTGGAGATGGTGCCACGAAGAAGATCCTGCAGAAGCACACAGTCTAAAGTGAAAACAGACTGCGGGACCGACAATTGGGATCTGGAGCGGTAGGGGTTGCAATTGGCGGCAGGAGGCAGGGTCTAGTGACACGGAATGAGAGGAGATGCACCGGCCAAGCCAGAGCCTTCAGCTCAAAAGCATCCTGGGAAGCCCCTCAGTCCCACGTAAACAGGGACAGCTGATCACCCTCTTTGGAGGGGGTGCTCCACACCTCCAAGCTTGTAATGGAGGAGATGATGGGGCAGAGGAGGACCCTTTGAGAGAGGGAAACTCACAAGGGGCGGTGGAGAGAAGGCAGATGGGGTCATTTCTTCCCTCCACCTCCTGGGCTCTGCCTCTAGGTGAGGTCTCCCTGTGCCCTGACCAGGTCTGTGAGCTCCACCTTCTGCATCTTGAGGGCAAGCAGAAGGCCCTATAGCGGGCAGCGAGTGATAGCAGAGTTTTCCAGCATCTTTCCCCATCCACTGAAAGCCCAGTGGGCACAGAGTGCGTGCTGGCTCCCCCATCCACCGCTGCCTTTCCTGGTATCAGTCCCCAGGGCCAGCCGTGGTCTCTGGACCCAGAACCCCACTGGTCACTGCCCAGGCTGGGAACAGCAGCCCTGGTGGGGGCTGCTCCTCACTGGTGCCAAGCCCTGCTTCACAACCCCAGATCCTTTGCCTTGGGGGAAAGCAGTCTACATTGGCCCCCACTCCAGCCGGGCTCCTGCTGCACTTTGATATATTGGCCTAATATTCCCGGAATTATTTTTTGCTCGGTGTTCTTTTTTTAAAACAGCCCCTGGGAGGCCCCATGACTTTGCTCTGAGCATGTGGTGCTACTGTCATCAAGTCACCCCTGAAGAATCCCGCACAGCCACGATGACACCCGAGCCAGGGCCCAGGAGGATGCAGAGACAGGCACCCAGCAGCTGAGAAGGTGCTGGGCTGGCGACCTTGGAAGTTTCACCCATCCAGGGAGCTGGGAGCGCATTAGCACGTTCATCTGCACCCTGTTCCCAGAGTGGCCACAGCTTTCACACCTGGCTCAGCTGAGGAGGCAGCGGGAGACCTCCCTGCTGAGGGGCCCAGCTGTACTCACCCTCCTCTTGACTTGATTTCCCTCTTCCTGTTTCCAGGGTCTCTGGTTTTTGAAATTCTCCGTATGTCCTTTTTACCCCTCTCCCTTCTCTGCTCCAGAGAGCTCAGGGAAGCACTGGACCCAGAATTAGTGGGAATGGGGTCCATACTCAGTGCCCTGCAGCTGTGAGCAGGTCCCCAGGCTTTCAGCATTTCACTTTGTTCTTCTTTAAAATGAGGTTGCAATTTTCTGCCTTGCTCATTTCTTAGGCATTAAATATTTAATGAGCAGCTACTATGTGCTAGGCACTGTGCCATGCTCCCTTGCCATAATGCTATTGTAAAACTTAAATAATAATAGCAGCAACAACAACAACCAACCTATGATGTGCCAGACCCCTTGCTAAACAAGCATTTCCCCTCCTTCTCTTTCTCCTTCACCTTCCTTGTCACCTTCCTCATCACCATTCTCATCACCAACCTAGCCCACATGTACCAGGTGTGTGCCATGTACACTGCTCTAAGTTAATTATGGATATTAACCCTTTTAATCCATGTAACAATGCTGTGAAGGATATACTGCCAGGATCCTTATATTGCCGATGAGAAAGCTCATTCTCAAAGAGGTAATATGAGCCACCCAAGGTCACACGGTTTCTTAGTAGCGAGGCAGGAATTTGAATCCAGGTCTGTCTGACTCCCAAATCCATGCTCTTAACCACTACATTCAACTGCTTCCAACATAAAATAATGTATGTGAAGGTGCATGGAGCATTATGCTAAGGTGAATGTCACAATTCCCAGTCAAGGCAGCAGCAATGCCAGGAGACTGGGACATGCATCTGCCTCCCTCACAGCACTCAGAGTGGTGTCTTGAGGTCATTCAGACCCAGATTCAACGCTGACTCTGCTGCTAATCTGCTGCATTGGCTGGGAAAGTTCCTTCACCTCCTGGAGCCTCAATTTTCCCACCTGAAAAATGGGGTTAATGATACCAACTTCTCCATGTTGCTGTAAAGGTGGCATGAAGTAGAAATCTGTTTATGAGCCTAGCACACTGGCTGGTGCACAGACTCTCGATGAGAGGGGCTCCTTTCCCATCCTTTTCACAATCCAGGTCCCTTTGCCTCAAGGTAGGACCACTGTGTGGTGTCATTTACACCCCAGCATTCCCTGTGGGATCAGGCTGAGGCTGGGTTTTACCTGAAACCACAAGCTTGCTGGCATCTTGCCCTGCCTGTGCTGCTTTCTTTGCTCCCTTACGGTAAGAGCCCTCCTTCAGTAAGTCACGTGCCCCAAAGCCCTGTATCCAGAACCCTGACCTAAGACAAGCTGCACAGGAAGAAGGCATTTCAGGCCGCAGCAGGAAGGGGAAAGATGCAGGGGGTGAGCAAAAGAGCTTGGCAGCATCTTGGCCTGGCCTCCACTGAAAAGTCTTGAGGAGGCTGGGCGCAGTGGCTCATGCCTGCAATCCCAGCACTTTCAGAGGCCAAGGCAGGCAGATCAGCTGAGGTGAGGAGTTCGAGACCAGCCTGGCCAACATGGCAAAACCTCGTTTCTACTAAAAATACAAAAATTAGCTGGGCGTAGTGGCACATGTCTGTAATCTCAGCTACTTGGGAGGCTGAGGCAGGAGAATCGCTTGAACCCAGGAGGCAGAGATTGCAGTGAGCTGAGATCACACCACTGCATACCAGCCTGGGTGACAAGATTGAAACTCAAAAGAAGGAAGGAAGGAAGGAAGGAAGGAAAGAAAGAAAGAAAGAAAGAAAGAAAGAAAGAAAGAAAGAAAGAAAGAAAGAAAGAAAGAAAGAAAGAAGGAAGGAAGGAAGGAAGGAAGGAAGGAAGGAAGGAAGGAAGGAAGGAAGGGGAAGGGAAGGGAAGGGAGGAAGGAAGGAAGGGAGGAAGGAAGGGGAAGGAAGGAAGGAAGAAGGGAGGAAGGGAGGGAGGGAGGGAAGGAAGGAAGGAAGGAAGGAAGGAAGGAAGGAAGGAAGGAAGGAAGGAAAGGCTTGAGGAGCCCAGACCAGGACTCTGGGATGGGAGGCAGGAAAACTACAAGAGACTGTGGGTAGTCAGCCTGTCAGTTCCCCTGTGGGGCACCTGCCAATTCCCATCCCTGGGCTGCCAAGGGGTGGGCAGACATGCTGGCTCAGCTGACCCCACCCACTAGCGGAGAAAATGGTCACACTGTGGAGCATCCCTGCAGGAGATGCCTCGGCCCTGGGGGCCTGGCAGGAGGCCCCAAGCTGGTGAGAGAGGCCTCCTCCAAAAGAAAGGGTGGACAAGTAGTGAAGATGGCATCCCATGTGTGACAGCTGGGTTGAGGCCACCCAACACTTCCCTACCTGGTCACACTCCATGCTGCAATGTTGGTTAAGGTACCTGACCCTTCTCCACTCCCTGCCACAGAGCTTGGGGGAGCACTGGAACCAGAGCCAGTGGGAGTGGGGTCCACACCAGGCCCTGTATTCTGTGCCATGCAGAGGCACAGCCTTTCAACATCTGGAGTTGCTCCTCTTCCCTCTCTTTATTTGTTCATTGAACAATATTTTTCCAGCACCGACCATGTGCCAGGCTCTATACTAAGTCTTCACACCCAGATGCAGGAAGCAAGTAACAGTAATGACAGTGATGATGAGAGCCAGCCTCCTCCACATGACAGCATGAATGGTGGTCAAGATCCAGGCCTGCGTGTGAGTCCCCCTGCTACTTCCCCAACTGTGTGATCTTTGGCACATTGCTTCACCTCCCCGTGCCTCAATTTCCTCCTTGTAAAATGGAACAGATAGATTGTATCTGATGGAGAAGAAACGGGATCACCCAGCCCAGGCTTTCAGCACAGCGCCTGGTCCATGGGGGGCTCTCAGTACATGGAGGCCATTGCTCTTACAGTTCCACAAAGCAGGGTCTTCAGACAGAGCTCGAAGAAGGAAGAAGGGATCTGGAGTGACTCCCCCTCTTGCTCTTTTCCATCCTCCCTGTTGTGGCCCTAACTCAGGCCTCATCATCCCTTACAAGGAATGTCCCCCCAGCCTCCCTGCCTCTGGCCTCATCCCATCCAATTTGTCTGCAACACGGCCACCAGGTTGATCAACCCCAAATTGCAGGTTGCCTTGGGATCACATCACTCCCTGGGCCTCCTCCTACATGCATGATAAAGACCACACTGCTCAGTGGGACCTCAAGATCCTCAAGGGCTGAGGCCAGCATCAGTGCTACCTCCTGCTGCCTCTCACCTCCCACCAGCCTTTCCCACGCCTGCCACCTAAGGTCTACTTCATTGCCTAGGGCCTCTGGAAAGAAGACACCCAGTGGTTATCTGAGCGGGCTACAGGCCAGCTCACATGGGCATGGAGGCCCATTCCTTGGGTTTCTGAGACCTGGAGAAATTGGGGTTACAGCAGGATAAGGGGCTTCATATGGAAAGGGGCAGCTCTGGAGGCTCCAGGGGAGAATCCTTCCTGGCCTCTTCCAGCTTCTGGTGGTGGCCGGCAGCCTTGTCATTGCTTGGCTTGTAGCTGCATCACTCCAATCCCTACCTCTGTCGTCACCCAGCCTTCCCTGTGTCTCCGTGCCTGCGTCTTCAGTCGGCGTTCTCATAAAGACACCTGTCATTGGATTTATGACCCCCCCCCCAATCCAGCATGATTCAGTATTAACTTGATAACATCTGCAAAGACACTATTTCCAAATAAGGTCACATTTGAAGTTCCAGGTTCACAAGGATTTGGGGGAGACACTATTCAGCCACATACAATGGTGTTATTCCCCCATTTTCTAGAAGAGGAAACTGAGACACAGAAAATGACTTGCTCGAGATCATGTGGCTTCGTAAGTGGCAGGTCCAGGATCTGTGCTCCTGTCTGCCTGACATCAAGACCTGCCCGACCCACCCCACCACCCTAGAACTCCAAGGACCTCAGTCATCACTGTCACTTACTGATGTGCCATTTGACATCCATTCTTCCATTTAACCCTCAAAACAGTCTTCTGGGACTGGAGACATGATGCTTGTTTCATAGACAGCAGCTTAGAAAGGCTAAGTGGCTTGCCCAAGACCATACAGCAAATTAGGGAAAGAGCCAGGATTAGAACTGAAGTCAACCTGACTTCAGAATCAAGGGCTTACCCACTACGACCTTGAAACACTTCCATTTATCTCTTTGCTTTGTGACCATTTAAATCTGGAGGAATCACATATTGCCATCCCTGCAATTCAAAGGCTGTTTTCCAGAGTCAGAGATCCTCCCCACCTAATCCATGTTGAAGGGGCTCTCCCATCCCTAGGAGGGGGATGGGGAGCGGAGAAGCCACCTCCCCCATCCACATTTACACACACACTCACACATCCGCACTCACACACTCACACTCCTCTGCCAACCAGCCATCTCCCAGAGCCAATTAACAAGGCTGGGTGGTCTCAAGGGAGCCCCACGGGGTGATAGACTTATTGATCCGCTAGAGTTGTGGAGTGTCAGGCCGGAGAGAGGAGTCATTTAGGCAGTGTTCTCTCTTTCTGAGTGCAGCAGGGACTCCGGGGGTGGAGAGTAAGTTGTATTTACTGTGACGGTAATTGAAAGGCAGCAGCAGCCACCCCACATTGTCCCCGGCAATACCTAATTGGTGGACCAAAAACTGCAGGAGAGCTGAGGCTGGGGCTGGGGGTGGGGAGAGGGAGAAAGAAAGTTAACATAGCCCAGAATCAATAGCAAAAGCTTTCACAGTGTCAGGCACAATTGATGGAGCTGAACGACTGGAAGCTGCAGAAAATTAGCCTTGAGGCTGACTTGGTTTGAAAGTTAAAAGCTGGTAAATGCAGAGACAGACGGGAGTTCCCGGCCACCCCTTCTGTTGTCATTTTTCTGGTGGCAACTGGAGGCCTGGTGCCAGCTCAGGGTGCACAGGCCTGGGGGAGGATGCATCAGACGGACTCTAATTTGGCCACCTGGTAAAGGACGCAAGACATGGAAAGGCTGCGGTCACCCATGACCTTGGCCCAATCGTGTCAGCTCACAGAGCTTTAGTTTGCTCATCTGCAGAGTGTGCACCTAGTATGGGAGTGCAGTGTCGTATGGTGGAAAGAACATGAAAAGACCAGGGTTTGAACCCCAGGTGTGCCATGTCCTCATGGTGGGACACTGAATAGGTGACTTAACCCCACTAGAAAAGGAGAATTGTGATACCTGGCTGTGGTAGGCTGAGAATGGACCCCTAAAAGATATTCACGTCTCAATGCCTGGAACTTGTGAGTGCTACCTTATAGGGCAAAATAAAAATGATTCTTTGCAGATGTGACTCAGTTAAGGATATTGAGATGGGCAGATTATCCTGGAGCATCTGGGAGGACCTTAAATGCAATCACCACTGTCCCTTATAAGAGAGTGGCAGAGAGATATTTTACAAAGACACACAGAGGAGGAGGTGACATGAAGATGGAGCAGAGGGTGATCTGAAGATGCTGTCCTTGAAGACTGGAGTGATGCAGCCACAAGCCAAGGAATACTGGCAGCCTCCAACACTGGAAGAGATTCTCCCCTAGAGCCCCTGGAGGAAGAACAGCCCAGCTGACACCTTGCTTTCTGCCCAGTGATCCTGATTTTGAACTTCCGGCCTCGGTAACTGTGAGAGAATAAATGCCTATTGTTAAAGATGCCACTTTGTGGTCACTTGTTATAGCAGCCTCAGGAAACTAATGCACCAGCTTTGCAGAGCTGGGAAGATGAGAAACGTGTATTAAAACAGCTGGCACATGGCAAAATTCAAAGCCGAGACATCACAACTCTCAAGCAATCAGCAGCTGTCAAGCTAGAGCCCAGGGCCCCGTTTTAAGGCCAGGTCTTCAGTTTCTACATGAAGCATCTGAAATTTCTCCAACAAGATTAATTGAGAAAATTATTATAATCTTTTGAGACAATAATAATTGGTCTCACTCTGTCACCCAGAGCTCGCTGCAGCCTTGTCCTCATGGGCTAAAGTGACTCTCCCACATTAGCCTCACGAGTAGCTGGGACTACAGGTGCACACCACCACACTCAGCTAATTTTTTTATTTTTTTTTTGTTTTTGAAAACAAGGTCTCACTATGTTGCCCAGGCTGGTCTCGAACTCCTGGCTTCAAGCGATCCTCTCACCTTGGCTTCCCAAAGTGTTGGGATCACAGGTGTGAGTCACTGCATCTGACTGAGAAAATTACATATTGTCTGTTTTCTTTTGCTAGAATGCAAGCCCCAAGAGGACACGTTTCTTTATTTTGTTCACCCATATACTCAAATGCCTAGGACAGTGCCTGGCACTTAGCAAATGTTCAATAAACACTTGCTGAATGATAATAATAGAACAGCAACCAGAAAAATACTCACCTAATACAAACAGATGTTCACAGGATGGCAGCTGTAGTGATATTAACAAAAGGCTTTGTCTTTCCTCTCTGGGCCTCAGTTTCCTGATTTGGGGAATGATGTTGCTTAGAATAGCATAGCTCTGGAGGATTGGCCATGTGGGGAACACTCAGTGAGGGAAAGAAGAGTGCTTTGAAAATTATAAAATTCTGTCCAGAGTCCTTACTCAGCCTTCCTGCCCTCTCATGAGACTCCAAGCACTTACAGCCCACTAAACCCCCTGAGACCCTGACAGTGTCCTTTGATTGCCTTTGGGAGTCAAGAATTCCCTATAATTATGTACAAAATTTTCTGTAAATATACACTCCTACACTTCCCTTGTTAAATGTTCAATTTTTAGATTCTCAAAGAGGGCCTGTGACCTTTAAAAAATCTGTAACCCCTGGAACAATCTATCTCCTCCATCTCCAGCTATGGGGAGCCCCAGAGGCCAGCTAGGAGAGCAGCCTCCAGATTCACATTATCACTGGCTGTGCCCCAAGGCAAGACCCTCTGGGGGACGTGGCAGAAATATCTTGCCTCTGTGAGCAGAGGGCGAGAGGCCAAGAAAACGAAGCAGTGAGGCTTGGGGAAGCAGTGAGGAATGAGGGGCACCAGAGGTCAAGGGAGAAGCCTCAGGCATGCTGCAGATGACCTACACCTCCTCCCAAATGAGCGCTGACGATGTACATCTCACCTCAATTCTGCAGTAGCTTGAAGGTAGCCATAGTGGGAATATTTACACCACGGAAATTGGCAAATGCTACAAATCAGTTTACCTTCTTTATTTTTCCTGGAAAACTGGCTGTTAAACATTTTACCATCACATCACTGGAAAAACACCCCTTGGAGACAAGCTACCGATTCCAGAGCTTTGTAAGGAACTTCCCCACCACACCAGCATCCCCATGCAGGAAGCCTTTGTCCAACATGCATTCATGAATGTTTATTTACCAGAACTCAGCTGAGACAGCTCCAACACCTGCTGGACCTAGAACAGGGAGGATGGCCCATCTCATCCCATCTCATCTTTCCTGAGGGGCCTCAGTCCCAGCCCCACTGGCAGCAAAGGATTAGTGGGGCCATTTGGGCACCAGGGAACTCAGCTGGGACTGATCTATCCAGCATGCGGAGACGGCTCCACCACAGACAGGCCAGCCTTGGGGTCCAGCCTCTCTCCATCCCTCTCCTGAGCCAGCACTCACTTTGCTTGGCTACCTCAAGAAAGAATCCTAAGCTGGCAAGTCAGGCAGCCTGGGGCCAGGAGGTCTTGCACTGTCCAGGTGGCGGGATCACACTTTCCATCCCCCAGCCTCCCTCTCCTCCTCTGTACCCTGGCAATGAAGGGCAAGGACTGTGATAATTAAACATGACAAAATCAGAGAAAGCCCCAAGCCAAAACTCCCATTCGAGGTGCATCTCCCACACACCAGGAACTTGACAGATGGCATCAAAATTCACCCTCCTGAAAATACCTCTGTTGTCCCTCCTTTCCAGTTGAGGGAACTGAGGCTCATAACGAGTAAATTCCATGCTCAAACCACACTAGGAGCCTGAGGTGACTTGGAAATTAGACCGGTTCCAAGGTCTTTGCCTTCACTGGCTCCCAGCAGTGCACATGGCACATCACCGTGAGATTCCAGCATCGCACCCTCCTCCCACTTGCCATAGAGACCACACACCTGTCCCCCCAGTTCAGCAGCTCCAGCTGTGTCCTTCCTTCTCCAGCAAACGCCACAGGTCCCGGGTTAATTGCTGGCTTGAGAGCAGGGGAGGGAGGCCAAAGTGCGCAGCAGTGCAGACGGTCCAGGCAGGAGCAGTAAACTCTGCAGGTGCATTGCTGCAAGCTCCACGTCTGCCCTCTGCCTCACTAATTGGCACTTCCTTGTTAGAGCCATTTCATTGAGATGGAAAAATACATACATGTGTGGATGTGGTGGGAATCTGCTAGGAAGGCAGAAATATCAAAGTAAGGTGGCCAACTCCTTTGGAGAGCTGCAAAAATGGGAGACTGGGACAGACAGGGCAGGGGTGAGAAGGGATGCAGCCAGAGAATTTGGTGTGGTTCAGTACTTCCCCTCCAGTGGCAGACAGATCTGAATGAGAAACTCTCCAGGAATTCACGGGAATCGCTTGAAGCCGGGAGGTGGAGGTTGCAAATGAGCTGAGATCGCACTACTGTACTCCAGCCTGGGCAACAGAGTGAGACCTTGTCTCAAAAAAAAAAAAAAAAAAAAAAAAGGAGATATTTGTTATGAAGCAGGAGCCTGCAGCATCCACAGGTCCTCAGCTGGAGGAGATGCAAGCCAGCCATACAAAAAATGTGTCTTTCTCACATCCTCTCTCATGCCCCACACACAGTGTCCTTCAGGGGCTTCTAGGGGCCAGCATCGGCCCCTGACTGCTCCTGACCATAAACACCCAGTGGCAGGTTCTGTCTGTCATCTTGGAGAGCAGAAACAATTTGGCTCTGGTCACCAAAGCAACTCAGCATCCAGACCCCAAGAGGGAGAAGAAGAGGGAGTGGGCATCTCCCATTCATCCACTCACCCACCCACCCACCCATCCAACTCAATAAGCACTGAGCGATTCTCTCCTTGGGCTTTTGCACATGCTGTTCCCACTTGCTAGAATGCTTTTCTCTTTGGGTGCCCAAATGGAAGATTCTTCTTATCATTCAGGTCCTAGCTCAAATGCTACCTCTTCAAAGAGACCTTTCCTGACCATCTATTTAGAGCACTTTTTCTCCAGCCCTGGGTTTAACAGCTTTCTTGGCACTTGCTTCTCTCAAAATGATCTTGTGCCTTCATTTTAGTCCTTGATTACTGCTGAATCCTCCCTCTCCCAATAGAAAGCAAGCATCACCCTTACTGCTGCGTTCCCAGTGCCTAGGGTGCTGCGGGGCACAGGCATGGGTGAGTGAGTGGGTGGACCAGTGATTGTCACTTGCTGTGCACCTGCCATCTGCTGGGCCCTGTGCTAGGGACCCCCAGAGGAATAAGAGTGGTTCAGTCCCTGTCCGCCACCTCCCCAGCAGCTCACAGGCCTGCTGCCACAGGGCAGGTGGCCTCCTTGTTTTAAGTGTGGTCACAAAGGCACCAGGAAAGCCTGTGATTTCAGAGAAGGCTTTCCATAGCCAGAGGCATTTAAGCTGAGCATTGAAGGAAGAATAAGAATTCCTCAGGCAGCCATGGGTCAAAGGGGATTCCAGGAAGAGGAATTTGCATGGCCCAGGCCCTGATGGAGAATGGGGAAACTACAAGTTGCTTGGTGGATCTTGAACTCAGGAGAGAGTGACGCATCCAGGTTGTCTGTTAAGATCTCTCGGGCAGCAGTGGTGTAAATGGATGGGAAGGAGGGATTCGGTGTGACACAAGGTGAGAGGAGAAAGAGGACGCTGTTGCAGGAGGCAGATGGAAACAGGAAAGGAGGAGAGGACAGATATGGGAGATATCAGAGTGTGGAAAGGAAAGGATTTGGGTGGGGTAAATGGAGAAGCACAGGATGGCATCCAGGGTTCTCTGCTGGGCCACGGGAAGGATTCCTGGGGTCCCCACTGAGCGAGGAAGCCAGAAGCAGGAGCCAGCGGGAGGAGGAATTCTGTTCTGGGTCTACTGAATTTGAAACGCCAGAGGGACCTCCTCCTCTCTCCAGCCCACCCTGTCCTTCCAGTACAGCCCACCTACAGCAACAACAGAATCTGCTGGCTTACGGGGAGTATGGCAGGGTTGAGGCAGGGGTGAGGCAGGGGCGAGGCAGGGGGCAAGGCAGGGGCAAAGCAGGGGCAAGGTAGGGGTGTGGCAGGGGTGAGGCAGGGGCTCCTGTGTGGGTGTGGACAGCAGCCCCTTGATTTCCTCCCCTGGAGGTTGAAATGGAGGGAACCCAGAGACAACCTGGCCATTGGTCCAGCCTCTCATCTTCCAGGTTAGGAAACAGGTCTAGAGAGAGGAAGTAATTTTCTCACCAGTCGGGAAAAGCTATGTTTGCTGCCCTCACAAACAGTCCCAAATTATCAGCAAATGGATTCAAGCCACAGTACTTACTTCTCATTTATTTAACAAGACCAGGATAGATCCTCTGGGGTCTGTTCTGTGTCCTCCTCCAGGACCCATACTGCCCCAGTCATTGGGGCAAAGGGGAACAAAGCCCCTGGAGAGTCTCCCACAGGCAAGCATGATGCCCGGGTCACTTCCCAACTCATCGGCTGGAAGCAGTCCGTGGCTCCACTCGACCCCAAGGCAGCCAGAGAAGCTGTCTTCCATATACCCAGAAGGAGGGGGACTGGGAATGTTTGGGGACTGCACTGACGAGCCTGCAGCCCAGGTCACTAACAGAGCTGACTCAGTGCTGGGCAGCGTGCTGTGTTTCACAGACACCATCCATGTGATCCTCACCACAACCCTGCAGACACAGCACCATGACTGCCCCCATCTGCCAGTCCAGGGCCTCATGGCTCACAGCAGGGATGTCTTGGCCAAGATCAAGAGGTGGAGCTGGGGTTCAAACCCAGGGCTTCCACTTTTGGAGGACCAGAAAGAGAGTCTGGATGACCCAGAGGAGGAATCCAAGACTCAGCCTTACTCCACAACCCTAACATGCTGCCAGTCTCCTCTGAGATCCGCTGTATTTTTCCTGAACACTGCAGCCAGCTCCACCCTCAAATCTCCAGGGAGTGATGGTGAGAGTGAATTTGATCTTAAAATCTGTCAAGTCGCGCGTGTAGTGAGGAGAAAAGTCCCGTACACTTTCCAGGTGTTTTTATGGGAAAAGAACCATGCAAAGTCCAAAGTCAAGCTGCCTTCATAAGTGGGACGAGGCCAGTTGGCTGGAAAAATGACAGCTCCACACCAGCCCTCCGTGTTAATTGCATCACAGCCACTACCCCCAGCTGGAGAAACACAGATGCAATTAGCATGCAGCGCACGACTCTCTGGGGCCTATTCCATCAACACATTTGTCCGATGGCATTAACACCACCTAGCTGCCATCATTCTCACACAGCTGGGCCCTCATGCTCTTAAAAAGAAAAACTCGGGATACTTTCTGTGCATAACCCTGGTTACCTGCCCAGATGTCTGCACTTCTCTTTTGCTCACCTTGTATCCCCAGCAGCATGCCAGGCATGTAGTAAATGCTCAATTAATATCTGCAGATGAATGAATGATGTTCCAAGTCTTCTAGTTTTATGATTCACCTGCTCTTTAATATTCAAATGAAGTGGCTCCAGGCACCGGCAGATGACTACTTTTGCTCTGGCCCCTCATCTGGGAAAGGCTCAGTTTCATCCACCTCCTCTCACATGGACTTTCTCTCCTCCCTTCCTCTGTTATCCCAAATGTGGGACATAGTGGCCCCCTTGCCTTGGTTCCTCCCAGCTTCCACCAGGACAAGGCACATGTGTGTGTCCAAAATTTGCTGAAGGTTTGGGTAGTGCTAATGAAGAAAAATAACATTGCCTGGAAATGGAAAAGCAGACATCTCTGCTATGAAATTCCTTCTTCCAAGTCCCATGGATGGAAGGAACCTTGTCCTTATGAGCTCCCCAACCCCAGCCCTCTAGCCTCCCACCAGCTCCTCAGCCTCCCCCTCCTCCCCTCTCTTGCTCCTGGCCTCCAACCCCCAGCAGCCATCTGCTCCTGTTTCTCACAAAGGCAGCTGGCTTTCACTCCCCTCCCAGAGCTCCGCCAGGCCTGCTGTGACACCCCAAACCTCACACAGGCTCTGCCAAACAATCCGGTCTTCACCCTTACCAACCCAGAGCCCTGGGAGAAGCTCGGAAATTGCCTGGACAGGGAATTCCTGGGCTTGGCTCTTGGCCTATATGCGGGCTCTGTAGGTGGAGGCCTCAGTGCAAAGATGTATTCTCCCCTAGACACCAGTTGTGCCACCTCTGCCTCCTTGGGAAGCAGAAGTGGCTATGGTCTGGTTCGGGGAGTGTAAATGGCAATGCATTTAATCCTCACAATCACCATTTGAGGTGATGTCATGATTCTTGCCATTTTCCAGATGAGGAGTCTGAGGCCCAGAGAAGCAGGTGACTTCTCCAAGATCATCAAGTTAGCAGGTGGCGGCACTGGGATTCAAAGGCAGCTCTGTGTGAGTCTGAGGTCCATGTGGCGCCTGCCCATCACACGGCCCACACCGTGCCATGTCATCCCATCCAAAATCCACATCCACTTAATAACAAGGAACACGCAGAGGGCAGAGAGGTCTTCTCACCCAGGACTGAAGAGGCAGGGAGGCCTTTGGGCTCTGAATGGGAGAGAGGGGCAAAGCCAGAGGAAGGACCACCTTTGTGGGACACCTGCGGTGTGCCAGGCACCAGCTGGGCACGCTGCGCACAGTGTCCCATTCATCCTTGTGACGACCTTTTACTACCATGTTACAGATGGGGAACTGAGGTCCACAGAAGGTCATGCAGCTTGTAAATGGCCAAGCTGGGACTGAAACAAAAGTCTGTCGGCCTCCAAGGCCCACACTGCACCCCTCCATCTCAGCATGGTCTTCCAGGGCAACCGTCTCAAGGTCAGGCTGGGTGGGGAGGGGAGTCCACTCCCTGTTGTGGCAAATTCAGCTGGTGGACTCTCATCACAGCCCTGTTCTCACACAGTGCTCTGTGCAGACAGGTGGGGCCCAGACACTGCCAAGCAACTGGTCCACCCCACCTGCGTTCACTGCTTCCTGCAGCCAACAATGTGGAATTATTGCCCACCTGGCAAATCCACCCTTTAGGCCATTTCCAATCCCTCTGTCCCAAGACAAAGCCCCAGCATCCAGCTCCATGGGCTGCCACATCTGGTTGAGAAGTAAAATGCTTTGTTTCATCTACATGGCATAGGCTTTGCAGTCAGACCAAGGTCAAGTCCTAATTCCACAATAACAACCCAAGATAGCTGATGAGTGACTGCTAAATAGAGAACCAAGAGGCAAGGTTATGGATGCTAATGAAATCATAGAAATAGCTGGGCACAGTGGCTCACGTCTGTAATCCCAGCACTTTGGGAGGCTGAGCAGGTGGATCACTGAGGTCAGGAGTTTGAGACCAGCCTGGTTAACATGTCGAAACTCTGTCTCTACTAAAAATACAAATATTAGCTAGGCGCATTGGTGTGTACCTGTAATCCCAGCTACTTGGGAGACTGAGGCAGGAGAATCGCTTGAACCCAGGAGGCAGAGGTTGCAGTGAGTCAAAATTGTGCCACTGCACTCCAGCCTGGGTGACAGAGTGAGGTTCTGAAAAAAAAAGAAAAAGAAAAGAAAAGAAGAGAAAAAAAGAAAGAAGGAAAGAAAGAAAGGAAAGGAAAGGAAGAAAGGAAGAAAAGAAGTTGGGGAGTATGTACACACAGACACACACAACGAGAGAGAGAAAGAGAGAGAGAAATGCCCTGGTGCAGGCTTCTCTCTCCGCTCTGGTAATATCCCCATTTTACAGACAAGGCAACCGAGGCACAGAGCTTTGCCTAACACATGGCAAAGAGGGGGCTAGAACTTGGCTCCTCCATCAGTGGAATTCACACTGGGTCCCAGGGAGCCTCAGACTTCACAGAGATGCCACAGGGAGGGGAGGCGAAGCCAGTCGGGCAGAGGCTTCATCGCCAGAACAGCTTTGCTTTGGTCTGCACCTGTTGGGGCTCCGTGTCAAGTTTTATTTGAAGAAATGGTTTGCTGCTTAAGGAAAAATCTGAAAGCCAAGGCACCGCTGCTCCAGGGAGAGGCCGCGGTGGCCTTTGAGGAATGAGAAGGTCAGGATGACAGTGGTTAAGCCTCAGGAAATCAACTACCCAAAAAGCGTGCACCTTATTTCATCTACAGAGTGCCCTCGCCTCCCCAAGGACCTTGTGCCTATTTTCTCTCCTCTGTCTTCTACGCAACCCTCCCTCACCGCCGGCTCTCTGCTGCAGGCCTTACCCCTTAAGACTTAGAGAATAGAGAAGCCATCAGATGCAAACCCACCATCATGTCTTCCTCCTGCCCCACTGCAGTTGCCCCCTCCTCTTATAGGGAGAAAGTCCCCCCCAACTCACTGAAAGCCAGTCTCTCCACCTGGACCCTGGGTCCCACTAGGAACCCCCTCCATGCCATATTTCACTTACCTCCCACGTCTTCAGTCTGTCCCCTTCCCGGACCCTTCCCATTAGCTTTCAGAAATGTTCTGCCCTCTCTCTTTTGTCAGGACACCTTCCCTTGAGCCCTCATGGCTCCCACACCTGCCTCTCTGTCTCCTCCCATCAGCTGCTTAGCCCCAACCCCAAAGGCCCCCACCCACCAACCTCACGTTGCCAAATCCAACAGGCGCCTGTCAGCCTACCCATCGGGAGCTCCCAGCAGCATTTGGCCGGTGGAGGTTCCCCTCTTCTTGCAACGTGCTTTCCCGGCATCTGCACCTCCCCTCCCTGGTCTCTCCTTCTCGGTCTCCCCAGCTGTCCCTGCCCCTCCACACAACTCCTAAGGAGTGGCCTTCAGGACTGGGCCTAAACCATTTTCTCCCGGAGTGATTTCCTCCATGTGCATGGCCTGAAATGCCACCTGCTCACTGATGACTCCGAAATTTCACCTGTGCATGAGGCACTGACAAAATCACAAGCTTGGTGTCTTTAATCTGTTTCCTGACCCCACCTGGATGTCCCAGGGGCACCTCAAACTGGCTGTAACCGGAACTTCTGATCTTGTCCTGGGATCTTCTTGGCCACCCCTCAGACTCCCCACCTCTAGCTTCTCCCACCCCAGCACTCTGTCCAGAAACCCACACCCTCTGCAGGCTGCCTGACCCCTCCGCTGGCCCTGCCAACCCTGTCTCCAAAAGCATCCTGGAACCATCCACTGAATCGCTGCCACCCCCACATAGCCCGAGCCACCATCATCTATGGCTCAGAACTGCACAGGCCCCAGCTGTGCCCTCTGCTTCCCCTCCAGCTCTCCCTCCAGTCCCTCTCCACAGGGCAGTCAGAGGGGCACTATGAAAACAAAATCTAGTTCGTGGGGCTGCTTCTCCCCACTTCAGCAGCTCCCTGACCCCGTAGTGTGGCTCTGAGGCTCTGCCGATCGGCTCTGCATCCACGTCCCTGGGCTCACCTCTCGCTCTTGCCGTCGACACATGGTACCCCCTTCAGCCAGGCATCCTCTTGCCACAGGGCCTTTGCACGTGCGAATCCCCCTTCCTGCCCCAGCTCCAGTGCCACTGGCTCACTGTCCCTTATTCTCAGGGGTAGGAAAGTCTCAGCTCTAGATGAAGTCAAATGACCCCATCTTTCAACTTCTCCAAGGCCTTCCTCCCTTTAAACCAATCCAAGCAATGTCTCCTTCCTCCCTGGACCGAGTGCATCATGATGAGGTCGAGAGCTCCATCCATCTCCTCGACATGATACCTGGCACTTAGCACTGTGCCCAGCACCGAGCTCATAATGGGTACCCAATAAATCCTCACTGGGTGAATAAGTGACTTAGAACAACCCTCAGAGCTCTCTAGGGGCTGCCTTGGGGCACAGTCAAGTGAGGAAGCTGGGCAGGAATTCTCTCCATTCTGCAGATGGGAATACTGGGGCTCAGAGAGGAGTGGCAACTTGCCCTCAGAAACACAGTTAGGATATGGTGGGCCATGACACCGAGCCAGGTCCATTCAGCAAGCCCTGGGGCTCAACCTATATAGATCCTGGTGACCTCCCTCCCACCTGACTTTGACAACCAGCTCCAATTAGAGTAGCATCATAAGCTGTGATAGATCCACAATTGGTTATAGATTTAACTAAGCAAACCATGTCCCAAACCGTCTATTGTGTAATTGGGCGCATAAGACACATTTTTCTTTGCCGTTCAGTTACAACTTAATTTGCCAGGTCAGCAGTTCTGCCTAAAGTCACGGGCAGCAGCCTGGTTATGAATATCAACTGATTCTCCCAGCACTGCTCAATGAAATGGAATTCATCAGCACTTACCCAGGGATGAGTGTGATAGAGGAGGAAACTGAGGCACGGAGAGGGGAAGTGACTCACTCCAGGCCACACAATCAGTAAGTGCTGGAGCTGGAACTGGAATTCAGCTCATGTCTCTCTGGCCTCACACCCGACACCTCCCCTACTGCCCCGCACTACACATGACTGCTTCATTTGGTTTTGATTTTTTTTTTTGTAAATATAAGGCTTCTCTGAAACGAACTGCTTCCCTACATCTCAGGTCCAGAAAATAAGCATCACTTTATATCCAACTAGATTGTAGCACTTAGTTACCATGTTTTTGGAGTTGTTTATACCCATCCCCTTTCTCTATCCTGCACTCCTAGCCTGTGACCGGGAGCTCCTGGTGGGGGCAGGGACTGTATTTATCTTGGCATCGAAGGTGCCCTGCACAAGTTTAACCTGAGGAAGCCAATCCCCACGGGTGCTTCCTGGATGGAGTCGTTACTTTCAGAGCAGTCACTTTGTATATTATTAATAGTGATGGCGATGAAATATTTATGAATGAATGATGGGATGTTTGAAATTTGCTTTAACTTAATAACGGACAAGAGGAGAGGATGGGGGTGTGAAGGGGACAGAACTGAAGAGGGGTTGGTGGCGAGTGGGGCTGGGGACTGGGTACATGGGGGTCCTTAGACACCCTGTCCGTTTTCATGGAAGTTCAAAATTCTCCATAGTCAAAATATTTTTAATTAAATATCCTTCCCAAAATAATACTAATCATGGCAATGGGAGTAGCTAAAAGTGAAGTAAATGTGATCATTTGTTAATCACTGCTCACGTGCCAGGCTCTGTGCTGAGATTCACACGTGTCAGCTGATTCCATCCTCATGTCACTGCTATAAATATTTTGTCTGTGTTGCACCCAGGAAGCAGCAGGTCACAGACAGAGATCTAGAGATTCAAACCCAGACCTGTCAGGGACCAACGTCCACAGTCTCTACCCACAAGCCACATTGCACATGGCCTTGACGCTGTCAGTGATGGAGACATTCTGGCCTGTATTTTGGGAAGGGGCCTCCGAGCCAGCACCTTTCCACTGGGGGCCTGTACCTTTATCCTTTAAAGGGAGTGATGCTGATTTTCTGAGTCATCCAGGAATCACTTGGAGCTAAAATCTCATGGGCCAGGAGGGCTGTCAAGCTGGACAAAACTGCCTTAGGCCAAGACAAGCAGCAGTCATGAGCGCCCGGGCCTCCTGGCGCCAGGCTGCCACAGCTCTTCCTCTTTAATAATTCTGAAGTTCCTCCCGCCACAGGTGCCCCTGCTTCCACCCAGGTTCAGGCCTCAGCATTGCTCACCCAGGTCACCCTCTTCGTTGGTCCACCTACCTCCCACCTGGCCACAGTCTGTTCTGACCTCCCCACAGTCAACGGAGACTCAGTCTAGAACCCAAAAGTGACGTACCCTATCCCTTCCCAAGCCCTGGGAGATGAAGCCCAAATTCCTTAGCATGGCCCTGGGCAATCTACCTGCTCCCTATCCTCTTGCCCCTGACCTTCCAGCCTCATTTATCTTACTTGCCCACCTCTTACCACTCCCTGCCATGCATTCTCTTCCCCACCCCAGCCAGACCGGACAATCTGCAGGCATACAAAAGCCCCACATTCTCGTATCTGGATGGCTTTGCTTATCCTATTACTCCATGTAGCTGGGACAACACTTCCCTCCTTAGCTGCTACCTCTCCCAACCTGACAAATGTCTAATCATCCTCTAAGACTCAGCTCAGGTGTCACCTTCTCCAGGAAGCCTTCCCTGATGCCCCAGGCTGGGGACAGGGGTATGTTCCTACAGCCCACTATGCTTGCCTCCAGCCCTGCACAGCAGCCTGGGTTATACACACCTGCTGCTCTGTCTCCCACTCCAGCCAGGGCACTTCTCCAAGGCAGGGACCCATCTCTGTGCCCCCAGAGCCTAGCACTAGGCCTATGACACTGTAGCTGCTAAACAGAGCCAGGATGTGCAAAGGTAGCCCGGCCATTTAGTCTTTCTGAGCCTCGGTTTTCTCATCTGCAAAACAGGATTAATGGCACCTACTGCATAAGGATGTTTGTTCACTCAGCAAATATTTATTGAGCTCCTATAATGTGCCAGTCTCTAGGCCCCAGGTTGATAGCTGAGAGCAAAGCTGGACGAATTCTCATGAGCTGACATTCCAGCAGGGGGAGACAGACAAGAAATAAGACAAACAAATACAATGTAGAGCAGCAGTCCCAAATTTTTGGCACCAGGGACCAATTTCATGGAAGACAATTTTTTTCAGGGACTAGGAGATGGGTGGGTGGGAAGGGATGGTTTTGGAATGATTTGAGCACCTTACATTTATCGTGCACTTTATTTCTATTATTATTACATTGTAATATATAATAAAATCATTATACAACTCACCATAATGTAGAATCAGTGGCAGCCCTGAGCTTGTTTTCCTGCAACTGGATGGTCCCATCTGGGGGTGATGGGAGACAGTGACAGGTCATCAGGCATTAGATTCTCATAAGGAGCTCACAACCTATATCCCTCACTGACGCAGTTCACAGTAGGGTCCGTGCTTCTATGGGAATCTAACACCACTGCTGATCTGACAGGAGGAGGGGCTCAGGCCGTAATGCTCGCCCCGCTGCTCACCTCCCGCTGTGCAGCCCCATTCCTAACAGGCCACGGACCAGTATCAGGAACTGGGGACCTCTGATGTATATAGGATGTCACGTGGTAGTGATGAAAATGAATCAGGAAAAGAGCACTAGAGATTTAGGGGAACCCGGAGGCAAAGTAGCCCTTTTTTTTTTTTGAGATGGAGTTTTGTTCTTGTTGCCCAGGTTGGAGTGCAGTGGCACAATCACAGCTCACTGCAACCTCCGCCTCCCGGGTTCAAGCGATTCTCCTGCCTCAGCCTCCCGAGTAGCTGGGATTACAGGCACGTGCCACCACACCTGGCTAATTTTGTATTTTTAACAGAGATGGGGTTTCTCCATGTTGGTCAACCTGGTCTTGAACTCCCGACCTCAGATGATCAGCCTGCCTCGACCTCCCAAAGTGCTGGGATTACAGGCTTGAGCCACCGCACCTGGCCCAAAGTAGCACTTTTAAGTGCTTTGGTCAGGAGTGGCTTCCCTGTGAAGGTACCACTTAACTGGCATCCTGGAGCAGGTGCGGGAACGGACTGTGTGGGTGTCCTGGAGAAGTCTAGGCAGCAGGAAGGAAGGGCAAAGGCCCAGAGGTGGAGCCTTGCCAGGGACAGGGTGGGAGGTGGAGAAAGGAGGGTGGGGAGGAGAAGCAGGCCGTGGTAACCATGGTGATGAGTCCTGTACTCCGAGTTCAATGGGAACTCATTCTGAGCAGCGAGTGACACAATCCGATGGCTGGGCTGGCAGGGAGTAGGCGTGTGAGCACTCAGCCCGGTGTCGGCACACAGAGGTCGCTGCAGAAGCCTAGCTGTGGCTGTTCTTAGAGCAGCAAGCAGCGTTCTCGCCCTCATCCTGATTACTAAGGCATGAATAGTGCTGCTTCTGATGGCCGTTTCCGGAAACGTTCTGCACACGGGAGCTTCTCTTGAAAGAGCCTCGGCCCTCAGAGGCGGCTTCTTTGAAGGACAGCCGTGGTTGTAATGCGTGAACCCTGCTGCGCCTCTTTAGAGCAACACCAAAGTCTCTTTACCTGATGCAAAGGCTCCATGAGATGACTGGGGAGCCCTGCCTGGGAGCTATTTACAAGCTGGCTAGGGACAAGAGAGTTGAAAGAATGGCCGTATTGAGCAGAAGACTATACCACCAGGATGAATTCGGGGTAATCGTGAGCCCCAGCGTGTGTAATGCGGGACGGGGGCAGTGGAGCCCAGTGGGGAGGTGCCTACTGGGGCTGAGATCATCGAGGGCGAATGAGGCTTCACCTCTGCCTAGAAGGTCTAGGGTGGGGGAGGGACAGCCTGGGCTCGCCAACCCACCTGTGCAGGCAGGCAGTGGAAACTTCTGCCAAGGAGATCACCCCTTGTGCCTGACCCTCTGACCCAGGACAGAGAGCAAGGACCGTGAAGACCTTCTCCTGGAGGAGGATCGGGATGAGGAGAAAAAGGAAGACAGGAAGGAAGAGGGGGAGAATGGAGGGACTGCTTTTAGAGCAAAAGGTATCTGGAGGTGTCCGGCAGTCCGATGGAGGAGACAGCCCTTGTGCTGGGGAGCTCCCAATCTGATGGGGGAAGCACGCCACCACCTAACTCTTTGCCCTCTGCCTTCCTTCCTGGATGTATCCCAGAAGACTTACGGGCGCCGGGGGCGGGGGCGGGGCGTGAACCATCCAAAATGAAATATCTTCTTTCAGAAATTGAGGCCAAGAAGTGAAGCAAAAGCAGAAGGTAGCGACAGGTTGCTGACTTCTACAGAAGTTTTTCCTAAGGGGATGAGCGGGGTTTGTTTTTAAATTCAAGGAGAACCACAGGAGCAGAAATAAAACGAACCTCAGCTAAACCCAGAGAAAGATTGGCCAGACTGCCGCAGCAGAGCTTTGTCTTCACATGGTTTGGGTATTTTTTCTAATTATAAAGTTAAGATGTGCACTTTCCAGAGTCCAAAAAATGTATAACCAAGAAGACGGGGGAAGAGTCCCGTAACATTTGTTTGTTACCTTTCTTTCTCCTTTTTATTCTATGCATTTTAACATGGTTGAATCACGCTGCATACCTCCTTTCATTTATTCATTGAAGAGCAATTTAAGTCTCTCTTACATACCTGGTACTGTTCTGGGGATGGGGGATACTGCAGTGAACAAAACAAGCCCCCTGCCCTCGTGGAGCTGAAAGTCTACTGAGGGAGACAGGCAAGACACAAATCATTCCACACATAGAATATGTTCAGCAAATGAGAACTGCTATAAAGAAAATAAAACAGGAAAACGACGGAAAGTCACCGAACGGCTTGGGGCAACTTAGTCAAGGTGGTAAGGGAAAGTCTCTTCTAAGAAAAAACTTCTTTTTTGTGAGATGGAGTTTTGCTCTTGTCGCCCAGGCTGGAGTGCAATGGTGCAATTTTGGCTCACCACAACCTCCGCCTCCTGGGTTCAAGCAATTCTGCTTCAGCCTCCTGAGTAGCTGAGATTACAGGCACCTGCCACCACACCCGGCTAATTTTGTGTTTTTAGTAGAGACGGGGTTTCCCCATGTTGGTCAGGCTGGTCTTGAACTCCCAACCTGAGCCCAACCATGGAAGAACCAACCGTGAAAAGATCCAGGGGGGAGGCACTCGGGGTAGAGGGCACTGCGGGGGCAAAATCCCAGGGACTGAGATGTGCTTGGCATCTTCAAGGAACAGAAAGAATGCCAGTGTAGCTGGAGGCATGTCCCTGTGCTATTATTAAACACTCAGGAAGAACTTTTTAGACATCCAGGGGCTCTGAGCCTGGATTGGATGATCAGGAGTATCGTTCTTGAGAAGACACGAGCATCCCCACAGCCTGCATTTATCCCAGAATTGGAGCATGAGGAGAGGATTTAGAACCCGTCTGCTCTCCAGCTTCTCTTACTGGAGGAAGGAAGAGAAGGTGGGCATTTCCCACTGAAAAAGCCTTCGGCCCTCACAGGGGGCCCATTTCAAGGGCAACCGTTGTTGCAATGCGTGAACCCTGCAGCGCCTCTTTAGAACGACACCAAAGTCTCTTTACCTAGTGCAAAGGCTCTGCGAGATGACTGGGGAGCCCTGCCTAGGAGCTATTTACAGGCTGGGTGGGGACAAGAGAGTTGAAAGAACGACCATACTGAGCAAGATGAATTCAGGAGAATGATGTTGCTTGAGAGCTGCCAAATGCCAATTCTGCCAGATGCCATTTAGTGCTGTGAAAATCTTAATTCATTTCAACCTCATGGCAGTCCCATGAAGGAGATAATGTTATTCTCCCATTTTTCTCATCAGGAAACAGAGGCTTAGAGCTGTGAAATACCTTGTCCCAGGGCCAGGCACAGTGGCTCACGCCTGTAATCCCAGCACTTTGGGAGGCCGAGGCGGGCAAGTCACTTGAGGTCAGGAGTTCAAGACCAGCCTGGCCAACATGGCAAAACCCCATCTCTACTAAAAATACAAAAATTAGCCAGGCGTGGTGGCAGGCACCTGCAATCCCAGCTACTCGGAAGGCTAAAGCAGGAGCATTGCTTGAACCCGGAAAGCGGAGGTTGCAGTGAGCCAAGATCATGCCACGTGGATTGTTGTACTCCAGCCTGGGCAACAAGGTAAGACTCCATCCGCCCCCCACCACCCCCATAAAAAAAAAAAGGAGAAGAAGCGAGAACAAAGACAGCAGACATACCCCAGTGAAGCCTGTACTGCCTGTTTGAAGGCTCTGATCCTACATCAGGACAAGCCATGGGAGGATAAAATTAACTTCTATTGGCCAAGACCAAGTGGTGTCAGCTCAGCACAACCTCACCAAACCTCACCTCTGAACCTGTGGTTGTAAGGCCGGCAGGGGGCCCTGCTCGGAGAGGAACCATGCAGATGCCCTGGATGAGAAAAGTCAGGCACTGCACCCAACCACACACCAGCCCAGCAGCCCTACCTCGCCTCCATACAGAGCAGGAAACAGTGAAACACCACAGGGAAAAGAATGAGACAGACCTGGAGTTTAGTAAACAAACACACGGAACAGATGGATAGGTGGATGGACGAATGAGTGGATTCCAAGTAGAGAGCTCCACATGATGACAGATGTGATAACTATCAGAGATCTATCAGAAAGAGGGGAGTAAATTATATATATGTATGACTATGCTTATATGTCAGATAGATTGACAGATTTTTGAGATACACAGATTATATGTTTGAGGTAGATGAAAAAATTCAAGGGTGGACTGGAGCCCCCATTCACATCAGCCGGTGAGTCAATCCCGGGCATCTCTTCCCGACTCTGTTCTGTAACATCATATGGGTTGCCTGAAATCAGCCTTGATGGGAACATTTACACCAGAGAAATGGGCAGATGCTACAATCAGGGCTATATTTTTTCCAAGGGCTGATGTAGCAGCACATGCTGGTTAGATATGCTGTAACAGATTGGTAATTGGATATACCTCAGATAGATTGTATATACAATGCACATATATGAGACAGATTACATATGCAAGGTACATAAGTTACATTTCTTTAATAAATTGACAAACATAAATATATATATATATATATATACCTAAATATAATTTACATTTGACTGAACCTCATGAAATTGCAGTTCTTCTACTGTTTTTAGTCTACCAAAAAAAGGCACTTTCATAGGATTATACCTAGTAGACGAGTTATAAATGTGTGTGTCCCTGTGTGTGTAATCGTTAGAAAGCACCCGGGACTGAGAGTCAAAGAGGAGACAGGGACACCCGGGCTCCAGGAACTACTCCACCACTTAACTAGCTGTGTGGTCCCAAGCAGATGGCTAGCCTTCTCTGAACCTCGGTTCCCTTGCTGGGAATGTGAGGGCATTGACAGCCTCACCTCCAGGGTTGCTGAGGGGACCACAGGAGGGCACAGCCCAGCGCAGAGCCCCCAGCAGGGCTTCCTGGGAGCCTCTCAGGCCTGCACTAGCCCCCACAGCACATTCCCACTGCAGGTCGGCCCTGGGCATCTGTGTGACCTCACTGGATCTCCAGAGGTCTCCGCCTGCAGAAATGGACTCTCCCTAGGGGAAGCTGCTCCTTTCCTGGTACGCACCCCTCCCCATGTCCCCCAGTCAGAGTGAGGATGCGCCAGCTGACAGATTCCCAGCCCCGGGGCCATGCTGAGTCTGGCTGGGGGAGTGACACCCCTCGGCCATCAATCAACGGAGCCATGACCAGCACCGGTCTCTAGGAGAATCCATCATCATTTTCCTGTTCACCCAGCCCCTCCAGTCCATCCAGCAAACTCCCTAAGGGGAGGGGCCAAAGGGAGCCTTTCCAGCAGGACGGAGGCAGAGCCAGGCACTGGCTGGGGCTCTGGTTCTAAGTGTGCTGGGTGTCTGTGGGCAGGGCCACTTCCTTTCTGGGCCTCAGTTTCTCTTCTGTATATTTAGCCTAAAAACATTTTTTTAAGACAGGTTCTCACTCTATTGCCCCAGCTGGAGTGCAGTGGCACGATCAGGGCCCACTGCAGCCTCAAGCTCCCTGGGTTCAAACAATCATCTCGCCTCAGCCTCCCGAGTAGCTAGGATTACAGGCATGTACCACCCCACCTGGCTAAGATTTTTTGAGTCTTAATGGAGACAACGTCTCACTATGTTGCCCAGGCTGCTCTCAAACTCCTCAGCTCAAGCAATCCTCCTGTCTTGGTCTCCCAAAGTGCTGGGATTACAGGGATATGAGCCACCATGCCTGGTCCTAAAAATATTTTTAAATCAACTGAATAAAAACAAAAAAAAAAAAACCCTTCCAGCTGAAGAAAGCTGCTTGTAGGTGGATCCAGCTCTGGAGAGAAGAGATTACAACCCTGCCCTTCACAGAAATCAGCTCTTGGGGATCTTACCTTAGTAACTGGCGTTAAGGAACAAGTACAGGTTCAAACTCTAGCTCTGTGACCTACCAGCTGTGTGACTTTAGGCAAGTTATTCAACATCTCTGAATCTCAGTCTCTTCATCAGTAAAATGAGGATACTAACACCTGCCTCACAGGGTTCTCATGTGGATTAAAAGACATAACCATTAAAAATGATGACATCAGGCCAGGCGTGGTGGCTCACACCTGTAATTCCAGCACTTTGGAAGGCTGCGGTGGGTGGATCACTTGAGTTCAGGAGTTTGAGACCAGCCTGACCAACATGGTGAAACCATGTTGCTGCCTGGAATGCTGCTAAATTTACTAAAAATACAAAAATGAGCTGGACGTGGTGGCATATACACCTGTAGTGCTGGCCACTCAGGAGGCTGAGGCAGGAGACTCGCTTGAACCCAGGAGGCGGAGGTTGCAATGAGCTGAGATTGTGCAACTACACTCCAACCTGGAAGACAGAGAGACTCTGTCTCAAAAAATAAATAAATAAATAAATAAAATTCTGCCCATTTTAGAGCACTAGGCTACTTGCCAGCTTCTGTGCCATGAACTTTGTGTACCAGCTCATTTCTTACTACAAGGATACTGTGAAGCAGGTCCTATTATTCTGCCCATTTTACAGAGGAGAAAACTGAGGCTCAGGAAGATGAAGTGACTTGCCCAAGGCACACAGCTGGCAAATGGCAAATCGGGATTTGAACCCAGGTAATCTGGCTCACCCAGAGTGGGTGCATGTTCTCACCCACTACACCACAGCAATAACACTTGTAAGATCTCTGATGCATAGGAGGGGTCCTATCCAAGTCAGTTACTGGGGTAACCATTGTTAAATTTTCATCCTTTATTCACTAGGCTAACAGGACCTTCCGGACTGAGACATTTCCTCCAGGACTCAGCCTCGGGGCTTTTGGACCAAGGCTGTGAAACAGAAGGAGTCTATCCTAGTCTTTTGAAAGCCTTGATTGGAAATGGTTTTGCTGCTGCTGCCCTCTATCAACAGGCTTGCCCTGAGCCTAGGGCAGCTTAGCATCCCTTCACCGTGTTGGGGACATTTGGGGCTGTGCAGAGATCTGGGGCAGGATGCCAAGGGGAGGCAGAAACAGGTAAGCTTGGTGCGCAGAGCCTCAGCTTGGCCTCCTGAGCATCCACCAGAGAGGAGAGCAAGGGCGGGGGGCTCTCAAGCCCATTTCACCTCAGACCCTACAGGAAACTAGTTTGCAGATGCAGGGAGAAATCAAAAGCATGAGGCTGGGAGCAGTGGTTCACACCTGTAATCCCAGCACTTTGGGAGGCCAAGGTGGGCAGATCACTTCAGCTCAGGAGTTCAAGACCAGCCTGGCCAACACGGTGAAACCGCATCTCTGCTAAAAATATGAAAATTAGCCAGGCATGATGGTGCATGCCTGTAATCCCAGCTATTCGGGAGGCAGAGGCAGGAGAATCACTTGAACCTGGGAGGCAGAGGTTGCGGTGAGCCAAGATAGTGCCACTGCATTCCAGTCTGGGTGACAGAATGAGACTCCATCTCAAAAAAAAAAATAAAAATAAAAAGTATGAGCTTTGGGCATGAGAGAGATTGGGAATCAAATTCAGGCTGTCCACTGGCCAGGAAGCCAGCTGTGTGACCTCAGACAGGAGAACTCACCTCTCGAAGCCTAACTTCATCCTCAGTAAAGTGGGGATGTTAATGGCAACCTTGCAAAACTGCAACGCACAAAAATGCCTGGCCCATAGCAGATGCTCAATAAATGGTAGCTGTCACCATTGATTATTTTAGTTTGGCAAACCACTGATTCTGAGCCAATTACAGTCAGCCCACTTGAAACCCAGCAGCTGTTGGCCAAAGTCTGTCTGTCTGGTTTCAATATACCCAGGGGCTTGGGTTCAACCAATGGCTTTTGGGGGAGTTGGTTGAGTTTCGCTGCTGGTTATTTGCAAAGTATCTGACTGCTGAAACCCAGCCCAGCTGGCCAGTTCCTCAAAGAACCATCTCTGGACTGAACCATGCAGGCTGTGTCGGGAGAGCTGGCTGTTTCTCGCACATCTGCAGAGCAGCCAGCTGTAGAATGGAATTTAAGCCCTTCCTTTTCAAACACAAGAGTCTGGCTTGAAAATAAAGCCCAGCTTAGCCCCAGAGGCAACCAGTGTGGCACTCAACCTGTATTTACAGGGGAAGGGGAGGTGCTAACAGTTCGGGACTCTGCTCCAAGCCTGTCTCTTTTAAAAAGCCACTGAGCAGCTACCTGGCTGTAGAACATCCCACTTGGGGTGATCTGCCTGGAACGCTGCTAAATTCCAAACCAATATTGAAATCAGCCTTCATAGTTAGGCAGGGCATCCTGGGCTCATGGAAAACAGCCAGAGAAGGGCCAGTTTTTTTTGTTCTGAGCAGACCCCAACCCCACTGGATGAGCCCCATTTTCTAGTGACCAGCTGAATGCAAGGATGCTGCAACACAATTTGGAGAGGAGTTGAAGAAGGGAGCCAGTGTGCTGGGACTCTGGCAGAGGGGGCTAGGAGGGACACTGATGTGGCTGAGAGAGGGAAGAAGCAGGAGGCTTGGGAAGCAGTGCGAGTTTTCTTTCCACCTCTGCTGTGTGATCTTGGTTACTCTGCTTGCCCTCTCTGGGCCTCTTCTGCCTAAATGAAATATGACCATGAGCTGTATGAGCACCGTGGCTGGGCATTGTTCAATGCTGTCTCTAAAGCATCTGGCTCAATGCTTAGCACATAGTAGGCCCCCTATAAATAATAACTGAGTGAAAATGCCTCTCCCTCCAGCACTTCTTCATGTAATTTTCCCAAAGGCAAGCCTTTGATTAGAGAATCATTCTGTGTCAGTACAGACTGTTCTCAGTGCGAGAAACAGTGTCAGTATGTATCTGATTTTTAAAAGCATTGATCTCCAGCCCATTCCGATCCTAATGAGGCAGAGAAGAGAAGAGAAGCCTTCATTCTCGCATTCCTCTCTGGAATTGCTCTCCTGCCCCTGCCACTGCAGGCTGACAGCTACTGAAGGCAGACAGTACCTCGGGCCCCAAGGCCAGGACTGCAAACCCAAATGCCTACAGGACTGATGAGGTATTGGGAGAGTGTGGGGCCCAGTGAGGTCTGGGGCAAACTGGATTCTATCCACCCCATCCACAGGAGCACCTCCTATCAGCTCCTGCCCATCATTACTGCAGGAAATACAAGCCTGATACAGCCAGCCCTTATAATATTTCTAAGATACAAATATAGAGTTGTATGTTAAATCACTTAATTTTAAGAGTCGACAACTAATTCAACATTGAAAAAGAAAAATTACTGAGTGAGGCAAACACATTTTGCAGGCAGGATTCAGCCCAGCCTCTGAAGTCTTCTGGGTAGTGGATAGGAACCTATTCGAAGAGGGAAGACTCAGCTCTTGCCCTAAGGGACATGTCAGTCTGATGATGGGGACCCAGCTCTGCCCTTGGGAATCCTTCAGTTGAGACGAGAGAGGCAAAAAGAGACAAGAATTCCAGATACTTCCAGATTGGCCCAAAAAATGTGCGGATGAATCTCACACAGACTAAGGCCACAGCCACTGGGAACTACAGGGTAGAGAACCAACCTGGACCAGTTTGGGGTGAATCGGGGAAATGCCTCTGACACTTTCCTACAGGGTCTTGAAGAAAAGAAAGGATGTAGATGGTGAAGGTGGGTGGCCCAGGTGAGGTGAACAGGGGAAAGCCAGGCAGAGCAAGGTGCTAGGTGGGTAGCAGGTGCACCTGGCCGCTGAATGGAGAGGCGCAGTCTTAGAATGTCTGGGACAGAAGGGTTGCTGGCATGGCCTGGTCTCATGGTCCCAATACAAGATGGGAAAATAGAGGTTCAAGGAGGGGAGAAACTTGCCCAAGACCAGGCAGGGCACTGATAACATGGACAGGATGGAAACGAAGTCACAGGAGATGAGGCTGGGTGGGAAGGGGCCAGGGAGCCCACCTGAGGGATTGCAGTTTACCGCATGGCAGTTTACACGGGGGAAAAGCTTCTGGCTGATGACCCCACCTGCCCCGCTTCCTGGTCTGTGAACTGGAGCCAGGTGGAAGGCACCATCTCCAGCCCATGGCTGCCCTTTGAATTAACCTTTAGACTGCACAGATGAATGGCTCCATCTATCTTTCACCCAACAGGCTCCAGAAGTCTGACAGAGGGAGCAAGCGTGGCCCAGAAAGGGCAGAGGTCCCGGTAAGAACAGGAAGGATGTCCCAGAGACAGGAGGCCTTGCCTGCCAGGACTTAGGGATCCATGAGGGGTGAAGGGAAAGCTGCATTGAGCAATTTCAGGGGTGGGCCAGGACCTTCATGGTCATGGCATCCCTGACTCCTCTCATTGACCATGCAAGGCCAGGACTGTCATGACCTATCCCACAGATGAGGAAGCAGAGACTTGCCCACAGTCACCCAGCCAGAAACGGCAGCTCTGGGCTTAGGATGTTTCGAACAGACCAGCCAGGTGACGCCACACCCTGGTGTGGAGCCACTCCATGACCCTTGCCTCTTTCTCCTGCTCCTGACCCTCCACCCTTTCCTCACACAAGGTCTTTGCACTTGGCGTTCATGCCTTCTGGAGCACTCTCCCAGCATCCTTCATACAGCTGGAGACATTCAAGAATCTGCAACAGTTGGGGGAAGGGGAGACAGAACTCAATCCCAAGGGGACACTGGGGGCTGGGTCTCCAGGGCCTCCCTGTGCCAGGCCAAGCATCTTGGACAATTGGGAGCTGGCAGAGGACTTTTACCCTCTGTGCTAATTCAGATACTCTTCATTACAGCCTTTAAAATTTCCTAAATTGAGGTATAAAATGCATCAAGGGTACTGAACTTAAGTGACCAGTTCAACTTCTGACATATCCACATCTGTGTCCTTTCCACCCATATCAAGGCAGAGATCATGTCCTGCACCCCAGAAGATCTCTTTGTGTTTCTTTCTAGTCAAAGCTACCTTCCTCTAAAGGTAACGCGATTCTGACTTCTCTCGCCATCCATTAGGAATGCCTCTTATTGACTTTCATCTGCATGAAACCACACAGCATGTGGCCTATGGCAGATGGCATTTTCCACAGCTGGCTTCAACAGTATCTCCCATTCCCCATACTCTTTTTGCAATGTGGTGTTGATACTCCTCCCATAGAGAACTGAGTTCTGTGTCCCCTCCCCTTTAATCTGTGTGGACATTTATCCCCTCATCTAATAGAGCATAGTGAGTGGAATGCTATGTGAGTTGAACAGGTGATAAAAAATGTCACATACTTCACCGTGCTCTCAGGGGACAGTTGCTCTTGGATCTGGCCACCATACTATAAGGAAGCTCAAGCAGCCTGTGGAGGGGCTGATATAAGAGAAATCCATTGCCCTGGCTGAGCCCCCAGCCCACAGCCAGAAACAGCCTGATAGCCATGGGAGTGATCCATCTTGGACGTGGGTTCTGCAGCCCCAGTTGAGCTCCCCACCAACGCCAATTGAGCAGAAACAGGCCATCCCACAACATCCTGCCTAAATTGCCTCTTTTGAGTGAAATAAATTATCATTTTGTTTTATGCCACTAACTCTGAGATGGTTCATAAAAAAGATTTTAAGCAGGAGAGTGATTTTGAGTAAGAGTTTTGCCCTTGTATATAATAAAAGACACAACATAAATTGGCTTGAGGGAAAAGAAAGGAAAGAAGAAGAAGGGAGGGAAGGAGGGAAAGAAAGAAGTAAAGAAAGAAGGATGGAAGGAGGAAGGAAGGAAGAAAGAAAGAAAGGAAAGAAGGAAGGAGGGAGGGAAGGAAGGGAGGAAAAGAAGGAGAGAAGGAGGGAAGGGAGGAAGGGAGCGAACGAGAGAGGGAGGGATGGAGAGAGGAGGGGATATATTGGTTCTCATAACTAAAAAGTTCAAAGAGGGTTTGTATTGGTTTCCTAGAACTGCTATAACAAACAACTATGGACTAGGGGCATAAAGAACAGATAGTTATTGTCTCACAGTTCTGGAGGGTAGCAGGCCAAGGTCAAGGTGTCAACAGGGTTGGTTCCCTCTGCGGGCTGTGAGAGAGGGATCTGTTCCAGGCCTCTCTCCTTGGCTTGTAGTCATCCATCATCTTTCTTCACGTCATCTTCCCCCTATGTATGTCTGTGCGTCCGAATGTCCCCCTTTTATAAGGACACATGTCATATTGAATTAGGGGCCCGCCCATTCCAATATGACCTCATCTTAACGAATTACATCTGCAAATGAGCCTATATCTAAATAAAGTCACATTCTGAGATTCTGGGGGTTAGGGCTTCAACATAAGAAGTTGGAGGGGGTAGGACACAATTTATCTCCTAACAAGGCTAATCCAGTCATGGCTAGGTCCAGCCATCGTCAATGTCACCAGCATCTCTACACCTCCCGAACTTTGCTTTCCTATTTGGGCTCATTCTCAGGCTCCATATGCTGACAAGATGTTCCAGGCCTGCATCCTCCCGGGCTCATGTGCCTGGGAGAAGAGCACTGCCTCTCTCAACAGCCATTTTGAACACACGGCTCTGGCCAGCTTGGGGCCGGTGCCTGCCAATGACGGGGACAGGGCAGGAGAGTGGGGATGGCTCCGTGCCAAGCTCTCCAAGCCTGCCACACTCTTGCAGGAATGGATCCACCATCCCCAGGTCACTTGTGTCACGTTCCCATTCCAAGAACAGCATGCTCAACACCCAGCCCTGAGATTAAAAGGAAAAATAATATTTAAAGGCACTTATTAAAGATACTCAGAAGGCCCTTCGAATGTCAAACAGCTGTGAGCAAACCCTAATTTGATGATCTACGTGTTAATGAATCCCAGACATGCAGATTAAATTCTCTTTAAATTGCACATGGTTTTAAAATGCATTTCTCTCTGGCATGTCTGGTTCAGAACAAGGTTAGTGAAACACCTGTGAGGCAGGTCCGCCGATCTGGGGATGGAGCAGGAGCTGGCGATGTCCCTGGCTCAGGCCTTGGGGAGCCTGTGAGCTATATAAAGAAAAAGACCCACTGAGAACCGCATCGGCAGCAATGTGGACTGGAGCATGCAGCTGAGGGCAGCTTGCTGCGCGTGGGTCTTTCACTTAGCAAATATTTACAGAGCTTCTACCAGGCGCAGGCCCTCTCCTGGGCATTGGGGATGCAGCAGTGAAGACGGAAGCCGCAGCCTTGCCCTTACCTCCAGGTGAAGGGGACAGACAATAATGAGAGAGGTAGATTGCTAATCAAGGGAATTCAGAGTAGAATAAGTGCTATTAAGAAAAGAAACAACGAGATGATGAGGAGCAGGTTGGCACCAGGAAGACTGGGGAAAGGAGGTGGTTCGAGAAAAGGGGTGAACCATCATGAGGCTGGGGGACGGCACAGGCAAGAGCACCGGCACCGACCAGGCCTGGCCTGGTCAAGGTGCCAAAGCCGGCCTAGAGGGAGTGGGGAGGTGGCATATGGCAGACACAGGGCAAGCCAAGGACTCCACGGCAGGTGATATGTGTCTTCTGAACAGCAACCCAGATGTACCTGAAAACGTAGTACATGGAGACCAAGGTGAGGAACAGAACAGGAGCCTTAACTCAGCCACGGCTGGGACATTAAACATACATGTTGGCTGGGTGCAGTGGCTCATGCCTGTAATCCCAGCACTTTGGGAGGCCAAGGTAGATGGATTGCTTGAGCTCAGGAGTTCGAGACCAGCCTGGGCAACATGAGAAAACCCCGTCTCTACCAAAAAATGCAAAACTTAGCTGGGCATGGTGGCACATGCCTGTAGTCCCAGCTACTGTGTAAGCTGAGGTGGGAGAATTGCTTGAGCCTGGGAGGTTGAGGCTGCAGTGAGCTGTGATTGTGCCACTGCACTCCAGTTGAGAAAGTGAGACCTTGTCTCAAAAAAAAATAAAATAAAAACACACGTAATATACCAGAATGAGGCATGGCCAGGTTACTGGGTGCTGGTCACAAGCTGGGGGCTGAGTCCACTCTGGAAAAAGTCCTCAAGTTGTATTTGGGGGACCTGTACACCTTTCTGTCTGTATGTTATTCTTCAATAAAATGTGTACCAAAACGATTACACAGTGTAATGTTTGAGATACTGGATATGCTAATTACCCTGATCTGTTCACTGTGCATTATAGGTATTGAAACATCACTTTGGACCCCATGAATATGGACCATTATTTTATTTCAACCATTAAAACATAAAATTAAAAAGACAAAAACTAAAAGAAAAAAACAAAAAAAGTATGTACATGAGAAATAGCAGCCTGCCTTTGGCAAGAACGTGGACCCACAAAAGGATAAATCTTAGACATTCAAATGGTTGTCTAGGAGGGATGGGAATCAGGGATGAGGAGGAGCAAATTTTCTAAAACTTCCTGGAGCCCCCAGACCCCGTAGCAAGTGACTTTGTGTGTAACTCACTCACTGGTTTTGCATTCTCAACAACCCCGTGATCCATTCAAATGGAGAGATAGGCACTGATTGGACCCCTGTTTAACAAATGCAGGGGCCGTGGTGGCACATGACTGCAGTCCCAGCTATTCAGGAGACCAAGAGGGAGGATCCCTTGAGTCCAGGAGTTCGAAACCAATCTGGGCAACATAGCGAGACACACCCTACAACACTGTCCCCATGTCATAAATAAATAAATAGCTGATGAGTTCTTTGTGCCACTGATAATGAATGAACGGGTGAGTGAATGCCGGCGAGAGGCCGCGGGTGCCTGGGAGTGGCTGTGAGGCACAGGTGGGGAGAAGCTGACAGACGCTTAAAGGTCAGTGCTGTGTGCTCTCTCATCCCTCCCCTTAAGCCCCGCAGACACCCCCAGCCCACCTCTGGTCACAGTGGGACCTGGCCCTCCTATCACTTCCACAACCTGCACCTGCTAGGGTGGCAAGATGACGGATGAGGGCTTCTGCGACCCCAGCCACTGGCATGAGGAAGGGAGCAAGAGGAAAACTCCCCCACCATCCCGTCCTCCATTTTTATTTCTCTCTGAACCTTGAAAGACAAGGGTTCCGGCAAATCGCTCCCGCTGGCTGATAGAGCCTGCAAGTGTCTTGCGTCGCCCATCCACATCCTTGAGTCAAGTCCTGCCCTGCTGCTCAGACTGACCACCCTTACTTCTGGCCCAGGTCTGGAGGGCAGATATCTCAAGACCGCAGAGACAGGGACTGAGCTGTTCATCCCACCTCGATGCCTCTGGCAGGACACAGTGGACAGGGATCAGCTCCTTGTTGGTTGCCAGGTCAGTGAGCCCAGCCACCTGCTGCCCACCTGCTCTGGGGACAGAGGAATCAGGAGCGTGTGTGGCTGAGGTCAGACTTGCTCACTCATTCATCACGCTCTGCTTCTTTCCTTCCTGCACACCTTGTAAGCCGTGGTTCTCTTACGTAGAAATTAGTCGACTTATTTTTTGTCTTCCCACTGCAGGTAAGCTCCATGAGGGCAGGGCCCAGGGCCTGCCCTGTCACAGTGGGTCCCCAGGTCACTCATCCCCACCTACCTCATGGCAGAAACTCAATCAATATTTGCTGAACAAGAGAGGGCCTCTGTGAAGGAGGCCAGGTTATTCCCATTTATAGGTGAGGGGACCAAAGCTCAAGGGAAGAGCATACGAACCCAGGACCTGGGAACTGCAAGCCTTGTATTATTCTCCATGCAGGCTGCCTCTTGGGAACCCTGCTTTAGAAGGGACAGTGCAGTCTAAACTGGTGCATGCAAATGAAATGCAAATGACAATGCAAATATCACTGGCTGGCTTACACAATGTCCTGGCCTCTGGGAGGATTCTCTGAGTGACACTGTCGGAAGCTCTGCTGCAAACTGGTCCCTCCAGGTGGCAGCTGGAGTGGGAATAGGAGAACACCCAGAAGAGACAGGGGGAGCAGTTACAACACTGGTCCTGACCCCAGCCACTCCATCATCTAAGGTCTTTGGAGGGGTGCTCACTGTCCAGTGGGCTCAGGCCCTACCCTCCCCATTCTGCAGAGAAACCAAGGCACACTGTTGAGGACTGGAATGGAATGGAGCTGAAACAAGGACCCCACCATGATGAGGAGGATCGGAGTTCTCAACCCCTGTACCCGGCTTTATGCATATAATCTCATTCAGTCCTGACACACCCTTTGCAAGAGGGATCTGCATGCTTCATTTTGCAGATGAGAAAACTGAGGCTCAGCAAGGTCAGCTAACTCGCCTAAGGCTACAGAGCTGGCAAGTGTGGCTGGCATCAATGCCCATTTAAACCTCTGCACAGTTCCGCCTCGCTCATCCCTGTATTTCCTCGTCCTCCTCACCCACACACACCCATGTTGTTCCAAGGATTGCCTCTCTGCTCCCGCTGTGCTCCAAGACCCCCCAGTCCTTCCAGCCTAGAGGAAGCCCTCCTCTTCCAGGGAGCCCTCCCTCATGTCTTCCTCTTTGGGAAGCCCTGCAGCAGGGAGAGACTGTGCCCGCAAATGTGTGGTTTCACTTCCTCTGTATTTCTTGCATGAGCCACCGGGCATGGTGGCTCATGTCTGTCACATCTCTCTATTTCTTCAGCCCCCACCCTAGTCAAGCCACCCTTATCTGTCCCCTGGGAGACCCCCACCACGTCTCCTCATTCCATCTCAGCCACACGGGCCTCCTTCCTCTGTTTCCAACACACCAAGCTATTGCTGCCTCAGGATGTTTGCACCAACCGTTCCCTCTACCTGAAGCCCAAAGCCTCTGGCCTTTGTTCAGCAGTGTCATAATTTGAGGTCTCAGCTCATAGTGCACCCCTAAGAGTAGCCGCCGCCCCAGTGGCTCCTTATCTCATCCCTCTGTTCACGTCTCCTGCAATCCACGATGATCTGTTTGTTTCTTTCTTTGTCTCCCTCCCTTAAGGTGTGAGCCTCAAGGGCAGGGACCTTGTCTCTTTAGTTTGCTGCATATTCCCCGCACAGAGGAGGCACTCAATAAATATTTGTTGAATAAATGAATAAATCAACTAGTCAATTGAACAATCAATCATGAAAGAGGGTTTTAATGTTTCGAAGAGGCTCTGGGTCCAGAGCCACCATGAACAGCCAGCACCAAAATCCCAGAGAGGTGACAGGGCCACTCTGGTCTCACTCAGTCAATCATATGGTCAGTCAACAAACTCTCACTGGGCTTGCTCATCCAGCAGGCACAAAGATGCAGCAAGAAATACGATGGGTGTCCACCCTGCCCCCTGAGCTCGGTGTCCAACAGAGATGTTGAATGGCAGCTGACAAAACCACTACTTCGACCCAGGTCCCACTTGGGCCAGGACTCTCCACCACCACTGCCCTGAGTCCAGCCTTGGCAAGACTCTGAGACCCGGGTCTAGGGAAGCCATTCATTGACTCAATTTCTGCTCACTGGGAAGCAGTAAAGTGATTAGCAGTGTGGACCTGGGTTCCAATCCTGTCTCTGCCACCTACTAAGAGCATGACTCTCTGCAATGTGTCTAGGCCTCTGGGCCTCAGTTTACCCATCTGCAAATGGGGACAGTAAAGGCATCTCCCCCATGGAGTTTCTCCAAGGAGAAGGGGTCAAGAAGGACCTACCGTGGTGCTGGGCACATATGTGAATGCTAGTCACCACTACTGAGCTGCCCGAAAGGAGCCAAACTGGGGCCCGGGGACACAGAGTGGATTCAGACACTACTGCAGAACACTCCCAGACCACAAGGCCATGTGACAAGTGTAACAGGACAGAGTTGTGGGGAGCCTCAGGGAGCCGCAGGGCCTGGAACCCACCCTGGCAGCCAGAACAAGTTCCCAAGCCTATTAAGCTGGGTCAAATCGCCCTGCCCACAATCCCATCTTGTTTTTGTTACTTAAAAAAAAAAAAAAAAAAAATTCTGGCCGTGTGCAGTGGTGCACACCTGTAACCTCAGTGCTTTGGAGGGCAGAGGCAGGAGGATTGCTTGAGGCCAAGAGTTGGAGACCAGACTGGGCAACACAGTGAGACCCTGTCTCTACCAAAAATTTTAAAAATTAGCTGAGCGTGGTGGCATATGCCTATAGTCCCAGCTACTCAGGAGGCTAAGGTGTGAGGATCACTTGAGTCCAGGAGTTGGAGGCTGCAGTGAGCCATGATTGTGCCACTGCACTCCAGCCTGGGCAACAGAGCAAGATCCGTCTCTTAAAAAAGAAAAAATTGAAAACCGAAGCCAGGATGAGGGTGTTGTTGGCTCAGTCCCTCCCTGCCCATGTCCCCTCATCGGTTCTGAGGCCTCACCAGGTGGGCAGCAGCTGAGACCTGGGATCTCCTCTAGGAGCTGGAGGGGTCTCCTGGGTAGAGGGAAGGAGAGAAGAGAGAAGCCTCTGCTTAAATCCAGGACCTCTCGTCCTACCAGGGGAGCACACAGGTTTTCGCAGCCCAGCTGGCTCAGGAGGGGCTCTGTCCTCCAGAGCAGGGCTACCCGGGCCCAGCAGGGGCTGTCAAGGGGGAACCTCATTTTAAGCCACGGAGCCCTTTCTGCTCATGAAAAGGAGCCTGCAGGTCCCACAGACAGAACAGAGGACTAGAAGTCGGGAGGCACCAGGCAGCCTTGCCTCCCCAGAAACTAACCAATCCACCAGCTCCCTGTGCAAATGGGGAAACTGAGCCCCAGGAGGCACGGGAGGGTGACTTACCCAAGGTCACACAGAGACAAGACTGGCACTCAAGTCCCCTCGCCCCCACGGACTCACTGCATAAGAGGGTAAAAACAGCACCAAGCTCTGGATGAAGGGGTTGGGAGTGAGTGACATCTGGCCAACCCGACCCCCAGCTCCGTCTTGCCTAGGGCAGCCCCCAGCCCAACCAGGGACCCAGCTCCTTGGGACGGATTCGCCCAGGCCTTGACTCTGCTGGCCCCCAGTGGCCATCTGTGTTGTTCTTCCAGCACCAGGTCCCTGACTGAGCTGACAGCTGGTCCAGGGGCTGAGCCCTGGAGTACGACAAAAATATGCAGGAATGAGGGAGCGGGAAGCCGAGGTGAGAGGCCACAGAAACAAGCTTGGCCTCCTCCCCTAACTCCTCCCCACAAACACAAACCTGAAAGAGACGCTGGGGAGAAAGTGGAAGCCAGTCAGTGTGGGGTCAGGAGCACACCTCTGGGGGTCTTTGGACTCAGACTGAGGCTCCAGTCCCGGCTATGGTGGACGGTAAAAGGCAAGAAATTATCCTCAGCTGTCCTCCCACACCAAGGTGCCGTCTATTTCCGCGCCTCCCCCCCCACCCCCGAATCTGGCCTACCCTTGGTTTTGTTTGACAAGTAGAATGCAGCAGGAGTGGTGCTGTGTGAGTTTTAAGGCTGGGCCTTAGGAGACCTGCCTCAAGCCCAGGTGTGGTGGCTCACGCCTGTAATCCCAGCACTTTGGGAGGCCAAGACAGGCGGATCACCTGAACCCAGGAGTTTGAGACCCGCCTGGGCAACATAGTGAGACTCTATCTCTATAAAAAAATTTTTAAAAAAATAGCTGGGTATGGTGGTGCACACCTGTAGTCCCAGCTACTCAGGAGGCTGAGGTGGGAGGATCACTTGAGCCCAGGAAGTTGAGGCTGCAAGTGAGCTGTGAATGCCCTGCTGTGCTCCAGCCTGGGTGACAGAGCAAGCCCCTATCTCACAAAAAAGAAAAAGATCCACATAATAAGCACACAGTAAACAAACAGGTCATTTTCACCAGGTCATCACTGTCACCACCACTGCCATCATCATCAACACTCTCATCGCCACCATCACCACCATAATCATCATCACCATCATCACCAACATTATGCTTTGTGACCACAGAAAACTAGCTGAGCCTCTCTGGGCCCAGGAAAGTGGTGCCTTCCAAAGCGGGCAGGACCCTCAGCAGTGGAGATGAAATGTAGAAAGCTCTCTTCGCTCTCTCTTCAGCCCTCCCTTCAGCCCTCCCCCACAAGGACCAGCACAGACGAGTGAGTTTCCACCCCGTCTTCACTTCTGGGCAAAACTCCCTGAACATGTGGAAGACAGAGTCAGCTTTTTAGCATCTGGGGCTTCCTTCCCCCACATTTGAGCTCACCAGAGCCCACCGGCCTCAGAAAGTTGTCCCTGATCCATTGCCCCCACTTGTCTTTCTGAGAAGGCCTGGACAAGGACAAAGACACATTTGAACAGCCCACATTCTCCAATTATTGGTCTTTCACAAAAATCTCCTGAACCCCCACCCCCTGGGGCCATACACTGTGCTGGTTCCCGCACCTACACAAACAAGATGAGAACAACCTTTGGAATCAGACAGGCCTAGACCCAGGCAGACCCCTTTAATTCCTAGGCACATAAAGGTGGACAAGTCATTTAGCCTTTCTGTGCTCCGAATAACAGATAGATGACTGAACACAGGAAGCCCTTCCAAAGCTCCTCCAAGACCTTCTCTGCACGCTCATCCCAGGGTACCAGTATCCAGGGCAGAGTCTGGTATGGACTGAACAGTGGGGCTGCTCTTAGGCCTTCATGGACGCAGGTGTCCTGCCCTCCAGCTCCATGGCGAGTGGGCTGAGCATGATGTTCTCACCCACAGAGGGGACTCCCCCATTCTCTGGACCTTGCTTTTCTCTCTGTTCCCAGCTCTGAACCACTTCCAGCCTCTGGAGAAGGGTTGAGCTGTCAGTCAACAGCCCTTGGGATATGGGCCTGGCTAGGGCCTCTGCCGTGGCCTGGCTTTTCTTTATCACTGATGGCTTTGCCAGATGGTCACCTGCACAGGCCATTTGAAATACACAGGAACCTTTCATCATGGACAACTTGAGGCCAGGAGTTTGAGACCAGCCTGGCCAACATGGTGAAACCCCGTCTCTACTAAAAATACAAAAATCAGTAGGGCATGCTGCCACAGGCCTGTCATCCCAGCTACTCAGGAGGTGGGAGAATCACTTGAGCCTGGGAGGCAGAGGCTGCAGTGAGCTCAGATCATGCCACTGCAGTCCGGGCTGGGAGACAGAGTGAGACTCCATCAAAACAAAAACAAAAACAGAACCTCTCAGGATTTGTAATGACAGCTGCTACCACATCTCAAATGCCTAGATGTCCCAGGCAGAACTCTGGGACCTTTCCATATGTGCCGTCAGCAAACATTTATTGAGCACCTACTATATGCCAGGTGTTTTTCTGGGCACTTGGGAGATAGTAGTGACAAACACAAAGCTCCATGACTGTGCAGAGCTGATTTTTCTCTCAGGGAAAGAAAGAAAATTAAATCATAATAAATAAGTAAATTATGTAATAGGTGGTAAGGGCAATAGAAAAAGACAAACTGCATGGGGAAAAGGGATTGATCCTGCTGAGAGAATCTCAGTTTTCATCAGGTGCTCAGAGTGGACCCCACTGAGAGATGATTTTGAGCAAAGACCTAAAGGAGGTAAGGGGATGAGCCAAGCAGGCATGTGAGGAAGGTTTAGCCTGTGGAAAGACCCTGGGGCAGGAAGAGGCTGTCCCGTTCCAGAACAGCGAGAAGGCCAGAGGGGCTGGAACAAAGTGGAAGTAGCAGGAGACGAGGCCCAGAAAAACTCTGGCTTTACTCTGGGGCTTGCTGCAGAGTGCTGAGCAGAGGGACAACAGGATCTGACTCATATTTTTCAATGCTCTCTCTGAAGCTGGCACAGTGGCTCACGCCTGTAATCCCAGCACTGTGGGAGGCCGAGGTGGGCAAATTGCTAGAGCTCAGGAGTTCAAGACCAACCTGGACAACATAGCGAGACCCTGTCTTTACAAAAAAAATACAAAATTAGCCAGGTGTAGTGGTGTGCACCTGTGGTCCCAGCTACTCAGGAGGGTGAGGTGGGAGGATCACCTGAGCTCAGGGAGGTCAATCAGCCATGATCACATCACTTTACTCTAGCCTGGGCCGCAGAGTGAGACCCTATCTCCAAAAAAAAATTTAAAAAGCCCGGGCGCGGTGGCTCATGCCTGTAATCCCAGCACTTTGGGAGGCTGAGGCAGGCGGATCACAAAGTCAGGAGATCGCGACCATCCTAGTTAACACGGTGAAACCCCGTCTCTACTAAAAATACAAAAAAATTAGCCGGGCGTGGTGGTGGGCGCCTGTAGCCCCAGCTACTCAGGAGGCTGAAGCAGGAGGCATGAACCTGGGAGGTGGAGCTTGCAGTGAGCAGAGATCATGCCACTGCACTCCAGCCTGGGTGACAGAGCGAGACTCCATCTCAAAAAAAAAAAAAATTTTAAATAACTTCCTCTGGCTGCTGCGTGGAGACTTGTAGGGGGCAGGGATGGGAGCAGTGAGGAGGCTGCCTAGAGTCCAGGTGTGAGAGGATGATAACTCAGAGCAGGGTGGCCCAGTGGAGGCGGGTAGAAGAGATCAGAGCCAGGATGTATTCTGAAGGTAGGGCCCTGTATTAGTCCGTTCTCAGGCTGCTATGAAGGACTGCCCGAGACTGGGTAATTTATAAAGGAAAGAAGTTTAATTAACTCACAGTTCCGCAGGGCTGGGGAGGCCTCAGAAAACTTACAATCATGGCAGAAGAAGAAGCAAACACATCCTTCCTTACATGGCAACAGGAAGGAGAAGTGCTGAGTAAAGGGGGAAAGGCCCTTTATAAAACCATCAGATCTCGTGAGAACTCACTCACTACCACGAGAACGGCATGGGGTAACCGCCCCCATGATTCATTTACCTCCTACCAGGCCCCTCCCATGACAAGTGAGGATTATGGGAACTACAATTCAAGATGAGATTTGGGTGGGGACACAGCCAAACCATATCAGGCACCAACCAGGACTCCCTGATGGACTGGATGTGACTTTATTTCAGCTTCCTGGCCCCTCCGAGAGGTGGGCATGATTATTCCCATTGTATTTTATTTTATTTTATTTTTATTTTTATTTTTATTTTTATTTTTTCTGAGACAGGGTCTCACTCTGTTGCCCAGGCTGGAGTGCAGTGGTGCAGTATCAGCTCACTGAAACCTCCACCTCCTGGGCTCAAGTGATCCTCCCACCTCAGCCTCCCGAGTAGCTGGGGCTACAGGCACATGCCACCACACCTGGCTAAGTTTTGTAATTTTTGTAGAGTTGGGGTTTTTCCATGTTGCCCAGGCTGGTCTCAAACTCCTGGGTTCAAGCAATCTGCTCACCTCAGCCTCCCAAAGTGTTGGGATTACAGGTGTGAGCCACCACACCCAGCCTATTCCCATTTTAGAGTTGAGTCAACTGAGGCTGAGAACTTGTCTTTCTCCTCCCACTGGCTCAGGGGCATGGCAGCCAGGCAGAGCTCTGCCATGAGTAGCACCGCTGGCTTCCAAAAGCCGCCAGAGACAAGCCTGGGGCCTCAGGCAGGGGCAGTCAGGGGCCAACACCTGCCTGCCCAGCACCCCATAAAACCAGCTGGAGCATGAATTGATGGTCCATTAACAGCCTGGAGCTCAGAGCAGCCGTGTCCTCAGCAGTTTATAAACTCATAAAACGCCATGGTCATGGCCACACATCCCTGCCTCCTTTAGCCGACGATGAATGGGCTTTCCTGGGGGAAGAGGTACTGGGCTGCTGGGGTGTCCCTGAGCTCGGGCATAACAGGACTCCTGTGCCCCTCCCCATCTCCTCACTAGGAGTCTGCCCAGGACCAGGCACCCACTTCCCATGGCTGCCTCATGGCTCTGTCCCCACTGTCCTCACTCTTTAAGGAAGCCCCCTGGGGCAGGGGGTATAGTAAAGGATGAAGGAAGTTTATATCTGATGGGAATGTACTGTGTGCCTGACACAACCTTTAGTCATCACAGCATCCCCACAAGGTCAGTGGCACGGCCCCCATCTTAAAAGTGGACAAACTAAAGCCCACGGGACTGGAAGGACTCACTCAAGGTCACCTGGCTGGTAAGATCAGAGCCCCGGGAGTCTGGCTCCTGAGTTGATCCCCTAAACCCCCACCCTCTGAGGCCACGTGAGTGCCCCAGCCCTCAGTGTGTGGTTCCTGGTTTGCACAGATGGATAAATGGCATCACGTGGGCACCAATAGGTGTGTGCCAATGTGTGCCATCCAGATGGGATCCTGCCCTGATCCCTGGCATGACTCTGGCACGTGTATCCTGGGGACACACTGCCATCTGGACAGAACCCAGAGGCACCACCTGTGCTCCCTCCACCATCTCTCCTTCACCATTCATTCGACAAAATTCACTGCGTATCCTGACGTTAGGGAATGCTCTCTGCATCAGGCTCGGTTCCAAGCTCGTATCAATTCACCTGACCCACCCACCGTTTGATGAGATGTGTATTCTTTTTCCTGATGTGCAAGTGAGGGATGTGAGGCACAGAAAAGTTAAGCAACTTGCCCAAGGTCACACAGCTGTTTAATGGCAGAACCAGGCTTTGAACTCACGTGTATCCAACCAGAACCCACTACACCTTCTGGCTTGGTCTAGCTGGCTTTCCCCTGAGGGTCCCCACTCACTGCAGGGCAGGGGGTCTCTGTGTCCAGGCTCCATCTTTCAGCCCCTGTGGAAGAGCGACCAGGCATATCTGCTGTGGCTGGAGAAGAGGCTGGGCAGGTGCCCACCTCCACTCCCAAGCTCTGGTAAGGCTTCTGTTCCTGCTCCTGGGCCACCTCCAGCGAAGCAGTGTAGCTCCCTCTCCTCAAGAGCTCACCCCAAGGTCCCTGGAGGGATGTCCTGAGGGGCGCAGGCATCCAGGGTACCGGAAGGCGCGATCCGGCCCACACCTGCGTCTGGTGGGACGCTGGCGCCACCTCGCGTCCTTCCGCAGCCCTGCAGCCCTCCGCCCAAGAGCTCTTTGGACAGGGCTGGGCCTTGCACCCCAAAAACCTCAGGCCCTCCCGTGCCATCTTCATTTTGTTGTCACGACAGCACACAAAACCACCTGAACTATTATTATTATTATTATTATTATTATTATTATTATTATTATTTTGAGACAAAGTCTCACCCTGTCACCCAGGCTGGAGTGCAGTGGCGCGATCTTGTCTCACTGTAACCTCCACCCCCTGGATTCAAGCGATTCTCTGCCTCACCCTCCCGAGTAGCTGGGATTACAGGCTCATGTCACCACGCCTGGCTAATTTTAGTGTTTTTAGTAGAGATGGGGGTTTCACCATGTTGGTCAGGCTGGTCTCAAACTTCTGACCTCAAGTTATCTGCCTGCCTCGGACTCCCAAACTGCTGGGATTACAGGCACGAGCCACCACACCTGGCCTGAACTATTATTTACTCGGTATATTTTTCTTTAAATCAACTCACTTGTTTTAGCTAGCCTCATCCTGGGCAATAATGTCTGCAAAATCCCAAGTATGATGTGCTGGTCGCATTTTGTCCTGCTACCAATAAACACTAAGTATATACCTTCAAAAATTGTATTCATGTGCCACGTAAAATCGCTTCTCCACTACACTTTAGGCAACAAGCTCATTCATGAGTGTGTTCCCTCTTCCTTGGGTGAGTTTACAGAGGCTGAGAGCCTTCTTTATGGAAAGAGAGAGGCAGACGCCACCCCTGTCCTCACCCAACTTGCAGCCCAGTAGTGGTGCCAGATATTAATCAAAGAATCACAAAAATAAATATACAATGATGACTCATCAATGCTATTGAATTATAAAGCTGATTTCCTATTAGGAAGTAAAGACCACTGGATGAGCCCACGATAAGGGGACTTGACCTGGATGGGGAAGTCAGGGAGGGCTTCCTGAAGGAGGTGGTGCTTGAGCTGAGAGCTGAAGGAAGAGCAAAACATTAACTAGGTGAAGAGGGAAGGAAAGTGTTCTGGGCTGAAGAACCAGCATTTCCGAGAACCCCAGGGCAGAAGGGAGCCCTTCCCATGAGTTCCTGGCCTTCGAACTTGGCTTCCTGCCTGTGGCCAGTGTGGGCATTCTGCCTGTGTGGCCTCCTTCCTTTGCCTTCCTTGCCTCAGCTCCAGCCTAACCCACCCACCCATATCCCCAGCACGACCAGGTTCTTTGGGTCTATTTCCTTTTTACTCTTGTAACTTTGCGGTTTTGCCATCAAGAACCCCATTTTTATATCAAGAAAATCGAATTTGGGGGATTTCCAGTTATTTTTCCAAAGTCACACAGCTTGGCAGAGCCAGGATTTGCACCCAGGCCCGGTGGCTGTGCTCTCCTGCTACATTCAGCCATCTCTCAGCAGAGTCCCAACTCTCATCTCCATGGACTTAGAACCGGGAGATCTGGGAGCACAGCCTGTCTTAGCACTAGCTTGCTGGGCAACTTTGGGCAGGTCACTGCACCTCTCTGAATCTTGGTCTCCTCGTCTGTAAAATAAGAATGCTGCACAATAATGGTATTAATAGCTAACATGTATTGCTCCTCATATCCACGCTTTAAAGTAGACACTGGAGTTATCCCCACTTTACAGATGTGGAAACAAGCTCTGAGAGGTTTAGCAATTTGTCCAAAGCCACAATGCTGGTAAGTAGCAAAGCAGCCTGGAACTATCTCCAATGTGCTTTCCAGTAACAATGCTCCCAATCTGACTGTCCCAAGGTTGTCCCTGGAATGTGAATCCACATCTGGCCTCAGTCACGGGATTCCAAGGCTGTCCATTTTAGTCTACTCCCGCTGTCTGTGGGTGTGAGACTTTTCTGTCCAAAGAAGTAGGGGCCCAGGCGCTGCCTGCCTGGCACTGCCCAGCCCATGGTGAGCTGAGCTGGGTCCCTGGGGTTCTGGCTCAACCCATCCCTGCAACCCAGGCCACCCACTTAGCCGCCTTTACAGAGATGCATTGACCCATTTAGACACTCTCCGGGGAGCCATTGCTCTTTCAGAGTGACATCATTCTTCTGGCCTCAGGTCAATACACAGATTTGTTCCTGGCATCAGAAAACATTTAATAGCTGGCTCCATGGCCCTCTGTCAAAGCCGCCTCCACTCCCAGCCATGGCCCAGGCTCCTCTGGGAGCCTTGGGAGCCCTGGGCTGACCCACTCTGGCCAAAAGCTGGCCTGCAGAGAGGGGCGGAGCCAGGGTGTGGGTGTGGTTCTGGCCAGGTCTCCCCTGGGGTCCAGGGTGATGGTACAGCACAAGCTCTGCACATGCTGTCAGGAGCAGGGTTTGCAAGCCTCTGGGCCAATCTTTGATGCGATACGCTGGCCTGGCCCCTTCCCTTCAAGAGCCTCCAGTCTGATGGAAGAGACCCAGCCTCTGCCTTCAGGGATCCCCAGGTCAAATGGGGGAAGCCAAGCTTCTGCTTTTGGAGGCTTCAGTCTCAGAAGGAAGAGTGACACCAAGATGAAAACAGCATTAAAACAAAGCCACAAAGAGACAAAGGCAAATCAATGCCCAGAAAATGAAGTCTGGCCCATGTGCAGGAAGGGTTTGACAAGGGTTTGGAGTTTATCATGACTGGCTGCATGGAGGAGGCAAACATTACAGTACATTTAAAGCAAAGAAAATTATGGACAGACTGAAAGTATGAGAGTGAGCAATTTGAGGAAGGAAAGCCCGTGCAAAAGTTCAAAACGGAACAAACTGCAGCTTGTACAAAGGTGGGTAGTTGAGCAGTTGAGAGATAGATCTTAGACTGTCCAAGAAGAGCCGAGGTTTTACTGAGTATATACTATGTGCCGGCTCTGTTCTAAGGGCTCCACCTGTATCATTTCATCAGGTCTTCACAGCAACCCTATGTGCCAGCTGCTACCATGTTATCATCCCCATGTCCAAATGAGGGCACTGAAGCACAGAGAGGTTAAGTAACTTGCCCAAGGTCACACAGCTGGTAAGTGGCGAAGCTGGGAAGGTCCTAAGTCATGGCCCAATCCAATATCTCTGTATTACAAATAGCAGCTAAGGCTCAGAGAGGGGTGACACAACTTGCTCAGCATCACACAGTGAGAGTCAGGGCCAGAATGGGAGCTGAGGTTATAGCGCCCTGGAATGGAAGGCTAGGAGGGATCTTCAGAAGGCACTGAGATCAACCTTCTGTAGATCTGACTGATCCACTGGGGGTAGGGGGTGTGGCAAGAGCAATGTGGAAAGGTTGTTGCCATAGGGAGAGAAATGGCAGCATCAACGCGGAAGGAAGTCTTAGATCCTGCAGCACCATCTGCTGGAACCTAAAAATAGCCTGACATTCCATCTGTAACAGGCAAAAGGTTTAACAGATGCTGCGCCAAGGAGAATATGTGGATGGCAAGTAAGCACATGAAAAGATGCTCAACCTCATTAGTCATTAGAGAAATGCCAGTCACAAACACAGTGAGATGCCAAGTGTTGGCACGGAAACAGGACTCTTCTTCTGGGAATGAAAAATGGTACAACCACTTCAGAAGAGTGTGGTGAGGCTGGGCGCAGTGGCTCACGCCTGTAATCCCAGCACTTTGGGAGGCCGAGGCGGGCAGGTCACTTGAGGCCAGGTTCGAGACCAGCCTGGCCAACATGGTGAATCCCTCTCTCTACTAAAAATGCAAAAATTAGCCAGGCATCGTGGTGTGTACCTGTAATCCCAGTTACTCGGGAGGCTGAGGCAGGAGAATCACTTGAACCCGGGAGGCGGAGGTTGCAGTGAGCCGAGATCGTGTGACTGCACTTCAGCCTGGGTGACAGAGCGAGACTCCGTCTCAAAAAAAAAGAAAAGAAAAGAAAAACAAAGGAAAAGTTTGGTGATTTCTGAAAAAGTTAAACTTACACCTACCACATAATTCACCCATTCGGTTCCTAGATGTTTACCCAAGAGAAAAGAAAGCATGTGTCCACACAAACACTTGTGCACGTGTGTTCCTCAAAGCTTGATTGGAAGTAACCAAAAACTGGAAATAACCCAAACGTCCATCAGCAGGTGAATGGCCAAACTGTGGTACGTCCACACAGCAGAACACTATTTAGCAACAAAAAGGAAGGAACTAGGAATACACATGGCAACGTGGATGAATTTCAAGATAATTGTGCTGAAGAAAGAAGCCAGACCAAAATGAATCCATACGGTATGATTCCATTTATATAAAACTCTAGAAAATGCAAACTAATCTGTAGTGACAGAAAGCAGGTCAGTGGTTGCAGGGAGTGGGGGTGGGGGGAAGCTGGGAGAAGGCAGGGTTACACAGGTACACAGGGAAGCTTTTGAGGATGATGAATACATTCCTTACCTTGATTTTGGGTATGGTTTCGATAATGTACGCATATATCAAAACTATCACATGGGCCAGGCACAGTGGCTCAAGCCCGTAATCCCAACACTTTGGGAGGCCAAGGTGAGTGGATCACTTGAGGTCAGGATTTCAAAACCAGCCTGGCCAACATGGTGAAACCCCATCTCTACTAAAAATACAGAAAATTAGCTGGATGCAGTGGTGCGTGCCTGTAGTCCCAGCTACTCGAGAGGCTGAGGCAGAAGAATCACTTGAACTCTGGAGGCAGAGGTTGCAATGAGCCAAGATCGCACCACTGCACTCCAGCCTGAGTGACTGAGCAAGACTCTGTCTCAAAAAAAAAAAAAAAGAGAAAGAAAAAGAAACTGTCACATGGTAGACTTTAAATATCTGCCATTTATTGTGTGTCAATTACATCTTGATAAAGCTGTTTCAAGAAATGGCCGAGTATTAAGCAGCCCAGAGGCCCCGGGAGAATTCCCTGAATTAGAGTGGTTCACCTCTAGCTCAGGTGAGGTCAGCCTGAGGTTCTAGTTCAGGTGTCCGAGGGAGGCACCTGGACACCCTCAAAGGCCCTCCAGGCCCTACGTAACCCCACCCTCCCCTTCAAAGCCCAAGATTTCAGAAGGTTTAGATGTTGATTAGTCCAACTCCTATGGTATAAAAGGGGAAACTGAGGCCCTACCCACTACACCACTGCTGTACCTGTACTCAGCCTGGTGGAAAGTGCATCCCACAGAGCATCCTGCCTGGCCAGGTCATAGCCATGGTCATGGATGGCCTAGAGCCAGGCACGGGCCTGGTTCAGCCCCACTCAACACCCTTTATAGCTTTATGTGCAGAGCTCAACACATTGAGCAGGGAGGGCTCGTGCAGCAGAAAGAAGACTTCAGAGTCAGATAGATCTGGGTTCAAACTCTGGCTCAGCCTCTTCCTGGGTCTGTGACCTTGCACAAATCACACAATCGCTCTCTCCTTGGGTCCCTCATGCATGAATGGGGATGAGAACACCCACCAGATGCTTTCTCAGGATGCTTTCCATTACTAGTAACAGACAACCCGACTCAATCAGACTGAAACCATGAAGAGACTCCACTGGCTCACAGAACCGTGAAGCCCAGCTTTAGGTCCAGTCTGGCAAGGATTGGTCCAGCAGCAGCTCAGCAATGCCAGCAAGAAACGGCTTTCTTTCTGTTTTTGTTCTCTGCCTTTTGAAGTGTGGGCATTTCCCTAAAGCTGGCCACCCACCTGATCCCAAGAATGCAGCCAGCAGTTCCTGGGCTATAGGTGTCCTCATTTATACCCTGCAGAAATGAGAAGACATCTTTGTCTTTGCATCCCCAGAACAAGTGGTTGAACTGTTAGCAACCTCTAATGGGCACCGCCATTACCCAGACAGGTATGGACATGAAGTGCCTGTATCCCATGGGGACTAAAAGGCGGATTCTGAGAATGGGGATGAGGGCAGGGAAAGGAGGTGGAGATGCCCAAGAAATGAAGGAATGAGAGAGGACATCAGAAGCTGGATCTCTGGTTAATTCATGAAGCCTCTTTGGAATGGATGAGGATTTCCAGCTGGTGGGAAGGAGGCTAACTGAGACAGAAAAAAACCACTCTCAAGGCTTAGCGTTTTAAATGTGTCACAGAGGGTGTGTTCAGGAACAGAGACAAGTATATAAGGCATAACGTACATCCTTGGGCAGTTTTATTTTAAATTTCATTTTGTTGCATTTTAATTTTTGAATAGCTAATGTATTCACGTGCTTCAAAAACCAAAAGACATCAAAATATATGAAGTAAAAATCCTCCTTCCACCTCTGTCCCTCATCTGCCCAGTTCTCAGCATTGACCCCACAGGTGACCGCTGTTCATGCTTTCTTCTGTATCTTCCCAGCATTTTTTTCTGCATCTCCATGCAAATAAGAATATAGAGTCTCGGTTGTCCCTCTATTGATACAAAATGTAAAACACTGAACACACTGTCTCTCTCCTTCTAATTTTTTCTCTTAACCATGGTATTCTGTGGTCTAGACAGACCATAATTGAATTAACTAGCCCCTTATTGCAGGGCATGGGCTGTTTTTAGCCATTTGCTAAACATTGTTGTGATGAACAGCCTTATATACAGTTGTCATTTCACACGTGCAAGTATCTCTATAGGATAAATTCCCACAGGGGAGTCGCTCGGTCAGAGACAACATGCGTTTGAAACTTTGATTGATAGTGCCAAGGTGCCCTTAGACATTGTCCCCGCGGTGACATAGGAGAATGTCTACTTCTCCCTCACACTCACCAACAGAAGGCGTCATTTTACATTTGGATGATTGGCAGTTTGATCAGGGAACGTGACATGTGTCTGTAGCTTTAATGGGCATTGATCTTACTATGGGTGAGCTGAACTTCTTTTCCTATCTTCAAGCACTTTTGGATTTTCTTTTCTCTAAATTATCTCTTCACAGCTTTTGCCCATTTTTATTTTGGGTCGTTTGACTTTCTCATCAATTTCCCTAGGTTCTTCAGGAGGGAGATTAACCCTTTACCTCTGATATGAGTTACAAACATTTTGTCCCAGATTGTCATTTTTTTTTTGACTTTGCTCATGATGGGATTTTTTTTTTTAACAAGCAGATTTTTTTTTATTTTTTTATCTATTTATTTTTTATTTTTTTATTTTTGAGACGAAGTCTAGCTCTGTCGCCCAGGCTGGAGTGCAGTGGCGCGCCTCAGCTCACTGCAACCTCCGCTTCCTGGGTTCAAGCAATTCTCCTGCTTCAGCCTCCCTAGTAGCTGGGACTACAGGCCTGCACCACCATGCCCAGCCACTTTTGTATTTTTAGTAGAGACAGGGTTTCGCCATGTTGGCCAGGCTGGTCTCGAACTCCTGACCTCAGGTGATCTGCCTGCCTCAGGCTCCCAAAGTGCTGGGATTACAGGTGTGAGCCACTGCGCCCAGCCAATTTTTATAGAAGTAAATTGATCAGCCAACCATGGTGGTGCGTACCTGTAGTCCCAGCTACTTGGAAGGCTGAGGTGGGAGGATCGCTTGAGGCCAGGAGTTCAAGACCAGCCTGGGCAACCTAGGACTGCCCCATCTCTACAATAAATGAATAAATGAATAAATAAAAATTAGCCAGGCATGGTGGCACATGCCTGTAGTCCCAGCTACAAGGGAGGCTGAGGCGGGAGGATCGCTTGAGGCCAGGAGTTCAAGACCAATCTTGGCAGCATAATGAAGCCGTGTCTTTAAAGAAAAATAAAAAATAAGTAAATTATCCATTTTTAATAGCTTCTAGATTTCTGAGTCATAATTAGAAAGTCCCTCATTTAAAAGTCATAAAGAAACTCTCTGATGTTTCCTTCTAAAATGTTTAAGCTTCATTTTCACACTTAAATTTTTGATTCCTTCAACATTTATTTTAAATATAAAGTAGAAATCCAGATTTTTTTTCCAGGTGTCTTTCCAGTTGTCCAACACCGTTTATTAAATAATTCAGCTTTTCTTTGCTGGTTTGGTATGGTAACCTTACTAACTGTCCATTTAATGTAGGCCTATTTCTGAGTTTTCTTTTATTTTATTGTCTGCTTGACTATTCACGGGTCAAAACCACATTGTTTTAATGATTGAGGCTTCATAATATGGGTTGGTCCTTCCCCCGAGCACCCTCTTTTTCCAGAATTTTCCTGTCTATGCCTACTGGTTAATTTTTCATACGAACTTTAGGATAAGCATGCCTCATTCAACAAAAACTGTGGATATTTTTTATCAGAATCAAAGTATATTTATCAATTAGCTGAGAGAGAATTAAAATGTCACGGTGTTGAGCCCCGCCGCTCCCCCCCTCCGCCACAATACGATGTATCTTTCCACTTGTTCACATTCTTCTGCCTTTTAGTAATTTTGTTAATTAAAATGCTTATTGAAATAGAACATGTATACAGGAAAGTCACAAATCATAAAGGAACAGCACTGTGAATTTTCACAAAGCAAGCACCCCCGTGAAATAGCTACTCAGATTGAGAACCGGAACGTGACCAGCTCCCCAGAGCCCTCCTCCTTCTCCTCCTGGTGATCATACCTCTCCTCCCAAAAGGAAACACCTTTCCCATTTCTATTAGGTTGGCGCAAAAGTAATCGCGGTTTTTGCCATTAAAAGTAATTTGCCATTAAAAGTAATGTCATTACTTTTAATGGCAAAAACCGCGATTACTTTTGCATCAAACTAATATCCTGTATTGTCTGTTTTTATTTATTTGTTTGTTTTTATATAACTTTAAGTTTTAGGGTACATGTGCACAACCTGCAGGTTTGTTACATATGTATACATGTGCCATGTTGGTGTGCTGCACCCATTAACTCGTCATTTACATTAGGTATATCTCCTAATGCTATCCCTCCCCCCTCCCCCCTCCCCCCACCCCACGACAGGCCCGGGTGTGTGATGTTCCCCTTCCTGTGTCCAAGTGTTCTCATTGTTCAATTCCCACCTATGAGTGAGAACATGCAGTGCTTGGTTTTTTGTCCTTGCGATAGTTTGCTGAGAATGATGGTTTCCAGCTTCATCCATGTCCCTACAAAGGACATGAACTCATCCTTTCTTATGGCTGCATAGTATTCCATGGTGTATATATCCCACATTTTCTTAATCCAGTCTATCGTTGATGGACATTTGGGTTGGTTTCAAGTCTTTGCTATGGTGAATAGTGCTGCAATAAACATACGTGTGCATGTGTCTTTATAGCAGCATGATTTATAATCCTCTGGGTATATACCCAGTAATGGGATGGCTGGGTCAAATGGTATTTCTAGTTCTAGATCCTTGAGGAATCTCCACACTGTCTTCCACAATGGTTGAACTAGTTTACAGTCCCACCAACAGTGAAAAAGTGTTCCTATTTCTCCACATCCTCTCCAGCATCTGTTGTTTCCTGACTTTTTAATGATCGCCATTCTAACTAGTGTGAGATGGCATCTCATTGTGGTTTTGATTTGCATTTCTCTGATGGCCAGTGATGATGAGCATTTTTTCACGTTGTAATGTAAATCAAAACATATGTAAAGACAAATAATGAAAAAAAATGGGAAAAAAAGTTTAAAAAAATATGTGCTCTTTTTTTACAATTTTTTTTTTTGAAACAGTGTCTTGCTCTGTCACCCAGGCTGGAGGGCAGCAGCACCATCACAGCTCACTGCAGCCTCAACCTCCCAGGCTCAGCCTACCAAGTAGCTGGGACTGCCTCATCCTCCCACCTCAGCCTACCAAGTAGCTGCAGCTACAGGTGTGCACCACCACACCCAGCTAATTCGTTTTTTCTTCTTCTTCTTCTTCTTCTTCTTCTTCTCCTTCTCCTTCTCCTTCTCCTTCTCCTTCTTCTTCTTTTTTGAGACAGAGTCTCGCTTTGTTGCCCAGGCTGGAGTGCAGTGGTGAGATCTCGGCTCACCGCAACCTCTGCCTCCAGGGTTCAGGTGATTCTCCTGTCTCAGCCTCCCGAGTAGCTGGGATTACAGGCGCATGCCCAGCTAATTTTTTTGTATTTTTAGTAAAGACGGGATTTCACCGTGTTAGCCAGGATGGTCTAGATCTCCTGACCTCGTGATCCGCCCACCTCGGCCTCCCAAAGTGCTGGGATTACAGGCATGAGCCACCGCGCCCAGCCATACCCAGCTAATTTTTGTATTTTTTGCAGAGACGAGGTTTCACCATGTTGCCCAGGCTGGTCTCAAATTTCTGGGCTCAAGCAATCCACCTGCCTCACCCAGCCTCCCAAAGTGCTGGGATTACAGGCATGAGCCACTGTACTGGACCCACATGTGCTCTTTGGTGTCTGACTTCTTTCACTCAACACTGTGTAAGATCCATCCTTGCTGTGATGCACAGCAGTACTTTGTCCATCTTAATCACTGTAGAGTTTTTCATTGTCTGACTATATTACAATGTGTTCAAGCATTCTACTGCTGATGGATATTTGGGCTATTAGGAATACTGTTATGGAATTAATAATATTACTAATAATTAGTAATAGGAATTAGGTTGGGCATGGCGGCTCACGTCTATAATCCCAACACTATGGGAGGCCGAAGTGGGAGGATCACTTGAGGCAAGGAGTTTGAGACTAGCTTGGGCAACATAGTGAGACCCCATCTCTACAAAGAAGTTTAAAAATTAGCAGGGTGTGGTGGTGCACACCTATAGTCCCAGCTACTTAAAACGCTGAGGTAGGAGGATAGCTTGAACCTAGAAGTTGGAGGCTGCAGTGAGCTATGATTGCACCATTATACCACAGGCCTGGGCAACAGAGATACACCCTGTCTCTTAAAAAAATTAATAATAATAAACAGTAGCATTAGGAATAGAACACTCTTGCCTATGTCTTTTGGTACAAATATGTGCTCATTTCTGCTGAGCCCTCCTAGGAGTACCATGGCTGGGCCATACAGTGTGTGTATGTGAACTCTGGCAGACACTGACACATCATTTTCTAAAGCACTGGTACTCATTTCCACTCCACCAGTTGTCTGCTCAAATTCATTCTTCCTTTCTCATCAGGAACATCGTAAGACTACATTTCCCAGGTTCCCTTGCAGTTAGATAAGGTCACATGATGCTGAGTTCTCACCAACAGATTATGAATGGAAGTCTATGTGTCCCTTTTATACTCCACAGTGGGTGCACCTCCTTCACACTCCCTTCCCCCTTCCCTCCCTCTAGAGCCCACAGTGACCCAGTATCAACCATGCAAACAATGGCAATGCCCTAGGAGAAGACAGAGAAACATGTTGGAAAGGATATGACTTTCTGAAGACCCTTTGGAACAGAGCTGCCCCACCAACTAAGCAGCTCACCTCACACTGTGAGGAGTTAGACCTCTTTGTCCTCCAAGCCAATGTATGTTGGAGTCTTTTTGTTCCAAGAGTTAGATCTTTCATCCTCAATAATACAGGAATTGGTATCAGAAATGGGGTGTCAATCTGTGACATTGTCTTAACAGCCAGGCAATGGATAAGAGTTATTTATCACCTTATGAAGATTTTCTTTATCCTTTATTTGTCATGCAACGAGGAAAGTTAATTGAAGTGCGTTTCTCCTTGTGTCTCATGTGATTTCTCCTTCAGAAATGCACCTACTATATTTTTTAGAGCATAGATGTTTATAACTCTTATCTTCATTGTGGATACACATTTGTATATTCTAAGATGACTTTCTTTGTCTTATTAAATACCTTTTAATCTAAACTCCACATTGTGTGATATTAAGATTTTTTATCTGCATTTGCCTAGTATACCTTTGCCCAGCTTTTAGGTTCAACCTTTCTGAATTACTTTGGTTTATGATTGCCTCATTTATAGAACACTGAGTTAGATTTGGTTTTGTGACCAAATCTAATTTCTTTTCTTTCACTGGGCAAATTAAGCTCATTTGCATTTATAACACCTGTGTTCTGTCATATTATTTTATGTAATTTTTTCCTGTTTATGGGTGTTTTAAATGTCTTTTGTTATGTGGTTTGTTCTTTTATATGTGGTTCTTTTGATACAGAAGGAGTTTTATACTTTTGTTCATTATTATAACTTTACACAATATTCTTAGTTCTCAATTTCTCAGAAAGTAAGAACACTATAGTTTATTCTTTTTCTTGCCCATCTCCCTGGCTTTCCCCCAACACAGCTAATGAGGCACTGATGGGTTCCTTTCTCAGTGATCTCCTCTGTTCTGCTGCATGTCTTCATACTACTTGTCTTGATTTGCCAGCTTTGAAACATGTTCTTTGTGCTTCCATTGTGTAATGGTTAGCACTCTTGACTCTGAAAGATGTTCTTTGATTCCCACCTACTACAGAAGAGGCACTTTGCAAACACACCCTGTTTCCTGGCTTCTTTCACGTGTCCCCTCCCATTTCTTCTCAGATGCATCATTTCTAACCTCATCACGGATGCCTGCATTCACATTTTTATCTATTCCTCTACTTCCTACATTTGCGTTAGTCTCAGTTCCACACTTCACCACAGTCAATGCACTACCAGCCCTCTGCCAGTCATGGGGCTGAAGTTCATCCTCTAGATGTTTCCTCCAGAGAGACTCCACAGGGACAATATCCACTGAGTTCTGCCATGTTCAGAATTGCTGGTGGGTGGCGCGTATATCTGAAGGACAGCTTGGCTCAATAGAAAATCCTGCCTCACAGCTTCTTTCCTCAATTAGCTCTCATTGGCGTTGCTCTACGGTCTTCCAATATCTTACTATTGCCTTATTATTACAAACAAGGGAAGGAGCTAGGTTTTCCTGGCCTATTGTAGGCAATGCCTTCTGCTGTTTGGTGTTTAAGAGATAGAGATGCTGTCTCTTCTGGATGAGCTTCTCACTGACACAAGTGCGATTTTGCTCATCTTTCTGGACTCTCCGGTGGTGGAGCAATCTTGCCCTTTATACCCTCCCACATTGCTTCTGCCACCCTTCACCCCATGTGGCTTGTGTGCCAAGGGTGGCTGCATTTGACAGCCATTATGCCTTATGTTCCAGTCTGCTCTTTCTGCATTCGAGTTTGGCTGAAGATGGAGTTTGTGGGGTCTTTAGTCACAATATCCAGGCGGAGAAGATGAAAACTGCTTTTTCATGCTGACACGTTCACATCAGCGTTCTGTGGAGCGACCCTACAGCTGCCCTAGCCTGCATGCGGCACTTCAGGTGCCACAAACAGAGGCCACAGCTCCTGCCTTTGACAAGCAGCCATCAGTCTCCTCACAGAATGGAGAACCAGGAAACCTCTGGAATCAGAGGCTGTCTCTCTTGCCATTGTCCCACATAACCATATGAGTTCACTGTACAGTCAGCCTTCTGTATCCACATGTCCTCATCCACAGATTCAACCCATCAGGGATCTCAAAAGTGTGAAAAATAATTAAAAATAATACAACATTGGGAGGCCAAGGCGGGCGTATCATGAGGTTAGGAGATCGAGACCATCCTGGCTAACGTGGTGAAACCCCATCTCTACTAAAAATACAAAAAAATTAGCCAGGCATGGTGGCGGGTGCCTGTAGTCCCAGCTACTCGGGAGGCTGAGGCAGGAGAATGGTGTGAACCTGGGAGGTGGAGCTTGCAGTGAGCCAAGATCGCACCACAGCACTCCAGCCTGGGTGATAGAGCGAGACTCCGTCTCAAAAAAAAAAAAAAAACAACAACAATAAATAATGCAAATAATAAATAGAACAACTAAAGAAAATACACATTTTAAAATACAGTATAACAACAACTTATACAGCATTTACACTGTATCAGGTATAAGTAACCTAGAGATGATTTAAAGTACATGAGAGGATAGGCCAGGCACAGAGGCTCATGCCTGTAATTTCAGCGCTTTGGAAGGCCGAGGTGTGCAGATTACTTGAGGTCAGGAGTTCAAGACCATCCTGACCAACATGGTGAAATCTGTTGACCTGACAGAAGGAGAATGAGAATTAGTCTCAGAGTTTAATATTGAATATGCTGCAGGCCCATACGCTCTCTTTTTTGTAGCAGAGTACATGAACATTATTATAATAAATGCCCTAACTACTACAAATCTTTCTAGGAGCACTATACACTATGCATTTTCCAGAACTCTATACCACACATTTTATTATCTAAACCCTCCTCTTAACCTCCCTGTCTCTACTTTTAAAAATATATATAGAAATTAGCCAGCCATGGTGGCTCATGCCTGTGATCCCAGCTATTCAGGAGGCTGAGGCATCAGAACTGCTTGAACCCGGGAGGCAGAGGTTGCGGTGAACCGAGATCACGCCACTGCACTCCAGCCTGGGTGATGGAGTGAGACCCTGTCCCAAAAAAAATTAAAAATAAAAATAAAGTATATGAGAGGATATGTGAAGTTTATACACAAATACTACAGCATTTTATAGAAGGGACTTGAGCATCCGCAGATTTTAGTATCACCGCAGATACCAAGAAACAACCATATATTGTGAGTCCTGTGAAGAAAGCAAAGTAGGCAAAGGGGAAGAAAAGTGATGGAGGCTGCTAATTTAGTTAAGGCAGACTTTTCTGAGTAAGGGCTATTTAAGCAGAGTGATAAATGACACGAGGGCCCACCTGTGCAGCTACCCAGGGGAAGGTCATTCCAAGCAGAGGGAGCAGCAGTGAGAGTTTAAGGCATGACAAGGAGGCTGGAGAGGAGCTGATGAGGGGCAGGTGCAGTCTGAAAGATAAACAGAGCTGGGCACAGTGGCTCAAGCCTGTAATCCCAGCACTTTGGGAGGCCGAGGTGGGAGGATTGCTTGAGTCCCAGAGTTCCAGACCAGCCTGCACAACATGGTGAAACCCTGCCTCTACTGAAGATACAAAAAATTAGCCGGGCATGATGGCACGTGCCTGTAATCCCAACTACTCAGGAGGCTGAGACAGGAGAATCACTTGAACCTGGAGGCGGAGGTTGCAATGAGCTGAGATCGCGCCATTGCACTCCAGCCTGGGTGATAGGGCGAGACTCTGTCTCAAAAAAAAAAAGAAAAAAAAAAAAAGAAAAGAAAGAAAGAAAAAGAAAAAAAGAACAAAAAAATAAATGCCAATTAGCTGGGCATGGAGGGGCACACCTGTAGTCCCAGCTACTCAGGAGGCTGAGGTAGGAGGATTGCTTGAGCCCGTCAGGTCAAGGCTGCAGTGAGCCATGATTGCACCACTGCACTCCAGCCTCGGTGATAGAGTGAGACCCTGTCTCAAAAACAAAACAAGGCCAGGTGCAGTGGCTCATGCCTATAATCCCAGCACTTTGGGAGGCCGAGATGGGTGGATCACCTGAGGTCAGGAGCTTGAGACCAGCACCAGTCTAGCCAACATGGCAAAACCCTGTCTCTACTAAAACTACAAAAATTATCTGGGCCTGGTGACATATGCCTGTAATCCCAGCTTCTTGAGAAGCTGAGGCAAGAGAATCGCTTGAACCCGGGAGGCAGAGATTGCAGTGAGCTGAGTGCACCACTGCGCTCCAGCCTGAGCAACAGAGCAAGACTCCATCTCAAAAAATAAAAAATAAATAAGTGAATAAATAAATATTGAAAACAAAAACTAAAAAGATAAACAAGGGCAGGGAAGGTTACCCACAGGCCCCGATCCTGTCTTGCTGTCTTTGGTTTTACTCTGAGTGGGAATAACTGCAGGGTTTGAGCAGCGGCATGACATCATCTGACTTGCTTTTAAAGGGATCACTCTAGAAGCCAGGTAGAGAATAAACTACAGGAAGACACGAGGTAGAAACAGGGTGAGGCTCACACGAAGGAGCTTCTTGACTTCAACACTGACAGGCACCCTGCAGATGAGGGTCTGGAAACCCAGGCCTCCTGCCCTCGCCTGCTCTGATGGAATATCTGCCAAGCCAAGTCCAATGGCAGGAGGAGCTAGGGGGCCCAAGGACAAGCTGCCCTTCATAAGAGCAGGGACCCTGCCTCCTCAGCCCCTCTTCTCCACTGCAATATTTGCTCTCTCATGACCAGACACGGAAGCCCTGACCACCGGTAGCTTTGCAGGTGTGGAGGGGTACCTGGGGACAGCTCCCAAGGGCAGGTGCTCCGGGTCAGCTCCTGATTCCAAGGAGAAGGGTGCGGAGTGGCCACTAGGTGACAGCATTGCTCCGCTGAGAAGGCGGCCACGCGCTCCACGGAGTTGGGTGTGTTGAAATCCCAGAAAGAAGGGGCTTCATGGGAAGTCTCAAAACCTCCCTCAGCCCCCTCGCTTTCATGGATGAGGATGGCAGTGAGGAATATGGTGGTGAATTCAGGAATTTCCAAGACAATAAATACTTTTCACATCAATCGCTTCATGTGACCCTTACAGCAAATACTGTGAGCTGGTCCATGGAGGCCTGTTAGTCCACTTTGCAGTGAGAACAGAGGCCCAGAGAGAGCACCGTGGCTGCCGAGCCCGGCCTTCTTCCGAGCTGTTCACCCCTTCCAGAATTGGGCCCAGTGGCAGGGCAGACAGTGGAGGTGGGGGGAGTGAGAAGTCCCTTTACCTGTGTCTGGTGTACAGATCGAGAGCAGCGCTCATAGTTTGGAAGTGGGGGGAGTGAGAAGTCCCTTTACCTGTGTCTGGTGTACAGGTCGAGAGCAGCGCTCATAGTTTGGAGGTGGGGGGAGTGAGAAGTCCCTTTACCTGTGTCTGGTGTACAGGTCGAGAGCAGCGCTCATAGTTTGGAGGTGGGGGGAGTGAGAAGTCCCTTTACCTGTGTCTGGTGTACATACAGATCGAGAGCAGCGCTCATAGTTTGGAAGTGGGGGGAGTGAGAAGTCCCTTTACCTGTGTCTGGTGTACAGGTCGAGAGCAGCGCTCATAGTTTGGGACCCTTTAAGGACCCTCCAGGAGCCGCTCACATCAGTTGATGGAGGGGTATCTAAATTCAACACACATAAAGTCAAAAGTGGCAGCAAAGGAGGAATTATATTTGTCACCGCCTCTCTGTATAAACACGCCACTAATGGTGTCATTATTCATTATCATGCAAAAAAGTGGGGGTGGCTTCCTTTGTGCCTCCCCCAACAGACCTAGTCAACCCCCATATTATAAAGCATCCTATTCCTCTCCTTCAGCACAGAACTAAAGGAAATCTGTTTAACATTCTTTGGTTTTATGTTGTTGTTTTGAGACAGAGTCTTACTGTGTCGCCCAGGCTGAGCACAAACATAGCTCACTGTAGCCTTGACCTCCTGGGCTAAATCGATCCTCCCACTTCAGCCTCCCTAGTAGCTGGGACTACAGGCATTTGCCACCATGCCTGGTTAATTTTAATTTTCTTAGAGATGAGGGTCGCAATAGGTTGCCCAGGCTGGTCTCAAACTCCTGGCCTCAAGAGATCCTCCTGCCTAGGCCTCCCAAAATGCTGGGATTACAGACATGAGCCACCGTGCCCCGCCAGCATTCTCTTAAGTAACTATGGGATTAATGTCGGTCCCTTCCACCAAACTGCTAGCTTCAAAAGAACAGGAACTGGTCTCTGTGCTCGGCACTACAACCTCAGCTCCCAGGACTGTGTGATGCATAGAAAGTGTACAGTAACATGAGTTAATGAATGCGCAAATGTCCTGGCCTAATGTCATGGCCTCCAAGAGGTCTCTCCTGCCGCAAGGTTTTGCAGAGTCCACAGCAAACGGCAATCTGTTGCTGCATCGGGGCCAACTGCCTTCCATGAACCCGGAACTGAAGTCGGTTCCAAGTGAAAAGCTTCCCCGGGTTTGGGCCCGTTCCCCCAGCTGATGGGCAGATAGAGCAGAATGGGAGATGACCCAGCGAGGCTGGCCCCAGCCCCACTCCCGCTCCCCAGCCCATTCACTGGCTGGGAGTCCTGCCCAGGCTGCAGGATGGAGAAGCCGGGAGAGCCTTGCTCGTAAATTACATTTTAGACAGTCTGCTGGGAAGATTAGAATCACACTGGTTTGGAGCCAGGGCTTTCCAGAGTGTCCCTGCAGGAAAAGAGGATCCGGGATAAACAGTGAAAGGGAAAGAGAGAAGGGGAGGGGAAGGGGGAGAAGGAGGTGGCCAGGGAGAGGGAAGAGGGAGGGAGAGAAGGAGAGGGAAGGGAGAGTAAAAAAAAAAAAAAAAAAAAAACAGAGAGACAAAAGACAGGGAGAGAGGGGTGGGGGCGGCGTGTACAACCAGGGCAGTGAAGACCAGAAGCCACAGAGAAGGGCCAGGGGAGACAGAGCTGGACAGAAGGAGCCAAGATTCCTACACAGGCAGGTGGGCTGGCACCACTCCCTCTGCCTCTTGCAGTTTTCCCAATCCTGGGTGCTGAGGGGAGCATGTCCCCAGCGTCTTTCTCTGGCAGAGAAGACTGATGGCCTCACTGGTCCTCAATAACAAGGGAGAAGGATTCTTCCCAACCACAGCCCAGACTGGGGAAGACGTTTCCCCAAGGTCACACAGCAAACCTGGTGGTGGATCCGAGGACTTCAGGTGCTAGGCCGCCACTAAATGCTGTTCTTGGGGTCCCCTTGTTGGAGCAGGACAGGCTTCGAGGACAGACATGTGGAGGACGCACATTCTCGCACTTCCTCGGTTTCCACTGCAGCAGCATCTACCTGTTTCTCACCGCAAGACTCCTCCCCACCACACTGCAACACCTCTGATGGAATGAACTTTGGCCTCAAAATTAAAAAAAAAAAAAATGAGCTCTAGCCTCCAGAAAGAAACAATTTTTTAACTAAACTTTAAGCCCTGAGATCACAGAGGGGCACACCTCTCGGACTGGGATTCAGCAAACCTAGCTTCAGATCCCAGCTCAGCTATAAACTCACTGTGTGGTCTTGGGGTACCCACGTGATGTCTCTGGGCCATATTTTCCTAGAGAAGCAGAAGAGTGGAGTAGTGGTCCCCAAAGGGATCTTTCAATTTTTTAACAATCCTTACCTCCCCCTTGGAAGAAATCCCAAGTAGGGTGCGCTGAGTGAGCACTGGATTGGAAGTCTGGGGCGCCCTAGGTCCCAGGAGACGCAGCTCGCAGCTCTCCCCTCACCTTGGCAGGCCCTTTCAGAGCCAGCAGCACTGGTTAAAATGCAAGCATGGCTGGGCGTGGTGGCTCACGCCTGTAATCCCAGCACCTTGGGAGGCTGAGGCGGGCAGATCACCTGAGGTCAGGAGTTCAAGAACAGCCTAGCCAACATGGTGAAACCCAAACTCTACTAAAAATACAAAACTAGCCGGGCGTGGTGGCGCATGCCTGTAATCCCAGCTACTTGGGAGGCTGAGGCATGAGAATTGCTTGAACCCGGGAGGCAGAGGTTGCAGTGAGCCGAGATCACGCCACTGCACTCCAACCTGGGCAACAAGAACAAAACCCAGTCTCACAAAAAAAAAAAAAAAAAAGCAAGCATGTCTCTTACCTGCTACTGTGTTTGAGCTTTCCTGCAACCCTGTGGGCTAGGCCTTTAAACTATGCCCATTATACCGATGAGAAAAATGAGACTTGGGCAGAAGTGATTTGCTGATGGTGACTCAGCTCAGAAGCAGCAGACGAGGCAGGAGTCAGATGGATGGAAGCCTGTCTGAGCCCACAGCCCCAGCACATGCCTGCTCTACCCAATGGCTGAACTGAGATGGGAAGAAATTTGGGGTGGATAAACGGAAGACAACAGCCGCCTCCCACAAGGAACCTCTGGATCATCTCCCCAAACCTCTTGCCCCAAATCTCTATTGTATAAAAAGATTCTTTTGTACTGACAAGAAAAACTGAGACCCAGAGAAGGTTTTGTAGCTCTGGGCATCCTTTCTGCTCCACTCATAGGACGAGAGTTACCAGAAAAAAATACAGGACAATAATTGAGACATATACTAAAAATATATTCCTAGTTTATCTGAAATTCACATTTAACTGAGCAGTTTTATTTGCTAAATCTGGTGCCTTCAGTGAGACACACCCCACTCCCCAGTTTCCATCACCCTTTAGGACTGGGATAGATGGGGATGATCCAAATCTAGAGCCTGTGTCTCTTTCTTCCCAACCAGCGCTATCCTCACCTGGAATCCTGGGCCTTGCAGTGAACAAATATTGGAACAGAAACTTGGGATACAATTATTTTGTTCAACAAAGCGTTGAAGTCCAGCCATCTCTAATGCACATCCCAACTCTCTGGGGTTGTCCAAGGAGGCCTCTGTGTTGGGGCAGCCAGCGGCTCTTGGAATCCATTGAGCCCTGACCATGTGACCTCAAGCCAGTTCCATCACCCCTCTGGGCCTCAGTTTCCACATCTGTGAAATGAGAGCCCATTCCTCCTTTCCCTGCAGCCCTGGTCCAGGAGACCACAGCTGTGGAAGCATCTCCACGCCCTGTGCCCAGCGCTCTCGGGACCCAGGCTTTGGGCTCTGTGAAGGCTTCATGTCCCTCCTCCTCCAAGGTCAGGGTGGAGGGTAAGGGGTGGGAGGGCACCCTGGTCCTGCCACTGGGAGATGCTACTTCTGCCTTGTGACCAAGTATCACACATGCCCCAGATCTATGTGTCTCCTGCCCCCAGGTCCCAGTGTAGTGCCCAGCTAGTCAAAATCCATGCTGATGCAAATGAAACACAGCCTCACACGAGGTGCCCCGTGTGGATGATCCACTGCAATCCCCACCACCATCTCAAACCCCCTGAGACTCCCATCACCTGGCAATGCTACAGTTACTATGAGTGTGGTCTGCCTCCCCCAGGTCACTGGGCCCCCGTGGGCAGTGATCCTGTCTGTTCCGTTTACTGCCATGTGCCCAGGGCCAAGAACAGTGCCTGGCATGTGGTAGGTGCTCAGGATCTTGTTGTGAAATACACAAGTGGACAACACGGTAAGGTGACTGCTTTACTATCCCCTTTCACAAACGAAGAAACTGAGAGGTAGAGATGAAGCCAGTTGCCCAAGGCCACACAGTGAGTGTATTTGAACCCAGGCAGCCTGACTCCCGAGCCTACCCTGTTAACTACCACCCTACACAGGAGCATATGAAAAATAAATGCATGAGTTAATGAATGAATGCAAAAGTGAATGAATGAATGCATGAGTGAATGAATGAATGCATGCATAGTGAATGAATGCATGAGTGAATGAATGAATGAATGCATAGTGAATGAATGCATGCATGAGTGAATGAATGAATGAATGCATGAGTGAATGAATGAGTGAATGAATGAATGAATGCATAGTGAATGAATGCATGCATGAGTGAATGAATGAATGAATGCATGAGTGAATGAATGAGTGAATGAATGAATGAATGAATGCATAGTGAATGAATGAATGCATGAGTGAATGAATGAATGCAAGCATGAGTGAATGAATGAATGTGTGAGTGAATGAATGCATGCATGCATGCATGAGCCACCCTTCATCTTTCACCCATCTCCTTCAGGGGCCTGTATTTCTCCCACAGTGTGGGGCAAAGCAGTCCCTACAAATGGTGGTAAGCAGTCAACCTGAGGTCTTAACCATCAGGTGCTCATGGAGACCCACTCAGAGACGGACAGCACTGGCCCCGAGTCACACTGCATGTTGGTAGGGGGCAGAGCATCCTGTCCCAAGGCCCCTGGCCCTCGAGCCTAGCCCTGCCCCACTCTGAGAACCTCGTGTGTTTGGTGGCACAGGCATGGCTGGGGGTAAACTCCAGGCTTGCTGTGACTACCTGGGTAACCTTAGGTGAGTCCTGCACCTCTCTGAGTCTCTCCTGTTGTAAAATGGGAACACTGCTACCCAACTCGCAGGGCTGTTCTGAAAATGATGAGGTGACATCGTGGACAACAAGCTGACTTGGAGAACAGGCTCCGCTCAGCAGATATCACCAGTCCCCTCCCAGGCTCTACCCCACCAGCACTAACTGGGGCCCGCCAAACCCCAGAGCCAACCTGACAATTCTATGACGGCTGAATCACTGGGAAATAATTGAGGTTAATTCCTCAGTCTCCTGCACATACCACCCACCTCTCCTCCCAGCAGGCCAGGGAGGATTTATGAGTTAATGGTGGCATTGTCATGTAAAGGGCTTTGAGATCCTCGGAGAGAGAGCCCTGGGAACGTATAGAGTATGAAATGGGAGGCATAATGGTATTAGCACCCAATTACTCCAGGATGATCACTCGCCCGCAGCTAAAACTAAGAGCTCTCTCCCCTAGTGACCCTTCCGCACGCCCCTGAAAGGACTAGGCAGGCAGATGCATTTGGCTCAGGCCTGAGTCCTTCCAGCTTGCTGTGTGGCCTTAGGAAGCTCACAGGCCCTCTCTGGGTATCTTGCCACATTAGCTCTCCTGAGGGTCCCTGCAAATCAACAATCATACACCCAGGCGGCCCCTCCGCCCCCGAGTGGTGGCCCTACCAGGGATGGTGGGAACCTCACATGGGTGTCAACTCAGAGAAGAAGCCAGGGATCTCAGCTCCCAGCCCAAGCTCCTTCCCCACCCCTCACTGAGGCCCCGACACGTGGACAAACAGCTCTTCGAATCTGTCATATGAAGAGCTCGCACGCTGCAGCTCAGAGAAACTTCCAGAGGAATGCACTTAATCCTGGCCACAGCTCTCTAAAGAAGCTACGATTATGATTCCCAATCTTTGGGTGAGAAAACTGAGGCCACAGGGCAGGTTATTGCCCACAGACCCAAAGCTGTGAAGCAAGTGACCAGGGTTCAAATCCAGAAAGCCTGACCCCAGACCTGCCTCATACACGCTCAGTATGGAGGAAAAGCCCCAATCTCCTTCCAGAGCTCTCACCCTCAGAGCTTCGTGCTGGAGCACCTGCCTGGTCCCCACTTCCCCTTGCTAATAGTAGAGCTGGAGCACAGCTTCAGTTAGCAGTGACCACACTCCAGGCCCTGTGCTGAGCGCCACTGACCCAAAGCCCAGGAAATGCATATCTGCATCCTCATTCTACAGGTGAGGAATTAAGGCCCAGAGACAAGTACTTGGCCCAAAATCTCATAGCTAAGATGTGGCCGCTCCATCATTTATGCCACCTCCCAATGTCATTCTTTTTCTTTTTTTTTCTTTCTTTGAGATAGAGTCTTACTCTGTCATCCAGGCTGGAGTGAATGGCATGATCACAGCTCACTGCAGCCTCGACCTCCTGGTCTCAAGGGATCCTCCCACCTCAGCCTCCTGAGTAGCTGGGACTACAGGTGCATGCCACCATGCCTAGCTAATTTATTTTATTTTTTTAAGTAGAAATGGAGTTTTGCTATGTTGCCCAGGCTAGTCAAATGACCTTCCCGCCCTGGCCTCCCGAAGTACTGGGATTGCAGGCGTGAGCCACCATTCCCCGCCTGAGCCACCACGCCCAGCCTGAGCCACCATTCCCCGCCTGCGCCACCATTCCCCACCTGAGCCACCATTCCCCGTCTGAGCCACCACGCCCGGCCTGAGCCACCACTCCTGGCCTGAGCCACCATTCCCCGCCTGCGCCACCATTCCCCGCCTGAGCCACCATTCCCCGCCTGAGCCACCACGCCCGGCCTGAGCCACCATTCCCCGCCTGCGCCACCATTCCCCGCCTGAGCCACCATTCCCCGCCTGAGCCACCACGCCCGGCCTGAGCCACCATTCCCCGCCTGAGCCACCACTCCCCACCGAGCCACCATTCCCCACCTGAGCCACCATTCCCCGCCTGAGCCACCATGCCCGGCCTGATTTCATTTTCCTTAGAGCGTATCATGCTCCCTCCATCTCTTTTCTTGCATCTGTGCACAGGGGAGTGTCTGCCCAGGCCTCACCTTTCCCCTTCACTGCCGGGTTTCTAGTGCCTGGGGCAGGACCGGGCACAGAGTAGGTGCTCAACAGACGTTTATAAATAATGCTTGGAAGGAAATGTTTTGTAGGCTACGGGGCTGAGGAGTCTTCCTCATGGGGTAAGAATAAGAACCTTCCACTTAAGCAGCCTGAGCAAGGCAAGGGATTGAGGCCGGGACGGGTATGGAGGCCGCTCAGAGAAAGAATCAGCAAAGGCATTGGCCACGGCTCTGTTGCACCCACAGTCCCTCAATGTCTTGGGCCTGACGTGCAGTCCAGCCCATCTGGCACAACTGACCCCCAAAGGAAGCATTCAGATCCTTCATCCCCTCAGGGAGCTGGGGGTCTCTAGGGCCCTCCTGGGTCCCAGAGCTCTCTCTGCCGGCCACAGCAGTTGTGGGCCCACCTGCCTTTCCCAATGGGAGCAATACAGCCTTTCTGAAAGTCTCTCTAAGGTCTCTGCCTCCTTCCTCGGAGACTGCTGGCGTCCTTGTCTTGGCCCAGGTCCTCACCTTCCTCCTTCGGCTCCCTTACCCCTCCCCACCTGCCCACCCCCACACTGCCCCCTTCACCCATCAGAAGTTAATTCCTCAGAAACTTTCCTTGGGAGCAATTTCCACTTCTTATTATGCCCGCTGCGCCGGCCCAGCTCGGTGCTATCTGGCTCTGTACAGCAGGGAAGACGGTCTGACACTTGCCTGGAATAGCAGAGGTGATGGAGAGGGGGGCGGCTCCTGGGATTACGATAAGGGCTCACAGGCCGCTTGGTATGCCAGCCCAGGCCGCACGCTTTACCTTCCATATTGGGGTGATAAAGATGATTTTCCATGCTGGTCCCTATCGCCTATCAAGACCAAACATTCAAATACAGCCCTACGTTTTAAACTCTGCAGCACCCTGCAACACACCGCCTCCTCCAAAGGAAATGGAACCTTATGATTTGAAAGGTAAAAAAAAAATTAATTGAAGTAGCCAGGTCAATCCCTCCCTATCAACTCCTGGATTTAATGAAAAAATGGAGACCCATTTTGAAGGCAAGTGTGCTTATGGGGGGCAGAAAGAGAGAGACGGGGACTGGGAGGTATTTGGCCAGCTTCGAGAAAGCCCCATGCATGCCTTCAGGAGGGTTCCAGACAAGGGCACCCTGTCCCAACCCACTTGTAGGTGCCCTGGCCTCAAAGTTGTAAAATCCCAGCCAAGGAGGAAGACCTTGACCCAAAAGAGAGGTGCCAGGTTGGAAGAAGCAGGAGGGGTGGGGGTGGAGGAGGGAGCGTGACTTCACTTCCCATCGTAATAAAATTTTACCAAAGAAGAAAGAGGCTTCAGGAAGGTTTGGCTTCTGTTTATATTATTATTATCATTTGAGGATTTCAGAATTGTTTCCTGGGTTCGGAGTCTGTCAGCAGAATATTTATTGTACTTTATGGTACATTAGTAACAAGATTGTCTTCCCTTTCCACCGCCAACTTCAAACCCCCTGTCATTCTGGAGGGAGAGGGTATTAAGGAGGAGGATTTCTTTTTTGCCAAAGTCAGCAGCTATGGCAGAGATGCCCCCAACTCCCGGAACTCCAGCTGCCTTGGCATCGCCCACGGGGCCGGGGGAGGAGTAGGGGAAGCGGCTAAGCTTTCAGGCTTTGTACCCTGGCTGGGCCTGGCACCACCATCATCCTTGTTCCTCTTGGTCATCGTGCACCCCGTGCACCTGCACCTGGCACCTCCTGAACTCTTCAGAGGGCTGCTGGGAGCACTGCAGGAAGAGGCCCTGCCTGCTGTGTCTCCCCATCCCCAGAGGGGCACCGCACCCCAGCACAGCCTCAGCACCAGCCACAAATTACAGCCTGGACAACCGTGGATTGCTGGCCTGCAGGAAGGGGACGGAGTGGGGCGCCAGGGATGAGGAGGCGGCGCCATCCCCCCTCCTGCAGGAGCAAAGGGACAAAGGGGCTGGAACAGAGAAGCTGGCTGCCTAGCCAGCTACCCTGCCCACAGCAGCTTCTCCTACAGGTTTTACAAGTCTGCCCTGGAGGCGGGGAGAAACGTGGCCACAAGCCATTAATTACAAATTGGTTCAGGGAGGGAAAGGCTGGAGAAGGGGTTTCCACATCAGCTCCTACCTCAGCTGGGAATTCCTCCTCTTTCTGGAATGGGTCCTGCAGCAAGCTCTGGGCTGGCAGAGGGGTCCCAGCACCTGCCCCGCTGGGTGTTTGCCTGTCGCGCCTCTGTGGGCCTCATTTTTCCTCACCTGTCAACCAAGGGATTGGATGAGATCAGCTCTAGAGATATTCCTAATTCTGGTAATAACAACAATGGTAAGAGCTGCCACAGGCATTACCTCATTGAATCCTCCAACAACACTGTGAGCTGGGTCCTATTACTATCTTCACAGTGCAGGTGAGGGAGCAGGAGGAGCAGCGAGTGTGGTGGCCTCAGAGGAGGCAGAGTCAGCCTTGTCGTTTGGTAGGTAGTGGCAGTTGGTGCCTGGAGTCCTGCCTGACTCCAGAGCCCCCCTCGTGACGCTCAGCATAATGGCCTCTGACAATTCTGCAGGTCTAGGATTATACATTTATCTTCCAACTTTTCCTCATCAACTAAAAATAAAGAAAGAAATGTGTCTAGAATCTTAAAAACTTCAGGATGAGTTCCTGGGCAGCAGCAGGACTCTCCGTGCCCATGCAGACATCAGCAGCAGTGTGGGAAAATCCAGGCCTGGGCCTCTCTTCTAGGAGGTGGAGAGGCTGTGGAGAAGGCAGCCAAGCCCAGTTAGTACCCCAGGGGCACCATGGTCCACCACCTTCCCTCCTCTTCCAGAATCCCGCATCTTGCCAGGCCCAAATCTCCTCGCTCTGGACCACTCTCAAGAGAGGTGGGATGTTGCAGGGTACAATTCCGTGTTGGGGGGCGGCCTTAGCCTTACCAGCTAGATGCCAGGGGCACCCCCAACCGCAGTTGTGACAACTTTCCCAGGTATTCCAATTGTCCACTGGGGGGGGCGGGGGGGCGGGGAGGGGGGCAAAATCATCGCCCAGTTGAAAAGCATTGCTCTAGTAGTTAAAAGTATGGGGCCAAGTTACCTCAGTTCAAAATCCCCTTCTGCCACGTAGAGTGTGGCATTTGGCAAGCTGCTCGACCTATCCAAAGCTCAGTCTCCCCATCCGTCAAATGGACGTCATAATGATTACAAGGATGAGGACTTGACAAGAGAAAGCCAACTCTGAGGACTTGACAAGAGAAAGCCTGTGCTGTGCACACAAGGCCCTTAGCCTAGAGCCTGGAAATGGCCTTAACCAAAGGAGATGGTCATAGGATGGGAGAAGCAACAGCGTCACCCAGAGAAGAGGAGCTTCACTGATAGAAATCACCAGACTTGGGTCTGGTGTCATCATAGGTTGGGCACAGCACAGCCTGAAAATTTGTCTGCAGACTTTGAGACCCTGGCTCTGAAGGCCCTGGTAGTCACCTTGCCTGGTCCTTTAACCAAAGACCCCACATCAAGATTTGCCTCATTTCATTAGATCATAAGTTATCCACCAGGGGCAGTATTCACTCACAGAGGACATTTGGCAATGTCTGGAGACATTTTTTATTGTCACAACCAGAAAGAGGAGTAAGTGGGAGTGCTATTGGCACCTAATAGGTAGAGACCAGGGATGTTCTAAACACCCTACAATTCAGAGAACAGCCATCAGAGCAAAGAATTGTCCAGGCCAACATGTCAGCGGTGTCCATATTGAGATACTCTACATCAGACTGATTCTACTCACTTTCTTTCCCTTTTTGCCTTGGCCACCAGGAAGCTCAAAGCAAAGTTTTATACTCAACTGCCATAGCTGTTTTCATTCTTGGTTTCCAATTCAACTATTTATCTCCCCAGCTCTCATCTTTAATGACTCTATATGTTCTTTTATCCTTCTTTCAATAGGCCTATAGGATTTTTGTTTTGTTTTAATCATGCTTTACTCTTTTAGGAAGAAGATGGTATATACACCAAAAGCCAAACTAATCTCTGTTGCTTCTTTTTAGGTGATTAAAAATGTTTGATGTGTGGTTTGCACTTTCTTTTGTAAGTTATTTTATCCTCTCAACAGCCAAATAAAGCACATGTGTGAAGAAACTGAGGCTCAGCCAGGTGATTCTGTGAGTAAATAATGAAGCTAGAACTTAACAAAACAAGTGAAATGTCAGAGACTAAATGAACCATATTAACCTGCTTAGATGGGCAATAGTAATCATTCTTAATGTATTCATGCTAATTAACCAATTAATCCCTACAGCAACCTTTTAAAAACATAACACCATTTCCTTTTTAAAGATGAGAAAACCCAACACCCCCAGCCAACGTGGATGACTAAATTAGACAGTCTCATCCGAAAGCCACTTGATTAATTCTGCCATCCACACAGACTAAGTTATCCAGATGATTGGCACATGTGAGGCAGTCTGCTCATTTTTCAGCAAGCCGTCATCACGATGTCCCCTCCACTCAGCTGCCTGATGGATCGCCAAACTCAAAGTGGCAGAAACGGGTATATCCAGGCAATGGATAAAGGGAACAAAGCCACGAGAGGAACAAGGTACTCATACATGCTACAACATGGAAGGGCCTTGCAAACATTATGCTGGCTGAAAGGAGCCAGCCACTAAAGGATACGGCCGGGAGTGGTGGCTCACGCCTGTAATCCCAGCACTTTGGGAGGTCAAGGTGGGAGGATTATCTGAGGTCAGGGGTTCAAGACCAGCCTGGCCAACATGGTGAAACCCCATCTCTACTAAAAATACAAAAATTAGCTGGGTGCGGTGGCAGGCACCTGTAGTCCCAGATACTCAGGAAGCTGAAACACAAGAATCACTTGAACCCAGGAGGCAGAGGTTACAGTGAGCCAAGATCGCGCCACTGCACTCCAGCCTGAGTGACAGAGTGAGACTCCATCTCAAAAAAAAAAAGAATATATATTGTATGATGCCATTAAATAAAATGTGCAGAATAGGCAAGTCTAGAGAGAAAGGAAGTGATTGCCCAGGGCTGGGGGCAGAATGGAGAAGGATTGCTGTGGGGACGGGGCTTATTTCAGGATGGATGAAAATGTTCTAGGGCTAGGCAGCAGTGATGGCTGCACGACATGGTAAATGTACTCAATGCTGCTGAACCGTGCAGTTTAAGATAGTATATTTTATGTTACGTGTATTTTACCACAATAAAAAAATGTAAAATAAGAAAGAAAGAAAAAAGAAAAGGGCCAGGTAAGGTGGCTCACACCTGTAATCCCAACACTTTGGGAGGCCAAGGCAGGAGGATTGCTATAGGCCAAGAGTTTGAGACCAGCCCGGGCAACATAGTGAGATCCTGTTTCTACAAAATAAAAGATAGGCCAGGCATGATGGCTCACCCCTATAATTCCATCACTTTGGGAGGCCGAGGCAGGTGGATCACTTAAGGTCAGAAGTTCAAGACCAGCCTGGTCAATATGGTGAAACCCTGTCCCTACTAAAAATATAAAAATTGGCTGGGTGTGGTGGCGCATACCTGTAGAGGCTGAAGCCATGAGAATTGCTTGAACCCAGGAGGCGGAGGTTGCAGTGCACTATGATCATGCCACTGCACTCCAGCCTGGGTGACAAAGCAATACTCTGTCTCAAAAATATATATAAATAAATTAAATTTAAAAATAAAACAATTAGCCAGGAGTGGTGGTGCAGTCCTGTGGTCCTAGCTACTGGGGATGCTGAGGCAGGAGGATCACTTGAGCCCGGGAGTTTGAGGCTGCAGTGAGCTATGATTATGCCACTGCATTCCGGCCTGGGTGACAGAGTAAGACCCCATCTCTTAAAATGATAATAAATAAATAAAAATAAAAAATAAACAAAAGAAATAAAAGGCACAACCAATCTCCCTTTTCTGGACCAGGAGACAATATGTTCATCTTTTTCTTCCTTTTCTTTCTCTCTCTTTAATAGTGAAATATTGTTGGCGCAACAAACCAACTGAAAGAAGGAAGGAAGGAAGGAAAGAGAGAGAGAAAGAAAGGAGGGAGGGAGGGAGGGAGAAAGGAAGGAAAGAAAGGGAGAGAAGGAGGAAGGAAGGAAGGAAGGAAGGAAGGAAGGAAGGAAGGAAGGAAGGAAGGAAGGAAGGAAGGAAGGAAGGAAAGAAAGAAAAAAAGGCCAAAACCGCTGGAGCAGCTGAAGTCTCGCTGACATTGTGGAGCGTCAACAGGTCCAAAAGGTGCTCCGATTGGTCTGTCAAAGGGTTATTTTGTCTACACAACACGGCACAGCTGGTTCAAAGTTGGATTTTTGTTTTCATTTTCCCTCACTTTGGCTGGATGCTTTACCTTGGTGAATAAGCAATTTGAGAATGACTGGGGAAAAAAATATATTTTTACTCAAGTCCTGGTTTCCAAATTGCCCAATTAATAGAAGAGGGGGAAGTCCTTTCTTTGAAGGTTCTGGCGTGAAGCATTTGGAGCCAAAGTGAGTTTTGGTCCCACTGCAAACGACGGGAAAATGACTCAAGAGGAGGTTTGCCCTGCTTCACTCCTCCCTGGGGCCTAGAGAGAGGGTTTCTTATTTAGCAGGTGTACTGGGGGTTATTCATCCTGCGGGAAGGGAAAAGCAACCTGCAGAAATCCCACTTGAGAATGGCTAATGAAACTGTGTAACTCCATACAAGAGAACATGATGTAGCTATTAAATATGCTGCCTGCAAAAATTAAAAAAAAAAAACTAAAGACACGAAGAAGTATTTTCATATAGACTTGAGTGAAATAGCACTTGAAACCATAGTACAGTTGCAAATGTAGGGACGGGGGAAATACTGAAGCAAACACACAAAAATGCAGGGCAGATTCCCTGGCCAGTCTTTATTTTGCTCTATGTACTTTGCAAAGAGCGAGTGTGTTGCTTTTATAATCCAAAAACATTTTTTTTTCTACAGATATTTTCAGGGAATATCAAGGACCAGCCTTCCCTTTGAAATGGCTTCCAGCTTGCAAATAGCCTAAACTCTTCTTTGCTCTCTGCCTATAGCTGCAGCCGCGGTGGGGGAGATTTCAGATCACAGGCAGAGAAGCGGCTCCGCTGGGTTGCTCCTGGCCACCTCCCAAAGATGCTGCCTCTGCAGAGAGCCGGAGAAAAACCCGACCCTGGAGAGGCTTTGGTTATGGGCTTCTGGAAACACACAGCCTCCTACCAGCACCAGGGCTCCTTTCTCACAGAGAATCCGAGGGTCATTTTAGATCAGAGTTGAGGCAATTCTTCCTGGAGTCTTCTTTCTAATGCCCTCCATTCGTGCCTCTGCCCTCTTACTGGTTGTGCGTCTTTAGGCAAGTGATTTGTACCACTTGCCAGCAAAAGGAGCCAGTTGTTGGCTGGGCACGGTGGCTCCCGTCTGTAATCCCAGCACTTTGGGAGGCCAAGGCAGGTGAATCACCTGAGGTCAGGAGTTCGAGACCAGCCTGGCCAACATGGCGAAACCCCATCTCTACTAAAAATACAAAAATTAGCTGGGAGTGGTGGCAGGTGCCTGCAATCCCAGTTATTCCGGGGGCTGAGGTAGAAGTATAATTTGAACCCAGGAGGTGGAGATCACACCACTGCACTCCAGCCTGGGCAACACAGTGAGACTCCATCTCAAAAAAATAAATAAAATAGGCCAGGCGTGGTGGCTCACATCAGTAATCCCAGCACTCTGGGATGCCAAGATGGGCAGATCACCTGAGGTCAGGAGTTCGAGACCAGCCTGTCCAACATGGTGAAACCTTGTCTCTACTAAAAATACAAAAAAAATTATTCAGGTGAGGTGGCAGGCGCCTATAATCTCAGCTACTTGGGAGGCTGAGGCAGGAGAATCACTTGAACCTGGGAGACGGAGGTTGCAGTGAGCCGAGACTGCACCATTGCACTCCAGCCTGGGCAACAAGAATGAAACTCTGTCTCAAAATAAATAAATAAATAAATTTAATTTAAAAAAAGAGCAAGTTGTTCCAGTGAGGTTCAAATAAGCAAGTCCCAGAGCTCCAACCCTGCCTGGAGTGTGAACCCTGCATCCTGGCCAGTCTGTTCTGGTTCTTCACCTCTCTGGATAGTCCTATAAGCCAGATGCTCTCTACCAAAGAGGAAATGGGCTCAAAGAGGTGAAGCCTCCCACCCAAAGTCACAGAGCTGGAAAACTGCAGAGCCAGGATTCGAACCCAGATGCCTGGCCACAGAGCCCAGGCTCTTTTGAATAATTCCTCATTTTCATGTCCACATTATCCCTCTGACTACACAGCAGCTTAAGGATTGACACCACATTTGGTTCAGTCAACATTTGTGATGAATCTCTAATGAGAATAACATTAAGACATGTATTGTAAGTCCAGGCGTGGTGGCTCACGCCTGTAATCCCAGCACTTTGGGAGGCCGAGGCGGGCGGATCACTGGCCAACATGGCGAAACGCCATCTCTACTAAATATATAAAAATTAGCCAGACATGGTGGCGGGTGCCTATAGTCCCAGCTACTCAGGAGGCTGAGGCAGGAGAATTGCTTGAACCCGGCAGGCGGAGGTTACAGTGAGCCAAGATAGCACCACTGCACTCCAGCCTGGGTGACAGAGGGAGACTCCACCTCAAAACAACGACAACAACAACAACAAAATAAATAAAATAAATATTAAAAAGCCATGTATTGTGCAGCTACTGCGCTAAGCGCTTTTCATACTTTGCTTTATTTAATCCTTTCATCAGTCCCCGAGAGGTAGCTATTATTATCATTCCCATTTTATAGATGAGCAGATGAAGACACAGAGAAGTAAACTGACTCTCCCTACATCACACAGCTGTGGAGTCAGGAGGATATGAAGCCAAGGGTATCTGATATGGTTAAGATTATCAGCTCCACAGCCTGGTTATTGCAGTTGGTGTCTACATAGGACCAGGGGTGTTAAATTCTACACTGACTGTTTGCCCTGGGCACTTTCAGCTGACAGGGCCACTATAAATCTTGATCCCTGCTTACAGCTGGGAGGCCATGCCCTGGGCCAGAGTGGTTGGTACGCTAAGTCTCCCTTACTAGACAGAGACTGTGAGAGCAGTGAGTCTGCCCAGCTGTGGCTAGTGGCCAACAGCCAGCTATGGATTGGTGGACATCGTGCCCAGCTGTAGATCAGCAGACATTACCCAGCTGCAGGAGACAAGAGAAGATGCTCTTTTCCTTGCAAACCATGGATGTGGCCCACGGAGAAAGTGTAGGTGTTCACTTGCCAGCCTTCCATACATCATGGTGCACCCAGAAACTGATACACTTAGGGACAGACAAGACCACTTGCAGCTGTAGGCACGTGGCGCAGCCACCTGCTCCCACCAACACATTCCCGCCCCAGGTTCAGGGGATCCACATCTTGGCATAAGAAGTGGAAGGCTCGGTTCAGGGGGATCCCTCTCCCTTCCCCACCCTTTAGAATTTACTTTTCACTCCAAGGAAAAATAAAGAATTTACCTCAGAAAGGCTTTTAAAGAAACTCCCAGTTCATCCCAAGGAAGTACTATTTTAATGTAGATTCCCAGCTTTAATGTAAAGACATTGGTGCCCATGAGTAGAGGAAAAAATGTTTGACTCTGCAATGAGTACATTTGAGTGGGCCATAGTTTGCAATTTGCAGTAATCCAGTATCAGTCAACGCTTTTTGTTAATGTATCTTTTAGAGAATAAAGAAAACTGGGAGGCCAGGCATGGTGGCTCATGCCTGTAATCTCAGCACTTTGAGAGGCTGAGGAAGGCAGATCAGTTGAGTTCAAGTCTAGCCTGGGCAACATGGTAAGACCCCGTCTCTGCAAACAAATACAAAAATTAGCTGGGTATGGTGGTGCACACCCGTAGTCCCAGCTACTCAGGAGGCTGAGATGGGAGGATTACTGAGCCCAGGGAGGTCGAGGTTGCAAAGAGCCATGATTGTGCCACTGTACTCCAGCATGGATGACAGAGTGAGACCCTGCCTCAAAAAAAAAAGGAAAGAAAACTGAAAGGTACCTTTTCTATGTGCATCAGCCCTTTCTTTCTACGGACTTCAGCCCACGTCAGTCTTTAGGGCACACACATGCACACAAACATACACACTAAAACACATGCATCCTCTCTTTACAACTCCGTGAGTCTCTTCCCTAGACTTAATCAATATATAAAACATATCTCCATGAATCTTCTCAATAATGCCCAGCTCTGGAAATTCAGAACAGAATAGGATTTCCAGGTTTCAAATCACGGATGCAAGCTTAGGGACCATCTGACCTCATCATTAAACAGAGGAGCACACTGAGGCCCAGAGGGGAAGTGACTTATCCAAGGTCACAGAGTGAATTTATGCTGGAGCCCAAGTGGGTACCCAGGTGGACCCCCGGCTCTCAGACCAGCACTGCCCAGAGAGGTACAAGCAATAAAAGTCATTGTCTAAATTGCAAGGAGACAAATACAACTTCTCCATCCCCAAGGAGAGCCAATGGACGGAATCTTTGCAGGCACAATTGCCACAGAAAGTTTACAAAGACTTTCCTAGCCTAATATATGTAAAGAAATCTTTAGAGAGTCATTCCCCATTAATCAGCTGTCAGCAGTGTTCTGAAGGAGGGGAGGGGAGTTGAGGATGGAGAACACTAACTCATTTCCCAGAGCCTGTCTTCAGGATTTCAAAAATGAGTTTAGCAGAGCCAGCCACTTTGGGGGCATCTGAGAAAATGAGAAACGCTTCTAACACCCTCAATTGCTCTCAACCCACATGACGGTGCCTGTGATTTAGTGACTCTTACACTTTAGCGTGCATACGAATCTTCTGGAAGGTTTGTTAAAACAGATTGCTGGTCGGGTGTGGTGGCTCATGCCTGTGATCTCAGCACTTTGGAAGGCCTAGGTAGGTGGATCACTTGAGCCCAGGAGTTTGAGGCTAGCCTGGGCAACATTGACAGACCTTATCTTTACAAAAAATACAAAAATTAGCCGGGCGTGGTGGCTTGCACTTGTAGTCCCAGCTGCTTGGGAGGCTGAGGTGGGAGGATCACTTGAGCCTAGGAGGCAGAGGCTGCAGTCAGCCGAGATTGTGCCACTGCACCACAGCCTGGGCGACACAGCCAGACCCTGTCTCAAAAAAACAAAAACAAATCACAGATTGCTGCCCACCACCCCTCTCCATGCACCCAGAGTTTCTGATTCAGTAGGCATGGCATGGGGCCTGAGAAGTTGCATTTCTATCAAGTTCCCAAGTGAGGCTGATGCTGCTGGTCCATGGCCCACACTTTGAGATCACTGTTTTGTGCTCTTGATGCTGTTTGGATGATTCAGGCAAAAGAGTGAAAAACAATTATATTAACCTGGGAGCAGAATCCCATGGCAGTTGGGCACAGAACTCAAAGTCAAGCAGACGTGGCTGGGACTGGAGGTCTGCTGTAGACTGCAGGAGTCCAGCCTGGTCGCTGCTGTTCCCTGGTGCTTGGCTCCAGGGCTGGCACACTGTGGGCGTCCAATAAATGTGTGTTTCTGGATGCTGTCTTAGCTTTTAGGTGGAGGTAAATTACACCACTGCCTCCCACTCCCTAAAAGGAAGGGAATGGAGAGATGGCACAAGAGTCTGCAGAAGCATCAAGAGTGGCCATGGCTCTCTTGGTTTTTCACCTTGACCTTGGGTTAGGAGCAATTAGGTGCTGAAGCCTGAACATGGGTCCAAAGTCTGTTTCTTTTCATTGTAATAATTTTCACATGGGTGTTCTTATTTTTAAAAGTTGTGACCCTCATTATAGAAAATTTACAAAATGTTTGGAGGCAAAAAGAAGAAAATAGCTATCACCCATAACCTCAACCCTGAGGAGTACTCACTCATCATTTAGGAATATATTCTTTGGGTGTTATTTTTCCACACATAAGTATGTTTTTTTCTTAAGTAGAATCATGCTGTTTGGGAAGTTGCCTTTTTTTCACTCAATGTTTCATGAATACTTTTGCAGGTCATGAAATTTTTCCAGGTACAAATTTCAAGGGATAGGATAGTTCCATTAAGAAAGTAGACTCATGGCCGGGCGTGGAGGCTCACGCCTGTAATCCCAGCACTTTGGGAGGCCGAGGAGGGCAGATCACCTGAGGTCGGGAGTTCGAGACCAGCCTGACCAACATGGAGAAACCCCATCTCTACTAAAAATACAAAATTAGCTGGGCGTGGTGGCACGTGCCTGTAATCCCAGCTACTCAGGAGGCTGAGACAGGAGAATCACTTAACCTAGGAGGCAGAGGTTGTGGTGAGCCGAGATCGTGCCATTGCACTCCACTCCAGCCTGGGCAACGAAAGCGAAACTGTCTCAAAAAAAAAAAAAAAAAAAAGAACATAGACTCAGCCAGGTGCAGTGGCTGACACCTGTAATCCCAACACTTTGGGAGACTGAGGCAGGCGGATCGCTTAAGCCCAGGAATTCGAGACCAGCCTGGGCAACATAGTGAAACCACAACTTCTACAAAAAATGCAAAATTTAGCTGGGCATGATGAGGCACACCTGTAGTCCCAGCTATTCGGGAGGCTGAGGTTGGGGGATCACTTGAGCACAGGTAGGTGGAGGCTGCACTGTGCTGTGATTGCACCACTGCACTCCAGCCTGGGTGACAGAGTGAGACCCTGTATCAAAAAAATAAAAATAAAAATAAAGAACATGTATGTAGCCGGGCGCGGTGGCTCATGCCTATAATCCCAGCACTTTGGGAGGCCGAGGCGAGTGGATCACGAGGTCAGGAGATCAAGACCATCCTGACTAACATGGTGAAACCCTGACTCTACTAAAAAATACAAGAAAAATTAGCCGGGCATGGTGGTGTGCGCCTGTAGTCCCAGCTACTCGGAAGGCTGAGGCAGGAGAATGGCGTGAATCTGGGAGGCGGAGCTTGCAGTGAGCCAAGATCGCGCCACTGCACTCCGGCCTGGGAGGAAGAGCGAGACTCCATCTCAAAAAACAAAAAGAACATGTATGTAGACTCTGAAGCCAAACTACCTGAATTCACACTGGCGTCTGCCACTTACCAGATAAGGGAAGTTGGACAAGTTACTTAACTTCTGAGTGTCTCCGTTTCTTCACCAGTATAATTGGGATGATAGTATTTGTACCTATCACAAACAGTTGTTAGGAGAATTAGATGAGCTAATCTATGTAAGTCATTTAGGATGGTTGCTAGCATGAAGCTAAATTTTTGGTGGAATATGGGTTATAGCCTAGAAACATTACACATTGTTGCCTCTTATTATGTGTCCTTGCAATGGCCTGGAGTATTCCATTATATGGATGTTTCATAATATATCTGTCAATATCCTATTGTTAGGAATGTTTACTTTTTTCCAGTTTTCCCTATTAGAAAAAAATATTGTGATGTACTTATATCTTTGCACATATGCGTGGTAAATTCCTAGGCATACAGTGATGTACTAAGGATGGTTCTAAACATTTCTAGAGCTTTTGATACATACTTGCTAAATTGCCCTTCAGAAAGCACAGTAATTTACTCTGCCACACAGTATGTGAGTCACACGTTCCAGACCTCTCAGTCATCCTGATAGTACCATTCTCCCCTTCACAACTGCCACTTAGATAGGCGGGGCATGGCATATCATTGTTTTAATTTGCTTTTCTTTGAGGTTTCTGGTAAGACAGACCATTTTTCATATACTACCAGCCCTCGAGTATGTCTTTCATAAATTGCCTGTCTATGTCCTTTGCCCAGAGATTGTTCATCATCCATATTGATTTGCAAGTGCTCTTTATATAGCAAAGATATTAACCCTTTTCAGCAGAGGCATTGAAAGCATTTAATCTAGTGTGCCATTTGCTGTCAATTTTATTTTCGGTGTTTTATCTTCCCCACCGCGTGTCACTTTGTTTGCCTCAGATCCCAGCCAGGGGAGCCATAGTCTCCTCCCCCTCAGCATCTTCCCTGCCCAGCTCCACCAGCCTTGGGCCCTTTTAAGTCTGCAGCCTGGGGCAGTCTCTTTGATTTACTGTCCCCTACGTAATGAAAAACCCCAGATTGGAAAGTGGTCTATCAGGTCTTTTCAGAAGTCTAAGATGACCCCCAAATCCACTGGGTTCCTACCCCTGCTGGCTGCCTCATAAGGTCACAGGTCATAGGTCATCACGCCCCAATGACCCCCAAAAAGGGATAACTCAAGCCCCCTGGTGATAACAGTTGATGCCAGCCAACTGGTTTGGCTGCTTGCTTCTCTAAATTTCCCTGATAATTTTTGGCGGAATGTAGATTATAGCCTAGGACTGCAAGAGGAAAAATAATATTCAATTGAGGATAAAAGATAAGAGATGCCCCTTACTGAGCCCTGCTAAGTGCCAGCCGCTCTACATGCATTATTATCTCTGCAGCAATCTCCACAAGCTAAGTATCACTGTGCTCATTTCTTAAAAGTGGAAATGGAAGTTCAGAGAGGTTAAGTAACTTGCCCCAAGAAACCCAGCTCCTGAGGATTGAAGCCAAGATTAAAATTTAGCTTGTCAGATTTCAAAACTTGTGTCCTCTTCCTGAGCCCCACTCACCAGGTTTAACCCCGGCTTTGCCACATGCTTGTTTTATGACACCAGAAAACCCCTTCACCACACTAGTCCCCAGGTTTCTTTCATCTGGGGATAATAACAGCTTGCCTCCATACCATGCAGTATCAAGAAGAGAGCCAAGGTTTTTAAAAAACATGGACATGAAGACTCCATAACTGTAAACTGACAGTTTACCTTTGACAAAGGCACACATGGCACCTTCTTAGATGAATTCTCGGAATATAGCCATTAATTCACTTTCAATCTTACAACCTGTAACAGTCATATATAGTCAGATACTTATATTTACAGGATGGATTGCCAACCCCCCTTCCCATTCCCACAAATTGTTTTCATTTATTCAACAGATATTCACAGTTTTCCAGGTCCTGTGGGAGACAAGACTGTCTGTGACCTCGAGGAGCTCACACTGATCCACAGATGCACACACATACACACACATGCATTCTCACCTCCATTTGAGTTTTCCTTTAGAGTGTCTTTTTTTTTTTTTTTTTGAGACAGAGTCTCGCTCTGTGGACAAGGATAGAATGCAGTGGCACGATCATAGCTCACTACAACCTCTGCCTCCTGGGTTCAAGCAATTCTCCTGTCTCAGCCTCCCAAGTATCTGGGACTACAGATGAATGCCACCATGCCCAGCTAATTTTTGTATGTTTAATAGAGGGGTTTCACCATATTGGTCAGTTTGGTCTCGAACTCCTGAACTCAGGTGATCCACCCGCTTCAGACTCCCAAAGTGCTAGGATTAGAGGCGTGAGCCACCGCGCCCGGCTAGCGTATCTTTCTCTTCCATGGCTTGAAACCTCTTGACTCTCCAAGGTCTTAGAGACACAGAATCCCTCGGTTCACATGAAACTGGGTCCCTAACAAACCCGGCCTTCCTGACACATGGCAAACCTGTGTTCAGCTGAGTCCCCGTACCTGGAGGTGCAGTCAGAGTGGGTGTGGCCCTACCCTTTCAGAACATGGCAGCCAGCGGCCAAGTGCCATGGCTCATGCCTGTAACCCTAGCATTTAGGGAGTCCAAAGCGTGCGGATCACCTGACGTCAGGAGTTCAAGACCAACCTGGCCAACATGGTGAAACCCCATCTCTCCTAAAAATGCAAAAGTTAGCTGGGTGTGGTGGCAGGCACCTGTAATACCAGCTACTTGGGAGGCTGAGGCAGGAGAATCACTTGAACCCGGGAGGTGGAAGTTGTAATGAGCCAAGATTGCACCATTGCACTCCAGCCTGGGTGACAGAGTGGGACTCCATCTCAAAACAACAACAACAACAAAAAAGAACGTGGCAGCCAGAGCCAACCCTGCATTTGCCCTGCAGAGCCCATTCTGCAGATGCAACTCCAATATCCTTCAGAATCCAACTGCATCTGCCCAGCAAGTGAGACTCTTTCTTTCTTTGAAACCAACATTACCTGGGTCAATAACGATAATCTCGAAAACATGATGTTGAGCAAGAGAAGTTTCAGAATGATGCCTAAAGTATACTGTTACATAAACTGTAAAAACTGTTTATTTTAATATACATATGTAGTAAAAAATATGGGCCAGGAGCAGTCGCTCATGCTTGTAATCCCAGCAATTTGAAGGCCAAAGCAGGAGGATTACTTTAGCCCAAGAGTTCAAAGCCAGCCTGGGCAACACGGCAAGACCATGTCTCTACAAAAAATTTTAAAAACTAGCCGGGTATGGTGGTGTGTGCCTGTAGTCCCAGCTACTTGAGAGGCTGAGAAGGGAGGATCGCTTGAGCCGGAGAGGTGGTGGCTGCAGTGAGCCGTGTGTGTGCCACTGTACTCCAGCCTGGGCGGCAGAGAACCTGTCTCCAAAAAAAATTATAAAAGCATGTATATTCGTTTCCTATGGCTGCTGTAACAAATTCCTAAAAACCTGGTGACTAAAAATAACAAAAAATTATGCTCTCATGGTCTGGAGGTCAGAAGTCCTCAATTACTATCACGGGGCTGAAATCAAGGTGTCAGGTGAGCAGAACGCGCTCTCTCTGGATGCTGCAGAAGAGAATCCCTCCCTTGCTTCTTCCAGCTTCTAGTGGCTGCCGGCATTCCTAGACTTACGGCCACATCACCCAGTCTCTGCCTCCATGGCCACATTACCTTCTCTTCCATCTGTGTCAAAGCTCCCTTTTCTTCCCTCTTATAATGACACTTGTGATTGCATTTAGGGGCCACCAAGAAAATCCAGGATAATCTCCCCATCTCATGATCTGTAACTTAGTCACATCTGCAAAGACCCTTTTTCATTTGAAGGTAACACTTACACGTTCCAGGGATTAAGAACTGATATTTCTAGGGCCGTTATCCAGGCTACTACAAAATGTAGAGAAACGACAGATGCCACCTTAGGGAGTGTGCTTCCTTCCGGGGAGAGAAGAAAGGGACTGAGGCAGGGAAGGGGTACTCGATGGTGTTGACTCTGTCCCTAAATAGTTAATGGTAAACATTTATTAAAATAAATAAATAACTTAAAGTTTAAAATTTTAAGGCCTGCTTTCTCCTAGCTATGCAACCCTAGGCAATTTATTTCACATCTCGGGACCTTTATCTCCTCATCTGTCATATAAGGATGCCAATATCTACTCCATGGATTTGTATGAGAATTAAATAATATAATGAATGGAACATGCCTAACACAGCGTCCGGCTCATTGTGAGTACTGAGTTACCATTATGATTATTATTTTTTTAAGACAGAGTCTCACTCTTGTTGCCCAGGCTGGAGTGCAGTGGCATGATCATTGCTCACTGCAGCCTCTGTCTCCCGGGATTCTCTGTCTTCAAGGGATTCTTATGCTTCAGCCTCCCAAGTAGCTGGGATTACGGGTGTGTGACATCACACTTGGCTCATTTTTGTATTTTTACTAGAGGTGGGGTTTTACCATGTTGGCCAAGCTGGTCTAGAACTTCTTTTTTTTTTTTTTTTTGAGACAGAGTCTCACTCTATAGCCCAGGCTGGAGTGCAGTGGCACGATCTCAGCTCACTGCAACCTCCGCCTCCCAGGTTCAAGAGATTCTCCTGCCTCAGCTTCCCGAGTAGCTGGGACTACAGGCATGCGCCACCATGCCCAGCTGATTTTTTATTTTTAATAGAGACAGGGTTTCACTATGTTGGCCAGGCTGGTCTAGAACTTCTGACCTCAGGTGATCCACCCACCTCAGCCTCCAAAAGTGCTGGGATTACGGGAGTGAGCCACTGTGCCCCGCCAGGCTGGTCTAGAACTTCTGACCTCAAGTGATCTACCTGCCTTGGCCTCCCAAAGTGCTGGGATTACAGGTGTGAGCCACCGCCCCCGGCCCATCATTATTATCGTTGTTGTGGTTGCTACCTTTCTGAAAGTGAGGAGCATTTTCTACAATGCACCTGTGGGTGCCAACATGTGCATGAGGGCACACACACACACACACACACACCCACATGCAAGCGCATGACCCTTTCTGATGAGAGAAATAAGTTTTTCTGCTCCAAGCCCTGGTTTCTGAAACTCAGCATTGGTAGGGGCGTGGGTACTCAGGCGAGCTGGAAACTACAATGGTAGAAGCGGGGGGAGCCCTTTGCAAAGGTACTTTTTGATCTGCTCTAACTGCCACTATAGAGAATTAGATGGAATTCATTTTTATGATGAAGGAATTAATGGCTATGGAGAGAATCGGGTTCAGGTGGAAGACTTGAATCCAAAGAAGGGAATAAAGCCTTGAAATTCAAATGAAAAATTATTATATAAGCATAAAGGAAACCTATTTTACACCTGTAAGACTAAATGTATAAATATGAACCAACTGCTCCCTCTGGGAAATGGGGATTGTGCTTTTAATTCACCTAGACAAATATGCAGTGCATTCTCACTTCCATCTATACATTTCAATGAAGACCGGGCACCCGCCAGAGGCTCCTGAGTACCCCTAGACTGGCCACCTCCTTCCCCAGGCTAAGCACCTTCTGGCCCAGCAAAAGCCTCTCTGGCTTCCCCAGAACTCCCAGAAAGCAAGTGAGGCTCTCTAAGCTGCAAAATCCTTGAGCAAGGGCATGTCAAATGCTGCTTCCTGGCAGTAACATTCTCTGATCCTACAGTCCCACACCCCCACCAGGACTCCCAAGGCAGTATCTAAAATCTCACAGTCATCAGAATGTTTCAGCTGCATTCCGTCATTCAATCATTCATTCATTTAATAACACCGCTGAGTACCCACCATGCACCAGTCTCTGTGCTCAGTGTTGAAGATCATCTGGTTTACAAAAGAGAAACTGATGCTGCAAGAGAAGAAACAGAAGCAAAAAAGAGCTTTGAAATCTAGGAGGCCTAAGTGAAAAATATCTTCCCGGCCAGGCGCGGTGGCTCACACCAGTAATCGCAGCTACTTGGGAGGCTGAGGCAGGAGAATCGCTTGAACGGGGGAGGCGGAGGTTGCAGTGAGCCGAGACTACACCATTGGACTTCAGCCTGGGCAACAAGAATGTGACTCCATCTCAAAAAAAAAAAAAAAGGAGAAGAAGAAGAAGAAGAAAAAAGAAAAGAAAAATCTCTTCCATGCTATCTGATAACTCTTTGACCTTGGACTCCTCTCTGAGCCTCCCTGAGTCTATTTCTTCCTCTGTAAAATAGAGATGCTGCTATCTCCTACTTGGGGTAGCTTTGAGATTAAGCAGGCTTACTGTCAATTGTGTGGCACAGAGTGGGCATTCAAAAATTCTAGTTATAAACGTGAGTGCCCAAGGTCAAAGAGTAACATAAGCTTCCAACTTCAAGATCATTCAGCTCTTTACTGTGCACCATCTGTGTTCTTTCAGACACTGAGCTCCGTCCCAGAATTGCAGAGATAAATACAAAAAAAAAAATCCCAGTGGCCAACTATCAAGGAAGTGGGAAACAAGGAAGCCAGCTTGCGTTGACTGCCAACCAACTGTAGACCAACCATGACGCTAGGCGTTTTCCCCCAACTCATCCCTGCTCCTCAGGACAGTACAGATCACCATGTTTTGAGTTCTGTTGGAGCACTGTTCACCATGCCTATATGGCCATGCACCCTCGTGGTGCTCCAAGGGACAAGTCTCCAGTTAACCTATGAGGAAACCTTAGCACATAGAGAGCAAGCCAAGGTTCAATGTGCTAGGATAATTCATTCATCCATTCATTCACCCAATGATGTTTACTGAGCATCTACTATGGTATATAGTATACAGCAATGAATACACAGAACAAGTACCCTTGTCCCTGTGGAGCTTCCATAAGCTTCTACCAAGTCCATCCGTATGCTCCTCCTGCATGTGGGAGAGGAAAGACCCCTCTGCATGGAGTGAACCATGATAGAGGAGGGAGATCCCCAGGGAGAGAAGGAAGCAGGAGACTTGCAAGCAAGAAAACTCAATTCCATCAGCTTCCTCGTCTCAACAAGCCAATCTAAGGTGGAGTACAGGCAGCGTTTGATCTTTTCATCTTATTCCCATCCTGCCTCAGCCCTGAGAAAGCCTGGGGGCCTGGAGGGAAAGTTCACCTGGGCTTGTGGGCTTCCCTGGAACTTGTGCACAGCCTGGAGCTCCAGGCCGGCCAGTGCTGGGCTCACCACATCCCTTTGATTGTTTAATGAAAGTGCTTTGAAGGTCCCACAGATGCTCCACTGTGATAAGGTAATTGTCCAAGGGCAATGTCTACAACCCATTAATGCTGGACTTGGTGCAAATTGAACTTGGAGAAGGTGCCTCGACACCGTCTGACACTTGGTCTTTTGTTCCGGCAACTGGGAGTTTGGGAGGAGGCTTTCCTCCCGAAGCTTCCAAAGGGTGCCAAGAGAGAGAAATTCCTGTTACACACGCCCTACCTCACATCTCTGCATGAGCATATGCACTCGTGTGTACACACATGCACATAAGTACATATGTAGGCGCACTCATACTCTCTTGTGTACAGGCTCTTGTATACTCTTACATAGGTGCACACATGCCCTCAGCTTCACATATTCATATGAACGTATCCCAATATACCTTCATCCCAATCCATTACCTTTAAACCACTGGGACCAGACTGGGGCGGGCTGGCAGGGGAGGAGGGGTATTCTCTTCCTCCTGGGAAGGTTCTTTTTCCACTTGAGAAATGGAAAGGAAAGAGGGATTACCAGACACGGGCAGAGAGGAAAAGGCTTTTACAGATATCAGGGAACACTCTGTAAAGATGGCTTCAACCGCATCTCTGAAAGCCAGTAGAAAAGCATTAATAGGAGAGGAAACTGCAGAGAGGAGAAGGAAGAGAAGTGGGAGAAGCACCTTGGCCCGTCTTGGGTCTCTCTCTAAGCTTTAGCCTTGCTTGTCTTTATTTCCAGAACCTTGAGAGGTAAAAGGCTCCCAGGACCAGCCTGAGAAGGAGATGAAGGGAGAAATGGAGGAAAAGAAAGCAGAGAGGAGGAGAAAAGGAGGAAGGAGAAGAAGAGAAGGAGAAAAAGAGGAGACATAAGAAACAGGGAGGAGAAGGAAGAATGGAGGAAGGAGAAAGAGGGAGAGGGAGAAGAGGAGGATGAGGAGGGGAGGAAGGAGAACACAAGGAAGAGAAGGAAAAGAGGTGAAGAGTGCCCCATGCCTGTAATCCCAGCAATTTGGGAGTCTGAGGTGGTTGGATCACCTGAGGTCAGGAGTTCGAGACCAGCCTGGCCAACAATGGTGAAACACCATCTCTACTAAAAATCCAAAAATTAGCCAGGTGTGGTGGGGGGTCCCTGTAATCCCAGCTACTCGGGAGGCTGAGGTGGGAAAATTGCTTGAACCTGGAAGGCAGAGGCTGCGCTGAGCCAAGATCACACCACTGCACTTCAACCTGGGTGACAGAGTGAGACCCTGTCTCAAAAAAAAAAAAAAAAAAAAAAAAAAAAAGAGGTGTAGAGGAGGAGGAGGCGAAGGAAGAGGAAGAAAACAGAGGAGAAAGAGAAAACAGAAAAGGAAGGGGAGGAAGAGGAAGAAAACAGAGGAGAAAGAGAAAACAGAAAAGGAAGGGAAGGAAGAGGAAGAGAAAGGGTGAAGGAAGAGAGGAAGAGGAGGAGAAGGAGAGGAAGGAAGAAGACCAGGAAGAAAAAAGGGAGGAGGCTCACTCGAGAGCCCACTTAGCAGTAGGCCTGAGAGAAACCTGGTTATTATTACTGTTGTTGTATCTTTAGTGATGTTGTTCTTGCCCAGTTCTTGAGAACTGGAATCCAGTGCATACTATTCCATTTTTCTGGGGAAAATGAAAATGTCAAGCAAGCTATCAACTTTCCTTTTTGTTTCTATTCAGGTTTGGGCAGATTATTTCAAGCTCACCCCTAGAAGAGTGCCACTTCTTAAAAGAAAAGCATAATAATAAAAGGTCGGTGCCTCTTGGAAATGTAGCGCTGAGGAATTCCAGCCTCCGAAACCTGGAAGGAGACTCCTGAGAGTCCTTTGTTCCTGGATGTTCAGTTTCCCTCCCCACCCCCACGCCCACCCCCTCCTCTCTCATTATCAAACATTTGAAGACTGAGTAATTCCATTTGTTGATGTCTTTGGCCTCCTCTAGCAGAGCAGGCCAGAGCCTCTGAAAATGCAAAGGCCCCCAATGAAATAAAAACCCCTGGTTTTCAAGGTGGATTTATCACCCTTTAAAGGAATATTTATTGGGTAATCACTTTCCAAAAGTGCTCATGACACAGGGGACTGAAATAAAGAGCGTCCTCTCCCTCGGGCTGAGGGAAGAGGCTGTTGGCCACTTGGATGCAGGGAGGAGGGAGCCTCTTTGTGGCCTATGTCTTGGGAGGGAGCAGCCAGAGACAGGCCAAGTTTCCCCAGCTAAACTCAAGCTGGGGTCTTGCTTCTGTACCTTGGGCCTACTTATTTCTCTCCCGTTTCCAAACCCAAATTGGGTTTGGAAGATGCCACTTGGAAACTTGGGAAGAAGAATTCCTATTAGCATTGTTGTTGCCTTTAAGAAAAGGGAAAAGGAGGAATGCAGAGATTTCAGACCAGACGGGGTGAGCTAGAGATAGGAGACAATCATCCAAGCCAGACCACACTGAGACGGGAATGATTCCTGGCGGATTAGTGGGCTGGGCTGGGCCGGGCCGGGAGATGCACCCCAAGACCAAGCAGAGAAGGAGGATCTCTTCCCCAAGGTCTTTAGCCAACCTCATCTGGACCAAAGGATCTTCCCAGGGATTCAGGTCTGAGTTACAGCCCAGAGAGCAATGGAGGCCCATACATACCTCAGGAAACCATGGAGATGGGGGAGGCGGTGACAAGACAGACAGTCCCAGAGAAAAGCCGCTGGGGTGAAGCCAGAAAGGCAAGGAGGAAAAGAGAAAGAGAGACCAAAAGAACAAAACAGATGGAGGAGACCATAAGATAGACTGAGGGGGAAAGAGAGACAGGAAAAATGTTTGTGTGTGAGAGAGAGACAGAGAGAAAGAGGGTGAAAGAGGGTGAGGAGAGACAGGGATAGAAAGAGGGGGTCAAGGGCTAAAGGAAAACTTTCTGGAACAAGTCTGGCCCAGCCCACACACTCAGAAGCCCTCACACCCTCCCAGCAGCAACTGGAGGTCTTAGGAGTTGATTAAGCCTGCATGGGGGTGACTTTTTCTAGACAAGGGGGTAAGCAAAGGGAAACAAGAGGAGGGGACGCGGCTCTCCCCCATCCCCAGCCACAGTTCCCAGGTGAACCCCCCTTTCCCCTGCTGGATGTGAAATCGCCATTTCACCCCACCACACTCCTTAATTGTTGCAAAAATCATTTGTGAAATTGGTCTCCAACAGGCAAGAACGGCCACGCTCATTCCAATAGACAACCCCACCTCAACCCTTCCCTCTGCAAGGGCCCATGGAATCCCGGAGCTGCAGAAACCCTGGGGGCCTGTGTCGCTACTGCACCCACTACTGTGAGTCTTTTGCAGGGAGGGTGAGGGACCACACTGTGGGCAAGGTGGCCCCAGTGCAGGACTCCTGAGGTTCTGAGGGTCCCTGGCAGCAGAAGTGTCCAGCTATGCACTCGCCCCACTCAGCTCAAGATGCTACATGAGCACTGGCCAGAAGAGAGGGAGCCTCCCACCCTTGGCACACCCTGGAGGTCTTTTCTCACTTGAGAATTGACCTAAACACACACTCACACATTCCTGACGCGCGCTTAGAGCCATACCAAGGCAACCTGGAGGTGACCTCAAAGCAGAAATACAGACATGGACCCTCACTTAGAAACACACATTTACTCAAACTGACCCCAAACAGACCTACACACAAAACCCACCTGCACCTTGACACACAGACCCGGGCACAGGCCTATATTCACACGCAAGCACACTGGCCCATTCCACAAATACAGGGAAGAAGTGCCTTGAAACCTTCCAGGCAGAGGACAGCTAGTGACGAATGAATGGATGAATATGCAATATACCTAATATATATGTGTGTGTGTTATACGTGTGTATGCATAAGTGTATATGATACAAATACATGTATATATACACACAGAGAATATATATCCACCTATGGAGGTCAAAGCAGGCCAGGTCCCCAGCAAGGCTGGTGATGTAAGGGGGTTGCTGTCTTCCCTGGGCACACATGCTATGGCTTAAAGCTTGATCTCCCAATCTCTCCCGGGGGAGGGCCCCATAACTTGGGCCAGGCAAAGTACCCCGGTGTCCCCCTTCCAATTCGAAAGCTACTTGGCATCTGTCTTCTCAGTTAGAGAGAGTATGAGCTCAACAAGTTTTTCATCAGGGCCCCCATTCCCAGAAGGCCCCCCCAAAATCTGATGAGCCCCTTGTGCTAGGAGAGTGGGGAGAGGAGGGAGATCTGTCACATGCTGCAAGGGGCAAAGGTCACAGGTGAGGCGAAGGGGAGGGATGGGGACACCCTGGGGCCAGCCAGCGGTGAGCGCCCCAGGCTAAGACAAGGCTGACCCCACTGCCGAGAGAGGGCGGGCAGGGGGTGAGATTGAGGGCTGGGTTCATTTTATTGTATTTTGCCTCCAGCGTGGGGCCAGAGACGCTCTTTCCCCCGGGAGACAAAAGGCCTGCAGTTGTGGCGTCCTGCCCCGCTGGGAGGGCGTTTCGCCCCCAGGACTCGGTGTCCCGAGGTTGAGGCTACTGGTCACCCTGGCTTCAGAAAGCGAAGAATTCAGGAACCTCTGATCACCCCACCCTGACTCCTGATCATTCAGTTGGGGCGTCCCCTCAAACCCACCAGCAAGGAGCTCAGAGTTGGTGAGTTCAGAGCTGTATCAAGTCTTGACGGGCTCCCTCCCTCCCATTTCCCACCTCTTTGGGCCCCCAGATCCTCACACCAGCACCAACTCCCTGTAAACCCAACTACCTGCTGGAAAGGAGTTATAGGCCCGGCCTGGGGGCCTGAGGAGGACGGCGGCGGCTGGAGACGTCTGCACGGGGCGGAACTGGAAGGGGAGGAAGAAACCTGTGCCTAGCACTTGGCAGACCCACTTTGCCAAGCCTCGGAACCAGATACGGTTACTGGGGGCTTCTCAGAGCGGCAGGAAGGTAGAGTAAGAACCGGACACCGGGGCTCTGACATTACACAGAAAAGGTCAGAATTCCTCCCTTCAAGTCACCCTAGGCCGGTTCCCGGGGAGCCTCACTGGAGGAATTTCAGAGGGTGTAAGACGAGGGAGAAGATGAGAAATAGGGCGGACTCTGGCCCTCGGAGGCCAGAGAAAAGGCGAGACTCCAGAGAGGCGCCGGACCCGAGGCAGACATTCCCATACAGCCGGGACTCCGAGAGCAGCCGTGGGCGACCTGGGGGCCGGGGACTCGGCGGATCCGGCCCATTCATCAAAGGAAGGCACTGGGACAAAGTTGGCCCCCTCCCCTTCTCCCCCAGCCCCCAACTCGCCGGGATCGGCTCCCTCTCTTTTCACGGCGGTTCAAATTCTCCCCCAAAACGAGGTCGAGCCGGGGATTAGAAAAGAGGGAAAAAAATATTCGTTGGCGATTTCTTTTCGTTATTGGTCCTCCGCTCCCTTGCGCCCTGGCCCCCTTCCCTCCTCATGAATAAAAGAAAAGTCCGAACCTATCAGATCGCGCTCACTGCCTCCTCCTCCTCCTCCTCCTCCTCCTCCTCGTACTTCGGTGAACACTTTTGCACAACTTACCCAGCTGATCACTCGCGCCCCCTCGCTTTTCCATTTCTCTTTCCCCAACCCCGTCACCCCCTGTCTCCTCCGTCCAGCCCTGAAACCCGAGGAGGCTCCTTCTTCCGTCTGTCCCCGGGTCTCCTAGGGGACGGGGCTGTGAAAGCTGGTGTGGAGGGAGAAGCGAGTGTGGTCCGGAGAAAGAAGGCGTGGAGAAGAGGGAGGGAGCGAGAGCGAGAGAATAAATATATAAATAAATACGAGAACGAAATCCACTCCGCAGTCTCCGGGCTCGGAAACTTTGGCCCCGAGCGCCAGAGCGCCAGAGCGCGAGAGCGCGGCGCTCGCCACTCTGAGGCTGGCGGCCTCGATTCCGGCCGCGTTCCCCCGGCCCCCCTCCGCCGCGGGGCCTGGTCTCCGGGTTCTGCCAGGCGCATCAGCCCGCACAACTTCTGGCCGAGGCCAGCCGGCAGAGGCGGACTTGGGGTTGGAGTGTTTGTTTGTTTGAACTTCCTCGTCGTCGCCACCTTCCCTCCCCCCAACCTCCACCCCACCTCACCCCCCTCCCCAGCTTCTGGACGCGTTTGACTGCAGCCAGGGGTGGGGGGTGGGGGTAGGGAGTGTGTGTGGAGGGGAGGGAGAAGAGGTTAAAAAAAAGAAGACGAAGAAGACGGAAAGAAAGAGATCGCAGCAGGGGTGAAGGGAGCGGACGGGAAGCGATTTTTGCCGACTTTGGATTCGTCCCCGGCGTGCGCAAGAATGGCGGCCCTTCCCGGCACGGTACCGAGAATGATGCGGCCGGCTCCGGGGCAGAACTACCCCCGCACGGGATTCCCTTTGGAAGGTAAGAACGCCCAGGCTGGCCTCGCCGCGACTCCGCCGCCCGGAACTCGGGGTCCTTGGAGAGGCTGCGGTCTCCAGGGGACGGTGGCGGCGCCGGCGATAGCAGAGGGATCCCGTTCTCTTCTGGGTCCCAGTCCGGGCGCGGAACCCAGGGAGTTTCTGGGACCCATACTTGTCCGCTTCTGCGTGGGTTTCACTGCCCGGCGGCCTTCGTTTCGCAGGTCGCTAGCTGCCGGTCTTTACCCGCAGGGCTGAAATTCTGGTAGATTTGGACTCCTAGTAAATATCAGGTCCTGGTGAATTTCAGCTCTTTCCACTATTTCCAGACACTTCTTCCCTGACAGTTTCTCGGCTCTCCTGGCTCGCTGGCTGCCAGCTTTCTACTCTTGTTTTGAATTATTTTTTCCACCCCCGGGATTGGTCTTCCAGTCCTTTATTTCGAACCACCTACCATGGGTGATACTTTATATGCCTCAACTACCACGGCTATCCATTTCTTCCGAAGCCACAGTCAAACACTCCTGCTTTTCCGCCTGGAAACAAACTAATTGGAAATAATAATTAGTAATGATTTTCCCCCTAAAACTTTTTACTCGGGCTTCCGCACTCTGGAAATCTCCCGGGAGAGAACCTCTAAACGGCGAGGTTTAGAGAACCTCTAAACGGCGAGAGGGGCACGGCAATGTCCAAACGAGAAGAAAGAGCTGATTTTGTAAAGCGTCCTTCCTAAACATCCAGCGCCCGCCCGGGGAGACCCGATAGGACGGGCGGCGGCGAACCGGGTCCTGGCTGGAGAAAAGGCTGGGAGCGCACAGCGGAGAGACCCGCTCCTGTGTTTTTGTTCTGTTTTCTTTTTAAACTAATGGAAGGCCTCAACCTGTCACTGAGGGATCATTTGGCTTCTGAGGGTAGGTAGCCTAGGGTGTCACAGAGAAGTCATTAGAAATATGTGCGACTTTTTTTTTTTAAATTACTCTTCCTGTGATCGTTTGAGTCCCTGGCGCGTGAGGAAGGGGAGAGGAGGCAGGGAGGGGGTGGGTGGGCTGGCAGCCTGCGATCCGGGAGGAGCTCCCTTGGGCAGCGAGACGGCGCCGGGTCCCTGAATTAGACAGAGGCGAAGAGAGCGGCTCCGTGATCAAGTGCGCGCCGGCAGCCACGCAGGCGGGAGAGCGCGCAAACCCGGGGATTTGCAGTGGCACTCTCCTGTAGCGAATGCAAGTAAAACAGGCGGCTGAGGACGCGCGGCGGATTAGAACAATATTTGCCCAACATGACGCAGAATACTGAGGAGAGCCGAGTGCCGGTCGCTAAAGAGGCTCTTGAATATAAAGTTGGGCGCTCGAGAGCTCTTGAGCGCTAATGGCATATCCCGCCACGGAGACCGAGTGACTCCGACTTTGCGACGCACGATTTCTGATTAAATCCGAGAGTGGCTTCAGACACCGACTTTTACAAAGAGAGGTGGGGGGACCGGGAGAGCGAGGGAGGGGGCGGTAGGAACGGCCCAGCAGCGGAGCCTCTTCTCGCCTCCTCCCTTTCAATTACAGTCAGCTCCCTCCACTCCCGCGGCTGTGAAATCGTTCTAATCTTCCAGATCTCCGCAGCCGCTGAGTCCCCAAATTGGGGGGATCGAGGCCGGATTAGTGCGCTGGGTGTCCCCCCAATCTTCTGTGAGGAAATTGTGTAGACTTTGCATTAAGGCAACCAGGCGTTCTCCCCTCCCCAGCACACACCAGTGATGCCTGTCTTCCCGGTTCCCAAAGTCACCCCCACCCGGGGGGACTGTGTCCCATCTGCCTACCAGCCTCGCAGAGCCTGCAGGCACAGTTCATGGATTTGTGAGGCCAAGTCGACTATTTAATTTAGGAGCTTTGGGGCAGTAGTGTCCTAAAATTGTCCCAAAACGAAATTAGGACTTCGAGGGTGGTTAGAAGCAAGGAGAGTCACCCAAGGGACAACCAGGTGCCCTTGGAGGCAGCAGCCAACAGCATATGTCACCCGTCCCTCGGCTGTGCCTCAGCTGTTCCCTGGGACAGTTCCACGGCTCTAGCCAGAGCTGTAAATGTAGTAATCAGCCAGGCCTTTCTAGCCCCCAACAAACTGGATCATTCATGACTACCAGGAGCGTAGAACTGAGCAGATGAGCCACATCACACCCGTTATTGGCCTCTCCAAGACGCAGGCAGGCCTGCAGCCCAAGCTTCGGCCTGAGGGACAGATAGTCATTGGTCCCAAGATCTCTAAGGCTCTACCAGCCTGGTGGCTCTGTCTGCAGTCTCATCTTCATCTCTCTCCCTCCCCTTCTTAGCAGCATTCGAATCCCCCAGGTGTGTCCTCATCCCTCGTAGTGTGGCAGGAGTTGGGGGACACAGCATCTGGGGAGACTCTTGCAGCTGTGACTCCTCTATCCATCTCTGCAGGAGATTTCCTAGATTTATGACAGTTGTTTCTCAAACTACCTACCTACCGAAGCCCCAGTGTGAGGACCACCGGGATTGCTGTCTGAGGTCTTGGGGCTCAAACAAACAAAACTGGAGTCAGGGAGTGTACTCAGTGTCTGCTCTCCATCCTCACCCTGCACCTCTCTCCTTCTGCATCTCCCCTCCCTTCTCCAGTGTCCACCCCGCTTGGCCAAGGCCGGGTCAATCAGCTGGGAGGGGTCTTCATCAATGGGCGACCCCTGCCTAACCACATCCGCCACAAGATAGTGGAGATGGCCCACCATGGCATCCGGCCCTGTGTCATCTCCCGACAGCTGCGTGTCTCCCACGGCTGCGTCTCCAAGATTCTTTGCCGCTACCAGGAGACCGGGTCCATCCGGCCTGGGGCCATCGGCGGCAGCAAGCCCAGAGTGAGTGTCTTTGCCACAGAGGCTGGCAGCTGGCTTCCTATAGTCGGGGGCTCCTGGTTGTGGCCCCTCTTACTACCTCGTGGCACCAGGCTGTAGGAAAGTACAGCTGGAGGGTGTCTTCTACTCCCAGATGTCCTCCCATTGTTTTCCTATTATTTGAATTTCTCAGAGATGGAGCTAAGTGAGGTCTAGGTTGTGCAAGACCTTGAGGCCAATGAGCCATTCCTGGACTGTCCCCACATTTGCCTCAACCCCTGTCACCTTCCAAGACCAGAAGACATCTTCTCTCAGTCTTTCCTGAGATAATGACGGGGACCCTGGGGGTCCTAATTAGAGTTTTTTATTGCCTATCCATGTCCCACCCCACCCCACCTGGCCAGACCCCCAGCTGCCTTCCTGGGAGCCAGGAACCGGTTTCTTGAAAGGATAAAGCCAATCTCTTGGGGGATGGGGGGACACAAGGTAACCAGAACCACCAGCCTGGTCTGGGGCTCTTAAGAGGTGATATTAAAAGTATTTTCCTCCCCCCATCCCATCTTTCCACTCCTACTCTCCCACCTCCACCTCTGAAGCAGGTGGCGACTCCGGATGTAGAGAAAAAGATTGAGGAGTACAAGAGGGAAAACCCAGGCATGTTCAGCTGGGAGATCCGGGACAGGCTGCTGAAGGATGGGCACTGTGACCGAAGCACTGTGCCCTCAGGTGAGAAGGCAGCTGAGCCGGCAGAGCTGGCCCAGAGTGTGGCCAGGGGTCCAGTGTGGAGGGCTGGAGGTGGGAGAGAGGGGAGAGGAGATGATGGCTGACTGTGAACTTACTGAGAAGTTGGGAGGAAAGGAGTACAGAAAGGCAGAGTTAAGGCATAGGAGTAAATCAAAACAGAATGGAATAAGATGGAAAGAAGGAATAGGGAAAGAAAAAAAGTTAAGAAAGGAGAGAGAAATAAGAAAGGGAGGAAGAAGGAAGGAAGGAAGGTAGGAAGGAAGGAAGGAAAGAAGGAAGGAAGGAAGGAAAGCAGGCAGGCAGGTGGGCAGGCAGGAATGGGCAAAAAGTTAACCTAGAAAGCTGGATGATAAGAGAGCCCCCCTGGAGGCTTTTTCGGAGAAAATGGCTTCAATAGATGGATCTGTCCTAGGAGGGTGGATGCCCATGGGCTTCCCTAGACCACCGTCTCAGAGTTATGATTTCTGCTGTCGCCAACACCAGCCATTTGAGTCCTAAATTTGGAGGTCCCAAACCATACTGCCTGTGAGAGAGAAAGTGATCTGTTGTGTGTGTGTGTGTATGTGTGTGTGTGTGTGTACATGTGCATTCAGGCACGCAGGGCCAGAATGCACACCTGAGTGTGGGAGTGGCAGCAGGAGCTGGAGAGACTCCAGAGAGGCCCTGGGACCTCTCGGGGGTGTGGGTGGAAGTGCACCTAGGCAGGTGTTAGTGTAAGGCACGAATGCATGCAAGCATCTGCATAGAAATGCACAGTCTAACCACCCTGTGAGTGCCCGGGGTGTGAGTCAGGCTTCTCCAAGTGGATGCTGGTTATGGAGTACGTGTCAATGCCTAAATGCCTGTGTGTGGAAGAGGGATGAATGGATATCTGTAAGGAAGCAGGGGGCTTCCTGACTTTCTCCCAGGGGCCCAGGCCACCGCTCGCTCCTCTGCTCCAACAACTTATACTTGCTCTTTTGCCTTTGAATTTCTGAGGTTTAGTGAGTTCGATTAGCCGCGTGCTCAGAATCAAGTTCGGGAAGAAAGAGGAGGAGGATGAAGCGGACAAGAAGGAGGACGACGGCGAAAAGAAGGCCAAACACAGCATCGACGGCATCCTGGGCGACAAAGGTAGGGAACTTCCCTGGGCTGCGAGGCCCCAGCCCGGGTTTTCCCACGCTCCGGTGTGCGGGCCAGTGGTTCGCTCCCGCCGCCGGAGCAGGCGACCAGAACTCCAGCGGAGAAACTCTCATGCTGCGGGGCAGCTGGGAGCCGCTCAGGCTTTGCCGACAGCGCCCCCTCGGTGCGCACCCCGGATGCCGGCTAGATGCGAAGCCCGCGCCTTCTTTGCGCTATGGAGGCCGGGCACGGACGGCCTGTGAGTCCCGGGAGAGCCCGGCTGCGGGGCTGCGCGCCTGGTCTACCCCAATACTGCGGGGAGTGCGTCCTCCCGGGCTGGCGTTTTGGCTGCTACTCTCGGCGTCGATCAATTATTTATAGGAAACTTGGGCAAGGGGGCGGGGGACGGGAGGGAGGGAGAGAGGAAGGAGGAGCCGGCCCGCGGCTCCCTAAATGAATTTGTTAACCAGACCCCCACACGCTCTCTAAACGGTCCCTTGAAACCCCGCCTGACAGTTGACTGACCGCTGCAATCAATAAAAATTAGCCAGGGCCGCCGCCTGACTCAGCCCCGCGTTGCCAGGGCGGACTGGGGGACAGAGAGTGCCTTCCTCTGTGGCGTGCGCCGGCAGGGCTGGGAGTGGAGGCCAAGTTCCCAGATGCCCAGGGTCGGAGGATCGCAGTGGGGGAGAGACCCAGGCTCCACACACCCTCTCCCCATTCTTAGCACGGCTTCCGCGGGCAGGCTGGAGTCTGAGTCCTGCGCCATGCTTTTTCTCAGGATCAGCTAAGGAGGGCGTTTAGTTTTCAAGCGCCCGGAAGCCCGGGAAAGGGGATTGTGCTTTTGTTTCTTGACGGGAGGAAGTTTCGAGAGAAGGAAGGGAAAGTTTTTCCTCATTACCCCCTCCCCTTCCTCATTGCCCTCATAATTCCCCTCCTAAGTCTCTTTGAGACTTGGTAAGTGCACGTTAAGGGGCGACAGGGAGAGAAACAGAAATGGAAGACCCAGAGTCACAAAGACTGACAGTTAAAGAAAAGGCCCCAAACACATACGCGGAGAGGCGGCAGGCTGAGGGAATCGGAAAGACAGTGGCCATGGGAACCCGCAGACTGATGGCTTTGGAAAAAGTGGCGAGTGCCCTGGAACCTGAAAGCTTGCAAAAAGCCAGTGTTGTTTCAGTCTCCCTTCAGAGGTTTCTCCCAGCACCCCTCTCCTCACGACCCAAGCACTCCTAGCCCAGGTCTCTCTCCAGTTCTCAGAAGACCCTCCCAACCTTGAAGATGAACTTCACAGACAAAGCCGGCTTACTAAGACAACTCCCATCTACGCCCAGCCCCCACAGGCGTGGTCCGAGGAGGAAGGATGGGTGGCCGGGCAGCCCCGTGTGACAGCGGCCTGGAGCGAAGGGAAGGGGCGGCCATTGACAGACAGGGCCCCTAGTGATGCCGCAGTCCCGCCCGGGACAAAAGGGCGAGGGAAGAAAGGGAGCCAGCTGTGCCGGGCGCCCCGCTGTGCCCGGCCTGCCGAGGGGCCACGGGTCTGCGGCGGGAGGCAGCCCTGCACTGCCAAGCGGTCCTTGGCTAGGCCAGTCGGCCCAGAGCCCTGGGACACCTGCCGGGGGACCCAGTCCTTATTTCAGTTCCCATTGGAAGGAGACTAGATGGACTTTTTGTGGGTTGTGGAGGGGAGGCATAGAACTCGAATAATCTTTCCTGGACAAATAATCTTTCCTGCACAACAAACAACTCTTCTGAGGTTATCCCAGGGAGAAGCAGAGGAGGTTTGGTTTTCCTTGGAGAGACTTTAATTGTGTTTGCACGCAGGGAGTATATCCAGTTCAATCTGTGAGGAAGCACAAATAGGTAAATTTCCTCTGAGAAAAAAGGGAAGGGAAGGAAAGGAAGAGGATGGAAAGATCGTGCGGTTTGGAGGATTCCTCTGATTCCAGGGAATGCGGGGCGTTCCATGCTGGCCTGTGCTCACCACACCAGCTAACAAGCCACTTTGCTGGATAGAGGTTTTCCCTGCAGCAGAACCAGGAAGAACCACGTCTCCAAGGGTTTAAAGTGGAGCCTGTGCCAGATGGGGGAGGCTGAGGACACAGGTGCTAAGTCTAGAGGAGCTGAAGAAATGAAATGATCTTATGCAGTGAGCCTGGTCTCCAGAAAGTCCCGCAGTTTTTGCGTGACAGTGGGTGTGCTGGGTGCGCTGATTGTGCTTTGAATGGCTGTGTAAGCGCAAGCATCTCTTAGTGTGACTGTTTACCCACGGGCCTTCTGATCTGAATGCTGTAGGCCATATATCTGTGCAAATGGGATTCAGCATAGATGTGCAGGGAGTGTGTAGATGGGTGTGAATGGGCAATATGATGGTGCAGATGAGAGAGGGCCATCTATCCATCTGTGAGCAAATTGTATCCGTTTCCTATTTGAGTTCCTGGGCTGGTCGGCAGGCACCCCTGTGAACCCCTCATCTCTCTTCCAGGCCCCAGACATCAGTTTCATGTCCAAGTTAAAGGTGAAAAGACCTTCCAATCTCCATCCGAGTAATCCAGGTAGGGAGAGGCAGAGATGCCCCATGGCCAGAGCAGGGGGAGTTGTGCACACCCACAACTTTGTTTTGGCTTCTTGCTCTTGAAAAATGCTTTCTCTGGGGGAGTTGCCCCTCTCATGGCAGGGAGCCACCAAAGAAGGGGTTTAAGAGCTCTCCTCTTTAAGCACTAAAGAGAGATCCCTCCCTGAGTCCGTTTTTTCCTATCGTCCGCTTGGCATTTAATAATGTTAAGACTTATTAGAGCTGGTAATGAAAACTGGGACTGCTGAATAGGAAACTGTGTTGGAGAGGGGTGTAATAGCTTCCAGGCATGGTAAGAAACTATTTATCCGCAATCAGTTCTCACTCTCAGAGTTTGAAGCACAAACGTTAAGTTGAAGGGTTTTAAAGCAGATTAAATTGAGCTTTTATTTCTGTGCACTTTCATCTCTGAACAGCTCACTCCTGCTCCCCTTGGGCTGATATTCATGAGGCTGTTCATATTTTTTTTTTTGCTCTTATCCTTGTTAAGACTGAGTTATTAGGATTGTTGGTGGTGAGTATTCTCAGACCGTTGCCGATAGGTGCTTGCCCCAGTCAAGCTTGGCTCACCTGGAAAGGGAAGTGGACAGTTCCTTGCCCCCATGCACTTAGACTCCCTCCTCTTCACCCCTTTCTCCGAGGATCAGGGGATAGACAGGCCGGGGACCCAACAGGGAGGGGATTTGAGGAGAGAAGAGAAAGGAAAAGATTTTCATAGAATCTGAGCTCAGAGAGATTCTTGTGGGGAATTTGATAGGGGTTTGCAATGGGTCAAACCGTTCCTCAGTGGGAGCTGAGGGAGTGAGTGTGAAGAAATAAGCAATAGTATAAAAAACAATAACAGCAGTGACAAACAATAAGAACACCAAAGCCGCATGCATCTGACAGTGCACCAGTTTAAGCCAAAACTGACCGGATCAGACCAGGGGCTCCGCTTTGTTCTCTAGGATGGAAAGGCCAATGAGGTTACAATTAATATGAAATATAGGGAAAAGTTACAAGATTAGAAAAAAGAAGTAGTAGTAGTGGAGGTAGCATTTTTCTCCAGGGGACGGGGCGGGGGGGAAATCCTGGGGGTGTCAAAGTCCAGGTGGAGAATTTGCAGACTTCCTGGGTGTGAAAGACCATCTGAGGTGGGGGGAGGATTGGCGAGGACGGCGAGTGAGGCAGATTTGTTTCTCTTTGTATTTTTCCTTTATTTATTTTTAAGGCAGCAAACTTACAGGTGTGGAGTGGGAAATGACGGGGAAGGATCGGAAAGGAGGGGAGAGCCCGGAGTGTCGGTTTTAGACACTTGTAAAAGGAGGTGGGAAACAATTTAATTTGGCAGCAGCGATAGCTGCTAATGCGGTTTTCGGTCGTTTGCTACACTGGAGGAAGCTGTTTTGATTGTGTGTACAAGGACCTGCCAAATTTAATTAGGCTCCGGGGGAGCGAGTGAATAGGGGAAGGGGGGCACGGCTCCCCTCAGCCCACACCATTTTTTCGGCTTCACACCTGGAAGGGACATTGTTTACGGGATCTTCGAAAACCAGGAAGGGGCGGGGGCGGAGAGGGACAGGAGCCTTGGAAGCGGGGGCGAGGGAGGGGACGAGGATAGTCCATTTATCACGAAACAATCTGCATTGATTTAAACCAACAAGTTCCCTCCTCTGTAAATGTGTGTTTAGAGAAAGGTAATTGACACTCCACCAAATCAAAGGATTACCCCGGGTTGGCAATCTAATCAAACAGAGTCCAGGCGGGATTTGAAGCTGTTCAGAGTGGGATCAGCTTCGCATAATGGGGGCTCGGAGGAAGATGGGAGGGTGTCAGGCAATTCCCGGCTTTAGGCAGCGCTCGGCGGTGGATATCCAGTGCGACCAGAGGGAGAGAGGGAGGGGGCGCTGGAGGGGCGCGCCGGGCCGGGGGCTGGGGGGGATGGGGCGAGCGGAGAGGGGCGTGCGGAGCTGGGAACGTCCCGGCGGAGGGGGCTCCCGGCGGAGGGGGCTCCCGGCGAGGGGCCGAGCCCACACTGGGCTGACAAGGCTCCCCTTTTCTTCCCTCCATCCCCCCAACCGAAGAAGAGAGAGGGGGAGGCGGGAGCAGAGACTAACGAGAAACAACAATGAGGAGATAACTATTACAAAGGCAAACACTGGCGCTCGCGCGCTCGCAGCCCCAGAACCCGCGGTAAATAAACAAAGTCTGCAAACTGTTTGCTAGATAAACTCGTGCCTAAATTGAGTGTGACGAGCAAGGAGAGAAGAGACAGAAGGAGATAAGGTTGGAGGGGGATGAATGAGCATAATCTAATAGAAGACATTTAGAAAACAAACTTTAAACAAGGGAGAACAGGCGAGCGGAGGGCAATTATCCGCCCCAGAGAGCGGGGGAAGCCGTCGGAGGTCTGGGAAGGGGTGGAAGGGAGGGGACTGGGAGCTGCGGAAGAGCTGAGTGTTGGGGGGTGCCTTTGGGACTCCGTGGGGAGCCAAGAGGGGCTCCCCAGGGCGCGCAAGAAAAGAGGCTCGGTTCCCGGATTGAGTGAGGTTCCCGTGCTCAGCCGGTCTTGGAACGCAGGCACGTCTGAACCGGGTGGGGTCCCCCGCTGCGAGGGCGTGCGGGTTTTGTGTTCCCCTCGGGGCACGCACCGCCACACTTGGGCTGTTTCAAGGCGTTTGTACCTAAAAGACTAGTGTGCACGGCGCAGCGGTTAAAGGAATTAGATATTTACCAGTTTGAAATAAGCCTGGCTAAGAAGAAGAGAGAAGAGAGACATTGAAAAGACGAGGCTGGGGGAAGACTTCAAACGAATTCATCATTTGGAATGGTGGAGGGGAGATTTACCAGACAGTATTGGGAAGTTATTTAGATATTAATAACACATTTTCCTGAGGCGCGACCACAGCAGCCATCTGCGCTGCTCTCGGAGCTATTTGGCTGGGTAAAATATGGGCGTCTCAAATGTTGGGAAGAGATAACGCAATCAGGCTAACCCTGGTCCTGAGACTGCATCGCAGCGTTAAACCCGGATTAACCTCCCCCCCCCCAACTCCCGCGGCCCCCTCCCCTTTCACAGCTTTCCAAATTTTCAGTGGAATTTACATGGAAGGATTTAAAAGCACATATAACAGTAGCCTTAAAGCAGTAAGGTGATTATTTGGGCTTTTTTTTTTAAGAATGTCTTTCTGAAAATGATAGTTGTCACACATTACATTATATATAAATAATATTATATAAAACATATTTTTATATAGGAAAAGAGGGCTGAGCAAATGAGATTTCATTCCAGGTTACCTCTTTGGAGTTTCTATTTGCCATCATTCTATCACCATCAACAAAGTTGATGAGGCTTCATTCTGTACTGTGAGGCAAGAGCACCTAAGGATATAAACATGTAATGTACAAGGTCCTGGCCGTGGCCCTGGAAGCTCATAGTCTAAGACTAGACAGAACTCACACCCCTGAAAAGACAATGCCTGGTTGAGGGAAGGGTTCCTGCACAGAGGAGAGACCCCCAAAGAAAGGTTCTCTAGAGGCTCTGGGGCCTTGAAGGCCATGACTAAGGGGGGAGGACACATTCCAGAAATTCCAGAAAAATAGCTCTTCTCTCCCTCCCATTGCAGACTAAAGGGGTAATTAGCAAACAGGATGAGGGTTAGAGGCGCTGGGAAGATTAGGATGCCCCCCTCAGTTTTTGCTGTCCGGGGCCTTCCCTCTTCTTTTCCCCTTCCCCCAACTCTGGCTGAAAGAGGAAAAGGTGGAAATGGGGTCAGCGCTTTCTGACCTGCTCTGGAGCGATTGGCCCCGGCTGGGGTGGAGCAGGGGGAGGGAGGGAGGGAACTCGCCTTCCCAAATCGAATCAAGGCAGAACGGTGACCTAAGGGGGAAACTTCGCCATTAGTAGATAGATGTCTCCAAAACTTCAAACGAAGTGGGGTGGGGGAGAGGTGAGGCGGGGAAGGAGTCCAGTGAGAGCGCAGGGGGAACTACCAGCATGGGAAGGGGAGGGGCCTGGAGGAGGAAGAGACGGGGTCGAGGGCAAAGGGGAGGCGGGGGCCAAAGGAAAGGGTGTGGGGAGGGGATGCGAAGGGAGGGGGTCGGCTGCACTTGGAACTTCAACCTCCTGGGAGAGGAAAAGCGTCTGCGGGTCGCTACAGCCTCGGGAGGGGTGAAGGGAAGTTGTGTGCGCCCCAAGTCCAGCTCAAAAGAGGCCCCGAGGGCATTCTAGGGCGCCTTGGGCACGCGTGCCAGGCCCCCGGTTTGGCAGCCGAGCTGAGCGAGGGTGGATTGCGAGGGGCACTGGGGCCGCCGCGGAGCTCTGCGTGTCGGCTGCCAGTGAATTGGCCGATTTCCCCAGTCTGAGGGTCAGCGAACGGACCTTTCCATGGCTTGGTCGCCCTGGTCCTGGAGGTGCGCTGGGCCCGAGCTCCGGTGGAGACCAAGGGAGGGGTGGGGAGAGGCAGCGGAGACAGAGAGCCACAGAGGAGGAGAGAGCTAGAAAATTCAGAGTGAGAAAGTCTGAGCGCAGCAGAAGAGAATCTTGCGCACAGTTTGAGGACGCTGGAAAATGCGGAGGCGCCGAGGGAGGCGCCGAGCAGCAGGAAGAAAGACAAAGAGATGCAGAATCACCGAGAGACTGGCCCTGGGACAGGCGGATCAGGAGAGCCAGCGGGACCTAGAGACAGCCCGCGGGAGAGCACGGGCCGAGAGGGCGAGTGCTCAAAGCCGGGCAGCGGCTAGGGGAAGATAGGAGGCGGGCGAGCCGCGGCCGCCCTTTTGATCCTTCGTGGCTTCGCCTTATCAGAAGCGCTTTCGGTGACATCCGCACAAAGGCAGTTCATCATATTACAGCACGTCCCGGCGGCTCGCTGCGATCCTGCCGCTTAATTAGAGGCGAGCGAGCTGGGCCGGCAGGGCGGGAGGGAGGCCGACCCCGAGGCGGGAGGCCGGGTTCTGCGCTCCAACCCGGGGCGCTGGGCAGGGGCCAGCCCGCGTGCCTGGCGGTGTTGGGACGTGGAGAGAGGGAGAGGCCGGGAACTGCATTCAGAGCGTTGCTAAATTAACAGGCCGGCCCGGGCTTCACTGCCCGGAGAGTGAAGCTCGCCGCCTTCCAATTTAGCCGCCGCCCCTTCTAAGTTCTTGGGAAGGGATGGCGCTCCGGCCACTTTCCCCTCTTCCAGGCTGCGAACGCTGCGGACTGGAGGGCGAGTAATGGGGAGGCAACCCAGGGCGAGCTGAAGGCTTAGTGCAACTCCGGGTCCAGGTCGCACCCACCAGCCCCCCGCGGCTGTGTTCCATCCCCTCCTCCGACCGCCTTGCTCTCCATCCGAACCCAGGTGTGCCAGGCTGGAGCAATCTGAGAGGGGCAAAGTGCATCGTGGTCGAGGTTCTACTGTCCATCCCACCCGCAACTCACTAGCGATATCACTCTAGACAACCCATTCAACTTCTTTGGGCCTCAGTTTCCTTCCATGAAAAAAGAGAATTAGCTAAGACAAATGTTGTTATCCTTTTAGGGGATCCTGGATCCCTTTAAGAATAGGCTAAAACCGAAAAAATAATTCTAAAACCTTGCCATTTACATACTTATATACTTTCATACAGGCAGAATTTTTCATCTAGTATAAAGGGGTCTTTGGGGCTTCTAGAGGCCACACCCCATTCAGAACCTCACATCTGCGTGCTTCCTGATGACTTCAGTATTCTCCAGGGAGCTTCTGATTCCAGCATCAGGAAGCTCAAAATGAGGACATGGGGCGGAGGGGCACTGAGATCCTGCCCTTGGTCTGGTCCTTGCTGCTTCCTCCCCTCTCCAAAACAGAGCGGAGAGCTTCTCCTCCACCCCACTTGGTATTGGAAGGGTCCTTTGGGAAGTGTTTATATGCTGATATAAGCACGTGTACTATGCTCCCCCTTTTACCTATACCACCCAAAAGAGAAATTTTCCTCTGGAGTGTATGTGTGTGAATGTCTTCATTCATTCTGCAAAAATTTTTGGAGCACCTACTAGGTGCCAGGCGTTGTGTTAAGTGACCTCAAGAAGGTCCCTGCCCTCATGGAGTTCTGAGCCAGGCGGTGGAGACAGAAAATAAACAAGCCCGCAAATAAACAGATGTGTCTCGTTATGTGTTTGTTGTGTGTTTACCTGGATAGCTTTGTGGGCTTCCCTCTTCGCAAGACTGTCTTGTGTCTGGGTGTTTGTGAATGGTGTGTGAGTGTGTGTGCGCGCGCGCGCGTGCGTGCGCACGACAGCAGAGTGTGTTTGCGGGGCTGGGGCTGAATTTGGCAGCCAGCCCCCAAGCTGACCTCTGGAGTGGCCCGCGTCGGCGGGCTGGGCCTTGCTTCGCCACGGGTTCGAGGGAGAGGCGGAGGGAGGAGCGGCTGGGCTGCGGAGCCTCTTGCCTTCACTGCACTCTTTGTCTGACACCACGAAAAGACCGAAGATCAAAGAGGCCCCCGAGCGGGACAGAAAAAGGGGTGGGGCGGCGGGCGCGATAAGTAGCTCGGAAAACTCCACCCTAAACTTTTCTGGGTCCTTTCCATGGGACCCAGACCCTACAGAACCTCACCCAAGTGGGCGAGTGGGCGGCCGGCCGTGGGTTCTCTACAGTCCCAAGCCTCCGCGAGGGCGACAGGTGGAGAGGGACAGCTACGGCTGCGGGCTCCAATTCAGGCCGAGGTCTTTCGGTGACTGGAGAAGGTGGAGACAGAGCAACATTCAGAAGTTTTGTGAGGCGTGTGTGTGTTTGTGCGGTGTGTTCTGAACACTTTTGCAGGGAGATTGTGAGTCTGGATCAAGCCTCCTGGTTTCCTGAAAACTTGCCTTAAGTCTGCTCTGGCTTTACCTGGGCTGCAGACTTGGGAGTTGGAAGGAGTCAGGAGGAGTCCTAAGGAAGCTTCTGGAACCTCTTGTTCCCAGTGGAAGCCTGCAGAAGCACCTCCGTCTCCCGCACTTTCTTGTAACCACAGCCCTAACTCAGGAAGCTGGTCTCTAAGCCACCTGGCAAGGCGCTTTCCCCCGCCTCCCGCGGTCCTCACCCTGCAGCTCTCCTTCCCGCCTGGACTTCTTGAGTTCGAATTCACCCTTCCGAGGGTCTAAAAATATGGTAGAAAAATAAAGTCCAATGTGGGGGGATATACCCCATCCTCCATTCTCCTCCCTCCCGCTGCCTGCAAATGCCAAAATTCAAAATGCCCACCCGTTCTACCTTTTCCATGGGGGAAGATTCTGAATGATTGCAGAATCCCAGCATGTCCGGGATTTGTCGGAGGTCCTCGGAGTGAACCCTAAGAAAAGAGGCCTTGGAACTTTCTTTAATAAATGGGGCTGAACCTCCCTCTCTCTTCAAATTAGGTTCTGGTTGGGACTTTTTCTCTGGTGGCCTGGTGGCCCATACAGGGGACACAGAGAGGTTTGCCCAGAGCTGCCTGTTACAGGCAATTACTGCTGTAAATGGCCCCCTTTGCGTCGACCCTCTTCCCCAAAAACCCGGTCTTTTCCGTCTCGGCGGTACCTGAGCCTCAGTTTCCCTATCTGATTAGTGAGGATAAGAGCCGCTCCTGGCCTCCCCAGGCAGCAGGAAATTAGGGCCGGGAAAGCGGTTTGGAAACTGGTCAGCGGGTGCAGGCGGGCAGAGGGTGGGAGGCGTCAGGAGTTCGTCCTCCTCCCCGGGGCGCCCCCTCCCCGCCGCCCTCTCGGCACAGTCCCCGCTCGCGCCTCAATGGCCACTTTAGAAATACAAACAACTTTAGAAATAAAGTAACCAAACCCCCGAAAGCGGCTTTGAAGAGGCGAATGCCTGGTGGCGCTTTACTATGGTGTGGGCCGAGGCCCCGGCCTAATCCCGCTTTCATTTCCACCGACGGCCGCGGGGGAAGCGCTCCCGGCCTCCCGGCCCCTCAGGAGGCTGATTAGGCCACAAAGAGCCCCCATTATCCCGAGAAGAAAACCGGGGGGCGGCGCGGGGCGGCGCGGCGCGGGGGGAGCGGCCCGCCCGCGCCCGGGCTATTGACTTAGTGGATGAAGTCAAGAGCGGGCACGCTGGGAGCCCGGGGGTGGGGTGGGGGGGAGGGCTGGGGCCTTGGGCGGGGATCCCGGAGGTGGGGTGGGGGAAGGGCTGGAGGGGGAGGGGCGACCCGCGCGGGAAGGGGCGGGGGACGGAACAAAACAGAACGCACAAAACCCACAACAAAACCGAGCTCCGGGCGAGGGGAGCCGGGCCCTGGTGCAGGGCCTCGTCTGCTGAGCTTGGCTGGGTCAGCTGCCCGCGCCGGCCAGCGGAGGGGAGGGGGGCAAAGGACCTGGGCTCCGCCGCCACTGCCGCCTGGGCTGGGTTGCTTACTTGGGACGGGGTGGTGGAGGAAAGGAGAAAGTTGCAGCCGTTGGACAGTCTGTCGCTAAGTGCTACATGGCTTGGGCACGCGGCTCTGTGGCTCAGGCTCTCTAGTCCTCCTCTGTGACCCCAGGGAGCTGGGTACAGAGGTCTCCAAAAGTCATCCCCGCTGTGGTGGCCTGCGAATCTGTGGTCACAGCTATAGTGGATGCTGTAGAGGAGATGCCTGAATTGGGCGGGGTGGGGGGGGAGAGGAGAAGGAGGCAGGAGATTGAAGGAGAAAGAGGAGGACCCTGGATTCTGAAAGATCTGGGTAATTTTGAGTGAAGCATTCTGAGATCCTAGATGTCCTCTTCTGCAAAATGGGTCCATGGACACAACCTCAAAGTAGGCTAGGAAGCGTAAATGCTATAATTACGTAAAGTACAGGGCAAACTGGGAGGCTGGAGAAATATCACTCCCCCATCCTCTCCTGCCTCCTCATTTCCTCCAAGGCTTCTTTCAGTCACTCCCCTATGACTTGAGAAATAATAGGGGCCTTGGAAGAAACGGGCTGTGAATCCATAAGTGATCACCAAATGTGGGCGCAGGTGGGGTGGGGGCAGATGCTCAGCCAAGTGCAAATAAATAGTATCCCTCCTGATCTACAGTTCTAGACAGAAGAAATAGACCTGCTCTGTGGGCAGCTCCTCATTCAGCAGAAGGTCAAGAGAAGAAGGTAGAAACGCACAGAGCCAGTTCCTGGAGCCCAGTAGACACTGTTCTGTGTGTGGAGGGACTTCCCTCCCCTGATGGCTTCTGTCCCCACAGGCAGAGGCTGGGCAGCCTTGACTGACAGGGTAGGGAGGTGTGGGTGAGTGCTCTGGTTTGAGGAGATGGTGAAAACATCCTCCAGGTATAAAGGAGGTAGGTGAGGGTATGTGACACAGGCTCCTACCTGACTGGCCCCCAGTCACCTCCCCTCCCCAACCACAGCTGTTTTCCCCACCCCCAGCCATCTCCCAGAAAAGGGGCCCTGACTCCAGTGATTTGGAAGTTCTTTGAAGGCAATGTCACTCTTCATCCATTCACTCTACTACTTTATTTTTGTCTTTTTTTTTTTTTTTTTTTGAGACTGGGTCTTGCTCTGTCACCCAGGCTGGAATGCAGTGGTGTGATCACTGCTCAGTGTAGCCACAACCTCCCAGGCTCAAGCGATTCTCTCACCTCTGCCTCCCGAGTAGCTGGGACTACAGGCACGCACCACCACACCTGGCTAGTTTTTGTGTCTTTTTGTAGAAACAGGATTTTGCCACGTTGCCTGGGCTGTTCTGGAACTCTTGGACTCAAGCGATCCTCCCATCTTGGCCTCCCAAAGTGCTGGGATTATAGTGATGAGCCGCCATGCCCAGCCATTCCACTACTATTTATCAAACCCTAGGTTGTGTGGGATGTGCTGGGGAGGATAACCCCCACTGCCGGTCCAGACTCATCAAAGGCTAAGTTAAGGAGGTAGGACTTATTCCAAGGGCAGCGGGGAGCCATGGAGGATATTTCAGTAGGGGACTGATGGATTCACCGAGCCGAGAATGTACCGGAAGATGTGGAGATACCAGCTAGGAGGTCAAGGCTGTGGGAAAGGAGCAGAGAGGTGCAGAGGGGCTGGAGAGCAGAGGATGCAAGGAGACATGGTTAGGAGAGGACTGCCCCAGCTGGAGGTGGAAGAGGAGGAAAGCAGCCCATTCCCAGACTCCCGCCACTGATGCCCAAGGGTACTGAGCCCGTGACTGGCTGCTAGGTTCATTCAAGGGAACTTGGAATTCCTCTGCAGGCTGAGATTACAAAGGGTGGAGTCAGACTCAAACAGGCCTTAGAGGTCATCTGGCCATTTTACAGATGGAAAAGCTCAGGTCCAGAGGGAGTGACATGAGTGAGGCCAATGGAGGGGAAGGCCACTCTGGTCTGCTGACAGTTATGTGCGGGTACAGGAGCAAAACGGACTGGTGGAAGCTTTGCTCCCAGGAATTAGGAAGGCATGGGATAAGGACAGCCATGGGAATGAGGCCTTTCCCCATGCTGGCAGTTCATCGCCCTTCGTGTTTAATGTGACACATGCCTTAAAGTTCTGATTCACAGAGGGGGAGACTGAGGCACAGAGAGTTGATTAGCCCAAGGAAGTAAGGGGAGGAGGGTCCCCTTCTAACAGGCTCTGCAGGACTCTGACACCTTTGCCCTAAGAAGCCTGAAGGGCAGCAAGAATCTCCTCTTCTTACCCCATCTGGACAATTGCAGCCCCCATCCCCCTCCCCCGTTCTTCATAAACCCCAGATTCTCAGGTCCAGGGGAGACTGTGGTTCAAGCCATTGCCACACCCACCCCACCCCGCTATCACCCACACTCCCAGCACCCATAAGCACCTACTGGGATCTCAAGCCCTGCTAGATGCCACAAACTTGGCCTGCTGAAGGGTTAGTCTGTCCACCATCCGGGGAACTGTCCTTTCAACAGCAAGGGAAAATAAAGCCCAGAGGGAAAAGAATCACAGATTGTGGTTAGGGTTGGAATTCAGATCCTCATGTAAATGGCCCCATGCAGAGGCCCTAGCCTGAGCACTAACTGCTGTGTCATTCTGGAAGAGCCGCTTCATGTCTCTGGCCCCTGGTCCTTTTGTCTGAACAATGGCAAGGCAGGATCCACCTAGTGGTTTTCAAACTGTGTTCCATGGAGTCCTGGGATTCTCAGCCTCAGGGGCCATCCTTTGAGCTGTAATACTCTGGGCGTGTGTTTAGTGGAGGGGAAGCAGTGAAAAAACAGCCTGTTTCCCCATGGATAGAGGAAACTCCGGGGAGGCAGGGCTTTGTCCTGGGAAGAGCAAGGACCACTTCCCATCCAAGGCTACTCTGGAGGAGGGTGAGGGGAAGAAGCTCTGTATACTCCTGGAATCAGAGCCCTCAGGCTGTGGTTATTGGTCTTCAGAGATAAGGTGATAACTGCTTATCTGGTGACAAATGATTATCCTCCTCTTCTATTCCTCTGATTAGGGAACTTTCTCTCCTGGCTGGGAGGTCTCTTTGGAAAAAGGGCAGGGCTGGTCAAGAGACACTGACATCTGCCTCTTCAGTCCCTGCCCGGCTTGCTGTGTGACCAGAAAGCAGTTACACACTCTGTGCTTCATTTTGGGGCCTGGTGGAGCAGCTGGCTTGCAATGCCATCCTGGGATGGTGCTGGAAGGAGGATTCAATGCAGCCTGTGGGGGATGGAAGGAGCAGGAGGGCAGAGGGCGGAGGACAGAGGGCTGTGCCCCGGAGTCACCCAGGTGCTTTTGCAAGACATACACACCTGGGTACTTTCTTGATTTGGGACATCTGAGTACAGTGGCTTTGGAGCAATCTGTCCCGATCATTCTGATGGCCTCCCCAGCAAGAGCCACTGGTCTCATGCAACACCTTTTTTTATAGATGGAGAAACTGAAGCCCAAAGAAGGGAAGAGAATTGTTACCTGTTGCATAGCAAACGGAGAGGAGTCAGAAGAGAGACCCAGTCCCCAAAGTATTATGCCAGGCACCATGAAGGGAACATTCTTCCAAAGTTTCTGGGTCCCTCAGCTTTTGTTACGGTCACCTGTCCCTACTGAGGGTCCCATCTGCCAGGGTACCATGCTGGGAACAATGGGGCTGGCAGGGCAAGACCTCTGCTTTGTCCTACTGTCCCCAACTCCTGCTTGTGCCATGGATGGTCTCCCAGACACTCACTGTCATCTCAGCTCTGGGCTCTGAGCCCTTATATCCACAGGCAGCTTCAGTGCACGGAAGGACCCCTGGACTTGGAATCAGTAAGACCCAGGTTCCTCCCCATTGCTGCCCCCACCATGTCCCCTGAGCTGTGGCTTCCCCTCTCTCAGCCTTAGTTTTCTCATCCAGACAATGGGAGCAAATGAATTAAAACACAGAAAAGCTATGTGGCACATAGGAAGTACATGCTTAAAATGAGATGAAAGACCTGAAAGTGATTTGTGTGAAATACATGATCCCTAAAAGTCTATATGCTGAGAATTTCCCAAGTCAAAAGCGCATTGTCTCATCGGTGGCTCTAAAATGTATATGCATATATTTTTATAGGTTTTTGAAAGATTTATTGCAAAAGTAATATGTACTTGTAAAATTTCGCATCGTAAAAAAGTATATAAAATAAAAATTAACAATCCTTCTCTATCCCTAGCAACAGCTTTGTTGAGTTGGGATATAACTGTCTAGATTTATACAGTGATATCTAGATACGTCTCTCTATCTAGATCTACCTATCCATCTATCTGTTCAGATGCAGATATATATTTGAAGGAAAGTGGTGTCACATCTGCTTAACTTGGGGGCAATAGAAGCTTCAAGGGGTGACTGTGAATCCGCAGAATTAATTTATCAGTGGTGGGTATGAGTCTGGAGAGAGATTCCGAGTGTTCCAGAGCTCAGGGTCCCCCAAAGGTTAAGCATCCTGAGTTGGAAGATTTGCAGGTGTTTGTCCTCTCAAAGTTCCGTCCCTCCCCAACACCCTCCCTCCAGGCTTCACAGTGCCACCCCTCCCCCTCTCCCCTCCCCGCCCCCCCCACCCCACCGCCTCTTCATGCACCTGCTGAGGCTTCCGGCCTCTGCTGCTTCAAAGAGGCAGGCTGGGCTTTACCTGCCTGCCTTGGAGAAAAGCAGCCTGGTTTGAAAGGGGAAGTGGCATTTCAGGCACTTAATTAGACCCGGGACAAGAATGGAAGTTGGCTCTCAGGTCAGGCCAGGGGGGATTGTTGGGGGATTAACACTCAGGTAAACCCATCAAGGCTCACCGGCCCCCTGGCAGGAGGCAGCAAGAGAATCCCGGGCAGCAGCGGAAAGGCTGGGCCGGCTGGGCCCACAGCCTGGGAATCACATTCCAGAGTGGGGTAGTGGGGGTGTGCAGAGCCGGTAGAGGGTGGGAGGGGAAGGGTGGGCCACTGGCTGCCTCCACCCTTAACCTCAACTGGCCCCCTTCTCTTCCCCGCCCCCCCATTGCCCCAGGAAGGTAGAGTTAGAACTACCATTTTATTCCTGCAGCAAAATGTATTGAGAACCCACTATGTGCCAGGCGCTATTCCTAGGAGCACAGCCAGCAATAGCGCAAGGTCCCGGCTGCACAGAGCTCACACACTGGGGGAAGAGCAGGTTCACCAATACGGAAAGGCTTTCAGAAGGTAGATAAGGGCTTGACAAATATAAAGCAGAATTGTGATAGAAAGGGACTGACAGAGGAGTGATGTTTATTAATAGTTGGGCTATCAGGGAGGCCTGCCACCAGAAGAGGTGATATTTGACCTGAAACCTGGATGGAAGGAAAGAGGTAACCATTTATGGAAAACATCTACTACTTAGGACAATGGCCAGTTGAGAGCTGACTGCATATGTGTTAAGTGCTTTACATTAATGAATTCATCAGATCCTCCCAAGAATACCTCAAAGGAGAGATTATTAATTAAGAAGCCCATTAGTAGATACAGAAATTGAGGCATACAGAGAGGTGCCTCAGCTCTTTGGGTCCAGATGGGCAGGGCCATCTCACTGGACACCTGTGCCCTCCCCTTGCCCACCTCTTGCTATGTGCCAGAAACTGAGCCAGGTGCTCTATACACCTCCCTTAACTCCCCAGCCATGCCCCGTGGGTATCTGTTTTCCCAGTTTTGTAGATGAAAGCACAGCTCAGAGAGGTTTACTCAGTTGCCTGGAGTCACACAGTCAACAAGTGGAGAGCCAGTCATTGAATCTGGTACCACAAACTCTTCCTGCTGCAACAGCTGTGCTTTTGCAGGCACTGACTTTGGAATACCCTCAGCTGATTCACAGGGTCCTTTGTCCTGGGGAATGGCCTTCCCTGTCTCCTTCAGGGAAAGGGTTTCATCCTTCAGGGAAGATTCATTGAATCAGGATTTGCTGGGTTTTTTTCATTTTTTTTTTTCATTTCTTTTTTTTTTACACGAATGGGCTTCCTGGCCCGCATTTTGATTTGCGCTTGGGTTTATGAATTGAGGAATCACAGTCAGCCTTGGGAATTAGTTGCAAGATAAATATTGCAATCCTGGTTAAGGACTTAAGAATTGTCACTTGTGTGTGTATATTGTTGTTGTTGTTGCAACGGTGCTGTGTACGCACGGTTACAGTGGATCAAATTTGGGGAGTTAGGAAGTGGCGTTGGTTTGTGGTTAGACTTGGGGGAGGTGTCGCTTTCGGTTGTTGGTGTGCTGGTGGCTGTGTTCCTGTGATATGGAATGTACTGTCTGAGAATGTGTTCAGGGGTCTGTGGTTATGTGGATATGGGTGTGTAGCTGCTGATGACATGGATGGAGGGATGTATCTGGGTGTGTTTCTGCAGAACAAGTGATACCTGTACCATGTGACTTTGTCAGTTCCACCATGTCCAGGCACAGGTCGGGGGGGTTGTCCATGGTTCTGAACGTATCTGCCCCCATTTTACAGATAGGAAACCAAGACTTAGAGAGGCCAAGTCATCTGCTTGAAGTCATCTAGCTGAGAAGCGGCTGAGCCTGAAGGGAAACCAGGGCTGCCTTCAGAGTCCAGCCTCTTTTCCCTGCTCCCCAGGAAAGGTTTTAGTAACAATAAAAGGTTTAAATGCCAGCAAAAGGTCTAAACGCCAGCGTCGGTCATGGGGCCTGGCAGACGTGTGTGCGGTCACATGCATGTCCCCATTCTCGTTCTGGTGTCTCAGCTCCTGCCCATTCTATGGGCCCCCAGCCCAGCCCTGTCGCAGGAGAGCCTTTCTTTCTCGGGACTGCAAATACGCCAAAGATGAACGCCGCCCGCAGCTGGCTGGCTGCAGCCCTGAACAATGGCAAGACCTAGGAAGTGAAGAAATTGCCCGAGGAGCACAGCAGCCCAGTCCAGAGAGGCAGTTCACAGAGTCTGCCTGCTGGCTCTGGCTCGAATGCAGTGAGCCCTCCCCCCACCCGCCAGCTCCACACTCCTGGCTGAAAGGATAAACAGTCTGCAAAGAAATTTTCCCTAGAAAGAACACTTCGCTCAAGTGCAAGTCCACCACCTTAGACCAGTGATTAGGGGAGAGTTAAAGAAGGGGAGGGGTGTCCCCTCTCAGGGGGAAATATGCAATAAATAATCACAGGTGGGAGAGCGTGAAGTGGAGGGGCTGGAATCCCAGCTGCATGCTGAACCCAGCTCCAACACCGTTCTCCAGAATGGATGACAAAATGCAACACAGTAAAACAAATCTGGTGCTCATGTGCAATGCCTTCCTCCTTCCTAAATCTCCACTCACCCACTTCTTCCCAGCGAGTGGCAAGGTGGCAGGTGCCATCTGAGAACTATCTAGGGTAGCAGAGGAAAAAAACCACAACAGCGGGTGGGCTGCAAGGTAGCTTGTACAAATTTGCCAGGCCGTAATAATTAGAGATGAACAGAGCATGCTCACGTCCAGTTGGGAGGGAGCTCTGGAAAGCAAACTTGGAATTCTGGAGGATTTACCATGAGCTAGACACAGCTCCTTTAATCAGCACAGCCCTATGAACTTCACAGGTTTTACTAATCCCATTTTACAGATGAGGGAACTGAGGCTCAGTGAGGTAAAGTCACTTGCCTGAGATCACAGGGCTGAAGAAAGAGGCAAGAGGAAGCATTTGAATCCAGGCCTCTCAGGCTTTGGGCCTGGGGCCTCCTATCACCCCTGGGGTGGCAAGGGAGGAGCCGATCAAAGGAAGAACTAATCTTGCTTGGCACGTGCCTACAATGCCACCGTGATATTAGTTCCTGGGCCAGAACCATATATGCATTCCTTTAATTTGGGCATCATTGTTATCATTTAATTTTAACTCTGCTATTTTGTCTGGAGCTAGTCAGGTTTCACAAACTCCTTCCCAATTCATCTCATTACTGCAAAAAATAAAGACTGTTATTTTCAATGAAGACAATGTGACTCCTTTCCAGGGGCCAGAAGCTGGTCTCCCTGGATTCCAGTTTCCACGGTCAGAAACAAGGGCTGCGGCCGGTCCCAGCCCATGACTACAGAGCTTAGAAATGCAGGTGGCACGTCCCCTCCGTAGATGAAGCCACTTAATTACCATGCAATCAATATGCAAACAAGTGCCAAACTGGGTTTGAATCAAATTTCTCATTGGGGACTCAGTGGGGGAGGAAAGTCCAGCCGAAGGGGGCCAACCGGGATGAGCTGGCAGGGAGGGGGCTGCAGGATGAAGAGATGGGCTTCAGCTGGGACCCAGGCACCTGAGGGTTGCTCAGACACCCTCCACAGTCCCCAGTGTCTGGCACGGGGCCTCGCTCCCATTGAGGGGAGCCGGGGCCTGTGGCTCAGGGCTGCAGTCGGCGGGAGGGTTTCCAGGCCTGTCAGCTGAAGTCTGGCGGCCTCCGCTAATTCATTTGACTCGGAAATCTCAACTTGACCAGGTTCCCCCTCCCTTCTTTAAAACAAACTCATTAAACTTGTCAACACTCATTAGGCCTGTAAAACATTGAACTAGAGCCACTGGGGAGACTTGGAGAGGGTGTGTGTGTGTGTGTGTGTGTGTGTGTGTGTGTGTGTGTCTGGGAGTGTGTGCTCCAAAGCTGAACCAGGCCCTGGGAGACCCATCTCCTAGGCTTTGCAGGGGCAGAAGTCACATTCGTTTGTTCATCTACTTCCTTCCTTCCTGCATCTGTGTTTCATCAAAGGCGGAACAGCTTGGGGGTTTGCAGCATCAGACTTGAGCTGGAATCGGCCTTTACCCTCCTGGCACTCCAATGCAGCCCTCTCCTTAGCCTTGCCAGTGTATCAGTTTAACCCATCTGCGATATGGGTATTGTCATAACGGACCCATTTCACTGGGCTGTTGGGAAAATAATGCATCTAATGCGCTTATAACAATGCCTGGTGCATTTTAAGAGTGCAATGACTGGTAGCTATTATTCTTGTTGCTGTGATTGATGATCTAAAATGTAAGAGGCAAGTCCGGGCGCAGTGGCTCACGCCTGTAATCCCAGCACTTTGGGAGGCCGAGGCAGGTGGATCACTTGAGGTCAGGAGTTCGAGACCAGCCTGGACAACATGGTGAAGCCCTGTCTCTATTAAAAATACAAAAAACAAATTAGCCAGGTGAGGTGGTGCACACCTGTAATCCCAGCTACTCGGGAGGCTGAGGCACGAGAATCACTCGAACCTGGGAGGGCAGAGGTTGCAGCGAGCCGAGATACCGCCACTGCACTGCAGCCTGGGTGACAGAGTGACGCTGTCTCAAACAAATAAATAAATAAAATGTAACAGGCGGCTTCATTTAGCACTTTGAAATTTGGATTTGGAAAGATTCAAGTTTGGATTTGGAAAGATTCAAGTTTGAATTTCAGCTTCCTGGTATGAGACTCTAGATCACAGACCATTTCCCTGAGTTTTAGTTTCCCAAAGTAAAATGAGTAAAATAAATGCATGCATAAAAAAAAGGGGGGGATAATGAGGCGAGACGTGGTGGCTCATGCCTGTAATCCCAGCACTTTGGGAAGCTGAGGCAGGAGGATTGCATGAGCCCAGGAGTTAGAGAGCAGCCTGGGTGACACGAACCCTCTCTCTACCAAAAAATAAAAAAATTAGCCGGGCATGGTGGGGCACGCCTGTGGTCACAGCTACTCGGGAGGCTGAGGAGGGAGGATTGCCTGAGCCTGGGAGGTCGAGGTTGCAGTGAGCCGTGATCACACCACTGCACTGCAGCCTTGACAACAGAGCAAAACCCTGTCTCAAAAAATAAATAAAGAAAAAATAGGATCATGTCAAGAAGTGAGTTAACACATATGGAATCAAAACTAGTATGGTGTCTGTTGCTGTAGGAATATCAGGAATGTCCTTTTTTCTTTATTTCCCTCCCTATTCAACCCACGACCCCACCTTACCAGGCAGCGCACAATCAGGGGGACAGGTTGAGATCCCATTGCTTTGGCATGGAGCATGGGGGTGATAAGAGGCTACACCTTCTTATGACCTAATCCAAAAGTGAGGCAGATATGGGCTCCCAGGAGAGGGGCTGGGGATTGAAACTCCACCCCCAGCCTAAGGGTGGAGGTCCCTCTGATCTGAGAAGCAGAAGCCTCATGTGGAGAGGAAAAAGTGCTCAGAGGAGGAAAAACTGGCCCCATCGCCTCCACCTTCCATGAAAAAAAAAAAGCCTGCAGTTTTTAAAAACTGCCTGATGGCAAAGAGACCAAATGACCCCAGATCTAGAAAGAGAAACCAGAGGAAGGGTTCCTGGCTGCTCTTGCTTTCTGTCACTCTTTCCTCCTAAGAAGCTCCTCTTCTTAGCCCGCACTCTCTGAGCTAGAGACCTGGTCTCCTCTGCCTCCTCCAGGCTGCCAGCAGGACCCAGCTCCGCTAGGCCCAGGGACACTTAAAGGGAAGCAGAATTCAGGGGCCCGATGAATAGCGGTTTTGTCTGGGCTGCCTTTTAGGATCTGCGACTGCAGTGGTGGTGTGTTCTTTTTCCCTTTAAAGCGGAGTGTCTGCTGGCTCTCTCTCTCCTCTCTCTCTCCCCTTCCCCTTCTTATTGAGAATGCCCCCTAAAAAAAAAGACGCCAGCCTTCTGCTATTTTTCTTCTCTCTCTGAAAATGAGAACATCAGCTATTGAAGCGGATTGATGAACTCTTCCCAAAAGTTTATTAAGGGAAGGTTAGACAAAGGCCCCAGGGCCCGCAGGCGACTGAGCAGTCAGTATATATACTGGGCCCTTTTGTCCCCCCAGGGCCGACGCATGAATACCTCTCAATGGCCCTCTTTAGAGTGACAAGATCAAGCCAGACAACAGCTTGTTAAAAGGAACTGCGAGCTGTTTCTCTTTTTCCAGCCCAAAGCTCCGTCCATCACTTCTCCTGCATTAATGTACATCTGCAGCGGGAGGAATAATCGGCTGGAATTCTGTCGGTTTTGTGTGGGTTTTTCTTTTTTCTTAAATACACCCTTCTCCTCCTCTTCCCTGCCCCCACCTGCCCCTCCTCGCTCCTGCCCTCCCCCTCCCCCCACAAAGGTCCTGGAGCCATATGTTACTGAGCCCATCCTGGCTGTGTCTTCGAGGGACCCCAGGGTGGGTATTTCTGGAAGACAGCAAGAGAAGGGGGTTCTGAAGCTTCTGTTCCTTCCAGTGCATGCTTATAATAATCACCCCGTTTCCGAACACTTACTGTGTAGCAGGGGCTGGACTAGGGACCCAGGTGTACCATCGCCTCTGCAGACTTTTTCATCAAGGTAGGTGTTATTGGCCCCACATGATGGAAGGGAAAGTGAGGCAAGAGAGAAGTAACTTTCTCAGGGAATCATCTGGGATGCAACTCTAGGCCTGGCCCACTCTTGGGGGCTCACCCTGATTTTCAGCTGCTGCATGCAGGACAGGGGTTAAAGCCAAAAGCAAATCTTAGCCCCAGTTCTATGGCAGGCTTCTGCCCGGCTGACTATGGCTCAGGCAGCTCAGAGAGAATGTGTTCTGCAAGGAAGGTTTGCTGGTAGAAGCCTGACCCCAAGGACACGTGGCTGGGCAAGGTTGTAGGAGAGCTGGCTGGGGTTGACATTTCATAAACATGAAGTTGCCTTGGGAGAAACCTTTCTTCATTATCAATGCTAAGGGAACCCTTGCTCAAACAAGCCAGGGTTATGCAAAACTCCAAAATTTCCTTCATTTGAGCTGGAGAGTGTGTGTGCATATGTGTGTGTGCATGCACGTATATGTGTGTGTGTACACATATGTATGTGTGTGTTGTGTGTGCATGCATGTGTAATGTGTGCATGCCTGTATGTATATGTGTGTGCATATGTATTTGTGTGCATGCATGTGACTGTGTGCACATAAGCATGTGTGTGACATGTGTGTGTATGTGTGTGTCTGTGTGTGTACTGCAGATTCACTGTCCTAGTGAGTTTTGTTCTGTGTTTTCAGCTCCTGCACCAGATTAGGACCTTCTTTGAGAGCAAGGACCAGTCAACTACATTTTATTCTGCTTTGATCTCACCTATTTAGTGCCAGTGCAATACCATATGCAGAACAGGTGCTCAATAAATGCTCCCTAACTTGAGAACTTCTCTGAGACACCTGAGCAGGAAAGGGGAGGGGGCAGCCAGGCCTCTGCTGAGAATTGAAGGCAAGGCTTTCCCTCCCCCTCCTTTCCACTTCTCTTCCTCCCTCTCTCCCAATCCCACATCTGTCTTAATTTGGGTGCTACTGAGGGGGCCTGAAAAGGGAGTGTCCCTAATGATCATGGTGTAGAGAATTCCACCCATGCCATTTACCTTCACCTTCTAAGGAGCTTCCCTGCTAGCAGGGCCAGGGAGGTCATTTGTACTCACCTTCCCTGGTGGTTTTTCCCCTGGGGAAAGAGAGAGTGGAAAGGAAAGGACCTTAGGCAAGTAGCCAGGTGGAGGGAAAACTGCTCTTGCCTGAGAGGTGGGAACCCTGCCTCTGAGTCCTGGTAGCAGGCAACTGTCCCATTTGGCCTGGGACTTTCCTGGTTTTCCCACTGAGGGTCCCACATTCCAGAAAAGCCTTCAGTCCCAGGCAGACTGGGATTGTTGCTCACCCTACCCCCTGGCGTGTAAGGATCAATCCCGTAGGTCCGTGGGGCTCAGGTACCTGTCACAAGGAACGGCCTCAACCTCCTCCCACCTTTGTTAAGGAATGGGTTGGAAGGGAAGAGTGACTGCAAAAGAATTGGGAAAAGCCCAGCGGGCCATGTGCTCGAGGACCTTACCCTTCGGCATCTGCCCCTTGCGTGGGGTGGTTGAGGGGAAGCATGGATGTAGGAGGTCGGAATTCGTCCACGTTTGTGGGTAGAATTGGAGCCCAGTGGCTGGAGCCTGGGGTGTCCTCCTTATCAACGCTCCCAAATTGGAGCCTCTGTCAGGGGAGGGGCCCCTAGGATAGGGCCAAATGGGCCTCCCATTTGGAGCTTGGCTCTTTGACTTAGACCAACTCAAGTTCGAATCCTGGCTCTGCCACTTGCTGGCTGGGAGGTTTTGGCCAAGTCATCCCCCTACCTGTGGAAGACAGGTGACACCACTCCAACCCAACTCTGCCCAGGACACAGCAGGCCTCTGACACACGCCACATTCTTCTCTTCCTTTCTGCTCTTCTCTTCCCCTAGACACCTTATTTTTTCTGGCTTAAGGACAAAATTAGGAGGGAGGAAAACGGAAAATCCAGATGCCAAGTCCTTCCAGGGAAACCAAAGTGGGGGATGATTGAGGCCTGGGAGGTGGAGGGAGGGTTGTTGTGGAGTCATCATAATTTAAGAAATCTGCCTCCCTTCCACGCCCCAAGATGAGCATTACTATTTCATGGATGATTCAAGTCTAACTTCCCCCTAGGAAGGGCTGTGACCCCTGACCCCTGCAACCTGTATTTACCACGTTCAAAAGCCCCTACTAGCCCCAGAGAGCTGACCTGAGCTGGGACCAAGGCACCAGGACTGGCAGGGCTATAAACAAGCCTGCCTCCTTGGGCTCAGGAATCCTGAGTGAAAAAACAGAAGGGGGCTCAGAGGTGGGGCCCAGTCCTGGCCTGTGAGCCAGCGGCTAAAGGGAGGGGAGAGAGGACTCACGGGGGTGGGGGACCTGGAGGATGAGTTAGGGGAGAAATGGGCACATAAGGAGCTATTTCCTCCCCTTGACCCTCGGTTTTCTTGGCTGTAAAATGGAGCAAAAGCTACTTTGCTCGTTAGGGTTTTGTAAGGCTGAAGTGAAATAGTGAGTGTAAGGGCTTCAGAGTGCTAGAGGGGAAAGTAAAAAGCACACACGCATGCTAGAGCAGGGGGCATAGAATAGGGAGGGGGCCAAAGCATGGAGGATTAGACAGTTGACACGTGGTTGTTAGATGATCAGTAAATCTCTGTTGAGAAATAAATACCCAGAGCTTGGCTGAAACAGAACAACGTGGGTCCATCCCTGCCCTCAGAGGCCCCCTTGCTTGGTGGGGTAGACAGGCAAACAGATATCCCTCCCTTCAGTGTAAGGGTTGCCATGAGGAGTAGGGGGCATAGGGGCTGTGGGAGAGTCCCGCTTTGGGGTCCATGAGGTGGAAATGAATTCGTCTTTATTTTTTCAAACTCACATTTCCTGTGCCTCTTTGCAGAAACTTTCTGATCTCTCCTCCCACCCCAAACTTGCCTTTGGTGTGTCCACGTCTCTTGGATTAGACTTTAATCCTCCTCCAGCTCCTTGATGGGCATGCAGAGGCTGAGAGGATCGAACTGGCCTTTCCCAGCACTTGCTCTGGGACTATCTGGAAGCCTGCACGCTAACTCAGCCCACTGCCCCGCCCTGTAACTGCAGACAAGAAATGACCTCCATGAGCCTCAGTGTTCTCATCTGTAAAATAGGGCTAACAACACCCACCTCACAGTGTCGGACAAAGCCACGTGTGGTGCCTGGCACACAGTAGGTGCTCAGAGTATGGGCCTGGAGCCCATGCTGGCTTTCTGGCTGCAGCACACAAGAGCCTGGGCTCCCTCGGCCAACTGGGCCTGGCCTTTGAAGCTTAGTGTGGCTCCTTATTATGGCAATTAATTACCCAGGGACAATGGAGCACAGCCCTGCCCTCTGCCCGCGCCTTCCAGTGACAGGGGGTGGGCGGAGGGCGCCGGGAGGGGGAAGTTAAGCGGCTGCCTGTTTGTTTATGGGCACAGGAAGCTTTATTGGTTTTACACTCCAGCCTGTTCTGAAATCAAAGACGATTTCCAGGGAGCAGGTGGGAGTCAGCCACTTGGAGCTCAGAGAGTGGCTTTGTTTATTTTGGGGGCCCTGACTGAGCACAACCTGGTCTCTGCCTGCACCAGTGTCCTAGAGACCTGCTCTGGGGTTGGGCAACAGGAGTTGGTGCTTCGCTGGGGGTAGGGTGGGTGCTGGGGGGTTGAGGGGGGCGAGGAGGCAGCTCCTCCTGCAGGCCTGGGAGGAGAGGGAGCTTTGGTTTCCCAAAGCCTGGGGTGAGTGCTGCTGAAGTTATGTGACCCGGCCTTGGCCAAGCTACTCCTGCTCTCTGAGCTTTGGTGATCTTGCCTTCAAAACGGGCCTAAAGATGACCCCTGCCCCGGCAGTCTTGGAGAATGCGCGGGGCAATGCTCATTGGTGTGGTTCCATGAGGCGACCTTTCTGCAGTCCTGGAATTTGCAGTGCTCCTTTGTTCCTTCTTTAGTTCATTCATTCATTCATTCATTCATTCACTCATTCTCTCATCCTGTAAGAGAGCCTGTAGATTCACACTTCTACTTGGAATTAGAGAAAAGAAAGCTGGTTTCTCAAATTCAAAAACATTGTATTAGTTCTAGTTTTTTGTTTGTTTGTTTGTTTTGTTTTGTTTTTGTTTTGAGACAGAGTCTCACTCTGTCACCCAGGCTGAAGTGCAGTGGCACAATCTAAGCTCGCTGCAGCCTCCGCCTCCTGAGTTCAACCAGTTCTCCTGCCTCAGCCTCCCGAGTAGCTGGGGTTACAGGGACACGCCATCATGCTCAGTTAAATTTTTTTGTACTTTTAGTAGAGATGGGGTTTCACCATGTTGGCCAGGATGGTCTAAATGTCTGACCTCAGGTGATCCTCCTGCCTTGGACTCCCAAAGTCCTGGGATTACAGGCATGAGCCACCACACCCAGCCTGTAAGTTCTTTATATTGAAGGAATCACATATTATTGTGAAGAAAAAAAAAAAACCTCAAACACTAAAAGAATATAGAAAGTAAAAAAGCTTGTCAGCCTCTGCTTCCTACTCTCCAGAGTTAAATACAATGAATAACTTGGGAGTCTGATCTTCTAGATGTTTCTCCACAGAGAAACGGCACATCTATACATATGTTTATTTTGACAAAGTGGGATTGTGCAACAGACACTGCTCTGGACTTAATCAGTTAATAATGTGTCCAGGACATCATTTTCCGGAGGCTGGTTCCTTCTCGACACCTCGCCAGTGATGGGTTTTACCCATTGTTTTATCACCTTCAACCTGATGGTAGCTGAGCCCTGGGCTCATCACTTCCACCTGTTAACTGAGGAGCCATTGCTGTCCCCATTGTACAGATGATAAGACTGAGGGCCAGAGAAGCTGGATGATTTCTTCAGGTCTCCTGCTAGAAAGCAGATGAACTGGAATTTGTGGGGTTTGTTTTGTTTTGTTCTGTTTTGTTTTTGAGACAGAGTCTTGCTCTGTTACCCAGGCTGGAGTGCAGTGGCATGATCTCAGCTCATTGCAACCTCTGCCTCCCATGTTCAAACGATTCTTGTGCCTCAGCCTCTCGAGTAGCTGGGATTACAGCCATGTGCCACCATGCCCAGCTAATTTTTATATTTTCAATAGAGGTGGGGTTTCGCCATGTTGGCCAGCTGGTCTGAAACTCCTGGCTTCAAGTGATCCACCCGTCTCGGCCTCCCAAAGTGCTGGGCTTACAGGCGTGAGCCACCACAGCCAGCCTGAGCTGGAATTTGAATTTGGGTTTTCTGACTCTCAATCCTCTAGGATAATTTGGGGTACGTGGAGGAACTGGCCGTATCCTAAGTTCAGAAGACAGACTCCAGACAAGAAGTATAACAGCCTGTGGTGAAAGATACGTGGTATTGACATCTTCCCACAGGTCAGGAACAGTTATCACTTTAACATAGCCTTGAAGTTCAGGCCAGCTGCTACCAGCCCATGCCAGATGGCTTCTTAGTGCCACAGTCTTCCCTTTTCCCTCCCAGTGAGAAAGCACAGAGGTGAAATGGGGGCTTAGAAAGCCCCCACCCCACCCACTGGCCTTAATAAAGTGGGATTCCAGGGCTGCAATTCACTTTTCCAATCCAGGATCTTGAAACTCACAGCTCTCCCAGATCGTTGTACCAAGATTGGGACCTGGAGCTGAAAGAGCTTCTCCAGCAGACACTCCTCAGATGTCAGCTCTGGAAGCATCCAGTCTGACCCTCTCACTTTCACAGATGGATGGGCAGAGGCCCCAGGAAGGTTAAGTGACTTGCCCAAGGTCACACAGCTAATCAGTGGCAGAGCTGGGACAGATTCCCTTTTGTTGGAAAGATGATCTCGTGCCTCTGAGGCGGTAGTGACCTCTCTCCTGGCCCCTGTCAGCCTATGGCCACATCTGAGTTTTTCCTTCCCAACTGTTGAAAGTCTTCCAAACCTCGGGGAGGCCGGGAGGCGTAACAAATGGGGAGCTGGTGACCTGGAAGAGGGAACACCATGCCTGGGGAAGGGGAGGGAGGAGGGCGAGGCAGCCACACGAAAGTCCAGTTACCAGGCTGTCACAGCACTCTCATTTGGTCAGCACTTTACAGTTTATGAAGCTTGTCCCAAGCTGTGATCCTCACAGCCCTCTATGAACTAGCCTTGTCATCCCTATTTTCCACATGGGGAAATCGAGAGGCTCAGAGGATGACATCCGTTGCTCAGAGTCCCACAGTAAGTGATGGAATGTCAGATCTGGGGTGAGGCAGGGGCAGCTTGGGACCATCTAGTCCTATCCCCCCATTTTACAGATCAGGAAGGTGAGCCCCCGAGAAGGGGAGGCTAGGAGCTCCCTGTTGTAATGCTCATTTCCCTAGACATATGCTGGCCTCCTGGGCATATGATGGTAAACCCCAAATCCTGAAGGGAGACTGGATGATGTGTTCCCTTTCCAGGGAGCGTGCTTCTTGACAGGGCCTAGTGGGAGACATTACCCTTTGGTTCCAGTGATTCTAAACCTGGCAGTGTAGTGTGGTGGCTAATCTTGAGTCAGCTGGACCCAAGCTCCAGTCCTGACTCTGCTGTGTGTCCTTAGGAAGATGACATCTCTCTGTGCCTCAGTCTGCTCACGTGCAATATAGAGCTCCATTACAGGGTGGTTGAGTGGGTTAGATGATGTGATGTGTGCACACAGCTTAGCAGCGAGCCTGGGCACAGTAAGTGCTCAGTAAAGGTTAGCAGCTTATTATTATTTCTTAAATCAGGGCCTAGTGAGAGGGGTGGAGGATGTCCCAGCTCTCAACCTCAATGGCCTTAACAACACACCTATGGCACATGACCTTCACAGGTCTCTAGCCAACCTGTGAAGGTGAGCAATGAGGCGGGCTTGTGCCTGGAACTAGAGAGATATGGCATGAGCGGGCTCGGGTGGCATTGCTTTTTTTTCCTTTTTCTTTCTCTTTTGTTTTTGAGACAGAGTCTCACTCTGTCACCAGGCTGGAGTGCAGTGGCACGATCTCGGCTCACCGCAACCTCCACCTCCCTAGTTCAAGCAATTCTCCTGCCTCAGCTTCCCGAGTAGCTGGGACTATAGGCACGTGCCACCACACCCAGCTAATTTTTGTATGTTTAGTAGAGATGGGGCTTACCATGTTGGCCAGGATGGTCTCCATCTCTTGACCTCGTGATCCACCTGCCTCACCCTCCCAAAGTGCTGGGATTACAGGCGTGAGCCACTGCGCCCAGCCTTTTTTTTTTTTTTTTGAAACAGAGTCTTGCTTTGTTGCCCAGGCTGGAGTACATGGCATAATCTTGGTTCACTGCATACTCTGCCTCCCATGTTCAAGAGATTCTCCTGCCTCAGCCTCCCCAGTAGCTGGGACTACAGGCGTGCACCACCATGCCTGACTGATTTTTTTGTATTTTAAATAGAGACAAAGTTTCGCCACGTTGTCCAGGCTGGTCTCAAACTCCTGACCTCTGGTGATCCGCCTGCTTCAGCCTCCCAAAGTGCTGGGATTACAGGCATGAGCCACCATGCCCGGCTGGGGTGGCATTTCAGCTGCAGAAATGGTGAAGTTTTCCTGTAGAAAAAAGAAAGAGGCTGGGCATTGTGGCTCCAGCCTGTAATCCTAGCACCTCAGGAGGCTGAGGCAGGAGGATCGCTTGGGCCCAGGAGTTTGAAACCAGTCTGGGCAGCGTAGCTCCGTCTCAATAAAATAAGACTGCATCTCAATAAAAATAAAAGAAAGGTGGTAGTTCATTTGCACCTCCTTTCCCCAGGCTGTGCCCATCTAATTCATTCTGTTTCAAAATCATCATTTAATTTAGAGGGGAAAAAAATAGCTCTGCAGACCAGGGCTGAAGGCCAACTCCAAACCTTGGGTCTGTCCCCCACCCCTTTGCACTTAGTGGCCTGGCTGTGGTCTAGGGGAGGCCCCGAACTTGCTGTGATCTGTGGGGACCTCATAGGCTCTCCAAAGAAGTTGTCAGGGAAGGAGGTGGCATAGTCCCTGCCACAGGCCCCAGAAAGGCTGATGGCACAGATGAACATACCTGCAAATGCCATAGTCTTCCTAATAGCTGCCCAGCAACATTTTCAGGGGTGCTAAGGGCCTGCGGTCAGCTTTGATCCTCTTAGCCCCCAATCTGAGTAAAGGTGATGCCAGCCAGTGATTGTGGGCAAAGGCTTTGGGGTGGGGGAAAGGGTTGATGGGGCCTGGAGGGTGACTGAGGGAGGCATCTAGCCAATCACAGAGCCCTGACACCACCCCATTGCCCGGCAAAGTCCTCGGGGTTCAACCCTTCACCCAGGTGCTGTTTGGCTGCGCTCCACCTGGAGACAGGCTTTGAAAGTGAATTATTTGAAACTGAGGAAGTCAAGGCCTCGGGCCTCTCAGCATTCTCAGAGCAAACAAACTTTTGGCAAGTTCAGAGAAAAGGAAGTGGGATTGAATTTCCTCTTCGACTCACCTGGGGAAAAATTCAGACTGCTTGGTGGTGGGGGCATCAGGGACCTGGCTCCAGGATAGGCTGAGGGAGTGGGGGTCCTCTGGGGTCATTGAGAAGGGTCCCTGAGACGCTCCGTAGCTTCTCCATAGCAGCTGGTTCTAGAGCTAAGGGCTACCAAGTTTGGACAGTTCTTCGTTTGGTCTGATTTCATTCCCTCCTGCTGCAGATCAAAAGACAGCTTCTCCCTTGCTCACCAGCTGAGTTGAGGAGTCAGGTTCAAGTCCTGACCCTAGCTGTGTGTGCTGTCAGATAAGCTGCTTTACCTCTCTGTGCCTTTCCTCATCTATAAAATTGGGGAAAATAATAATTGCCCCCTCAGAAGTTCTGGGCCAAGTGGAAAATTTTACAAGAAGGGAAGAGGTGGGGAGAAGTTTGTACAGTGGTTGGGTTTTGCCCGCATCTTCAGAGAGTGGAAGGAAGGAAGGAAGGAAAAAAGAAGGAGAGAAGGAAGGAGAAAGGAAGGAAGGAAGGAAGGAAGGAAGGAAGGAAGGAAGGAAGGAAGGAAGGAAGGAAGGAGCTTTGGTCTGCACACACCCCGGAGCAGCAGCCCGGTAAAAGCGGATCTTTCCCCAAGAAGCCAGATTCTCATAAAACTACGGAGCGCCAGGAGGACAAATCACAGAAGGTAGATAGTGGAGGATGCGGTGGAGGGATTGAGATTAGACATAAGGAAACACAAACCTGTTAGTATCTACAAGTCATGGAATCCTGGGTTTAAGGGGGTGGAAATTTGAGGGCCATTGAAAAGAACTCTACAAATGTGGTAGAGTCAGGGATATGGTGTCAATGACCTTCCTGCATCACACCCAGGAACTCTGGCCCACCTGCCTACTTATGTGGGATCCCTGTCCCTAAGCTAGCCTAACCAGCACTGGGGGTTGATGAAGGTCCAATCTTTGCTTTCCTCATTCCCCAGCCAAGGCCAGTAGGACACATGCCCTCTCCCCAGCTCCCAATCCTCCCTTTCCTCTGAGGAATTAGCTACATGCCTCCCAGCTGAGCCATCAAAGGATGCTTCCTCTACATCCCAGTCTCCTAACCATGCTGCCTCTGGAACCGAGTAAAATATGGGAAACTTCCGGGCAAAACCCAGGAGCCCAGGAGCAGGGGTTCTCAGCCTTGGCTGCACACGAGATTCATATGAGGGAGCTTTCACAAATCCCAGTGCCCAAGATGCACCACAGCCCCATTAAATCAAAATGGACAGGGGGTGGGGCAGTATTTTTTAAAGCTCCTTGAGTGATTCCAAGGAGCAGCCCAGGCTGAGAAGTTCTGGCCCAGAGTCAGAGCTGTGGATATTCCAGCCACATTAGATGCCTGAGCCACACCCTCTGAATTTCAACGTCCTGGCCCACACAAAGCAGGCACTGTCAGGATCATCTCACAGAGCTGTAAGGCAGGCAAGAAGAGAAAGCAGTGTGAGGCAGCAGTGCCTGGCACCTAGTAGGTGCTCAGTAAATGCTTGTTAAAAATAATAACAATGGCCAGGTGTGGTGGCTCACACCTGTAATCCCAGCACTTTGGGAGGCCAAGGCAGGCAAACTGCTTGAGGTTAGGAGTTAGAGACAATCCCTAGCAACATAGTGAGACCCCATCTTTACAAAAAATTTAAAAAAAATTAGCTGGGCATGGTGGCATGTACTTGTGGTCCCAGCTACTCAGGAGGCTAAGGTGGGAGGATGGCATGAGCCTGGGAGGTCGGGGCTGCAGTGAGCCTTGATCTTGCCACTGCACTGCAGCCTGGGCAACAGAGTGAGACTCTGTTTCAAAATCATAATAATGACATAACAATAATAATAACAGCTCTCATTTTTGCAATGCCTACCTGGTACCAGATACTTTGCATGCATTCACATAAACTTTTCTCTGGACCTGAATGATTCCTGGGATTGGCACCACATTTCCCAAGAGGAGGGCTGCCTTTGTCCTGGTTTGAGGCAGGCGGGTGTGTCTGGAAGCCCTGGAGCAGGACCCTGGCTGGTTCTTGTTTGGACACATCTTAGGTAACCTTCAGCAAACAGTGACTCAGCCGCCTTGGCTATAGATGAGTTCTTCCCAGGCCAGGCCTGGCTTCCTCAAGTTTCCTCCTGCAACATGTCAGGGCCCAGGAGGATGTGCTAAGCACCTGTGTTGGTTTTCCTTGGGGGCCCTTGGGAGGGATCGGGGGCCAAGGGACAGGGGTCTCTCCTTTCCTTCTGCTTTCTGAAGTGCTTGTTTTGCTGGAGCATCTTCCTGCCTGCTAGATGCTGGGGCTCAGAGAGGCAGAGTGAGCAGCCCAAGGGCACCAGGATTCAAACCTAGTCCTCAGTCTCTAAAGCTATATTCTGCTGGCAGCCTCTGGTTCCACATAGCAGGGGAGTAGAGGAGGAATCCATAGCCTCTTTAGAGCTCCACAGCTGGTGTCCCGAGTCAGTGGCCTTAGGATTTAGCAAAAACAGTGACCATATGGTGGCACCCTCAGGAGATCTGCTGTTGGCCACCCCTTCACCCCTTACTGATAAACCCCTAGAGTGTCTGAGAACCAGTCCCAGCTCCCTCACTGACTGCCGTGTGACCTCTAGCAAGTCACATTCCCTCTCTGGGCTCAGTATTTGCATCTGGAAGACAATGAGTTGGGACTAGGTTATCTCTCAGGTTGCTTCCAGCTTGAACCGACTCTTTTGATGCAGAGAGGATGTCTCAGACATTGGAGACAAAGTCCGTACTGGGGGAAGCTGTCCCAAAAAGGAAGGCTGGTGCCTGCCCCAGACCTGAGTACAATCCCATACTCTGCTGCTTAGAAGCTTTGAGACGTGGACAGTAGCTTGGCCTCTCTGAGTTCTGGCTTCTTTATCTGCAAATGAAATGATAATGGTTGCAACATAGTTGTAATGGATAAAGGAGCTAATCCACAAAAAGCCCTTAATAGGGAGGCCAAGGCAGGTGGATCACGAGGTCAGGAGTTCGAGACCAGTCTGGCCAACATGGTGAAACCCCGTCTCTACTAAAAATACAAAAATTAGCTGGGCGTGGTGGCACGTGCCTGTAGGCCAGCTACTCGGGAGGCTGAAGCAGGAGAATCATTTGAACCCAGGAGGCAGAGGTTGCAGTGAGCCGAGATCGTGCCACTGCACTCCAGTCTGGGTGACAGAGTGAGACTCCATCTCAAAAAAAAAAAAAAAAAAAAGAGCCCTTAACAGCTCCTGGTACATAGGAAGCACTTTTTATGAGCTGAAATTATCACTGATGAGGATTTCTCTGCATCTTAGACCCCCTGCCTATAAATAGTACCTACCTTGTAGAGCCATGGCAAGGCTAAAATGAAACAGTAAGTGCCTGTAGCTTGGTGTCCAGCAAATGATCCCAACTATTGTAAAATCAATTATTTGCATGGGTGTGGCTGAGTCTCCTGTTTCCAACCCCCATCATGAGAGCAGAAACTAAGGAGTGGAGCATTGCAGGGCAGGATGGAGGTGGCTTTTGTTTGCCCTGCCCAGGGTGCCAAAGACATTCAGTTCCCAAAGTCCTGAGTGCCCAGGCCCAGGGGACCTGTCTGCGCCCCTCCCACCTCCTCGGCTGTGGCACTACCAGCCCTAGCCCAGGCCTTGTTCTCCACTAAGCACCTCTCCACTCTCTTGCTTTCCCTCGGGCCTGAGCTCTCAACCCCTAATTCATGAAACCTGTTGACTCAGGGCCCAGACCTGCAGCCCCAGGCATCCGTCCGTCAGTCTATCTGTCCATCCGTCACACCAGAAGCCTTGCTGGCCTCTCTCCAGGGCCTGGTCAGAGGGTGCCAGCCAGCCGGCAGGGGCTGCAGGCCATGGAGACGACAGCCCGGGCCCGTGCGAGTCCCTCCACCTGGCTCCTTGTCCCATCAGGCACCACTTAAGAGGATGTACCGTTACATGTAGAGGGCAAAGGCAGGGCTGGAGACGCCTTCAGAAATGGAAATGGGACCCATTTGTTTATAATTTACTCTCTGACACTTAACAGGAACCTGATGGGACCAATAAAGGCTCAGAACTCACCCAACTCCTGCCTCAAAAGTGCTGGAGCCGGTCCAGTTCTCTAGAGGCAAACACATCTCAAAGCCTGGCAAACCGCTTGGCTCCCAGCACCCCATACCCCCTCGCTCCCTCCCTCCTCGCTAAACTTTTGAAAGACCCCTCACTGTTCCCTAGCTCAGTGGGCCTGCCAGCCTTTCCAAGCTGTGGGGCAGGAAGGCAGCAGGACTTGCTTTTGAGGTAGAGAGGGGCCTAGAAGGCAATTCGGGAGAGGACTAGAATATTCTGGGCACAAGGTAGGCAAAGAGAGGGGGCCAGTGATGGAGGAGGAATCCAGTTTTCAATTTTCCTCAACAGAAAAATGAGTGCATGAGAGACAGAATAATTTTCCAGTGTGCAGGCCCTAAGTGAAACCTCCTTGAGACATTGTGAGTCATTAAAGAGGAGGAAAGAAAAGAAATGGTAAAATCAGTTTGCCTTTAGCAGAACTGTACAATGCACTCTTATTTCCAGGGGAATCTAATTAGAGGGCAGACAGCCGAGCCTGGAAGGGGAAGAAAGCCAGAGGTTGGGGCTGGGAGGCCCCAGTGGGCCAGGTGGGAGGAGGGTGTGATGGTGGAGGTTGGGCCCTGGGAGGACGACCTTGGAGAGACATATTCCCTCCCAGCATCTCGGAGGGCTCAGCAGGCCTGGATTCAAATCCTGAATCTTGGCCCTGCCTTATATCTTTGGGTTGGTGGCATAACCAGTACCTCCACTTTCTTCATTTTAAAATGGGAACAGGCCAGGCCTGGTGGTTCATACCTGTAACCCCAGTGCTTTGGGAGACTGAAGCAGGAGGATCACTCGAGGCCAGGAGCTGGCATAGCAAGACCCTAACTCTATAAAAAAAAAAAAAAATTAAAAAATGAGCCAGGCATGGTGGTGCCCACCTGTAGTCCTAGCTGCTTGGGAGGTCGAGGCAGGAGGATCACTTAAGCCCAGGAGTTAGAGGCTGCACTGAGCTATAATTGCATCACTGCACTTCAGCCTGGGTGACAGAACAAGACCCTGTCTCTTAAAAAAAAAAAAGTAAATAAATAACTAAATAAAATAGGAATAATAAAGTTCCTGTTGGTGTAGTTGTCAAGATGAAATGAGGGAATGTCTGAGCAGAGTATGGCACATACAGGGCACTCTGTGAGTGTTTGTTTCTGTCCCTCCTCATTCACCAAGGTGATCAGCCTGATGTCCAACCCTAACAGCTTCCTCATCCCACGCACCCTTGATAATACCCTTTACTTTCCAGAATCTCCCTTTGCCATCTCCTGTTCTTTCACCACTGCCCCTCTGAAACTAGCCACCAGGTCCCCTGGCATCCTGGTATTACAGATCTAGCTTAGCCTCTGAGACCACCAAGCCATCCCCTTCCCCCATCTCTTACAGAATACATAAGATTCTTATAATAAAATATCAACTTTTTTTTGTTTAGAAACATGTAACAGGAAATAAATGTCCTCAGGATTGTAAGGGTGCGCCATGCACCCACCCAGCAGAACCATGGCTGGCAGGAGGTGTGTGTCCTTCCATGTCAATTTCAGGAAACACGAGGTGCAGCATCTTCCCAGGATATGCATCCCTGTCTCAGATGCAGTGTCCCCTCCTGCCAAATGCGGCCCTAGACTGGAGAGCACTGTGTTTTTTTTTTTTTTTTTTTTTGTGAGACTAAGTCTCGCTCGCTCTGTCGCCCAGGCTGGAGTGCAATGGCGAGATCTGGGCTCACTGCAACCTCCGCCTCCCATGTTTAAGCAATTCTCCTGCCTCAGCCTCCCGAGTAGCTGGGATTATAAGCATGTACTACCACGCCCGGCTAATTTTTGTAGTTTTGGTAGAGAGGGGGGTTTCATCAGGTTGGCCAGGCTAGTCTTGAACTGACCTCAGGTGATCTGCCTGCCTCAGCCTCCGAAAATGCTGGGATGACAGGAGTGAGCCACTGCATCTGGCCAGAGCACTGGTATTTTATGAAGCCTCTATCGGGGCTATTTAGAGCAAGCACAGCACGGCGCTGATGCGGGGAAGAGGAGGTAAAAGATTGTGGATGCAGCAGCACTGGCACATGCAGAGCTGCAATTTCCAAGGCCTCCTCACTGCCCTCCCTTAGTGAAAGGGAGTTGGAGTGGCAAGGGGTCTGTAGCGTGGGTTCCGACTCCCGATGGGCCTGGGTTCAAGTCCTGACCCAGCCACATATAGCTGTGTGACCTTGGATAAATCACTGCCCCTCTCAGAGTCTCTTCTTTAGGACTGGTTTAATATTGATGCCTACCATCTCTGAGCGCTTGGAATGATGACAATTACGCATGCAAAGCTTAGTACCTGGCATAAGGCAAGAGCGTCATAGACACCCGTTACCACTGTTTTATCCCCATGGAGAAGACCACATGCTCTTCAGAACTAAGAAGCCCAATCCCACACGGTCAGCTCCTTAAGTGAACACATTTTTGTCCACTCCCAAATATCTAGAAGCATGACTTCGTGCCCTGTCAGAACCAGTGTGTTTTCAGATTGTACCACCCCCTGCTAGTTTAATGTAACTAACCTATGGTTGGCCACATTTTTGGAAAATAACATTGTTTATTTGATCAAGATTCAGTAAACTGGGCTCAGAGCAATAATTGTCCCAGGGTGCGAGTAACAGATTTTATTTTTATTGATCAAAAAAAAGTTTTTATCTAAAACACATCAAACTTTTAAAAGGCGTCAACAGCAGGATCAAATTGGATTTTAACTCCTTTAAAAAGTGGCTCCTTCAGGAACCCATTCCAAAGATGTCCGACCCTTTGCAGTGAGATACTCAAACCCCAGGGTGGATGAGGGATTCCACGGGCAAGGGAGGTTATTTTGGAGCCATAATGAAGACACTGCATTTGCATTTGGGGGCCCTCTGAGCAGCTGAGACATCTGGAAGCAGAAGGGGGAATTCGACGGAATATCTGTGTGTTGGTTTAGAGTGTCAGTCCTCGACCTCTTGGAACTGTTCAGCTGGCTAGCTGGGGCTTCCAGCGTGGGGCCAGGTGTCTGGTGTTGCATAAATACATCTCTAATGAAATTATTGTACAAAACAATCCTAACACACTCACCAACAATCACGTTGGCTTGAAGAGCAAACTATTTGGAACATTGCACCTTATTGCACAGATCTGGCCATATAGGAGGACGCAATTCTTTGACTCCTTCAACAAATGTCTGTTGAGCAATTACCATGGGCCAGGCCCTCTTCTGGGCATTGAGGATAAAGCAATGAATAAAACAGATAAAATCCTTATCTTCTTGGAGCGGAAACAGGGTTCCTCCAAATAATTCAAGAGGGGAGGCTGGAAGACAGCTCATGGAGGAGGTAGGTGTCCGGTGTGGTTCCTGACTTCAGTCTTTTAAAGGCCACTCTCCTGATACTATGACGGCTCTTTCTCCTTGCAAACACCAGTGACACACCTGATTGCTGAACACAAAGGAAAAGATGGTGAGGAGAAACGGGACTTAGGGAAAGAGCCAGGGTGGAGAAGAAGAGGTGAAAAGAGGTGAGTTCAGAGCCCGGAGCAGGCAGGGAGGCAGGCTTCCAGGCTGTGGTCTGTCAAGAATCTGATGGCACAGCCACCATGGCAAGTTGCAGGAGCAGGCACAGAGAAAGAAGTTCCTCCTCCAAGCTGGCCCCCTTGGCATCGTCTCCACCCTTCCCATGTGAAAAAGATCCAGGGCTTTGGAGCCACGAGGGGCTAGGGCATGGCACCGCTGTCTGTCCCCCTTTTTCCACTGTGCTGATGGGTGAGAGGGGTTGTGTGTTTCTCCCCAGGCTCTTGCTCCCTTTCACAGAGCAGCGTGGTCCTGTTTATTTGCTGATGCTGGTTTTCTCTGCATTTCTATAGAACAGTGGTTCTCAAATTGTGAACCACCCCCACCAACAGCAGTGGCAGCATCATCTGGGAACTTGCTGGGAATGAGACTTCCTAGGCTCCCTCATGGGGCCCAACAACCTGTGTTTCCAGAGGCCCTCTAGGTGATTCTGATGCTGCTAACACTTGACAGCTGGTCTAGAAGATGTTGGGGAGGTGGCTTGCTTTGCTTAAAATGCATTCATTGGCTTCGGTGTCTGCCCCACCTGGGTTTGGATGGAGACTTTGCTGCTTAGCATCTGAGCAAGTCTGCACCTCTTTTTGAGTGTTTGAAAGAGTCCTCTTCCCACGAGATGATTGTGAGGGTTCTATGAAAGGATGTAGTGCACGATGACTTCCTGGGACATAGTGGACCCTCAGCAGCCCCCTTCTTTCCTCTGTGGCTGCCTTACCTGACACACGCCCACCATGAAAAAAAGCCGAAAGTGTCCAATAGGCACGTGCCGATCGCCTTGGAAAAATCAACCTCACCAACTCTGACAGCAACAGAACCACAGCATCTTAGAATCACAGAATCTTAAGATGTTAGAACCAAAAAGGGAATATTTAGCCCCACCCAGCCTACCCAGTTTTTATGGGTGAAGGAACAGAGGCTCAGAGAGACCACCTACCTGGCCAAGGTGACATAGCATGTCAGGGCATCTCTCCTCTCCCCAGCCCAATTGCATGCCGGTGCTGTCCTGGGCTCTGGAGGTGGGGTAATTAATACATCAGATACAGCCCAGGACCCCTTCTCAGGCTGTCCCCCCAACCCCACCTGCTGTCCTGCTCTCTGAACAGCTTTGCAGAGACTCTTAGCCAGGAAGCCGAAATGAGCCCCCGGCTGCTTTTTGTAAACAGCTTTTGAAGTCTCATTTTCTGTCGCAGCTCTCATAACTAGCTCAGAACGGGGCTCATACCTGTGTTCGACCCCGATGTGTTGAGTGAATTCATATCTTGAAGGCATGGCTCTAAGTTCGAGTCTCTCTTTCACTTCTTCTCTTGGTGGTGTCTCGGGGGCCAGGAGTCCCGGCAGCGGGGAGATGCAGCAGGCCCCAGGGTCGCTCCCCTGATCAGGGCAGGTGACAGCCCTCACTTAGCCTCCCATCTGCCCACCAGCATCCCTGCACCAGGAGCTGGCTCCAAGCCGGGGTCCGCTCAGGACCAAGTTTTCCAGGGTTGGGGCATCTGCCTGACATAATACGTAACAGTAATTAAGAAATAAGCCACCTCGCCCAGCTTCACAGCAATCATTTGGCTAAGTAACTACCATGGTCCAGTGCCTCAAAAATCACCATTAGAGTACGCTCCTTATGGCCATAAAATTTCTCGTTTTCTGCCTTTCACCAGCCTCCCCCTGCCATCTTCGCCTTGCTTTATTTATACATTCGTCCTCAAACAATGGCAATAAACTCTTTCCCAGAGTGTTGCAAATCAGAAATTTGTCCACATTTTTCCACCACCTTCCACTGTGGACCTGCTCTGCCTGGGAACGGCCCATCCAGGCCAGCTGGAGAGGGCTGGGTTGCAGTAGATTGATGGGGGCACGACAGGTTGGGGTTGCTGGGGAGAGAGGGTGGGGAGGGGGGCAGCGGGAGAATGCACCATGAAAGGCCTCTCGCTGCCCAGCGACCAGCCGGAGACACAAGAGGCCCATGAGTGGCTGGGGGAGGGGAGGGGAGGGGAGGGGAAGTTGGGGGAGGAGAGGGGAAAGGAAGGATAAGTCTTCCCCACCCCCTTCTCCTAAGAGGAAAAGAGGGGGATTGGGGGATCCTGGGAGGCAGGGCAGGCCCCAGGCAGAATGGGAGGGTGATGAAATTGGTCCTTCCCCTCCCCCACAGGAAGCAGATGATCTCAGGGTGTCCTGTAGCTCATGCTGCACACGCAACTTAGGATCATAGTCCCTTCTGAAACTCCTCACCACCCCCACCAGTCAATGATCCTTTCTCCAGCAACAGGCATTGTTGAGAGCCAGCCCCGCTGTATGCCTGGCACTGTCCTGAACCCTGAAGGTGGAGTTTATCCATCAGATACAGCCCAGACCCCTTCTCAGGGGGCTGTTCTTTGAGATCCAGGAAGACCCCTTGGTTTTAGGGGTAGGGAAAATGCAGCTCAGAGAGGGGTTTAGAGGTGAAGTCAGGGACAAACTTCAGGGTTTCAACCCCAAGCCCCCTCGTCTTTACAGCCAGCCCACGGGCTCCTGGGGGATGCCCCTCTGGGCAAGGTGAAGAGTCCTCTCATCTAAATGGGGCATGCTAGCTGACTGTAGGTGATTTGGGGGACACTTCCGCCCTGACAACTCGTGTTTTAATCTGGCATTCCTGGAGGCAGTAGCAGGGGAAATAACCAAGTTGATGGCTTTGGTGTTGGTGTCTCCAGAGGGTGAAGTCTGTTTCATAGGGTGGGCTTCTCAGGTGGAGATCTTGTTTCTAAGGGGGGCGGCATGGCCTCCATTACAGCAACTGCCCCAGTGGTGGGGGTGTCAGGCTTATGTTTCCAGTGATCCTGCTTGACTTTCTCATCAGCACTCCAGGACCGGCGCACAGCAGACCCATCTTTCGGAGAGTGGGTCTCTTTCATGGTGGCATGATCCTGAGACCCCTAGTTCCTGTTGCAATGAACATTCACTGCTGTAGCTTTTGTTAGTGTGGTTTGTGAGGCACCAGTGGGTGCTTGGTGAACACCTGTTGGGCACATGCTTCTCTGTACACCTTGTTAGGTGCACAGAATGTTAGGTTTCAGAGTTTTCCTGGGAGGCCTATTTGAAGGAAGATAGAAATGTGGGGATAGACGGGAAGCTGGAAGCATAGAAATAACTCTGGAGGGAAAAGAAACTGGCACAGAGTCCTGGGAGAGAAGCTGTGACTCTGGGGAAGCTTAATCAGTTCTCCTTGCTGTGTGTGTAATGATGAGGGTCCGTGGCTTCTTTATTTAACTGATGGCTGCAGTTCCTTTAGACTGTGATTAAAAGCATTCTAGCCAGGCGCAGTGGCTCACGGCTGTAATCTCAGCACTTTGGGAGGCTGAGGTGGGCAGATCACAAAGTCAGGAGTTCAAGACCAGCCTGACCAATATGGTGCAACCCTGTCTCTACTAAGCATACAAAAATTAGCCGGGCGTGGTGGCATTCTCCTGTAGTCCCAGCTACTCCGGAGGCTGAGGCAGGAGAAATGCTTCAACCCAGGAGGTGGAGGTTACACTGAGCCAAGATCGTGCCACTGCACTCCAGCCTGGGTGACAGAGCGAGACTCCGTCTGAAAAAAAAAAAAAAAGAAAAAGAAAAGAAAGAAAGAAAAGAAGCATTTAGCCGGGCGCAGTGGCTCACGCCTGTAATCCCAGCACTTTGGGAGGCCGAAGCAGGTGGATTACCTGAGGTTGGGAATTCGTGACAAGCCTGACCAACATGGAGAAACCCTGTTTCTACTAAAAATACAAAATTAGCTGAGCATGGTGGTGCATGCCTACTCAAGAGGCTGAGACAGGAGAATCGCTTGAACCCAGGAGGCGGAGGTTGCAGTGAGCCGAGATTGTGCCATTGCACTCCAGCTTGGACAACAAGAGCAAAACTCTATCTCAAAAATAAAAAAAAAAGTGTTCTAGAATGATAGGAACTACAGAGCTGTTCTTAGTTACCCTGCCCTCGAGTAATGCCCGATATAAGAAAAAATAGAGTTTCCATCCTCGAGGAACTCCCTGTCTTATTGTAAAGGCACCATCTCTACCCTGAGCTGTCCTCAGTTTGATGGGGAGATGGACTTTCCACACATATCCACTAAAAGCTAATGATTAGTCTCCAGCAGGAGTTGATACCAAGGGCTGAGAAGATGGCACAGGCAGCAAGTGCCACAGGGATTCAAGCAGAGTTCTCTGGATGTGGTAGTCCTGGAGGGCTTCATGGATTATGTGGCCTTCATGTCTAGATTGGGAGGATGGTGGGGTTAGACAACAGGAACTAATTTGAAGCCATCATCCCAGGGCACAAGTCGGTATGGAGGCTGGAAGTGGCTCTGCAGGGTGGGCATGTTTGAGCCTGTGCAGGAGACCTGGCATGGCACGCTCAGAAGTGCCCATCGCGATGGTTAAGAGGGCTCTGGGACTGGCTGCCTGGCCGTCACGGTCACTCTGCCATTGAGTTACTTAACCCCTTTGAGCCTCAGTTTTCACACCTGTAAAATGGGGCTAATAGAAATACTGATGAGCATTGTAGTGAGGTGTTGTGATTTGCTACAGGAAAGGTGCTTCGTAAGGTCAAAGCACACCAGCAGCGGTTTGAACGCTTCTTCTCTGTGGCCTTCACACCCAGCCCCACTGGGGGATGCTGCATGGGTTCACAGAGCCCCATCTTCAGGGTAGAGTGAGCCCCAGGTTTAAGTCCTTCTTCATGGCTGAGCCCGGAAGCAGGGAGTTACATGGACAGAGGGACGAGGCCCAAAGCCATTTTCCATCTCCACCTCCAAACAACTTTCCAACTGGACACAGCCCCTGTGTCTCCCAGGGCTCCAGCACTGAGGAGGGGTGAGGGCGTGGGGAGGGGGAGAAGGAGGGTCCCGCAGGCTTGGCCTCTCAGGCATATGGTCCTTTCACAGCCGCTTTGTGGGGCGCGGATGGGTGGTCAGGCTGCCTTTTCCTTTCCATGCCGGGCAGCTTCATCTGGCCACTGGAGCCCCAGCTGCTGCTCTTTCCCCTCTGCTGATTTTGAGACCTCTCCTTAGGCCTCCCCTGCTCCAGCTTCCTGGGCGTCTGTCTTCCTCTGGCCCCTTAGTGCCTCTAGCATTTATGCTACAGCTGAATCACTTACCTGAGACCACCTGGCCCCCTCTTCTCTGTAGGTACGTTTTGCATCCAGGACAGATTTCTGGGAAAAGGATGGGATGGGATGGACGTGGGGTCTGTAGGCATGGCTTGGGGATCTGCAAAGCCTCCACCGTGGAAGAATAAGGAAAGGATGACAAAGGCATGTTCATTCATTCAGTCAGTTGTTCATTCATTCAGGCATTTGTTCATTCATTCATCCATGCATTCATTCCTTGCCTTTGTGTTTTGCGCCAGGCAACTGTGCTTGCCTCTGAGGGATACAGAAGTAAAATAGGTCCACACTACATGGAGGGGCCAATAATAACAATAGCAGCAATAATAATCGCTAACATGGATTGGGTGCTTACTGAGTACCTGGAACTGTTCTTGCCTTGCAGTAATTCCTTTCATCTTTGTGCATGACAACTCTGTGGGGTTGGTACTATTCTTGTCCTCATTTTACAGATGAGGAAATTGAGGCCCAGAGGGATGAAGTTACTTTCCTAGGTTAGTGGGGGGCTGGGACAGTTGTATCAAGGGTACCTCTGTCTGTGTATTTCTCAAGGTTCCCACCCCTGGAGCTGCATCAGTACCCTAGGGAATAGGCAGGATGGCAGCTCTTATTCCCAGGGGGATGGATAAGCAAATAGAGATTCCAAGAGGACAAGTGACAAGTGACATGCTCAGGGTCACACAGCAGGTCATGGATGAGCCCAGAGTGCCAACTCCCCACCTGCCAGGCTTCTGTTCTGAAGGAGAGGAGAGACTGGGTCTGGGATTGGTGGCTGGCAGGCTGGCCAGCCCAGGAGCGCCTGTCACACACAAGGCTGGGAGCTCAGCCTCCATCTAGTTTTCCTCACCTCCCCTCCTCCTTTCTGTCTCCCATCACTCTCACCATTTAGAAATAACAAGAACGAGGCTCAGGACTTAAACATACCCAGGAGTTATGGCTGGTAGGAGGCAGATTCCGAACTCAAACCCAGGTCCGTCTGACCTCACTGCCTCTACTCTTCTCACCTCTCCCCCAGTGCCAGCCCTTGCTACCTCCACCACACTTTGTAAGATAGGACCAAGCGGGCAAGCCCTTCAGGAGCAGCATAGTGACCTCTGCTCTGCCCAGCACAATCGTTGCTCTCCCTGCTGCTTAAATAACTTGGATGAGTAAATGATTGAAATAACCCATGAGAGAAGTGAATGAGAACTAGTGAGTAATTTCAAGATGGACTTAAAGTCACAGGAAGAGTGTAAAAGATTTTGAGCCGGGCGCGGTGGCTCACGCCTGTAATCCCAGCACTTTGGGAGGCTTTGGGAGGCTAAGGTGGGCAGATCACCTGAGCTCAGGAGTTCAAGACCAGCCTGACCAACATGGAGAAACCCACTCTCTACTAAAAATACAAAGTTAGCCAGGCATGGTGGCACATGCCTGTAATCCCAGCTACTCGGAAGGCTGAGGCAGGAGAATCGCTTGAACCTGGGAGGCGGAGGTTGCGGTGAGCTGAGATTGTACCATTGCACTCCAGCCTGGGCAACAAGAGCAAAACTCCGTAAAAAAAAAAAAAAAAAAAAAAAAAAAGATTTTGAGCTGAGCTCCTCATAGAGTGGGCCTGCCCCTGCCCCCAAGGTGCCCTCTTAAAATGTCCCACCTCATCCTCCTCACTAATTCACAGCTGCCACCCCTTCCAAAACTCCATATTAGCTGCACAGGACACCAGCATGTTAAAGAGACCAAGTTAGAAGGGTCCTCATGATATCTTCAACTTCAACCTCTTGCTTCATCTCCCATATGTGCTTTGTGCTTGGTTCACAGCTTGGCGCAGAAGAAAGAGCTCTGGGTCTGCCACGAGAATACAGGGCTCTGAATTCTGTCCATGCAACTACACAGTACCATTTCCAGCAGTACTACTTCCTTCTTCCTAGAAAGGCTCTTTCCTGGCAGGAATGTATACACAGTGCCCTCTAGTGTCTAAGGACAGTACCATGCTGCTAGCAGAGAGCCAGGATCAGAGAATGCCCCACTGCAGTTTCCCCTTGCATCAGATTTTGTGGTGCAAATCATCTACCTAGGGCTTAGAATTTATTTTATTTTATTTTATTTTATTTTATTTTATTTTATTTTATTTTATTTTATTTTATTTTTATTTTTATTTTTTGATACGGCGTTTCATTCTTGTTGCCCAGGCTGGAGTGCAATGGTGCAATCTCAGCTTACTGCAACCTCTGCCTCACGGGTTCAAGTGATTCTTCTGCCTCAGCTGGGATTACAGGCATGCACCAACATGTCTGGCTAATTTTGTATTTTTAGTAGAGACGGGTTTCACCATGTTGGTCAGGCTGGTCTCGAACTCCTGACCTCAGATGATCCACCCACCTTGGCCTCCCAAAGTGCTGGGATTACAGGTGTGGGCCACTATGTCCGGCCGGGCTTAGAATTTTAAAATCCGGCCTGGTGGGGTTCGATGGGAGCTCCCTGGAGAAAAAGTTTTGTCAAGTTTTGTGAACAAGGTGAGAGTCCAACTCTGGCTTTCCTAAAGACACTCTCCTCCCTCCCTCCTCTCCTTGAGTTGGGAGAGTGAAATTGAACCTGTGGGGGTCTCTCAGTCACTGGGAGAGAGTGTAGGATTTGGAGTCAGACAGAGCATATTTGGATCCTCACATTGCCAATGCTTCCTAGCCCCCAGGAGGCCTCTGGGGCAGCCAGAGGACCTGGCCATGGAGCCTGAGGCCTAGGTTCTGGTTAGGGGCCGGTGGGACCCTTCAGACATCAGCATGGAGGAGTCTTGCCCTTTGCCAGCTGTTGGGCCCCATGGAGGGGGAGGAGCCATGTTGCCCCCTTTCTAGAATCTCCTTCGAGAAGAAGCAAGAAGTGTTCTCCCTGGATCAATGCCAGCTCACCCTGTCTTCTTCCCAGTGGAGAACTGGGGATGGGAGGAGCAGCCTGAAGTGGGCGGGACTCCAGCCCTAGAAAACCCCACATTAGAATCCCACCCTGCCACCTTCTGGCAGTGGCCCTGGGCAAGTCCCTGAGACTCTGAGCTGCCACCCCCTCCTCTGGGGCCAGCAACTTGGTGGTTTAGCCTTGGTCCAAGGGCTGGAGATAATGGACTCCCCAGATGTGCTGTGGCCTTAAGACATTCTCGGCCCCTCCTGGGTCTGCCTGGGAAGGGGAGAGAGGAGGTGCTGCCGGGCTGTGGGGGCGGGGTAGGCAGGACCTAGGGAGTTGATGGAGAACCCATCTTTCAAGGACTGGTCTCAAGGGGAATATGCAGAGCCCCCTCCCTGCTCCTGTACCCTCACTCAATCCCCTTCTCCACCTGTCCCTGCACAGCTGCCCAGCTGCCTGGGTGGGGCAGGGCACCTGGCTGGGGTCCCTGCTCACCAGGACAGGGGAGTACCTGTGTGGGGGAAGTGGATGGGGGTCAGGAAAGTGGTCAGCTACAGCCAGAAACCAGAGCAGGGCCAACTGGTCAGGCGGTTGACTCAGTGGCTCTATCCAGGACCTGACCTCCCCTCCACCCATCTCCCCTGCACCCCCAGAGTAGGGCTGGGTTGATTTCACCTTTGAACTCCTAGATACTGGGACTGAGTGAGCACACAGACACATTTGAAATGAATCAAGCGTGGATAGTTTTGCTCTGTCTCAGCAATGAGAATGCAGCTATGGATACCTTAGACCCAGAGCACCGAGGAAGGCTTACCTGTCCCCGGCACTGTTGTTTTTCTAAATTTCGTTTTCTTTGAACATTCAGTTGTTACCAACCCAGCACTACTTTATGTGCCGTAAGATACCAAGTCATTTTATCATCCATTCATTCATGCAACAAATATTTGAGTGTCCACTTTGTGCTGAGCATTGGAGATTCGGCAACGAATCAATGAATTTGAATGAATTTGGACAGTCAATGCTCTTGACTATCCAAAGGACAGTCAAGAATGCCCATTGGCCGGGTGCGGTGGCTCATGCCTGTAATCCCAGCACTGTGGGAGGCTGAGGCGGATGGATCATCTGAGGTCAGGAGTTTGAGACCAGCCTGGCCAAAATGGCAAAACCTTGTCTCTGCTAAAAATACAAAAATTAGTCCGGCACGGTGGTCGGTGCCTCTAATCCCAGCTACTCGGGAGGCTAAGGCATGAGAATCACTTGAGCCTGGGAGGCGGATGTTGCAGTGAGCTGAGATCAAGCCACCGCACTCAAGTGTGGGCAACACAGGGAGACTGTCTCAAAAATAATAATAATAATAATACCCATCCTTGTGGAGTGTGCGGTGGGTGGTGGATGGGTGCTGGGGACAGATGACAAAACAGAATACATAGCACGTCTGTGATTGTGCTGAGGGAGGGTCGAGGGTTTCTCTGTTATTATCTGTGTTTTCACATGTGGGGGCCACAGAATCCAGCCAGACTGAGCCCGGAGTCTGTGCTCCTCAGTGCCCGCTCTTCCTGGCCTGACCCGCTGCAAACTGCAGGGGTTCACCAGGCCATGAGGAGGGTGGGACAGGGCATGGGCAGAGGGCACAGCCTTTGCAAAGCCCTGCCATTGCTGGGGAAGAAGGTGGTGGCTGGAGTCCAGGAAGAGATGGGGTGGGCGGATGCCAGGACAGGTTCCAAGCTAACAGGGACTCGGGATCTCCTGGCCTCAGTGCTGGGCCAGCTGCATGAGAGGCGTGAAGGGAGAGGAGGGGATGAAGGACAGTGCTGGCTGGGTATGGTGCCCAATGCTGAGATGAGCTCCCAAAAGGAGTGTGAGCAGAAGAGGTGGACTGTAATGGGACGCTTCATCCTCTCCTGGGCCCCCAAGGAGGTTTAACTTGGATTCCAAGCCCCTGCCTCTCAGTCTGCTCCTCCGTCGCCCTGTCCTTGTGTGCAATCTGACTCCCGCAGCCACGCCCGAGCCCCGTACACCGTGCGCTGGTTACAGCTGAGCAGTTCCCTCGGAGGAGCAGGGAGGGCCCTTGCCATGGTCCCGGCTTGCCGGGCCCCCAGCTGAGCTGTAAATGACTTTTCCATTTTCTGAGACCTGCGCCCAGGCCTGTTTGGTATTCAGAGACGCCTGGCCCACACTCGCCAGCTCTCAGCTCTGCCCGAATTACTTGATTAAAACGCATATCAACTATTATGTGATTCGTTTCTCTGCCGCAGCTCAACACCGGGGCCTATGTTAAACTGTAAGAAAAGCTGGGTTGGGAGGCTGCGGGAGAGGGGAGCGCAGAAGCAGGGGTGGGAGGGTTTCCGGAGGGTGTGAGGGAGGCTGAGAGAAGGACCCCAAACCTCAGGGCCACTGCCGGCCTCCACTGATCCGGGATGGGTGATTTAGAAATGGGTCAGCTCCTGGTCCTCTGTGAGCTGGGTAGATTCAGAGATTGTGGCCACCTTATTTCAAGGCTTTTCCTCTGGCAAAAGAGGGAGGAGGGAAAGGTTGGGGATGGAAGAGAAGCCACGTTGGTTTTCAGGACCAGAAATGGAATTTTCCATCACCCGGGAACTTGCTGTAGCCATATTGGCCTTCTCCGGGCTGGGAGTCCTGAGTCCTGGGTTTACTTTGCAGCCCCACTGCCCTGAGACTCCACTGAACATCTGTAGAATGGGGATAACACTGCCTGCCTTCCCCTCCCTTTATTGGGAGAAACTGTTGGGACAACAAAAGGGCTTGTAAACTGTAGAGTGTTGTGTGCAAGTTCGGGGGGTGACTGCTGCAGTGTGTCAGAGTTTAAGAGAGACTTTGCCAAGCTCTGTCAAGCTCTATTCATTCAAGAGGCCTTTATTGAGCACATGCTGTGTCCTAGGCATAGTCCCTGCCGCACTCAAGGATCTCCCAGACCAGTGAGACCCACAGACCCATAAACAGTCTAGTTCAGTGTCTCCTGATGAGCTTTGAGAACGCCAAGAAAGGGAACTGAAATCACCTTGGATGGGCCCAGGAAGCCTTGCTGGGGGAGGTGGCCCAAGAGCTGGATGGTGCTGGGTGAGCACTCCCAGGAAGAGGGAAGGCACTCTGAGCAGAGGAAGCTCATGTTCAAAGGCGTCAAAGCAAGACCCACCTGGCTCACTCACTCACAGAAGCCATGAGTGGCTGGACAGGGAACTGTATGGGATGGCAAGGTGAGTGGGGACACATGGGCAAGGCCCATAGTGGTTGAGGCCTTGCTGGCGTGGCTGAGGCTTCCTGGCACATGCTGGCAGTCAGTGATGGCTTCCAGAGGTCAGTAGCTGTGAAAGGAGGCTTTGAAGGGAGAGGCAAAGGCTGGGGGAGAGATGATGGGAGCTGCCCCCAGCAACCTTCCATCCATCACCATCACCATCACCATCACCATCACCATCACCACCATCACCTCAGCCTGGGCCGGACTTTGCCCGGCCAACTTGCTCCTGCCCACCCCAAAGCTTTGACAACGCAAATGGCTCCCAGCACCTTCCGCCCCTCATTCTGTCCTAAGGCTCTGCTGCTTTAACGAGCCACAAGCTGCCTTGATGTTTTACGTCTGTCCTGTGCCCCGGTTCATCTGGCAGTGTTTCCTCCACTGGACTGGAAAATCCCCAGGACAAGGTGATACCTCCTCCATCTGACTGGGAGCTTCCTAAAACAGAGGCTGTTTCTCCCCCATGAGATTGGGAGGTCTCTCAGGTAGGAGCTGCAATTCTCCTTTGCTCAGTATGGACTGCTCCACATCCCTGACTAGAGACAGGATCCAGGAACTCAGAGAAAGCATCTCTCCCTGTATCCTTCTCTTTTGGGGCAATCTCCAGACCAGCACCCCCTGGGACCATCCCATTCCTTAGCTGTTTGATAGTGCGAGGGCAGGAGCCCAGGCTGGCCATGAGGCTGCTCCCCTACTGCGTACCCCGAATCTGGCTGCCGTTTAATGAATGCGTTCCCATGTTCACTCCCCCCACGTCCCCCTCCTCGAACCAGCTGCCCAGGCTTCACCAAGGTACCTGCTTTTGGTACACAGAAGACTCAGCCCCAACCAGCAGGGCCTCTGTGGCCAATTCCACCTAATCCTGTTGATTAATTTAACTCTGAGGCTAAAGGATTTCCAGGGGTGGGGAGAGAGAAGGGCACCCCAAGAGAGTGGGGGTGCAGGAAGCTGAAGTGAGGTTGATGTGGTGGCATTGGGGCTCTTTGTGTCTTCTCACACTGCTTTGACCCTGTACTCCCCGCCCCGTTTCCTTTTCTGTCATCACCACCGTCATTGTCCTCATCATCAACAATAGTAATAGCCTTCATGGGTCCTTGAAGTTGCAAATTACTCCTATCATCTTTATTTTATTTTATTATTATTATTATTATTTTTTGAGACAGAGTCTTGCTCTGTTGCCCTGGGGGACATGCAGTGGCGTGATCTCAGCTCACTGCAACCTCCACCTCCCAGATAGAAGTGATTCTCCTGCCTCAGCCTCTCAAGTAGCTGGGATTACAGGCGCATACCACCATGCCCAGCTAATTTTTGTATTTTTAGTAGAGACGGGGTTTCACCATGTTGCCCAGGGTGGTCTTGAACTCCTGACCTCAGGTGATCCACCCGCCTCAGCCTCCCAAAGTGCTGGGATTATAGACATGAGCCACCACACCAGGCCCCATCATCTTTATCTCATTCCATTCTCAAAGCCATCCAGGGAGGGAGGCATACAAGGGTGTATTGTTATCTTCATTTTTATAGCGGAGAAAACCAAGGTCCTGAGAAGGGGAGCGACTTGTCCAAGACCACACAGCTAGGGAAAGACAGAGCCCACAAGCCAGGTCTCAGGCTGCCGAGACCAGGATTCCTGATTAGACCGGGGCTGTCCCAGAGGACCCTCAAACTCCTTCCCAATCTGTCCCTTCCCGCCAATCCCTCTCCAGGGCTCACTGGCTGTGTGTCCTCCATCCAAGTGACTGAACCTCTCTGAGCCTCGGTATACCTATTTGTAAAAGAGTCAATAGTCCCTGCTTCACAGACCTATGAAGGCTGGCACAGAGGTTTCTAAAATGGGGGTCTCTTCCCCTGAGCTTGGCCAAGGCGGGTAGTGGATGCTCTTTTTTAGGGGTTGAAGTCACAAACAAACTGCAGTTCTGTTCTCTTGAGATCTCTCTGGATCTCGGTGGGCAGTGAGACAGAGCTCTGCCCTCCCCACTCAGTGTCCAGAGGGTTGTTATGGCAACCTCCAACATCCAAGAGGATCATGCCAGATCCTTTCGGACAAGAGAGATCTGTGGGCCCTGCTTGGCCTTCCCCAGTCTGGGCTTCGGTCTGGGCATCTCTCTGGATCCACGGAGTTCCCCAGATCCCTGCAGAATAAGGAGTGGGAGGGACAAGGAGACAGGAAGGAATTAGACCCAGAACTCCATGGTGAGTCTAGAAAGCTGCAGGTGACTTGCAGGACCCAGGGATCAGCTGAAGCATGGGAGGGCACTGGGGCCCGGGGCTTGGCAGAAGCACTTGAATTTTATCTCTCAGTGGCATAAAGCAAATGTTGGTCCTTTGCTAACTGCAGTCATGATTTTGGTCACAACTCTATATCTTGTCCTATTATTTCCTTAATATTTTACTATATCTAAAAGCACCTTTAAAAAACTAATTCAAGGATACTAATGCTCTTATAAATGGAAAATGAGTATCATTTCCTGTAAATAGATGGGAACCATAAAAACCATAAATAGCATAAAAACAAGGAACGTTGTTAAATTCTACCTAGAGACTAGCACACGGGAAGTTGTGAGCGTGGGGCCTGCCCTCTCTTTGTTAAGAAGAGACAACAACTGTGTTAATGACTGTATCGGATTGTGCTGGCCTCAGTGGTGGCCACCAGCCACGTGTGACTATGCAAATTTGAATTACAATTAAATACAATGAAAGACGAAGTTCTTCAGTTGCAGTAGGGAAGTTTCAGGTGCTCAAAACCCCATGTAGCTAGTACTGCCACATTGAACACTGCGAATCTAGAACGTTTCCGTCATCGCAGAAACTTCTATTGGACAGCACTGCTCTAGAACTGAATGGAGACTCAGTCAGATTAGTATTTCCAGGCCAGGCATGGTGGCTCATGCCTGTAATCCCAGCAATTTGGGAGGCCGAAGCAGGCGGATCACCTGAGGTCAGGAGTTCAAGACCAGAGTTCGAGACTAGCCTGGCCAACATGGCAAAACCCTGTCTCTACTAGAAATACAAAAATTAGCTGGCCATGGTGGTGTGTGCCTGTAGTCCCAGCTACTCGGGAGGGTGAGGCACGACAACCATTTGAACCCGGGAGATGGAGGCTGCAGTGAGCAGAGATGGCGCCACTGCACTCTAGCCTGGGCGACAGAACAAAACTCCATCTCAAAAATATAAAAATAAAAAATAAATAAGAAAGACTAGGATTTCCCCCAGGACAAGGCTGTGCCTCCTCCATCAGACTGGGGCTTTCTGAGGGTAGGGCCTGTGTCTGCCCTCATCTCTGACCTCACAGCTCTGAGGACAGTCTCTGCCCAGAGACTGCACTCCCTACAACTCTAGTCCCCATCCGCCTCAGCTCCTGTCTGAGCTCAAGTGTCCTCACTGGAGAACTGAATCTGGTGCCCCACTCCCCATCCACGGGCTGGCCTCGCTGCCTGCCAGACAAATGCCTGCTTCCTTCTTCTGAAGCCCCAAGGGCTGGCTTCCGTTGTCACCGTCAGAACACTGAGGTTATGCACTGCATTTCAGGAATTGAATCCTTGGCATTAGTTGTATTTGGCTCTGAGCCCCAGAAATGGTGGGGAAGGGGCCCCAGGATGGCAGCTGTGCCCACTGTGGTCTCCCCACAGTGACTGGGGGGCTGGGTAACTGGAAGCCCTGGCAGGAAAGGCCAGGGCAGAGCCCTGGCAGGAAAAGCAAGGGCAGGGGTTAGATCTGACTCCAGGTCTCTGCCCTTGGGGATGAGCCAGGCCATGATGAAGGCAGGACTCCCTTGCAATCCATTCCTTCGCTGTGTGGCATGGCGTCACCATCAGAGACCACCTGGCACTGGCCAAAAAAAAAGCAAGGATAACTTTCCAACGGACAAGATAGCAGGATGGAAGGAAGTGGGCCCAGGGCAGAGAGGCATTGCCAAGATGGATGACCCTCCAGGCGCATGACCTCTCACACATCCGGGCCATACCCACCAGCTTCCTGGCTATGAATGTGGCACCATGATTAAATTACCCAGCATGCCTTTTGACACACCAGGCGTTTGCATGTGCTCTCCTGTCTGCCTGCAGTGCCCTTCCCTTCACCTCCACTTAACATGTAAGGCAGTACTAGTTTCTCTTTTTGTTTTTGTTGCGGGGAGGAGGGGGTTGCCCCTTGGGGGAGGGGCCTAGGCCTATTCCTATAATTAACACTTGAAGCGATTGGGAGGAAGGGATCTTTGTATTGGTGGAAGGGGTCAGGGGCGGGGAGCACAGTTTGAGTGAACCTCACGTTACCTTTCTGGGACTCAGCTTCTCCCATCTCTGATGCGAGCACAAGGTCTCCCAAGATCTTCTAGCTTGACTCAGGCTGAATGCTCCAAGCCCAGGGCTCAGGTCCTACCTTGCCCACTGCATACCTAGCCTCTTCAGGTGCATAGCAGATACTCAATAAATGCTTTAGGGGAAGGAGTGAATGAGTCAATGACAAAAAATAAAAGTGCTTCCAGGAATACCAGAGATGGAGAAGGAGAGGAAGGGGGAGAAAGAAATGAAGGCAAAAGAGAAAAAGGAGGAAGAGGAGTGGGGAGGAAGGAAGGTAGCCTCTGAGTGTCTGCTCTCTTTTCCATCTTCCTTTCTGCTTCCTCTTCTCTATGCTTCCCGCAGCTCCCCAGGGGCTGCTGAGGGGCAGCTTCAGCGCCCCGGCTGGGAGATGCCCTGCTAGCATCCCCTCTGTTGGGTCAGACGTGGGCAGGAGCCACAGGATTGATGGGGACAGGGAGCTGATACCTGGGTGTCTCAGCCCCAACAGCTAAGGAGGCTGAGCAGGGGCTTCCTGCAGCCTCCCTAGCTTGGGCCCAGGGCTGAAGCAGATTCCTGGCCTGATAACCCCAACCAGGCCTGGGAAGTGAGCTGACTCCAACCTTCTGGGCTCTCCAGGCCCAGGCCCAGGAAGCAACAGGCCTTCACCCACCCCCAGTCTCCATGGTGGAAATTAGTGGGGATAATGGGGTGGGGTCCATGGCCTTGACCAAGGTCATTCAGGTGAGGTCTCCTCTAGCCTGGGGGAATCACTCAGAGACCCTGGGACATCCCAGAGAGAGCTTGTCAGTGGAAGTCGCCTAATCCAAACCCTTCATGTCACAAATGGGGAAAGTGAGGCCCGAGGAGGGGAGGTGGCCTTCCCAGGGTCACCAGCATTTAGGAGCAGAGCCAGGCCTGGAATCTAAGCTTCTTGATGGGCAGCTCTGGACACGTGCACTTTTTCTTTTGATGAGACAGGGTCTTGCTCTGTTGTCCAGGCTGAAGTGTGGTGGTGTGATTGGCTTACTATAACCTGGAACTCCAGGGCTCAAGCGATTCTCCCACCTCAGCCTCTTGAGTATCTGGGACTACAGGCATGCACTTCCACACTCAGCTAATTTTCTTACTTTTTTCTGGAGGTTGGTTCTTACTGTGTTGTCCAGGCTGGTCTTGAACTCCTGGGCTCAAGCAATCCTCCTGCCTCAGCCTCCCAAAATGCTGGGATTACAGGCATGAGCCACCATACATGGAGGCCTTTTTCTTAAAGTCAGGATTATTGAGGTATAGTTAATATACAGTAAAATTCTGTCCTTTTAACTGAGAATACAGCTCTACGGATTTTGTCAAGTGTATCTCACCACGAAACCATCCCTTGAGTCTTATGTCATGGACATCCTTGCATGTCAGTGGAAATAAACAAAATGCCCAACCAGAGGGGACTGTTTTGTTGTTGTTTGTTTGTTTGTTTTTCCCTAAAGGGAAAGGTTTTACAAGAAAGTATTTAAGCAATACTCTAGGGTTGGGCATGGAGGTTGCTTCCCATCCTTCACATTGATAAACAATGCTAGGGTGAGCATCCTTCTATCTTGTGCTTGGGAGGAGTCTGATCGAAGTGCAGTCATGGGTCCTAGGTGGGCACGAGTGTGCCTTGTGCTCTCCTCCCAGACCCCGGCACCCTTCCATCTCTCTAAGCCCCTGCCTTCTCCCTCCCTCTCCTCCGGCTGTAGGGAACCGGCTGGACGAGGGCTCGGATGTGGAGTCGGAACCTGACCTCCCACTGAAGCGCAAGCAGCGACGCAGTCGGACCACATTCACGGCCGAGCAGCTGGAGGAGCTGGAGAAGGCCTTTGAGAGGACCCACTACCCAGACATATACACCCGCGAGGAGCTGGCGCAGAGGACCAAGCTGACAGAGGCGCGTGTGCAGGTGAGGAGGCACCTGCGGTGTCGGTGCTGCAGATATACTCCAGAGATTCAGAAGTTTGGGATGGCCAAGGTCAGTGGGTTTAATGGGACCCCTCGGGGGGTTTACAACAGGTTCAGGGGGTTGTGTAGGCAAGTAATGCCACCAGCATTTGATGCAGAGTTAGTTGGCAGCAAATGTTGGTTGACTGAGAGCTGGACAGCCCAAGGAGGAGGGAAGAATGAAGGGAGAGATAGAGGGAAGGGGGGAAGAAAAGGAAGAAGGTGGAAGGGAAAGAAGGACAAAAGAAGGAATGAAAGAAGGGAGGGAGGCCAGGTGTGGTGGCTCACACCTGAAATCCCAGCACTTCGGGAGGCCGAGGTGGGCGGATCACATGAGGTCAGCAGTTCAAGACCTGCCTGGCCAACATGGTGAAACCCCATCTCTACTAAAAACACAAAAATTAGCTGGGCTTGGTGACGGGCACCCGTAATCCCAGCTACTCGGGAGGCTGAGGCAGGAGAGTCACTTGAACGTGGGAGGCGGAGGTTGCAGTGAGCCAAGATTGCGCCACTGTACTCCAGCCTGGGTGACAGAGCGAGACTCCATCTCACAAAAAGAAAGAAAGAAAGAAGGGAGGGAGGGAGGGCATTAGTTCAGCCAGAAGAGAGGGTTTGGGGAGTATAAGAATCTCCAAATCTCTGATGAGCAGAGGAAGTGATCAGGAGGAAGATTTCCAAACAAGCCTAGCTTCCTCAGATGGATGATGAGTGTTCTGTTACCGGAAGCATGCACGTAGGCTGGGTAGGCCAGTTCCTGGCAGGTTAGATGCCTCAGGGCAGGGTGGGCAGCCCCCAAAGACCCTGAACATCCCCTCCATGGCCTCAATATATGGGAAGGAAGAGGGGAGAAGAGCAAGAGCCTCCCAATGGCTCGAGGACTGCCCCGCCTGCTCTCTGTCAGTGGGTTGAGGGGCAAAGGCCTGCTGTAGGGGGCCTGGGGACATTGCCTCACCTCCCCAGGCCAAACTCTCGGATTCCAGGAGGCCTACAGTTGTTCTCCAAGTGCAGGAGCCTCTCTGGGGATCTGGCTGGAAAGGGCTGAGGCTGGAGGGTTGGGGATGGAGGAGGAAGAGCCGGGACAAGTCGTGATGAACGGCTCTTGTGGGAATCCATTCCCTGGCTGTCTTCTGCATGGATTGGGAGGCATAGAGAGAGGGGAAAGATCCCCATTACCAGAATCTAAGCAGTGCTCAGGGAGTCAGAGCGGCCTGCAGAGGGGCCACCCCAAACTGCTGACGGCGGGCACTTCCATCCAAGAGGAGCCAGCCTTTGCCCGGCACCCACTTGGTGCCAGTGGCATTGCTGGGGCTGCTTCTCAAACGTGACCTAGTGGAAGCTCAGACCACCTTGTCGGGTCAGCGTGGTCACCCCCTGCAAGCCACGGGTGCAGAAACTGGAAGTTCAGAGAAGCAACATGCCCAGGGGCACAAGCTGGATGGGGGCTGAGCCAGGCCCAGCTGCTGGCAAAAACCACGTCCTTTCCATCCAGGGAAATGAACAAGCTGAGTCACAAGCTGAAATTTGAAAGCAACTGGGACAATCCTAGAAGCAAGGGACGTTTCAGCACTCCAGGACCCAGCGGACACCCCTCCGCCCCCTGTCCTCACTCCCAGATTAGGGGTCCTTCGCTTCCTTTGAGGGAGACCCCAAGGGGAAAGAGGCGGGAGGCAGCAGCCAGCTCATCTCTTTCCCTCCCCTCCTGACCGAGGTGATATCCGAGCTGGCTCCAGGCCTCCCTCCCGCTCTGATCCTCCTGCAGCTGTTCTCCTGGGCACATTCCTGGGCGCTTTCTCGTTCCCACGTCTGGCGGCCACGGCGGCTTCCCACCACCTTGAAGCCTGACTGCTCCTTGTAAAATTTCCTGGCTGTCAGAGCAGTGCTTTTATTGGCCCAGGGGACTCAGAAACAGGTGTCACTCAAGGTCCACGGAGGGAGGGGGTCTGGGAATGGAGAGGCAGCCGGAGCCCAGGCAAAGCCATCCTGAGGGGGCGGGGCCCGCCTCCTGCGTCTTATTGACTTCCTATCATACTCTGGGCTTCCCCAGTGCATGGAGCTCCCTCTAGGGCAGGGCAGGGACTCCCCATTAGACCAGAATCTCTCCCAGGGCAGGGCTGGATCTCCCCATTTAGCCTGAGAGCTTTCTCAGAGAAGAGGGAACAAAAAACGTTTGAGTTTTTAAAGAATAAACGGACTGGTGCGGTGGTTCACTCCTGTAATCCCAGCCCTTTGGGAGGCCGAGGCAGGTGGATCACCTGAGGTCGGGAGTTTGAGACCAGCCTGACCAACATAGAAACCCTGTCTCTACTAAAAATACAAAATTAGCCGGGCATGCTAGCGCATGCCTGTAATCCCAGCTACTCGGGAGACTGAGGCAGGAGAATCGCTTGAACTCGGTAGGTGGAGGTTGCAGTGAGCCGAGATCATGCCATTGCACTCCAGCCTGTGCAGCAAGAGCAAAACTCTGTCTCGAAAATAAATAAATAAATAAATAAATAAATAAATAAATAAATAAATAAATATAAAATAAAATAAATCAAGAACATTTAGCCTGGAGAAGTGGAGACTTGAAAGATACAGCTGCTCTGAGCATCCCCAAAGGGTTAACCCAGGGCCAGGGTCAAGAGAGGAGCATCTAAAGTCCAACATGAAGGTCTCCAGGAAAGAGCTCAGGACTGAGAGCTCAGGGTTCCTGCCTTTGGTCAGCTGTGTCACCTTCAACAGGTCAATTTCCTTTCCTGAGACTTCGTTTCCTGTCTGCAAATAAGGGGATGGAACTCAACAATTACTAAGACCCTTACATTTCTGGGATCCCTATTTACTGACAATCAGGGATGCTTTGTGAGGTGATGAGATTCCCATTACCAGAAGTGTTCAAACAAAAGCACAATGTCCAGTCAATCAGGGACCCTGAGGTCTTTGAGTTATGACCTCAAAGCCCCCTGAGTACTGCTTACATTGTATGGCTTCATACATTTTAGGTCTTGGTCTTTGATTCTAAAGGTCTGTGGTTCTGGGATTTTCCAATCGTATAATATCTCATCTCAGTGGACCTGGCAGATGGGTGGGTTAGTGGATTGGTTCAGGGTAGGCTTGGAGCCAAATACCTAGATGTGGATTCCAGCTCCATGTCTTACCCTTTCCACCCTCCACCCATCTCTCACAGGCAAGATGATGATAATGATGTCTACCTTGCTCTGAGGATTAAATGATTACATGTAAAAAAAAAAAGAAAAAAAAAGAGGAAGTACCTGCACACAGAAGTGCCATAAATGGGGGTTGTTCTTACTAAAACTCTGCCCGTTCTTGGCAGCTCCAATTCTAGCCACCTTTGCAGCTCCAGGTACATTCACCCAGCAGTCATTTACAGAGTACTTGCTGTGTGCCAGGCGCTGTTCTAGGCATTGGGGATTCACTGGGCAAAAAGCTCTGCTGTCTTGAAGCTGGCATTCTCATAAATACGTGCACAGGTAAACATGATGTCAGGTGGGGATCTGGTCACCAAAGAGTGGCCTGTTATCCCCTCTGGCTCCCTCAAGCTCTGCCTTCCTGCAGGGGCCAGGAGCCTCTGCTTGAAGCCTGCTAGATGTTACCAGTGCCTGTAACACCTCTGCCTCAGCCAGGAGAAAGCCAGAGCCACATGAAGGGCAGCCAAGGGGGTGTCAGGCAGGAGAACCCATGCCTGGGGACCCATGACTCCTTTCTCTGGAGTGATACATATATCTTCCTTAGAGGTGAACAGACCCATTTTTTCCTGGGTGCCACAACCCTGAGCCTGTGAATTTCTTCTAGAAATAGAGGCTGCAGGGCTAATAGGTCCCAAGGTCACCCCATGGCCTCTCCCATGACTGCCTCTGATGACTTCCCCATCCTTCAGATGATCAGCACCAGGAAACTAGGGCAGTGTACAACGCCTCTTTACTTTACCGTCCTTGGAACCCTGCTCTGTGCTTGGGGTAGGGGTGGGATGTTCTGAACGGAAATCCCATTGTGGAAGCACTACAGAGATTCACTAATTAACAACTTACACTGAATCTCTTAATAACACTAGGTAGCATTCATGGTGCATTTCTTTTCTTTTTTTTTTTTTTTTTTTGAGACAGAGTTTCACTCATCGCCCAGGCTGGAGTGCAATGGCGCAGTCTCAGCTCACTGCAACCTCCGCCTCCCGGTTTCAAACGATTCTCCTGCCTCAGCCTCCCGAGTAGCTGGGATTACAGGTGCCCACCACCATGCCTGGCTAATTTTTTGTATTTTTAATAGAGACAGGGTTTTGCCATGTTGGCCAGGCTGGTCTTGAACTCCTGACCTCAGGTGATCTGCTGGTCTTGGCCTCCCAAAGTGCTGGGATTACAGGCATGAGCCACTGCACCCAGCCTTCATGGTGCATTTTTTATGTGCCAGGCATGATGGCTCACCAGTCTACGTGTGTTATGTTTATTAATTCTCACCATGACCCTGCGGGGTATGTGTGATTCTTCTCTCCATTTTGCAGATGAGAAAACTGAGATGTAGCTAAGGAAAGTAACTTCCTAAAGCACAGCTATACATATACACAGTGGAGTACTATTCAGCCATAAAAAAGAATGAGATCCTGTCGTTTGCAACAACATGGATGGAACTGGAGGTCATTATGTTAAGTGAAATAAGCCAGGCACAGAAAGACAAACTTCACATGTTCTCATTTATTTGTGAGAGCTAAAAATTAAGGCAATTGAGCTCATGGAGATAGAGAGTAGAAGGATGGTTACCAGAGGCTGGGGCGGGTAGTGGGAGGTGAGGGGAGAAGTGGGGATGGTTAACGGGTTCAAAAAAGGAATAAGGATAAAGAAGATGTATTTGTATTTGATAACACAATAGGGTGACTATAGTCAATAATAAGTTAATTGTACCTTTAAAAATAACTAAAAGAATATAATTGGACTGTTTGTAACACAAAGGGTAAATGCTTGAGGTGATGGATACCCCATTTACCCCGATGTGATTATTATACATTATATGTCTATATCAAAGATCCCCTCTATCCTATAAATATGCATGCCTACTATGTAGCCACAAAAACTAAAACTTAAAAAAAAGATACAGTTCAAAGTGACTGTGCTGGGACTTGAACCCAAGTCTATCTGCTCAGGTTCGTTTCCTCTGTGCTACATGAAGAGAAGGGCCAGATGGAATATTGGACACAGTACACAGATGGCATCAACTGTACCCTACTCCCAGCGCAGGGTATTGAGAGAAGGATCAGAAATGAAGAATAAAACCCAGCGCCTGCTTTCAAAGAACTCAGTCCTGACCAGAGATTCTGGGTAGGGTGCTGGGGCTGTCACTGTCCCTTTTAGAGCGTTTATTTCCCTCTCTGTAAACGGGCAGCTCATACGAGACGCTGGCAGAGACCCTTCCAGCTCAGCTATCTCAGAGGGTCTCCAGCAGAATGATACTTACCTGTGGCTGGCGCTGTTCTAAGCATGTTGCCTGTGCTAGCTCATTTGAGGTCCAGAACCACCTAGGAGGTGGCTGTTATTAGCCCCATTTTATGAAGAAACTGGGATAACAAAAATTTTCCCATCTTAGGAGTTAGAGGCAGAATTCCATCCCAGGCAGTTGACTCCAGCATCCCTGCTGTCAACCATCCTGTTACACTTAGTGAGAAGGGAGGTGCCTACTGGGAAGGAGGTGAACCTAGGGACATAGGACAATGAAGGAAGAAGAGATGACAGAATTGGCAACAAAGGCATGCCCTCTCCTCCAGGAAGTCCTCCTGGATTCTGAGAGGCAAAGTTGGAAGCCCCTCCTCTGAGCTCCTTACCCAACCTTGCATGTCACCCCATCTGAGCTTATTGCACTGAAAAGCAGCTGCTCTTTGACTCGTGCCCAGGCAAAGGGCAGTTTGAGGGCTAGGAGTGGGTCCTGTCCATCTCTCTAGCCTGTCTTGCTTGGCACAGAGAGGAGTCCCAGTAAAAGTTTGAGAGGAGAAGGTGGGAATAAAGAAGGAAGGGAAGAGTAGGAAAAGAAAAGGAAGGGATTAGAAGGGAAGGGAAGGAGGAAGAATGCATCCAACTTTATTCAGCATTCTTTTTTTGAGGAAAAGATGAGCGGCACCTAAGGACCTGCTGCTACATGACAAACTACAGTGGCATATCCCAAATGCCCATCGCTCTCCCACCCACCCAAGATGTTCGCCACCTTCACCTATTATCTATATTGTTATTTACTTTTCAACGAAATCAAGTGTTTTAAAATAAAAATGCACAACACTCCCATAAAGGGAAGGCAATTGTTAAAATACACACACACACACACACACACACACACACTACACACAAAGGAAAACAAAACAACATGATTAAAGCCTTTCAGGAAAATGTCACCTGCAAACGCCTCCTCTCCCTGCATTCAGAAGGGAGATTGGCACAGGTTAGAAAGGCACTGAGGATGCATTAGCACCAAACTGAGACCCCTCTTCCCCCCTTCTCCATGCCCAGGAGGCCTGGGAGAGAAGTGGAATGGAATAACTTTCCCATCCTCATGTCCAGGTTATTGAATTCTGTTTCTCCAACAGGGAGCAGTGGCAGGAGGCCCACTGTTTGGGAAACACTGAATTAGTACAAAGACCTCCTCACACCCTTCCCGCAGAGCCTGGAAGCTCGGAGGCAAGGCCATTCCTTGCAGGGCTCCCTCCAGCATCCCTGCCACTCCAGGGTGCCCCGGGGAAACCCTCGGCGCCCTGTGGAAGTGGGGAGAAGCCAGGGCTTTGAATCCATCGGGAGCCAGTCGTTTTTCCTCCAGGCTTGGCTGCCTCCTCTCCCTTTCTCTGTGAAACCTCAACAGGTGAAAGCCGGCAGCTCTTGTTTATCCAGCCTGCAAGCTGAACGCTGCTTTTCCCACCCGGGAAGGATGGCTCTAGGGGTGCATAAGCGCCCTCCACCTGGCTGCATTCCCCTCCCCCATCTCAGCAGACACGGCCCAGAGATTTGGGGGTCTTGGGTGATCAGGTGCCAGGGGAGGTGGCGGCCTTCACCCCCCATCAGGATGGAACACCAACCAAGCCTTGTAGCCCCAGCCCCAGCAAAGGCACCCCAGTGCCAATCCTGCCTCCCCTTGTTCATTCATTCATTCGTCATTCACTCCTTCATTCATTCAACAAGTATTCCTTGAACACTTACTGAGCTCCAGGCATTGGGCAAGGAATGCATGGCCTCTGTCCCGTGGAGCCTGAGTCTGAGGGGGACATTAGGAGCAGCACAGCCAAGAAACAGATATATAGAATCATTGATCCTGTGGGGAAGCACACAGGTAGGAGGCCCACCTGACAGAAGGCAGAGAACCTACCTGAACCCACCTTAGATGCGGCAATTAAGGAGTAGGAGTAGGAGGAAGCATTTCAGCTGAGCTCTGAAGGCCAAAGAGCCAGCTGCAGGAAGAGTGTTCAGGGGAGAGGGAACAGCATGTGCAAAGCTGAAGGTGGAAAAGAGCCCCCTCAAGGCAGCCCCAGTGTGCACCCTCATTCTCCTCTTTCTCTGACCTGTCCCAGGAAACTTGCAAATCCAGATAAGTGGGCTCTAGAAAGCCAGACTGATTTTTTTTTTTTTTTGAGGCAGAGTCTCGCTTGTCGCCCAGGCTGGAGTGCAGTGGCGTGATCTCAGCTCACTGCAAGCTCTGCCTCCCGGGTTCACGCCATTCTCCTGCCTCAGCCTCCCGACTAGCTGGGACTACAGGCGCCCACCACCATGCCCGGCTAATTTTTTTGTATTTTTAGTAGAGACAGGGTTTCACCTTATTAGCCAGGATGGTCTCAATCTCCTGACCTCGTGATCCGCCCGCCTCGGCCTCCCAAAGTGCTGGGATTACAGGTGTGAGCCGCTGCGCCCGGCCAGACTGATTTTAAGTTTGAACCTCAGCTCCAACACAGACTAGCTGTGTGGACTTGGGCAAGCAACTTGACCTCTGTGAGCCTTGGTTTCCCCTTCTGTAAAATGGGAATAGGAGAATACGTCTCATGGGTCTATGTATGGATTGATACGTGAAGTGCCAGCACAGGAAGGGGAGACAAAAATGTTGGGTTATTATCCCACTAATGTTTGATAAATCCGTGTGTGTGTGTGTGTGTGTGTGTGTGTGTGTGTGTGTGTTTCCTATTTCAAGGAGGCCCAGGGTGTGTAAGCAAAGTAGGGCCTCAGTCTCCAGAGAAAGAACCCGGCTTGCACATCTGGGTCTGAAGTGCAGGTCTCATTCAGGTGGGTTGCAGATGCGTGGCTTCCTCCTGGGGGGCTTCCTGGAGGAGGTGGTCAAGCAGGGCACCAGCATCCCTCCAGGAAGGAGCAGCTGCAGAGGAAAGAGCACTGGCCTGAGAGCCACACAGGACTGGCTGGACCACTGACTCAACCTGGCCCATGGACAAGTCACCCACTTTCTTTGGGTCTTGGTTTCCTCATCTGTAAAATGGGGATAATATAGAACCCCCTCACTGGTGGTTGTGAGGGCAGAATGGGGTCATACCTATGAAATCACTCTGCAAAGCGTCCTGTGCTGCACAATGCCGGGGCCTGCAGGAGGATGCTGGCTGGATCAGAGGGTGATGGCTTGGGCAACTGGGTCTACATGTGTTGCAGCTCTCTGCCAGGAACCTGGCCGAGGGGTCTCCATTCTCTGCTCTCCACCTCCCAGGTCTGGTTCAGTAACCGCCGCGCCCGTTGGCGTAAGCAGGCAGGAGCCAACCAGCTGGCGGCGTTCAACCACCTTCTGCCAGGAGGCTTCCCACCCACCGGCATGCCCACGCTGCCCCCCTACCAGCTGCCGGACTCCACCTACCCCACCACCACCATCTCCCAAGGTGAGTGTCTTGGCCCCGTCCTGCCATCTCAGTGGTGCCCCTTCCCTTCTTTCTTTACTTTCACTTACAAAGGCTCTTCTTTTTTTTATGACCATTTCTTACTTTCATGTAAGCAGGCTATTGAGAGCAAAAAGATGCAATCCTGCCCTTGAAATTCTTGGCCCTGACACAGAGCAGCCAGGTGGGATCCCCAAGGCAGCCCCTGTGCACCTGTTTAGAACTGAGCTTCTCAAATGGTACCAGGGATCTCCCAGGAATGTTACTAAAATGCTGGTCTGGGTGAGGCCTGAGATTCTGCACTTCTAAAAATCCCCCTGGGAATGCCCAAGCTGGTGGAGCATGGACCAGGCTTTGAGCAGCGAGGATTTGGAGGAGAGGACACTGGGCTGACCTGCTTTGGAGGGAAAGGAACGGATTCTGCAGGGACTTTGGGACCATGCATAGTCACAGTCTTTGAGTTTTTAAAGTGAGAGAGTGACATGAGTACAAATGTGCGTGTGAGTGCGTGCATGAGTGTGTGCGTGTGAGTGCATGAGTGTGTGCGTATGAGTGAGTGAATGAGTGTGTGTGGGTGTGTGCATGAGTGTGTGCGTATGAGTGAGTGAATGAGTGTGTGAGTGTGTGCATGAGTGTGTGCATGTGCACGTGTGTGTGTACTTGTTGGGAAGATGTTGGAATCATGTTGGAATCATTTTTTTTTTTAGATTATGTTGGTCTCCAACCTATGACAAAAAAAAAATTTACAAAGGGGCTTAAATAATTTGCTGGGACCTCATTTTCTTGCCTCTCTCTGGAAAGATCCATTTTCAGAGATGGAATAAAGGTCAGGGTCTCCTTTGAGGACCTGAGAAAGCTCCCTATGAGGGATTCCCCCCACTCTGGGGTGAACAGCCCTAGGCCAGGCTGGGCTGAGAGGGGTCAGAGCCCTCAGGTCCTCCTGGGAAGGAGGCCTCACTTGAGCCCAGTTCTCCCAGTGGCTTGAAGTATAAGATTCCCTTCTAGCGCTGGAAAGGGATAGGCAGAGGGAAGAAGGTGAGTGGGTGAGAGAGGATAGGGGATCAGGGGGCCTTGGGAGAGGAAAGGAAAGTCTGGGTCTCAGGAGAGAAGGTGAGCCTTGTAGGGGAAGAAGGGTTCCCTCCCCCTACCTCACCGGAACTTGCTCTCATTCTGTCACCCCAGAAGCCCTGTCCCAGCACACACCAGGAATACCACTACTTGATATTGGCCTCATGGGCTGGGCGCAGTGGCTCACAACTGCAATCCCAGCACTTTGGGAGGCTGAGGCGGGCGGATCTCTTGAGGCCAGGAGTTGGAGACCAGCCTGGCCAACATGTGAAACTCCATCTCTACTAAAAATACAAAAAAAAAAAATTATCTGGGCATGGTGGCGTGCATCTGTAATCCCAGCTACTCAGGAGGCTGAGGCAGGGGAATCGCTTGAACCCGGGAGGCGGAGGTTGCACGGAGCCCAGATCGCGCCACTGCACTCCAGCCTGGGCGACAGAGTGAGACTCCATCTCAAAAAAAAAATTAAATTTTAAAAAAGATAGCTACCTCATAAAGCCTCCTCTTAAATGACTGGCAGGCTGGAGTTCTGGAGGCCAAGGAAAGAGTCAAAGAGCCCCCTCCAGCACCACTGTGACTTGGTAAGATAAATTGAACCAGTGTTGAGGGTCCCAGCCTCTGCAAAGCTGCACAGAAGGGCCCAGAGAGCGCAGAATAACAGCCTAGCAGCAAAGAACAGAGATGGCTCCAGAGTTAGGCCATTCAAATCCTGGTCCCATCACTCACTAGCCTGGTCATCTTGTGTGAGTGCCCCAAGCCCACCAAGCCTTGGTTTCTTCATCTGTAAAATGGGATTTACAGTCTTGCTTCATACCCTTAGGCAGCGTTTGTAAAAGCACCTGGCAAGTGGTTGACGCTCACAAAACAAAACAGACTGGGTAGATTAACAGAGTCCCCATCAAGGTCTGGTTTTCAGCCCAGCTGACATTTATTGAGCACCTACTGTGTGCCAAGCACTGAGGAACAGTGGCTGGTGTGCACCTGTCTAGGGGTTGTCTAGAATGTTGGGTTGTCAGTCAAGACCTGGCCAGTGCCTACTGCCCTGCCCAGGAGCCAACTTGTCTCATCCCAGGTAGCATGAGAGGGTGGTCCCTTCCCTCCAAGGAATGGAGACCGGGAGGAGGAGTCTCTTGGCTTGCCTTCTGCTCTCAGAGGCCCAGCGTCCAGGATGAGGCCACTTGCTTAGGACCTCTCTTGGGTCTCTCTACAGATGGGGGCAGCACTGTGCACCGGCCTCAGCCCCTGCCACCGTCCACCATGCACCAGGGCGGGCTGGCTGCAGCGGCTGCAGCCGCCGACACCAGCTCTGCCTACGGAGCCCGCCACAGCTTCTCCAGCTACTCTGACAGCTTCATGAATCCGGCGGCGCCCTCCAACCACATGAACCCGGTCAGCAACGGCCTGTCTCCTCAGGTAGGTGGTCTCAGCCCAGCACCCAGGATCCCACCGCCACGAAAGTCAGACATCTGCAGACAGCACGTGGGTGGAAGCCTTGCGCTCTTTCCTGTAGCAGGCTGACTGCGGTTGGGGTTTTTGTTCTAGAATCAGGAATCCTCCCTGGACTCTGTCCTGTGCTCTTGGCTTTTCACCAGGAGTGACCAATTCCTGAAAGGCAGGACCATGTCCTATTGGTGGAGAGAATTGTGGATGGGGTTCTGGGCCGGTAACTCTACCCTGATTGGTCAATGGAATTCTGTTTGCTCCTGTGTGATTGGTTAAGTCATTCATTGCCTCGGGGTGCTGTTAGAAGTCACAGGACCTGCTTTGGATGAAGTCAGAGAGATAATGTGGGCGCTGATGGTGGTTATTGGTGAGTTTGGGGAACAGGACTTGATAATGCCGGAAGTCCCAATGAACTTGAGGAACTGATGGGCTCATTTTTTTGTAGCTTCAGCAGGCTCCCAAATATCCGTGGGGGAAGGGATGAAGTGCCCCCTGCCACATGTCTGTGGTGAGAATCCACTGCACATGATCCAAACTGATCTGAAGAGCCATAGTGTGGCAGAACAGTGAAGCCTGTGGAATGGGTCTAAATCCCAGCTCTACTGCTCAGGGGTCTCTGAGGCAAGTCAGCATCTGTGAGCCTCAGTTTATCCCCTATTAAACAAAGAGAGTCTGTAACTAACGTCTCAACAAGAGGTGCTTGCCACATTCAATATGCTAACAGGTCAGAGCACCTAGCCCAGAGCCTGGCACGAAATCAGTGCCAAGTAAATATTAGTTCTCTGGCCCTCCCAGTGTCAGGACAATGTAATTAATATGGGAAACCCATTACCTAAAAGGAGAATAGAAAGAATTCAAAGAAGGCCAGCAAGCTACATCCTGCGGGCCACATCTGTCCAGCTCCCTGTTTTTTGTAAATAAAGTTTTATTGGAATACAGCCATGTCCATTTATGTATGGTGGCTTTTTTGCCACCACAGCAGAATTGAGTAGTTTTAAAAGAGATCATATAAGGCCGAGCGTGGTGGCTCACACCTGTAATCCCAGCACTTTGGGAGGCCGAGGCGGGTGGATCACCTGAGGTCAAGAGTTCGAGACCAGCCTGGCCAGTACGGTGAAACTTTGTCTCTACAGCAATACAAAAATTAGCCAGGCATGATGGCAGGTGCCTGTAATTTCAGCTACTTGGGAGGCTGAGGCGAGAGAATCGCTTGAACCTGGGAGACAGAGGTTGCAGTGAGCCAAGATTGCACCATTGCACTCCAGCCTGGGTGACAGAGTGAGACTCCATCTCAAAAAGATAAATAAATAAATAAAAAGAGAGACCATGTGGTCCACAAAGCCTAAAATATTTACTATCAGGCCCTTACAGTAAATTAAAAAAAAAAACAAACCTTTGTCTGAAACATTCCCAAGAATGTTAATTTTCTGCTTGTCTGGATTCATTTCTGTTTGCCTCCATTAATTTGTGTAGTTGAGGGTTAATTGCCTTTCAGCTGCATCGTTTATTTATGGGAAAACCCTTGAGTAAGTCCCTTCCCCTTTCTATGCCTCAATTTTCTCATCTATGAAATGGAGATAAGCCCAGTACTTGCCTCCCAAGGTTGCTGGGGATTGAATGAGATGATCTGTGGAAGGCAGTCAGCTCAGGTCTGGCACAGAGTGAGTGCCCAGTACCTGTAGGCAGCTGCCTGCGGAGCTCCTAATGGTGACGTATCAAGCCCTCTCAGGGTCCGCAGTATGAAGGGTGATGCCACTTACTTGGCTGACCTTGTCAGCCCCTGCACTAGTCCTCACCAGGCCACCCCACTCTCTTGCTGGGATCCCAGGTGAGCTAAACCCTGCACATGGAATACAGCCTGTCGGCCAGAATGTCTTCCCTGGGGACCCCAGTTGGCTTCTTTGAGGTTCAAGGTCATGGCCTCCATCTCACTAGTGCTAACCTTCCAGAGCCCTTGAGATGAGTCACAACAGGATCCCTGAACTGGCTGGGGGAGGACACTGCCGAGATCCAAGCTTTCCACACCCAAGAATAGGGTCCAGGCGTGGCTTGGTGGTACAAAACAAATTTGGGGGAGTGTCCTTAGAAAGCTGAAGAGGGTCTTTGGGGTTCTGTGTGCAGCTGTCTTGCTTTGGAGATGGAGGGCCCCAGTACACATTGGCCAGGCCAGGGTTGACAATCCGGCGCACCTGACTCCATGACCACTGCTTTTCCTAGCCCGCCCTGTCTCACTGTGGGCTGAGGTTTATCCCCAACACAGGACTCTGTCACAGGACAAAAGAGAGACTTAGCAAAGAAGGGGCCCCAGGCCTCCAGAGTGTGGGTCGGGGATGGGAAACCAACCCACTGGTGTGAGCAGTGGATCAAGGGGAAGTATCTCCCCCATGGCAAGGAGACTTCAGGGTTGGATGACGTGTTTTCCATCCTCTCCTGGAAGTTCCTAAGTTGGACGCCCAGCCCTCCACCCAGCCCAGAATTTTACTGAAGCTAAAAGCGAGAGGCCTCCAGCCCATTCCTCAGGGCTGGGAGGCTGACATGATGAATCGGAGAAGCTCAGAGGCTCCCATCAAAGGTGTGAAGACAGATGGAGGGTCTGACCGGGGCAGAGGGGACCAGGAGGTGAACAGCTGCTGGAGGAGGGCGGGTGCAGGGGCAGCAGGGCAGGCCGTGTGTGCTTCTGTGCATGTAAACCGCAGAGGTTAACCTGCGAGCACTTCCTGAAGGACGGGTGCAGCGAGCAGGGCGGGAGTTTCTGGGTCTTGTACAAAAGCTCCCGGGGTTGCTAGGCTCCGACTCCCACTGCCCTCCCTCCTCACTCTGGGCAGGTGGACTTGACACCATCAGCACATCACTGTGGTCCTGGGAGGTGTGGGGCCAGGAATCCTCTGTGTATAAGGATCTGCAGGGAGACGCCCTGTGAGGACAGATCTGCCTCCTGCATCCTCTCTTCCCAACAGGACCGGCTTCTCTATAGCTCACCTGGGCAAGAGGGACAGGTTAAGCTTCCCCGCTGGGCTGTGGGGTAGGCACACTGTCCCTTTCCCCAGGATGGCAGGTCCCTGACACATTGCCCAGATAGATGTGGACCTCAAAACTGGAAGGAATTTTTTTCTTTTCTTTTCTCTCTCTCTCTCTTTTTTTTTTTTTTTTTTTGAGACAGAGTCTAAGTCTGTTGCCCAGGCTGGAGTGCAGTGGCGCGATCTTGGCTGATTGCAACCTCCGCCTCCTGGGTTCAAGCAATTCTCCTGTCTTCGCCTCCAATTCTCCTGTCTTCGCCTCCTGAGCAGCTGGGATTACAGGCCCCTGCCGCCACTCCCAACTAATTTTTGTATATTTAGTAGAGACAGGGTTTTGCCATGTTGGCCAGACTGGTCTTGAACTCCTGACCTCAGGTGATCCACCCACCTTGGCCTCCCAAAGTGCTGGTATTACAGGCGTGAGCCACTGCGTCTGGCCGGAATTTTTGTTCTTACAGAAGCCAAAGGGGCTTACACTGGAGGATGAATTTGTGGCTCTACCGAGAACCTGGACAGACCCGGGTTAAGCTAGCTGTGCATCACGCTGGCCAGCTTGCTACTACCGTGGGGAAGACATGCCTCCTCCAGTGGCTTGACCCAAGTCCCTTGTCTCAAACCCAGCCTGGGAAGTGGGGACCACAGAACATCAAGGACTCCATGCAGAATCTCAAGGAAAAGCCATTTACTCATCTCATCTCTGCACGTGCCCCCTGGCTTGGAAGGGAGTCACTAACATAATGAATATTTATAGAGAATCTACTATGTGCCAGGCACTGTTCTAGGCACTTGGGATAAATCAGTGAACATGAGAGGAAGACCCTTATATTGTCCTAGTGGAGGTGACAGTACAACAGGGTCAGACAGACAAAAAATATAATTTTAAAAGGCATACAGTATGTTTAATACCAGTGTTGACAAGGACAGCTGAATTTTCTGGAGCCCTTCTGACTTTCAGATCCTGCTCTGGGTGTTTTACTTATATTAATCCACTTAAAGGGTAGAGCCAGGATTCAAACCCATGTCTTTAGAGCCTGAAATCTTTTCCTTTTCTTTCCTTTTCTTTTTTTCTTTCTTTTTTTTTTTTTTTTTTTTTTGAGATAGGGTTTCACTCTGTTACCCAGGCTGGAGTGCAGTGGCGCGATCTCAGCTCATTGCAACCTCTGCCTCCTCCCAGGTTCAAGCAATTTTCCTGCCTCAGCCTCCAGAGTAGCTGGGACTACAGGCATGCGCCACCATGCCCAGCTAATTTTTTTGTATTTTTAGTAGAGGCGGAATTTCACCATGTTGGCCAGGCTGGTCTTGAACTCCTGACCTCAAGTGATCCACCCACCTCAGCCTCCCAAAGTGTTAGGATTACAGGCATGAGCCACTGCGCCTGGCCTAGAGCCTGAATCTTAGTTACTTGTTCTGTCTTCCTGCCTCTCAGAAATGCCCTCACTTGCACTCTTTTTAGAGATTGGCTGGTGCAAGAAGAAACCATCTAGGGAAGCCACCCCCCATCTATGGAAGCCACCCCCTTCAGTTTGGTGGAGGAAATAGCTCATTCGACTCATGTGGTGGATGAGAAAACTGAGGCCAATGACTCAGGTTAGGGACCAATAGGCAGAGCTGAGTTATATGGGCAAATGCTTTTCAGGAGGTTTAGATACCCTTGAGGCTTGGTTCCCTGATTGTCTCCCCTACCCACCCAAGCCCCAGCCTAATAGGATTAGGGATTAGGCACTCAGCACATGCATGTCCCTGGCTTTGTGCACTGGGTCCTTCTGAAGAGATGTAGGGAAAAGGAATCCTGCTCATGAGACCTCATTCCTGATAACGTTCATCTGGGGTTAGGATCATAGACTACCCGCAACCCCCAGCCCACTCTCTCCCCTCTGCTCCGGGCTGAGGGCCAGTTACTTGGACAACGACTGTAAGAAAACAACTTAGAGGTGGGGTGCCGTGGCTCACATCTGTAGTCCCAGCACTTTGGGAGGCCGAGGTGGGAGGATCACTTGAGGTCAGAGTTCAAGACCAGCCTGAGCAACATAGCAAAACCCAGTGTCTACAAAAAATTTAAAAATTAGCCAGATACGGTGGGGCGAGCCTGTGGTCCCAGCTACTAGGGTGGCTGAGGTGGGAGGATTGATTGACCCTGGGAGGTTGAGGCTGCAGTGAGCTGTGATTGTGCCACTGTGCGCCAGCCTAGGCGACAGAGAGAGACCCTGTCTCAAAATTAATTAATTAATTAAAAACATAAAATGACTTAGGATGAAAGGAACCTTTTGTAACGCAAATGACTTTGAATAATGTGACACCTGCAGATTCATCCCTTCATACCAGCCCCTGTCTAGGAATCCCAAGCAGGCCAGGCTCTTAGGAGTAGTGACCACAGGCAGAAAGGAGAACACAAGGCTGGCCCTTCAGGGATCTCCAGTCTGGTGGGGAAGACACAGCCCCTGTCTTCAGGAACTCATAGTCTGACGGAAGAGACAAAACCCTCATCCTTAGATGCCTTAGTCTGATGGTGGAAGCACAGCCCTCTCTTGGAACAGAGCTCCAAGAGACAGGTGGGGAAGACAGGCATCAGAAAGTCATTCAGAGCTGCAGTATTTGGCAGGCTGAGATCCCAAGCAAAGAACCAGGAGAAAAGTTCTGCCAGTTTCGAGGGTCCCTTGGGTTGAAGGCTGCAGGCAGGGTGCCTTGTGCTGGAGGCTTCCTCAGGGCCCAGGTGGTGTGTGCCAGGTGGGGCTGGGAGGTGTGGTTAGCTGGAACTTCCTCATCTCCCAACCTTTTTAAGATGCCAACTATATCAGAGTAGGAAGTGGAAACTGAGGCCCAGAGAGGGCCCAATCTCCCCCGAGATTTTCTGAAAATCACACGGTTGGGTTAGCGGCATCCTTGGCTGGGGTCTGGAGGGCTCCTGCCACGACCTCGTGGAAGGGGCGTCTGTCTCCCCAGCACCGCTCCTGGTGCTCTTTTGTAATGTCCCATACTCATCGTCTCCTTTGTTCCTTTCTGGAGCTTAAAACGAAGGAAGCCATAAAGGGATTTACATATTTACAATTTCCCCACACACCGACCTAATGAAGAATATTCTCTAAGTGTGCAGTTAACCACACAACCACGATCACGGCCAACCAGCCTTTCTGTCCTTTCCTGCTTCTTGATACCCTTCTCTCCGGTCCAGCCTGTGCCTTTAGTAATTACGGCGACAGCAATGGCAGAGATCATGCTTACAGAGGGCCAGGTCCCGATGGGCCTGAATGCTGACCCCACTTGCCCTCCTTGACTCTTGGCTGTTATCTTGTGACCCTCGTTTTACAGATGAGGAAACCTTCCTTGTCCAGGGTCCCCTATCCATCCAACCACCTAAGAAACATTTATGGAGCCTCTTCCAGGTGCCAGGTTGTGTGCTAGGATCTGGCAAGTGGCAGAGTTAGGATTCCAACAGTGGCTCCAGAGCTCACGATGCTACTGTGTTGTATCTGCCTGGTGAGGTTGGTCTGGTGGTCCATCCAGGGAAGCTGAGGTCCTAAGTCATAGGGGCAATTAATGGCAGAGTCAGGTTCAGAGTCGCTGTCCCCAAACGCCAAGCTTCCTCTTTCCTCCTGAGACCCACAGAAATCAAGCTCAAGGCTTTACCTTTATTTATTTGTGAATGGGGTCTCCTGGGTGCGTCTTAACAGCACATGCCCAGTACTGCCCTCCTGGCATTGTCTGAGGCCTCTGGGCAGCCAGTTCAGCAAGAAAAGACATTCCATCAATGGCACACCTACTGGACGCCAGATCCCATGTAAGCACTTTGCCTATCTGAAGTCATTCCAGCCCCACAGCAACCCTACTCTTGGGGAAATAGGCTCAGAGAGGTCAAGTCACTTGCTGAAGGTCACAGAGCAGGTGAGTGATGGAGATGGGGTTCTAATTCAGGTCTGCCGGACCCAGGAACCTCACCACCACTTGACTCTCAGCAAGACACGACCAAGACAGTCCTCTTGCCCTAGGGAACTGAGCAGTGCCACTCACACAGTGGACACTGGAGATTCCTACCTCTCTCTCCTATCACTTCCTCTTCATGCCCCCACCCCTTCATTGGCGACACTGCGTTTATAATAGGCATTTAAAATGAGTCTTGCTGGACCAGGGACGAGGAAGGAGGAGGGAGCGAGAGATTTGTAGGCAGGAAGATGGGGAGGGGGATTGTGGGGTGTTAAATAGCCCAGAATTTAAAAAAAAACTGATGCAAATCACTGGTAGGAGAGAAAATTATGTGCAATTACGTCCTGATATTGGAAGGTTTTGCCTAGCCCAGGCAACAAGATCTCATTAACAAGCAGAAAATAAGATTGAAATGGTGTGTAAAAGAGCTGAAAAATGAATTTGAATGCTGCGTTTGTCCACAATTACCCCCTCCTTCACACATATTTTATTGCAATTTTTTTATTATTCTTAATCTCTCCATTCCTCAAAGCAGATTGGGGACATCCTGGCATTACCAGGGCGTCAGGAGGAGGTGTGGAGGATTGCCTGCCCCGCTGAAAGGAGACCCTTCTCTCGCACATTTTCCGAGGTTGGGTTTTGGAGGGATCAGAATTCATTTCTCCGGCTTAGCAGGTTGTAGGAACATGGGGCTTTAACCCCAGCTGCGCGCTCCTCTGCGCCCCGCCCAGCCCTTCCTTCTCCTCCCTTCCTGGGCGAGTCTCCTGCTGCCCGCTTCCTCCCTTTGCCTTCTCTGGGTCTCTTTCAGGCCTCCGCTTTCTCGGGAGGCCTCTCCCTCAGGCCCCATGGGTAGAAGGAAGCCTGGAGCGAGAGAAACTGTGCCACCTGTGCCAACAAGCAGCCGTGAGTTGGAGCTCTGGTTCTGCCATTTACTAAATTGCTGTGTGGCCCTGGCACAGCTTGCTTAACCTCTCTGGGCTTCCTTTTCCTCATCGGAAAACAGGGGTAATCATTGCTACCTCTCAGGGGTTGCTGTGAGAACTAAGGGAAAATTCAAATTAGGTGCCTGGTGCAAGTAGGAGCTCACTAAATGTGCCCTCGTCACACCCCCCTCACCTGTGCCCTGGCCTCCACCTCTGCCTCACTGCCATCCCTTCTGTTTCCTTCCCTCTGTTCCCTTCTTTTACTTCCCTGCTCTCCTTGACCCCCTTCAGTTAACTGGACAATGCTTGAGTTGGTTTCCTATCCAGGGCAATGTAAGGGGTTCTGCTGACCTAAGTCTGGGGAGGAGAAGGTGCCAGGTGCAGGGGGTTCCCTCTCTGCAGAAAGCAGGGGAAAGGCTGTCTCCTGCTCCTCCCTCAAGCCCCTGGGGAAGGACGAGCTGATGGAGGAGTGCTTGACTCAAGTTGGCAGGGCATGGGCTGAGTGGTTTTTCCCAGGATTAGGGGAAAGCTAACTGAGTCATCCCCCCACCCTCCAACACACATCCCCACACCCCTGTTTCTCTTTCTCTTCATGACCAGTGCGGTTGGTACAGAGTCAGGGGTCAGTTTGTGGAGTGGACCAGGAGTCCGTGGCTGGATCTTCTTGGACCTGAAGCCGAATGACATTTTTCAGTGTCTGCCCTCCCCAACTGGCCTTCTGCACCCAGGAAGAGCCCAGCTCCCAGAGACTGCTCCCCTGCCCCACCCAAACCACATCCACCAGCCCCTGGTCACAGCATCAGGCTAACAGTTAGGCTGCCCGTCCACTCTGCTCATCAGGCAGCCCCCAATCCCCCAGGGCTTTTTCCCCCGGTTCTCTTGGCGAGGCCAGCCCCAGGGTAGGGATGAACTGCAAGGCTCAGGGAAGCAGCCAAGGCGTAGGTGTGAACTGATGGTCAGTGTGAATTGATGGTCAGTGTGAACTGACGGTCGCTTTAGTCCTTGGCCCTGAGCATCCTCAGCCCTTCCAGAACCTGGGGAGACAGACCCGGCCAAGACCCTGCTCTCACATCCAGCTCCATCTTTGTCCACAGTTAACCCACCTCAGTGGGAAACGCTCAGTTATTTCCCCCCGGCAGCTCCTCACCAAACAAAACCACCTGCTCAAGTCCATCAGAGGCCTCAGCTCCAGCCCACAAGGGAGCGGCCTGGGCAGAGCCTCTTCTCCTGTGAAAATAGACTCGTGTTTATGTCTCTGCCTTTCCTACCCCTTTTTCCTGGGTGGAGGGAAATGAGGGGGCAGGGGAGAAGGAGGAAACCCCTCCCGGAAAGAAAGGCTAAACCAGGATTAGGAACTTTCCAGACTGCTGCTGAGGGGAGTGGAGCATGCCTATGAGTAGGCTCTGCTAGGAACTGGGAGGCCTGGCGGATTGCCTGGCTTTCAGGGTGACATTAGAGCCCTTGGATCATTGAAGGAGAAGTGGGAGAGCAACCCTGACCTTGCCTCCTTTCTTAGAGAACTGGGTAGAATTCTGGGAAGATATCGGGTCTTCAGCCCACCTATCTGAGTCCGAACAAGAGGTGGGTGGAGGGTGGCCTTCAAGGACCACTCTGGGGCCGGGTGTGGTGGCTCACGCCTGTAATCCCAGCACTTTGGGAGGCTGAGGCGGGCGGATCGCTTGAGGTCAGGAGACTGAGACCAGCCTGGGCAACATGGTGAAACCCCCCCTCTACTAAAAATACAAAAATTAACTGGGCGTGGTGGTGCATGCCTGTAATCCCAGCTACTTGGGAGGCTGAGGGGGGAGGATCGTTTGAATCCAGGAGGCGGAGGTTGCAATGAGCTGAGATAACGCTACTGCCTTCAAGCCGGGGCAACAGATCAAGACTCCATCTCAAGAAAAAAAAGGGGAGGGGCACTCTGGGCCTCTTTTATGCCCACCAGCAAAACATCTTCCATCCAAACTCCACACCTCCAGAGGGTGTGGGCAGGAGCTGACCTCTGCCCCTTTACACAGATGGAGTAGAGGCCTGGTATAAACAAGTGGGGAAGGGGAAAGTAGCCTGCTTGGAAGCTCTAGATGTTTCCACACACCACTGTTGTCAGGGACCATGGTCTTCAGTAGGACCACAGGCAGCATGGCAGTACTTGGCACACAAAATCTTGGTGTGACACTTGTATTATAACTAGGTGTCTGGCAGGTAACGGACCACCACCAACTGTTGGGCAACCCGCAGGCATACAGCAGGCCTGGTGAGACACAGCTGTAGTCCATTCTCAGGAGGATTTTGAGGCAGCTGATCATGTGGTTTGCACTTGAATATCATTACATATGATTCCCTTCAAATTCATTTATCTAACTCCACTTAACAGCCTAGAGGGAGACTCAAGAAAGAAATATGCATGGCTGTCTCTGCTCTTATACTTTGGAGAGACAATACTCCTCATCCCACCCCAGAGATAAATTAGAGTATTCATTGTAGACAATTTAGTGTGATTTCTAGTCAGACAGGAAGACCAGAGGAAGTCTAGAGGAGGGAGGGCATAGTCAGAGAAGGCTTCCTGGAAGAGGAGTTCCAGAGGGAAGACTGGATTTGCACAGGGATAAAGGAAGGGGTAGGAGGTTGGTGCCGACCAGACAGCAGCAAATGACATGGCAGATGTGAAAACAGTCACTAATTTAGGCACATCGTGGACACAGTGGAATGAACATACAGACCAGGGCTCAAATGCTCACGTGCTCAGCCGGGCACAGTGGCTCATGCCTGTAATCCCAGCACTTTGGGAGGCCAAGGCGGGTGGATCACTTGAGGCCGGGAGTTCGAGACTAACCTGGCCAGCATGGTGAAACCCCGTCTCTACTAAAAATACAAAAATTAGCCGGGCATGGTGGTGCGTGCCTGTAGTCCCAGCTACTCGGCTGAGGCAGGAGAATTGCTTGGACCCCGGAGGCGGGGGCTGCAGTGAGCCGAGATCTAGTCACTGCACTTCAGCCTGGGTGACAGAATGAGGCTCCGTCTCAAATAAATAAATAAATAAATAAATAAATAAATATACAAAAACAAATTCTAGCTCCTCTACTTATTTGCTGTGTGATCACAGGCAAGTTATATGAGCGCTCAGAGCCTCATTTTACTCATCTGTGAAATGGGGCCTCTGCCACTCACCTTGCAGGCTTATGAGAATTAAATGCGATTGTTCATGTGAAACCCTTAGTTCCACACCCGGCATCTAGTAAGAGCTTAAGACAATGTTCCTCTTTCTGCTTCTCCTCGCCCTGAACAGAAATTGAACTCCAGAAGTCTTGCTAGGTTTCTCTACCCAGGCAATTTCCTTTCTGGTCAAAGGTTGGAAACTCAGGAGATCCAAGTTTCCTCTAGACTCTGCCTCCAAACCACCATGTGATCTTGATAGAGGCCTTACTGCTGTGGGCCTCAGTTTCCCCATCTGTGCAATGAAAGAGATGGACCAACTGCTAGCAGAGAGCCTTCCTATTCAGAATCAGTGATTCTGTGGGTTACTTGTACATCCAGGGGAGTCACAGCCTCCAGATCTGCGGGCAGGGCTGGCCCGCCTCTCAGTTGTACATCCGCACCTCCTTCCTGCCTCCTGAGAAGCCTAGCAGGCCCGGGTTTAGCCTTCCAGAGCTGCATGGCTTGGTGGGAAAGAATGCAAATAGTGGATCTGTCCTTCTTTCTGATTAGCACAGGGACTGGGGACGAGACAGTACAGCAGACAGAAGGAAAGAAAATGAGGGAGATTAGGAATTAATACAGCAGGCAGACTTAGAGTTTCTCAGGCCTGTCCCTGGGGTCCCCTGCAGGAGGAAGGCCGCTGGGATGGTTGGGCAATCGGGCCTGGGAGGCCAGGCAAGATCGCAGGTAGGAGAGACGGGGGGTGACTTTGAGGGTCCCCAAAGGAGACTTGTGCTCTCCTCTGCCTCCAAGCCTTTGTACCTGCTGCTCCCTTGGCCGGGAACACCTTCTCCACCACCCCATTGTCATCTCAAGCCCACCCGTACTTCTTTTTTAAGACTTGGCTCCCTTCCATGAAGCTTTCCTTCAGGACACCCCCCACACGGTGGGTTAGCTGTGCTTTCCCTGTGCAGTTACCACATTTTATCAGTACATTAAATGTATATATTGATATAAGTAATACAGTATGTCTGTATTGCTACACAAATATTATTAAATAGTAATAAGTAAAATGTTTTAGCATTTACCACAAGCCAGATGCTGTGCTAAGTCAGCTACATGAATTATCTCATTTAATCGTTATAACATCCCCTTGGAGGAAGTGCTGGAATGATTATTTCTGTCCTACAGATATAGGGACAGAGGCATGGAGCAGTTTAAATAATTTGTCCAGGGTAAGTTGCTCTTTAAGGCAGGAGAGCAGGGGGGTCAAGATGCATGCTAGAATCCCAGTGCTTGGGCTCAATCCCCAGCATTGTCACTTCCTACCTGTGTGACCCCAAACAGGCTCTTCCCTGCCTCTGTTTCCCCTTCTGTAAGGTGAGGCTAATAATCATGCCCATTTTATAGAGCTAGCCTGAGAAGTGTGTTCATATATGCAAAGCATGAAGAAGAACAGCTAGCATAATATGAGGTAGCTGTTTGCAGATGGGGTCTGAGGCTCCAGCAGGTGCCACCAGGGGCCAAGGTCACAGTGAGTTAGCGCAGGGCCGGGATGCAGACCTCCTGTTGCAGAATTCATGTTCCCTCAACACCTTTGCAGCTGTCTCTTCCACACTCATTTCCCATCTTCTTTCCATCAGCCTTTTCCATCCTGTTCCCCCCGCTCCTTCTTGTCCCCCACTCTAGGTTCCTGCCCTGCTCCCACCTCAGCCCCAGGGCTCCCTAACCTTCCCCACCGGCCCTTCTCTCTCCTGGCCCTTTCCCCGGCTGTGAACACGCTTCTCCAACACCTTTTTCAGTGGGGACGGGTGTCCTTGGCCACCAGGGGAGTTCTGCTAAGGGCAGGGGAGGCTCCTCCCTTGGAGCTTTGGAGAACATCAGAGACCTGGGTCGGGTCCCCCAGGACATTGTTGGAGGCCTTTGGAAGGATGGGCCTGGGTGCGCCCTAATTCCTGCGCACCTCGGCCTTGTCACTCCCCCACTCTGTGGCTCTGTCGCCTTCTGAGTGATAAGGGCCTGCACTTTCTTGAGAGGGTGGACAGCCTCCCCCACCCCTCAGCCCAGCCAGGCCTGCCTTTCACTTTCTCCTCCAGCCATTCGTGCCTCCCTGTCCCCTGCCACAGCCCAGAACTTTCTCTTGGGCTCAGTTGATGGGAAATCCACGTCTGTTTGTTGTTTTTTGTTTTTTGTTTTTTTCACACACTCTCTGCTTCCTATTTCTTTCCTTTCCCCACTTCCTCTTTTCTCCCTTCGCGCCCCATTTCCCTTCGCCCCCTGTGCCACCACCCCCTTGCTCACCGTCTCCCTGATCGCGTCATAACCCTGAGAATACCTCCAGCCTGGGTCCTCTCTCCACCCACTCCATTCTCTCAAACCCTCATTTCCCTCTTTGCCTGCCTCCTCCCATAGCTGGCCTCGCCTCTACCCATTCTCTTCCCCCTAATCTCTCTCATTCTCCTCTCCTCTCTCATTCCGCACCCAACAAACACCTCTTCCCCCTCCATCTTCAGCCCCTGCGCGCCCCCCTTGCCCTTGCCCTCTCCCCCACCCCCGTGTCCCCTTTCCGAATTCCTCCGCTGCTGGTGGGCTCCGAGGCAGGGACCGGGCGCGGGCTCCCGAGGCCGGGCGGACCCAAGTCCAGGGCGGGGGTTGGGGCGGCGGCCGGAGCGGGGATCGGGTCTGGGGGGATCCGCGCGGCCGCCCCTCCCCGCGCTCCGCCGCCGCCGCCGTCGCCGCCGCGCCTTTGATCCATGGCCCGAGGCCGCCTGACAGTGGAAAATGCGGGGAGACAAAACCACTCAGTCAAAGTGATTCCCAACAACTGTCTCCCCGAGATAAGGACGCCCTCGGGCTCGGCGGCCTGCTTAATTCCCGCTGCCCGGGCCTGGGATCCCGAGCAGCCGCGCGCCTGGCCGCCCCCCGGACTGCGGAGCCGCCGCTCGCTCGTCCAGTCTTGGTCGCGGGGCCTCGGCCGTCTCGGGACGGGGCAGGCGGCGAAGGGACGGGCAGCCGGTAAGCAAGACCCTTGCTGCCTGCTGGAGAGAGAGGCTCCCTCGGGAGCGCCCCGTTCCCCACCCGTTCATTAGTTCATTAGGGCCTTCTCCACCAATGCACTTGCCCTTCCCTCCACCTAGAACCTTCTTGCCCCTCCTCTCCTCGCTTAGCCAGCTCTGCTCATCTCTCTGGTCTCAGCTCAGAGGTTGTTTGCTCCAGAAGTTTGCCCTGACCTGGCTGTGGTGGCCAGGCCCCCTCCCATGCCCCTTGTATTCCCCTGGGTAGCAGCTTTGCCTCTGGTTTCTAACTTTTTGGATACCGCTCTCTCCCTCTAATGCAAGGACCCTAGGCTCTTGGCGTGTGTCCCCAGCACAAAGCCTGGCACGAAGTAGGTGCCCAATAAACAGCTGCAAACATGCCCTGGGCTCTCCTGAGGGTCTATTTTGTGCCCCATTCTGTGCACAGAGGATGCCAGGTGGGCTAAACCTGGCCTCTGCCCTCAAGAACCTTCCAGTTAGTCCACCCACAGACAAGCAAGTGACAAACCATGAGCCAGAAGCCTCCAGAGAGGAGGGAGGCCTAGGGAGGGTCTGCAGCCCCCTCTTAGGGGGAGAAATACCGTCTTGACGGCCAGCTGGCCTGACTCGCTGGATAGACCACCTAGAGCCCCGACTCTGCTGTCTGACCACCCTCCTTAACAAGCTATGGTTCAACAATGTGTAGATTCCAGAGGGACAGGAGATGAGATTATATAAAGTGAGGCCAAAAGGGAGCCCTCATGATCCCACCTGAACCTCCATGGGGGTGTCAGGGACAGGAGAGCCAGCATGTTTGGGATGATGGCAGGAGGCACACGTCCTGTGGAGGCAGAATTCAGCTGAACTGAGTTCACTCAGAGCTGGCCAGGGATGGAAGGGGTAACTTTGGAAAGCAGGGAGTGCGCCATCTCTGCTCAGAGCGGGGTGCCAGCAGAATCCAGGCCATACCTGCCAAAAGGATTGGAGGGTGAGTCTTTGCAGGGTGGGGCGATTGAGCTAGAGTCAGTGGTTCCCAAACCTGAGCCTGTCAAAAATCTCAATTTGCAGACTCCACCCTGAGAGCCTGTTATAGTAGGTCCATGGTGGGACTGGGGAAATCTGTGTTTTTTAAAAAGGTACAGTGCAAGGCAGCCGGTCCCAGGCCTGGCACATCCAAAGCATGGATTAGCGAGGTTCCATCTTGTAAACCTCTCCCCAAGTGGAGGAACGTGGGGATCTGTTGAAGGCCTCCCTAACCTCAGTGCACCTGGGGGTCCCTGTGCACCCCAATGGTATCCACGCCTTGACCCTTCCTTTTTTTTTTTTTGAGATGGGAGTCTCGCTGTGTCGCCAGGCTGGAGTTCAGTGGCTCGATCTCAGCTCACTGCAACCTCCGCCTCCCAGGTTCAAGTAATTCTCCTGCCTCAGCCTCCCGAGTAGCTGGGATTACAGGCATGCACCACCACGCTGGCTAATTTTTGCATTTTTAGTAGAGACAGGGTTTCACCATGTTGGCCAGGCTGGTCTCAAACTCCTGACCTCATGATCCTCCCGCCTCAGCCTCCCAAAGTGCTGGGATTACAGGCATGAGCCACGGCACCCAGCCGACCCTTCTTTTCTTTAGAAAACAGGTTGGGGGGAGTGTCTGCTTGAAATGAACTGAGATCCCCCTCCCCAGCAATCTCAGAGCTAGAAGGCACCTAGAAAGAGTTAACTGGCTGTCTCATTTTGCAAATAGAGACACTCACAATGCTCCTGCACACTTTCACTGTCCAAAAAGACTCAGGAGTTAGCAGGGCTTTTGAGGGCACAGTGGGTGCAGCAATGGCCTTATCATTGCAAGAGGTTGATTTGCAGCACGTGGGGTCATTCATGCTTCTGCTCCCAGTGGCTTAGGTGACTTCTGCTTTGACACAGAGCCCTGGGAAATCTTTTCAAGCATCCACAAAAGAGGTAACCCGTGTGGGCGAATGAGTGCTGGATGAGGAGACGGGAGACCTGGGTGGGGCTTTTGAGGGAGATCCGCCCCTGCCCTGTTCCTGTCCCTCCATCCTGCTGCGTGAGGGCTGGGGCTTTGGGGAATAGGAGACAGTGTGCGCTCTCGGAACCCAGCCCCTAGGCCCTGAGGACTGCCAGTGGAACTGGCCTGAGGCCAAATGAATGTGACCCTCTCACCAGACCAGGGGTCTCTGACCAGCGGCATCGAAGGATTAAGGTCCCGTGAGGGCCCTGGCAAGTGTCTTATCACAAAGGGGACATGTCCAGGCTGAAATTGAGACATACTGCCCAGGGGCAGAAGTTCCGGAGCCTCCCCGGCAAGGGGCTCCCTTCCCTTCTTGGGCATAGATAATGACCTCTGCTGGCCCTGGAACTCCATAGCATCCTTCCCTGAGCCCCCTGGACTGTGGCTCCAACCCCAACCAACTTCATTCTCCTTGTCTAGGTCTCTGGGGTGAAACAGCTGTCCCAACTGGGTCATATTCTGCTTTTACCCCCAAAGAAGTGAAGTTGGTATCCCAGCATGGTTACTGATCATAGTAGCAGTCATGCCACACCACATTGGTTTGGCAGTTGGCAAAGGCACCTCTACTCCTATTAGTATTTGGCCCTCCCTGAGCCCTAAGGGCTTGGAATCATTGTACCCATTTTGCAGACTCGGAGAGGTGAGCCCCGTGGTCAGCAGCAAGGCACAATGTTGGAACCAAAACCCTTGGTTTATCCAGATACTAAATTCTCTCCTCCAAGCTGGGCTGCCAGAACAGGCAGGGTCTGGAGCAGATCCTTGCTACTCCAAGTCTGTTCTGCACTTTAACGAGGTCCCTCCAAGGCTCTGCGTGCCTGCGGATGTTTGAGAAGCACTAGAGGATGACCTCTCATGCCGTCCCCTCCTCCCAGCTCTCAGATGCTCCATAAGCTCCCTGCGATGACTCAAAGTAAACACCCTGAACAGCAGAGGACAGAGAAAGGAAGGGGCCTGGGAGGGAACCCCAAATCCTTCCGAGGCCCAGAGGAAGAGGCAGGAGAGCAAGGGAGGTGGCTGCGTTTCTGTACTCAGCCAACACCCAGCTAGACCAGGGTATGGGCCTGGCACCCTGGCATGACAGCTCAACCCTGGGCACATCAAGCTCCTGGGCTGATTTGGCAGGTGAATCTAGCAGGGAGGTATGCAGTGGGCAAGGAAGTGGTCAGAGAGACAGACAGACAGACCCAGAGAGAGCTGGGGTATGAGGTGCTGATGGAGAGAAGGGAGGTGTGTGTGGATGGACCCATGGAGAGAGGGGAGGTGGGCGCAGACGGACCCATGGAAAGAAGGGAGGTGGGTGTGGATGGACCCACTGAAGCATCAAGGAAAAGGAGGGATGGAGAGTGGTGGAGACTGGGGGGAGAGAGAGAGAGAGAGAGGTAGAGAGACACCCAGAGACCAAGAGACAGAAACAGGAGCAAGAAAACCTAGGGCAGAGCAATGCGGAGGCAGGGGCATATACAAGGGTGGGGCCAGGAGAGGAAGAGACACAGGGAGAGAGATAAATCAAGAAGGCCAGGGATGATGGAGGGGGGACCCAGAGCTGGAGGGACGAAGGTGCAGAGAGAGGGCTTGAGGGCTCGGAGGAGAGGGACACAGACAGCTCTGCCATCAGAGGAACCCGAATTTGAATTCCAGGCCCACCACCTGCTCCCCCATGTTGGTCCACGGGAGCAGCAGCAGCAGGCAGGTCCCTTTCTCTCCCAGCCTAGTGACCTGCCAGAGCCAGCTTCTCTCCACACTCCCTCCAGCCTCTTCTCCCACTCCCAGTCCAGGTGTCTGTGGCGAGGACCTTTTCCCATGCACAGGGGGCTGCCCGGGCCTGAACCCCAGATGCCCTGGCCTCCCAGTGCAGCGGTGGTGGGTCCCAGAGCGCTCAGAGCCCAGGGTGAGAAGTCCTGCCCTTTTGCCAAGTGTTTTCCTTTAGTTCCAGATGCCACCCTGACAGGTGCTACCCTGTGATTAATGTCCCCACCCCCAAGGCCTGGGACCAGCCCCTCCTCCCCAAGCCAGAGGTGGCGGTGGGTGTGCAGCGCAGGGACTGAGCTTCCCGAATCCCTTCCTGGTTCCTCCCTCTCCCTCGACCCCCTCCAGCCACCAGGAGCAGAGAGCAGACCCCTCCTCAAAGACACTCTCAGATAAGCCACATGGCCGTGACTGAGTTTCCCTTTAAGCCTCAGTTTCCCTGGCTCTCTGAAGGTGGCAATAGTCCTGCTGCTGTGCTCAGGAGGCTGTGCCAGCAGAAAGCCCGGAGCTCCCTGGGGCAAAGCAGAGAGGCTGCTGGGGGCCTCTGGGGAGCCCCACACACTCTTGATACCAGAGCCACTCATGGTGGTGGATGTGGGGATAAAAAGAACCATTTCTGCTCCGTCAGTGATGCGGGGAGGAGAAGCTGGCAGTTGTCGGACCATGTCTGGAAACACACAGGCTTCAGCAACTTGAAGGCCCTGTGCAGAGTGGCAGAGAAGCAGACCATGGTTACTTCAAAGAGAGTCATAACTAGGGACATTGCATGGTTTGGGGGACTGCTGTCAGAGATGGGGATCAAGGTTGGAGTTAGAATTGGTCGTGTTAAATTGGAGAGTATTATCTAAGTTGGTGGCAATGGTTACCAGCTGTGTGATCTTGGGCAAGTCACTTGACCTCTCTGTGCCTCCATTTGCTCATCTATCAAATGTGGATGACACAGGGTTAGACCTGCTTCCCAGGGCTGTTGTGAGGAGTAAATGGGTTAACTCACTGAAATGCTTAGAATACTACCTGAGATGGAGACAGCATTACAGAAATATTAGCTTAGGATTATGGGTGGCTGACCTTGGAAGTGTGGTCAGCACCAGGGTCATGGAGTGGGGTCGTAATCAGAGCGGGGGGCCCAGGTTGGAGTTGGGGTGCATGCAGTATAGGATAAGGCGGGGACTCCATTTGCCCAACCCCTTCCCCATATAACCCGAGGCATCGCCTTTCCAGCCTGCATCGCCAGCGAGAAAGCTACTATCTCCTCCCGCATCTCTTAGGGCCTGGGGACTGAAACGAGACAACATCTCTCCACCACCGTCCCCAGCCTCTTGTTTGTTTGGTACGTCAATGCCGTGGGCATGTTTTTGCTAATTTCGTAGCTGCCTTTATCAAATGGGGATTCACAGGCGCTTTATCCTCGATAAGTGGATTAGTCTTTGAGCTAAACAAGAAGGTGTGGGACGCGGGGGGCTGCTCCGGAGAAGATATTTGTTTTGTAAAGAATGGAGCCTGCGTTCCCTGCCCTGTGTGGGTGAGGCGGCAGGGCGTCGACATAGCTGGAAGGGCTGTCTCTGTTCCTTCTCCCAGGGCCCCAGAAGCCCTAACTCGTGGGAACTTTCTACAGTGCCAGCAGGGAGCAGGAGGGAGGCTGGATCTCTGGAGAAAGAGCTCCTGGGTCCATCTCGTGAGGGGAGAGTGAAACTCCAAATCAGACCTGGGTAAATAGGTATACCGGGGCTCATTTTGAGTTGTGTCACCTCCTTGGGTTGCAGCTTTTTCCTCTCCATCTTCTGTCTGCATCCACCTTTCCTTTCCTTCCTACCCTTCACCTCCTTTATTTGTCTCCTTTCCTCATCCCTCAAACCCCTCCAAGGGCCTTTTGCTAAGAACTGCACATTCAGGCACCAATAAGACATTGTTTCTGCTCTTGCAGACTTCATAGTCCAGTTGGACAAAACCAAGACAACAAATTAATGGGCCCCCAAATGTGGCAGCAAGAGGCGAATCTGGTTGGAAACCCTAGAATGCTTCCAGCTGCTTCCTTAGCCTTGATGCTCTCTAAGGAATGGCCATCTGCTGCTCACAGGGCTTCTCAAGCTTCTCAAGCTTCTCTTCAAACACCCGGGATAATAGTTGAGTATGTTCCCCCCGAGGCCCTGGGGGTGGGGTGTAATATAGAGTTTAATGTATTCTCTTTGAGATGCATTCTTTGCCACTACGGAGCCATATATGTTGGGTCATAATAATGGAATAAGTTGGCATCGTGTCAAGTTGACTCCTCTCCAGGAAGTTGCGCCATGTTTAGCTTGTGGCTTTCCATGGCACATGAAGGACAGCCGAATATGGGCACTGAGAGGGAAATCGAAGATGATTGGGATGTCTGAAGTCTGAGTGACCAAGAAGGTGAGGTATCGTAGACAGAAACAGGGAATGCAGGAGGAGGACCTGGGTCAGAGCTAGCTCTTTGTAGGTCAAGACCAGGAGATAGCCACAAACGTGTCCAGGACAGAGGTTGGGGCAAAGATGTGGATTTCAGAGACATCTCTCTGCAGAGACCTGGAGGTGGAATAAGATGCACAGGGAGAGAAGAGAGAAAGGCTGGGAGGTTTCATTGCACCCATGGCGGGGGGACCCAAATGCTTTCTTTTTCCCTTCCATTTTTAATATGCATAGCCAGGATCTTGAGGTCCTTGCTCTGTGTTGCAGCAAGAGCCTGGCTGAGGGGGAGAGAGGGAGCAGAGACTCTAAGAAGGAAAGAAAAGAGTGGAGCAGAGCATTCCGGTCCCCAGCTGGTCTTTAGCAGCGTCTGTCCTCCCCAAGCTGCCTCCAGCTGAGTGTGATTTTGCTATTTATTTACATGTAATTATTGCTATGAGGTGCAGATATTAACGCTGTCAAGAGCAATTTGCTCTGACATTTTTCACTCGCTCAGTGCCCCCGCCACTCTCAATGGGGCCCAGGGTTCTCCCGGCTCAGGCCGCTGCGTGCTCGGTGGGCCGGCCGGGAACCACCCAGCCGGCAAGGAGTGGCGTCAGCGGGCTCACCCGGCTCCTCTGCAAACTCATTAAGCTTCGAAATTGAATTTGGTCCGGGAGAGGGCTGGCTGGGCCCCACTCCACCAGTCGAGGCTGGCTCAAGGCCTCCCTGCTCTGTCTTCCACAGAGAAAACTGGGCAGGGCCAAGCTCACTGGGGCACAGGCCAGTGGCTAAGGCTGGCAGCAGGCTGCAGAGGCAGCTGGTGAAGGCAGTGGAGGGTCATGGTCAGAGAGGTGAGATGTACACAGCCACCATCAGCAGAGCCCCAACACAGCCAAGGCACACTGCGGGCATGGTAGCTCAAACCCTCTCTGTCTGCTCCATTACCAGGTCACCCAGAAAACCAATCCGTAACTTCGAGGGACAGCACTGCAATTGACAGGTGCACCCACCTAACTAACAGACTGTCCTATGAAGCCAGTCAAACACCTTAGTCATCCTGCAGAGGATGGTACTATGGAGGTAGGAAGAGGTGCTGAGCTGGCCCTGCAGCAAGGCCCCTGGGTGGATGCTAGAAACAGAACCGACTCTATTTACAACTTTTGAGTTCAAATCCAACCCCCAGTGCTTACTAATTGTGGAGACTGGGGCAAATTATTTAGCTTTCTAGAGCCTCCGTTTCCTGATCTTGAAAATGGAACAGGCATTTTTCATTATATTTCATATTTCATTGAATCTAAGACATCTGATCCTGGCCCTCCCTTGATCCTATCAGAAGATGGGAACAAAAGCTTTCCACACAGCTACGCAGCCACATAGCCACAGCAAGGCACTGACGAAGGCAATACACATCCTCATTTCAGAGAAGTGAAAATGCATGTCTTCGACCTGCTGTGGGGAGGAGGGGCTGGCAGTCCGCCTGCACAAAGTAGGTGATGGGCACATAGTAGGTGCTTAAGGCTATGATCCTTTGCCCATGTGAGCTTCTCTATAACCAGGGGCCATTTTACAAATGGGGAAACTGAGGCTTGTTTATTAATTCATTCCACTGAAGGGATTTTGTTCCTGGGAGGGGGCAAGCCGGGCCTGAGCTATCACGGCCCTGAGTCCTTAACACGTTGTGATATGTGCCAGCTTGTCTGCCCAGGTACTAACAAGGCCTCCCTGCCACCGCTCAGTCCCTGCCAGAGCCAATCTGCATCCTCGTCTCCACCAATTACAGAGGTGGAGACGCCCCCCCCCCGCCCCACCAACACCGCCAGGCCAGGGGGGCCTGAGAGCCCAGACGTCCTCCTTTTCCAACCTGGGCGGGGGACCAGAGTCAAGGAGGCCCTCCTCCCTCCCCTCTCCTTCCTCCCGCCTGCCCCTCCTCCCCTCAGCTCGGCCAATTAGGCCCCTGACACCTGGAGCCGCTGACAAACTGTTTCTGTCACTTGCTCTCTGTCTTTCATTAGGGCCGCAGAAGAGGGGGAGCAGGGAAGGGAGGGGGAGGAGATGGGATCTTTCATGCTTAGTAAGGCCAGATACATTAATTACAAAACGGCCATTTGCCGCGTGAAAGTGTGCTAATTAAATTTATGCAATCATTATCTTTAAATAGTCATATCTTTTCCAGCGATCGGCCCCTTCCCCCCGAGCCTCGCCGCTCCGAGCAGAGTCACTCTAATCCCTCGTCCACCATTTATCGAGCCATCAGAGATGGTTTCAGAATCTCACTACACCGTTAGCACCAGGACCCACCAGGGGCCCTGAGCCCTTGGACCCATCCTGGCGTGGGCACCTTCAGACTCAGGCCAACCCAAGGATCTGCCCTGGGATGAGGGGCAAAGCCTCCATCTGGTGTTTCCAGATATTTCTAGATGTTTCCAGAAATTTGGAGATTGACATCTTGTAAAACAGACATTGGAAGAGTGTGTGTGTGTGTGCGCGCGCGCGCGTGCGCGCGTGTGTGTGCGTGTGTTTGTGTGTGTGTGTGTCTTTGACTTCTTGGACAATAAGTGGAATGCCATTCTGTTCCTCCCTCCGCCCCCACCTCACCTCTAGACATCTTATAAAACAGACATTGGAAGAGTGTGAGTGTGTGTGTGTGTGTGTGTGTGTGTGTGTGTGTCTTTGACTTCTTGGACAATGAGTGGAAAGCCATTCTGTTCCTCCCTCCACCCCCACCTCACCTCTAGACAGTCCTTAACTAAAAGCCTCCAAGGACCCCTGGAATGGGGAGGGGGCACTTAGAAACCCATTGGGTTGGAGGATGTTTGCAATATGTCCCCTCAATTTATTCTTTTCCTCCAACCAACTCTGTGCTAGATCCTGTGCTCAGGATAAAAAGATAAATTCATTTCTTCATTCATGAATTCCTCACTTAGCAAATGTTTATTGGGTGCCTTCTGTGTCCCAGGCACTGGGAATAAGACGCCAAGTCTGTCCCCAGGCAGCTCCTGGCCAAATCCAGGCACGTCATGGCCAAATCCAGGCACGTCATGGCCACAAGAAAACAACAAACAGGGTGAGGCTCAGTCTGTTCCCAGGCAGAGGGTTGGGCCTTAGTGGGACTGAAAGTTTCCACGGGGTAAGGCTTGAACACAGGGACCTCACAGCCTCTTTTGGCTGCACCTCCCAGGGTCTCTCCCTCACACACCAGAAGGTTCTTACCAAAGTCTCAGCTGGATGTCTTCTGCTGCAGTTTCACAAATTATCCCCTCTGCTTTCCTCTTCACTCAGACAGAGCCGGCCTCATGAGTCTTTCCAAGTCTGTATATCAAGCTGCACGTGGGAGGAGAAGAGACCCCACCAGGGTTGTGGGTGGCTAGCCCCCACCCTGGTCAGAGATGGCAGTCAATGACCCGGTGTTCACCACGTATCCTCTGAGCTTCCAAGGTCCCCGAGCTTCAGCCTGTACTCTGGGTTGGGGCACACAGGATCTGTGCCCTATACATGTGCAGTGCTCACATGCACACACACCATGCACACACAGTAGTAGATACTGCATGCACATGCAATACTTATGCACACACAATACTCACAGAAACACATAAAAAATTCACACATATACACACAAATACTTGCACATGCACACACAGATTCTACACATGCACATACAATACTCCCATGCACATATAACACACAGGCACATACAAAGACACAATGCTCACACATCACACAAGGACTTAGAAGCATGCATACAACACACACACACAGTACTTCCATGTGCACAAGTTGCATGAACACACAGTACTCACACATGCACACACAGTATTCACACATGCACACACTCTCTCATCCTCTCTCTCTCTCTCTCTCATACACACACACACACACACACACACACACACACACACACAGAGTTAACACTCAGGTAATAAATGACCCTGAGCCACCTATGGTAAATGAAGGCCACAGCCAGGCACAAGGCGATCACCTTCTAGCATCAGACCAGAAGTCGAGAGTCAAGGGTCCTTGCCCCAGTCCTGTCACTCATCCCCCAGGTGATTCTGGGTGAGCCGCTAAGCCTCAGTTTTCTCATCTGAAAAATGGGGTCACAGTACTTCCTAGAGTCATGATGAGGCTTAAAGGGAAATACTTCACAAACTGTAAAGTGCTGTGCTTGTGCAAGAGAATGCCATCAGCCAGGCTTAGAAAAGCGTTCATGGAGGGCTTCGAGGGTGACAAATGAGAGGGAACCAGGAGTCAGGGGGCTGGGTCGGGAGAGGGAAGGGAACCTTCTTGCCCACACGGCAGGTGCAGGGCTTCGGTGTGGGATGCTGGTAGTGGAGGGGGTTGGGTGTGGAGGCCATAAGCAGAGATGGAAACTGAAGTGGGGGACAGGGAGACCTGCAGGAAATCTTGTTTGGAAGCTCCAAGTCAGCACCCGAAGCCTATTACCGCTGTCCACAGGGGGAAAGGAGGGGGAGGGTCCAGATCCTCTTAGTGGAGTATTGAGAGGAAGAGGGGGTGAGGGTGGGCAGCTGCCCGGGTGGGTAATTTCTGGCTTGCACTAATCCCAGTGTGGGGCTGGGAACAGGCAGCCGCCAGTAGGGGCATGCGTGTGTCTGGGTGTCCCCTGGGGGCTGGAGGAGGGTGAAGGGCGCACAGGTTTGCGTGAGTGAGCTGACGAAGGCGGAGTTGTGGGGTGGCAGTGTGTGGGTGCGTGAGGGTCTGTGTACCTCTTTGTGTGCACATCGGGGAGGCCGGTGGATCTGTGGCCAGCGGGATGGGTGCCTGCGGGTTTTCATGGATGTCGTTCTCTGTCTGTTCGTGTTGGCGTGTCTGTAATGTGTGTGTCTTCCTGCACGGGTGTCTGGGTGTGTGTTGGTGCGTCTGTAATGTGTGTGTCTTCCTGCATCGGTGTCTGGGTGTTTTTTGTGTGCATCCCATATCTTCGCCTGTATGAGTATGGATGTGTCATGGTATTACGCGTGTGTAGCAATTCACAGTGATGTCTTGAGACTAGTGGCCGTCAAACTTGGCTGCTCATTAGAATCACCCGGGAGCTTTAAAAACTCCTGACCTGACCGGGCGTCGTGGCTCACGCCTGTAGTCCCAGCACTTTGGGAGGCCAAGGCAGCCAGATCACCTGAGGTCAGGAGTTCGAGACCAGCGTGACCAACATAGAGAAACCCCATTCTACTAAAAAAAAAAAAAAAAAATTAGCCGGGCTTGGTGGTGCATGCCTGTAATCCCAGCTACTCAGGAGGCTGAGCCAGGAGAATTGCTTGAACCTGGGAGGCAGAGGTTGCGGTGAGCCGAGATCACACCATTGCACTCCAGCCTGGGCAACAAGAGTGAAACTCCGTCTCAAAAAAAAAAACAAAAAACTCCTGACCCCCAGACCCCCAAGTGATTCCAGTGGACAGTCAAGACGGAGAACCAGTGATGGAGCAGACAGACCCAGGGGAGAGGCCCATCTCTCTTGCCCAGTCCTCAGCCTGCTCTGACAGGATCTGCCTGGAGGCAGAGGTGGATTCCAGACCCCAGACCCTTAGGAACCAAGGCAAGTTGTGAGCTGGGCTGCCACAGGTCATCTCCCAGCCTGGGGACAGTTCTTGGTCCATAGGGACACTTTCATGCAATTCAGACAAAGCATTCTATTCCTGGCAAGCTGTGTTCTGACAATGGGAACAGAGGGCTCTGAAAATATCTCCTCTTCTCACCTCTTGGGGAAGTCAAAACGGTGAGCCAGGGCTGGAGGTGGACCTGAGGCTTGGAGATGAAAGTGCTCTGTGTGTCAAGCCAGCAGATCCTTTTGGAACCACACCCAAGACAGGGGGCAGGAGGGAGTGGCAGTAATCCCTGGGGTGCCAAGTCACTCTCCCTCTTTCAGCCTCAGTTTCCCCATCTGTGAACATGCAGCAAACTCCAAGTTGCCTCCCAAGTTTCATGTGCATATTTGGGTGTATTTACATGCAAGTGTGTGCATGTGTAAGTGTATTGGATGAGTTTAGGAAAGTGGGAGTGCAAATGGGAAAAACTATCCTGCCCGTTAACTGGGGCTCTGATGAAAGGCTATTTGGCGATTGGGACCAGAGATATTTTCAATGGACTCATCGTCCTGGATTCAGTTGTGTGTCCTGCAGAGTGTGGTGTGGGCTGCCCTGTGCAGTGTGTGTGTTGTGGAGTTGTGTGGATTCCAGGCCTTGCTCAGCTGAGACTGGGAGACTCCAAGGATTTGTACTTTGATGGTTCCTTCTTCCTATAGGGGAGCACACTCAGGCCAGAGTGGGGTGCAACTTGTCAAAGCCTCACACTCCTGCTCCCTTTCCAGTGTGCAGGCCCCAGCTTCTGCGTGGGGACAGAACAGTTCTAAGGGGGCAGAGCAATGCTTCATTCAGAAAGAACCCACTGGGTGTTGGCCCCCATGGGAGAAAAAGATGAAAAACTGCACAGCCCCTGACTGAGAGCTGTTCCCAGAGTCTGCTTCCAAGTGCTCATTTCCATCTCAGGCAAGGTCCCTGAGCCACCTGCCTCTTCCCTTCTAATCCAGGCAGAAGAGGTGTCGGGGAGGTGAAAAAGGAAGGGGAGGGGGACAGCTGATATTTACTGGGAACTAACAATGCACCAGGCATGGCACATCCAGTGTACATTTACTCACTTAATCCTTACAATAACTCTCTAGGTAGCTACAATTATCATCATACCTATTTTATAGATGAGAAAACCGAGGCACAGAAGGTTAAAGAAATTGCTCAGAGTCGCAGTTAGTCAGGGCAGATATTCTGGCCCCTATGCTGCAGGAAAGCCCTTCTGAGCACTGACTGGTCCAGGCCCAGTGCCCTCGGGGAAACTGTTGTCCCTCTTAGAGCCTCAGGGTCCCTCTCAGGCAGTGTAGAGGTGGGGCTCTGTGTCCTGCCGATGGTCCCTGCAGCCTTGACCTGATTCCTGACCCCCACCCCTATCCTGACCTTCAGTCTCTAGGCCCTGTGCCTCCCTCTTCCTCTGCACCCTGCTGCGGCCCCCACCCACCCACCACAAACCCTGCCACAGAGCCCCAATGATGGCGATTGCCCCTTCTAATTGCAGCCACACTCCCAAAGCCACGTTCAGTTATCACAGAGGGTGCAGATCTCGCAGCTCAGCCTCCTCAGTCCCAGGCCCTCGGGGCCAGCTCAGGAACGGAGGGAACTAATTACATTTTTCCCATCCCCTTCTTTTAAAGTAGGGGAGCGCGCCGGCATGTCCCAGGGGAGGGGGCGGTGAGCAGAGGCTGTGGAAGGGGGGCCCCCACCCCCAAACCAGCAAGCCTCTCCCCAGCAGACGGAAGGGAGGGTGAGGCTGGCCTCTTATTGATTTAGTCTGGTCGAGGCTGGGACTGATTTGGAGTAGAGGGAGAGGAAGGGGTTGGGGGTGGGGTAGGGGCCGTGGCGGGTGGGGGGAAATGGAGGAGGAAGGGAGAGGAAGGGACGGCTGTCTGTCAGCCTGACGGACAGCCCTGAGATTTGCCTTCAGATAAAACCTTACAGATGTGGAGGTCGGTATTGATTTTGAGTTAGTAACGGTAACCTACCAAGAAGTAATACATTAGTGAAAGCAAGGTCACCAGGAAAAAAGTAAAATCTACCCGGGGAGAGGCCTTAGCATTCTTGAGAGGGGTGGATTACTGCATCAGACCTGAACTTCCTCAAGTTGAAAAGTTTGCAGGCTCCGGACCTCAGCTGGATTCCTAACTGTGGGCCAATGCTTCCTGCTTCTGCAGGCCAAGAGGGAGCCCTAAAGGTCCCCGGGAAGCCAGAGGCCAGCGAGGGGCATTTAGGCCCATAGGGCTCTGTGCAGTGAGGTTGCCAAACCTCTCCCTGTGTGCTCTCCAGCACAGCTGGTGGCAGGGAAAGAGCACAGCTAGGGACCCGGGAGACCTGGGTGCAAATCCCAGCTCTGCCACTTACCGGCTGTGTGGTTGTGGGTGAGCCCTTTTGCTTCCTCGTGTCTCAATTTCCCCATCTGCATAATGGGAGTAATGATACCCCATCTGCTTGAGGAGTCCATGAACTGGCCAATATATGACTCAGGCCTTGTGGTCTTCATCAGTGAGTGTTCTCCCCTCCCGCCGCTCTCCAGTTGGGTCCTGTCCCATTAGCTTAGACGCTGCCCTGCCTGGAGACAGGGGGTTGGATGAAATGGAAGCCCTTTGATCCACAGACCCCCAGGGGCTCTGGGAGAGAGTAAGCAGTGGCAGCACATCCTCCATTCACACCCTCCCCAGATGTGGATTTGATTTGATGTTCCAGGGCAAATCCCATTGAGCAAATCCCATTACGGGAAAAGCTCCCTGGACCCAAGCTGTTTCTGAGCTGTCAGTTCACAGCCCAGGGTCCAAGGCCTCTTGAGCCACCGGGCACCACCCAAGCCCCTTCTGAGAAAGGACTGCACAAGCCCTCGCAGCTCCTGGAATTTTTACTCTCCGCCTTCACCTTCTTGCTATTTCCTAAACCTGCTGGGTGTATCTCGTGATTCAGCCCCCTCAGCCCCAGGGACCTCAGGGCCTTTGCACTTGCTGACTTCTCTGCCTGGAAAGCTCCCCTGCCTCGTCTTCTCAGGGCTGTTCTTTCTGGTCTTGCTGGATATCACATCTTTGGGGAGGTCTTGCCTGACTGCCCCACATAGCCCCTTATTTTTCCTCCGTAGCATTTATCAGTATCAGAAATTATATTATTTGTTCACTTGTTTATTGTCAGCTTCGTTCCTTAGGCCGACAGCTCCAGGAGGACATGGGATTGGCATTTTTCATGGCTGTGTCCCCAGTGCCTGGCTTAGTGTCTGGCATATAATAGGTGCTCAGTAAATGTTTGTTAAAGGAATACACATGAATTCAGCAGAGGTTTTCTGAGCTCAGAATATGTAGCAAGTACCACGTAGGCACTGGGACTACAGAGACGGACAAAATGCAGTTCCATCCTGCTCTCAAAGAGCTCATAGTCCAGCCCTAGCTCCAGACTGGCACATAGTAGCACCCTATGAAATGCTTGTTGGACGAATACGTGAATGAATGAAGGATATCTTCAAGAAATACCACATTGTTTGGGATAGCTGGAAGGTAAAGTGCAGGGTAGAAAGGGGTGAAAGGAGTTGGGACAGGCAGCTAGAGGTCTGGTCACTAGGAGCTTTTGCTGAGAGATAATGGGGAGCCATTCATAATTCTTGAGTGATACTGTCAGATTGGGCAGCAGTTCTGTGCAGGTCTCTGTCTTAGAGGATGAGTAGTGGGACTACACATAGCTCTCAGCCTGTCTCAAAACATCCTCGTCCTCTTCCTAACCATCCCCCGACTCCTCCCCTCCCATCATCCCATCCGGGCTTGGCATCCTGGGGATGGGCAGGAGGGAAGGATCAAACTGGAGTCTCACGGGAGCTGACAAACCCTCCCAGTAGTCTCCCAGCCCCCGTCAACTGTCCTTCTGAAAGAAGTGATCTGGAGCCTGAGTGTTTTTTCTGAGCCTCTAAGTCTATTCTTGGAGTCCAGGCCTCCTTTGAGCAGGGAGCAGGGTCCGTGTTTGTGTTGGGTGAGAAAGGAGATGGGTGGGAAAAGGTCTAGACTGAGAACCCCAGGGTAGACTCAGATTCCTGAGTCTGCCCTGGGACCTTGCTCTCCTCCCCAAGCCCCTTAGCACATTCTTCAAGCTAAGGAGATCCCATCTTGACAGACAGAAAGCAACAAACACAGTCCCACAGTGTCAGACACCCTCACATACCACTACCCCAGCACCCTACTGTTGACCCGACCACAACAAAGATCTCAGAAGCACATTCAACACAGAGCGAGTTAGGGAGACCTCAGCTCCCTAAAGTAGTGCTAGTGTCCAAAGGACTCTAGACCCTCCCCAGCCCAGCCTCCTGCCTCCCAGGCAGACTTTCTCTCTCCTTCTTGCAAACCCATTCCAGTGTGTCTTTGCCATCTTGATGAGGTTGACACACCCCTATGTCCCACCCAAATCTCCCCAGCTGTGTGGAGATGAAGACTAGCCAGTTGACGGTCTCAGCTGGTCTGAGCTCTGAGCTCTGGTTCTGGGGTGAGAGTGACAGAGGGAAAAGGTGGAGGAGGGGAGACCCCCAGGGCTGAGGGCATGGGGGAAAGAACCAGGCAGAGGCTCTGCTCAAGACATTCCAGAGGACCTAAGCTTCCCCCAGAGCAAGGGACCCCACCCCACTCACCCCACATTAGCTGCCCAGGAAACAAACTACTGCTGGTCCTTGGAGTGAGACCCTCTAAAGTGATCAGATGCCTCAACCTCATTCATTCTTGAGAGTTGAACTTGACATTTTGCAGGTGAGCCAGGGTCAGGCGAACTGAGCCCTGGGCCTGCTGTGAGATCTAGGGAAGCCACGGCCCCTTTGCGGGCCTCAGTTTTTCATCTGGGAAATGGGCATCCTAGCTTTGCCCCACAAATCTCTGTGGGCTTTTGGGTTGGGAGAGTCAAATGAGTTAACTGCTCAGGGATACTCCCGAGGTTACACAGCTGGTAAACGGAGGAGCTCGCTGTCTGTCCCTAGCCCGAGGAATCCATCAGTGCCCTCGACTGTGGCCAGGCCTCAATGCCTGTGGCACAAGCCAATAATAAAGGCAAAGGTAAAAATCTTCAGAAGGTGTCTAGTCGGCAAAACGATCACTGCTCGAATGCCCGCAGCCTGCTTTCTTACCCTGTAAGGGGAGTCAGGGAACTCAACTGTGTGCCCAGCAGGGATTGCCACGTGGTTCTCCGTCTCGGTGCTGGGCAGATTATCAGCAAAGCCGTCCCCACCTCATACTCAGGGTCTTCCTCCCATAAAGGGCGGCATCACCAGGAGGTCATCAGGGGCCTGGGCCCTGCAGGTTAGGTTCACGAGGGCCTGCCTCTCCCTCCTACCCTCTCCCCTGCCCTCCTCTGAACTCACTGGGACACTGTGCCCTCTCTCTCCTGCCCTCTCCCCTGCTCTGCTCTGAACTGACTGGGACACTGTGCCCTCCCACTCTCCAGGAGCTCCTGCTGCACCACTCCCAGTCCCACCCCAGGAAAGCACTGCTTCTCCCCGTCCTCTTTCCTGGAGAGCTAGACAGCAGGTTCCACCTCCCCTAGATTTCCCAGACTGCCAAGGATGACTGGGTGCCCTCCTCTGTGTCCTTTGATAGATAAGATGCCTGTATCACTACTCCATGTCTCTATGATCTTTGCTAGTAGCTTCCCTCACCCGACCCAGACCCTTCCTCCTCCTCTCCCCCGACCGAGGGCAGGGACCATGGCTCTTTCTCCTCTGAAGTCTCAGAGCCTTCAGCTCTCAGCCTGGGGCCAGAGTCACCATCCATGCCTGTTTGTGGAGTAAACAAGTGAACATCCCAGTAAGTGAACACCTGGACCTCCATCCAGGTCCCCTAAGCTGAGCTTCTAGAGACAAGCCTCCCCTGGTAGTCTGTGTTGCCAGCACTGACAGTGAGTTCCTATTTGCGGAACCTGGCCAGGCAGGGAAGGAGGGGATGCTCACAGACCTCAGGAGCTGGTAGAATCAAAGGAAGGGGCCTGAGAGGCTCTTTGAAAGCATTGGCTGTGGGCTTCAGTGTCGAAGGGGCAGGAACCTCAGAGTCCGGAGGAGTGGCAGGCAGAGCAAGCCACACACAGTGACAGCAGACAGATCAAGAGTCCTGCTGTAATGTTTGTGTTAGAAGATGGGGCCATCCCAGTCTGATGGGGGAGGCACAGTTCTCTGAGCTTGGAGAACTCCCTGACTGATGGGAGAGGCCTCATTAGCCAGTTCGTTCATTCATGCATTCATTCATGCATTTATTCATTCAATAGACAGGCCCAGAGTGACCCTTAGGGCCAGACCCTGGAGCTAGAGAGGCGAGTAAGGCCCTGCTGAGTTCTCAGTGGAAGGAGGATCCCTGGGTCAGGACCCTCCTTCAAGAGAAACACCGAAGACCAGCAGCCATCCCATGCATGAGGGCACGCAAATCAGGTAAACTGAGGACCTCGAAGCTACAGAGACTTCAAGGGAACAACTCTGGCAAAGAGTGTTCCAGGGCCAGCCTGGCATTGTGCCCAGTGTGCTCGTGTCTCTGGGGTCTGTCCGGTGAGCCTGGCACTAATGGCCTTTTCCCCACAGGTGATGAGCATCTTGGGCAACCCCAGTGCGGTGCCCCCGCAGCCACAGGCTGACTTCTCCATCTCCCCGCTGCATGGCGGCCTGGACTCGGCCACCTCCATCTCAGCCAGCTGCAGCCAGCGGGCCGACTCCATCAAGCCAGGAGACAGCCTGCCCACCTCCCAGGCCTACTGCCCACCCACCTACAGCACCACCGGCTACAGCGTGGACCCCGTGGCCGGCTATCAGTACGGCCAGTACGGCCAGAGTGAGTGCCTGGTGCCCTGGGCGTCCCCCGTCCCCATTCCTTCTCCCACCCCCAGGGCCTCCTGCTTGTTTATGGAGAGCTACAAGGTGGTGTCAGGGTGGGGAATGTCCATTTCACAGATGGAAAAATTGAAGTCCAGCCAGATGGAACAGTTCACCTAAAATGACACTGAGTTGGGCAAAACCCAGGACATCTCCTGGCTAAGCCTCTGCTTCCGTACTATGGCTCCAACAGAAATAAAATACACAACACAAATATCACTTAACATTTCTAGTGGCCACATTTTAAAACATAAGAAGAAACAGGCCAGGCGTGGTGGCTCATGCCTGTAATCCCAGCACTTTGGAAGGCTGAGGCAAACGAATCACTTGAGCCCAGGAGTTCAAGACCAGCCTGGTCAACATGGTGAAACTCTGTCTCTACTAAAAATACAAAAATTAGCCAGGCATGGTGGCGCACACCTGTAATCCCAGCTACTCAAGTAGGTGAGGCACAAGAATCACTTGAACCCGGGAAGCGGAGGTTGCAGTGAGCCGAGATCACGCCACTGTACTCCAGCCTGTGTGACAGAGCAAGACTCTGTCTCAAAAAAAAAAAAAAAAAATCAAGGAGAAGAAACAATGGAATTATTTTTACTAACATTTTATTTAACCCAGTACATCCAAAAGATTATCATTTCAAAATGCAATTCATATATAATTATTGAGATATTTTACATTCTCTTCTTTATGCTATGTCTTTGACATCATGTGTGTGTTTTACACTTACAGCCCATTTTAATTCGGACACTGAGTTTTCAACAGAAATACTTGATCTGTATTTAAATTTCATATAGTTTGCAACTGAGAAAATATACTTACAAACCCAAAGTGTTCCAAATTGTAAGTTTTCCAACTACTAAATAACCCAATTGAAGATTGGTTTTTGACTTTAAATTAGTTCAAGTGAAATCGGCATTTGAAATTCTGTTTCCCAGTCGCACTAGCCACATTTCAAGTGCTCAGCAGCCATGTGCTGCTGGTGGCCACTGTGCTGGACAGCTCAGTGGGAGACCCTGCCCCTTCTGCCGCAGGGCATGGGAAAGCTGTGTTTCCAACTCTCTCCTCCACTCCAAACTCTGCAATGGTCTCATGCACCCATCCCAGCTGCTATCCCCTTTGTGCCTTGCCTTGAGGCAGGGACCGTGGATCCTCACACCAAAGGCTGGAAAACGCAGGCCTGGACACAGCCTCCACCGCCTGGCAAGGCCAGCAGCAGGGCAGGTCCAGATGGGACAGGGAGCCAGAGGTCATGGGTCACTTTCCTGCCCCACCGCCCTGCAAAGGCCTCACCTGCTGGTGTCAAACTAATCAGAAGGGCGTGTGGCAAGAGGGTGAGGCCCCCATCCCTGAGGGTGTCCTCTCCCCCAGCCCAGCCCTGGGCCAGCCTTTCTGACCTCTGCTTCCTGCCCACCCCCCCAAACCCACTCCTCTTCACGTGTCGTTGGCCTCCACTGCCAAATGAGGGCCACTGCCAAATGAGGGCCAGCTATGTCGGCCTCCACCTCCCAGCTGTGTTCACAACCCTTCCTGTGCATGTACATGTTTGCATATGTGTATGTACACATGTGTGTATGGGTGTTTGTGAGTACGTATGTTGGGACATGTTACAATTCTTGTGTGTGTGTGCATGTGATGCTTCTATTTCAGCACCCATGTGTTATTGCATGCATCTTTGCATATGCGCGAATACATGTATGTGTCAGTGGGCACATGTGAGCATATGTGTATATGACTTCACATGCGTGCACATAAATGAGCATATTGTGCATACATGATGTGCACATCTGTGTGTGTGAACACACATGTGCACACATATATGTAAGTATATGTATCTGCTTAAACATGTTTAAATGTGCATTCAAGTCTGTACATATGGTTGAGCGTGTCTTTATGTGTGCCTCCATGTTTGGCATAGGTATGCATATGTCAATATGTAGATAGGTATAATGAATATGTATGCGTGTGTATAGATGTATATGAGTGTGCAAACATGTGACTGTATGTACATGTGTATAGCCATGCATTGAGGCATGCACACATGCTTGAGTGTGTCTGTGATTGTGTGTTTGGAAGTACCTGTGTGTGGACACATATTCTGTGTGCAGTGTGTAAATAGGGGTGAGTGTATGAGTGTATGTTTGAGTATGTCATAGGTGTGGCTGTGTGTACATGTGTATGGATGTACATCTGGGTGTAGACATACACTGTGTCTGTGTGTATAACTGTGTGTGTGTGTGTGTGAATGTGTACGTGGGGGTCTGCATGTATATTTGAGAGCAGGGTGCACGCATGTGCATGGGAGAATTTCCAGAGGGTCCCAGGGTGACCTCCTGACCCAGCCCGTGTTCCTGGGCATGCAGCAGGACACACATGCTCTTGATAAATATTTTAGAGTGACCCCAGCGGCAGCGGCAGCCCCGGCCTGGGGCAGGCGTTAGTCACACCCAAGCTCGGTGCCCTGCTCCAGGGGCGCCTGCTCAATTCGGAAATAAAATTAACCCCAAAGTCAGCATGGGGGCAGCAGGGGAGGGGATCAAAAGGGAAGGGGCCTAGGAGGCGAGAAAGGAGGGTTTGTTCTCCTCTTGCTTGGACAAAGCCAGCCAGAGCAGCTTCCTCCTCCCCCACCACCCCCTACTCCATTCTTCTCTTTTCCATCCTCTCTTTCCACTCCCTTCTCCTCCTGTCACTCCCCTTCCAGCTCCACCCCTGCTGCCCTGGCTTCTCCAGGAATAGCTCAGAGCTCCTCTTGGCCACATTCTCCAGCCCTCCCCAAAGGGAGCCCAGCACAGACCCCAACTCACCCCACAGAGACTCTGGGCCCAAGCTGGGAGGGAAGGGCTGGAGGAAAAGCCCCCTCCTCTGCCCCCAATTAGTGCAGGCAGCCACACACTTGCCTCTCTGAGCCTCAGTCTTCCCATCTGTGAAATGGAGGCCACGAATTAGACTTAGCCGTCTCAAAGTGTTTCCATTGCACCACCTCCCTCTCCTTTGGCATTTTGGAGGCCCTGAGACACATCATGTTCCCGCTAACCACTTGCCCCACATCCCTGGGCAACTTAATCCATCTGTGGCTGGGATGCCCCAGTGTGTGTGCAAGAGTCCCATGTCCTGGACTGTGCCCGCCTATGCCCAGGTCCATCTGTCCTCCCTTAACACCTGCCCTCTGCCCAAGTTCATCCCACAGGGCACTGGGCAAAATGCATGCTCCTCATTCATGTCATTCTCTAAGTTATTTGTCCCCAGGTTGCAGGTGCAAAAACGAGGCTCAGAGAGGCGAGGTAGCTTTTCCAAAATCCCACAGCATGGCAATGGTGGACCCAAAGTCTTCTAACTTCAAACCACAGATTTGTGGAGGCCACTGAGCAGCGATACACACCTGAGCCCACCCATGCGTGGATTCATGTCCACAGCTTCACATGCATGTGCATATGGATAGACACACACGCAGAGAGAGGGGTTTATATGTGAGTGTTCACTAATGTGTGTACACAGCTTTAAGATATAAATATACAAAATGTGCATGTGTAAAGGAAGGAGGAACGACCATTTATTGAGCATCTACTATGGGTCTAGCATTTCATCCTTATGCCACCCTATGCAGTACACGTGGTTATTCCCATTGGACAGATGAGGAAATGGGATCCCAGAGAGGCTGTTTATGCAAGGTCACCCGGCAGCCCATACTGATGTGTACACAGCCACACCTGCAGCCTGGTTCCTGGAGAGCCACCTTCAGGTGTGCATGGAACAAGCCTACACATGGGCCAAACTCTTAGGCCCCAGAGTACTCCTCCTCTTCTCCGTGGGCTTCTCATCTTGCCAGGGACACCTTCACTCCTTTTCCTGCTCTGGCCATTGTCCATCCACCTGTCCGTCTTTCCTCGTCTCTAGGGGAGTGGGGGCAGGGGCCCAGGGATGGGGCACATGGCAGATTAATACGGCCCTGGTGTTCCCAGAGGCCAGGGCTGTACTAATAATGGGGCTGATAGAACGCTGAAGTGTGAAAAGAATTTTAATAGATCTGACAAGTCTAATAAGAATTTGTGTCTAGAAGGGTCCTCCTCTGGGGCTGCGGGCTGACGAGGCGCTGACGGCTGAGATTGTTTACCGGTTGGCATCACCACCACATCTCCTGCCAACTCCCAATTAATCTAATTTGAGACATTTAGAGCCCAGCCACGGGCGCGAGGCAGAAGAGGGGAGATGCGGAGAGACAGAGGGACAGGGAGGGCCGTTGACGGAGGCCATAATAAGAGATGTCACAACCCTGCCCTCGCCGGCCCCTCGGCTCCACCCCTGGGAGAGGCAGGCTGTGCAGCCTGTTGGGTGCCCTTGAAGTTGGCAGGGTCATCAGGAAAGTTTGGCTTCCTGGTGTTTCCTTGGCTACCTAGACAGGGCCTGGCAAGCTCCTACTGTGTGCTGGGCCCATGGGCTGGTCGCTGGGAGAGGCTGACAAGGATAAGGCACGCAGAGTGGCCAGAGGCACAAGCAGGACCAATGCAGACTCCTCCTCCATGTCACGCACTGCATGTGACTCTGGGCCAGCGACCTCTCCGTACCTCAGTTTCCTCATTTATAGAAGGAGAACGCTGATACCTAAAGCATGGGGCAGTTGAAAGAAATAGATGTGGTCATGCCTGCCAGCACACAGTAGGTGGTCCATACATGAGGGTGCTCGCCTTGTTGTTCTGATTATTATTCAAAGCCAGTGAAAACTAGAACTACCATATTTATCAAAAGGATAGGAATCAGTGTATCAAAGGGATGCCTGCACTCCCATGTTTATTGCAAAACCATTCACAATAGCCAAGACGTAGAATCAACCTAAGTATCCATCAACAGATGAATGGATAAAGAACATATAGTGTATCTACCCAGTGGAATACTATTCAGCCATAAAAAAGAATAAAATCCTGTCATCTGCAGCAACATGGATGGAACTGCAGGTCATTTTGTTAAGTAACATAAGCCAGGCACAGAGAGACAAACATCACATGTTCTCATATATGGGAGCTAAGAAGGTTGATCTCATGGAGGTAGAGAGTCAAATGATGGTTACTAGAGGCAGGGAAGCAGGGAGGGAGATGAAGAGAGGTTGGTTAATGGGTGCAAACATACAGTTAGATAGAAGGAATAAGCTCTAGTGTTTGATAACAGAATAGGGTGACTACAGCTAACAACAATGTATTGTATATTTCAAAATAGCTAGAAGAGAGGATTTGAAACACATAGAAATGATAAATACTGGGCCAGGCATGGTGGCTCACACCTGTCATCCCAGCACTTTGGGAGGCCAAAGTGGGCAGATCACCTGAGGTCGGGAGTTTGAGACCAGCCTGGCCAACATGGTGAAACCCCATCTCTACTAAAAAATACAAAAATTAGCCAGGTGTATTGGTGGGCACCTGTAATCCCAGCTACTTGGGAGACTGAGGCAGGAGAATTGCTTGAACTCGGGAGGCGGAGGCTGCAATGAGCCAAGATTGCACTGTTGCACTACAGCCTGGGAGACAGAGTGAGACTCCGTCTCAAAAAGAAAAAAAAAAAGAAAGAAAGAAAGAAAAGATAAGATAAATCCTGAAGGTGATGGATGCCCTAAACAGCCTTACTTGATCATTACACATTCTATGCACGTAGCAAAACATCAGAGGTACCCCCAAAAATATGTGCAAATATTATGTATCAATTGTTTAAAAAGACAGAGCTCTCAGCCCATCCACAGGAATAGCTGAAGAGGTTGGTGTGAGAGGCTGGCATGGTGTGAAGTAAGGAGGGGAGGCAGCGGCTGCTGTGACTCCGGGAAAGTGTCACCTGCTTTAGCGGTGTGCCCTTGGACAGATCGCTTACATTGCCTGGAGCAGAACATGGGATCAATGCAGAATTTGGGGTGCAGAGCACCTCGTGCCCTCTAGTGTTTTGCATGTACAAAGGGTTATTCTCTAGGAGCCTGCAGGGGTGGCTGGGATCCAGGCTCAGACTGCCTGGGTTTGAATCCTGGCTCCACAATTTATGAACTGTGTGATCTTTGAAGTGGTGCAGTCTCTCAGAGCCTCAGTTCCATCATCTGTAAGATGCGGATACCACCACTACCAGCCTCATAGAGTTGTTGTAAGAATTAAATGGAAAATGAGCACAAAATGCTTAGAACAGGACTAGGATAGAACAAGCTCTCTGTAAACCCTGGCTTCTCCTCTTTCTATTCCGACTGTCCCTCTAAGAATGAGGCTTCTTTTTTTTTTTTTTTTTTTTTTTTTTTGAGACGGAGTCTTGCTCTGTTGCCCAGGCTGGAGTGCAGTGGTGCGATCTTGGCTCACTGCAAGCTCCGCCTCCCAGGTTCATGACATTCTCCTGCCTCAGCATCCCGAGTAGCTGGGACTACTGGCATGCGCCACCACGTCCGGCTAATTTTTGTATTTTTAGTAGAGACAGGGTTTCACGGTGTTAGCCAGGATGGTCTCAATCTCCTGACCTCGTGATCCACCCACCTTGGCCTCCCAAAGTGCTGGGATTACAGGCATGAGCCACCGTGCTCGGGCAGAATGAGGCTTCTTAATGGGATGGACACTGGAGCCCGGGTAAGGCAGGCTTCCAGTAGCAGAGTTGGTGTGGCCAGGGCTACAGAGTCCCCCCAAGGCCAGAGATGGGAATGGCCCTACCCTCACACAGAGTAAGGGGCAGACCCAAGGCAGGGCCAGGCTGACTGCCACCAACTCTGCTCTACCAACTGGGAGCCTGGAGGCCAAGTGACTTCAGAGGAAGGCTGGCAGTCCCTGGGGGCTCAGCTCAGACCCTAGGCAGACTTAACTTTCCTCTCATCACCCACCCTGGAGCCTGGTAAGCAGAGGGGCACAGGGTTCAGACACTCCAGAGAGATTCCAGGGCATTTGCACATCCCTTGGGACTGTCGAGGGCCAAGCCCCTTCATGCTCTGTAACCACCATCTTAAAGAACAGTGTCTCACTTCATCCTGATAGCAGCAGCCCTGGAGGAGGCTGGACTTTATTTCCCCCATTCTGCAGACAAGGAAGCAGGTCTAGAGAGGTCAAGTGATGTGCCCAGGGCCACATGAGCAGGAGGTAACTGGGACTGCAGCCACCTCATCTGCTGCTTCATCCCCTCCTGCCCCCATCAAAGGCCATGTTTACTTACTAAATCCCAATCCTAGTCTTCTGCTGCTTCCAAACCAACATCTCTCAAGCTCACATTGTGCCAGGCATAGTACTAGCTAGCCACTTTGTACGTATTTCTTCTTTAACCTTCATAACAGCTCCTCAGATAGCTGCTGTTACGATCCCCATTTTACAGACAAGGAAACTGAGGTTTGAATAGATGAGGTGGGATGCCCCAGAGCACACGTTAAAAGTTGGCATGTGCAGGATTTGAACCTCCGTCATTTGAACCACTAGGCAATACAGCCTCCCGTGGCTCAACGATTGGCACTGTCCACTTGGCCTCCCTGGCCTCATCCTCAGGCCGTGCGTATCACCTTTTGGCTCCACCCACCTGCCCTGGGCAGGAACCTCCAACCTTGGGGAAGCATGTAGAGTGCTACAGCGTCCCCTGTGGTCAGGTGACAGAACAAGTGTTGAACCAGGCCTTGCAATTCTTAACACAGTGTTCTTTCCATCTTCCTCTTGCTTCTGGATCCTACAAATCCCAGGGGTTTGGACTGGCCACAGCCACAGATCCCAGCTTGGGAGGCAGCATCTCTGTGCTTCTGGAGGCCTTGGCCACACCCCAGCCAAATCATTTGGTCAGGGCTGATTTCTTTTGTAGCCTCAGAAAGGCAGAATTAGTACAGTCAAGACAGAACACTTGTACATGCAGGTCAAGGGTCATCCCTGCACATACACAAATATAGAGGCAGGTACCTGGCTGAGTTGGAACTCACCTGTACACAGTGCCTGCACATGCACTGGCATTCCCAAGGTTCATCTATTCACAAAGGTGCACACAACTCACACACATATGTGCATGTGTGTGTGCAAATGTTGCTCTTCTGTGGACATTCATGTGCAGTCTAATTCAAGGAGATTCTTGTTTCAGTTGTTCACACACACAAGTATGCACCACTCTCAGGCACACACACCCTCAGACACTCATCTGTCTCCTCTGGGGGACCAGATGGACAGAGCTGTAGGTCTCAGCTCCCTGCGTATCTGTGTCCTGGCTCCTTCTGCATGGATCCCTCAGCTCACCCACAGCCACTTTGGCCTCGCAGCAAAGGTCTTGCTTTGCCTTATCTGTAAGCTGGGCACAGATAGAGAAGGCAGAGAGACCTTGCCCTCATCATTACCTGCACTCAGGGATTCACAGGGCCTTCTCCATAGCAGGTATATGTAGTGGGCTTGTTGAGGGGTGGTTAATTCTTTGCTCAGCAATGTGGGTAATCTTCTGTGCCTCCCTAGGAACTTACCAGGGAGCTGGGCACAAAATGCATTAAACATATTTGCTGAATGATTGGAGAGGAGGTGAGAGAAAGAGCTTCATGAAGAGATGGATAGATGGAAGGATGGATGGATGGATGGATGGATGGATGGATGGATGGATGGATGGATGGATAAATGGATGGATGGATGGACAGAGAATGGATAAATGAATGAATGGATGGATAGATGGACAGAATGGATGGGTGGATGGAGGCATGGATGCATGGATATGGCTGGATGGATGAGAAGATGAGTGGATAGAAGGATGGAAGGATGATGGATGGATGAAAGAATGGATGAGTAGACAGGACGGATGGATGGATGGATGGATGGATGGATAAATGGATGGATGGATGGATGGATGGATGGATGGATGGATGGATGGATGGATGGGTGTAGATAGAGTGAATGGAAGAATAAACAAAAAGAACCTCAATTTCTAGGAGAGTCTCTTCTTTTTTCCAGCTGCTGTTGATTATCTGGCCAAAAATGTGAGCCTCTCCACCCAGCGTCGCATGAAGCTCGGGGAGCACTCTGCTGTGCTGGGACTCCTGCCTGTGGAAACTGGCCAGGCCTACTAGGGCCCCTGGGGCGACTTGCCCCAGCCCAATTCCCAGCCCAACCCTAACTGACCCCTGAGCTTCCCAGCCTTGCCGCCTCACCCCCCTGTTGTCCTAGGAGGCCAGGAAAGGAGCCCACCTGCTTCTCATCACCAGCCCCCTGGAGGTAGACAGCCAGCTTGTCACTCACCTGTGGTTAGGGATCCAGAGTGATGCCCTTGGAGTCTGCTCCCCACTTTCCCCAAGGAGGGTTTCTGGTCAGCCTGAGGTCCTCCCCTGTCAAATCCCATGGTGGCCTCTGTGCCATCTCAGGCATGGAGATTGGGGCCCACCTTGAACACCTTGGGTGTCCAGAGGAGGATGGTGCCTGAGAGGAGGTCCTACAGCCCTTTGGACCCAACTCCAGTGGGGGCCCTAGCTAGAAGTGGAGGTGAAGCTTTCAGGGCTGCTCTCAGCTGGATGTACTGGGAGCCAGCCCTGCAAGGAGGGTCTCTGGCTCAGTGTCAGAACCACAGCCCTTTCCTCCTCTAGACATTGGGACTCCAGCAAAGAGGGGACCCTGGCCCTGGGGTCTTCCCAGGGGAGTCAGCAGGGGGGCAGTCTCACCCCCACCCAGGAATTTGAAGGACTTCAGAACCCTCCCCAGACACCTCTACTGGGTGCATGGGGAAATCTAGCACAGGCAGGGAGACTGGGGAGACCAGGAAGAGGCTTAACCAGAGGGTAGGGGCACATGGGGGTGGGGCTTGTCAGCCGTGGGCCCGCCCAGGATACAAGGACCCAACTCAGGCTTCTGGAAGCAGAGGGCTCTTATCCTGAAGCCCAAGTTCCCAGCATGTCCACTCCATCTGGGGCCTGGGGAGCCCACAGAACTTTTCAGTTTCCTTCATTAGCTGAATCAGATGAGATGGGGAGGGGATAAAGTCTTGAGGATACATGAGTGGAGGAGCAGGAAGTGGGCTCAGAAGGCACTTTCATAACCAGATCCCTCTGTTTGTGGGAGGGCAAGCCTTTGTTGCCCAAGGCTTCAGCTCTCTGCCTGCAAGTCCACACCCCAGGGAGTTGAGATTTTGCCCAAAGCCTTCCGCAGAGGCCCGAGCCCATCCTTACCATGCCCCATCCTCTAGGAAGAGGTCTCCATCTTCCCCAAACCCCTTTCAGTTTGTGGGGATGCAGAGAGCTACCCTCAGAGCTTTGGAGGAGGGTTGTAGACTGGGCAGGGATGGTTTGCCCCACAGACAAGATGATCCCCCCTGGCATGTTGTTAGGGGCAAATTGCTGTCCTGCTCAGAGTGGCATCTTTCAATGTTGCCTCCATCTTGGCCAAGAGGTCCCTGCCTCCTGATCCGGCACAGCTGAGCTGAGGCAGATGTGACCAGTTTTCAAGCTACCAGCCCTGGGCAGAGGAAGATGTCAACAATTCCAGAGCAGAGGGAAGAGGCACCTTCCTTGACCACACCAGTGGCCTCCTGAAGTTCCATGCTTTTAAGAGCTGGGACCTTGGGAGGATGATTCAAACCCTCAATTCCTCCTCCCTGGGAACTTTTTACCACCTTTACCTATTTATCAAAATCATATTCATCTTTACCATCACTGTCACTGTAATCTACATTCCATCACCTTTATCAGGTGCTGCTGAGTACAAAGCACTTGGGATGGGAGACACAGCACTGAATTCACAAACATTGGACCAAACTGTTTGTCCCCATCTGGGTTCATGAGGCCACCTCTTTGCTCAATCCATGCCTCTTGCCCTCAGTCAACAAGACATTCCTAGAGGGAAAGGGCTGCTGCTCTGGGAGTCAACCTGAGTTCCTCCCTCCTGGGAAGCTGGGTTGGCAAGATTCTAGGACACTCACCTGCATGGACATCACCTCTGTGACAAATGCTTACCTGTTTCTCATCTTCAGACTTGGCGATATCAAGCCTGTTCTGGACCATGACCAGGCTGGCTCATATCTCTGGTTTAGAGAAACCTATGAATAACTGGGGACAAACAGACTCTTTGGTAGCAGCAGACACATGTGATCCATCAAGATCAACCAAGGTTGCAACTGGAGCGTCCACTGCCAGAGACCTTTGGCTCTTCAAGCTCGGGACAAAAAAGAAGACTCTGTTGTCCCTTGGTAACCCAGTCCCTGCTTTTGTAGCTATCACAGCAGAAAGCAACTCTTCCTGAAGACCAAACACTCGTCATCCACATTCCTTGAATGGCCAATCCTTCCATCTGGAGGCCTGGCTCAGAAAGTATCTGAGTATCCTGACACCCTCTGTGACTCAGGAGCAGGGATCTCAGGCAGCTGATATCAAAACCACCCAGCCCCATCCCCAGGAGGCGACATTCCAATGCTAGGACCAATCCCAGATATCTGGTCCCGATGGTGAAATGGAACAAAGACCTGCTTGGGAATAAACCAAATGATTTCTCATGACGTTGAACATAAGTTCTCCCAAGCCATCATCTTGGTAGAAAATGGGACTTATTCCTTGACAGGCCCCACCCCCTTCAGAAAGAGGCCCTTGACCCTGATAGGTTCTCTCTAAAACCCGTATATTAACGCATCTGGCCAACTTGGGTTATAAAATTCAGCCTTGTGTTGGCAACTCGAAACATCACCAGAGAGGTGATGTTGAATGAGAGACACAAGGCCTCCATCTCTTTGGGGCTGACCACAGCCTGAGAAAGAAGGTCTGGGTTCCAGTGGCCAGGCCGTCCCAGAAACAACCCCCATCCATCCCTGTAAATAGAGTCTGTAGCAAAATAAGAGCTGCTTCCTCCAACTTATCACAAGTCGCCGTTGGTCCTCTCTAAGGAGGGCTCTCTTCTGAGTTCATTGTACAATAGTTGGAAACGTGGTGATGTGCTGTTCGTTTATAGAAAGCTGACTTTTTATAAATATATATATATACTAAAAAAGGAAAGAAATCCCCCACAGTGTGTGTCGTGCTAGTGCCAGAGACCATCTGTAGGGATATATCTTCATATTGTGTGTTTCAAATTATGCATTCCAGGCTCTAGTGGGTTCTTTCAATCTTGTTCCTTTATTTTTTTCATTTGGTATTTCTCTCTTGCTATATAAAGAAAAAAAGAAGTGATGTGTAAGAACCAAGCTATGCTTTTATACTTCCATTTTATACTTGATTTAGCTTTGTTGTTCTTTTGCCAGAGGAACATCAAAGGGCAGAGCAAACAGAGAACTAGGGGGATAAGAGAGAAGAAAAGAAGAATGGAGAGAGAGGTTTGCCCAGAAGGAAAACGAAGAGCCAGATTGAAATCTGACTCTGGCTTGAGAACAGGACGGGTCCCAGAGTTTGACCACTGCCAGAATCCAGTGTTTCAAGATGGAGTTGGTGAAGCATCCAAGATTTTGGATCCTGGGCCTCAGTGACACTCCATCACCCAACTAAAAAGATGTTCTCTGGGACCTCTCTCAGGCTGATGTTCTTCTCATCAAGCTCCCGAATGTGTCTCGCACTATTGGACACTTTTTGGGGGTACACAGGTCTTCTCTCCTCCCCTCCTGCAGAGGCACCAAAACCAAGACCAAATGGGGGTTCTCTAGCCGCCAACTTGAAACGCTCTGAGACTTCTGTGTATTTGATGCTTCTTCAAGTCAGCTCTGACGTGGCCAATTCCCTGACCTGGGAAATATTTACATAGTACTCTAGATCATTCCTTCTTCCTAGTAACTGCAACTTTGTTGCTTCTGTGTTTGACTCACAGCCACTTTCCCCCATGCGGAAGTGAGTGGGTGTACGTGAGGGTGTGAGTGGGGTGTGTGCGTGGGCGTGTGGGCGTGAGGTGTGTGTTTAAATATAATCACACCATAATTTATTCAGCTATATGGAGTAGTAGACTAGAAAGAGAAACTGGTATTTGCTTTAACTACCTGCTGCTTGTAAGCGCTTCCTCTGTAACTCAGGCGTAACTGTTATACATTAAAAGAAATTAAAAGCATTTTGAAGGTTTCGTGTACTCAATTGATTGTCATTATGCAGCTGCTCCAAAAGGGACTCTGAGGGGTGTCCAAGAAGCCTTTGGACCTAATTTAGAGGATCAGCGTAGAAACTGTGTTTCTCTTGCTCCCCACTGGGTCCTCTAGTGCCAAGCAGCTGCGAGGTTTCTAGTGAATGCCTAATCAATATTTGTTCAATGGATGTTGTTACTTTAAGCCTCGCTCTGAGCTCATAGAAACAGCACAGTGTCAAAGAATAAGGTGAAACTTTAGTTCTCTTCACCAGAGCAAACTTTTCCTGCTGCTAATCTTAGAACCCTCAGTGGCTGTCTCCCATTACATAGGATTTGGGAGGTAGAAGAGAGCTCAGAAACTTACATATTGCTTGGAAGCATATGGGGATTCTCGGGCAAATTTCTGGCTTTGTTCTTTTTAGAGATGGGGTCTTGCTATGTTGCCCAGGCTGGAGTGCAAGGCTATTCACAGGTGTGATCATAGCACACCGAAGCCTTGAACTCCTGGGCTCAAGTGATCTTCCCGTCAGCATCCTGAGTCATTGGGACTACCAGTATGCCTGGCTCTTTTTCTCTTTTTGAATTATTGATGGAGAGATCTCCAGAGAAAGCTGTAAGGGAATGAAGGAAGCAAGATAGGACAAGTAAAGAAGGTGAGCAAAGAGGTGGTTTTACCTGGAGTCCAGCTTGAACCTGATGCTACAAGGAGCTCTGGAGTGTGGATTGTAGTACCAGAGTAGTCCCACCTTGAGGCTGGGGGCTGGCTTTTGGTACTGTGTCAGTCAGTCATTGACTGCTGGCTGTCCCATTGATGTGGGTGGGTGGGTGATATGTAAGTGATATGTAAACTATCTGCCCAAGCATCTCTAAAGTGGCTTTTGTGGGCTGCAGGCACTCCTGCAGAGAAAGCACAGCTATGAGCCCTTAGCAACAACAAGCACATCAGTTAGGGGACAGGTGCACTGGCCCAGGAAAAGGGACCTGGGCAGGGACCAGCAATGTCCACTCCACATATGTTCCCCTGGCCCTAAAACCTGGGTATCCAAGTCATTCCAGGGCTCTGGTTTCCTTGGATTGTCTTCTGAACCAGGAATGCAGTGGGGTGAGAGAGTTGTTGGTTGAAATTGTACATGAAGAATTGATAAGGTGCTCCTGTCGACCTGTGTCCAGTTAATCCAGCCAAATTCCCCAGGGCAAGATCTGGAGGGAAACCCTTGGATCTTCCTAGGGTCTGAAACCAATCAGAAGTTGCCCCAGTATCTTCCTCTTCACAGAGTCCCTGGAGTGTGATAAGCTCTGTGCCAGTCCCCTATGGAATCCAGAAAGCGTATATCAGAGCTAGTGCTCCCAGCCATGTCCTGTCTCACATCTGTCCCCCACCTACCCATCTGCAACCAATCTATCCTTCAGGTAAGTCAGGAAGATGTGGGGGAGAGTCAGCTCTGCAGCTAACTCACTATGGGTCCTCAGACAATTTTCTTCCCTTCTTGGACCCTATTTTCATATATTTTAAAAAAACAGGCTTGCTGACACCTAAGGATCTTCCAGGTCACCGTGATGATAACCTAAGCCAAAGGTTTGTTGTCATGCAGGCAGCTCAGAGAGTGCCTGCATCACTTGGAGGTGTCCATCACAAGTGCTGGGAAAGCAACACAAGACATGAGGTGCTGAGTGCATGAGGCCAAGGAGCTCCACAACATAGCCTGCCCTTTGAGACCCCCAACTTGAGGAGCTTTGCTAGAAGCACCCCCTGCCCCCAAAGACCTTTGTGTGCATCCCAAGGAAAGCTGAGGAATGTAGTTTTCTACCCAGGCACATGACTGCCCAGAATAAAATCAGGTTCCTGTATATAAAAGAAAAGAGGAGATGGATATTGGATAGACAAGTGTATCAGTCAGCTACTGCCACAGTAATGCTGTGTAACAAAGCAGTCTCTCTTCCTGGTTTCATTGATCTGCACGCCTTATGATGAATGAGTTTCACAGCCTTTCCTTGGACAAAATTTGCTAGTTAGGGAAAGGAGCTCCTTAGATAAATGAAGCCTCTGAGGTGGGAGGGACACACAGGACAGGGAGACCGAAAGCAATTGCACATGCTGTGTGGCTGAATCTAGAATATCTGGTCCTCCTGACAGTACAGATTCCAGAGCTCCACCATTCCCCTCCCTAGGCTGCCACTGACTTACTCTGAACAGAGATCATTTTCCTACTGCTGAGTAGGAAACAGCTGCAGTGTAAACAGCTGCAGTGAGGAGTGGGGACCCATTTCCTGAAGGCAGCAAGTGGGGCTGGTGTTCAGAGCTCCAGTCACCTTAGCTCTTAGCACCTTAGTTCAGAGCTCCAGTCACCTTAAAAAGTGCTTCCTTAGGTAAAGCCCCACCCCTTAGTACTCTCTGTGTGACCATAGGCAAGTCACTTCCCCTCCGCTGTCTCGTCTTTCAGATGGAAGTAAAGTCTGTCCCACTGTGTCAGCATAGAATACAGTAACCAACAACCCCAAATGTTGGTGGCTTAAAACACCAGAGGTTTGCTTTCTTCTCATCCATATTCATGACCACTACTCATCCTAGTCAGCCTGATGGAGACAGGCATCCTCTCGAGCGTGCTGGCCTCAGTTACCTAAGGAAAGACAGAGCAGGTGGATCAGCCACTGGCTTTTAAAGCTTCCACTCAAAACAGGACACATCTGCTCACATGCCATTGGCCAGAGCAAGTCACATGGCCACACTGCACTTCAAAGGGAGCAGGGAGGTGTAATCTACCACTTGCCTGGGAAGTGGGAAGCGGGATTGCACTCGCTGCCCAGAGGGTTTTTATGAGGATCAAGAGGAGAAGCAAACACCTTCCTGAAGCACCTGCTCTGTGCTCCTCTCCAAGGTGGGCCCTGGAGGGAGGGTGGGGCAGGGAGCTTCATTAAAAAGAACAGGAGACATAGATGGCCCCTGCTCTGAGGGAAGGGGAATGCCATTTAATTGAGCTCCTAATTGGCTCCAGGCAGCAGCTTTTTGTGTATCATCAGTGTAAAAACAGCCTTGTGAGGTGGGAATTTAACCTTTTGATGTACAGGAAGGAAATCAATGGTCAGAAATTTAAAGTCTTGGCTCAAGCTCACACCACTGGTCAGTGGTGGAGACTGAGCTCTCCATGTTCATGTCTGATTTTTAATATCAAAGCACTGGGGAGATGGAGCAGGGGTCTTGTGTGAGGGTGAATCCCTGGGGTCTCTACCCCATAGAAAACAGGTGGGGCTGCCTTCTGCTAGGGGGCTCACACCAGAGGGGCTACCCCAGGTCAGGGAGCCCCGGGGGTCACCTTCTCATCTGGCAATGAGACACCTGCCAGGAAACCCTCAGGTATTAGCAGTGGAGTGACCCCTCCCAGAATTCACACCACATTCATTCTCTTGGGCCTGTTGGCTAGAACTAAGAGCTTAAGAGAGAAACACTAATATTACGTACCAGGTACTCCACGTCCATAGTTTTAGTTAACCCTCCCAATATCCTGCAAGATAGGCATTGTGAGTCCCATCAGACAAATGAGGACATGGACCCAGACAGTGAAGTAACTGGATCAAGCCTCCCCCAACTAGAAATTGGAGAAGTAGGGATTCAAACCCAGATCTGCCTGATCTCAAATGCCTTGTCCATCATACCAGGCTGCTTCCCCAAAGTGGAGCTATGACACTGGTTAAACTAGAAGGACAGTGCTTATTGAAAGGAAATTTAACAGTCAGCTATGTCACAATAATGTTGCATAACAAACCACCTCAAAACTCAGTGGCTTAAAACAACAAGCATTAATTCTCACATTCACAGGTTTGTGGGTTGACTATGGTTGGGTTAATCTAGGCATGGATGGTGTGATAGGCACAACATTAAGATGTCCCCTAAGATTCCTGGCCCTTGGTGTACACACTCTATTTAGTTCCCACCCCTTTAGCATGAACAGGATCTGTGAATATAATGGACTAGTCACTACCTTCACAGGGTTATGTTACCTGGCAAAGGTGATGGAATAGTCAGTCACTCTCATGATTATGTTACGTTACATAAGACTTCATCACAGCAGACTGCAATGAGATCCTCCTGCTGGCTTTGAGAAGTAAGCTGGCTACATGGCTAGGATGTTAAGGCATCTTCTAAGAGCTGAGAGTGACCCTTGTCGAGCAGCCAGCAATAAAATGGAGACCTCAGTCTTACACCCACTAGAAATTGAATTCTTCCAAAAGCCCAAATGAGCTTGGGAACAAATTCTTCCCCACACAGGCCTTCAGATGAGATCATAGCCCCTGCCAGCCCCCAATTTCAACCTGGTCAGATCCTCAGCAGAATGCCTAGCTCTTCTGCACTCAGACTTTGACTTGCAGAAACTGTGAGAAAATAAAATGAATGTTGAGTTAATCCATAGAGTTTGTGGTACTTTGTGATGCAGCAATAGAAAACGAATACAGCCAAGCAGCTTTGCTTCAGGCTGCAAGTCTGACAATATTTGTTCTGGGACCCCATTAAGAAGGCAGCTTCTAGGCAATGATTACAACTCATGAGTTCAATGGATGTCGTGGGGGTTCCAGTTCAATCTCCATTTCAAGCTCCTTTTCTTGTGAGATTCACTGATATCCCATGGCCAATGCAAGTTTCATGGCCAAGCTCAAAGTCAAGGAATGGGGATGTATATTCCACCCATCTTAATGCATGAAAAGAGTATAAATGTCTAATTCTGTAATAGTGAAGAATTAGGACCCATTATTCAGGAAATTTAGGGGAAAATCCCTCTATCTGTTTCTACCTCCTCCACTTCCATGGATACACGGCTGATCAATAAGCAGTTACCTCCATGCTGAGTTTAAAGTTCATCAAACCCCATACCAGCCCTGTCACATTGGTCCACAGAAGATAGGCCTCCAAGAGAGAAATATGGGACTTAGGGGAAGTCCGGCGAATGTCAGAATATCAGTAGGAGTATCGGGATGAAGTTTGTGGGGTATCAGGAGACGCTTTGGACATCTGAACACCAGCAGGAGCATTCCCAGGCAAAAGGGTAGAAAAGTTGACATAGAGGTGGCTGGTTTCCCTGGGACCTTGTGCTGGGTCCCACCTAATTGACCCTACAGATCCCTTCCTCCTTTTGTGAAGCCAGGCTTGAGGTAAGCACTTTAGCTGCCCATACTATAAGGATAAGCATTTTTTTTTCTGTGTCAGGCACTTTACATACAAGATTTGACTACAGTTTCAAGACAGCCGACTCTGGATCCAAGCAGCCTATGTTCCAGTCCTGACACCACTACTGTATAATCTTGAGCAAGTGGTCTAAACTTCTCTGAAGACTCAGTTTCCTCATCATCTATAAAACTGGCATAATAATGGCACCAACCTCCAAGGTGGTTGTGAGGTTAAATGAGATCACAGAATAAAGAAATCAACCTAACTTTCTTTAGCCCTGTGTTTTGCACATTTATTTGATCATAGGGCCTTTTATTGTAGGAATGCTTATTAACATTACAGGGAGATGCTTGGAGCTTTCTAGCAGCCAACAGAAAGTGGGAAATCTGAAGAGTTACACAACCACTGATGCCAATGAGAAAATAAGAATCTTACTAAGGGAAGGTTCAAAGATTTCTACCCTTCAAAAGGGTAGGTTCAAATAATTTCTCTCTGGGAAGAGACTGTGTGATACAATAAATAAAAACTCAGGAAACTTGTGAAATGTATAAAGATGAGTTGTGAGGGATTGTTTCTCACAATGGTCTTCAATATAGGTTGACAGCAGTGTAGCAAATATAATCCTGCTGGCAGGTGAGGAGATATGAGAACAGGATATAATCTAGATACTGAATTCTTTGATGTGTTCATTTGATCTAGGGATCGTTTGGGAGCATCTAGAGAAGGAGGGTAATCCCATTAAGAAAATCATACTTAACATGACCTTTTAAGAACTAGACTTTTGTTTAATGGCAAAGAACTGAAAAATATACACTCTGGAAAATTTTTAGAGTGTCAGTTATATAGATATGTAGGTTTTTTATAGACAGCATTATCAGAATCTGACAATCTCTATCTTTTAAGGTCTATGTTTAGACCTTTTACATTTAATGTAATAAGTGATGTAGTTGGATTTAGGTCTACCATTTTATCTTTTTTTTCTGGTTTTAACCTCTTTTGTTCATTTGTTTCTGTGTTGCCTTTGTGCTGCCTTCCTTCAGATTATTTTAATATATTTTAGTATTTCATTTTAATTTATCTATTGGCTTTTTGCTTATATCTCTTTCTATTATTTTTTAGTGATTGACCTAGGGATTATAATATACATACCTAACTTTTTACAGTCTACTTAGAGTTAATTTGTACCTGTAAATAAAAATAAAACATAGAAGCCTTACAATCCTTGATATTATAGTTGTCCTATGTACATACATTGAACCCTCCCAGACAATGTTATATTTTATAATCATGTATTTTAAAGAACTTAAGAGACGAAAAATAGTGTATTATATTTACCCAGATATCTAACATTTCTGTTGCTCTTTCTTTATTCCAAGTTTTCTTCTGGTATTGATTCCCATCATCAAGAAGAACTCCCTTTAACTTTTCTTTCAGGGCATTTCTTCTGGTTAAGAATTCTCTTAGTCACAATAACGAGATCGGGTTGTTTAAAAGCGTTGCAAACCACCGCCTTTAACCTTGTTGCTCCTGCTCTGACCATGTGACATGTCTGCTCCTACTTGGCCCTCTGCTATAAGTAAAAGCTCCCTGAGGTCCCCCCAAAAGCCAAGCAAATGTTGATGCCATGCTTGTATAGCTTGCAGAACTGTGAGCCAATTAAACCTCTTTCCTTTACAAATTACCCAGCCTCAGGTACTCCTTTATAGCAACACAAGAACAGACTAACACAGGGGTGGAAGTGATAATGTGACTTCCAGGCCAAAGGATTAAATTGTCATATATGTTTCTCTAACAATCTTTTCCCCTACTATATTCATCAGAGAAGCTGCATAATCCAGAAAATGCAGCTACATGATGATGAAATCTAATGGATGCAGATGCTGAGACCTATAGCAGACTTTATAAGATAAAAACATAAAACCTTGCTGTATTCAGGAACTGAGATTTTGAAGTTGTAGATTACTGCAACTTATCCCCACTAATCCTGAATAATATCCCACATGAGAAATATTTAGTTTCTAAAACATGTCTCTAGAGTTTAAAAAATGATACTAAGAATTAACAGATTGAACTACAATGATGAATACATCATTATACATTTGTCAAAATCTGTAGAATGTACAGCACCGAGAATACACCCTAATGTAAACTATGAACTTCGGATGATAATGACGTTGGTGCAGTTTGGATCTGTGTCCCCACCCAAATCTCATGTTGAATTTTAATCCCCAGTATTGGAGGTGGAGCCTGGTGGGAGGCGACTGGATCCTGGGGGTGGATCCTTCATGAATGCTTTAGCATCACCCTCAATGCTGTTCTTGTGACATGTGAGTGAGTGAGTTACCGTGAGATCTGGTTGTTTAAAAGTGTGCAGCACCTCCCTCTTCTCTCTCTTCCTCCTGCTCCAGCCATGTGAAGACACTTGCTCCTGCTTTTCCTTCCGCCATGAATAAAAGCTTCCTGAGGTCTCCCCAGGAGCAGAAGCCACTATGCTTCTTGTACAGTCTACAGAAGCATGAACCAATTAAACCTCCTTTCTTTATAAATTACCCAGTCTCAGGCATTTCTTTACAGCAGAGTGAGAATGGACTGATACAGATGTGTTAAAGTAGACTCATCAGTTTTAATAATGTATCCCTCTGGCAGGGGATGTCAAGAGTTGGGGAGGTTGTGCATGTGTGGGGGTGAGGGGTAGATGGTAACTTTCTGTACTTTATGCTTAATTTTTCTGTAAATCTAAATCTGCTCTTAAAAAAATTAGGTCTATTAAAAAAAACTTTGGGAAGCCGAGGTGGGCGGATCACGAGGTCAGGAGATCGAGACCATCCCGGCTAACGTGGTGAAACCCCGTCTTTACTAAAAATACAAAAAATTAGCCAGGCGTGGCGGTGGGCGCCTGTAGTCCCAGCTACTTGGGAGGCTGAGGGAGGAGAATGGCATGAGCCCGGGAGGTGGAGCTTGCGGTGAGCCGAGATCACTGCACTCCAGCCTGGGTGACAGAGCAAGACTCCATCTCAAAAAAAAAAGAAAAAAAAAAATCACAGATTGAGATATTGTATTTTTTAAACCACACATTTTAATGTTGATATCTATTTCTTATTTCTCTGCTATAATGAGAAAATTGGCATTTCCTTCAATGTTTCTTCAAATTCTTACAAAATTTTTGTTACATTATTATTTTTACTTTATTATGCCCATATCAAATTACATTCTGTTTTATAAACATAATTTTCATAGTTGTTATGTCTTACATGTCTATTTAATAAATGGATTAAATGCCTATCACAAATGCTTTCAACATGGTTTCTATAAAATTTTTTTAAAAAGAATCCTCTTAGTTTTCCTTCATCTAAGAATACCTTTCTTTTGTTTTCATTTCTGAAGGATATTTTTGTTAAATAAACAATTCTGGGTTGACAATTATTTCTTTCAGAAAAGATGTCCCAGTGTTTCTTCTAGCATCTATGGTTTCTGATGAAATATTCACAGTTATTTGAACTGTTGTTTGTTCTTAGGTAACATGTATCATTTTTCTGACTACTTTAACAATTTCTCTTTGTTTTTGGCTTGCAGAATTTTTGTTAGGTTGTGTCTGGGCATGGGTTTTTTAAAAATTTATCTTCTTTGGGCTTTACCAAACCTCTTGAACCTGAATATGTATGGATTTTTCTCCATTAAGTTTGGAAACTTTCCAGCCATTATTTCAAAAAATATTTTTTCTGTATCCATCTCTTACTCTTCCTATTCAGGTATTCCAATGACAGAAAGGTTAGAGTTTTGATTTTTTTGTTTGTTTGTTTTTGTCCCATAGGTTCTATTCTGCTATTAAACTCATTCAGTGATCTTAAAATACATATATGTATAATATGTTTCAGTTATAATATTTTGTTTGGTTCCTTTTTATAGTTTCTATTTCTCTGCTAAGAATTTTTATCTCTTCACTCATTTTAATACCTTTACCTCATGGGGTATGGTTATAATGGCCCCATTAAAGTCTGATAATTCCAACATCTGGGTCATCTCAGGGTTAGCATCTGTTGATTGTCTTTTCCCTTGAGAACTGGTTTAGGGTTTCCTGGTTTCTGGTCTATCAACTAATTTTGGACTTTCTGAATATTACATTGTGAGACTCTCAATCCTGTTAAAATCCTCTGGAGGATGGAATTTTTGTTTTTTAGGTTTTTTTTAATTGTTTTAATTTAGCAGGCCATCAACCTGTTGATGTTCAGAACCCAAGATCCACCTTGCCTTCCATGAATGATGGCTTCAACTTCAGTCCAGTTTTCAAAGCCTTTGCTATGCTGTTTGGGTCTGTCCCTCCCAGAGGTTGGTCTCAGACTTGGGCAGTGTTTTATGTCATCATTCACTTCTCAAATCCTTTGCTTTTTTTAAATATGTATTTCATGCATGCATCACTTGAAGGTGAGCCTGGGACTTATGTCAGTTCATACACAGAATTAGGGGGTTTCCTTCTCCATCCTCTTCTCTTGGAGATTTTGCCCACATCCTGTCACTTCCAGGGGTCCCATTTTCTGGTCCCTCTGGCCAGAAAAATGACATTCTCTGAGTGTTTTAGCCTCCCTTGCTATCACACAGATGCATGTGAGTGGGTCTGCCCTTAGGAAGAAGGCACAAGATATTTTAAAAGATTTTTAAAATTCTAGTCATAAAGAGATTCACCATTTGTCTCATGTATTTGGAAAAGAAAAAAAACCTCTAAACTCTTTCCACACTCCACAAAATAGGGGGTCCCTCTGCCTGGCTCCTCTATCCGGGGTGACAGGTTTTCTCTCTGGCCCTTAGGTGCCCACGTGCCACCAGCATCATTACAGAAGTGTGGCTTCACTACTAGGGTTGGTCTCAGAGTAGAGCAGAGAATATTTTAAAAGAAGAAAAAGAGGCTGGGCACAGTGGCTCATACCTGTAATCCCAGCACTTTGGGAAGCCGAGGCAGGTGGATCATTTGAGGTCAGGAGTTTGAGGCCAGCCTGGCCAACGTGGTGAAACCCTGACTCTACTAAAAATACAAAAATTAGCTGGGTGTTTTAGCGGTCACCTGTAATCCCAGCTACTCTGGAGGCTCAGGCAAGAGAATTGCTTGAACCGGGGAGGCAGAGGTTGCAGCGAGCAGAGATCACACCATTGCACTCCAGCCTAGGCGACAGAGAGACTCCATCTCGAAGAAGGAGAAGGAGGAGGAGGAGGAGGAGGAAGAGGAGGAGGAGGAGGAGGAGGAGGAGGAGGAGAAAAGGAGAAGAAGAAAAATAAAACAAATATTTTTCTTACATTTTCCAGCCTAGAGGGATATTTTTTTCCTGATCCTATGGCCAGAAAGACAGTTTCCAATCTGTCCCACCTGCAGGTAAGTGGAGTCCATATGACCCTGGTCCTTGTGTGTCAGGATGCAGACTCGGTGTGATCCTTTGAACCCTCCATAAACTGTCTGTCCACTTACTCCAGCATTCTGTGCCTTCTTTTTGTTTTTTTCTGAGACAGTGTCTCACACTGTCACCTGGGCTGGAGTGCAGTGGCGCAATCTCAGCTCGCTGCAACCTCCACATCCCAGGTTCAAGCGATTCTCCTGCCTCAGCCTCCCGAGTAGCTGGGATTACAGGCTCCCGCCACCACATCCAGCTAATTTTTTGTATTTTTAGTAGAGACAGGGTTTCACTATGTTGGCCAGGCTGGTCTTGAACACCTGACCTCATTATCTACCCGCCTCAGCCTCCCAAAGTGCTGGGATTACAGGAATGAGCCACCGCGTTGGGCATTTTTTTTTTTTTTTTTTTTGAGATGGAGTCTCGCTGTGTTGCCCAGGCTGGAGTGCACTGGTGCAATCTCAGCTCACAGCAACCTCCACCTCCTGGGCTCAAACGATTCTCCTGCCTCAGCCTCCCAAGTAGCTGGGACTACAGGCACGAGCCACCATGCCCAGCTAATTTTTTATATTTTTAGTAGAGACGAGGTTTCACCATATTGGCCAGGCTGGTCTCGAACTCCTGACCTCGTGATCTGCTCGCCTTCTTGGTTCCCCAGTTTTGTAGGTAGTCCTAAAAATAAAAAAGAAAACTTTTGCTTCTCTGTAGATAAGAGGTCCAAGATGCAGGTGGGAATTAGGAGCTTAATTTAGGGGTGGCTGAAAAAGAAAATGAACGTTGTGCTAGTCCGAACTTAATAATGACATTGTGTGTCTCATCTGTTTGAACAGCTTTAAAACAGCTCATCTCAAACCAACATTTTCCTGAGAGCCTGGCCTATGCCAGCTCCTGCCCAAGATGGTTCAGAAACAGCTTAGCTGGGGAGAGACAAGTAGAAAACTTCAGTGGAGCATGACAGAGACTCTGAGAGGGAGGCCAGGGGAGGAGCATGCGCCTCAGTGATTCTGATCCCTGGGTCAGAATCCAAACCTGGCAGGCCTCTAAAGCTTACCAGTGGGACCCCACCTCAGCCAATTGTATCAGCATCTTGGTGGGGGGGTGGCAATAATTTTTGAGACAGGGTCTCACTATGTTGCCCAGACTGGAGTGCAGTGGCATGATTTCAGCTCACTGCAACCTCAATCTCCCTGGCTCAGGTTATCCTCTCACCTCAGCCTCCTGAGTAGCTGGGATTACAGAGGCATCCTGCCCCACCCCATGCCTGGCTAATTTTTCTGTCTTTTTCAGAGTTGCCCAAGGGGCTGGTCTTGAACTCCTAGGCTCAAGTGATCCTCCAGCCTTGGCCTCCCAAATTGCTGGGATTGCAGGCATAAGCCAGCGCCTGAGGTAGGAGTAATTTTTAAAGTGTCCCAAGTGATTGCAAACTGTAGCCAAGATGAAGACCCCCAACCACCTGGGTAGAGGCATCTAGATCTACCCAACAGTGCATTTGGTCTCATGGGACGCTGAAGGTAGACTGGAAATCAGGGAAATGAAAAGTGCAGGAAGCAGAAGGATCTTCATCAACGTGGGTGAGAGCAGGTGTACTTGCCTGAAAGGAGGGCTGGAAGAGGGGGAAAGACCAATGCAAAGACTCCACAAAGGGAACAAGACATACAGGCCACAAAGTCATGCCAATAATCCTATAGCCTACAGTGCTGCACTAGTTCCGTAATTTCTAATCAAATGTCACTTTCCATTGTCTGATTTTATTATTTTCTTCATCCACTGGCATCCTCCTTCTTGAATGTATGTCCTTAGAGTCTTGAAAATTAGCTTTATGTGTGTTATAAATTTACATCAATGTCTTTGTGATGCAGATTTTCTCTGTTTCTGCTCATTTTCAGGTGGCACTGACCCTCCTCCATGTGACTATATTCAAGCATCACCTCTGTGTGCTAATGAACATTTCATCACAGTTCACTTCTCCAGTCCCTGAGGGATGCACACCTGAGCTCCCTCCAGCTCCCGCTCCCACCAGCAGTGCTGAAATGAACATCTTCATACCAGACCCCTTGCAGATGTGACCTGAACATCCAGATGGGGCTGCAAGTTCATCAGACTCTGTCAGATGACCCAGTGTTGTCAAAGGAGAGTCTCCATCATTTTCCTCATTTGTGATGTTGGCCCCTGAGGACAGATGGGCCCATGAATCTATCTCCAGGGTCTGGCAAGGTCCATTCACATGGTGCCACCTTTGGCTCCAGGTCTTTCATGAGGGAAAGCAAAGGCAGCTTGAAGTCAGGGGGGCAGTCCACAGACCACCCTCACTTCTAACTGTGGAGTTTGGGCGTTCATTCCCAAGGCCATTCTCAGGTTTGACCATTTGCTAGAAAGACTCATGGAAGTCACTGAAAGTGTTTATACCCATGGTTATGGTTTATTACTGTGTAAGGATACAGATCAAATCAAGGAAGACACATGTGGGGTAGAACCCAAGAGGGTTCCAATGTCAGAGCTCCCATTGTTCATTGCCTGTGGAGTCACAGACAGGGCTGACTCCTCCAGGTATGATGTGTGACAATAAGCAGAATATTGCCAACCGGGGGGCTTACCTGAGCCTTGGTGTTCTGAGTTTTTACTGGGGAGTCATGGTCGATGCCTGCCTGCCTGCATGGCTGACCTTTAGACCCCAGACCCTGGAGGTTGAAATGATATTTTCAACAGGCCCTGTTATTAGTCAGGTTAGGCTTGGCTCTGCTGCAGAGGCAGATAAACCCCCAAGCTCAGCAGTGCTAGACAATAAAGGTTTGTTTCCTCCATTGCGGTCCCATGTCATTTGGAATGCATGGCCCCCAAGGTCACTGCATCTGGGGAAGAGGAGGGAGGCCAAGGCGCTCTGGCTGTTAACCGCCGTGGCCCAGAAGTTACACGTGTCATTTCCTCTCACAGCCCATTGATGGGGATTAGTCACACGGCTGCAACTTACTACTGTAAGGAAGTCTGGGACACGGAGGACAACTCATGGAATATTTGCCGAATGGAGGCCCAGTCCCCAAGAAGACACCCTCCAATCATGAGACAATCCCTATCCCTTCCTGTCAGCCCAGGGGAAGTGGACAGGCACTGAGTAGGAAGTAGGTGACCTGCCAAGTTCATCCATGCTCCATACCCAGCTGGAATTCCTGGAGGGCTTCCAACGCTCTATGCCAACTCCTGAGAGTCCGAGAACACTGAAATAATTCAACCAGCCCAGACAGCTGATGAGAGAAGGGGGCCAGCCCCTCAAGAGTGCAGAGGAAGCAAGGGGAAAGGGCTGAATGGGTGGGAGGGTCCCCTCATCTGTGGCTTCAGCAAGGACCTTGCTGTCTGCTCAACCACCAGGAATTCCAGATGAGGCCTTTTCACAGCTGGTGCCGAGGGGTGGAGGGCTTGCACGAACTCAGAGTCCTTCATGGGGATTAGAAGTTTTGTCTCCATCCTGCTGTCTGGGTAGCTCAGACTCCCTCCAGGGCCATCACAAGGCTTAGGGCCGCCCTCGCAATCTGGGCTGGAGGTAGACTGAGGATACTGCTAGGGTGAGGTTCTGGAATGAGGCTGTCTTCCCTGTCTACTTGCAGACAGTGAAGTCCTTGTAGCGATGTCAGAGGAGCTGCTATGAGCCCTGAGGAGTCCTGCTATTGGCCAGGTCCTCACTCTGTGCAGGTGGTCCACATACTGTCCTGGGTCATCTTACTCAATCCTTACAACAACCCTGTCAGCTGGAAATGATTATGCTCAGTTTAGGGAGGAGGAAACCAAGGTCTAGAGAAGCAAAGAAAAGTATTCAAGATGACACCCTGGGTGGTGAAGCCAGGGCATAAACCCAGACAAGAATTCAGTGTTCACACTTTAAAAGTCATCGTAAGATGGAAAATATCACAAGAGTTAAAGACATAGCCATCACCGGCCTCCACAGTTACCAGCTTACCACCCATCCCATTTCATGTGTCCCCCCACCAATCACTCCTCCACACCCTGGGTTAGGTTGAAGCAAATTCCAGACCTCACATCATCTTTAGATAGTTCAGCATTGTCTCTAAAAGATAAGGAAGGGCCTGTGTTCTTAACTACAGGACCTCGCATGGAGTGGACATCAATAACTATTCAATAAATCTTCACTTATTATCTATGTGAATAAAATCTCTAAGCATCTGTCAAGCCAAAAGTGTATTTGCGCATCTCTAAAAGGCAGTCAGGAGTAGTGGGAAGATAACGGGCTTCACCATAAGCTTTGGGTTCAAACCCTGGCTCTGCCAGTTGCCATGGCTATGGGATACTGGGTGAGTTCATGGAAACTGCATGAGCCTCCGTTTCCTCCTATGAAATCCACACATCATGGCACTTTGACTTGTAAAGTAGTTAGGATTCAATGAGCACATAAATGCGGGCACATGCCCTGCAGAGAGCCTGGCTTTCTGGGGTAGTTTGTCAACAGCATAACCCTGAGTAACTCATCGAACCTCTTGTGCTTCAGTCTCCTCATCTGTAAAATGGAGTAATAAGAGTACCTGCCCCAAAGGGCTGCTGTGAGGAGTCAGTGAGTTGATCTATGTTAGATGTGGGATGCCTGGCACTTAATAAGTGTTCCATGTGAGTTACTGATCACTAGAAGCCTGCAGTGTGGATAAGTAATGTCCAGTGTAGGGGTTATTATCCTGCAACATCGAACAGCTCCGGATCAAGCTATGCTTAAGATTTGAGCAATGGTTCTTACCTGGGGGCAATTTTACTGTAATCCTAACTGGGGGCAATCTGTTGTCTTACTGACCCCAGGAGACATTTGGCAATGTCTGGAGACACTTGTGGCTATAACAGTTGGGTGGGTGAGCTGCTACTGGCATCTAATGAGTAGAGGCCAGGGATGCTGCTCAACATCCTATGAGGCACAGGACAGTCCTTTCAACATACAATTATCTGGCCCAAAATGTCAGTGGCAAGGTTGAGAAACCCTGGATTAGAGAAAGGATCGGGAGGGGGTTAGCTCCATTGCACAGAGGCTGGGAGATTGACGCTTCAGTCATCTGGGGCTGTGTCCAGACTCAGGAAATTAATGGGATTTTTTCCATCTTCAGCAGAGTAGCAGTTGATCTGGTTCTTTCCGGAAGACAGCTGGATGTGGCAGCACGCCCTTTTTGAGTTGGGTACACTTTGTCTTATGAAGTGTCCTCTCCAAGCCTCTGCAGCTGGTTTGGGAGTGGCCAGGCGCTGGTGGGTGGAGGGTTCTGCAGCACGAGGGGGCCCAGCTCCCTGCCCGAAAGCAGGGTCAGGTGGGGATTTCTGGCAGCAGCTGGATGTGCTTCTGGTCCCAACCTGGAGACAAGAGGAGGGATCTGGGGATAGAAAGCACATTCAGAGAAAAAGCACGACGAGGACATCATGAGCTTTGGAACCAGATGGGCAGCTGTTCAAATTCTAGCTCTTTCAGCTACCACTGGATGACCTTGGCATGGAACTTACCCCCTCCAAGACTCCTTTGACAAGACAAGCAGGAGTTGTCCAAAGTCCCAGAGTAACCAGGGCTTGAGTCCATGTTTCTTAATTCTCAGTCTAGGCCCTTCCCCATGCATTCATTCATTTATTCATCCATTTACTCAATCAGCCTTACATTTGTGATAGGAGATTGGAAGGGTGAAATGGACAGTGGCCACAGAATAAAGGGCCTTGTAGATCCTGGCAAAGAAGTTAGATTTTATTCTAAGAATGAATGAAAACCATGGAGGGTCTTGAGGGACATAATCAGACTTAGAAAAAGTCTGTTTGACTATCGTATGAAGCTGGACAGGCAAGAAGCCAGGGGCTCAGTGACAATGGTGGCTTTGACAGGGTGGTGGCAATGAGGTGGAGAGGAGAGAGATTCAGGACACATTTTGGAGGAAAAGCCAGCAGGTCCTGCTCATGAATTGGGATATGGTGGGGGTTAGGAAAGGAGGGAATGGAGAGTAACTCCTCGGCTTTGCTCCTTTACAGTTGGGGAGACATGGAGGCCACTAACTGAGATGGGAAAGGCTGGGAAAGGGGTAGGGTGCAGGGGGCAGAGATTCAACAGGTCTGCTCAGCCATGGCAGAGCTGGGAGCTCCACAGGAGACCCCGAGTAAAGATGGCGCTGCCTGACAATTTTGTAGCCTGGAGAAGATGATGCATGTGGCTCTGGAAATTTGGCTGGAATGCAAATTTGATTGAGATCATTTAGGGAGGGGGTAAGATAGAACATGGAAGAAGAAAAGAGAGCCAGGGACTGGACCCTGGGTGCTCCAACCTTTAGAGTTCAAAAGAAAATCAGCTTCCAGCAAAGCAGTCTGCAAAGTAGCAGCAGACAACAGGGGAAGAGCAGGGAAGAAGGATGCCAGAGCCGCAGAAGAGAGGGCTGGGTGAGGCCACACGCCCCGGCACATAGCAGGTCCTCCATGAGGCGACATGCGTAAGGCATCTGGAACATAGCAGGCCTACAGTAATTGGTCCATATTGGTATTAACTCTTAAACATGCTTGGAAGATGACTGCCACATATCAGTCCACCATCAGCCAATTGATGCTGGAGTCTGGCCCTTGTCTGACAGGGCAGATGCTTTTTGGGAGGACATCGGGTCTCAGGCTCCAGCCCCCACAGCCTCAGCATCCATTCTCAGCTCTGCCTGCCCTGGGGGTGTGGCCCTGAGCATGTTCCAGAAGCTCTTGGAGCCCACGTGTTCTCATCTGTAACATAGGGTTATTGATAGAATGTGGGGACAGAATTAGGATTCGAATCCACTTCTGCTGACCCCGGAGCCCACTGTCTTTCCATGACATAGCACGGCAGCCATTCCCATAGCAGGAGGGAGCTGCTGAAGGGGCACTGAAGACGGGGCTGCCTGGAGGCGCTATTCTTGATGATTTCTGCCACACAGGGGCCCTGCTTCAAGTACATTGAATCCACTTGTTCTCAATTCTGGCTGCTGCCTGTTAGAATCAGATCTGGGTAGGTGAAGAGGGCAGAGGGAAGGGGGCTAAAACATATCAATGTCCAGGCCTCTCCCCTGCCCCGTTAAATCAGAACCTCTGGGAATAAAGCCCAGGTATCAGGATCATTATCATCATCATCATTGTCATCATCATCATCATCATCATTTTAGGTCCCCCGTTGATTCTGACACAATCCAGTCTTGAAAACCAATGGAGAACCTGAAGCCCTAGAGCTCTAACCCTAAGTCTTTCCTATCCTGAGTTCCTACAGGATGGAAAATAAGGCTGGCTTTCTCTTCCCTGCATAAAAGACCTCCAGAGAGGAAGTGTGATGGGTAGTTAAGAACCCCCAGCATGGGGTTAAACCCTTCTGAGTTATGTTTTAGCCACATGGCCTTAGTTAAGTTCTCTCCAGCCTGATTCCTGGGAAAGATCAACTCTTCAATAACCATTGCACGACTCTATACAGTTGATAAGGCATTTTGATATACACCATCTGTTTGAATTCTCCCCCACAATCCTGTAAGGAAGAGGGAAATGATTAGTTCCATTTTCTAGTTGGGGAAACTGAGGCTCAGAGATGAAGTCAGTTGCCAAAGTACATTCAGCTATGGTTTGAGTGCAGGTTTTCTTTCTCTTTGCCAAAGGGAGGCTGGAATTAAGAAGGCCCACAATGGAGCTTTGCCTAAGACAGTGACTGGAACATAGGAGAGGCTTGGAAATTGCAGAATGAATGAATGAGTGAGCTAAAAGATGGGCAGGAGATGCTTCTAAACAGGGTCCTGTAGTGACCAAGGCCCCCACCTCAGTGAAAGGAGAGGAAGAAACTAACCATTCCAGGCAGTGGCTGCACCAGGAACAGGCCAGCCATTTACACGCAGCATAGGGCATTCACAGTCATACTTCTGCTGGAAGGGACCCATTTTACAGGTGGGAGGTTGAGGCCCACAGTCACAGGGTGGACAAGATCCTCTAACTCCTGATCCAGAGCCCCTTCTGACATCCCAGAGTTCAAAAAAAGTCATGGAATTTTCGAGAAAAGTCTGGGTAAAGCTTCTCTGGGGAAACAAAGTCCTCATTCTGGTGTTCATCCCAAAGAGAAATTCTGCATCTCTGACCGGTATGTATCAGGTATAAGCTGGAAAATGGAAACTGCCGCAGGAACACTGACTGGTTAATTTTCTTCCTGACATCCAAACTCCCTCACATCCCATGCCAGATTGGGTTAAGTGCTTTACTTATGTTATTTCAGGGGCTGGCAAACTTTATCCACAAAGGTCCAGTTAGTAAATATCTGAGACTTCTTGGACCATCCAGTCTCTGCCAGTTTCTCTGCTCTTAATGTTGTACAAAAGCAGCCACGTGTAAACACATGAGCATGTCTGTGTTCCAGGAAAATTTTTTCCAGCCCAGGCTGGAGTGCAGTGGCACAATCTCGGTTCACTGCAACCTCCACCTCCCTGGTTCAAGCAATTCCCCTGCCTCAGCCTCTCGAGTAGGTGGGATTACAGGTGCACACCACCACACCCGGCTAATTTTTTTGTATTTTTAGTAGAGATGGGGTTTCACCATGTTGGCCAGACTGGTCTCGAACTCCTGACCTCAGGCAATCCGCCTTGGTCTCCCAAAGTGCTGGGATTACAGGCGTGAGGCACTGCACCCGGCTCCAGGAAAATTTAATATGTGCCAGTTAAATTTGCATTTCACATAATTACATATCACAAAATGTTGTTCTTCTTTGAATTTATTTGTCAACCATTAAAAAATGCAAAAACTCCTCTTAGCTCCCAGCCTGTATGGACAGGGGACAGGAGGATTTGGTCCAAAAGGGCCACAGTTTGCTGGCAGAAACCATACGAAGTAGATTTTGTTGTTACCCCCATTTTAAAGATGAAGAAACTGAGTCCCAGAGAGGTTCAGGAATTTTCGTAAGATCACACAGCTAGCAAGTAGCAAAACTTGGAGTCATAGTCAGACTCGGAGTCAGGCAGTTGGGCTCCAGAGCCAGGCTCTTAACCACTCAGTTGCCATATGGACACAGAATCTTCACGTGGAGGAAACTTTTAAGTGCATGAAACTGAGGCCCAGAGAGGGGATTAAGGCTGCAACCTAACAGAGACACACAGTGATGGAGAGGCAGAGCCCCACCTGGCTCCCTGACTCAGTCCAGGGTTGGTTCCTCCAGATCAGGCAGCTTCCTCATTTATTCCAACTAATTATCATCAGTTAAGCAGATCTGGAAATGCCGACATGAGAGTTGGAAGTGGGGGTGGGTGACTGACAAGGCGGGAGAGGGAGGTGGGCAAGAGGGGCCCCTGCCTCCACACGCGTCCACACGTATCCACATGCACGCACACACACAACGGCTTCCATTTCCTGAGATGTCCACCTGCTTTTATGAATATAAGTGGATTTGTAACAAGCATTGCAGCTGCATATAAGGCATTCAGACATGGAGACAATTTTACTAGATAATAGACTATCATGCAGGATACAATTTAAATTAAAAAATGCAATTTTCACCTTGAAATGAACAAATGATTACAATTTCTATACAAATTAAGGCATTCAGCCTCTCTTTCAGTAGTGGCACCAGCCCATGAAATATGACATAATTACCATGAAATACATTTTCAAATATTTTGATTTTTGTCCGCTGCTTTTTAAAAAACATAGGCCGCCTTCTAGGTCTCCGAGTATGTGTTGGCATTTCCCACCTTCTGGGAAAAACACATTAAAAAGAAAAGCCAAAGTCCCCGAAGATGAAGTTGGCCCCCCTCCCTGCCCTCCCCTCCTCCTATCTCCTCACCCCTCAGAGTTCTCTGCCCTCCCCCTCCCCCTCCCTTGGCTCAGAGATAAAATTGAAAAAAGGCAGACAGAGGAGAGGGGACACAGGCGCCCACCTCCAAAGCCTGAAATTTATCTAAGTTGCCACGCTTATCTGCAGAATCGCATCTGTTGGTTATCACGACGCCAACTGCTCCAACCCTCCATCCCGCTCTTCTCTGGAAATGGCTCCCCCATCCCTCCTACCAATGCATTCCCCCCCGCCTCAACCTGCACTCTTATTTTTTAATTATTTTTCCATTGTGTTATCTCTTTGTGGCTGGAGATGGAAGGATGAAAAGCCACTGCCTGTGGCTTGATCCAGCCCCATGGAACTTTGGAGTTCAGAAGGAGTGGACAGGGTAGGCAGCCAGTGAGTCTCAGCTACCGAACTGGGTGGAGCTCTCTGTTCTTTGTCCTAGTTGAGTGACCTTGATGAAGGTCATTCCTACCTGCATCCATCTCCTCCCTGTGCCTGTAAACCTGCCGTCTTGAACAACCCATCCCTTTGGTCCAAGCTTTGGGTGGAAGATCTCTTGGGACATTAGATCTGCATCCAAAATACTTACAGGCAGACCTTCGTCCTCTTCCTTGGTTCTTAGCGTTGGTCTGAGTCTTCTGTTCTGAACCAGCATCCACTAGGCAGGCTTCACCACTCCCGATTCTGCATCTGCTGTCCCCAGAACTTGGTTCCTATCTGTTGCGTGGTCTCACATCACTCTTTGGGCCAGCTGTGCCCTGCCTTTCCCTCCTTAAGGATTATTCTGGCTCTTCCTCCATCCTGGCTAGTCTAGTCTGGCCCAAGTCTCCTCCACTTCAGGGGGTTGTCCTTCTACCTAAACGAAGCCTGTGGAGGAAGATTGAAGATGAGATGCAGCGCTTAAAGCCCATTGCTTTTGCTTAGCACATTTGTTTTGGTTTTCCAAGCATTTTCACCTGCTTCAACATGATCCCATCTTGCCACGGCCCTGTACGGGGGACCTCGCTCACAAAGGAAGCATTCAACATTTTATAGAGGAGTAACCAGGTATTCTAGACCAATGTGGGAAATGACCAAAGCAAGTCCACACTCATTCTTGGAGCGTGGACCACACTCTCTTCCTCTGATCCCAGCCTACCCTACATTCCACCCTCCCTACTCTCCTTCCTCGGCCCAGGGCGAGGTGAAGACTGGATCACACTCCAGCTCAGAGAGCAAAATGGGACATCCTAGTGGAAAGAGAATGGGTTTTAGGATCAAACATTCAGAGTCTCAGACTCTGATCTCCACCTCTTTCTTGTTCTCTGACCTTGGCCAAATTAATTGGTCTCTGTGCCTCGAGTGTTCTCCTCTGTAAGATGTAGAAAATGATCTCTTCTGCATGGAGGCTGTGAGAATGAACTTTGCAAGAGTGTGGCAGACCTTCAGCAGATGTAAATTTCCCCTCTCATGCTCTGACTCCCAGCTTGCTTAGGGATTTTGAGGTTTTATTTTTAATTCCTTTGGTTCACTAAGAAAAGCCCAAGCCCCAAAGTGTTCATCACTTAGAAACTTTTTGGTATTTGGGGGTGAGTCAAGTGTCTATGCCTGAACCAGATACCAGGGTATTGAGAGATGAACGTGCTAGCATCCAGGGAGGGGGTGGTGGAGTTGAGGGGAAGCAGGAGGGCAAGGGATGATCATAACAATGTTTTACTAAACACCCACGCTCTGTCGTAGCCACTGTGCTAAGGGTCTTCATCTCGTTAATCCTCACGATCATATTATGAAGTTAATATTAACCCCATTTAACAGATGGAAAAACTGAGTCACAGAGAAGTTATGTCATTTGCCCAAGATCACACAGCTAGGAAGTGACAGAGCTGGGATGTAAACCCAGGCTTCCTGGCTCTAACAAAATGCTCTACTCAAGTATTCTGGGTTGACCAGATGACCATCTTTTCCCAACTATGTATTTTCTTAGTAAAAATATATAAACAAATGACATGTGCCCTAGGAAGTTAAGGCACATCAACAGATAGCTGGTTAAGTAAGACAAGTACACAATTAGCTTTAAGTAAGACAAATACACAATTAGCTTTACTCCAAGGCAAAATTGACTGATGCCAAGCACAGGAGGCAGGATTGCCAAGCACCCATGGCACTCTGCTCAGACTATGACCCAGGGAGCAGCTGAGCCATGCGGCTGGGAGAAAGGATAGCACATGCATAGTCAGGCAGTCAGATTCCACTCCTGGTTCTGCAAAGCCCCCCATGTGGTGTGGCCAGATCACCTAGTGACTCTGGGCCTCCCCATCTTCACGGGTGGAATGAAGGGACTGATCTGAAATCAGTGATCTGCACATATTTCCACAATCAACCCTAGGATAGGAGAAAGGAGCTGTGAGTGCCCACACCCAGGGCACACAGAGTGGGGAAGTAACCCCACCTAGCCCACCCCAGGCCAACATTTACTTAAATGGTCAAAATGGTCTTTTTTTTTTTTTTTTTTTTTTTTTTTTGAGACGAGTCTCGCTCTGTCGCCCAGGCTGGAGCACAGTGGCGCGATCTTAGCTTACAGCAAGCTCTGCCTCCCGGGTTCACGCCTCCTCCTGCCTCAGCCTCCCGAGTAGCTGGGACTACAGGCACCCACCACCATGCCTGGATAATTTTTTGTATTTTTTAGTAGAGACGGGGTTTCACCGTGTTAGTCAGGATGGTCTCCATCTCCTGACCTTGTGATACGCCCGCCTCGGCCTCCCAAAGTGCTGGGATTACAGGCATGAGCCACAGCGCCCGGCCTAAATGGTCAAATTTTTTAAGTGTCAAAAATGCATGCAAATTTGGCGTTCTGTTCCCCAATGCGCACTATATTATAAAAACGGTGACAGTTCAGTTTGGAATTTTTCTTTGCAAAATTCTGTCTAAAACCACTACTACCAACCGCCAGAAAAGTTATATCACATTTTTTTCTGTGGCTTTTTTCATGTCTACAAATTCAGCAAAAGGCCAGATCCTCTGTAATAGTCCTTTATTTTATTTAATAAAATAAAATAAAGCCAAAGTTCTTCTAGGACAATGTTCTATCCATTATTATAACACCCACACATTCTAATATTGAGTTGTTTTTAACACTCTAACATTATAACATTGTTACCCTTGATTATTCTAATGTGCAGACACTATCTCATTCTAATATTCAACCTCTCTACCACATTGAAAGATCCTCTAATCTTCAATTCACCTGTTTTTAGTATTTGATTCTAAGTCATGGATGGACAGGAAGGTGCTTCCTTGTCATGGGAGGGCAAATGAGCCCCCAGGAACCCGTGGGAGCCTTTCTGCCAGCACCCAGGCAATTAACAACCTCCACAGCCACATGACTTGAATTTGTTCATCCTGAAAACGGGACAAAATGACTATCTTAGAAGTTGTTTGAGATCCTTTTCTGCAATGTAATAGCAGTTTATAGCTAATATTTGCTGGGTGCTTACTAAGAACTTTACATGCATTCTATCATTTAATCCACCCAAACACCTTACAGGCTGCTATTATTGTTCCCAATTTAGAGGAAAAACTGAGACTAAGAGAGGTTCAATGACTTGCTCAAGTCTCACAGCTAATTGGGAGAGAGACAGGATTTTAACCCATGACTGTCTGACCTCAGCTCATTCCTCTGTTGAACTAATGAGCACAGATGGAACTTAGGGGAATAAGGAATCAACCCCAGAACCTAACACAGTGCTAATTAAATATTTATTGAGTAAATGATTGAGTGAGTGAACAGTACTCTTAGAAATGGACCAATCCTAGGAAATCACTCACTGGCATTCAGATGGGTGAAGGGTTAACCCTACTTTAAAGATAAGATGTTTTGCAAGATCACACAGCAACAAAGTGGCAGGGATGGGGATGGTGGGTGGACACGGCTGGGACCCAGGTTTGCTTCACATGGTGGCAGAGCTCTCTGTCCTCCACCCTGCTGCTCCAACAGTGGAGCAGTGCCCACCCTTGGCAGGACCATCCTGGATACCTTGGAAATTTGCTTGCACTGGCTTCAGACAGTCTTGGATTTAGGTAACTTGGAGATGCTTTAGGGAAACAAGTGTGAAATTTGTGTCTCTCAAGTGAAAGGCAGGATTTTTAAAACCACAGATTAAAATAAAGCTACTTAGAGGTAATGGGGATGTGAATCAAGAGAATCAAGATCCTTAACCATCTTTATAGCTGCTTCACCATCTCCCTAAAGCCTTAACCATCTTCATAGATCCTTGGCCATCGTCATAGTCATTGGCCACTCCTGGGAATTCAAGCCTCAGAGAAAAACCTATGATAAGGGCAAAGCTCTCTTCATGGAGATGCCTGGGATAGTGAAATAAAATCAGAACAACCCAAAGGTTCAATAATAGAAGGGTGGTTAAGGAAAATGTGGTATTTCCACTCAAGGGGCTACTCTTTAATGTCCATTAAAATGTACATTTTCCACATTTTTAATATAGGGAGATATTGATACTCCACTGATGAGCCAGATAACATAGGACAGGAAACTGGCCCTTATGATGTGACCTCAAGGTACTAGAAGGTAGACTAGAAGGGGCAGTATGAACGTGTCCATAGAAGTTGCCGTGGAGAATGGAATTATGGGGATTATTTTACTCTCCAAATGGACGCTCTATTGCTTTGATAACTAGAAATTCATTAAAAAGAGAAAAGCAGACAAGGAATAAATATAAGAAGGAAGACGAGAAGAAAAATGCCCTGTTCTTGGCTGTCACTTCTTTTAAGTGACAGCTTCCCAAGGAAAGCGGAAGTCGCCCCATAGAAAGAAAAATAGAGGAAAAGGATTTAACAAAATCAGAAAGCTTCAAGCCCAAATGTACCCCATGACTAAGAACCGATAAAAGCCTGCAAAAGAAAACTCCCACCCCATCTGTCTCCACGACCGAGGCCACCATTCATGAGCCATCAGCATGGCTGTTTCTAAACAGAGGATTCCAGCTTCAACACAGCACATGTGTCATGACCTTCAACAATTTTCATGCCCTGCCACAGGACTGAGCAACAATACTTATTTTTAAAATGAATAATAGTTGTCAAAGCAGCCATTATGTATGGAGTACCAACTGTGTGCCAGGTACAGAGTCAACACCTCAACATGCTTGACCTTATTTTATCTAGATGGCAACTCACAAGACAGGTGCTGGGGTCGTCCTTTGGAGAGATGTGACCTGAGGTTCTTCCATTTTAGTAGCCCACCCGGGGCCAGTGGCAGAGCTAGAATTCAAACCCTGGCCTCTGACCTTCACCACAACCAGACCCAGCTCCCTAGGCAGGAGCTCTGGAAATATCAACCAACCCATTGCACAGAAGGAAACATTGCTCCTTTTTCTGCTGCCATAAATAAGAATGTGGATGTTCTCTAGTTATTAATTATGGAACGATCTCCAAGTTATCCAGTTAGATTAAAAAATAATAATAAAATGCATGGTATACCACTTGTGTATGAAAAATAAAAAAGAATAAATCAATGTGCTTGCCTGTACAGGTATAAAGAAGTCTCTGGAAGCTATGTGAAAAGCTGGTTACATTGGTTACCTTTAGGGAGGGCGACTGGGAGCAATGCCTTTGTCCTTTTGAATTTTGAATCATGTGAATGCATGATATTAAGCATATAGAATTTACAAATTCTTAAAATTTAAGGAAAACAAATTTAAAGAACTCATTGCTCTTGAAGGTACAAACAGGTAGATGTCACCAGCCACGTACTCATTAGGACAGGCTCTGAACCATCCCTCCTGGGCTGCCCTTGGGTTTCGCAGCATTAGACCTGGATTTCTTGCCTGTCATTGCCCATAAAAGCTTATTGGCACCATCAGGTAGTTCTTTAAAGGAGCCCAAGTTAGTGAGTTAGTTCCAAGGGCAGGAACGTATTTGATGGTTGAGATTTGAACTAGGAAGTTCAAAATAAAAAGAGAGACAAAAAAGTTCAATAACATTTGACTGAAAGAGAGAGAGAGGATTAAAAAGGATTTGATCTATTCCACAAACATTACATAAGCCCTTTTGTATCCCAGAGCATTGTTGGGCACTGGGATGCAGCAGGAACAGCACGGAGTTCCTGACCTCAGGGAGCTCACGTTCTAGCAGGTGGAGGCAGATGGTAAGTCGCTGAGAAATTACGTATTGAAAATAGTCATTGCAACTTGTCTTAAGCCTGGCAAGGGAGCAGAGGGCTCTGGGAGGGGCTAGCAGGGCTGCATTCAGTGCCTCTCAGGAGGCTACATTCTTACAGCAACCTAAGTGATGTCCAGGAGGCAGCCACCTAGAAGCTTGGGAAAGGCATTCCCTGGCTGAAGGAACAGCCAGTGCAAAGGCCCTGAGGCGGAATCTTCCAGAGTGGGAGATCATGCACTCTGGGGTGAGAACACCCTGACTGTGGTAGGGGTCTCAGCAAGTCATTCAACCTCTGTGAACCTTAAATCCCTCCCTGGAAATGGAATAGCAGTAGCTCCAGAGTCCCAAGGCTTTGCACAAGTGCTGTGTGAAGCCCCTTATGAGCCTGTCTCCTCCTCCTTCAGCTTTACCAGTGGTTCCCAAAGTGGCTCCCATCAACGGCAGCATCTGGGAACCTGCTAGAAATGCAAACTACCCAGCTTCACCCCAGATCCCCTGAATCTGAAACTCTGGAACTGGGGACCAGCAGTCTATGTTTTAACAAGCCTTCCTAGTGATGCTTGTTGCAAACTCCGGTACAAAAACCATAGATCTACATCATGGTCACCATCATCCTCTTCACCCTTCTTGTCTAGCACTTCCTCTGATACCATCCCTTAACAAGTCACCCACTTCCCAATGTCTCCAATGTTGACCGCTAGGCCCTTCTGTGGTCCTGAATCAGCAGCTTTTGCTACATGCCTTCAAGGTCCCAGAAGGTATGTCCCTGCCCCTTCTCCCCTTCTCCAGGGACTCACCAGCCACACGTGCATCCAGGGGGGGCCCATTTCCTTTATAAGTGAAATGAAGTGATTTAACACACAGAGGCCGGGCACGGTGGCTCATGGCTGTAATCCTAGCACTTTGGGAGGCCGAGGCAGGCAGATCACTCGAGGTCAGGAGTTTGAGACCAGCCTGGGCAACATGGTGAAACCATGTCTCTACTAAAAATACAAAAATTAGTAGAGTGTGGTAGCAATTGCCTGTAATCTCAGCTACTCGGGAAGCTGAGCCAGGGGAATCACTTGAACCAGGGAGGCGGAGGTTGCAGTGAGCCGAGATCATGCCACTGCACTCCAGCCTGGGTAACAGAGTGAGACTCTATCTCAAAAACAACAACAAAAAAAGACAAACACACACACACACACACACACACACACACACACAGATAGTTTGAATCCTGGCTCTTCTACTTACCAGCTGTGCGTTCCCAGAAAAGTTTCTTAACCTCTCTGTGTCTTGATGGCTCATCTTTAAAACAAAGATAATACATTTCCAGGATGGTTGAAAGGATTAAAGATATTAATGTAGATAAAGGTTGGAACAACACCTGCCAGGGGGCACACAATTGAATTTTAGAAATTCTGGTTCTCCGGGCCCTTTCTACCCAGGCTCCTGGATTTACCTGCTCCTGTTTCCCTCCGTGTACCTCAGGGACCAGCCAGACTGGGCCACTGTGATTCCCGAATCTGCATTTTTTTTCATGCCTCCATCCTTTTCCCCATGCTGTGACTTCTATCTGAAACGCTTCTTCCTCCTCACCTACAAAACTCCTGCTAGCCCATCCTTCCCCTCTGTCCTGCCCCCTCTCCATTCACAACCAGGCTGGCCTAACTACCCCCTCCCCCAACATATGACATCCCTCCCTCTCAGCCTTCAGTCCCCAGGTACTTAAATGCCTGGTTTTGATGTCTGGCTTCCCTCCTAGTATGTGAGTTCCCTGAAAGCAGAGTTTAGGTCTTATTCATCTTCATAACCTACATCTGGCTCTTAGTGAGTGTTTAATAAACATTCATGGAGTAAAAATTAGGAGTGAATTTTTAAAAATGAATTAGAGTTACAGGGACCAACAACTCAAGATCTTTAAGATACAGTAAGTAACAATTAGAGATGGCAGAAAATTACATACAACACGATCCCATACAGTGACCCTCCGAAAGCTGTATTTCTGGATGTGCATTTATATATTGTGTGCAGGATATCTGGAAGAGTAACCAGCAGTAATACCAGGGCTGGAGTTAGGCAGAGAGACTCATTTCAATGGTGGGTGAAGGGTTTGTCTCCCTGTCTTGTTTGAATTATTACCAAGAGAATGAAGAATTTGTTGTATACTAAAATCAAAGAAAAGAGTTCTCCTATAAAGAGTTGATGTGGAAGCCTTCCCTCCCCCCGCTTCAGATCCATCCTACATCTGCAGGGGGCTGGGGAGGCCAACAGGTCCTCTGGGCCTGTCCTCCCTGCCCCCCCCCAACCCCCCCACAGTCCTCGCTCCTTCCTTGGCTGAGGTGTGATGGACTGGTGAGCAGGACAGTGCTGATGGGGCTGCTTTGGGAAGGGTGGTCAGGCCAAGGGGTGCCTCAGTCACCTGGGAAACAGCCAGGGAAGGAGAAGATCAGTGAGTGTGGATGGAAGGAAGAGAGAAAAGGATGGAGAGCCTTCTGAAAATCACTGAACCAGCATTTAGTGAGCATCTACTGTGTTCTGGGAGCTTGCAAGGAACCCAACAGGCCTTACATTTCAGATGGAGAAACTGAGGCCCAAACATGGGAAGGGGCTTGTCTAGATAGAGGTAGGCCTGGGACTAGAACCCGGGTCTCTCTGCCCTGAGTTCTTCACTGAGAGAGTGGCTCCCAAGGCAGGCCAGGCTTTTCTTACAGACTCCAGGAGATGGGCTGCCGCACCTCTGGCTGCTTGGGCGCTGGCCCACAACCCCGGAAGGCAGGAGGGAAGCACCTGCCCTTTGTCAGGCTCCTACTACATGCCAGTTCTCCCCGGAACCCTGAAAGGTAGGCACAATTATCTCCATTTTACAGATGAGAAAACTGAGGTTCCAAGTGATGAAGTGACCTGCCCAAGACTGTTTGGTGAATACCTGCTATGTGCCACTCCTACTATGTGCCAAACTAGCCCCCACCTACTGGTCTTGGAGCGATGCTGGGATATCCTAGCTGGTTCAGCAGGTGAGGAAGACAAGGCTCAGAGAGGCTCAGATGAGGTTGTGTCACCCGAGGTCACACAGCCAGCACATGTGGGCATTCTCACCCTCACCTAGAGAGAAGAGGACGCTTTCTGGAAAAGGTAGAGTTGGTTGGACAGGGGGTACCTGGGTTTGGGTGTGTCTGTATAGCCCTCCGCTGACCCTAGACAGTGGGGCTCCTACCTCATTTCTGTCCTCCGTGCCCCAGTCCTTGCAGCTGTGCCTGCCCCTTCTGGCCCCCTCAACTGTCACGGATTATGCCAGGGACCCTGGGGACAGGGGAGCAAACATCTGGATCCTGTTACAGGGCCTAGCTGGAGGTATGGGGGCAGGGGTGTGAAGCCAGTGGAGCAGGGGCTCTAAATGAGATTCAGAATCTCAGCAGGGCCCTAGCATGGGTGGGTGAGGGGCCGAGGGGCCGCAGATCCGGGCTGGGCAGGAAGGTGGGATCAGAGCAGACCAGCAAACCCTTCCTGAGCTGCTGGGGCCAGGCAGGAGGCAGGATTATGGAATTAGTTCAGGAGGCAGTTTTGGGCAGGGGCTGGTGATGGTGGCCCCGGGCAATTGCCCAGCCAGGTTGTGTCCACCTCCCAGTGGGACACTGGGAGTTCAGTGGGAATATGGTTTGGTTTAGAGGCCAGCCCTTAAGGACAGGTCGCATCAAATTCAGCCTGAAATTCCGGGCCAGTCAAGGCAGCCCCGTTGTGTAACAAAGTCAACAGGGAGCCTGGGAAGGGCTGTGCAGGGAGCATGGATGGAGGTCCTCACCATGGGGGTGTCCAAGGGGCTTCACTGTTGCTACCCAGTATGGCCCGCTCTGTGTTGGCAGATTGGGAGGATCAAAAGAAGAAACCCCGCAGTGGGCACCACTTTCAAAGCACTTACTGTGCTTGGAGAACATTTGGTGTTCAAGAAAATGCCACAGTGTGGGCATGGTGAGTGTCCACTTGACAGATGAGAAAATAGAGGCTTAGAGAGGTTGGTGAAGAAACAACTCCCTGGGAGGAGGTGAAACTCAAGCTGGAACAACAGAGAGAGAAGGTGGAGAAGGTATTCCAGGCAGAGGACACAGCAGAAGCAAAACCAAGGTGGCAGGACATCCCATGCATTGGGTGGGTGCCTTCTGGGGAAACAGAAGTTTCTCTTGGGCAGGGTAAGAATTCAGATTGGACAGTGAGGAGGGAGGTTCAAGACGGTTTCTGAAGTGCTTTGAATGTCAAGGTAAGCGGTTTGGACTTTGTCTTGGAAGTAAGAGGGAGCCATCGAAAGTTCGTAAAGATGGCAGTGCCACGATTAGAGATGGGCTATCAGGAGAGTCACGAGGGCAACTCTCACCAAATGGGTTAAAGAGAGGAGACAGTGAACACGGAGAGGCAGGCGAGCAAGGACTCTGTTCACGGGGCCCTGAACAAATGGGCTACTGCACAAATATGTCATGAAGAGGAGGAAATCAAAGAATAATTCTGATTGAAATTACAGTGGTGTTAGGCCATTCTTGCATTGCTCTAAAGAAACACCTGAGACTGAGCTGGGCACATGGAATCATGCCTGTAATTCCAGCACTTTGGGAGGCTGAGGCAGGAGAATCACTTGAAGCCAGGAGTTTGAGACCAGCCTGGCCAACACAGTGAAACCCCGCCTCTATCAAAAAATGCAAAAATTAGCCAGGTGTGGTGGCACATGCATGGAGTCCCAGCTACTCGGGATGTTGAGGCAGGAGAATTGCTTGAACCCACGAAGCAGAGGTTTTAGTGAGCCGAGACTGTGCCACTGCACTCCAGCCTGGGTGACAGAGTGAGACCCTGTCTCAAAAAAAGAGAAATACCTGAGACTGGACAATTTATAAAGAAAAGAAGTTTAATTGGCTCACGGTTCTGTAGACAGTACAGAAAGCATGATGCTGGCATCTGCTCGGCTCCTGCGGAGGCCTCAGGAAGCTTTTGCTAATGGCAGAAGGTGAAGCGGGAGCAGGCCCATTACCTGGTGAAAGCAGGAGCAAGGGATAGGAGGAGGCACCACACACTTTTAAACAACCAGATCTCAGGAGAACTCACTATTGCAAGGACAGCACCAAGGGGATGGTCCTAAGCCATTCATGAGAAATCCACTCCCATGATTTAATCACCTCCCACCAGAACTCACCTCTGACACTGGGGGCTACATTTCAATGTGAGATTTGTTGGGGACACAGATCCAAACTATATCAATCGCTTAATGTTTACTGTGAGCTTCCAAGCTTACTGAGTTCCAACATCTACTGAGCCTCATTCTGAGTGCGTGCAGTATCTGCCTGGGAAGCGGTGTTAGCATCCCCATTCAATAAATAAGGACGCTGAGATGCATAGGGACCACTTGCCAGAAGGCCACAGAGCTAAGAGGCAGCTGAGCTGGGGCTGGGATGGAGGCCTCCTTACTCTCCCAACAGTGCTGTTTCCCCGGACCACACTCTCTCCCCACAAGTGTGAGGTGCCAATAGCCAAAGTGGAGTGGTGAGATCTAGGCCAAGGGCACTGGTAACTAAAGGGGCAGGGCTGGACACCGAGGCACTGACGCCCAGCTCCCTACATTCCTGAGCCTTCCAGGGCCAAGTCTGCCCTCCAGATGCTTGGACCTAAAGGCACTGGCCATGGGAAAAGCCTTACATAAGGCCTATGTGAGACAAACCTCGGATCATGGGACAAGTGGTTACAGATGGCAGCAAGAGGACAGGGGATATTTACTCCCACTCTGTCCTTAATCTAGAAAGACTTCTTAGCCAGAGTGGAACCTCAGGGACAAGAAGTAGACATAGTGCTGTATCATGGTTAAGATCATGGATTTTGGAGTCAGATAGATCTAGGTTTGAATCCAGTCTCTTCCTTGTACCTGCTGTGTGATCTTGGGCAAATTATTTAACCTCTCTGAGCCCAATTTCCTTATCTTTAAAAAAAAGAATGATGATGCCTTCCTCTCAGAATTTTTGTGAGCATTACATAAGGTAATAAATGTAAATTACTTAGCTTCAGGACTGGCACATAGTAGATACACAATAAATAATAGTCAGATTAGAGCCTGGGGCTCACCCCCATGACCATGTGACACCATGGGTGATCCCAGTTGGATCTAAGTTCCTTGGGGATCTCTGAATTCCTGATAGCATGTGGTGGCGTTGGCACATCCCAAGGCAGGTGTGTGCCCATCCTAGGATGGGGCTGCAGGTATTCCAGGTACCTACATCTGGGTCCCAGGCCAGTGCTTCTTGGGGGCTGGGGTGAGGATCAAAATAACAATGGCAGTGGTGGGGGTGGTGACAAGGAGGATGTCAGAGGTGATGAAGTCTTGTGGAACCCTAATCTGAGTCCTTCCCTCACCCCACCCCCACACTTTTAGTAAAAATTTCAACACTGACTGAGCCATTGTTTGCACTGTTTTCAAAGCTTTACACGCATCGGCACATCAATCTTCCCAGTATCCCTGTGAGGTGGCTCTGTGCCATCCCCATTTTCAGATGAGGAAGCTGAGGCACAAGCAGGCAGAATGGCTTGCCCCAGATCCCATAGCTGTAAGTAGCAGATCCAAGATGCTAACTCAAGTCTGTCTGATTCTGGGGCCCAGACACCTGGTCTCCCAGAGCTGCCTCCTCAGCCCAGTATTCAAAAGTTCATGCCAACACTGCTCAGATTTTAAGAGTGGAATTGGCCAAGCGCGGTGGCTTCTGCCTGTAATCCCAGCACTTTTGGAGGCTGAAGGAGGTGGATCACTTAAGGTCAGGAGTTCAAGACCAGCCTGAACAATATGGTGAAACCCCGACTCTACTAAAAATACAAAAATTAGCTGGGTGTGGTGGTGTGCTACATAGTCCCAGCTACTCAGGAGGCTGAGGCAGGAGAATCACTTGAACCCGGGAGGTGGATGTTGCAGTGAGCCGAGATCGCGCCACTGCACTCCAGCCTGGGCAAAAGAGCGAAACTCCGTCAAAAAAAAAAAAAAGTGGAATTGTAGAGAGTTTTGCAGTATTCTGTGGGTTTCCAGAAAGACAGGTTGGCAGGCTTCGAGGAGAGGGTACTCTTCTCCTGCCTGCCTGTTCATGAAGCCCATCAGAAAGGCAGAAGGTCTGGTGTTTAAGAACCTGAATGCCGAAGCCAGACAGTTTGGGCTTAAATCTTCCCTTTGCCGTTGACCTCTGCATGTCCCTGGGAAAGTTGCCTAATTTCTCTGTGCCTCTAATTCCTCATCTGGGTAAATGGGGTTCATGATCATGCCTGGATCTCAGAGGTGTCCTGGAGGTTAAATTTTTAGATGTTTTTTAATGCTTGTAATGTGCTTATAATGTTGCCTGGTAGACAGCAAGCAATAGGGGCGTCCCAGGCTAGGTCTCAGCTATCAGGGCCATGTGGTTCTGGAAGGCAGAGGACACTTGGCTGAAATGGAGCCATCAGGGAGTGCAGAGACCCAGGCCATCAGCAAGGGCGTTGATGTCTCAGGATCTAAATTTTTCATTCCCACTCTACCTGCCAGGAAGCCCTGCTTGCCGGCTCCCTCTCCTCCACCCCTAGTCCAGGAGGCCACCAAGACCTGAGACTGCCTGAGAGTCCTAGAGAGCCCCAGATGCAAGGTTGCATGCTGATTTGGAGGCCCAAGATGTCAAGCCAGCCCCCAACTAATCTTTGTTTCTGAAGCCAGTGGAGCCCAGCTGCCCAGCCTTGGGGGGACCACAACCACGACAGAAACTGATTAAGTTGCTCTGCAAGTGTTTGCTGAGTGCCTATTGTGTGCCAGGCACTGTCCTTGGCACTGGAGATCAGGCTGCAAACAAAGTCTCTGCTCACATAGAGCTCACATCCTAGCAGAGTCAGTGGTGGGAAATTAAAAAAATAAACCAGTGTGGCCAGGCGTGGTGGCTCACGCCTGTAATCCCAGCATTTTGGGAGGCGAGGCGGGCGGATCACAAGGTCAGGAGATCGAGACCATCCTGGCTAACACGGTGAAACACCATCGCTACTAAAAAAAAAAAAAAAAAAACTACAAAAAATTAGCCGGGCGTGGTGGCAGGCACCTGTAGTCCCAGCTACCCAGGAGGCTGAGGCAGGAGAATGGCATGAACCCAGGAGGCGGAGCTTGCAGTTATCCGAGATCGCACCACTGTACTCCAGCCTGGGGAACAGAGCGAGACTCCGTCTCAAAAAAATAATAATAATAATAGATAAAAAATAAAAATAAATAAATAAACGAGTGTGAGATTTAATATGATAATTTGAGGAACTGATAAGTATAGTGAAGAGAAACAGAATGAGTCAAAGGGTGGAGAGGGAGGAGGGAATCTTGGGAAAAGAAGATTGTAGACATCTGGAAAAACGACTTAAAAAGAACTAACTTTTCTGGTCTTCCACTAAACATTTGCTCAGGAAAGTGAACAGATTCAGGATATGTATAAAAACTGGATTCTTGGTAGGAAACCCTTTTGTAGAATCAAGAATCACTTGGTCAAATGCCCTTAAATGATAGCCAGTTATAGGCACGAGCTCAGTCTACCTTGTTAAACCCATGACAGAGCCTCTACCCTTCTAAGCCTCAGTTTCTTCAGCTGTAAAATGGGATCACAAGCCCCTACTGGTGGAGTGGTTAGCCAAGCTCAAGGAGATAGTCTGTGTGGAGCCTTCACACAGCCCCACCCCAGCCGGGCACTCACTGTTCACTAAGCAACATTGTTGAGCGCCTGCTGGATACACTGCAATCCAGCGTCTCAGGACTTCTTCCTTCCCCAGGTCTGCCATCCCCCTTCATGCCCAGGTCTCAGTGGTGCCTGGCGCTAGGCTGGCCCGGCATCCCCAAGCAGGAAAGGGAAGCGGCTCCTTTAAGGCAGGCCCCAGCTGGGCCGCCTGGATATTGGAGCATGGACGAGATTAGGTGGCGGAGGCGCTGGCCGGGCCAGATGCGCCTGAGCGCGGCCTCGTTATGTATTCATGAGCTGTGAGGAAAAGAAATAAAAGGATTCATTATCGTCCAAACTGTTACTAATGACATGTACCTGGAGCCCGTGCACCTCTGGAAATCTAATGCGACACACTCCGAGAGAAAATGTATTCCCGGGCTCGGCGCCGCGGCCGACGGAAAATGTCCCCTCCCCGCCCTTCCTCATTGCCATTCACTCAGGGCGACATTTACAATTCTTCTGCCATTATGTCCGACCAGGGCCTCTGAGCCTCTGTCACGACCTGCACATTAGCTGAAAATTGGAAATTCCACAGCGTGGCCGTGGCCATGGCCGTGGCCGCGGTGGGCTGGGCCAGAGCAGGGCTCGGAAACCGAGAGGCACAAGGGACTGAGCAAGAGGGGCGCCCAGGGGCAAGGCGAATGGACAAGGGGAGGAACAGTGCTGCTGGCCTTTAGGGGTCCTGCTGGCTCCGATCTGCCCCCAAGCTGGCCACCCACCATGCCAAGCCCAGCCTCGGGGTGCCCAGGGTGGCGACCCCAACCCCTTTTACCTCTTCACCTTTGCTCTCCCCCCACCCCTATCCTGCTCTGAAAGTCTTCTGCCTCCCACATAGCAATCCCAATCCTTTGCTCCCTTCAAAGACCCAGTAAAAATATTAACAACACAACAAGAGACATCCGTCTGAAGCTTATTTTGCAAGATAAACCTGTCTCAGGTGCATTATAAAAGCATTGTCTCAACTGATCTTCACCACTACCCTGTGAGGTGAGTTCTATTCTGATCCCCATTTTACAGAGGAGAAAAACTCAGACTTGCAGAGTAAAGGGACTTGCCCACAGTCACGCAAGGAGAAAGGAACAGAGCTGGGATTTGCCCCCTGGCTGGAGTGATTCCAAGACTTGGGCCTTGTCCTAGCACCACATGGGAACTCCAGGCTCCAGGCTCAGCTCCTCCAAGAAGGCTTCCCAGGCAGGTCTCTGCCTATTGAAGTTAAATCCTTGGGATGCGAGCCTCTGGGCTCCCATGTGACAAACTACGGGCCTCTGTTTAATGCACCTTCCTGGGAAAGACACAGCTGCCCATCCAGACTGCTGTGCCCTAGAAGGCAGGTGCCCATCACCTGAACCTTCTGTGTCTGCTTGCAATGTTTATCAGTCAGTACGTGCACAGCTAAGTCCTGTGGAGTATACGTCTGTCCCATGTGGCTTCAGAGGCAGAGCTGGGATGGAATGGGGCACCCAGGGAAAGCGGATTTGGGCCTTATCCAAGGAAGAGCTTTTAGTAGAAAGGACAAATAAAAAACAGTATTTCAAATAGAAAATGAATAGTGTATTAGTCCATTTTCACGCTGCTATAAAGAAATGCCTGAGACTGGGTGATTTATAAAGGAAAGAGGTTTAATTGATTCACAATTCAGCATGGCTGGGGAGGCCTCAGGAAACTTACAGTCATGGTGGAAGGTGAAGAGGAAGCAAGACACCTTCTTCATAAGGCGAAGGAGGAACTTCCAAGCACTTATAAAACCATCAGATCTCGCGAGCGCTCCCTCACCATCATGAGAACAGCATAGGAGAATCACCCCCATGATCCAAATCGCCTCCCTCCTTTGACAGGTTAGGATTACAAGTTCCCCCCCTTGACATGTGGGGATTACAATTCGAGATGAGATTTGGGTGGGGACACAGGCCAAACCATATCAAATAGCTTTTCAGTGTAAATATATCTCAAATATCATTGTTTATTTGAAATTCAAATTAACTGGGTGTCCTGTCTTTTGATTTGCTAAATCTGGTAGTCCAAGCTTGGAGATACCCCAAGCAAACCCACAATGGGCCTGACTCACCTAGGAGATTTGGGGTCAGTGCCCCAGGCCACTAGATCCTGAACTCTTAGAAACATCAGCCAGAGATTCTATTCCCCAGACTTCCTTTCGTCTAAGTGTGGTCACATGACTAAGTTCTGGTCAGCGGAATGCGAGTAAAAGTGATACCAGACCCTTCTGGTTAAAAGGAAAGGACAGACATTTATCTTGCCCTTTCCCCCTTCCTGCTTGCTGGGTTGCAGAAGAAATGGCAGGAACTGCAGCAGCTATATTTGACCCAGAGGTAGAAGCCACATGTTGAGGATGACACAGTTGTCCCTAGTAGGCCTGGACCACTTACCTCTGGAGTGTTATTCAAGGTAAAACAAACAAATAAATAAACAAAAAAGAGCTAATTGTTTAAGCCACTGTATGGTTGGGTTTATTTGTTCTAGTAGCTTTGACTGTACCCCTAACTAACACATTCTCCCACCAAAATATCAGCCCCCAGGAAGGTGAGGACTTAATCATTCAATGTGCTAACACCAACACGTGTCACCAAGTAGATCCTCAATAAATGCTTATTGAACAAATAAATGAATGAATGGCCTAGATGACCTCTGAGAGTAAATAAACAAACAGCTGACTAATTAATTATACTAACTAGCAATTACTGAATGCTCACAAAATTTTCTTATAACCATTGACTCCTTCAATCCTCACAACCCTATGATGTAGGAACCATTCACATCCCCACTTTATAAATGAGGACACTAAGGTGGCTTGGCCTGGTTTAGAGAGCAGGTGAGTGATGGAGCCAGGGTGCAGTCTGGCTCTGGGGCCCTCTCGCTTAACCTTCTCTCCTGCCTCTCTTTAGAAAAAGCGATGAGCCAGTGGGTGAATGAAAGGGCAACTCTCTAACTTTGTTTATTCAGCAAATCTTTTACTGAGTGCGACATGTACCCGGAGCCTGAGCACCTCTAGAAATCTAATCTAGGGCACTGTTCTAGAAGCTGGGAATTTAGCAATAAACAAGACAAACAAAAATCCATACCTACAGTGCTTATATCCTAGCTGGGCAGACAGGCAATAAACAAGATAAACAAGCCAAATGGATAGTGTTACTATAGAATTCTGTTTATATGAAGTTCAAGAACAAGCAAAACTAATCCATGGGGACAGAAATCACGGCAGTGGTTGCCCTCGGAAGGAGGATTGGAGGAAGGGGCTCTCTGGGGTGGTGGAAATATTGTTTATCTTGTTTGGATATTGGTAACATAGAGGTAGCTTTTTTTTTTTTGAGATGGAATCTCGCTCTGTTGCCCAGGCTGGAGTGCAGTGGTGCCATCTCAGCTCACTGCGACCTCCACCTCCTGGGTTCATGCCTCAGCCTCCCAAGTAGCTGGGATTACAGGTGTCCGCCACCTTGCCCAGCTAATTTTAGTATTTTTAGTAGAGATGAGGTTTCACAGTGTTGGCCAGGCTGGTCTCAAACTCCTGACCTCAGATGATCCGTCTGCCTCAGCCTCCCAAAGTGCTGGGATTACACAAGTGAGCCACCGTGCCCAGCCGGAGGTAGATATTTACCAAAACTTGTCAAACTTTATATGTAAGGCCTGTGCATCTTACTGTATGTATATAAAGTAAACCTCAGTCGAGAATCAGTAAAATCAATATGTATAGAAAATAGATATAATATTGGGTGGTTCTAAATACTAGGGAGAAAATAAGAAGAAAACCAAGGTAGGGTAGGGAGATTTTACATAGAGTGTCATGGAAGGAAGGAAGGAAGGAAGGAAGGAAGGAAGGAAGGAAGGAAGGAAGGAAGGAGGGAGGGAGGGAGGGAGGGAGGGAGGGAAGGAAGGAGGGAAGGAGGGAAAAAGGGAGGAAAAGAGAGAGGGAGGCAGGGGAGGAGGGAGGGAGAGAAAGGGGGAGGGAAAGAAAGAGGGAGGGAGAGAAAGAGAGAGGAAGAGAAGGGGGAGGGAGGGAGGGAGGGATGGGCAAATGAGGGAGTAAAAGCCACGTCTTGTCCAGAAAGGAGCACTCCCGGTGAACAGGGATTCATGCTCCCAGAGCTCCAAGCCCTGGGGAATCAGGCTTCTCCAGTGTGGGAGGGGCAGTGGTGGTGTCTGTTTGAGAACAGCCTCTTGCATGGAGTCCTGCTAAGGAGTAGTTTGAGGACAAACCCTAAATCCCAGGGTCTAGGAGATAGAAATCACGGGGCAGACAGACTACTCTGCTAATTAAAGAAAAGGAGATGTCCCTTAACTCTGCTCACCCTGCCCCCAACCCTAATGTCTCTACCAGCACATTTCCCACCCACCCCAGCCTCCCTACCTCCAACAATAACTGGACATCCCAAAAAACAGCAGTGGGAATTGGAAATCCATATGCGAAAAAAAAAATCGAAACCCTCCTTCACACCATACACAGAACATCATTCCACATGGATTGCAGATCTAAATGTGGAAGGTAAAACAGTAAAACTTTACAGTAAAACAGAACATCTCTATGACCTTGAAGCAGGCAGAAATTTCTTCTAAAATGTGCTATCTATCAAAAAAAAAATCTAAATTAGGCTATGTTAAAATTAGGAGCTGCTGTTCATCAAACAATATCATTAGGAAGGTGAAAATGCAACCTAGAGAAAAATAAGATATTTGAATATATTTGACAAGGGACTCATATCCATTATGTTTCTTTTTTTTCTTTTTCTTTTTTTTTTTGAGACGGAGTCTCGCACTGTAGCCCAGGCTAGAGTGCAGTGGCACGATCTCGGCTCACTGCAAGCTCTGCCTCCTGGGTTCACGCCATTCTCCTGCCTCAGCCTCCTGAGTAGCTGGGACTACAGGTGCCCGCCAACACGCCCAGCTAAATTTTTTGTACTTTTAGTACAGACGGGGTCTCACCATGTTAGCCAGGATGGTCTTGATCTCCTGACCTCGTGATACGCCCACCTCGGCCTCCCAAAGTGCTGGGATTACAGGCATGAGCCACTGCGCCTGGCCCCATTATATATCTTAAAAAGTTTTTCTACTAATAAATGTGAAAAAAATAAACCCATAGAAATATGGTCAAGAGTTTGGAACAGATACTTGAAAAAAGAAAACACCCAAATGGCTAATTAACACGAAAAGATACTCAATGCCACTAATCATTAAGGAAATGCAAATTAAAACTACATATCAGAATGAGGACACAGGAAAAGATACTAAGTACTGTTGAGGATGTGGTGGAGCTCTTCGTGCTCTGCTATTAGGGCTTGAACTGGCATGATCACTTCAGAAAACTGTTTTGCAGTGTCTGTAAAGGTGAATGTGTGCCTTCCCTATGGCTCACCAGTGCCACTCCTAAGTACATATTCAACAGGTGTGCTTATGCCTTTTGCAACAATGCTCGTGGCTATTTATGGAGCCCCAAACCAAAACTCCAGGCCCCTCTTGCTTAATGTTCTCTCCTGCCTCTCTTAGAAGAAACGATGAGCCAGTGGGTGAATGAAATGGCAACTCTATAACTTTATTTATTCAACAAATCTTTTACCGAGTATGACATGTATCTACAGCCTGAGCACCTCTGGAAGTCTAATCTAGGTCACTGTTCTAGAAGCTGGGAATTTAGCAATAAACAAGACAAACAAAAATCCATACCCACAGTGCTTATATCCTAGTTGGGCAGACAGGCAATAAACAAGATAAACAAGTCAAATGGATAGTGTTACTGTAGGATTCCATTTATATGAAGTTCAAGAACAAGCAAAACTAATCCATGGGGATATAAATCAGGGCAGTGTTTGCTTTCAGAAGGAAGGGACATATTTAAATGTCCCTCAAGAGTAGAACAGATCAAGAAACTGAGACTTATTCATGCAACAGAATAGAATACTACAAGACACTGAGAATCAGTAAATGAAGATCAACTAGCCATACGCAACAGCAGGTCAAGTAGAAGAAGCCACGCACAAAACAGAATGTGTTGTGTGATTCCATGTATAGGAAAGCGGCCATTTTTGAGGGGCGGTGACTGGCAGGAGGGATCGGGGAGGTTCGGGAAACCAGTGATGTTCTATTTCTTGACCTGGATGCTGGCTTCCCAGGTGCACTTACCTGGGGAAACATTTTCCAGCTGCATGCCTACAATTTGTGCTCTTTTCTGTGCTTAGGATGTAAAGCAATACAAAATTTTAGAAAAAGACAACTTTAAAATAAAAATCTGTTGCTTACAGCAGGGGCTCAGCTCGCCAGCTCCTTGACATCCTGAAGTGACAACTACTTGTCCACCCTTAGTTGCTGAGCTTTTAATGAGAACTGCCTTTCTTTGTGGTTAGGTGTGTGTTTTTCTGAGAATGGCTTTTTCCTCTTTTCTGTGATTTGTGAGAGAAAGATAGAGAGAGGGAGAGACGGAGCGCTGTCAGAAAACTCCTGTAACATAGGATCAAGACACTTTTGGCCAGGGAGGGATAAATAGGGTTCTCATTCCACATACCCCATGCTTTGGAAATCACAGATCTGATTAAATTTTCCACCCCAAAATTTATGTTGCTTATCCATCAGCATAAAGAGGTGCTCAATAAATGAACGAATGCATACAAAAATCAGTGAATGGCTGGCCATGGTGGCTTACACCTGTAATTCCAGCACTTTGGGAGACTGAGGTGGGAGGATCACTTGAGCTCAGGAGTTCAAAACCAACCTGGGCAACATGGTGAAACCTTATCTCTACAAAAAATACAAAAATTAGACTGGCATTGTGGCGAGTGCCTGTAGTCCCAGCTACTTGGGAGGCTGAGGTGGGAGGATCACTTGAACCCGGGAGGAGAAGGTTGTGGTGAGCCGAGATTGCACCACTGCACTCCAGCCTGGGCAACAGAGAGAGACCCTGCCTCAAAAAAAAAAAAAAATCAGTGAATGAATGAAACAAAGGCTCTGTAGCACCTCTGATCCTGGTTACACACATCTGGTGATGGGTAACTTATCCCCTCTAGGGGAAGCCTGACCTGCCACTGAGGAGCTCCAGTTGGCAAAGGCTGCCCTTAATGGAACCCTTGTTCTCCTCTCCATCCTCCTCTTCCCATTTCTCCAACCTTCCTTCAGTATAAACCTCCCCCAAAGGGCATGGGTCCCAGCTGTCCACCCCCAAACACACACACACACACACACACACACACACAGAGAGAGAGAGAGAGAGAGGTTCCCTGTTAGAACCAAGGAAGGAGGGGAGATCCGCTCATGCCTGTAAGTGGGGAAAGAAAGGAAAAGATAATCTGAGACCACATTGTGCATTCATTCATTCATTCACTTACTCGTTTATTCACTTATCAGTTAACCTCTTGGCTCCCCTTCCTGGGCAGATCTTGAGCTAAGCATTAAGACCTGAAAGGAGGCCAGGTACAGTGGTTCATGCCTTTAACCCCAGCACTTGGAAGGCCGAGGTGGGAGTAACACTTGAGGCCAGAAGTTCAAGACTAGCCCGGGGAAGATAAGTGAGACCCTGTCTCTACAAAACAAAAAAGAAATTAGCCCTGCATGGTTGTGCATGTACCTGTAGTTCCAGCTACTCAGGAGGCTGAGGCAGGAGGATCACTTGAGCCCAGGAGTTGGAGGTTACAGTGAACTATGGTCCTGCCACTGCACTCCAGCCTGGGCAGCAGAGCCAGACCCTGTCTCAAAAAAAGATAACCATGATGAATAAGAAATCACTTTTGCCCTCAAGGAGCTTCCAGTTCGGTGGGGGTCAGGCTGACATGTAAGAATATCTGTGCATTACCTGGGCTGCACTTGAATCCAGGAAGGTGGTTGATGGGGAGTGGCGGGACCTGGAGCTGATATTTCTCTCCCAGCATCCCCCCACCCCACGTCTAAAGAGGAAAGAGATTCATAAACAAATGGTCACCGACCATGCAGATGCTTGCTGGGCTGGTGAAAATAATAGTGCTAATAATAATAGTAGCAGTTTTTCAAGCAACTAATCTTCAATGCTATTATTATCTTCCAGTTTACAGATGAGGAAGCTGAGAGGTTAAGTCACATGGCTCAGGACACGCACTGCTAATGGGAAAGGAAATGAGATTCAAACCTGTAATCGTCTGACCTAATGACCAAGGTGCCTCCTTGGAGAGGAGTATGCGAGCATGGAAGGAGGACACCCACTCTGACCTTGGAGGCTAAGGAAGGCTTCCTGGAGGCAGTGGCCCTTGATCTTGTTCTTGAACGATGTTGAAAGACTGAATATACAAATGGACAATGGCCAGACCATATATGAAGATAGAACTTAGCCCGCAACCCACAGCACCCTGCCCAAGAAACAAACTCCCTCATCTGCAAAAGAAAAAACAACCCAGGAAACCAGCCTGCTGGAAGTCACACATGCTATCTCTAGGGACAATCCAGAAAGCTAAACAATAACTTCTATAACAATAGACCCAAAATGGTCAGGCCCTGATTAATAACTGACAGCTTCCCTAATTTTTGTTCCTGTATCCAACTTACAACCAGAGAAAGCCAAATGTGCACCCCTAATCAATCACACGGGATGCCCCGCTTCTAGTTAGCCACCTCCAGCCTCCCCATGCCCATGGCCTCCCATCGGGCCACACCCGAGGCTTCTCTTCCCTCACCACCCCACCGCTCCTCTCTTTGAATCTCAGCCAAAACACAAGTGATGGAGGCTGACTCCTTTGCTACAGCAAGCTCAGAATAAATAGCCTTTGCTTTTCTCATTGGGTCAGTCTTCTTTATTTCCACAAGATGTAGGAGTTTGCCAGGTGGCACAGTAAGGGAAGGAAGAAGCCAGAGAGAACGGCATGTGCAAAGGCATGGAGGTGTGAATTAGCCAACCATGGGAAGCGGAGAAAATAAGAGATAAGGCCAGTGAGCCAAGAAAACTCCTACTCATCCAACAACACCCAGTTTGAGAAGTCTCCTCTATGCATACAGAATAAGTACCTCTGGGGTCTGCAGGGACCAAGTGAACTTGCTCAGCTGGTACCCACCCAAGACCCCCAGGAGTAGCTTACATCACCAGGTGAGGGTGGTTGGAGATGGGGAGCTCTGTTGCCTAGATGCGGGGCCAAGGCCAGTGAGCCCTTCTTATGCTCCTGCCCTGTCTGGGCTGCCCAAGCCTCCGCCTGGCCCTGCACCCCACACCCTGGTGCCCCCTCCCCTCATGCATCAGCCATGTCTTCTCCACCTTAGCTGCCCTCCGTGACTGTGCTAATGGGTATGGACTGGCAGCGTGTTGTGATTTAATCAAGGCTGGAGACAGGATTCCCCCCGCTGCCACCGCTTGTACTGCCCGGGGCCCAGGATGCTCAGATTAATTTACAGGATGTCACAGACACTGTTCTGCCGTGCTTTTCATCTTCCCCAGCCAGGTGTAAGGTTTCCCAAGGTCCTGAACATGAAGCCTCAGCACCCGGGCTCAGAGGCTCCATGCTCCATCCCGTCCTCATATACCTCCCCAGCTTAGGGGTACAGGCTGCAAATGAGACACTCCAGCCACGAGGAGGGGCCTGGGGTGGAAGCTCCATTCAGATGTCTGAATCTGGGATGGGCTGTGTGGCACAGGAAGAGAGAGGCTAGCCTGGGATGCAAAAGAAATGGGTTAGATTGTCAGCCCCAGTCTAGAGGACATTAAATCATCCTAAGCTCCCTATTTACCCCCGACCCTCACGCCAATTCCTTCCTCTTTTCATCTTCAACTTAACAAGTGTTGTCTGATCACAGCCTATGGGCCAAGGGCTGGGGATGCTACAGGGAATAAGATACGGTTCCCGGCTGTAGATAGTCAGTGTTCTCTGGGCCTCAGTTTCTCATCTGCAGAACGGGGCACCAATCCCTCCCTGGATGGCTTCATGGAGCGACTGTGAGGATCCTGGAGGGTCGTTAATGTGGGCATAGTGGGAAAGCAGTTGGTGCAGAGAATAGATCACCCAACACAGAGTCAGGGTGCCTGGGTTCAAGTCCCGGTATAGCCACCGGCAAGCTGAGGGGCTGCAGGCAAATTACTGCTTCTCCCTGAGCCTGTCTTCTCGCTGCAAAGTGGGGAGAGCAGACATAACCTAAATAATATCTATTTGTCAAGCACTTACATGTGCCGGGCACTGTTCCAAGCTCTTCGGAAGACATGAGTTAATTTAAGCTCCACAACCTCCCGTTTCGTAGATGAAAGAAACTGAAACACAAGAGGTCAAATAACAGGCCCAAGGCCACACAGCCAGGCAGTCTGGCTCCAGTACCTGCTCTCCTAAGCCCCTTGCTCCGGCATCTCTCACCACCCATCCATGAGCACCTCGGCCCAATCAGGCATCTCTCCGCCTCCCCAGAGTTCACGCAAAACAAATGCCTCTATAATGCTCTCTCAGAGTCCACGGCAACCAGGTCTCATTTTATTTTTACCTTTCTTGGTATGTGTTTCTGTCTTTTGGTTTGGTTTTAAGCATCAGACAGGAAACTCTATCAGGGCAATTGCTATGCCTCCCCCATCCGGTAGCTCCCTCAAACAGGGGCTGATCTCCCCATCATTCTGGGGGTTCCCCAGAGTGAGGACAGGAGGGGAGCTCTGGGTCTCATGGCAGTTTTTCCACCGGCCTGTTCTTAACCTCCCCAGTTCCCATCGGAGGCCCAGCCCTTCCTGGAGCCATCTGGTCTACCTCCTCAGGGGCACCACCTGCAGGATGATTCTCTCCAGCCGCCTTGGGGAAATGAATATGGTAATACCCTTTCCTAAATTACTGTCGTAGTTGGCTGAATGTGAGAAACCTAGAGCTGGGGGCATTGGCAGCTCAAGTGCTAAGAGTTAATTCAATTAGCCAGAGCACAGAAAGCTTGGGCCTGCTGTCTGCCTGCAGCACAGACCAGCAGGCTTCCGGGGCACTTTCCACACCTCTGAAATCTCAGCTCCCCTTCCACACCCCATGTGGCTTTCCCAGTCTTCCCTTATCCAAAACTAAGGCTTAGATTAGGACAAATACCTAATGCATGCAGGGTTTAAAACCTAGATGATGGGTCGATAGGTGAGCAAGCCACCGTGGCACGTGTATACCTATGTAACAAACCTGCACATTCTGCACATGTATGCCAGAACTTAAAGTAAAATACATAAAATAAAATAAAATAAAATAAAATAAAATAAAATAAAATAAAATAAAATAAAATAAAATAAAATAAAATAAAATAAAACTAAGGCTTGGAAGCATGAGCGAGTCCAACTCCAACAGGCGACCTGACATGAAAGGGCCCTGACCCGAGGCCCCTCAGCACGTCGTGGCAGCCTCAGGCTTTGAACCCAGGACTTCCGGTTCAAAGTTCTGCTTTTGCATTTGCTGCTCCCCCTGCCTAGAATGCTCTCCCCTAGATCTTTGCCCAGCCCCCTCCTTCTCATCCTTCCCTAATCCCATCATCTAAAGCCCAGGCACACTCCCTCCAGGGCAGCACCCATCCCCCTCCCTGCCTTGCTTTCCAAGCGTGTTGTCTTCCACGGAGAGGGCCCTGTCTACCTGATCCCCACCTCCCCCCATGTTTAGGCTGCCAGCCCCATGAAGCCAGCGCCACGGCCGTCTGCCTCACATCAGTCTAGGTCACAGCTGTGTTGCCAGAACCTGGCATGTGGTTGTCTTCAGTAAATCTTTGTGGAATGAACAAATGGGGGTCCATGAAGACCCCATAGCCTGGAACTTGGGCCTCTTGTTCTGTGGCCATGGCAGGAGGGATGCCAGGGGGACCAGCACTATGGGCCACACCCTTCCCAAAGCCTAGCTGTGGCTGCAGCCGCCTCTGATTAGGCCCCGATTCACAGAGAGGCCTTTTGGCCATCAGCTTCCATTAGTTGCATCAAATTTTAGCTGGGAAGCCTGGCTGTTGCCCAAGAAGGTGGTCTCCAGAGAGGCCTGGGCAGGAGTAAGCTTGGGTGAGACTCAGCATCCAGGGTCTCAGCAATGTGACAGTACAAGCTCTGCGGGAAGGCTGGGGTAGGGTGAGGGAAGGGCAGGGGAAGCTAGGGGCAGCGAGGAGTGTTCCCTGAGTGGTGCCTCTGACATCCATCACGGGGTCAGGAGCTCACTCAGCCTCCCCCTTCTTCACCCTTATTCTGGATCTGCCACCACCATTCCGTGTGACCTTGGGCCAGTCACTTGCCTTCTCCAGGGCTCACTTCCATGACTGCAAAGGGAGGGGATAAAACATTTTGGGGGCTCCCCCAGCTTAGGGATTCCGAGGTTCCATCTGGCTATGATTCCCACATTCCCTGGATGCTCGGGGGTCTCCACGATCTCCCTGCCTCTTTCCCCCAATCACCCTGTCTCCCTGTGGCTGGAGTTATCTTTCTAGCACAAATCACCCCATGTCCTGTCCCTCAGCCTCTGTCTCTGCTGCCTCATCTCTTGCCACTTGCCACCAAATGTAGCAGTTCCTTTAAAAACCAAACATACACATACCACGCAACGCAGCAGGGGCGCTCCTGGGCATTTATCCCAGAGATAGGAAAGCTGATGTCCGCACAAAACCTGTGCACACAGATTCGTAGCAGCTGTATTTGTTGGAATGGCCAAAAGTTGGAAACAACCAAAATGCCCTTCAGTGGGTACATGGTTAGGCACACCCTGGCTCATCCATCCCATGGAATAATACTCAGCATGAAAAGGAATCAACTATTGATACATGTAGCACCTGGATGAATCTCTAAAGAGTCATGCTGGGGCTGGGCGTAGTGTCTCATTCCTATAATCCCAGCACTTTGGGAGGCCAAGGCCGACGGATCCCTTGAGCTCAGGTGTTTGAAACCAGCCTGGGCAACATGGCAAAACCCCACCTCTACAAAAACAAAATCAAAAAAGAACCTACAAAAATTAGCCAGGCGTGGTGGCATGTGCCTGTAGTCCTAGCTACACTGGAGACTGAGGTAGAAGGATTGCTTGAGCCCAAGAGGGTGAGGCTGCAGTGAGCCCAGATCGCACCCCTGTACTCCAGCCTGGGTAACAGAACAAGACCCCTGTCTCGAAAAACAAACAAACAAAAAAAACCCTGCTGGGTAAAATAAACAAAGCCAACTCAAAGTCACATGCTGTATGAGTTCAATTCTATAACACTCTTGAAATGATGAAATCATAGATCAACAGATTAGAGACTGCCAGAGGTTAAGGATGGTTGTGGGAGGAAGGAGAGCGTGGTTATAAAGGGGTAGCACAGGGGTCTTTGTGTTCTGTATATTGGGTGTGGTGGTGGTTACACAAATCTACACATGTGAAAAAATGGCAGGGAACTGGCTGGGCTAGGTGGCTTATGCCTGTAATCCCAGCACTTTGGGAGGCCAAGGCGGGCAGATCACTTGAGGTCAGGAGTTCGAGACCAGCCTGGCCAACATGGCGAAACCCTGTCTCTACTAAAAATACAAAAATTAGCCAGGCATTGTGGCACACACCTGTAGTCCGAGCTACTCGGGAGGCTGAGGCAGGGGAATCACCTGAACCTGGGAGGCAGAGGTTGCAGTGGGCCGAGATCACCTCACTGCACTCCAGCCTGAGCAATGGAGCAAGACTCTGTCTCAAAAAAAAAAAGAAAGAATAAAAAAAAAGAAAAAAAGAAAAGAAAAAAAGCAGGGAACTATACAACACATTGTCCCAATGTCAACTGCCTGGCTTTGATATCAAACTAGAGCTATGTAAGATGTCACTATTGGGGAAAACTGGGTGAAGGGTACATGGAACCCCTCTGTACTATCTTTGCCAATCCCTGCGAATCCATAGTGATTTCTAAATAAAGATTTTTTTTAAGCAGGATTCAAAAGTCTATACAGCATGGCTCTAATGATGGGATGACGGTTGTGGGGAAGGTGGAGGCCGCTTTTCCATAATAACACCATGGTAGACTCACATGATCCCTGAAAGGCTCTTTACAAGCATCAGCTCATCTTATTCAGACAATCCTCCCATGATGTTGAAAGGGATTCTTATTCCCATCTTACAAAAAAGGAAACTGAGTCTCAGGAAATTGGAGTCGCTGTCCCAGGGGCAGAAGAGAAATTTAAGCCCAAAGTGTCCTACTTTCAACCCCCCCCCCACCTGCCCCTCGCCTCTGCTTTAGTCTCATTTGCCATTGGGTGGTGGTGTTTATTTTCTTCTTTCTACTTCTCTGTATTTCCTCTAATAAGCATGCCTTCCTGTAATAATCAGAAGAAAAAATAAGCAAACACTAGAAAGTGTTCCTTGGTGGGTTGCCTGTTTCTTCTGGAGCCTGTGGCACCACAGTCTACGATTTCTGTCTCCTTGGCACTCTCCTGGCTGCCCAGGACGGCAGCCGCCTCCAGGGCCTTCTGCCACACGCACCCCCACTTGCCCACTGTAGACAGTGGGGTCTGCAGTCAAAGCCCCAGGGCTGCTCACACACACTAGGAGCCCTAGCACAAAACTCTTAACCTGGGAGCCTCAGATTCCTCATCTGCAAAATGGGAATTAGTAATACTTCCCGCTTGTCAAGGTTGTTGTGAAGATCCAATGGAATAAGATGGTAATATTCCACCGATATTTGCTGTGTGCCTACTGTGTGAGAGCATTTGATCATTTGCAAAACTGAACGCTGCCTCAAATCCCTCCTGGACCATGGTGAGGTAGGAATTGCTAAGTAAACATCACGGCTGTTATCGTTGTTCTTGTCCCTGCCTAGCTGGCGGCAGCCTTGTACATCCAGACGGGCAGTGGTTCCTTGGGAACCTCGCAGAACCGGGTGGAACCGAGCCTCCCTGGGAATGGCAGCCCCAGAGGAGAGTGGAACATGCCACAGCCCACAAGACCCCGAAAGACCCCGCTAGACCCCGCTTTGCCTGCTGGTTTTCTGCACCAAGAATCGATTTTCAAGGGTGTTTCCCAGAAGTGGTCTGGCCTCTCTGGTATCATCATTCATCCCACCCTGGCCGCCAGCCACTCCTCACCAAGCCCTCTCTGCCCTGACCGCCTCTTGTAATTGGGGCCCCCATCACAAGTGAGAAGGGGGAGCAGCTGGGACAGGAAGCCGCTTCCTGAAAATACCCTGACCTCACCCATGAGGGTCTGGATGCCAGCACCCCCTGCCCGCCATGTCCTGGCCTTCACCCCCTGAGGCCCTTGGCAAGGCTGGGCCAGGAATGCCACACTGGGGCCAGGGGAGCCTTTCCCAGGCTGGGGCTTAGAGAAGAAGGGTCTAGGCCAAGTGGTCAGAGCTGAGGGTGGGGTACTTCCTGCGTTCCAGGGGGAAACGAAGCCACTGCCAGCTTCCCATGCTCATCCCAGCTTGCAGATGTTCCAGAGAGTGTTCAGAGGAAGTGCAAGGATTAAGACAGGGAGTAGGGGACAGAACAGGAGAGGATCCACCCAGGGAAGGTGAGAGAAGAGCCCTGGAGAGGTCACAGGGATCAGTGGGAGGAGCCTGGGACAGAGGACACACAGGCTGCCGCTGCTGCTGACCTGCTGCATGACCCTGGGACAGTCACATCCCACTCTGGACCTCAGTCCATCTGCAATCCAAGGGGGCTAAACAAGACAGTTTATTTCAAGAATTCACTCAGCACCTCCTGCTGCGGGCCCTGGGCTGGCCCCTGGGGGCAGAGAAGCAAAGGAGACAGGCCTCCTTCCTGCCCCCTGGAGCTAACTGTGGGTGGGAAGGCAGAGAACAAACAATTTCAATAAGGAATGTGAGATGGGAAGTGAAAGGGTGCCAGGGCAGACCGGGGTGCCAGGGGCTGGGAGGATGGGGCAGGGTCTTCCTGGGGGATCAGGAGGGCTTCCCTAAGGAAGGAAAGACCTGGATACATAGGAATCCACTGGATGTCCCAGACTCAGGGAATAGCATGGCTGGGACTGGGAAGCTGGTATACGGGGAGGACCAAAAGGCCCAGGGGGGCTGGGCCATTGTCCCTGTTGGCCACGGTAAGGATTTTGATCCTCTAACAAGAAACCACGGAAGGGGAAGATGGAATAGAGGTGCTGCTGTGCCTGGGGCTGGGGCCTTCAGTCCCCTTCTCATTTGCAGAGGTGCCTCAGTGGAATCCCAAGGCCTCAAGGAACCCAGTTGGGAACCACTAGGGCGGCCAATTTCTAAGGACACTTCTGGGCTCCATGAGGATTCTAGGCCATCCCCAAGCTGCACTTGGGCCCATGCTAGCACCCTCCAGCAAGGCTTTGACCAAGCCCCACCCCAACCTGACCCAAGGGAGCAGCTCACCAGGGCCTCGTGCCCAAGAGGCTCATCACTGACCACCACCCCCCACCAAGTCTCAGGAAGTAAGGAGGGGAGAAGTGAGGTCATCTGGCCCCAAATAAAGGCTGGTTTCTGCAGATGTAAGGCCTTTCCTTCTTCCTTCCTCCTGTTCCGGCCCTTATCATGTCCAGGTCAGGCGCCACCTCTTGAGGAAAGCTTCCCTGGACCCCTTAGGCAGAGTTGATCCCTCCCTCCCTTTGGCTCCACGCCACTGTAGCCACTGATGATCTCACCAGTGTGTGAGTTCCCAGAGACAGGGGTGGCATGGCTGCATCTGTGCATTCATTCATTCGTTCATTCAACAGGGGCTGGGAATGCTGTGATGAACAAGGTAGGCCAGCTCCCTGTGCTCAGGGTGCTCGCAGTCACCTGTGACCTAAAATAGTGCCATATTTATCTTTGTACCTCAGGGGCCCTCTCAGGGCCTGGCACCAAGGGCCCCCAGTGAGTCTGCTGAATAAGTGGATCAGAGAACAACAAGGGTGGACAGAAAGAGAGTTAGGGGAATGTGGAAGTGGGGAGGAAAAGCCCCAGTAGGGAAGGTTCTGTGGGCCTCACCTTCCCCAGGTCTCACCCACATCCTAGGTTGCCCCCAACCTAGGGCAACTTCTCACCCAACTCAAGGACCTTGCTTAGCAGCGCTACCGGACACCCTGATCCCCTCCCTAACCCCACTGAACTGTGGCCATATGCTTTCCAGTCCATGCTGGATTTTTCAAAAGGAAAACAAGGAACGGCAAAGAAAACCAGATCCCAAAGAAAGCACACAGGCATGGCCGCAGGTACAGATGCCTTCAGGCAAGTCTGCCTGGACAGCTGAAGGGATGTTGGCCAAGGCATTGTTTCAGCATGGCTGGGCGGGTGCTGCACCCAGAACACAACAGCATCCCTCAAACCACCACCACCACCAACATCAGTAACAGTGTCAGCATCAACACCACCACGACCACCACCAAAACCAGTAATAACATTAGTACAAACACCACCACCACCACCACCACCACCACCAGTAACAATGTCAACACCAATACCACCACCAACACCAAAACCAGTAACAATGTTAGCACCACCACCACCAAAACCGGTAATAACATTAGTACAAACACCACCACCAGCAACAATGTTGGCACCAATACCGATACCACCACCATCAAAACTAGTAATAATGTTAGCACCAACATCACCAACACTGACACCACTTGTAACCATGTTAGCACCACCACCAACACCACTGTCAGCATAACATTAATACCACCACCAACACCACCATCAGCATAACATTAATACCAACACCAACACCTCCAAAACCGATAATAATGTTAGCACCAACACCAACATTAACACTACCAGTAATCGTGTTAGCACCAACACCACCAAAACCAAAACCAGTAATAACATTAGCACCAACACTACCACCAACACCACCAGTAATCATGTTAGCACCACCAGCACCAACACCAAAACTAGTAATAACAGTAGCACCAACACCATCACCAACAAAAATACCACCTGTAATCATGTTAACACCACCACCACCAACAGCAAAACCAGTAATAATGTTGGCACCAACATCACCAACACTGACACCACTTGTAACCATGTTAGCACCAACACCAACACCACCATCAGCATAACATTAATACCAACACCAACACCACCATCAGCATAACATTAATACCAACACCAACACCACCAAAGCTGATAATGTTGGCACCAACACCAACATTAACACTACCAGTAATCATGTTAGTACCACCACCACCAAAACCAAAACTACTAATAATAGTAGCACCAACACCATCACCAACAAAAATACCACCTGTAATCATGTTAACACCACCAACACCAACACCAAAACCAGTAATGATGTTAGCACCAACATCATCAACACTAACACCACCCGTAATCATGTTAGCACCACCTCCAACACTACCATTAGCAATAACGTTAATAGCAACACCACCACCATCAACCCCATAACATTACCACCTCCAATAACAATAAAAAGAACACCCTCAACACCAACACCAATAACTTCAACATTACCAGTAGTGACAATACCCCCAACACCAATAACAACATAACACCTACATCACCAGTAAAACATTAACACTACTATCACCATCACCACCACCACTCCTAATAACCTCAACACCTAATAACCTCAACACCAACACCAGTAACTTCAACATGATCAATACCAACAACACGATCCCTCTCTAACAACACTACCAGCAGCAACATTAACACCAACACTGTCAGTGTCAACGCCAGCATCAACAACCCCAACACCAATAGCAAAACATGACCAATACCAACACTACTACCAACTACATCAATACCCCAGCATCATCACCAATACCATATCACCGCCGTCAACAACAGCAGCAACAATTATTCCAACAACAGCCACTGCTACCTTAACCCACCTGTAACACCTTCTACATTAGTAGCAAACCCGGTAATACCATGATATCAACAAAAACCCCCTTCCCGACACCCCACTGCCACCAGCACTCACTTCGTACCAGGAACTGTGCCATGCACTCTACACACATGATTTCAATGAAGGCTCATCCCAACCCCATTCAGTGTCTCTCTTATTATCTCCAGCTACATAGGAAAATACAGAGGCTCATAAAGGTTAGCCACTGTGTATCAGGACAAGAATGCTGGACTCCTGACTCCTAGTCCAGTGCTCTTCCCACTGTATCTGTGTCTATCTCCATTGCCTGGACATCCTCCTCCAGCCTGCTCCTCTTGCTCTGTGAAGTTGGGCTGAAATTTTCTCCATGGCACACACAAGCTGTGACGCCTTGGGTGAGTCTCTCCATATGTCAGGGTCTTTCTACCCCCTCCTGCAAAACAAGACGGTACATTATTCTATCCTGAGCGGCAGGCAGACCCTGAGATCGCACATATAAGTCTTCAGGCAGGGCGCCCAGGGCACAGAAGGCATGGAGTAAGGGGCAGTTGTTATTGTTATCAGGATTGGCAAGAAAAAAAAAGAGTACTCTCATTCTGCCGACCAGGGCTGAAAGCCTGCATTCATTCATTCGATGTTGGTAGCAACAATCACAGCCATAACAGCTTGTGTTTATCGAGGACTCACTGTGTTGCCAGGCATGTCCAAAGCGCAGCACATGAGAAAACTGAGGTTCAGAAATGTTAATGAATTAACCAAGCCGAGAAGTGGCAGAGGTGGGATTTGAACCCAGGCAGCCAGGCTCTGCCTGTGCTCTTAATCGTTTGTCTACACCTCCTCCAGTAATATAATTAGCCTCTACTGAGCACCTACTATGTGCTGGTGCTTCTCAGGTATTATCTCTCATCTTCACAACAACCTTGCAGAGCAGATAATACTGACCCTGAAATGAACTTGAACTTGGAGTCCACCAGGCTCTCGCTGTGCCACGGGGCCCCCACCTCCCTGTCTCCTGGGCCATGGCACTCTGGATACCCGGGGGAAACCCTGGCACCCTGGGGGCAATGTCCTCAGGTCCCCTCCCAGGGCAGGTCTATGTTAAAGGCTATTCAGGCACACAGAGGGTGGCTGATTCCAGGCAGGGCCCTCCTGGCTCCCAGAGCTCTTTGGGATCCAAATGCCACCCCCTAACTATCACAGCCCCAGGGGAGCCCAGGGGCCAGGCCGGTTGGTTTTTGGCATCCCCATGAGCAGCTGCCCGGGCAGAAGGGTTTCGTCTTTCCAGGCTGGATGGGAGAATCCTGCCTCCCTCCCGAGTTCTTGTTCCCAGGGAAAGACCTTGGCAAGATCCCTGATCCTTCCCTTCCCTGGGACGGATGGCTTCCAGCTGCCTGCCGCCCCCAGCCTGGGAAAATTCCTCTGTGCTCTGCGGGTCCCTGGATCTCTGAAACCTGAGTGGCGCCTCCATGGCCCCACGCAGGGCTCCCTTGGCCACCATTTTGCTTTAGCACCAAGCGCTTTTGTATTCCCAGCAAGACTCCAATTACAGCAATAACAGGAACGGGCGACTTTAACCTGGGACGGGCTTAAAACAAAGAAATTCTCAGTCACTTCTCCCCTATGTGTGCCAGGCCCTGTGCTAGGCACCTTACAAATGGCAAGTGGGTGATCCCACATGCCTGTGAGTTTAGCATTTTACAAATAGGGAAACTGAGGCTGGGGCAGCTCTCCATCACTGATTAATGACAGAGCTGCGTAGTAACTCGGGCTGGTCAGAGGTCCACCACACTTTGTCCGTCCAACTCCCTCATTACAAAGGTGTGGAAACTGAGGCCCAGAGAAGGGAGGTACCTTCACAAGGGACACTGCCAGGAGTACCGGGCTGGGTACAGCCCAAGAGGATTTGACTCTCAGGCTCGTTCTCAGTCTCCCCTCTGCCTTCCTTGGGAACGCATCCCTGACCTCCCCTATTGTTCTCTGCCTTGTTGTTCACCTCAACCCCTCCTCCCCTCCGAGAGCAGAGAGGTTTTCACGTGTACCGCTCCTGCTTGCGAACACACAGCCACCTGCAATCACTGTCAAAATTAGTCCACACGCATGCCCTGTCTCTAATCTAGCTCCCCGCGCCGATCTCATACCCTGTGAGTTTCCCAACATGCCCTGCCCTGCCGAGCCTCTGGGCTTTCACAGGTGCTGTTCCTGCAGCCTAGCTTGCCCTTCCCCTCACTGCCCGTGCCACCTCTGCACTGTAACTGCCTGCTGACTCTGTCTTGCTTTTGAAGTTCAAGCCCTAGCAGGGCCAGGGCTGGCTTCTCTCCTCTCTGGGGGACCCCAGGGCCTGCCACCCCTTCTGGAAGAGAAACCAGCATACTAGAGCAGTGGGAAAGCCCAGGCTTTCAGGGACCCCCACTCTTGTCACAGCCCTGTCACCCTGAAAATGTCAGCAATGCTCAGGGTCTGTGACTGTGACAGAGGTTCCCCAGTCCCCCTCCCCACCCCTATCACCCCCTTCACGAGGGACTGGAAGGATCCTCGGTGCTGAGCTTAGGGAGAGTGAGAGCGACAGGTGTTGCCCCTGCCAGCGGGGCCTTTCCCACATGCAGCCGCCAGCTGGGAAGATGGATGGGCCTTCCCGAGCCAGGGCCAAGGAACGGGGAGCTCATGTCGCCAGAGCTTCACATCCCTGGCTGGAAAGGGCCGTAAAACGTTCCGGGGCCAGACACAGGATTTGGGCCATTCTTCAAGTCATGGGGGATCCATTGTTTTGTTTTCTTTTTAAGGAAGAAAAAAGAGAGCAAGAAGGAGGAGGAGGAAAGACCATCTGCAGTGCTACCCCCAACCCCATATCCAGAGGCATGGCCGGGAGACACCAGCAGCTCCCAGAACGGACCCTGGTTCCATCTTTGACCTGCCCTGCCTCTAGCAAGCTCGGTTGACCTTGGGCCAGGGAGCTCTCTGGGCCTTAGTCACTCATCTGCCAGATGTATGGGATGATGCCCTCCCAGCTCTATTTTCTACAAACCAGGATTTATCAGGAGCAGAGGCAGGATTCCAGAGGAGTTTCTGAAAAGCCTCATCCAAAGCAGAGAAATTAGGCAGAGTGGGGAGAGGGTGAGAACCATTGAGAGGCTTCTCCCCTGAATCTGCGGACAACTTAGGCCCTTAACTAAATATTCAGGACTTCCCCTCTTGGGACTCGATTTTCCCTGCTGGGATATGAGTATGAAGGTTCCTTTGATTATGGAGAGGAGACTGAGTGCTTACAATGTGCCAGGCACACTGAAGCCCTGCGTTTAGCACAGCAGTGTCTATGCTGAGTAGAGGTGCTGACCTCCTTCCATACAGCAGGTGTGAAAGGGAGGCTAAGGCCTGCCCCGGGGTCATCCAGGAGTGAGCAGCAGGGATTTGCACCCAATATGCTCCCCTGCCTCCTCTGGCTGCCTGTGGGTGGCCTTCTCCGACCCAAAGAATGCAGAACCTAAGCAATGCTAAAGGCCCTGAGCCAAAGCCAGGAGCCCCTGGGGCAGCTCGTGAGGAGGGACCCTTAACCTGGGCCCAGCTTCCAGGGCTGGCCTTCCTGTGGCCACTGTGATGCCCACGCTCCAATGTGAAACCAGCAGCCGAGAGGCACAGACTCATCCCAGACCCTCCCCAATTCCCTCCCCAATCAGTTCTTGCCCTTCACCCCAGTCTGTGCTCCAGGCCATCTCTCCAACCCCTGCCTGGCCTTTTGCTCATTGCTTCAGAATTCAAGGAATCTGGGAGCATGTCCACCAGCCCCATTAGACTGTTATAGCTCCTTGAGGCCAGGACCTATCTTACTGCTTCCTGGAGCTTCCAGAGTGCCCAGCAGAGGGCCCACCAATGGCTCATTCATTCAGCAATTATTTATTGAGAACCTACTATGTGCCAGATGTAGGCCCTACTATGTGCCTGTGTGTAGGCCCTGGAATACAACAGGGAACAAGAAGCCACACCCTCCCTCACGGAGCTTACCTTCTAGAGGGAGAGATGGGCAAAGATGAAGCCACTGGGGACAGTGCTGAGGGCAAGAAGTGGAGGAAGGATGATAGGGTGGGTGGAGGAGAGGGGCAGGCTCTCTAAGGAGGTGATACTTCTGTATTTTTTTGAGAGACAGGGTCTCACTCTGTTGCCCAAGCTCAAGTGCAGTGACATGATCATAGCTCACTGCAGCCTTGAGCTCCTGGACTCAAGCGATCCTCCAGCCTCAGCCTCCCAAAGTGCTGGGATCACGGGCAACCACCACCATGCCCGGCCAGGAGGTGATGTTTAAACTGAGACCTAAAGCATGAGCAGGAGCCAGCCTGGCTCACTGTTTCCTGGGAAATGAGAGAAATTTAGACCAACTTCTTCTACTTACGCATGGGGAAACTGAGACCCAAAGGGGTCACACAGCCATTTAGAAGCTTGACCCCTGTACCCGGACTTGGGTTCTTTTCCTCCCCAGGAGCACAGGAGGAGGGAAGGGAGGGTCTCAGCCTGAGGCACAGCCAGGGGAAGAGGCAGGGGGTAGGGGAAGTGACAGGACTTCTAGCGCTGGGGGAGGGGCTGCCTTCCACCTGCTGGACACAGAGCCCCTCCCCATCCTAGACCCAAGGTTCCCCAAGGCCTGCCTGCCCACCCCACTGACCAGGCTTCAGAAAATTGATTTCCTAACAGCCATCCATCAACACGGCACCTCCAGCTGTTGGTGTGACACCCGTGTCCCCAGAGCCTAGTCCGCCCAAGGAAGCTGCTCCTGGAACGCCCTCCCTCACCCCTAAAATGACCTCTGTGATTCCAGGAACTGGTAACTGGAGACCCAAGACAGCACCTCCCCTGTGATTGCTCCTCCCCACCCCCACCCCCCATCACTCTGAAAGTGGTTTTCAACCGCTTCCCCCAGAGGCCCTCTGCAGCCTCACAATACTGGGTCTACTTGAATACCCCTCAGTGACAGGGTGCTCAGCCCCTCCTGGGGCAGCCCTGATGATAACTCAGGTTCCATTGATCGTGGAGCAACTGGGAGTGGTCATCACTGTAGTTAAGCCTCAAGGTAATTAGGCAAGGCAGTGTTATCCTTCTCATTTGAGAGATGACAACATTGAGGCTCCAAGGTCAACCGTTCTCCCCAAGGGCTGGCTCACCCCCAAAGGTATAGGTGTCACCCCTGCCTTCCCAGTTCTCCTTCCCGGTAGTAAACAAGTTCCTTCACCCCATGGCTCCTCCCACCGGCCTTGGTTCCCCTGAAGACCACATGGCATCTTCCCTAGGCTGCCCCTGGAAGGTCATAGCTGGGAGCAGTGGCTTCAAGCCAACTCTGAGCTTCTATTCCTTGGCCCGAGTCCCCCCAGCCTCCATTCACAGGGGAGACTGGACATCCATCTGATCACCTTAGCCCTGACAGCAACCCAAGATCCTGGAATGGCCCACAGATCCCCTTCCAGTGGCAGGAGGGAGGAAAGGAGATGGGAGGAGGGTGTTAGCCCTGGGATCAGCAGCTCCAGCTTAATTTGCAGCAATTTGCTGTATGATCTTGGGTAATAGAAACTCCTATCTGGGCCTCAGGTTCCAAAATGGAAACAGGAATTAAGAGGCTCTATGGAGAAGCTCTTCCTGGAGGAAGGAATCTGGTGTGAAGATGGTGGAGCCCAAGGCCAGTTTCACCCACATTGAAGACACTGGGACAACCACGGTGAGATCAGCAAGGGGTCAGCTGGGAGGTGAGGAGCAAGCCCAGAGAGGGGAAACAACTTGCCTGAGGTCACATAGCCACAAAGTAGAGAGACCTTGAGCCAGAACACAGATTTCCAGGTAGGGCCAAAACCATCCTCTAATCCATGGGCCTTTCTGCAGGTCTCTGGGAGCAGTCAAGACCCCAGAAGACCTTGTCACCTCCGTGTAAGTCCCTCTGTCACCCCTGAGGGACCTAGTTTGGTAGGGTTGGAGGAGAGGAGCTGTGCCCACAGCTGGTAGAAACAGGACCACAAAGGGTTAAGGCGCTGCCCGGGTCTGCTTGATCCCCCTAAGCAGGCAGGACCCCAGGCAGAGTCGGGGCTTGGGTTTCATGCCACCCCCACCCTGGTCTGGCTATAAAATACAATCGTGTCTCGCTGCTGATTGATGGTCTGGGGGAAACCTTGGGGAGATGGGCTGGGGCGAGATCAGATTTTCAAGGGCTCAGCCACTGATATTCTATCTGGGGCCTTCCAGAACCTGCCACCGGCCCATCTCCATGGGCCCTCCAAATCCTGGAGGAGGCAGGAGTAGAGAGGCAGTCAGATCACCCTCTGAGGCCACGCCACAAGGCAGAGGTGCCTGGGCTTACCTCCAGCCCTGAGAGTGGCCTACAGAGTCCCCTCCAGAAATCTCAGGAGACTTGCCTGGGTGGCTGTTCATTCATTCATTCATCCATTCATTCATTTCCCAAATACCTACTAGATTATTTCAGGCAAAGGGGTTCCAGAGGTGAGCCTCGGCCAGAGATAGTCCAGAGACAGCTCCTGGCCTCATGAAGTTTTCCATGTAGCAGGCCCAGAAGAGCACGATTCTGAGACTTCAGGCCCACCCCCAGCATCCAGGATTGAGGACCAGACCAAGACTGAAGCAACAACTGGGGCTTGGGCTCTGTCTCCAGGCTGATCTGAGTTTAAATCCCAACTCTGCCACTTAGGAACTACGTGACCTTGGGCACGTTGCTTAACCTTTCCATGCCTCATCTATAAAATGGGCAGGTAATAGCATCTACCACTTGGCATTCTGGTGTGGAACAAATGAAGCAATGAATCCAGAGTGCTTAACATCGAGCCTGGCATTGAGTAATTGAGTAATTATAGTTTCCCATTATGATTTTGGATTCTGGTAGACTGTCTGGCACTCTGTGTGAATGAATGAATGAACGAATGAAGCTGGTATGCCAGGATGTATTTGGTGCTTCCTACAAAATATCTCATTTAACCTCCACCATGATGGGGAAACTGAGGAGGCATTCTCAGAAGCATTCCCTTCCTCCTGCAAGCCCCAGGCCCTCAGTTTTGGCCTCGACTGGAGACTGACCACTTTCATAATGGGGGTCCCCATCTTTGTTCTCCCAGTCAATCAAGAGAGTGCTGGGGACAGAGGTGGTGCCAGTTTGTCTCTGAGACCTCTTCTTGCTCATTTGGCACCAAGCACACAGGAGGCATGAAGGAAAGGGAAGAAAGAAGAAGGCAGGAGGGAGATCAGAAAAGGGGACAGGGGCAGGGGTCCCAGCCAACCCAAGGGCCTTGGCTCCAGGTGCCTGCGCTCCAGGCACAGCTCAGACAGAAACCGTGCAAACCATTTCAGGTTCCTCTTTCTGCCCCCACAGCCATGGACATCCATACCCAGCAGGTGAGTTTAATATGCAGGCTTGAGGGTCCAGCTGCCTGGATTCCAGTCTCACCATCCTCTAACAATGACGTGAGCTTGGGTGAGTCATCTCCCCTCCCTGGGGCTCAGTTTTTCCCCTCTGTGAAATGGGAATAATAATAGTGAGATCCTGCAGACTTTTCCTTGCCTATTCACGCTGGCCCAGCCTGGTCATCTGAGCACAGCCTCCTCGAATGGTCTTTGAAGGAAAAGGAGCCCCGACCCAGCAGCTGGCCCTCAGCCCTGCCCCTCTTCTCCCCCTCTTCTCAGTACCCCCAATCCCCAGGCCCCAGGGTCCTTAATCCACCCCAGAGTGACATGGAGCAAGTGCTGTATCCCAGCGCCCGCCTGCTGCGAGGGGCGGAGGATCACACAGGCCGGGAGAAACCCTAGCTCCGCGTGCAGCCTGGGGACCCAGCAGACTGTCAACAGTAGATTAGACCCCACACTGTTCCCAGGATCCAAGAAGGGTGAGGGGGGCTCTCTCCCCCGAGTCCCTCCTAACTTTCTGCTGGGGGTGAGAGACCCAGGCGCCTGTCCCCAGAGCTTGGAAAGGCAGAACTGTTGAGAGAATTTATTCACTCATGTCACAGAGGCTCAGAGATGGAGAGGGGCTGGCCCACGGTCACAGAGCAGGCTTGTCCAGAGCCAAGGCCAGATCTCTGGCTTCCTTGCTCCCAGACCTTGCTGCTTCCTGCATCCCAGTCTAATGCCAGTGATTTGCCCTGACTGTGACCTTGACCAGGTCAACAGAGCTTTTCTTCCTCATTAACTTGTCAGCTACCAATGCACTGCCTCAAATACCCTGGACTGATCTATCTCCCCCTGCCGCAACCTCAGAAAGTCCCAAATCTCTTCAGCCAGGTGTTCTGTAGACAAGGGTCCACACTGGCCAGCTCTGGGCCCACGGCCATTTTATTTGAAGAGTGAGGGTTCTTGCACCATAGCTGTGGGAAATTTGCATTAAAATTCGCATTTCTAGCCTCTCTTAAAATAAACGTTCAGGCTACAGAGTTCCCCATCGTCCCTGCCTGAGCAAAAACCCTGTGTCGCACATTATTCTGGGTATGTCACATATATCAAGTCCTTTAGTCCTTATAACAATGGGAATTCCTATTCCATCAACAAAGAAACCAGACGCAGAGAGTGAGCTGGCACACAAAGATCATCTTCACAGCCTGGAAATGGCAGAAGTGGAACTCAAACCCAAGTCCAGTGACTCCAAAAACTCGGAGCTCCTACTGCTTCTCGTTCAAGGCAATGGGGTTACTGCCTCACAGCCCTGCAAACTGAAGTCTCAAATTCTCTCCAGTTCACATGGTTTTCTAGTTGACCTCTCCTTTCCTCCTCGACAATTGGCATGGAGCTGAGCTTAGAGAAGCTTCCTCCCCGAGTCTCTCTCCCTCTGGACTGACTTCCTGGGAAATGTCCTAGGGTCCAGATTGAACCCCAGTTTCCCTTTATTACCCACACTGTCACCATGATAGTGAGACAAACGCCAAGGGTCTGGCTTTGTGGGCACACCATGGTCTAATCCAGCTCACCTTCCTCCTTCATCTTTCTCCCTTCTCCTCCTGTCATCCCATGTCCCCAGGAAAACTAAGCCACTCCCCGATTCCACAGCCAGTTGCTCTTTCCTACCGCCTTCCCCAGCTCACACCAGACCCCCTGTCGGAAATTCTCTCCTCACTCCATTTCCCCTGGCCCTCAATTGTGTCCTCCCCCATCCCAATCACATGTGACCTCCTGCTTTCTCTTAGGCATAGATTTTGGAGCCAGACAGACCTGGATATGAATCCAGCTCTGCCATGTGCCAGCTGGGTTACCCTTAGGCGATGCACTGTCCTTGCATTCCTCAACTTCCCCATCTGTAAAATGGGTTTTTTTGATAATTCATCTCATCCTCTCTCCAACTGCTATTAATTCAATGAGGACTCGATGGGATGATGTTTGCAAAGCACCTCCCACATAGTAGGTGCTGCCTGGCTTGCATTAGACCATTGTCAATGTCTCTTCTCTTATGCTCTGCACTTTAAGCACCCTGAAGGCAGAATCTTATTTTTGTGCACTTTTTTTTGCCCTGGGCCTAGTAGGCCACATGGCACGTAGCAAGAAGTTCATGCTTTGAGTATTGCAGGAAGAAACATGAGTCTCAGTGTTTCAGGGATTAGGCCCAAAGTGTCCTTGGCTCACTGACAACAGCAGGGGTGGGGTCCCAGCCTGGGAGTGTCAGGCAGACAGGCAGGTGGCTAGAGAGGAAATGTCACCTTTGAACTCAAGGCGATCTTGGTCATGTAGTCAGTCAGTCAATCACTAGCTTATTGAGCACCTATGATGTGCTGACGTTGTACTAGGAACAGGGGTTACAGGAGTAAACAGAACAGATGAAGTCTTCGCTCTCAGAATGTTTATATTTTAGGTCAGGGAGACGGATCATAAACTCAAAAGCAAAGAAGCAAGTGAGATGATTTCAGATGTTGCTAAGCACTATGAAGACAGTCCAGCCCAGTGATGTAATTGGAGATCAATGTCAGCAAAGGCCAGGCTGAATCGACAGGGAGACAGCAGTGCATAAATGTGGGGAAGAACAATCCAAGCAGAAGAAAGAGCACATGCAAAGGCCCTGGGGTGGGAACAAGCTTGGCGGGTTCAAGAAAAAGGAAGGAGGGCATTTGTGTCTGACACAACAAGAGGGTGACAAGAATAATGACGAGAGTTGTGGGAGATGAGATCAGAGCAGAGGGAGACAGGGCTGCGTGGGGGCCTATGGGCTGACTGAAAAGCCTACAGTTTCTTCTAAAATTGGAGGTGAGTGACACGATCTGATTCCCACTAGTGGAAGTGTCCCTGGCTGCTTTGGGAAGAATGAATTGCCTGGGTTGGGGCGGGAGCAAGGATGGAGGCAGAAACAAGCAAAGAGGCCGTAGGTATCCGAGCAAGAAAAGATTGCAGCCAGGCCGGGCGCGGTGGCTCACACCTGTAATCCCAGCACTTTGGGAGGCCGAAGTGGGAGGATCCCTTGAGCCCAGGAGTTCAAGACCAGCCTGGGCAATATGGTGAAACCCTGTCTCTACAAAAAATACAAAAATCAGCCAATCATGATGGCCCACGCCAGTGGTACCAGTTACTTAGGAAGCTGAGGTGGAGGATTGCTTGAGCCCAGGAGGTCAAGGCTGCAATGAGCCATGATAGCGCCACTGCACTCCAGTCTGGGTGATGGAAAGAGACTCTGTCTCAAAACAGACAAGAAAGCAGCCAGTTTCAACATGGTACCCATGGAGACAGAGTCAAGATTTGGGAGACGTGAAGGAGGATGGGAGGAATTAAGGATGACTCCTGTATCGCCAGCAGGAGCCACTGGGTCTGTGAAGAGTTCACAATTCCTAGCCTGCATTCAGTGTCTAGGAAGATTTGCTACTATTATTATCTGCTGTGTGACTAAGCGAATCACCTCAATCGTCTGAGGCTCAGTGTCCACAAGTGTACAATGGATTCACAACATACACAGAGTGCGCAGTTAGGATCACACGAGATCATGGGCGTGAAGGGCTTAGTAATCTCTGAAATACTATAAAATAGAAACTACCAAAGCTATTAACTGTTTATAAAATCAAAAAGCTATGAAATGTTATTAGTATCCTCATTATTACTATTTCAAGGTTGGAGTTCCCGGCTGGTGAGCGGACATGTGGCACCCTGTGTAAGTAAGCTGAGCCAACGGAGTCTGTGTCCACTGTCCAGTTAAACTCCTTCCCCGAGACGGGGGCAGGATGAGGAGCAGCTTGGGCAATAGAGGAGGTTCCAGCTTTGGGGCCAGGAGCCTTGGGCCTGTTCCTAACTCAGCCACTGATTCTTGGGTGACCTTGAGCCACTTGATGCCCATCCTTCTCTGGGCCTCAGTTTCCCCTTCTATAAAGCAAGAGGGTAGGGCTAGAGGCCCCCAGTGGCCTTTCCAGCTGTGACCCTGTTAAAAGCTAGTTCCCTGGACAGGCGCGATGGCTCATGCCTGTAATCCCAGCACTTTGGGAGGCTGAAGCGGGCGGATCATCTGAGGTCGGGAGTTCGAGACCAGCCTGGTCAACATGGTGAAACCCCGTCTCTACTAAAAATACAACAATTAGCCAGATGTGGTGGCGGGTGCCTGTAATCCCAGCTACTCAGGAGGCTGAGGCAGGAGGATCCCTTCAACCTGGGAAGTGGAAGTTGCAGTGAGCCGAGATCGATCACTCTATCGCACTCAAGCCTGGGTGACAGAGCAAAACTCCGTCTTTAAAAAAGAAAAGCCTGTTTTTCTCCTCCCACTCTGTCATGCTCAGAAGTTTAGTCTCCCAGCACCTCCTAGGGAGGGCCAGCTGGCCACACCTGGGGATCGACTACCCAGAGCAGGCTCACCCACAGGCTCTTTCAGACCTCGCCTACTCCCCTCCCTAACCCCAAGTCGCCTCTGCTTGCCTTTCTCTTCCCACTTCCCCACCTGCTGACTCCAGCCCTGCCAGGGTTAATTGGCCCGCAGCTCCCACCCCTGCAGGAAAAGCAGAGAAGGGGGGCCCAGGCTCCCCCCACACCCGCCACAGCTGTCTCCCCACATCCAGGATAAACAGGTCCCAGGAGCCTGGGAGGAAGCGGACCACATTCTTGAGGGCCTTATGTCAGGCTGGCTGCTTCCCACTCCCCTCCCCAACCCACCAGCCCCCCATCAGCCCTCCAGACCCCTCCCTCACTCTCCCCTGCCAAGGCGGCTCAGCGGGCACAGAGCCAGCCAGGCCTGGGCATGAATCCTGGCTGGACAAGCTTCCTACCTTCCTTCTCGGTTTCTTCATCTGCAAAGCGGGGATAATTCCTACTTCAAGGGGGGACAGGATTCAACAAAGCTAATTTGCATATACAAAGTGCAGAGCACATACTAACAGCTAGGTTTTCCACGGGGCAGCTACGCCCTAGGGCCTACATACAAACTCACTTAATCCTAAACCGAGGCACAGAGAGGCTGAGTAGATTGCCTGAGGTCACACAGCACTAAGTGGTAAAGCTAGGATTCAAATCCAGGCCTTTCTGGCTCCAAAGTCCACAGGCTTAATTACACCGTGTCCACTAGATAAGGGGTAGTTTCCTTTGTCCCTACTCCCCCTGTCCTCCACTGCTCCCCACCCCGGTGGTCAACCCAGTGAGGGGAGAACCCTGGACAAGATGGGGGTCACACCGTGGCTTTCACCTGTGTCCCCTGAGCTGCTGTTCTGCCTCCTCTGGCTGTGTGGCATCGGGCAAGGTGCTGCCCTCTCTGTCATGACACACATCTGGGACACCAACATCAGAAGAGGAGGCACTGGCATGGAATGTGCTTTCTTAGACTTTGATGTATGCAGGTAACTAAGCTCCCAGAGCTGCTGGCCATGGGGGAAGGGAGGCTGGCGGCCAGAGATGCATCTGCAGATACATTTTAAACATGCAAATGAGAGGAAAGGAGGGATGTTCAGACATCCCTGTGTGATTCCTCAGAAATGGATCTCAACCCTGATGTCACACATGCCGGCCTGATTACCTCCGAGGATGCCTTCTGCAAGGTCAGCATCTGCTTGCTAAAATGAGGATTCAAATGCACTCGGTGTGTCCGTCTGTAAAATGGACACTAAATCAAGAGGCTTGAAGCCTTGGGGAAACCAGGGCCTATTTCTAGGGACAGAGACAGCCCAGGGTCATAGAGAAGGTCAGGAGTGGAGCTGGGACTAGAACCAGAGCTTGAGACTAAACATCAAGGTTCCTCTTCCTCTCCCGCCAGTCCCCCACCCCCAGCCCTGGCTCCCACCTCTCACTCTTCCCTCAGCTTGCAAGAAGCACCATCCCTGCGCTTACCCCTTTCCTGCCTCCTGGAACACCCAGCCTCGGAACCACCTCCCCCTGGTGCCTTCGCCCTGCTCCTCCTCTGATGGAAAGCACCCAGTTGACATCCAATCATGTGCCACCTTGTTTTTGTTTTTATTATTATTATTATTATTATTATTATTATTATACTTTAAGTTTTAGGGTACATGTGCACAATGTGCCGGTTAGTTACATATGTATACATGTGCCATGCTGGTGTGCTGCACCCATTAACTAGTCATTTAGCATTAGGTATATCTCCTAATGCTATCCCTCCCCCCTCCCCCCACCCCACAACAGTCCCCAGAGTTTTATTCCTACCATATGTGTGTGAATTTTCTATTTTATTCATGACTCCTGAAAACCAAGGGTCGTATTTATTTTTCCCCCAAATTTGCTGACACAAAACACATGCTGCTTGTTTAACCGACAATTGAATTAATCAGTCTTAAGCTTCTCTGTCACCATCACCATCATCAACATCATCAGCATCACTTCGCCCTGTCAACTGCCCCTGCATCAGGAAAAGCACCCACAATGGCCATCTTCATCCCCTTCCTCCCAAATGTCACCATCATCATCCCCAGGAATAGTAGCAGCCCTGGGGCCATCACCACCAAGCTATCATCCTAATGATGTCATTCCGCGCATGGTCACTCAAAACCTCACGTGGGCCAAGCACTGCGCTAAGAGCTCTCCAGGCATCTTCTCATTTAATCCTGACAACAGACCTAGTCCCAGCCATGCCCCAATGGAGTAGGTACTCTTATGGTACCTGCTTTACAGATGGGAAAACTGAGACACTGAAGGGTTTCTTGGATGCCTAAAGCGATAGGGGCAGGAGAGGAGCCCAGGTTTGCCTAACTCCAAAGTCCATTTTCTCAAACATGCTTTGTACCATCACCCCAAAGCCACAGCAAAATTGCCATTGTTTCCACTGCCAAATAAGCAACCAACATCAGCATGAGTATTTTCATTACCGCCATCATCAACACAGTCACCACCACTGCCAAGAGCTGTCACCTTTAGCCTCACCACCATCAGCTCCACCCACCCCACCAGCCACATGAGCATTCTTTACATTTTGCTCAGCTGACAGCCCCCAAGCACCATCACACATCAGAGACAGAAGAGAGACAGAGGAGCAGGCTTGGCCCCTGGCCTCAGAGAGCCTATTTCCCCTCCCCTCATCACGACCATTCCTTCCTCTCCCAGCCTCATCACCCTCATTACACAAAGGAAGGCCTGGAGCAGACCCATTCTCTTCCTCATGATTGCGGGGAGGGACATTGTCACGGCCAAAAGATCAGGCCTTTGAGTGGCTGTACTCAGCAAACATTCATCCGATAATTCATTCAATTCACTAAGCATTTATTGGGCATCACTGTATGAGCCCAACAGCTACAGAAGTAAAGAAAACAGAGAGGGCCTACTCGGATGGAATGAGGAGGACAGATGTCAAATAAATCACTACAGGAGGGATGGGGTGCCAAAGAGATGAGTTGATTGTAAAAAGGGGTGAAGTGGAACAACCTAGCCTAGTCTGGGAAATCCAGGAGGACTTCCTGGAGGAAGCACCAGCTAAGCTGAGACCCCAGTGCTAAGTGGAAGCGAGCTAGGCAAAGAGGAGAATATGCTGGGGCTACTAGGAAGGCGTTCTGATGGCAGGCACAGCATGTACAAAAGCCCTGAGCTGGGAAAGACTTCTGCTTTTAGAGCAACCAGAGGGAACCTAATGTGGCTGATGCCAGGTGACACGGGAATGAGGAGGTGACCAGAAACTGAGGAAGCCCTGCCAGCCTCATGGGGAGTGCAGCGGGGATGGCAGTGGAGGGCAGGGGGGCAGCTCTCGCGAGGACTTGGAAAAACAGCACCCAGCCCCGGAAGAGAGGGCATGGGCAACCCAGCGTGAGGCCCAGAGGAAGGAGCCCAGAGGGCCAATGGGGGCTGATGAAATGTTATGGACGGTGCTGAGCGATTATGCAGAGAGAATCGATTGCTCGGGCTGGTGCCTGCCTGGCACAGAGACACAAGCGCTGAAATGTCAGGCCTGTGATCTGAGAGTGCCACCCGGCAGCCGCTGAGCTAGACAGCCCCCACGGGTGCAGACCGAGCTGCGGGTGTGCAAAAAGAAATCCCAACGCCCCCCAGATGGAACTGTTGTCCTGGCAGGGCTGAGGCAGCAGGGATAGGGACGGGGCATCTCAGAAGGTTCTGGAGAGGAGGGGCCGGGTGGACCTGCTTTTCTCGGTTCTCGTGCATGCAGATAGCTCAGCTCCCAGAGACGCAGGCAGGAAGGGAGGGAGGCAGAAAGGCTGGGCCCCGTGCTAGAGAGATGCGTCTGCAGATACATTCTAAACATGCAAATCAGAGAAGGGAAGGGGCACTGGGAGACTTCCAAATGCCCACTCCCTGGGGCACAGTGTAGGGTGGAGGGAGGGCTGGAGGGAAGGCAGGTGGAGGGGGAGCTGAGGGAGGTGGGGGGGAGCTGAGGGAGATGGAGGAGGAGACCATGGGACCTCACGTGAGCCTGACCCCCTCCTGGCCATACCCCTGCCCCCAAAGCCACCTCTCTGCAGAACGGACTGGTTCCTGCCTCCCAGCCAAAGAAGGCTGGGTAGGCTGGAGCAACTCCCCAACACAAGCATCCTGAGCGCCTGCTATGTGTTACAGGCTTTCCCAGTTCTCAGGGATTCTACAGGGAGAAAACTGCCGTTAAGAGACTTCAGTGACTTGTGCCAGGCCATATGGGTCACTTAGTGATCAGCAAGATCACAACAGCTCTGACGATGTGACAGGCACTGCACAGAGCCCTCGCCTGCTCCATCCTGTTTCATCCTCACTGCTACCATCAGGTGCTCTAAGAAGCATCATTACCGTCATTTTACAGATGGGGAAACTGAGGCTCTCAGAGAAGCAACTTGACTGAAGTCATCCTGCCAATAACAGACCAGCTAGAATTCGAGCCCTGAGCTGGGATAGAGGGTCTATGCCTGGAGACCTCACTCCCAGGCTTCACAGTGGTAAAATAAGTCACCCCAGGCATAAGAAAATAAGCCGGGGAAAGAGCCTGCTTTAGGGTGGGGCCAAGGGGAAGGGAGAAACCAGGTAGAGGGCTTGCTCAACGGTACGGAGTTCAAATCACAGCTTCCCAGGCCCCCCGTGCCCTAAACGCACCGGCTCAGGGTGGCTTTTTTATAGAATCCCTGCCACATCCTGGTCTCCTTCTGCAGTCATTGGTCCCCATAGAGCATTCTCCACATTGCATCTGGTGATCTTTCAAGCACGAATCAGATCGGGTCCTCTCCTGCTTAAATTCTCTGGGTGACGTCCTGTTGCCCTGAGAATGAAATCCTGAGAGGCCCTGCCCCATCCAGCTCCTGCCCCCTCCCCATCCCTCTGTCCGGAAGATGCTTTCCCCAGAACCTGCTGCGGCTGCCCCTCCCCGACAGCCTCCCTCCCTGGCCACAAGCGGCCCCAGCCCCTGTCTGTCCAGTCGCCCCGGCCATTCTTCACAGCACTTACCTCACTTACTTCAGTCTCGGCGCTTCCCCGCTTCCCTTTATTGTGGGAATTTGGGCTTGTGCACTGGAGTTTGGGCTTCATGAGGGTGGAGAGCTGGCCTGTCCTGTTCCCCATGGCACCCCCCAGTGTCGCATAGTAGATGCCCAATAAACATTTGTTTAATGGGGAAGGGGCAGTGCCCAACAAGGTCTCTTGCATGCTGTCAGGGCATAGCATGCCTGGGCCGAGCCCGTTGCCTGGCAGATAGGGAAACTGAGGCTCTGAGGGGCTGACCCCACAGCTAAGGGCAGAGGCCAATGCTCTGAGGGAGCACTTAGCTCCCAAGCCAGGATTTTCCACTGCCCCAGGAGTCACGGGCTCCCTTCCCTCCTCTCATCCTTGCCACTCTCCCCTGCCTCTCCCCACCGGTGATCACCAGCACCACGTCTCTCCCTCCTGCCAGGCTGGCTTGAGGCAAAGGTGATTTGCTGACAGGGCCTGGGGCTGGACTTAGGTTCAACACCCAGCTCCGCCACCTCCTCGCTGACTGACCACAGGCAAGTTCCTCTACCTCCCCCAGCCTCAGTTTCCTCCTCTGTACTGTGGGGACGTCAAGGGTTGTTAGACGAGAGTGTGTGTGAGTGGAAAGGGCCCAGCAAGTGCCTGGTGCCGAGGACACTCATTTAACCCGTGATGAGAGTGGCAGTGCCATCTCCCCGCAGCTCGTGAGGACTGGCGCGCCCCTCCCCGATCCGGGCCAGGGTCTCTGCGCACTGGGTCCACCTGCTTCAGCCTTCACCCTCCTAACAAAGAGGTTGGTTGGTCTTTCCAGCCTGTCTACTCACACCCTCCCTACTACTCAAACCATTCATCATTCCTCCTGCTTCCTGTCCCATCAGCCCAGCCAAAAGGTTGTGATTACCACACAAGCACACGCACGTACCAAACACACGTGTGCACGCAAGCACAGATGCCTGTATGCACAGTCATAGACGCACACATCTCCCCACACACAGCCAAATAGTCGCCCAGAGGGACACGGCGTTGGGGTGCTTAACACGCACCCCCTCGCACACCCGCGTGCACACACGGGTCTCCGTGGGCACTGCGTACACACGAACCACAGACACTAGCACCTGTGTGCCTGCATTCACCCACACAAACCGCCCTGCTTTCGGCCCTTGCCTCTCTCCGACACCTGCAGCCTGGCAGACCCCGTGCCGTAGAGGTGACACAGAAACACACACTGGGTGAGTTAACAGTCGGGGCTGGCATTTGGCACCACACTCTGGATAGACGGGAACAGCCTGCACGCATGCACCTCCGTGTCTCTGCATCGTGTGTTTGTGTGTGTGTGTGTCTACCCAAGCGTCCAGCCTTGGGCCTGGAAGAGACGGGACTTCAAGCCCTGCCCAGCACTTCCAAGCACGGAGCCCCTGGCAGCGGCTCAGCCTCCCTTTGCACAGGAATGGGGCCAACAGCACCATCTGCTGTCAGCTTCTGGAAGTGCCCTGCAGAGAGCGCACACCTGGCTCTCGGATCAGCTTTCCAGAAGGACCTGGGCTGTGGCCGCTATCCTGACAACAAGCTGGGCCACAGGGACATCCCCAGTCCAGTGAACTAGAATGAGGCTGGTCTTCAGAACCACCGGGAAAATTTGTGTCCAAGTTAGGGACCACTCTCCTTGCGTGGATGGGGAAACAGGCCCAGAGGCAGGGAGTGACGGGGTCCATTGGTTGGCCCAGGGAAGAGGATCATAGCGATTTCATAGAGTTCTTGTTCTCCAGCTCCTCATTTTGGTTCATATCTTGACTGTGTTTCATGTTTTGACAGGCAGGGCACTGATTTAGGGGAGCCGCCCAGGAGGCAGGCAGGCTGGGGTGAAGTGATGGGATTCGCAGGTCCCCTGCCCACACCAGGCCTTGCCCTGGACAGGAAGGCCCGCTGCAGGAATCCTGTTCTCAGCCACACCGAGGTACACATACCTGACGCCCTGTGAGAAGGGCTGTGGACGGAGATAGGGAGGCCGAGGCAAGAAACAGCAAACGGAACGAGCGATGAGGAAGGCCAGGCCACAGGTGGATGGGGAGATGCTGAGGTCCTGCTGTGCTGGACTGAATGCAGATGGGAAGCAGCCTTAGCTTAGAGATGACCTGATCCAGATTGGGAGACTGAGGCCCAGGGAGGAGGGGTGACGGGCCCAAGGTCACTGGAGCCAACAGCCTGGCTAAGAATCGATCCAGGTCTTCTGGTTCCCAATCCAGAGCTCTTGCCTCTCGCGTGACTGGCTCCTTCCTTCCCCTGGGTTAAGAATTACTCTTTCCAGCGGAGCAGGGGCCGTCTTTTCACATCCCTGGCAAAAGTGGCTGAGATAAGCCCTTAAAGAGTCTGAGAAGCTCCCCCTCTTAGATCAAGAGGATCTAGGGAGCCTGGAGGCAGAGGAGACCTGGGGACTCTACCAGTTTCCTAAGTTCAACTCTAGGCCAACCCCTATTCCTGCCTCCCTTTTGTTAATGCATACATATCATGGACCGTTGGGGTTAAGAATTCACAATAATAGTAGTCATGATGCTATGGACTGAATGTTTATGTCCCCCAAAAATGCATCTGTTAAAATACTAATCCCTAATGTGATGGTATTGAGAGGCAGCGTCTTTGGGGGTGATTAGGTCATAAGAAGGGAGCCCTCACAAATGGGATTAGTGCCCTTCTTTTTTTTTTTTTTGAGACGGAGTATCGCTCTGTCACCCAGGCTGGAGTGCAGTGGTGCAATCTTGGCTCACTGCAAGCTCCGCCTCCCAGGTTCACGCCATTCTCCTGCCTCAGCCTCCCGATTAGCTGGGACTACAGGCGCCCACCACCATGCCCAGCTAATTTTTTGTATTTTTAGTAGAGACAGGGTTTCACCGTGTTAGTCAGGATGTTCTCCATCTCCTGACCTCGTGATCTGCTCACCTCGGCCTCCCAAAGTGCTGGGATTACCGGTGTGAGCCACCGCACCCGGCCCTTTTTTTTTTTTCTTTTCTTTTTTTTTTTTTTTTTTTTTTTTGAGACAGTATTTTGCTCTTGTTGCCCAGGCCGGAGTGCAATGGCACAATCTCGGCTCACCGCAACCTCCACCTCCCAGGTTCAAGCAATTCTCCTGCCTCAGACTCCTGAGTAGCTGGGATTACAGGCATGTGCCACCACACCTGGCTAATTTTGTATTTTTAGTAGAGACGGGGTTTCTCCATGTTGATCAGGCTGGTCTCAAACTTCTGACCTCAGGTGATCTGCCTGCCTCAGCCTCCCAAAGTGCTGGGATTACAGGCGTGAGCCACCAAGCCCGGCTGGGATTCGTGCCCTTCTAAAAGGGACCCCACAGCGTTCTCTCACCCTCTTTCCACCATGTTAGGATATAACAAGTCAGCAATCTGCAACCAGAGGAGGGCCCTCACCAGGACCCAACTATGCTTGCACCCTGAACTCAGACTTCCAGCCTCCAGAACTATGAGAAATAAAGGTCTGTTGTTTATAACCCACTCAGTTTATAATATTTTGTTATAGCATCTGAAGCTAAGACACATGATAATAGTAGCTACTGTGTGTTAAGTAGCCTGGAGACATCTCCCTGCAGTGATGGATTATTCTTATTTCATTTACAGCTAGGATAAGCCCAGGGAGGGGCAGTAGCTTACCCAACATCACAACACCCCAAGTGGCTGCAGCAGGATACACCCTGGGACACCAGCTTCAAGTCCAAGGCCCTCCCCACTGCTCCTCACCACTACATACAGGACAGGAAGAGTTTGTGTCCTTGAATTTGTTCAGCAGTATCAGTGCCCGACTGCAACAGGGGTACAAAAAACACAGAAGTTCATTGAACAAGTATTTAGTGAGCACCTACTATATGCCAAGCTCTGTCCCAAGTGCTGAGGGTACAGCAGAGAATAAAACAGACAAAACTGCCCTCTATTGGCAGGGGCATAGGGGACAGATAAACACAATGAGCTAGCAAACACGTATCCTGCCAGATGGTGACATGGGCTGTGGCGTAAAGTGGAGTATGGAGGGAGGATAGGGAGTGAGGGTGACGATACGCAGAGGGGGCCTCAGGAAGGTGTCACTGAGAGGGGAATGGCTGAGCAGAGGCCTGAAGGAGGTGGAGGAACCAGCCAAGTGAGTGTGCTTCTAGCAGAGGAAATGACCTGTTCAAAGGCCCTGAGGCAGGCCCATGGTTCATGTGTCTGAGAAACAGCAAGGAGGCCAGTGCCGCTGGAACAGAGGGGAAAGTAGATGAGATCAAGGAGGTTACCGGGAGACCAGGTAGGGCCTGTGACAAATCTGGCTTTTACCCAGATGAAATGGGAAGCCATTTTGAGCAGAGAGGTAGCAAAATCAGACTTGGGTTTTAAAGGGCACTTTGAAAGTCGTGTGGTTGTATTCATCCGTTTAATACTTTTGCATTGCAGATTAAGTTTCGTATTAGTTTGTTCTCACTCAGCTATAAAGAAATGCCTAAGACTGGGTAATTTACAAAGAACAGAGGTTTAATTGGCTTACATTTCTGCAGGCTGTACAAGAAGTATGGAGGCTTCTGCTCAGCTTCTGGGGAGGCCTCAGGAAACTTACAATCACGGCGGAAGGTGAAGGGGAAACAGCTTTGTCTTACATGGCTGGAGTAGGAGCAAAAGAGAGAGATGGGGGAGGTGCTACATACTTTTAAACAATCAGATCTTGTGAGAACTCACTCACTATGCAGTACCAAGGGGAGATGGTGCTTAACCACTCATGAGAACTCCACCCCCATGACCCAACCATCTCCCACCAGGCCCCTCCTCCAACACTGGGGATTACAATTTGACATAAGATTTGGGTGGGGACACAGATCCAAACCATGTAAGTGGTTAATAGATTTTACAGGGCCAAGGACAGAAGCATGGGGGCTACTGAGGAGCTGCCCAGCACCCAGGGGTGATGAGCTGGAGAGTTAGGCTAAGGTTGTCAGGGTGGAAGAGGTGCAAAGTGGTCAGATCTGTGAAATGTTTTTGAAGGTAGACACACACACACACACACACACTCATACACACACACACACGGGAGAAGCCTGTGAGCCACGCTTAGCTGTAATGGGACCCGCCATACCTGACCATCCATGCTTTTTCATGCAGTACCCAGTGATCAGACTACATAGGTCAGAGAACCCGTCAGACAAGCTGATGGTGATGCCTGGCAAGGCTGCTCAGGGGGCCTGGCGTGGTTTGTCCACTTCACTCTTGCCCCACAGCAGTGCTTGTGCCACTGGGAGAAACAGCTTAAATCCTCAGCCCTTGTCCAGCCTCTTCATTATGCAAGTGGGGAAACTGAGACACCAAGAAGCAAAGGGACTTGACACTCAGGGAGTCAGAACACAGGCACAGTCTCCTGACTCCCTGTCCAGTGCTCTCTCGTACCACAAGCCCAAACTTGCCCCTCAGGACTGGGTGACAAGGACACAGGGGCTTGGTCAGGCCTGCACAATCTTTTCTAGAGAAGGGGGTGACGGTGAGGGGCCTTGGCCTCCAAACTTCATCCCCACTTCACTCCATCCCACAGGCTGCTCTGCCCAGCCAGAATGTGGGTGAATCCCCTAATGACCCAAATCTGACAAGGAGCAGAGTCCGTATGTTGCCAGCATAAGAAAGGACAAAAGAAGAAGCCTTAGCCTTTGGCCCCTAACTGGAGGCTTAATGAAGGCATCCAGCAAGAAAGGAAAGGGTCAGCATTAGTATCTTTGTCAACATCACCACCACCACCATCACCATCACAATTACCAACATCACCACTACCACCATCATTATCACCATCACCATCACCATTACCAACATCATCACTACCACCATCATTACCACCACCATCACCAACACCACTACTACCACTACCATCAACACTACCACCATCATTATCACACCACCATCACCATCTCCAACATGGTAACCACCACCGCTATCACCACCTCAATACAAAAAACAACACCATCATCACTACCAACACCAATACCAATACTCTACCACCACCACCACATCACCATCGCCATGACCAACATCACCCCTACCACCGTCATTATCACCATCACCATCACCATTACCAACATCATCACTACCACCATCATTACCACCACCATCACCAACACCACTACTACCACTACCATCAACACTACCACCATCATTATCACACCACCATCACCATCTCCAACATGGTAACCACCACCGCTATCACCACCTCAATACAAAAAACAACACCATCATCACTACCAACACCAATACCAATACTCTACCACCACCACCACATCACCATCGCCATGACCAACATCACCCCTACCACCGTCATTATCACCACCACCATCACCAACACCACTACTACCACTGCCATCAACACTACCAACATCATTATCACCACCACCATCACCATCTCCAACATGATAACCACCGCCGCTATCACCACCTCAATACAAACAGCAGCAACACCATCATCATCTATCAACACCAATTCCAACACTCTACCACCACCACCACCACCATCACCATCACTACCAATATCATTAGGATCTCTAACACCATCACCATCATCATCACCACTAACACCATCAATACCATCAACACCTCTTCACCCTCATCACCACCGTCACTGAGCCAGATCTAGTTTGGGTTGCACTGGAGAACAAAGAGGACCCCCTGTAGCTAACACTGAAGCCAGAAAGCTTCCCAGATAGACTGTGCATGGGCTGGGCATCTGCCCCGGGGAGAGCCAAATGGCTATCGGTCGTCAGGGACATGGAGCTGGAATGGCAGGAGATGGGGTTGAGTTAGGACTGGGGAGTAGAGGCAGCAGACACGAGTCTATCCAGGGCAGCCAACAGGCTGGCTAGGAGAAGGAGGGACTAGGGAGTCTAAGGAGTGAGAAGGCAGCTGGCAGCTGTTCGGATGGAATGTCAAAGAGGGAAAGAGAACAGCCCCTACAGGAGCCCGTTCATGAGGTGAAGAGCAGGCCAGGAGTGGGTGGAGTGCAGCAGGCAGGTAAGCATAGCCCAGTTGAATGAACATCACCATTACACCTCCACAGCATCCCACTCTCTAGCACAGCCATGGCCACCATCACCATGACAACCAGCCTGAACAGCACCTTCCCCATAGCTATGGACTCTCTCACATCCCCCAGTGACCACCACCACGACTGAAGCAGAGACTGCTCTTGCCCATCAGCAGTCACTGTACCCTGCTGCCTTCAGAGCTCCCAAGTTTATCTGGGCATAGGAATGCTGTTGCAGGTTGGCTTGCCCTGCAAGCAGACCCTGAGATGGAGATCAGCAGGCAGATGGGCTGGGGGTCGCCCTTGGGGTCAACACACGTGTAGGAGCAGGAAAAGAAATGGAATTGGACAAAGGGACATGCTGGCTTCATGCCGTCTCAGATAAGGCCTTGGCTGACCCCACAAGGACCTGTGAAGACCGGGTAGCCCTTCAGAATTGTGCAGGTTGTGACACTCCCATGCCATCAAGCCACTGTGTGCAGGCTACCCCCAGGTAGGGAGCATAACCTTGGGTAGGGCAGCTCTCTCCGGCCAAGAGCCATTTCTGGAAAGCGTTGAGGACTGTCAGCCAGCAGCCCTCCCAGCAGCTGGAAAAAGATGTCCTTCAGTTCCAAAGGGTATTGGAGTGGAGCATCACAATGTTCACCCCCAATGCCCACTAAATACCACATTCCCATCTTCCCTTGTAGCAAGATGTGGCCAAGTGGCTGAATTCTGACCAAGGACATATGAGAGCAAATTATGTCTGCCACTTCCAAGTCGTGCCTGAAAAGAAATAGCCATGTACCCCTCTTCCCACTCTCCCTCCCACTAGTTGGGCTGCAGATGTGGTGACGGGAGCTGGAACAGCCACCTTGGATCCAGAGATGGATGCTAAGTGTAGAGGGTGGCAGTTGCTTACCAGTTCTCAACTACACACCTGCCACCTCCAGACTGTTACATAGCAGAGAAATAACTTCTGCTGCGCTTACACATTGGGGGAATCTCTGTTTCAGCCAACTCTCCTTTACCCCAGTTGGACAGCCGTGACCTCCATCACGGGTCCCCAGTCCCCAGTATCGGTCTGTGGCGTGTTAGAAACCAGGCTGTACAGCAGGAGGTGAGTGGCAAGTGAGCCATCGAGAGAGGCTTCATATGTATTTACAGCCACTCCCCATCACTATCATCACCATCTGAGCTCTGCCTCCTGTCAGATCAGCAGCAGCATTAGATTCTCATAGGAGCGCGAACCCTATTGAGAACTGTGCATGTGAGGGATCTAAGTTGTATGCTCACTATGAAAATCTAATGCCTGATGATCTGTCACTGTCTCCCATCACCCCCAGATGGGACTGTCCAGTTGCAGGAAAACAAGCTCAAGACTCCCACTGATTCTACATTATGGTGAGTTGTATAATTATTTCATTACATATTACAATGTAATAATAACAGAAATAAAGTGCACAATAAATGTAATGCGCTTGAATCATCCCAAAACTATCCCACCACTCTGGTCCATGGAAAAATTGTCTTCCATGAAACGAGTCCCTGGTGCCAAAAAGGTTGGGGACTGCAGACCTACATCACTATCCTGCCAACCATATGACCACTTGTCCACTGTCACCAACACCAAGTGACCACTCCAGGTTCCAATCCTGGCTGTGCCATCTATATGCTCTATGATCTTGGACACAGCACTGTATATTTCTGGGCTTCAGTCTCCTCTTCAGAAAATATGTCACTTCATAATAACGTAATTTTTTATACCTTGGAAGGTTGTCATAAGGATTAAACACAAGATCTACATATGACAGGAAGGAAATGTGTTAACATACAAGCTTTGCCCTCCTTCACACCTTCCCACCCTGTTGTCTGAACTTAGAGCTGTCTCAATGGTGGCTGTTGTCATTGATACTGCTGTTACATTCAATGTTATCACAGCATTGTTACAAAGGCCACTGTGCTATCCCCACCTTAACCACTAGAAGAGCCACTTCCATTTTCATTTTAGAGTCAGACAGACTTGAGTCCTAGTCTCAACTCGAACCATGACTGAATGAATGGCCCAGGACAACTTACTTAACTCCCCTGCACTTCAGTTTTCCCATCTAGAAAATGGGGATAATAGCAATGCCCAAGTGGGTGGCTAGGAAGATTAAATGGGATGATGTGTGCAAAATGCTAAACACTGTACCTGTTTCATAGGAAAAGGCCAATAAATGGCACCCATTGCCATTGCAGTGGTTGTTCCTTATCTTTGTAAAACACCTTCAGTTTGTCATCATAAGAAAGCCATGCACATGGTCCTCCTTGGACTTTGAGATGTTTTGGGCAAGGTGGGAGGCACACCCATTCTCGGGGGCTTTGTAACTTGTGTTCAAAGGACCTGCTGGCACCACAACCAGGCAGCAACCCCGAGGGCTGGGAGAAAGGACTGAGAATGGTGCAGCCCAGAACCCAGAGTTCAGCAAACATGTCCCCTCCCCGGGAGCCTGTGTGTCCAGGTCACTAGGAGAGGAGCTACAGACACACAAGTCCACTTGAGGAACCCCCAGAAAGGCAGGTCTTGAGGCGACTCCTGAATGTCTGCTTGGGCAGGCCAGCTCATGGCTCAGAGCACAGTCAAAGAGTGAGCCTCTATTGATGGCTCAGCCTTGGGCCAGCGGTCTGGGGTAAGCAATCCAGGCAGCCTCCCTCACAGGTACTGGGAAGGCCTCCTTGGCAAAATTCTCCTCCTTCCAGGCTGGTGTGTCAAGCGTGGTGTCCAGGTTTCCTCCTGAGGGCTCCTAACTCACCTTTTATGAATTATTCTACGCGAGCCTTTTCCTTACAGCAGCAGGGATCAGACAGGCTCGGGGAGGGCCCTGAGCTCCTGGGAAACCAGAGCCTGAAGGGAGAAAGAGCACAAACAAGTGTGGGGACATTAATGACAACATTTGAGAAACTCATCATTGTGCCACAATCCAAATCAAACTCTTGACTAAACATTCGAATAATAACCCTCCCTGTCTGTGGGCCCCTGTGTTCATCAGAACCCTCCACACATCGGGAGCCCCCCCTGCTGTGAGAGGACTTAACTCCCTCACCCATCAACACTGGGCTTAAGATCAAGTAACTTGCTTTGGCCAGTGAGATGTGAGCATGGGTACATATGCCACCCCCTGCAGAAGCTTTAAGAGTCAAGGTGAGCTTTTGCTGTGACTCTGTTCCCTCTGCTGTGACTATAGCACATTTCAGACAGGCCTGCTCCTTCAGCCCAGACCCAGGAAAGAAGACACAAGGAAGAAAGCCACAGCCAGCCCACAGTGGCTATGTAACACAAGAGAGAAATCCATCTTTTTTCCTGTAAACCATTGAGATTCAGGGGATGTTTGTCACAACAGCACAACTCATCAAACACTGACTAATACAATAGCTAGCACCCATCTAGTGTGTGCTTGGGCCAGGCACAGTATTGAGGACTTGACATGTATTATCTCACTTAATACTTATGACAACCCAAGTATTAACCCTGTTTTACAGGTAAGGTTAGTAACAGATGAATTGCTTAACCGACAGGTTAAGTATTCTGTCCTAGTCTGGGCAATGTGGCAAAACCCTATCTCTATAAAAAAAAAATATCCAATAATTAGTCAGTCATGGTGTCGTGCACCTATGGTCCCAGCTACTTGGGAGGCTGAGGTGGGAGGATCGCTTGAGCTAGGAGGCTGAGACTGCAATGAGCCATGATCATACCACTGCACTCCAGCATGCTTAACAGAACCAGACCCCGTCTCAAAAAAAAAAAAAAAATTCTGTCCAAAACAGTAAGTAGCAAATCAGGGATCTAAACCAAATCTATCCACCTTGAGTGAGGCAGGATTATTTTCCCCCATTTCACACGTGGGAAAGCTGAGTCTCTAAGAGACGAAGTCACTTGCCCAAAGCCACGTAGCATCAATTCTTTCATGCGGTGTGACCCGCAGCAGGTCGTATGGGAAGTAAGTACTGAGGTCTTTCCACTTTGTGCTCAATACTTCTCCACCGTCACTTCTCTTTGCCTTGGCTGGACCTGAGGGCTCCTGGGTGTCCCCAACCACAGCTGGTGTCAGGAAGCCACCCTCCGAGGCCTCTTCCCTCCCCCTCAACGTTCAAGCTTAAGTTTCAGGAGCCCCCGCGCCCCTCCTCGTCGGCCCAGGGGGAAGAAGGCAGGGCTGCATCTGCCCAGGCGCTTCAAAGCTTCTTGACACTTGTGAATATCCTCCCGCTTCTGTGCACGAGGGTCTGGTTCGCATTAGCACCCCAGACCCCGCGGTGGTAGGATGTAGGGCTTGGGCTCCATCCAAAAAGTGTCAGACTCCGCTGGGGCTGCTCTAACTACTTATCTAACATGGAACATCAAATGGTTTGATCTGCCAATTAGGCTCACCCAGAGCTGCTAACTGGAAGCAGATGGGCCTGTCCATTATTGTATGGAAAACTTGCATTTCCCACTTCCCTGTAGAAGGGGAAGGCAGTGCCCTGGCCCCTCCTCTCACCCACCCCACACACCCCACAGATGGCAGTGGGTCTGAGGGTCTCCTGGGGAAGCCCAGGGTGGGAGAGTTGAAGCCCAGGAAAAATGGGCCTTATCTCCTGTCCCTGAGGATGAGTAAGAGTGGTTGCTTCTGGTTATGGAGTGGGCCTAGATGGGCATCTGCCCAGGAGGTCCCAAATTCTCAGAGTGTCTACAACCTTCTGCCAGGTTTCTCCATCCAGTGTTCATGGGCCTGCCCGGGGAGACAGATATGGTTTGGATCTGTGTCCCCTCCCAAATCTCATGTCGAATTGCAATCCTCAGTGTTGGAAGTGGGGCCTGGTGGGAGGTGACTGGATCATGGGGGTGGATTCTCATGAATGATTTAGTGCCATCCTCTTGGTGCTGTCCTCGCAATAGTGAGTTCTCATGAGATCTGGTTATTTAAAAGAGTATGTCACCTCCCCACTCTCTCTCTCATCCCTCTCCCACCCTATGAGATGCCTTGCTCCTCCTTTGCCTTCCGCCATGATTGGAAGCTTTCTGAGGGCTCTCCAGAAGCAGACGCTTCTATGCTTCCTGTTCAGCCTGCAGAACTGTGAACCAATTACACCTCTTTTCTTTATAAAGTACCCAGTCTCAGGTATTTCTTTGTAGCCATGCAAGAATAAACTCACAGAGACCTTTATAAACCAGACCAGCACTGGCCACTAGGCTGGGTCCTAGGCCTGCCCTGAGGCAGGGGCATGGTGGGAATGACTTCAGGGTGTCCCTTCTCACTCTTGGGTGGTACAAACACAGCCACCCAACAGCCTTTTCAGCTAACCGCTGCCCAAACCAGGGTGTGCCCACCCTGTCTCACTCCCACGGCCAGCCAGTCACCAAGACCACTGATGTGGCCCCAGCACCACAGCCACCACTGGCCAGTGCCAGGCCACCATCCTCACTCACCTGGGCCCAGTGGCAGACTCCAAGGGGTCTCCATGCCTCCTCCCTCAGACCCCTTGAGCCCATTCCCCACATTGCCATCTCCTCTCTCCAAAACCCCTTCAAGGTTCTACCCTAGGAGAAAATCCAAATTCCTTAGAATCAGCGCAGCTAACAGTGGGGGAGCACCTGTGCACATGCCAGGCATCCCTGCTTTGAGCTTCCCAGCAGCCCTGGGAGGGCAGTGCTGGCATCATACCCCATCACACAGAAGGGAAGGGCAGCACAGAGGGGTGAGGGCCTCCAACCCAAGCTGCACAGCCCAACAGTCTCTCTCTCTCTCTCTCTCTCCCTACCCCACTTCCTCCCTTCTTCTCTTCTTTCCTCTCAGTTTCTCCCTTCCTCTCTGATATGGTTTGGCTGTGTCCCCACCCAAATCTCATCTTGAATTATAGCCCCCATAATCCCCAAGTGCCATGGGAAGGACCCAGTGGGAAGTAAGTGAATCACAGGGGCAGGTTTTCCCCATGCTGTTTTCAAGATAGTGAATAAGTCTCACAAGATCTGATGGTTTTATAAAGGGCAGTTCCCCTGCACAGGCTGTCTTGCCTGCCACCATGTAAGACGTGCCTTTGCTCCTCCTTCACCTTCCACCATGATTGTGAGGCCTCCCCTCCCTTGTGGAACTGTGAGTCTATTAAACCTCTTTTCTTTATAAATTACCCAGTCTCAGGTATGTCCTTATGGCAGTGTGAAAACAGACTAATGCACTCTCCTTCCCTTTTCTCTCTCTCCTTTGTCCTCCTTCCCTTCTTCTCTCTCATCTCTCTCCTCCTCTCTCCTCACTCTCTCCCCCTCTCCTTCCCTCTCTTTTTTCCCTCTGTTCTCTCCCTCTTCCCTTCTATACCCCTCTCTCCCTTTTCTGCCTCCCCCTCCAACTCCCTCCCTCTCTTCTTTCTGTCTCCCCACTCTCTTTCCCTCTATTTGCCCCTGCCTGCCTCTCCCTGTCTCCCTGTCTTCCCCTCCCCAAGCTCACCCACTTTCTCTCCAGCTCCAGCTCCACTAGCCCCCACTCTTTTTTTTTTTCTGACCTTCCCAGTCTCCCTGCCCTGGGTCCTTGCCCAGGCTGCTCCTCTGTCTGGTGCACTCCTGGTGACACCTCCCTTGCTTGGCTCACAGTGATTCGTTCTTCAGGTCTCTACTTGAGGCCTGAATGCTCAGGAAGCCTTCCTCCACCTCCCAAGGCAAGAAACCTTTTCTGGGTGTCTCTGTGGCACCATGAGCCACCCCATCACAGAGGATCGCATGGTGTTGTGAGCATCTGCCTTGTGTCCTGAGTCCTCCACTAGAATGTGAGCTGCTTGGGAACGGGGACTATGCTCCTGGGTGCATACCCTCAGTGCCACACAGGGCCTGACCCTTAATAGTGCTCAACAGCCATGTGCTAAGTGAATGAATAAGTGAATGAGAGTAAATGAATGAATGAGTGAATGAGGTGTTGGCCACCAACACCCTCTCCTTGCTCACAGACTCACTCTGTCCATTACCTTCCCTATTTCCTGGCCTGCTGCAAGTTCTCTTGGCTTCTGACCTCATGATCCATTAAAGTTCTGTTTCACTCATTCATTCACTCATTCTTTCTTTCTTTCTTTCAAACAGCACCTACTGAGCACCATTCTGTGCCAAGTGCTTTTCTGGGTTCTTGAGAAACATCTGCAAACAAAATGGACAAAATTTGCTGCCTTCACGGAGTTCACAGTATATTGGGAGAGATAAAGACAAAGAAGTGAACCATATAATGAGTTAGACAGTGGTAAGTGTTAAGGAAAAGAGTTAAGCAGGAAGAGAAATAAATGAGGGAGCGAGCCACGTGCCTATATGGAGAAGAGCATTTCATGAAGAGAGAACAGCCAGTGCAAAAGCCCTGGGGCAGAAATCATGGCATGTTCAGGGGATGATGAGGAGGCCAGTGTGGCTGCAGAGGGGTGTAGGAGGCAAGAGGAGGCTGCAGAGAGGTCACAGAGGTAGAGGGGAGCCTGTGGGTCTGACACACGCATCAGGACTTTGGATCTTCTGTCCAGTGAGCTGGAGAGCTCTGGAGGGTATGGAGTAAAGAATGAACATGAACCAATTCAGAGTTTTAAAGGACCACTCCTGACTCGGAGGGCAAGGATAGAGGCAGAGAGGGCAATTAGGAGGCTGTTGCAGGAATCTGGGCTTACCTATGTTTGGGGTATATTTTGAAGGTAGAGCAGATAGTTTTGCTGACAGTGTTAACGGAAAAACCAAACTCTGTCAAATATCTTAAAGAGGTTTATTCTAAGCCAATATGAATGACCACAGCCCGGGGACACACAGTCGCAAGGAGTCCTGAGAAAGTGTGTCTGAGGCGGTCGGATTACAGTTTGGTTTTATACATTTCAGGGATGCCAGGGTTACAAGAAAAGAGATAAATCAATCCATGGAAGGGATACATTGATTTGGCCCAAAAAGACAGAATATCTTGAAGTGGGGGCTTACAAGTCATAAGTGGATTCAGAGATTCTGTAATCCACAATTGCTTAAAGGAAGAAAACTTCTTTGTCTAAAAAGTTTGAGTTAGCAGAAAGGAATGTTTAAGTTAAGATAAGGATGCTGTAGGCTGGACACAATGGTTCACACCTGCAATCTTGGCATTTTGGGAGGCCAAGGTGAGCAAATCACTTGAAGTCAGGAGTTCAAAACCAGCCTGGCCAACATGGTGAAAACCTGTCTCTACGAAAAATACAAAAATTTAGCCACGTGTGGTGGTGGGTGCCTGTAATTCCAGTTACTCCGGAGGCTGAGGCAGAAGAATTGCTTGAACCTGGGAGGCGGAGGTTGCAGTGAGCTGAGATCATGCCACTGCACTCCAGCCTGGGCAACAGAGCAAGACTCCATCTCAAAAAATGAAAAAATAAGGATGCTGTATCAGAGTCAGTCACGCTATGGCCTGTTTAGCAAGATCAATGGCCTGCAGGTTGACTTAACCCTTCCTTGCCATGGCTTTCGGTCTTGCTTATAACTTGGTATCTTATTGCCACAAAGAGCCTATTATGTCTGTCTTATGATCTCGATTTTACCATGAATGCTGGTTAGTTGTGCCTAAACCCCAAAATGGAAGGGACATAACAAGGCATATCTGACTTCCCTTCTCTTCATGACCTAGGACTCTGTTTTTAAGGTTTCTCTGGTCCCCTTGGCCAAGAGGGGGTCCTTACCATAAGGTGCGGGATGGGAGAAAAACAGAGTCAAGGATGACTCAGGTTTCTGGTCTGAGTGATGGAGATGCCACCTGTGAGACCCGACCACACCTTCCTCCTTACCTATGAGGCTCAGCTCCAGCCTCTGCCTTCCCCTTGTCACCCTTTCCTTCCCCCTCTGCAGCCCCAGCCACTGGAGGAAATTCTGGCCCATTTCACCTGGTCTGGAGCCAGGTCGCCCGATTGCAGCCAACTCCCCACAAAGGACACTCCCACCAGGTCCAGTGCCAGCCCTGCAAATGGCTCCAGGGATTGCCCTGCCCAGCCAACAAGTGCTCAAGGCTTCAAGCAGCAATGGGCCGTAGGTGACCACAACAGGTGAGAAAAGAGCTGCACAGAGAACAGAGCTGAACCTCTCCTGCAGGAAGTCCCAGACCAGAAAGACAGCAGCCAGGTCCCAAGCGTTAGGACCAACGGTATGAAGCTCAAGAGGCTATGGGAGCAGAGAATCCCCTCTGCCACAAGGCAGGAAAGGCTTCCCGGGGGAGGAGGCATTTGACCCGGGCCCTGAAGGATAAATACAAGCTTCCCATAGGAAGATCAAGAAGGAACATCTTGAGCAAAGGTGTGAAATCAGGAACCATGTTTGGGGACAGCCAGGAGTCCAGTGGGGCCACTGGGAGATGAGGCTGGGAAGATGAGCAGGATTCAGATTTTGTGAGGCTTTCCACACACAAAGGAGGTCAGGCATGACTGTCCAGGAAGTCCTCACTTAATGCTGTAGTGGATAGGTTTTTGGAAACTGCGACTTTAAGCAAAAGGACGTACAGCGGGTCCTCAAATAACGTTGTTTCATTATAACATATTATAATACGGATGAGAACAAAATATTGGTTTCATTATATGCCTTGTCCTTTTATCTAAAGTCAGAGTTTCCAAGAATGTAGCAACAACGTTAATGAGGACTTACTGCCCAGGCACTGGGGAGCCACAGGAGGTTCCTGAGGCAGGAGGGCTCCTGACTGTGTCAGGTTTAGGGGACATGACTCAGGCGGCCAGAGACTGTGGATTTGGGAAGGATGACAGGAACCAAAGAAAGGAAAGCTCGAAAAGTGGTCGAAGAGAGGGGCTTGCAAATCAGAGTGTCCAAAGGAAAGGACCGGGATGGTGGCCAAAATCATGTCCTAAGAGCACCTGGGACCTTCAGACCAAAGAAGAGATGACGTGAGGAGAACACAATTGCTGTAACCCCTCCCAAATCCCCCCTTTGAGCCCAAATCCTAGCTCGCTCACTTAAGAGCTGGGTGACCCTGGGCAAGTTAATCAGCGTCTCTGAGCTTCAGTTTCCTTTACAGTAGTACAGGGATGCTTTGGGTTGCAGAGGACAGAAAATCCAACTCAAGTTAACTTAAGCAATAAGGGATATTAACCGACTCATGAAATGGAAGTTTTCAGAGGCAGGGCTGCCGTCAGGTGAGATCCAATAGCTCACAAAGAGTTTTAAGGGCTGAGTTTTTCTATCCTTCCTCTTTGCCTTCTATAAGGTTCAGCTTTCCCCTGAGGCTGACTCGCCTCGTGATCCCACAAGAACTGCCCCCAGCTCTTTGCTCTAGGGCCTTTCAAGTTATTATACAAAGAAGCTTGGTTCCAGCAAAAGTTCTGAGAGTCTCTCTGATTGGACCAACCAAGGTCATGTGCCCACCTCTGAGCCAATCACTGCAGACTGGGAAGAACAGTGCCGATTGGCTTGGCCTAGGTCACTTGCTGCAGCCCCTGGAGCCAGGAGATGGCCTCATCTTCCCTGGAACCATATAGGGGCTGCCAGGTAGGGCGGAGGGAAGGGGTGTGGGAGGCATCAGCCTGTGTCCACCAACGTCACTGGTACCCATGGGGCATGGTCATTCTGGGGACTGGAGATGATGTGTGAAAAGTACCTGGCACACAGCAGGTGCTCCTTGAAAGGCAATTCTTTTTGTTATTGTATATAAAAGGCATCATGAGAAAGAGGAATTCGATTTTGTGGGGAAGGGTGAGACAAGATCTTGCTCTGTCGCCCAGGCTGCAATGCAGTGGCACAATCACTGCTCACTGTAGCCTTGAACTCCTGCACTCAACAGATCCTCCTGCCTCAGCTTCTTGAGTAGCTGGGACTACAAGCGTGCACCACCATGCCCAGCTAATTTTTACTTCTGTAGAGATGGGGTCTTGCTACATTGCCCAGGTTGATCTCAAACTCCTGGCCTCAAGCAATCTTCCCACGTTGGCCTCCCAAAGTGCTGAGATTACAGGTGTGAGCTACCATGCTTAGGCTAGGAATTAGATTTAATTCATGGTCCCAAAGGATAAAACTAGTGTCCATAAACTGAAATCCCAGGGAGTAGGGTTTTGATTGAATCTAAGAATTTTTTGACAACTACAGTTGTCCTCGGTGAGGCTCCCATCACCGGAGGGGAACTTTAAAGGCTTAACATCCCAGCCTCAGGGCTGCTTTAGGAGGTGTGGAGCAGAGGCCCCCTGAGGTCAGTGGGATTCCAGGATTCTCTTCTCTCATGGTGGTCTGTGAGGCAGAACCAAGAAATTAGGTGATTATCTCTTTTACAAAAAAAAAAAAAAAAAAACTAAACCAAGGCATCAGAAGCATGCAAGAAAACAGAGTTAATAGCTTAAAACTCTCTGAGCCTCTGACAATCTGGTCCCCAGGGCAAGGGGGATGGGACACAGCCGCACCCAGGGACGGATCATTCAGTGTGGCTCCCTGAAAGCTTGGGGCTGGGGTGGGCCTTGGCCCAAGCTCTGGGCTCCCCTGGGAAGTAACTGGAGGGGACAGAGAAAGGACATTCTGGAAAGACCCTGACCATCTATTCTTGGGGTCTGCGCCCAGCAGTCTCCAGCCCACTAGGCCAGGCCAGCGCTGGGGACTGTGGGAAGAGGACCCAGCCACAGAGGAGGCTGGTCACAGTGGCCAGACAGGGCCTGGATGGCATCCCAGGTGACCCAGGAGAGGGGTAAACCAGCATGTGCACAGGATGCTGACAGTAGCCACCCAGAGAAGACAAGGTCCAGACACCCAGGGCCAGGCCCCCCACATATGGCCCTAGCTGTCCTTCGAAGCTGGGTTCTCACAGTCCGGCCACTCTCAGCCACACGATCCTCCTGGAACTGCCTGGTCTTCCTTCCATCCCACCTTTCCTCCTGCTGTCCCCACCTGCCCCTCCCCCACACACCCAAATTTCCTGCCTTCCAACACTTCTCTGTCCTTCAAGGCTCTTTCCAAATGTCAGCTTCTCTCAAAGGCTTTCCTGGTCACTGCACCCACCAGCCACCTGCCTAAAATCTGAAGCCCCTGCCATAGCACAGTTCCTTGTCCGGGGAGCTGGAGCCTTCCCCCTGTGCACTGTGGTGGGGACAGCTTCCCAGGCAGGGCTGCCTGGATGTTACTCTGTAGAGGACAGTGGCTCCAGGAATGGGCTCTGGGGAGGGGAAGGAGGTGCTCAGACAAGCTTTATGACTCTGGGTAAGCTCCATAAACTCTTTGAGTTCTTCTTCCCCCTGCCCTCACCCCACCATCTGTAAAATAAGGAGCATAATTGCACCCAACCAACAGAGTTTTGTGAGGAATACATGGGTAAAGTAGTAAAGTTCTTAGCCAGGGACTTGGCAATAAATGTTAGCTGTTGTCCCCATCAAAGTCAACACAACGGCCCAAAGTCACACAGTTTGGAAGTGGCACTACTGGCATTGAGACTGAGGTCTCTCTGATTCCACATGTTCTTTCTCAGGGGACGTCCAAAAACAGGAAGGAAGTGCATTCATTTCACCCAAGTGAGGTTTATTCACAAGCATTTGGGAAGCACGCTATGCCTGGCCATCCTTTAGAGATAACCCAGGGACCTGGGCCCGAGCGCTTCGGGAATAACGAAAGGAAATGGACACGTGAGACAGCTACCAAATGGAGCCATGGCTGCACTATCCGAGCTCACATGCTGAACGGCAGGCCCCACCCACCTACACCAACCCTGGCCCAGACCAGAACAGCCCACCCAGCCCAGTGCACCCAAGGCCTCCCTTGGCCTTGAACATGAGTGAAGGGAATGAGCTGCAACCTGCTGGTGCCCACTGTGACCGCCAGATGCGGCTATAGGCTGCTAAATCAGACTTTGTCTTTGGAGACCAATAGGTCACCTTGGGTGGTTTTTTTCTAGAAGATGACAGTGCCTGGCATGTAAAATAGGTCAAGGGAAAGCAATGAAGTGTGGATGTTTTAAGACACCCAACACTAAGTGGGTAAAAATGGCCCAGATGCAAAGGACCTCCAAGGAATGCTAAATTATTAACCAGGGCAAGGTGGGAGTAATTGGGGATGGCTTCCCTGCTTCCATCTGGAGTTGAACCAGCCAGGGAAGACCCCTGGCTTCCGCCTCCCAACTCTGTGGCCCTCCCTCCCTCCCAGACGCCACCGGATGGCACTAGTCCCTCCTCATGGTGTAGCCCTGGATCATGCTGTTGAAGTAGGCGGGCGTGTTGCGCTCCGGGTAGAAGAGGATCATGTAGCACTTGGGGCCGAAGTAGCCCAGGCTGATGGCCAGGAGGTTGAGCACAGTGACCAAGAGGTCCACGATGGTGACCAGCACCCCGCTGTAGGCAGACATGAAGGTGCAGAGGGAGACGGATGAGGTGAAATAGAAGGTCATGCTGAGGGTGATGAACTTGGCCTCGTTGTAGTTGGTGGGCAGCTCTTTGCCCATGTAGGCGAAGCTGAAACCCACCACTGAGAGCAGCAGGTCCAGGCTGGTGTTGAACAGCAGGCTGTTGCGGTAGTTGGGGTTACAGGAGACAATTGTGATCTTGGGGTCATCGGGGTCAGTACGGGTGGTGGGACTGAGGCCCGTGGCCAGCATGCCAATTACCACAATGACCATTTTGAGTACCGTGATAAATGCCATAGAGACGTAGGGCCCCTGGTAGCGGACCCAGTAGCTGTAGGCGCGTGGGAAGCGGCTGGCCATCTTGAAGGCGCAGACGATCTGGAAAGAACGCACGGCGATACAGGAGATGCAGATTGTGAAGCAGAGGGGAAAGAGGGCCTGGCGGCAGAGGCAGGTGGAGACCTTGGGCGGCCCCACGTACACCGGGACCACCATGTATGCCACCAGCAGCAGTGTCAGCATCAGGAAGCACATGGGGCCCCCAGCCGAGCGAACTATGGGTGTCTGGAAGTGCCTCCAGAATATCACCAGGATGGCCAGGGTGCTGAGGAAGCCCAGGGCGGCCAGCAGGGCCACAGCGATGGTGGGTGCCTCATGCCATTCCAGGAAGACCAGCTGCCGCTTGAAGCAGGAGGTCTCACTCTGGTAGGACCACTCGTTATTCGGGCAGGCCTGGCATTCATATTCATCTGCAAAAGCCACAGCGACTCCCATTAGCCAAGCCCATCTTCCAAGCACCTGCATCCTCCCAGCCCTGCACAGGGCCAGGCTCCAGGGATGAAGAGAGAGCACCAAGGGCAACCCTTGCATTCACAGCCAGTACTCCTCAAGTCTCATGTGCATTGGCTCATCAAATCCTCACAGCAACTGCATTTCACAGATGAGGAAACCAAGGCTCAGCCAGGTTAAGTAATTTGCCCAAAGCCAGTAAGTTAGAGAGGCAGGACTTGAATCCAGGTCTCCTTGACCCAGAGCCTACCAACTGCAGTTCCTCCCTTCCAAGACCTCACCCTCTGGTGTGAGAGGCATTCAACCACTGACTCAAAGAATGCATTCAATACACGTGTTTTTGAGCACCATCCATTGTGACAGGGACCTGGGGTGGAAGGCCACAGAGAGATGGATAAAACCCAGCCCTCACCTCGCCGCTATTGACTGACTGTGGGAGGAAGGCCAATGAAATCATTCCACAAACTTGTTCACCACCTGCTCTGTGTCCTGTGCTCTGCTAGGCACATATTAAATACTTGCATTGGTAAATGTCATCATCCATTTAATTTACATGAAGTCATGAAAAAGAATTGAGCTCCAAACTCTGAACTGTGCTAAACACTAATGTGGACAGAGATGACGTTGTCTGCATGTTCCTAGATTTTATGTTCTATAGGGAGAAATGATCATTCTTCTCATCAAGGAAGTCATTCAACAAGCACCCACTGAGCAACTATGCTATGCTTTGAGCTACGCTAGGCACTTGGGAGGCCAGAGGGATAAATGAGATGGTGTCTTCCCTGTCTGCCAGAAACTTTCCTCCTATTGCAAATACCATTCATTCATTCATTCATTCATCCAGTGGGTGTTCCCCAGCCTGACTCCCTGGGCCCTGGGCTATGTGTGTGTGGAGTGGGATCAGCTGCAGTCCAGCGTGGGGGAGTGTCGTCCCTTCCCTTCTCCCTCCCTCTCTGAAGCAGCCTGTATGGAGGATTTTGCTCTACACTAGGTTTTGGGAGGATACAAGAGGAATCAGATCTGGTCCCTGGCCTTTGGACACTCACACCCCCTGTGGGGTACTCCAGAGACCCTGCCAAGGAGGACAAGCCCTAGAGACTCCAGGGGCAGGGCAGGGGCAGGGCAGGGGCAGGGCAGGAGTGCTAGGCCTGTGAATCATACCTTCAGTGTGGTTGAGGAAGGTGCCGGGAAGGCAGTCGATGCACTCGAAGCAGCAGACGTGGATGCCCACAGGCTTCTTCTTTTGCCCTGACTGGCACCTCTTGGAACACATGGACATAGGGATCTGGAGGGAGGAGGGCAAGAGACCCTGAGTCCTCTTTTCCCACATTCTGGGGGCCCCCTCCCCTCTCCAACCAGCAGGATGTTCAGGGGAGGAAGCCTAGAAGCCCCCTAGGTTTTGGGGTGGAAACTGTAGAAAAAAAAAAAAAAACTCTCATGCTTCTAGCAGGGGATAAGGAAAGCAGCCATTCTGAAATATGCTCAGAGCATTCTGTTCTCCTTAACAAATGCCTTTCCTCAAGGGAAACCATTTTACCAGAACCCAACTGATGTGAATTTTACCAGAGCTTAACTGACATGGAAAGAGAAATTCTGAACTCCAGCCCTCTCTAGCCTTCTTGTCTTACCTAAGGGGGTGGGGTGAGAAGCACTTATGAAGGTCACAGTTCTGGGGCACAGGCTTACTGAAAGATTGAGACCTAATCACAGGATTACAGAACACTTCCCCTCTATCTCACCACCACATCAATCAAGGCATACAACCGAAATAACTGCAAGGCTGAGACTGCATTTAAGAAGGAATATCTAGGGAAACCCAAAGATAAAATGGGAGACAAAAAAGGACACTGGAGAAAATTTTGGCCTCTGACACCATTGCTATTTATTTATAGCAAATAGTAAGCATAGTTTTAATAAACTTGAAAGGACTGAAATAATAACAGGTATGTTCCCCAACAACAATGTAATGAAATAGAAATCAATAACAGAAGGAAGTTTGGGGAATTCAAAGACATGTGGAAATTAAACAACATACCCTTAAATAACAATAGGTCAAAGTAGTATTCACAAGGGAAATTAGAAAATACTTTGAGATTAATGAAAATAAAAACACAACATAACCCCACAAAAAGACAAATACTGTATGATTCTACTTATATGAGGTGTCTTAGGTAGTCAAACTCATAGAAACATAAAGTAGAAGGATGGTTGCCAGAGGCTGGAGGAAGGAAGAAATGGGGAGTTGTTCAATGGGAATAGAGTTAGAAATTTGCAAAATGAAAAAGTTCTAGAGATCTGTTGCACAAAAATGCGAATATACTTAACATTACTGAAATGCATGCTTAAAAATAAACAAATTGGTAAATGTTATGTTATATGTCTTTTATCACAAAAATAAAAAATTTTAATGTACCAAAATTAATGGGGTACAGTGAAAACAATACTTAAGAGGGAAATTTATTATTATAAACATCTGTATTTAAAAAGAAGAAAGATGTTACATCATTAACACTCACTATCTTATCAAATCACTGACATTCACTATCTTATCGTAGAGTTTACTCTTTCACTCTCGATCTCAATGTAGTCCACATGGAAGTTGTTCATCTTGACATTCTGCAGAATATCACGCTGGTCTATGATATTCATGACACCGTGGTAATTGGACCTGGTTAGTAGAAAGTAGCAAGCACTTTTATATCCAAGTAAGACCTATGAATGCCAGAGGATTGGAGATAAACCTTGTAAAGATTCAAAACTTGGGGTTGGGGGTGCTGTTACATTGGTGATGTTTTTAGGAGGCCAAAGGTACAGAGAATGCCAGGACATCCATTCTAAGATAATAGACAAGTCATCCACCCTACACCTGCTACCATGAAAGTATGGAACTTTATAAACCTCTTTAGATTTGCGGGACAACATAAATTGCTCCTGGAAATACTACTGCAACCCGTTTATCAGGTGATTCAGAAGGCTTTCAGTTTCAAGGCAGAGGGTAACAAGTCCAGAAAATGACTCTGAAGAAGGCCCTGGCTTCTGTATAAGCGATCCTGCCACTGGGGCCACATGATCGAGGAGATCTGATGATGTTTGAGTTATCTATGCTTATAAGAATGGGCAAGCCCAAAGAGAGAGATGCAACAATGCCATGCCTTCTACAACAACATGCTACTCACTACTTGAAAATCAACTCTTGGAGTCCTGCTGGGCCATCATGGAAATTGAGTACCTGACCCCAGGACATCAAGTGACTATCAGATTCACAGAGTCTTATAGAGAGGCAGGAATAAAAACAAGTCTTCATATAAGGGAAATGGTATCCAAGAAGCGCCAGTGGGTCCAAGTAAATTTCTTAAATCAATTATTGTGACTCCTGTATCTATTTCTGTTGTAACAAATGCCTCTCCCTCAAATCATACCTAAGACCTCAGGGAGAGATTCTTTATGACAAATAAATAGAGGAGAACATTCAGGAATGATTCACAAGTAGGTTGGTTTGATATATTAATGTGAGCTGACAGTGGACTGCTGCCATACTAAGCTTTTTTCAGGGATACAAAGCTTTTTTCAGGGTGAATTCTGAAGGACAGTAATGATGGGAGATACTGCTTGTATGTGGAGATGCAAGCAGGACACTTGGTTGTTTGCTTTGTGTGAATGGAGAGATGTCCTGAAGGATGGATATTCTTGAGATCCTGGACATATGGAATGGCTTGGCTGGTTGTTCAGGGGCCTGGAAGGAGCAAGAGTGGAAGAATGGAGACAAAGTTGCTTGGGGAAAGGTATATGTATGGATCCATGAGAGTGAGCACAAAGCATGAAGATCTCTGTGTCTCATGTTAATGCAAACCAGAGAGCAAACACAGAGTAATAGAAACCAGATTAAAAGGTTGACTTGTCCCAGCCAGGCACCGTGGCTCATGCTTGTAATCTCAGCATTTTTTGGGAGGCCAAGGTCGGCAGATCAATTGAGGTCAGGAGTTCCAGACCAACCTGGCCAACATGGCGAAATGCTGTCTCTACTAAAAACACAAAAATTAGTCAGGTGTGATGGTGCATTTCTGTAATCCCAGCTACTTGGGAGGCTGGGGCAGGAGAATCTCTTGATCCCTGGGGGCGGAGGTTGCAATGAGCCAAGATTGTGCCACTGCACTCCAGCCTGGGCGACAGAGCGAGACTGTCTCAGAAAAAAAAGAAGAAGAAGAAGAAGAAGAAGGTTGACTTGTCCAATGAAGGTCAGCTGGCTTTTGTCCTCAGCCACCCCAAGGCCTGCACAGAGTGGCCATGATGTCAGGGATGGAGGCTACAGATATGAACCCAACAGCTTGAGCTTCCTCTCATCATGGCTGACCTAGCTACTGCCATTGCAGAACACCTAACATTCCAGCATCAGAGACCCACCCATGCTGAGCCCTTGACTTGATACAATTCTTCAAAAAGACCAGCCAACCAACTGCTGAAAGATCTATTACATCAGATCTTTTCCTCTCTGGGAAAATTCCAGGAAGGGAATTTTCCTTCCCTGATTTCAATGCAGCATCGCCATCTGGGGGCTTACAGAGCAAATGATTTATTGATGCAGGACACTGTATCACCTCAGATCAGGAGTCAACTTCATGGTAAAGGGGTGTGACATGGGCATGTGACCACAGGCTCCACTGATCCTAACATATACCACATTACCCAGAAGTATCCTATCTAACCAGGTGATGAGATGACATACTAAAAGCTCAGCTAAGGTACCATCTTCAGGACCCCCTGCAAGGTGGGGACACTGCCCTTTAAGATGAAGTTTTGAATGAATGGCTTGTGTATAGTGTTGTGGCCTCAACAGCTAGAATATGTGTATCCAGCAACCAGAAGGATTGGCTACATGCACCATTATTCTCAGGAACCCATTGCAGCATTGGTGCTTCTCCTCTCTACAATCTTACACTCTGCTGGAATAGAGATTCTGGTCCCCAAAGGGGGAATACTTCCACCAGCAGACACTATAGGGCTCTACGATTACCATGTGGTCATTTTGGGTTCCTCATGCCAGTGAATGAGAAGGCCAAGAAAGGAAGAAGTAACTGACCTGGATTCGTGGGTGGAGCTGAGGTGGTTGCTACACAAGTGGAGTAGGAAGGAGTAGGTCTGGCACCCAAGGACTCACCAGGCAACCCTGGGTGCTTCAATCCCAGTGCACCTGCGGGTGGGAATCTGCAGCAGGCACAGCCCAGAAATGCAAGGCAACTAAGGGCCCAGACACCTTGGGGAAGAAGGTCTGGATCACCCCCCAGGCAAGTGACTGAGAGCAGCCAAATGCTGGCTGAGAGTGAAGAAACCCAGAATGGTAAGCAGAAGAGAGAGATGAATATCAGTGACAACTTTGGGTAGTGGCTAAGTCCGCCAAACTCCCTTTCTGTTAGAGACTGAGCTGGCGGCTGCTCTAAAAAGTCTGTGACTCCTCAGGCTCAAGGAAAGCCACTGAGTGGAACAAGAAATGGGCCTCTCTGTGGCCTGCCTCATATTTTCTCAACCCACTGTTTATTCCAGCCATTGCTGCAGTCACCAGTTTCAAGCAAGTGCCACCTGTCAGCACCTGGCCTCGGCTACACAGCTGTGTCTTGTATTCTGCCCTAAGGCTGCAGTATGAAATGCCCATGGGAGGCCTCTGAAGCTAACACCCCACAGAGCAACCCCTGACCACCAGGTGATGGGAGCTAGTGGATTACTGCCACCCTCCTCCCTCCTCTGGGAGACAATGCTAAGGTGGCTCTTCGGGAGGTCCCAGTAAGATTGACCTCCAGTTGCTCAGAGTAGTGTGTGGCTTGAGGTTGTTCTCTTGGACCAACTTTCCCTGTTCCCTGTGGAACTCTCCCCAGTCTCCCACTCCTGTTCCTGTCCATGTATCATGTCCTGGAATAAATCTTCTGCACATAAACCCTTGTCTCAGGCTCTGCTTTCTGGGAGACACCAAAGCTAAGACAGTATATGGGCTGAACTATATCCTGCTTAAAGTCCTAGTCCCCAGGACCCCAGAATGTGACCTCATTAAGAAATAGGGTCACTGCAGTCAACATAGTCATATAATTAGTTAAGATGAAGTCATCCTGGAGGAGGGTGGGTCCTTAATCTCATATGAGTGATGTTCTCATAAAAGGGATGAACTTGGAGACAGACACATGGAGAACACCACCTGAAGGTGAAAGCAGAGATGGGGTGGTGATGTGGGTGTCCCCACCCAAATCTCATGTCCAGTTGTAGTCCCCAGCGTTGGAGGTGAGTCCTGGTGGGAGGTGATTGGATCATGGGGATAGAGTTCTCAAGAATGGTTTAGTACTATCCTCTTGGCACTCTCCTCCTGATTGTGAGTGAGTTCTTGTGAGATCTGGTCGTTTAAATGTGTGTGATATCTCCTCCTTCACTCTCTCTTGCTGCTCCAGCCATGTAACAAGGTGGCTCCCCCTTTGCCTCCCACCATGACTGTAAATTTTCTAAGGCCTCCCCACAAGCTGAGCAGATGCCAGCATCATGCTTCCTGTACAGCCTGCAGAACAGTATGCCCATGCAACCTCTTTTCTCTATAAATTACCCAGTCTCTGGCATTTCTTTGTAACAATTCAAGAGTGGACTAATATGGGTGGTGCATCTACAGTCAAGGAATATCAAAGAGTGCCAGCAAACCACCAGGAGCTTGGGGAGAAGCCTGGAACAGATTCTACCTCACAGCTCTCAGAAGGAGCCAACCCTGCTGACACTTTGATCTTGGACTTCCAGGCTCCAGAACAGTGAGACAATAAATTTCATCTGTTTAAGCTCCCTACCCACCCCAGTCTGTGATACTTTGTGAGGCAGGCCTAGGAAACTAACACAGACACCACCCTAATTTACTCCACAAAAATCCCCAAGGCACTCAGAAACTCACAGCATCAGGTACCTCTGCAACTGGGGATAGAGTGCTGTCGGGGACTGGGGGGAAGAGGGTGCAGGCTATTAGCAAAGGAGAGTGATGAAGTCTCTTCCAGAAGCTTTTAGATCTCTAGATCCCCTCCCCAACTCCACAAGGCAGGTCTCTATCCTTTCCTACTCCAGCAGAATTCTGATGGTCTACTCTCTAAAGAGGGTAAAATAATGGATCTTTAGATTGACAGATGTCAGACTCAGTTGAAGGCATAGCTACCAAACTAAAACAAGAGTATCCAATGACAGGCTGTATTAGTCCACTTTCAAGCTGCTGATAAAGACATACCCAAGACTGGACAATTTACAAAAGAAAGAGGTTTAATGGACTTACAGTTCCACATGGCTGGGGAGGCCTCACAATCATGGCAGAAGGCAAGGAGAAGCAAGTCACGTCTTAAATGGATAGCAGCAAGCGGAGAGAGCTTGTGCAGGGAAACTCCCATTTTTAAAACCTTCAGATCTTGTGAGACTTATCCACTATCAGGAGAACAGCACAGGAAAGACCCACCCTCATGATTCAATTATCTCACACTGGATCCCTCTCACAACATGTGGGGATTATGGGAGCTACAAGATGAGATTTGGGTGGGGACACAGAGCCAAGCCATATCACAGGCTTTAGCCTGAATGCTGTATATAGAGAACCTCCGCCACAGACTAGCTGTATGCTGTATATAGAGAACCTCCACCACAGACTAGCTGTGTGGCCTCAGACAGGTCACACAACCTCTCGGTGCCTTCAGTTTCCTAACCTATAAAATGGAGAAAATGGTAGCATTTATCCTCTAGGGTTGATATGAGAATTGAGGTCCTTAGCACCAGGCCTGGCACACACATGTTCAGTGAGTGTTTACTTTGCAGAGGTCTCTGAACCCCTCTTCCTGGGGAGCTGGAAAGCCCTGAACATGCATAGTTCCCAATCAGTGGGGGAAGGACAGGACCCCAGACTGTATACCCACGAATAGAGGTCCTACCAGCTATTGATAAAGCAGAGGTCCCTAATCCCCGGGACACAGACCAGTACCAGTCTGTGGCCTGTTAGGAACCTGGGCCACACAGCAGGAGGTGAGCAGCAGGTGAGCGAGAGCAGAGCTTCATCTGTATTTACAACTGCTCCCCATCACTTGATTACCACCTGAGCTCCACCTCCTGTCAGATCAACATCCGCATTAGATTCTCATAGGAGCACAAACCCTATTGTGAACTGTGCATACAAGGGATCTAGGTTGCACACTCCTTATGAGAATCTAATGTCTGATGATCTGTTACTGTCTCCCATCACCCCCAGATGGGATCGTCTAGTTGCAGGAAAACAAGCTCAGGGCTTCCATTAATATTACATTAGGGTGAGTTGTACGATTATTTCATTATATATTACAATTATATGTTACGATAATAATAGAGATAAAGCACACAGTGTAATGCACTTGAATCATCCGGAAACTATCCTCCTCCCAGTCTGTGGAAAAATTGTCTTCCACTAAACCAGTCCCTGGCGCCAAAAAGGTTGGGGACCACTGCCCCAGGGTTGATGTGAGAATTGAAATCATTAGCACCAAGTCAGGCACACACACAAAGTGAACGTTTACCTTGCAGAGGCCCCTGAGCCCCTCTTCCTGGGAAACCAGAAAGCCCTGAACAGGCATAGTTCCCAATCAATGGGGGAAGGAAAGGACCCCAGACGATACACCCACAAATAGACATCCCCCCAGAGATTGATAAAGCATCTCCAGGCTCTGTCCCTAATGAAAAGGGCCCTAGCCACTCCAGCAAGGGCCCCAGGCCCCGCCCCAGGCCTGCCCACCCACCAGGCCCCCTGGCTGACCGTGTTGTTGATGGTGTGCCAGGAGATGTCTTGGATGTTCTTCAGCTGTCGCTGCAGGGGGTAGTAGGAGGCGACGCTCTGGAAGGGATTCTGGCTCCGGTCCCATTGCCACTGGACAATCTCCAAGTGCAGAGCCACGTCCCCTTGCGGGTCGAAGAAGATTTGGTGGTCCAGGAGAGTGAAGTTGACCTTCCAGATCTCCTCAAGCAGCTGGCGGGGTCAGAGGGAAGGGAAGTGGAGCTAGCATCAGAATCTGAGCCAGAATTTTTCCTGGACCTGGGAAAGATTCTACCATTCCATTAGCCTTGATTTCCAACTCTGTAATATGGAGGCAATAAATCTCCGAAAGGGTGGCAATTTAGGAGTCAGTGGCTGAGAGCTCTGCTTTGGAGCCAGACACATCTGGGTTCAGGCCTCAGCTCTGCCCCTTGCTGTGAGGCCTTGGGCCTGTTTCTTAACCTCTCTGAACCCGTTTCCTCTTCTGCAAAGTGGGAGCAATAAAAACTCTATCTTCTGGGCTTGGAAGCAAAAAATAAGTTCATCTATGTTAGAGACTTAGAGCAGAGCCTGAGACAGGAAGCACTCCTACCAAGGTGCTGATAGATTTCCTTTTCCCTGGAAGTCACCTCAGTCATCCCTCTTGAACCCAATACATGAGATGAGGTACAGAGTCCACTGTCTCTGTCACCTGCAAAGGCCAATTGGGGTCTCCCCTGATCCCTGGGTCCTTCCTACCTCCCCAGACCTTAGGGTCAGCTCTCATTCCAGTCTCTCCCCACCTCCCAACCCCCCATCACTCTCAGTAGGCAGCAGCTGGGACAAACTAGAGCACACTTTGAACTGGGCATCCTCCGACCTAAAGTCCAGTCCCAGTTCTGTTCGCAATTTGCTGTGTGACTCTGAGCAAGTTTCTGAACCTTGCTGGGCTAACGCTGAAAGGACTTCCAGCTCAAATATCCCATGGACCTGGCTCCTAGATTTTCCCTCCATAAATGGTAGTGTCCATTTGGCTATATCTTTAGGGCTCACCTGGCCTCAGGGACTGATACACACAGACAGGTAGCCAAGGGAGTCGGGCCCTGGCCTTCTCCCTTCCCTGCCTAGCACGTGAGGTCCTGACTCAGAAAGACTCTTTGGAATGTGCACAGGTTGCTAAGCCCAAGGGCAATGGTCCTTTGAGCCAAGAAGGAGGCTCCAACCAGGTGGTCGGCCTGAGGATGAGGATCAGGATGGCGGAGGCCCCTGGGAATCAGGTCCTGGGTGCCCATGTTGCACCTCTGCAATGACCTGCCCAAGCAGGGTTGAGCACTTGGGACTTGAGGGATCCAAGATATCACCCCCAAGGGGTCGGAAAGCACTGGCCTTGTAATTGTCCTGAGTGGGTGGGAGCCTAGACTATTATTGGCAGGGACTTGGGCACCTTGGGGTTCCCTCATCAGGTTGAACCCCGTTTCCCCTTCCCCATCTAGCCCTACCCCTATCCCAGCATAAGCTGTACATTTAAGGCAGACTCAAGTCCACCTCTCCAACCCCACACTCTCTCCTGAGGCCAGCACTCGGTGTCAGAGAAGAGGAAGAGGAGGAGTACATTCAGCCTCTTCGCTGCCCCAGGTAATTTGCATCATGATTGCACATCCCCTCAATAACTCAGCAGGGCACATATGATTCCTTCCATTTAACAGATGAGAAAATCAAGGCTCAGAGATATTAAATTTGCCCAGGTTTGCACAGCTAGTAGTGGCAGCACTGGGATTCCATTCCAGGTATGATAGCTAAGCTCTGCCCAGCTCACCGCCACCTGCCTTACAATGTACGAACAGGTGGGCCATATCCGAGATGCCCGAGGGGTGGAGAAATGTGGAGAGAGCTGTGTGGGGAAGAGCCAGACCAGTGCCGAGGGCCCCATTTGTGAAATAAAAGGATTGGACCAGAACCTGAGAAGAGCTCGCAACCCTGACCCTCCTGATTCAATGACTGGCTGAACATTTTGTTTTGCTTTTTTTTTAAGACGGAGTCTCACTCTGTCGCCCAGGCTGGAGTGCAGAGGTGCGATCTCAGATCGGACTACAACATCCGTCTCCTGGGTTCAAGCAATTCTCCTGCCTCAGCCTCCTGAGCAGCTGGGATTACAGACGCCCTCCACTATGCCCAGCTAATTTTTTGTTTTTTTAGTAGAGATGGGGTTTCACCATGTTGGCCAGGCTGGTCTCGAACTCCTGACGTCATGATTCATCTGCCTCGGCCTGCCAAACTGCTGGGATTACAGGTGTGAGCCACCGCACCCGGCCAACCTGCTGAACAGTTTTGCTGTGATGGCCACAAATTTGCCAGCCTGGATTTACCCAACCTCCCACTGATCTGACCCCACCACCACCATCAGCACGGGCAGCACATCTACCCAGTGTCATCTCCAACTCTTCTCATCGCCCCTGAGTCCTGTCTCTCTACCTCGCCTCTCATGGGGTGCCCATCCCCACTACCCCAGCACTATTTCATCACCATCCCTTACCACCACCCCTGGCCACTCCCTAGCTGGGTGCCTGTCACTTCTTTGAACCTCAGTTTGACCTGTGTATGGGACAGCAACCGTGTAGTAACAGTATCTGCTCAACAGTGTCTGTCTGGGGGTGACTGAGAATTCATGTAAAGAGGTGAACACCGTGTCCGGCACATAAGTGCCCATTCATTCATCCAATATTCACTGAGAATCAACGCGAAGCCAGACCAGTGCTAGCAACTTGGGATACAGCATTGGAAAGGATTGGCAGGGTCCCTGCTCTCACTGGCCTCGGTTTGGGAGGTGTGGGGAATAGCCAATAAACAAACAAAGGATATCAACACAATCACAACTTGGGATACCTGTTATGACAAAAATAAACAGAGTGCCGTGGTGTGACCCAGCAAGGAGGGTGGGAGGTAGTAAGGACACCACATACCATTTTGCAGGTTGAGCCCTTCATGAGGGGGTCCATTTAGGACAACTGGGAGGAACAGCTGGAGTCCAGCCCATTCAGGCCACAAAGCCATGTGCCTGCCACAGGTCTGCGTGCATCCAAAGCCAAAGAGCATCTTGGTCTAACTTGTCTGCACAAAAGGGCATCATTTTCTAATTCTCCCAAGGACGCTGTTTATGCCAGCAGAGACCCTGGGTGAAGCCTACATAGGGTGGGCTGGGCTCCCTGCCTCTTGACTGCATCATCCCCAGCCCTAAATTGGCTTGTTGGGCTGTCTCAAGAATGTCATCTCAGTGCTTGGAATGCTCTATGAACGCCTGCTGCCTCTAGACAAAGCCGCCTCTCCTTCGGGGCACTAGATGCCCTCCAGTAACACCTGCAGTTCCCGTCGCCTCTCAGTCTTCACCACTCAAGCCCAGTCACGTGGCCAGGCCACCACTCTCCCACTCTCCTCCTGGAAGGTCCAGTGCCTGTTCACTCCCTACTTCAGTCCTGCCTTCCCTGACCCTCTCCCACCATGATGATGCCCCTGCTCTGTGCACAGGTGCAATTCTGACTTCTTGCTGCACTTGGCAGACAGATCTTATTAACTGTCCTCATCTCCTCCTAGGTTGGGGGTCCCCCAGGCCTGGCACATAGTAGGTGCTCAACAAAAGGGATGGGACATCCTGGTTGCTATGATTGGTGCCCTTTGGTCTCCGCTGCTGGGAGAAGGAAAAAGTCAACTGTCTTTCATCATAGCTCCTGCCAGTTGCAGCTGGGAGGATGCCCAGAAGGTGAAGTGGGAAAACCACAGCAGAATGGGCCAGACCTGGGTTCAAAAGCATGGTCCACCACTTACCACTGAGCGATCACGGGCTAGTCACATTGACTTCCTGCCCCTCAGCTTTTCTACCTGTAGATTATCCTCACAGGAGGGTCATGAGTTAGATGTGATGTATACTAGGCATTCAGTGCCTAGTAGGCACTCAAAGAGGAGTAAAGCACCCATGATAATTATGTATATTATTAATGTAACAGGACATACAGCAATACACAGTATTTTTACCAACTGGCACCAGAATTCCTTTTAAAGAATAACTGCAATCTTTTAAAAGAAAAGTGTTTAAGGTTGCAAGGTTAGGATCTGAGATTATGGGATAGAGAGGTACAATTATATAGAATGAGAGAGAGAATTTCTTCAGAGCAAACTAATTTGTTCTGTTAAGGAAGTGAACAGTTATTTGAGGATGGGAGAGGGATCTAGCAAGGGGGCGAAAGGGGAGAACAAAGAGGGGAGTTGGACAGGGTTTAGGGAAGTGGCTAAATAGCAGGGTGGGAGGCTGGCCCCAAACTGTGAAAAAGCCAAGGAACCATTTAAGAACAGAGATCTCTAACAGCAAAGTATAAAGTGTGCGTCTCTAATGTAAATCCCCCCTGCTCCTCTGATCCTCAGTAAAACCTTCTATATCCCAGAAAGCTTCGTGGTGGGAGGTCTCTGTGTGTGCCTGTGGATGTGGATGTGTGTGTTAAGCCAGAAGAACAGATTTAAAGTCTATGTCTGAACCAGGGTGATAGAGAACTAGGGTAATGAAGACCCACAAAAGCAATTCAAGGCCTTTAGAGGGTCCACGCGAAAACACAAGCCCGTCCCAGGCTCTCAACCTTGGAGAGACTGGGGGAGGGGGGCGCTGCCGTTCCCACTGCCTGTGGGATTTCCTTCTGGTGAATTCCACCTGAATCTCCCAAGAACAGACTACTATCTTGAATGGTGAGTGTTCAATTAATTTAAAAAGCAATTTTGTTTTGGCACCAGGAAGGACTAGTGCTATGTGTCTGGAAGAATGGGATACTCATGCCCTTTCACACCCATTTGCCCAGAACCCCAGGGGAGGAGGATGGAGGTGCCCTGCAGACTCTATGGCAGCCACCCCCTCACCTGCCAGGGGTAGACCACCCTCTTGGTGCAGGTGCTTTTGTCACAGCCGAGGAGGCTGTGCAGGGCATGGGCCACAGCATAGACCGCAGAGTACACGCTGTAGACGACACGCTCCCCAGAGAGCCTGAGAATGGTGTTGAAGGACAAGGTGGCGTTCAGGCAGTTGTCGCACTCCTGGTTGCAGGTATAGCTCTGGCTGGTCCTGCTGAGGGGTGGCGGCCCAGCCTGTGGGCCCCACTCGCGGAACTCACTGAAGCCCGGGATGGGCACGCTCTGGATGGTGATGCCCAGGAAGGTGCCCAAGTGGCGCAGCTCCGTGAGGTTGTGCAGGACCGGGTCGATGGCCCAGGACTCGGAGGCGATCCACACGGCGCCAGTGAAGTTCTGGCGCAGCACCTCATTGAAGAAGTGGTACAGGGTCAGGTCGGGCGAGAACACGACCACGACGCGCGCTGTGCTCTGCTGCAGCTTGTCCACAATGGTCACCAGGCGCTGGCGCTCCTCTGACGTCATGTTCTGGTTGGGCTGCAGTGTGGGCAGCGTCTCCTGGAAGGCGATGCAGATGTCGCGCCGGGCCACGCGCTCGCCAAGCAGCTGGCCATTGTCGCGGCCATAGGTGTCGCTGCTCACCAGCACAATGATCCAGTTCCAGCGGAAGTGCAGCATCAGCTGCACCATGGCCTCGATGTGGTGGTCGGCGCTGGGTGTGGTACGCAGCAAAGCCGGGAAGCGCACCTTGTCTCGCAGCTCATCGCTGATGGCGCTGTAGGTGATCTGCAAGGGGAAGGGCTGTGGCATGAGCGAGTGCCCCGCTGGGTGCTCTGCCCCCACCCCAGGGCTCTATCCACCATCATCATCTGGGAAGCACCTAGTGCAAGCCACCCCAGGGGTAGGTGGTTTACACCATCGTCAATCATCATGGTCCCCAGGTAGCCCCATGCAATAAGAACCTACTGTGTGCCAGGCCCTAGGCCAGGTGCCTTATCTCAGTCTTATCACGATTATTGAGCACCTACTGTGTACCACACCCTGGGCCAAGCCACATACACCATCATCCTCATGGTCATCAGCACACTGGCTTTTATTGAGAACCACATCCTGGGCTAGGTGAATGACATAGCCATCATCCCCATCATCTAGAAACTCTTACTAAGCACAGCGCTTTCCTCCTCCCCCTCATCACCGTCAGGCTCATCAACTAGCCACATTTCTTCCCTCCACCTCCAGGGCTCCATGGTTTCCTTCCCAACTCACTGGGAGTTCCATCTCCTTTCCTGGTTCCTTCTCTTCTCTATGACCTCTTAACCTTGGAGGACCCTGGGCTCAGGCCTCAGTCCCTGCCTTTTCTCCAGCTGCTCTCCCCCTCCCTTGGTGGTCCCATCCAGCCTCATGGCTTAATATCCCATTTCCACGTCAACAACTCCCAGTGGATAGCCCTGGCCGGGACTTCTCTCCTGAACTTCAGATGCATACCACAACTGCCTGCCTGACATCTCAAACTTCACAGATCGAAACTGAACCCTGTTCTCCTCTGAGCCTGCTCCATCCACACCCTCCCCCATCTTGGCTGGTGATGAATCCATCATTCCAGTGACTCAGGGCAAAAACTCTGGAGTCGTCCTTGACTCTTCTTTCGCACACAGGTCACACTGGATCCATCAGCAAATCCTCTTGGCTCTACCTTTAAAATGTATCCATCCAGTGCCTACCAGCTCCCCACTCCCTCCTGTCCAGCCACCATCATCCCCGGCCTGCACTGCAACATTACCCATCCACCTTTCCCCTATAGTCTATGCTTAACATGGCAGCCCAGTGACCCTGCTCACACACATGTCAGGTCACTTTACTCCTCTTCTCAGAACTCCTCAACAGCTCCTAACGTCACCCAGGAAAAGCCAGTCCTTGAATGGCCCCTAAGGGCTCCGTCATTTATCTGCACAACTCTCGCCTGTCTGATTTCATCTCCTTCTCCTCTCCCTCTGGTTCCAGTTCTGCTCATCTAGTTCCGCAAACATACCAGGCACCTCCTGGCCTTGGCACTTGCTAACCCCTCTTCTTGGAATGTTCTTCTGCTAGGTCCCTCATGGCTCCCTCACTCCTTCACCTCCCTCAAGTCTTCGCCCAATTGTCAGTGACACCCACCTGACCACCCTGTTGAAAATTGCAATCTCCTTCTACCAACTCCTCCTTTCCACTGACATGCCAGACACCCCCACCCTGCCCACATTTTTATTTTATTCATTGCACTTCTCACCTCTAACATCCTGCATCACCTATTATTGTTTACATTTATTTTCTGTCTCTCTCCACTAGAAGAGAAACTCCATGAGGGCGATGATTTCTAAGTTGTTGCCAGCTGTATCCCAGCACCTACAACAGTACCTGGCACATAGTAGGTGCTCAATAAATATCTGTTACATGAATGAAAGAATGAATTCAGTCCTCAGCTAGATGCTTCATGTAAAAGTACTAACATTAAACAGTAACAATCACAATATTTGTGACTACCTACTGTGTGCCAAGTCTTTTGCTAGCTGATCTTTAATGAATATATAGCCTGTACCAGTACTGCACTTGGCACTTTCAATCATGATTATGATAATAGTTATAATAATAGTAGTAATACAAATCACCCTTTTGTGAGGACCTACTACGAGGCAGACCTTGTGCTAGGCAGCTGTACAGAATAATACTAAGCACTTCAAGTTTTTATTCCTGTGCAAGATGCTTTATAAAACAACATTATTTACTACCTACTGTGTGCCAGAAATTTACACAGGTTGAACACTAACCTTCAGACAGTCCTGGGATGGAACGCTTATCATCCCACTTTACAGGTGAGGAAACTGAGGCTAGAAGAGTCAAGAGATTTGCCAAAGGCTTCACTGTGGCCAAGGCTCGGTGCCAAGTTGCACAACCAGATCTGCCCGCTTCCAAAGCCTGAGCCCTTACTCCATAAGCTGGGCTACCTTCTCAAGATTTGGGCTGATGTCCTGACCCTGCTTCTGGTCCTATCATCACCTCCCATGATTGATGGAGGAAGTGGCTTCTGAGGCCTCTAGACAGCCATTCCTCTGCCCCCCTCCCCAGGTCCTTCTCCAGGGCCCAGGGGCCTCACCTGTGGAAGGAGAAATAGGGAGAGGAAGTTGGCCACAGTCATGACAGACTCGGAGTTGTCAGGGCCAATGACAGCCACCACACGGGAAATGTAGTTACTGTAGTCCTCTTGGATGGGAAGGAGGTTGTCCTCGTGTGCCAGGAAGTAGAGCACCGGCTGGACATTGTTGGAGATGTAGCACACATCCACGATCTCATAGCCCAGCAGCACACCAGGCAGCAGGCTGCTGTCATTGTTGATCTCCTCCACCGCAAAGCGCATGGCCTGCATGAGGTTGTAGCCTATCACCTTCACTTCATACCTGGAGGGGCCACAGCATCATGAGGTGGAAGCAGATCCAGAATGAGGAAGGAAGAGATAAGAGAACCAGCCCACTCCTCCTTCCTGCCACAGGAAAGCCAAGGCATTGACTGAGAAGAGCCACTCCAGAAGACTCGGGCATTTTCACCATGTCATTGTCACCATACCACATCTCTAGGGTCACCATTGCCCATATGGCCACCACTGATACTGTTATCCATGTGGCCATCATCACTACTATCCCTATAACCTCCATCACCACTCTACCAATGTCCACCAATGTGACCATCATTATCCACTAAGACTTCCATCACCACCATCACCACTATCACCATCATCACCCACTACCCATATTACCAATATCACCACCAGGGCCATCACTGTCACCACAACCTTGTGACCATCATCACCACCATCATCACCGTCACCACCATCACTATCAGCACGACCATTATCACAGCCATCATCACCACCATCACCACCACCATTTCCACCATCACCACCACCAACATCATCATCACTACCATCACCAACGCCATCAGTAACACCCTCACCACCATCACCATCATCAGCACCATCATTATCAGCATCACCATCATCACCACCCCCATCACCATCATCACTACCATCACCAACGTCATCACTAACACCATCAGCACCATCATCAGCATCACTACGATCACCACCATCACCAACACCATCACTAACACCATCACCAGCATCACTACCATCGCCATCATCACCAACACCATCACCACCATCAGCACCATCTTCAGCATCACTATCATCACCACCAACACCATCATCACTACCATCACCATCATCACCAACACTATCGTTAAAACCATCACCATCATCAACGCAACCATCACCATTATCACTACCAGCACCATCACTGCCAACACTATTACCACCACTGCCATCATCATCACTACCATCACCATCATCACCACCATTACCACTATCATCATCATCATCACCATCATACTTTTTATCATTGTCATCATCACCAGTATTACTGTTATCAACATTATCAGCATCACCACCATTACTTTCATCACAACTATCACCATCATTATACACCCCACCATGATCACAAGCATTAGAAAACCCAGCATCATGCCTGGTGCCATCACCTTCACCATTCTCAAGCCAGCATATAATCTTCCCCAGTGTCATAAATGATGCATTTCTCATACTCAACCCTTAATCATCTTTTGCACTGTTCTTCCTTTCTCCTTGTCTCCCGCAATACCTTCACCCTCTCTGCAAGAGGTCACTCTTTTTTAGTCCCAGGCTGGCTCCATGTCCTTCGTGCTTGCATGCAGATGCACACAGCCCCCACAATCTCCAAGTGATGCTGCCACCCCAAGGGGCTCAGGGAGGAGGTGGGGGAAGAGGAACTTCCCTCTCGGCCCAAAAGCACCCCTACCCACCACAGAACCTGCTACAGAAAAATCACATTCTGCCTCCCAAAGGTTTTCAGAATGGGCTTTGACATGGACCCATTGGGAGTCCCCCAGTTGCCAAAGTGGGTGGGAGCAGTCTTGATGGCCTCTAAGAGCCCTCTAGGCTCAAACATTCTGTAACTCTATTTAAAAAAAATGGCACTGAGATGACCCCAGTCTCAGTGTTTCAGAGCACAGTCGCCAAAGATTTTGGTAACCCATATTATACGGGGCCTCCCTGAGGACTAGGGGCATGGATCCAGAATAAGGGGGTTGGCAATGAATGGGGAGGAGTGCTTTAAGCCCTTGGTCCTGGTCTGGCTCCCAAGGACCCACAGGACCAGGCCTGGCCTCCCACCCCATCCCCACTGCCACTTCCAGCCCCACACTGGAGACTCACTCCTTGCACATGGGCACCTGCAGGAAGTTAAGGTGAACAATGCCCTTCATGTTGGCATGGAGGGAGAAGAGGCCACCCAGGAGGTAATCCCCAGGCAGGTAGAAGTCCGAGTTCTCAGCCGGCTCAGCCAGGACCCATAGGAGGAAGAACAGGGAGGAGATGGTCTTTGCCCTGGGCCCCATGGCTGGGAAGTGATGGTCTCAGGAGGTAGTCCTGCCTCACTGGAGAATTGGCAGCTTGACACCAGGGTATTTGCACAGACATTTACATAGCGATGGTCCTGCCACCGACTGTGGGGCACCTGGAGCAGGTGGAGAGGTTTGGGGGCCCAGAGGGAGGAAAGGAGGGTGGAATTATGATGATTCTTTCTTAGAGCATAGAGGGGCTAGGTGGTCTAGGGGAACCCTATTTGGAAAGAGAGAGCATCCTGATAACTTGGCCATGCCCTGGCCTTCTGCCACTTGTCCAAGGACAAGTCTCATCTTCCTGACATTTCAAATATTTCAGGAGTAAAGGACATAAGTGCTGTCAGGAAACAGAGTACTGTGGCCAAAAGAGCCCAAGCTCTGGAGTCCAGCCAAGTTAGGCCAGGCATGTAGTGATGTATAGGTGTGGAGAAAGTGGTAGCCATTGTCAATAAGAACCAGGCATCATGCTGGTGTCGCGGTTCATCATCTCATATAATGGTTGCAGTAACCGGGACTATTACTAACCCCATTTCAAAGATGAAGAAATGGAGGCACTGAGAAATTAAGAAATCCAGCCCAGGCTTCCTGACTAGCAGAGCTGAGATTCAAACCACATGGTCTGACTCCGGGGCTGGGTCCTTCATCGCTACATCACATTACATCACAAAATTAGTGCTTTTGATAAAAAAAAAAAAAAAAAAAAAACCCAGCGGTGTCAAAGAGGGTGGGGGAAGGAGGGAAGGGAGGGGTGGTCTCACTCCCTCTGAAGGCTGCCATCAGTCAGCCTAGCAACACCCACTCTGGGTCCCCGACCCCTTGGACCCCACACCAAAGGGCAGGGTTGTTGGCAAAACAGAAAGTTGAAAATTCCTAAATTCAAAGGTGAATACGCCCAAGGAGTCAGAAGCGGGGAGGTGGCTCCAGTGAATTAGGGACCCATTTGAATCAGAGACCCCTGTCCATTTAGTGCTGTTTTGCTCCTTTCCAGGCCTACCAACATGTGGCCGAGCCCTAGGGAACCTGCCACACACCACATGGCTGGAATGGGTCTGTCACAGGCACATACCCGGCTGCTGCGCTCCATGGTTCTGATGGGCAGAGGCTTCAAGGTAGAAAAAGGTGATCAAAAACCCCATGATCGGCTGGGCACGGTGGCTTACGCCTGTAATCCCAGCACTTTGGGAGGCCGAGACAGGAAGATCATCTGAGCTCAAGAGTTTGAGACCACCTTGGGCAACGTGGTGAAACCCGGTCTCTACTAAAAATACAAAAAATTAGCTGGGTATGGTGGCACACACTGTAATCCCAGCTACTCGAGAGGCTGAGGCACAAGAATCGAGAATCGCTTGAGCCTAGGAGGCAGAGGTTGCAGTGAGCTGAGGTCATGCCACTGCACTCCAGCTTGGGCTACAGAGTGAGACTCCATCTCAAAAAATAAAAAATAAAAACAAATAAAAACATGCTCTCTCCTGCCCCACCCCAGCCAAGCCCTGCTCCTCCTTCAGGGCCCAGTCTGAGCTTCTCCTCCTCCTAGGAACCACTCCTGCCCCCAGTTCAAGGGAACCTCCCCGGCTCTGAGCAGCAACAAGCCTCCTGTCTGCGTCATCGCTGGGCACTGGCTACCAGCCTTACACCGTTAACCGGATCCTGCTGCGTGTGTCCACTCTACTTGAGGACCCTTGAAACCACGTGACGTGGACCCACCTGGATTTGACATCAGCTGTTTGCTGGATGAGCATGGGCAGGTTCCTTAATCTCTCTGAGGCTCTGTTTCTTCCCCGTTGAAACAAGGATAACAATTTCAGCCTCATGGACTTGGTGTGGGAATTAAGTTAAATAAAACTGGGGGGTGTGGAGCAGGCTTGGAGAAAGGTGAGTTTGCCAAAGTGCGAGGTTGTTTCTTTTTACAACGAAATCAACTGCCGCAGGGGGCACCGTGGGCTCCATGACCAGCTGAAATTGCCCCTTTGTGTCCCAAAGCCTCTCGAAGTTACCCTGAAGGATGTTGGATGTCTTTAGCTACTGCAGAGCCGAAGTGGCGCCTCCTCCCCTGCCCCTGACCTCTCCTGGGACGGGGTCATCCCGTGGGCCTGTAAGCCAACAAGGGGAGGCCTCCTGGTGCTGCAGGAAGAGGCAGAATTGGCTGTGTGATCTGGGCTTGTCCCTGCCCCTCTCTGGGCCTGTGTAAACCAGTGGATTGGAGGTGGGGACTCATAAAATAAAAGGAAGCGCCCTGCAAGGGGTGTTTGGAGGTGTGGGTTCTGGGCCTGACTCTCCTCTCTCTGGGTCTCAGTCCCCTCATCTGTACAGTGGGGAGCCCCTCTTTGCACTGCCCGTGTCTGCCTCCATGTCAGCTGGCCCAAAACCCCAGCACTGACCCGTCACCACTGCCCCATGGGTTCTCTCCATGCCCTCCCACTTTCCACGCCACAACCCCCGCAGACCCTCATCACCCCCTTTCTGCACCTCTCCATCTGCCCCACACTGACTGTTTAAAACCCCAAACCACAGCTGTCAGCTAATCACTCCTCTGCTCTAATACCCGCCGGGGCTCCCCGTCACCAGCTGGATCAAGTCTGAGCTCCTTGTCCTGGCATTTGAGGCCTCCCCAGCCCAGCCCCAGCTCACTCATCCTCCCTTTCCTGGCCTTTCCAGCCTGGTCTCTCCTGCACCACGTGCCACAAACCACAGCCACACTGGCCTCCTTGGGTCTGGGTCCCTGGAGGATCTTCCTGGGGTGGCATTCTAGGGGCCTCCGAGACCATAGACGCCCGCCCTGCCAAATACCTAGGGGTTTATGAGTGGGTTGTAACAACAAATAGCGCCTTTCCCAGAGTGTGATGTATTGTTTCTGTTTTTTAGAGACAGGGTCTCACTCTGTCACCCAGGCTGGAGTGCAGTGGCATGATGAAAACTCACTGCAGTCTTGACCTTCTGGGCTCAAGTGATCCTCCCACCTCAGCCTCCTGAGTAGCTAGGGCTACAGGCACGTGCCACCACACCCAGCTAAGTTTTTTTAATTTTTTGTAGAGATGGAGTCTCTTTATGTTGCCCAGAATGGTCATGAACTCCTGGCCTCAAGAGGTTCTCCCTCCTCTGCCTGCTAAAGTGCTGGGATGACAGGTGTAAATCACCACGCCTGGTGTGTATTAAATCCACCCAGAGTCTATTAAACACCAGGCATTGTGCCAAGCATTTTATATACATTATCATTTAATTCTTACAACTCCCCTTCAAAGTAGCCATTTTTACTACCATTTTGAAGATGAGGAAACTGAGGCTCAAAGAGGCTAAGCAACTTTCCAGAAGTCACAAAGCTACTAGGTGGTGAAGCCAGAATGTAAATCCACGCTGCCCAAGCTCTTAGCCCCTGTGCTAAGTGTGTTCTGCCTACAGAAGCTGTCACTGCACCTCCTGCCATGGGGGTTCTGGGATGGCCCTGCCCTCCCTCAACTCAGGTCCCACCCCAGCTGTTGGGGAAGGATTCGTTCCTGGTACAGCCACAAGAAGGCACATATGACTGCACATGTCAGTTCTGAATTGGGGAATAAAGAGGCCAGGAGGCACTGGGATGTCCTGAAGACTTCTAGAAAAGGCACATTATTTGGCAAAGCTTAGGGGTGGGGGTATGCCAGAGAGAGAGAGAGAGCATCTAAGTTAACTGGGAAGCCCAGGATGTAGCCCTGATCTCAGGGCACGCCCCTCCCTGCCCCTGACCACCCCTGGGGCAGGGCCATCCTGTGGGCCTTTAAGTCAAGATGGGGAGGCCTCCTGGTGCTGCAGGAAGAGGCAGAATTGGCTGTGTGATCAGGGCCTGTCCCTGCCCCTCTTTGGGTAAACCACTGGATGGGAGGTGGGGACTCATAAAACAAAAGGAAGCACCTTGCGTGGGGTGTTGGGACGTGTGGGCTCTGGGCCTGACTCTCCCTTCTCTGGGTCTCAGTTTCCTCATCTATAGAGTGGGGAGGCCCTCTTTGCCCTCTTTGCACTGTCTTCATCTGCCTCCATGTCAGTCGGCCCAAAGCCCCAGTCTCAGGGTTTGGGACGGGGAGGGTGGTAGAAAACAAGAATGGTTAAGCAAGCTGTTTATCCAGTGGGCACCAGCTGAGCCCACTGTGTGACAGGGTTTACCATCCGGAGACAGAAACCAGGGCCCGGGTGAGGGCAGTGCACACTGGAAGACACCGGGGAACCAGGCCCATCCGCAGTGTGATGTACTGTGTCAGAGCTGAGAGAGCCTACGGAGACCCACAAACCCACCCAGTATACAGATAGGGAAACTGAGGCCTGGAAAGGGGCAGTCACCCAAGTCCAGAAAGGCATATTGACTTTCAGGACCAAGTTCTTTCTGGACCAAGTCCAGAAAGGCAGATTTCTTTCAGGAACAAGGGGCTAAGGCTGGGATTTGAGACCTCTGCTCTAATAAAGTCAATCAAAAGTACATCAGGACGGTGTGTGATGCCACCGGGATAGAGTAAAGAGGAAGGAAGGCACCGACCAGCCAAGAGCTCCTTGGGGAAGGCAGGGTCTGTGCCTTGAAACATGGGACAATGATGGTGATAGTGAGCACGAGTGATTTATGTTGTTAACGTGATTTGAGTGCTCACTCTCCACCAGGTGCTGCGCTGAGCCCTTGTTATGCTCCGCCATTCTGTTTTATTCTACCTCTTTTTTTTTTTTTTTTTTGAGATGGAGTCTTGCTCTGACACCCAGGCTGGAGTGCAGTGACGCGATCTCGGCTCACTGCAACCCCCACCTCCCGGTTCAAGCGATTTCCATGCCTCAACCTCCCGGGTAGCTGGGATTACAGGCATGTGCCACCATGTCTGGCTGATTTTTGTATTTTTAGGAGAGATGGGGTTTCGCCATATTGGTCAGGCTGGTCTCAAACTCCTGACCTCAGGTGATCCACACACCTTGGCCTCTCAAAGTGCTGGGAATACAGGAGTGAGCCACTGCGCCTGGCCTATTCTACCTTTTAAGGTGCTACTATGTCCTCATTTTGCAGAAGAGGAAATTGAGGTTCAGCGAGGACCAGTAACTTATTCAAAAGCACATAGCAAGTATGTGGATTGGAACAACCCAGCACCCTAATGGGGGCTAATGGGAGTGGTAGAGATGCAGGGGCTCCAACGAGGAAGAAATAATGGGGGTCCCATTGACAGGGAGAGCTTTTTTTAGAGTGGGCTGCCAGTATGGATAGATGATGTCCCTGAAGACCGAAATCTGAAGGCACACTGGACAGAGAGCCAAAATCCTGGTCCAGCTCTGCCCCAACTTGCGATGCTGCCCTTGAACAAGTCACTTCCATTCTCTGGGCCTCATCCTCCCATCTGTAAAATGGACTCAGTGCTTCTTAATGGTTTTGAGATGAGCATCCTTTTGAGATTCTGACGACAGCCCTGCATGCCAACACGCCCCCAACAAATGCAGCCATGCACCCACATCCAGGGCATTGCCAGCCCTTGAGGCTCATCTGAGAACTCTGGACTGAGATGATCTGCAAGGTCCCCTCAGGCCCTGACGTTTATCTAGGAGGGGCAAGCGGACACCATCCAGAGCACTGGCTTCCCTGAGGACAGATGCCTGGGAATGCTATGGGAATGCCTGGGAATGTCACTGGGATTCTCCTTCAGTGCCACACACACAGCACATGCCCCCGCGTGGCTGGACACAGCGCAGGCCAGCCCCAGCCATCACCCTCACCGCCTGGTCCAGGGCCTGCCGTCCCCATGCTCATACCTGTGTGGCTGCCAAGGTGACCAACAGCCATGACAGACTTATGCAAAGTCCACGGGGGAAGGAGAGAGGGGTGAGCCATGGAAACAGCCAGCCAGGAGCTGCCCATTTGCCTTGGCATCTGCTTCCCCTGAGGTGCAGGGAAAGGAAATGGGCATGTCGGCTGGAAGGGACTGCCCTGAACGTCCTTCCTCCCCCTGCCCTGCGGTTGGATGGAGGATGGGGCACAGGGGGAGCCCCCAAGAGGATCCTGACCCTAGGGACTGGGGGATACATCAGCTGCTGCCCCTGCCCCACCCTCTGATCTGTCTCTGTCTCTCTACTTGCATATCTCTCCATTCACTCCTGTCTCCTCCTTCCCCACCCACCATTCTCTCTCCCTCTTTCTCACCAGCACTCCATACTCCAGGACAAAACTGGGCCGCTAGAAACCCACCTCCAGTCTGGCTTATGATGGGGAGAGGGTGGGCATGCAGGGCCACCCCAAGAAAGTTCTGGGAGATGGGCAGTTCCTAAGCCAACCCACTTGGTTCAGAAGCACCTCGGAGGAGGGTTGCTGGGAAGGCCTCAAAGCCAGTTCTCAGAGGGCCCAGCCTCATCGGCACTCCTCATCCGACCCCTCTGAAACAAGAAGTCCAAGGAGTGGAGTGGTGTGGGCTCCTAAAGTTGGGAAGCCAGGGATCGGCTAAGACCTCAGGAAGGGACTCTGCTGTGGTTGGGATACTCTTTCGCACCCAGGGATCCACTCAAGCCTCCTCACCAAACTTTGCTGAGTGACGGTGAGCAGTTTGCCTCTCAACCAGAAAAAGAGCTGGAGGTCTCAAATGACCACAAGCTCAATAAGAGCCAAAAGGGTAATAATGACTAAAGCCTAAAGGAAAGGAAGCAGCTTTTATGGAGCCTCTGCAATGCTTTCAAACATCACCGCATCTGCTCTCCAGAACTCCGTGAAGGATTTTGTATCACCATTGTACAGATGAAGAAACCAGGGCTCAGGAGGTTAAGTGGCTTGTCCAAAGTCCCTGGGAATTGACTTTTTTTTTTTTAAGAGAAAGATCTTGCTCTCTTGCTCTGTTGCCCAAGCTGGAGTGCAGTGGCGTGATCATGGCTCACTGTAGCTTCAACCTTCCGGGCTCAAGAGATCTCTTGCCTCAGCCTCTCAAGTAGCTGGGAGCACAGTCACATGCCAGCATTCCTGGCTAATTTTTAAACTTCTCTTTTTTTTTTTTTTTTTTTTTGGTAGAAGTCGGGTCTCACTACGTTGCCCAGGCTGGTCTGAAATTCCTGTCCTCAAGTGATCTCCCTCCTCGGCCTCCCAAAGCACTGGGATTACGGCAAGAACCACCGCGCCCGGCCTGAATCCACTTTCATTGCACTCCAGAGTTCTTAATCTTTCCACTGTATTCGTGTAAGCCAAGTGAAATTTAAGGTTATAGCCAAAGGAGCAGATTGTCCAGAACAAGAGAGGTGATCGTCCTGCCGTGTGATGTTGTGATCAGACCTCACACGGGTGCATGACCTTAACAGTACTGGCTCATGTTGACTGACCTGTTCCTGGCCACCAGGCCCAGCACAAAATCTGTTTTCACATTTCAGACCATTCAGTCCTCCTAACAATTGTAAGGGATGAGTACTATCAACATTATGTCCCCATTTGACAGCAGAGTAGACTGAGGCCCAGAGAGGGGATGTGATTCAGCCAATGTCACACAGCCTGGATCCCAGTTCAGGATGATTCCAGACTCTACTCCCTGGCATCACCAGAGCAGCTCACTAGGTAGACAAAGATCCAGAAACTACATCCCACAGAGAGTAGCTGAAGGAATAAAAGATGTTCAGCCTGGGAAGGAAGAGGCTCAGGGAGCTCTTGATGGAAAATAAAGGGCTGGGATGAGGACAAGGGAGTGGTCCTGTTCTGTGGGGCTCCTGAGGCCCCAGCCTGGCCCAAGGGACAGGGGACAACAAGCAGGCTTTGACTCCTCGAAGCTTCCCCACCTGTAAAACGGCCACAGGCACCCTCAAATGGTGATTAAATGAGGTTAATATATCAAGCACCTGCTTAGTAAATGATCACCAATAAATGATGCCCTCCAGTGCCGATGGCTTTGTGCCTGGCATGGTACTGGCAAGGGACCCTCAATTTTTTTTAATTTTTATTTTTGAGACGGAGTCTTACTCTGTCACCCCGGCTGGAGTGCAATGGCACAATCTCAGATCACTGCAACCTCTGTCTCCCGGGTTCAAGAGATTCTCCTGCCTCAGCCTCCTGTGTAGCTGGGATTACAGGTGCTCACCACCACATCCGGTTAATTTTTGTATTTTTAGTAGACACGGGGTTTCACCGTGTTGGCCAGGCTGGTCTCGAACTCTCGACCTCAAGTGATCCTCCCGCCTCAGCTTCCCAAAGTGCTGGGGTTACAGGCGTGAGCCAGCACGCCTGGCCGGGACCCTCAATTTTAGCCCTAGTAAAAGGCTGGGGTCTGTGACTCTATGGCTGTCGACTAACACTCTAATCTGACTCACTGGGGTTCCAATTCTGGCTCTGCCACTTGCTGTGTGGCCTCTTCCGGGCATTTCCCTCGCTGAGGCTCACTCTCCCTCCAGCGACGCCTGCCCCGATGCACATCCTGGAGCAGGTGCCCAACTGAACGTCAGCTCCCTCCAACCTCTATGGACCAGATGCTTCGGGGATGAGGGCAACTGCCTGGGCACATAGGGCTGAGGGAAAGCATGGCAGAGGCCTGGAACAGCCTTCTGCTTTACCTTGGGTGCCTGAGGGGCATGTGGTACCTGCTCCGTCATCCAGGGGGGCTGGCAGCCCCCCGGACACAGGACAAGGCTGGCTGGTTGTGTTCAGAGCCATGACAGCAGCAGTGCCTCCTCCCACCCATGCACAGAACACCCGGAAGGATGGATTCCTGTGAGGGACAATGACAAGGGGTTGCTGGTATGTTCATCAGAAACAAGTTCTTCTCTTGCCCCCGTCCCTTACTAAGCAGGTCTCTCTTCACCTCTTTAAGCCTCAGTCCTCATCTGTGAAATGGTGCTAAAATACTATCTCACAGGCCGGTGTGGTCCAAGAGAATTTGTAGGAACGATTGGCCTATTGATAGGTGCTCATTTAAATCTGGCTTCTCCTCTTTCCTGGGGAACACACATATCTAGGATGAAGAAGTGTTGAGGTTGAAAATTAAAAGTTCACATTGATTGGGCACCTCACCCTGGCAGGCCATGGGATGCAGCGTTTTGTTTTTAAATATTTCATTTGGTCCTCAGCTCCTGGAGGAGTCTGAAGCTGGGAGGTCAAGGCACAGGAACAAGACGCTAAGGTTGGGATCTGAGCCCAGCGCCTGTCCAGCTCCAGGGCACTGTGCAGTGGTGGTTATGGCCAGGGGCTTGGGAGTCAGAGGTGTGGGACTAAAACCCAGTTTGTTCATTTCCTACTGGCATGTTAGTTACTTAACCCATTGGTGTCAGTTTCCTCCTTTGTAAAATGGGAGTAACAGCACCTACTTTATGAGACTTCCATGAGGATCCGAGGCCATGATGCCCGAAGCATTTAGCCCAATGCCTGGCACACAGCCTGCATTCAAACAATGGTGGCTCTTGTTATTTACTAATCTGGCCCCTAAACAGAACACCCAGGAAGTAAGACGATGAATGGGTCGGGGACGAACTAGTGAAAATGAAGACTCTCTGGAGAGGGTGGGTCTGCCTCCTGCCACTTCCCCTGACTCCCCCCGCCAGGAGCTCTGGGTCAGCCTGGTGGCCTGCAGCCAGCACAGGTGGCCCCTCATTTCCTTAGAGGGCATGCTCCACTGGCGGCCCGTGGGACAGTGGTGGCAGGGACATCCGGCCTCAGTCAAATGGTTCACGCTCCAAGCCCTGGCCCTGGCCACAGCAGGGAAATGAAGGGGCTCCTTGGGCCACCGCAGACACAGGGACTTATTGTGGTGACCATGCAAAGAGGCCTCAGGTCCCCGAGCAGGCACTGGGCCCTCAAGAGCCACCAGCCCCAAGTCTAGGGGACGAGGTAGAGGAGAGAGAACAGGGTAAGCAACAGCTTTGAGTCACCCCTAGTCCAAAAGGAGGCAAAGGTGACAGGTTGAGGAAGGTTGGATAAAATAATATTAGGAGAGGAGGAGCTTGGAAGTCAGGAGCCCAATGGAGCAGGTGGCGAAGAGCGTGGGCCGTGGGCAGCTGCAGACCCGGGTGCAAGCCCGAGCCTTCCTCCTAACCAGCTGCGTGAGCTTGAGCTAGTTATCCCACCTCTGACCTCTGTGGGTCCTGCCACAGTTACCTGGTAAGGTCACTGCCAAGGCTCTAAGTGACCAGGTAGGTAAAGCATTTAGTAATTAGCCAACTCTGTCTCAGTGTGATCTTAAGCAAGTCACACCAATGGTTCAAACACATCCACAGCCTGCTGGTCCCACGACTATAAATGCAGTTGCCACCCTTCCCTTCTGTGCTCCAGCCTGGGGCACTCTGGGTATTGCCTATTGTCCCTGGAGGTGTCAGTGTGGTTTACAAAACAGCCCCTTTTACATCATGGGCAGGTGGGAACAGGCCAGGTCACATGTTTCCACCCCTCCACAAGTCACCTGGCCTGCATGGGCTAGGGCCCACAGACCTGGGCTCAAGCTAACTGGCTGCAGTGGCTCCTCTCAGTCATCGTTTGGCCAGCTGAGCGTGTCTTTCCAAGACAGCAGTCATATGTGCCTTCTTGTGGCTGTACCAGGAACGAATCCTTCCCCAACAGACCAGGGTTTACGTCTCAGCAATACCATACCCCCAGGAAGGCCCCTGACCTCTGTACCTAAATTTCCTTCTCTCCAAAATGGGAGGGTGGCAGAATTCCTTCCAAAGGCTGTTGTAAGGAAACATACTGGGCCTTCAGCACACATATTCATCAGGATCCTCCAGAGACACAGAACAGGAGCAAGAGAGAGGTTTTAAGAATTTGCTCATGTGATTATGGAGGCTTACTAAGTCCAAAATCTGCATGGCAGCCCAGCAGGCTGGAGGCCCAAGGAAGAGCTGCAGCGATTCAGTGCAAGGGGAATCTGCTGGCAGAATTCCTTCCCGCGTGGAGAGCTCATTCTTCACTTTATGAAGACCTTCAGCTGATTAGACCACGCCCACCCACAGGATGAACGGTCACCTGCCTTGCTTTTTACTTTTAAAACTCCACTGATTTAAATGTTAATCTCATCCAAATACACCTTCACAGAAACACCCAGAATGTTTGACCAAATACCTGGGCACCATGCCCAGCCAAAGTGACACATAAAATTAACCATCACCACACAGGATAGTGGTTCTTACAACGAAAATGGGTAACGGGTATTTTTTTTTTTTTTTTTTGAGGCAGAGTCTCACTTTGTCACCCAGGCTGGAGTACAGTGGCGTGATCTCAGCTCACTGCAACCTCTGCTTTCCAGGTTCAAGAGATTCTCCTGTCTCAGCCTCCCCAAGTAGCTGGGATTACAGGTGCATGCTGCCATGCCTGGTTAATTTTTTTATTTTTAGTAGAGATGGGGTTTCACCATGTTGGCCAGCCAGGTCTCAAACTCCAGGCTTCAAGTGATCCGCCTATCTCGGCCTCCCAAAGTGCTGGGGTTACGGGCGTGAGCCACCGCACCCGGCCTTATGGGTAATATTTTTGAATCATCATGTGTCTGGCACTATTCTAAGCATGTGGAAGTGTTAACTCATTCAATTCTCATGATGACCCATGGCGGGGAGAGGGGGCGGTTACCCCATCTTATGGATGAAGAGATGGAAGGTCAGAGAGGTTGCATAACTTTGTGGCAATCATCTGGCTGGCGGGGGGGCAGTGAGCCAGGATGTGAACCCAGCCCCACCGCCTCCAACAGACAATTTCAAACATCAGCACCTACTGTTCCTTCTGTCACACTGAGAGCACTGTGCCCATGACCAGGTGACACATTGGCAATGACACCAGACTTAAAAGATGTTGGCTGCCCCCACCATCCCCTCCAGAAAGACCATCCACCACTGTGATTAAGTAACAGGCATTTTATTGGGTGGCATCTGAGCAAATCCCATTGCCACCTCACAGTGTAGAACCAGTAGAACTAAGAATACTCCAGCCTGTGCCCCCACCCAGCCACCTGCCCCGGCCCCTCATGGGAAATGACACATATCCTGGAAGGACACAGAACCCACACCCAGCCCAGCTGGCACCAGCACCCACCCCCATCCATGGGCCAGTGGCACTTGGGGAATGGCCACACCAGCTCCGGGTGGGGTCCCATGCAGGCATCCTGGAGGAAGACCCAACACTTTCACAGTCCCCTAAGAACCATCCTTGAAAGTCATGCTTTACAGATCTCTGACCACTCAGAATCCAAGCAGGAGGCATCTGTGGGAGGAATCGTGGTCACAGATTGGCTGCGTCAAAAAAAGAATGGGCCAGTGAGGGACTGGTCCACACAGAGCCACTCCCAGGCAGAGGAGGATTCTACAGGCAACGTCCTCGGCCCATGCTGACGAACCCAAGGCCAGGCCTCTGGGGGCTGGGAGAAGGGAGGGCCAATGTCTGCCTTGGCCTGTGTCACCATGGCACAGTGGTGGCTGAGCTCCTGCAGGGAAATCCCAGACCCTGAGACTGGCTCTAGGAGTGGAGGTCTCTACAGGTAGGGCCTGAGGATCAAAGGGAAGGCTGACATAGGACGAAGGCCCATCCAAGGTTTTCCAGAATCACGGCCTAAACCGGCAGGACCATCCCATCCCACGCCTTGGCAGGTGGCCTCCAGCGGCCCCCCAACCCCGCCATGTGGTGCAGACCGGGAATCACACAGGCCTCGGCCAAACACAGGCACCTGGAGTAAGGCATGCCAGCATCTAAGGTGTGTGGCTGGGGACAGGGGCCTACTGGCCCAGGTGGGTCTGGGCAAAGATACAGTGAGGAAGGTAGACAGCCCAGACCAGAGAGGGCAAGGCCAGCTGGTGCCCCCTGTGCCCCACAGGTCAGTCTGAGTTACACTTTACCCTGGACACCTGGAGGGGCAGGGATCAAGGCCAGGAGCCTCTGTGAGTGGTGAGGTTTGCCAAGGGGCCCAGAATGGCCTCCTTTTCCCCAAAGGATCCCAAGAGCTGCTCCATCTCCTTTCCCCAGGTCCCTGAGCCACTGGGCCCAGTGGAGGGCAGAGGGAGAACCTGCCAGGCACCAGGGTCATACCTCCCACATGGCCGATGGGATAAGGGGTAGTGGCCATGTTCCTCCCCAGCACGATCTCAAACCAGAGCCTGAGGCATGGGAGAGGCCAGAATACAGTGGTAAGAAGGGAGTCAAGCCCGGATTATAGAAAGGCAGCTGTGCATGAAGAAGGGGTGGAGGGGCTGGAGTGGGGTCTGTGCAGTGAGGTCGGCCACCTGGACGGACAGACAGCTGGACGGTGGAGCCCGAGAGGGGCTCACTGCATGTACGCGTAGCTCCAGTCCCCCAGGGGCTTATGTGTCTCCTTGATGACCTGCGGCGACGTCCAGCGCAGGATGTAGTGTGGGCCCCCTGGCTTGTCATTGGTTCCTGCGGAAAAGACACTTCTGTTTTTCTCTGAAAAGATGCAACAGCCTGGGCAGAAGGGGAAGGGAGGAGATGATGGAATCAACGGACCAGCAGTGTAGCGGCCAGCAGCGAGCCTGCTGCCAAGCTTGGGGCATGCAGAAGAGCCAGAGGGATGGACAGGAGACCCTGCCTCCAGTCTCCAGTCTGTGGGGAGCCTCCATTGTTCTCTCCAGTCGCACCCAGCCTTGCATCCTTGCTGGGATGCGAGGATGTCTAAGAGGCAGGGTGTGGCGTGGAGAGAACACTAGACTGAGAGGCAGGGACTTGGCATGGTCCTGGGGTGCCATAAGAGGTACATATCTAGCCTTCACCCCTGGTTCCTAGCCAGAATTCCTAAAGCTCTTGGAATTTCCAGAGTGATGGGGGTGAAAGGAGTGTCTTCCGTTATTCATAACAAGCCCCTTCTAATCACACATGAGTTTATGCTAATGAGGGCTCTTGCAGGATGGCACTGATTGGCAAAGGAACCAACCCTGTGATTAGAGGCTTGGAACCTTCAGCCCCAGGGAGGGCAGAGGGGCTGGAGGTTGAGTCGACCCCAATGGCCAATGATTGAATCAATCGTGCCTGTGTAATGCAGCCTCCATAAAAACCTAAAAGGACAGGGTCGGGAGAGCTTCCAGATTGGTGAACACGTCCACATGCCAAGGGGGTGGCACAGCCCGAACTCCAGGGGGACGGCGGTGCCCCTGCCGGGGACCCTTCCAGTCTTTGCCCTATGTGTCTGCGCATCTGGCTGTTCATCTGTATCCTTTAAAATACCCTCTGCAATACATGGGTAATAGTAAGCACGCTTCCCCTCGGTTCCGTGAGCTGTTCTAACAACGTATCAAAACTCAAGAGGGCATCATGGGAGCTTCTAATGCGTCGCAAAGTCAGACAAGGTGTGGGTAACCTGGGGTCCCAGTACTTGTGATTGGCATCTGAAGTTGGGGGGTCAGTCTTACGGGACTGAGTTCTTAACCTGTGGGGTCTGCACTAACCCCAGGCAGTGAGCATCAAGTTAAACTGTAGGACACCCAGCCAGCATCCATCAAGAGCTGGAGAACTGGTCGGTGTGGGAAACCCCAGCACGCCTGGGTTCAGCCCTGGCTCTGCCACTCAGGAGCAGTCACCTTTGGCAAGCCATTGCTCCTCCTGAGCCTCAGTTCCCCATTGTGAAGTAGAGGTTGTTGGACTTAAGGGACACTGGCTATGGTGCAGAAAGTGCGGCTGCTGGAGCCAAAATTACAATCCCACCAGGGTCATGTGGCCTTGAGCCTCAGTTTCCTCCTCTGTAAAATGGGAAGAATAGTCCCTTTGCTCACGAGTTTGCTGAAAGGACCCTGAGCTAGTGCACTTGCTTGGCCCACAATAAGTGCTCAGTAAATGGTATCCTTCCTATTACTCTGAAGCCCCTCGAGACGTAACATCTAGGGTCTCCCACCAGGAACTCAGCTCCCCTGTGGGAAGGGGGACCCACTCACCAGAGGCTCGGGCCCCCCCAAAGGGCTGCTGGCCCACTATCGAGCCAGTGGACTTGTCGTTGATGTAGAAGTTGCCGGCAGCATTCCTCAGCACCTTTGTGGCCTCCTGCACGACGTCCCTACAAAGCAGAGCAGTGGTGACAGAGCAACCAGCTCATCTCCCCTCCAGCCCCAGCTCCAGCCTCAACACCCCTGCTCCAGCCCACACTGGCTTTCCAGGTTCAACAGGAGGCCGAGTCAGGGATGAGGGATGCTGCCAGCTGTTGGCTGTGGGCCTTCGGTCAGGTTACCCAGTCTCTGAGCCCAGCTTCCTCCTCTGGGGAGGGGCTTGGCACGCCTCGTTACAGGGCTACTGCGAAGTTGAAGGGAGTGGCCTGTCCTGGTCCAATGTTCCTGTCCCTCAGGAGCAGCGGAAACTCCAGCTCCCAGGCCCACACCCTTCCTCCCTCTCCAAGCTCACCTCCACTTTCTCATAGAGGCAGACATGGGGGCAACCAGTGCCACGGAGGAAAGAAGAGGCGAAGCCTCAAGTTTAGCCTCATGTGACCCAGGTTCGAATCCTGCCTCTGCAGCCCCTGGCCTGCCCTGCTTTGTAGCATGGGACAATCACCTCACTCAGTGGGGCAACACCAGATCCCGCAGAGCCAGTCGAAGACACCAATTCCTAGCCCTGCCCCTAGAGGTTCAGATCCACTGGTCCCCAGTGGCACCCTGGCACCGGCACCACCAGTACCGGCAACAAAGAGCCTGCTGCTGTGGGCCCATGTGGCGAGCCCTGGCTGCCTGTCTGGGCTGAGGGGAGGGGACAGAGAGAAGGTAGGGGCAGCATTATTACTGGGAACCACGTCCAGGAGGTGGGGATGGGGACACGGACAGGACACCCGGAGCACAGCACCAGGGCTGCGGCCTGGCCACTCACTTATCCTGGGAGAACACTGCCCCCGTGAGGCCATAGCTGGTGGTGCTGTCAACCAGCTGCAGCGTCTCCTTGTACTTGTCATCCGGGTAGACGTACACAGACAGTACAGGCCCGAAGATCTCCTAGGAGAGAGGCCCCGGCGTCAGACCCTCCACGGGACCAGGGACCAGGGCCCTGAGCCCTCCCAGTGCCCCTGCTCTGGCTCACCCTCTCCCCAGTCCCTGGGCCTCAGTTTACACTTCAGTGTCTGCAAGAAGGGTCAGGTGTCGCCTCCTCCTGGGTTCCCTCCAGGACAGCAACGTGCCCAGCTCCCTGTCCTGTCCATCCCACCACAAGCCGGCAAAAGATGCAAACATTTTCTGGCTCTCCCTGCCAAACCCACACCCGGAGAACTAAGGGTCCAGGTCCCAGAGGCTTCCAGCAGCAGCTGGCATGAGAGTTGCCCAGAGATACCATTCCCTCCAGAAGGGTTCATGGTTCCCTCTGCCACCAAGGGGCTGGGGGGAAGATCTTCTCAGGCACACTCCAGCCCTGCACTACCAACTTGGGCAAGTGCCTTGACCTCAGTTTCTCATCTGTAAAATGGGAACAGTAACACCCACGTCATCTCAGCCAAGTGCTCAGCCACAGCTGGCCCCACAGTAAAAGTCTATCAGTGTCAGCCATTATGATGGCTGCAGTGGACGTGGTTGCTGAGGGCACTGGAAATGCTCAGACCCCAGCCAGGGTCAAGGACACAGCCCCGGATTTGGAGTTAGGCAGCCTGAGCTCAAAACCTGGCTCTACTCTCTCCCGGTCGGAGGCATTCCCTTTTAGGGTCTCCCTTTAGGGCCTCATCTGTGAAATGGGAGAATGTCTCCAGGAGAACTGTGTGTGTGCTGTGCTCCGGTGGGATTGTCCTCCTCTGGACCCCAGGCTGCCCACCCCAGTCACCTCCTTCATGATGGGCTCCTGAGGGTCCTTGCTCTCCACGATGCAGGGCTCCACAAAGTAGCCCACGGAGTCATCACACTTGCCCCCGGCCAGGATGGTGAGGCTGGGTGAGGAGCGTGCGTGCTCCAGCCACTTCTTGATACGGGCAAAGGACTGGGGTGGGCAGGGAGGAGGGAGGTCTAAGAGGCTGGGAAGGCATCCCTGCGGCAGCCCCCACAACACACTCACCCCGAAACACCTGCACCTGAAGGGCCCAACTCCTGAAACAGGGGCAGGGGTAGGGGACGCCAAGGGCAAAAGCCAGGGTCTGGCTGAGCCACAGCAGAGACAAGGACAGACATGAACACTGTGTGTGTGTGTGTGTGTACACACACAAGTGTACGTGTGTTAGTACTACAGGTGCACTCGCATATAAACACAGACACACATCAATCAATGCATATATAGGCATATGCATGGTCACATGTCTAAGCATGTAGGGATCTGCATGCCTTCTCCATGTACATGCGTGTGGGTGGACTTATCGACATATGCGTGTGTGTGCTTATGTGCAAATGGATATGTACGTGTTTATATGGAAAGACCTACATGTGGAGCCACACGGAGCCCTATATGAACACATTCACAAACACACGTGTACATGCACTCATGCAAATGCTATTAGGAGCTCGCTGAGCCTGGTTCCAGGGTGGCCGCAAGATGAGCTCTTGTCTGGCTACGGCTGATTCTGCCCTTTCTGAAGCTGGAGGTGCGTGTGTGGCTGCTGAGCTGCCTTGATCAAAGCAGTGGGGCTGGGTCATGCCCTGGGTCAGGGTACCCTGTATCTCTTCCTCCCTCTTCCACCCACTCCAGGGCTTGCCCCCACCCAGGAACGCCCACTTCCCACCCCGTACCTTGGCATCAATCACTGCAGAGAAGAAGGTCCCAAAATCCTCTGCAGGCTGGAGGCAAGGGAGGCGCCAGAAGAGACGAGTCACTGCAGGCCGAGACCAAGGGAGACCCCTCCCCGCACACCCCAGCCCCGGCTGCAGAGGAGCCTCCCAGGGACCCAATCCCATCAGCCCCCCGCTGGGCCGCGGCGGGGGTGACGGTGCCACTCACGTCGCCCACTTTGATCCGACTGTGCTCCTCCAGCAGCCGCCCTTTGATCTGCGGCCACAGCGAGTGCGGCACGTAGAGACGCGAGCACGCGGAACACTTCTGGCCACCGTACTCGAAGGCTGAGCGGAGGGTCCCGCTCACCACGCTCTCCACGTCGGCCGAGCGGTGCACGAAGTGGAAGTTCTTTCCGCCGCACTCTACAGGGGTCGGGGGTGGGGAAATGACCAGAGGAGCTGGCTCCCCCGGTTGCCCAGGGGCCCAAAACACCACCTACGCCATCCATGGCCCGGGACCAACACGAGCACGGAGCAGCCCAGAGCGGGCGGAGGCTCAGAGTGAGCGCTGGCCAACATCCCAGAGACCCACGGGCCAGGCCCATTCTCCCACTCCACAGATGAGGAAACTGAGGCCCAGGGAGGGGTGAAGGGCATCAGAGGTGATCAGGTCCAACAGCCCCATTACACTGATGGGAAAACTGAAACTACCCAACACAACAGCAGAGGACAGATGAGAACCCAAGGCCCCCGAGAGCCAGCCATTCCCAGAAGTGGGCACAGCTTTTTGTGAGGTTCTCCTGAGCCCTCGTCCACGAGGGACATTGGAGCCTACCCTATGTCGGCTGCCAGGGTTGGGCCCCTCCTCCCCACGCGTGCTGGAAACCGCTCCCCCATTTCCCCAGTGGGAGGGAGCTTCAGACAGGTCACTTCACTCTCCCGGCCTCAGTTTCCTCCCTCCGTGGGAAGCAGCAGCTAACAGCAGCTGAAAGCACTTAACAGCTGCCCAACTCTGGACGAAGTACGCTGTGCTTTGTCTGACCAAAGCCTCACAACAACCTCCCATTACTATCCCCAATTTCAAGCCAAGAAAACTGAGGCACAGAGAGATGAAGTCACCTGCTCCAGGTTGGAAAGTGGTAACCAGCGGCCTCTCTCCCTCAGGGAGGCAGGGAAGGAGGCTCTGAGAGCAGAAAGCCACACAGCTGACCCTGAGGAGCGCTCACCTTCCCTGACACCCCCATCCGAACTCCCACCAGTCCAGGAACAGGGTCCAGACTCCCCAGTGGGCCCCAATTCACGCCACAGAGAAACATGCTGGACCACCGGTCCCAGCTCTGCTGGTCACGTGCTGGCTGCAACTCTCCCTCCCTCTAGGCCTCAGCACATTCCCAAAATGTGCTCCACAAAACACTTGGTCCATGGGGGTCTTTGCAGAAACGGGGTTCCATGGCCCAATGCGTGTGGGAAACACTACATGGCAGACCTTGTCCTTGAAGATGTGCCATGCGTATTAGAGCATTCAAGGCTCTGAGAAGTTCTGCACGGGAGGAGTCCATTTTGCTTTAACACCACACATGCCAAATTTCCTTGACCATGAAACTGTTTCTTTGTGGGAAAACTTTAATATGCCAACAAGGTCCAGCCCTGCCTACGTCTCAGCCCGTCTTCTCCTACCAGCCCTCCTCCCTCCCTACTCATGGGCCTTGCTTTGTTTCTTCAAATACAAGTTCATTCCCACTTCTGGTCTCTGCATTTGCACTTGCCTCCGCTTACAGCTGCAATGCCCGACACGGCAGCCACCAGCCACGACTGGCTACTAAGATTTAACTTAATTAAAATGAAAGAAAACTAGATAATGCAGTTCCTCAGTCGCACAGGCCACCCTTCAAGGGCTCCATGGCCATGTGTGGCTGGTGGCTGCATATTGGAGAGTGAAGGTACTGGACGCATCCCTCATCACAAAAAGTTCTACTGGGCAGTGCTGGTGCCTGAAATGGTTCATCCACCTGACTTGTGGCTGGATCCCCTCTACCTCCCTCCTCTTTCATAATGGCCAGGGGAGGGGTCCCTGGGGCCACACGGGAGGAGGAGGTGAGGCAGGCCTTACCTCCAGCCAGGCGTGGGAAGGTGTGGAACCGGTCCAGGTTCTGGGCCACCTGCTTCCACAGGTGTTTGAAGGTGCTGGAACCACAGGAGAAAGGGTGGGGTTCAGGGAGCCAGGCCAGAGGAAGGGGGCGGAAAAGCCCAGGGAGGAGCATTGCCGGGGGCAGCCCAGCAGGAGGTGGGAGCCAAGTCGGGGATGGCGGCTGGGAACAGGCTGCATTCCAAGACTACGGGGAGCGGGCAACGGGGGGCTAGGCAGCAAGATGCTGCAGAGGAGGTCCATGTTCTGCAGCCAGGAGGACACTAAGGGCTGTGTGATCCTGGGTTCATTACTTAACCTCTCTGAGCCTCGAATTCTGCACCTCATCTGGGAAACAGGGAGAACAATCCTGACCTGGCAGGGTTGTTTTGTGATGAGTTCAAGTGTGAGGCATGTGCTTAAGACATGCTGGGCACACTGCAGGTACCTGGCAGGGAACAGACCCCGCTGTGGTCTGCGAAGGATCCCCCCCAAGCCCAGCGCCCAGGCCTGAGAGGCCAAACCGAGGAGAGTCCTGGGAGAGGGAGCTCAGGCCCCGCCCGAAGCCACCACCCTGGAGGGCCTCGCCTCCTCCCCAGGCTCCAAGTGTGACCAACCTCAGCACCACAAAACAATAAAAATGCTAATCACCCGGGAGCCAGCGACACAGTAGCTAATACTAATTTATGGCCTTCCCACCTTTAAGCCCGCTGCTCATCAGAGCGTGGAGAATGGGGTCCAGGCCCGCTCCGCCCGCTGATAGGCGGGGAGCCCAGGGGCCCGTGGCTGGCAGAGCAGGCCTTTTGGAAAACGGCCCTTCTCAGCAGTTCTAACGCTGCCACCACCCACTCCCACCCCCAGCAAAGCTGCGGGGAAGGGGGTGGCAGAGCCTGGGGCCTGGAAGAGGAGGTAAGAAGGACCCTGAGCTGCAGACCCGGGCGTCTGGCTGCCTCCAGGCATCTCCACCCAGATAACACCCGAAGTGACCAACAGGAGATTCATCTTCCCCCGAGCCCGCTCGCCCTCCCAGGTGCCCATCTTGAACATTCTCGCTGACAACCCCCCTCATCCCCACACGCACCCCAACCCCAACTCCAGGACAGGCAATGGCCACTGTGCCTCCCTGCATCCTTCTCACCTGAACCTGCCCCCTTCTCCACATCCCCCATCTCTCCCCTGGTTCAAGCCCCTACCACCCCTCCCTGGAGGTCAACAGTCCCTGGCCAGTCTCCTGCATCAGGTCACAGAGAGATCACTGAGAATGAGGGTGCCAACACAGGGGCCCAGAGGAGCCAGCAGGGAAAGGAAACAGCGTGGATCAGGTATGCAGGGAGCCAGAGGGCACCCACCCACTTCCAGCCAGTGGTACCACCAGGAAATGCAAGATCAGAGCATCCAGGTCCAGGGGACCAAGACAGGCCAATATTTGGATTTATCTATGAAATTGTCCCAATTATACAAAGTTGGGCCATCACTGTTAGGAGTCAAAGAAAGTAGAGCCTCTTGCCAGATCCAATTTGGGGGCCATTATTTGCAATCTCTGCCTGACACAGAACTCTGACTCAGCCACTCTCCCTGCTTGAAGCCTTCCATGGCTCCCATCACCTTCAGGATAAAGGCCAGACACCTTTGCAGACTCCTAAGTATCTTATGGTCACTGAACCACTCCCTGCCGCCACCTCCAGCCTGAGAGCCGGGACCTTGTCCCTGGTGTGTGCTCACCACTGAGCCTTAGTGTGAGCTCCAAATTTCCTGCTCAGCCAGTGAGTGCATGGATGGTCGAGATCAGGTAGTGGCCTGCCTCCCCTACCTCAACTCAAACCATGCCCTGCCCTCACTCTCTTGCCCTGTCGCCCCCAAACTCCACACTCCAGCCACACAGGATCCTGCCATGCCCCAGAGCACAAGTTTTTGGCTTGGCAACATTGTATGTGCTATTCCCTCTCCCAACATATATATTCTTCTCCTGCCTCTTCCCCTCTGCCTGGCCAACTCCTCTGCTTAGATGTCACCTCCTCCAGGAAGGCTTCCTGACTCCTCCAGTTCATTCTGTGCTCCCCTGTGCCCTTTCCAGTAGCAGAGGTAGCACTGAAATCAATATTACCCACAGCTGTAGGGTGCACTTCCAGTCTGCGAAGCTCTTTCCTGTTCATTAACATGTTTAATCCTTGCAATGACTCTGCAAATTAAGGATAATCACTCCCTGTACAGGTGAAGAAATGGAAGCTCAGAGAGGTGAAGTGGCTCACTCATAGCCACACAGCAAGTAAGGGAGTAGAGTCCGTGCATGACCCCTGGGTTCACAGCCCCATCCCCAGGCAGACAGCAGGTGAGCAGGTGAACGTCCCCTAGCCACCACAGCCTACACCATCCCCAGGGACTTACGGCACACTGCCTGTGAAGTTGATGCCACAGAGGTGCTCTGAGCTGGTGACAGTGTCCCCAAATAGGGGCCCATCAGCTGGCACAAACTGGATGATGTTGGGGGGCAGGCCAGCCTCCCGAAGGATGCGGTAGACAGCATAGCTGGCCAGCATGGCAGTGTCACTGGGCTTCCATAGGACCACGTTGCCCTGCCCGGGAGGTGTTTCAGTGATGCATGAGGATGGCGCCACCAGCCCCCAACCCCCACCCCACCCTACCCTACAGCATGGTTGTCCCTCACCTGGAACCACCAGACTCTGTGCCAACCAGGACATCCCCTACCCGACCCCACTCCTCCAAGGCGTCTGGCCCTATCTCCAAAAGTCCCTGCCAAGGAGGCCACGGCACAGCCCAATCTGCCCCACGCTCTGGCCAAGGCTCCCTTTCCCCAGAAGCCTGCACCAACCGGTCCTGCCATCACCTAGGCAGGTCTGTTCTTACTGCTAGAGTCACTGAGTGCTCACCGGGCGCGGCGGGGCAAGTACACACGGGCTCTCTCAGCACATGTCCTGGGTCAGGCATGTGCAGCAGCCAGGCACGTGGGCGCCTGGCCATGCACCGTGTTTGTCTGTGCACAGATGCATGAGGACGTCCCCATCCATGTCCCTAGTACACACTCCGGCATCAGCATCCAGTGCCCCTGTCTGGGGCTCGGGGTTCCCGACAACTATGTGGACCTCTCCCACCCAGGCTGTCTGGGAGCTGGGCTGCACCTCCCCCACAGGCCTGGGACTTCATCCAGTAATAGCCAACCTCACTCCGATAATGGCAGAGGAGTGACTTGAATACCATCAACCCCGAGAGAGACTACATCCAAATCTTTCTCTGCTCCATCATTTATTTACTAGTCACTCAGTCTTGCCAAGTAAGTCACGGCTGTGTGTCTCAGTTTTGTCATCTGGCAAAGAGGCAGAGTCACAACTCCCTCTCGAAGCTGCTGAGAGGATGAAATGAGATCATCTCCATGCCGTGCTTGACAGCAGCAGGCACGTGGTGAGCACTGAAGGTCAGCGGTAATGATCATCAACAGAGCCACCAACACTCAGCCAGCTCCGGGCCAGCCCTGCCTGCTGCTGGATGTGTCTCATTTGAGCCTCACAACCCAGTCATGGAGGCTTTCCTATTATTTCCACTTTGCAGATGAGGAAACTGTGCCTCAGAGAAGTTCAGGGATTGCCAGGGTCTCCCAGGCAGAGAGGCACGACGCTGGGATTCAAACTGGGTCTCTGGTCCCAAAGCCTACCCACAGCCCCAAGCTGCCTCCACCTTCTGTGCCTCTCCCCATGACTAGGCTGAGACCCAAGGGGCTCAGGGTGGCCTCTGTCTGTCTGTTGGGACCAGGAGGACAACCAGCTGCCGCTGTCCCACCTGTGCCCACATCTCACCATCAGGGCCGGTGCCCCCGCCAGGTTGCCGCCGATTGCAGTGAAGTTAAAGGGCGAGATGGCCGCCACGAAGCCCTGGGGAAGGAGGCAGCGGTGAGATCAGGCCCATGGCATTGGGCTGCCCCGCCTGCTCGCCCACTGCCTCCTGCAGGTACCTCCAGACCCCGGTACACCGTGCTGTTGGTGCTCGGGGGCACGCTGATGGGCTGCTGCCCCTCCAGCTCCACCGCATACTTGGCATTGAACCGGAAGAAGTCGATGAGTTCCGCTGCAGCGTCAATCTCCGCTTGGATCACGGTCTTACCCTGCAAGGCAGAGGGCCGGGGGTCAGGAGCAGCCAACAGCCTCCTGTCCATCCTCTTCTCACATCTGACGCTGTGCCCAAAGCGAGCACTGAGCCGGGCCCCAGGAGGGACCAGGAAACATTTGGAGGGCTCACCAGGTCCCATCCCAGGGGCTGAGGGGGAAAGGATTCTCAAGCCCCTGAGCTAGCACCTCCTGTAGCCGGCCCTCTGGGCTGGACGGGGATCAGAAGAATTTTAGTGATCCTCTGTAGCAGGCCAGGTACTTGCCATGCACTGTCTTCATTTCATAGCAACTCTGAATGGTGGTGCATGGCAAAGGATCTATGGTCAAGCCTCAGACTAAATTCAGGATCAGAGCCTTCCAGACAGAAGGGCAGATTAGCATGAGCTGGAGATTGGTCACTGGAAAACCAGGAGAGAGACTCGGTGTGTGGGAGGTGGATGGCTCCTTCCCCAGGAATGATGTTCGGCCTTGCTGGTTAGTTTGGGCCAAAAACCAAGAGGCGAGTGACTGTGATTCCCTTAAACCGTCAATTCTTAATAACAGCAAATGTGAGCTGCAGGGAAAAGAACTGTGGACAGCCAAGAACGGGGCTTTTCCAGATTGACGTGGCCTCCTCTTGGCACCCAAGGTCACTGGCAGGTGCACGACCTATTAGAGACACACAGCCCATGAAGCTGAGCTAAGATGTGTACCTTGCTTCCTAGAAGTTCCTGAGTCTTAGGCCAAATACAGAGAAAGCCTAAACTGATCCTAGACTGTCTTCCCAGCAACGTGCGGCTCACCAGGAACACGCAGAGCTGACGCCCACCCCAGAGGGCTGCTGAGCCAATCTAAGAAGGCATTTAGCAGGCTGAGGGGCTGTCATACCAGCTCTGTGCAGCAGAGGGGGCGCTCACCATGGGGACCGAGGAGCAGGCAGTGGCAAATGCCTGATCCAGAAAGCAGCCTGGGTTCTGGCTCCTGCAATTTACCCTTCAGGAACCCAGGTTAGTTGGCAGCGTAGGGCTCAGGTCCTGGAGGTGGTGAAATAACCCTTTCTCCCTCGACTCCTGTCCCCCGCACACTCTGCCTGCTAGAGCCACTCCTCACTCAACTTGCATTTAGCAGGGTGAGGAGCTGTCATGCCAGCTCTGTGCAGAGAAAACCATTGATCAGGGGCTTGCTATGCCTCCTGAAAGGTATCATGCAAAGCCCAGAAAAAGACCGAGAATGTCAAGACATGTTTACTATGTCCAAAAAGCTTGTAAAGGGGCAGTACCTAGGAACTCAATACACTCCAGTGCAATCTGAGCTGTAACTGATGCAGGAACAACATGCTCTGGGGAAACAGAGGCAGGAATAGTCCTTTCGGCTGGAGAAGGCTCAGGAAGTCTCACGGAGGGGGTGACATCTGGGCTGGACCAGGAGGTAAGAGTTCACTGAGCACGGAAGAGACAGCAGGCATTCCAGGCAGGAGGACACGTGGGCAGAGGCAGAGAGGATGCCTGCCATGGCCGGGGAGTCCTGCTAAGTGCCAAATGGCTACACTATGGGCAGGACAGCTTGGCAGGGAAATGCAGAGCAGTGGGCGAGCTGGACAGAGGTGGGCAGAAGGGCCCTGGGTATGGGGCTCAGGTCTTGGGACTTGCCTCTCAGTGGTGGAGAGGTCTGGGTGGGTCATAAGCCAGGAGTAACATCCTGGAGGTGTTGGAAAGACCACTCTGAGGGCGGCGAGGGGCTGACCAAGCTAGGAGGCAGGGAGACAGTGCAGGCCACCACCAGTCCAGGCAAAGCATGACAAAGGCCTAGGAGCGAGGACAGAGGGATGGAGGAGAGGGGACATTTCCGAGGCAGGACACATGGGCTCTGCACAATCTGTCTCGCCTAATAATCTGTGATCATCCATCCCAGCTCCTAGGCCTTGTCCCTTGAGGACATCTCTGGGTCCCCAAAAGGGCTTAGGACCCAGAAGCGCTTCAGCTGATGTCTGCTGCCATGGGTAGGGCACACCTGACTCCCACCCCACCCCGCCCCACCCACCCGGGCCCACCAGCACCTCACCTGTCCCACCATGGTCTTGGCGAGGATCTCAGCCCTGCGCGGCCCACTCAGCATGTCTGCCGCCTTCAGGAAGATCTGGGCCCGGTCTGCAATAGGCTTCAGGTCCCACTCTTTCCGGGCAGCCAGGGCAGCCTCAATGGCTTTGTTGAGCAGGCTCTAAAGGGAGAGGGAGAGGTTGGGGACTGCCACCTGCAGCGGGAAAGGCCCTGGGGAGTGAGCGAGGGAGGAGAGACCTGGGAGGCCACTCTCTTCCATCCGGGGACAATGCCTGTCTCCCTGGGCCCTCAGCCCCCTGCCACCATAGCTGCCAACAACAGCGTCCCATCAGAGCCTGTAGTGGCTGCCAGTCTGAAGCCTGAAGGGCCCGGCCAGGTTGGTCAGCTCTCCGAGGCCTTGGCACTGAGTCCCGCAGCTGTTACACTGGCTCCACTTTCTCTCATGGTCTAATCAAAACCTTACCTTATTCTTGGGACCTGGTGCCCCTTAACCCACCATCCAGAAACTTGAGGTCAACTGGAGCCTGAGACACGGCTCTGCTGCTGGCCTCCCAGACCCCAACTGCCCTCATCGCCACACAATGCCAGTTCCTGGACCCCCAGCCACCCCAGCCCCTCCTGCTGGCCCTTTCCAGTGCCAATTCTTGGCCTAGCTTTCCATCAATGGTGTCTCCAATTGCCCTGACTCAGCCTTCCAGAATCCACCTCCTCCCCAGTCCAAGGTCTGCCCCACCACAATGGGCATGTCTGGGAATGTCTCAGCCCTGGCTGAGGCAGCTTGTGTTTGGCTCAAGTTAACCTTTGTATGCCTGGCCCAGTCAAAGACATCACCCAGGGACTCCCTCAGTGTCAGCCACCCCCTGCCCACCTACCCACCATGGCCAAAGAAGGACACAGCAACTGATGCCCCCTGCCCCCGCCATATCAGCAGCTGGCAGGGCAGAGCAGGGGCAGCAACCCTAACCCCGGGTCACCAGGCACACAGGCTCACTCACCTTGTCTGCATAACAGAACTTGGCCACCTTATGTCCATGGTTAAAAGGCTGAAAGGAGAGAAGAGTGAGGTCCTTGCCCGGGAGGGAGGTGCCAGGATAAGGATGAAGAGGACTGGACTCAGAGCCGGTTTTCCAGGAAAGTCCTGGACACGCCTGCTGTCCCCCCTCCCCCGCTCCCATGAAACCCTCCCCAGTGCCCGGCCCACAGGTTGCTCCCTGTTAAGGGTGCTGGTGTACCCGCTATACCATGAGTAAGACATGGCTCCTTCTCCAGAAGGCTCAGAGTCCAGGAGAAAGGCATAGACCCCAGGGTCTTTCCAGGAAAGCACGGACCTTTGTGGTCAGAGAGACATGGGTTCGAATCCTGGCTCTGCCACCTACTAGCTGTGGGGCCCCAGGTAAGCTCACTTCCTTCCCTAAGTCTCTTCATCTAGGAAATGGGGACTGCCCTCCCTGTCTCTTAGCATGGACAGGAGAACCAAAGGGGATCATGGATGAAAATTCTTTGGTCCAGTATGAGGCTGCGACTATGGGCAACAAAACCAGGTGAGGCCCAAAAGAATGCACCGGTGTTGTGACATGCTTGGGACTTCCGCCCTGCCCCGAAGCCATCATGGACAGAGCAATTGTTTCCTAAGCCCCAGATTTACTAATCTAAATAGGAAGATCCTCAACAAACATTTATAAACACAACCTGGTGTTGGTCCAAACCGCACCATTTTGTCAGCTCCCCGCTATTTTGCAGACCTCGGGCCAAGTGAAACATTTCACAGGAGCTCAGGCCATGAGAACCATCCGGCTCAGCCGCCTGACCGCAAGGCGGACGAAGGCCCACCTAAAGAAACTTCCCTGTTGGCCGGGCGCGGTGGCTCACACCTGTGATCCCAGCACTTTGGGAGGCCAAGGCGGGCGGATCACAAGGTCAGGAGATCGAGACCATCCTGGCTAACATGGTGAAACCCTCTCTCTACTAAAAATACAAAAAATTAGCTGGGCGTGGTGGCGGATGCCTGTAATCCCAGCTACTGGGGAGGCTGAGGCAGGAGAATGGCATGAACCTGGGAGGCGGAGCTTGCAGTGAGCCGAGATCGCACCACTGCACTCCAGCCTGGGCGACAGAGCGAGACTCCGTCTCAGAAAAAAAAAAACCATCCCTATCATATCTTGCTGGGTAAAGGTACAAGGAACACCACGATGACATCCCACCGGAGAGGGCCAAACCACCTGATCATAACAACATCTTATCAATATCCTGCCAGGCAGCAAGCCATACTGCCCAGACCCGTCTCACCCATACCGATGAGTACCTCAGCCTGTAAGCAGCGGTGGGCCCTGGCATTAAGCTGGTCCCCCACTTCCTCAGGTTTCTGCAATATACTGGTGTTGCTGTTTCAGCTGCCCTCTCTCTGTGTGTGTGTCTTTCTTTAACCCCTGTCTTCCCTTCAAAACCTAATGCCCGGCAGTGGTGAACGCTAGCATGACCAATGAAGCAGGGAGAAATTTCACTTCTTTCCTTCCTAGGGCTGGCAAGATAGTTTATATCGTAATAGCTGACACTTTTGCTACCTATCCGTCTTCTGGTGGGTTATTGGAGCTTTCCTGTCTAAAAGAGTAGCCACGAGCCACATTTCACATGCTCAACAACCACACGTGGCGGCTCATGGCCGCTGGAACGGACAATGCAGATCTGGAACATTTCTGTCCTCACTGCAGGAAATTCTACTGGCCGGCGCTGGTCTAGGCTTGAGTAGAAAGTGACCATTCTCCTTCATGTTAAAGCTTGGCACAGTCACTCTGTATTCGGGCCACACCTGAGATTGGCCTGTGATGCTTAAGGGCAGAGAAGGTGGCTGCGACCTGGGCCCCAGTGGACTGCAGAACCCCGTCAGCACTATGTCCCGGCAAACATAGATCCTGCCCTCACATGCCCCAGAACCCCAAATGTCTCGTGCCACAGTGATCAGCACATGGCCAGAATCTCCAGCCAGGTCGGCAAGGCAATGTGGGAAATGAAAATCAGCAGTATCCACCCAGGGGCTTATCAGAATGCCGGAGCCTCGCTGCCTGGAAAAATCCCAGCTGCCATGCAGCCTCAGACGCCTGCGGAGCTACAGGTGAGGGCAAGCTCTAGGCAGCTACAGAGACAACCAGGGAGCTGGGTGGCAGGTGCTGCTGTCAGCTGGCACCTGCACACACACCCAGTGACAGACAGAGTGACCTGGCCAATGCCTGCAGACCCCAGGCCATGCTTGGACAGCTCCAGGTAGTCCTGACCCAGCAACTAGAGCTCCAGGACACTGCTGTGGTCAACTCCTGCCCCAGGCTGTCCTGGGAACCTTCAGAGTGGGGGACCTGGGTCCTCCCCCTCAGTCACCCCTCCCCCTGCACACGTCTGCCCAGGGTTTCAGCCGGACAGAGCCAGAATGTGCTTGCCCTGTTTGCAAAAGGGCTGACCTTTTATTCTCCCTCAAATCACAGACCTATGAGTTTCCTGGCCCACGTAAAGTGCATGCCAGTTTCTGGATGGATAAACTCCAAGCATGGGGGCTTCTTAGGCCAATGCCATCTGAGGTGCTCGGGGCCCGGGGCCCAGCTTTTTGTCATTAGCTCCCAAACCCCCTTGGCAAGAAATCTATGAGGAATAACAGAAGATGCTGTGTGGCCCCCTCATGGCCTTTCTTGCCCAGACACAGGATGCCGCTATGGGCTGGATGCAGTGTGGGTGCCGTCCTTTGCTTTGGGAGTTTTACTGGTCCACAGAATTCAAAATCTGGGGTGGGGAGGGGCACTATAAAGGCCTTGAAGTCAGAGCCCACACATTATAAGCTTACGAGCTGTCAGAGAAAGAGGTCACATATTCAGGGGAGGGGCTGAGCTCTGCCCACCCGCTGGACATACCGACACTTGGTACTGCACGTCCGACGTCCACACCTCCTCATCCCCCACCACGCATGGGATGGCTTCCATCCGGCCCTTCAGGTCCTTCAAGGCCTGGGGAGAGGGACAAGAGTGGGTATGGTCACCGCCTTCCTCGCTTCCTCCCATCTAAAACCCTAACGCAGAGTCCACAGACGGAGGTGCCCAGGCAATACAGAAATGAGAAGGGGGCCAGGCCAGGTCGGTGGCCATCAGAGAACATGTGCTGCCCTCGGGGACAGCCGGACTCTGCTCCAGCCATTGTCACCCTGCAGGAAGGTGAGGTCTACCCATGACACAGAGATAAAAAAACTGCACCTGAAACTTATATGAAATCTCATGATTTTTAAAATGCTGGCAATTAACTGGAAAACATGTTTAACTATAAAACAACTAGGTTTATGACATCTGACCTGGCCTGAGAAGCCCCAGAGTAGCTCCAGGCTGCCACCTTGGTCCTCCCAGCTGTTCCCACACTCCAGACCCACAGCCCTCCCAGGCTTCCACCCAAGGCTGGGAGCAAGGGTAGAAGCGGGTGATGGCTGCAGGCACGGGGCGCTATCTCAGGGCTGCTGGGGATGGCCTCTGCTCCATGCCCTGCACCTCTCGGGTGCCTCCCACCCTCCCATTACCTTTTGCAGGGCATCTCGCTCAGGGCTGCCCTGCGTGAAGGCTAAGACGGGCTCGTTGGCCACCTTCAGGGAGGAGGTGTGCTTCCACCGCAGGCTGGAACACAAGGGCAGGGGACAGAGGCAGAGAGGTCAGCAGCGGCCCCACCACCAGACCCCAGCCCCTCTACCTCCGACAGGGGGTCCTAGGTGGGCACCCAGAGCCTGAAATCCAATGCAACTAGAAAGTGGGGGGTCAAAACCCCACCTTGGGCTGGGCATGGTGGCTCACACCTGTAATCCCAGCACTTTGGGAGACCAAGGCGGGCAAATCACTTGAGGTCAGGAGTTCGAGACCAGCCTGGCCAACACGGTGAAATCCCGTCTCTACTAAAAATATTTTAAACGTTAGCCAGGTGTGGTGGCATGTGTGCCTGTAGTCTGAGCTACTCAGGAGGCTGAGGCAAGAGAATTGCTTGAACCCAGGAGGCAGAGGTTGCAGTGAGCCGAGATCGTGCCACTGCACTCCAGCCTGGGTGAGAGAGCGAAAAACTCCATCTCAAAACAACAACAAAAACCCACCTTGGGGGTCCACAACCCAAGGTTCAAGTCCCAGTCCCACGGTTGTGTGTCCTTGAGCCTGTGAGTTGCCTCCTGTGAACGTGGTTCTACGTCTATCAAGTAAGAATAATCGCACCGAACTCACGCGGTTGTTTGAAGTTTAAACACACAGATGCAAAACCACGTTGAAGTATTTTCCACATGCAAAGCGTTACTCTCCCTTTCTTCTCCCACAAGGCAGGCTTTATCCCAAAAAGACCCAAACTCCTCTCTCTAAGCTGAAAGGGCAGCACATTCCAGAACACAGTCTCAGAATGTGAACCAGCTGAGATCCCCTTGGCACAAAGGGCTGAGAGCTCTGGCTGGGCAGGAATGTCCAAGATGTGGACCATGAACTTGGAGAGCTGCCCTGAGCTCAGCTCACAGCCCCGGGAGGGCTGGCCCTGGGGGTGAGGTGCCTGATTCCAGGACACTGAGTCTCAAGAACTCCTTGCTCAAATCCTCTGACCTCTTTCCACCACCCCCTACCACATCTGAGGGTCACAAGGTGGGAGGTCAGGTGGCTCAAAGCTAGGACGCTGGGGTCAGTCATTCCAGAGCTGGAGCCTCAGCCCTGCCACCTCCCAGCTGTGGGGCTTCCCCTTCAGGCCTGTTTCCCCCTCTGTAAATGAGAAGAATGATGATGACAAAGTCAACTAATGCCCAAAGGGCACTTGAAATTGACAAACTTCCCATCTACCGTGGCATAGGACGGGCCTCACCAGCCACCTCTCTACAGAAATAAGGTCATTTTGGTCCTAAAAGGAAAATGACTAGTTCAAGATCAAGAGTAGGGGAAACCTGCACTTGAGTCCAGAAGGCCCAGATACCATCTCTCTCTGGTGTCAATGGCCCCAGACAACCCGAACAGCTGGAAGTGCACAGGTGGGGTTCACTGGTCGGCGCAATGAGGGAAAACACACAGCGTAGGGAACCACAGGGCATCTCAGTAAGATGCTGTTAGGAAACCCATGGGGTTTGGCAGGGTGACTTGGGGAGGGTTTAAGGAAGCCACGGTTAGCTCTGGATTGGCTGCCATCAGAAAGTGGGGGTGAGGCTGACTGGGAAAAAAGGAACATTTACCAAGATGTGCAGAGCTTTGTGGGTGGCACAGAGACCTTGTTTTTGTCCGTGCTTAGACAAAAATCATGAAGAGAAGGCCCGGCATGGTGGCTCACACCTGTAATCACAGGACTTTGGGAGGCCAAGGTGGGCGGATCACTTGAGGTCAGGAGTGTGAGACCAGCCTGGCCAATATGGTAAAACCCCGTCTCTACTAAAAATACAAAAATTAGCTGGGCGTAGTGGCCCACTCCTGTACTCCCAGCTACTTGGGAGGCTGAGGCAGAAGAATCACATGAACCCGGGAGGCAGAGGTTGCAGTGAGCTGAGATCACGCCACTGCACTCCAGCCTGGATGACAGAGCAAGATTCCATCTCAAGGAAAAAAAAAAAAATCAGGAAGAGGGCTTATTGTGTCTCATCTGATCATGGTCTCAGAGGGACGTGGCCTGAGGCTAGTGTTCTGCGGGATTGTTTTTGCCCTATGGGAGACAGACTGGCCCGGCTATGAGTGTCGGGGGCCAGAAGGAGTCTGGGGCTCAAAGACCCAGCCTGGGAAGCCTGAAGGAAGGACACAAAACCAAAGGAGTGTGGCCAGGCCCTGTGTTCATTCCACTTGACTTGAGGTTGACTGAGGACCTGCTGGGTCTCTGGTGCCGTCTCAGACCCTGGAGATAAAGCAGTGACAGAGACAGCGAGGCCCCTGGCTGCACACAGGTGACCTTCAGTGTGAGGCCTGGTCAGGAAATAAGCAAGGTAACCGCAGATGGTGAGCATGGCAAACAAGGGGGAGAATAGGGCTGCTTCAGCCAGGGTGGTCAGGGAAGGCCTCTCTGAGGAGGTGACCCTGAGAGGGACTTAAAGGAGGCTTGAGAGGAGCTGGGAAGAGCATCCCAGGTAGAAGGAGGCGGGGGGGGGCTGAGAGGGGCCTGCGTGGTAGAGGGAGAGGGAGAGGCAGGGGCAGGGCACCCAAGATCCTGACAGGTAAAGTGAGCACATAGGACCTTCTCTCCACTCCCCTCCCCTCCCCACCAACCTCCACCCTGAGCCGGTAGCTCTGCACTCCCCACCCCCACTCTGCCTCCCACTAGCTGTGTGACCTTGGGCAAGTCACATGTCTTGAAGCCAGTTTCCCTCCCTCCCTAAAACACTGACACCCCCTCATGGGGTTAATATGGAGATTTGATAACGATAAATACATTAAAATCTGCACGGCCCTCTTCCATCTACCATCATGAGAAGAATGGAGAGGCAGCCACGAGTCTCCACAGTCCCTCAGGAAGGGACAAGGCAGTGTCAATCCCCTGGGACCATCTGGAAGCTTCTGACAGGGACCTCAGCTAAGCTCCTGACCCTGCATTCAAGCTGCGCTCCAGGCCTCAACAGCACCACACCCACCAAAGATGGTGAGCCAGATATCACCATCAACTCTTTCAGCCGAGAAGCGGGACTCCAAATAACTGAGTCTGTCCCAGCCCCTCTTTGGAGCCCAGGTCCCAGTGGATGGGAAAAGCACAGGCCCCAGAAGTGGACAAATCCGGAGGCAAAGCTCACACCTGCTCCATGACCTCAGTGCATTCTTAGAAAGTCTGCGAGCCTCAGTTTCCTCACCTGGAAAATGGGTACAATACTACCGAAAAGAGAAAAATAGCTCAGAGCAGCGTGAGCTATGTGAAGTATGCAAAATGTATCAGGCCCAGGGAGACACGAATATGGGACCTGAGTCATGCCCTTTGCATCCACACCCGATGGCAATTATTTCAAGGCATTTTGTTTCTGACTAGCTGCCTCATCCATTAACTTCATGATCCTGGAAAGCGTCACACAAAGAACAATGCACAGCAAATCAGTAGCTTTTTTTTTTCTTTTTTGAGTCGGAGTCTTACTCTGTCACCCAGGCTGAAGTGCAGTGGTGCGATCTCAGCTCACTGCAACCTCCGCCTCCCGAATTCAAGCAATTCTCCTGCCTCAGCCTCCCAAGTAGCTGGGATTACAGGTGCCCGCCACCACACCCAGCTCATTTTTTGTATTTTTAGTAGAGATGGGGTTTCACCATGTTGGCCAGGCTGGTCTCGAACTCCTGACCTCAAGTGATCCACCCGCCTTGGCCTCCCAAAGTGCTGGGATTACAGGCGTGAGCCACTGTGCCCAGCCGGTAGCTTATATTATTTTAATATAAATTTTTGGTAAATGACTTAGAAACTGCCTCTTTCCTCCGCACCTTAAAATCCCACTTGTTACTGCAGCTAATCGGAGTGTATATTCGAGGTAACTTGAATCTATGCTCCCCGGTGGCCATCCTCAAGTTCTGAGCTCGAATAAACTACTTAATCCTTCTTTCTGAATCTCACTATTTAAGGTTGACATGATGCACCTTGCAGGGCCATCAGGAGGATTACAAGTGTTGGCCTTTCCTCACCCCTCCTGCTCTTGCTTTCCAAAGAAAACTGTAAAGGTCTCAGAATGCTATTTCAGTAGATCAGGCTTTCAGAGACAAATGGGCTCCCAGATGCCCCCAAAAATCACAGCCTCGGGGACTGGCCCAGGTACTCAGCAACTGCTGGAGGAATACACAGCACCATATTCCATCCCCAGGTTAAAACGGAGTAGGCCGGTTGCAGTGGCTCACGCCTGTAATCCCAGCACTTTGGGAGGCTGAGGTGGGCGGATTGCTTGAGGTCAGGAGTTCGAGACCAGCCTGGCCAACATGGCAAAACACCATCTCTACTAAAACTACAAAAAAATTAGCCAGACGTGGTGGCACGCGCCTATACACCCAGCTACTCAGGAGGCTGAGGCAGGAGAATCACTTGAACCTGGGAGGTAGAGGTAGCAGTGAGCCCAGATCGTGCCACTGCACTCCAGCCTGGGCAAGAGAGCAAGACTCCATCTCAAAATATATAAATAAATGTAGTAGCGGCCAGTTCTCCTTTCTCCGTTCCCTCCCAGGAAATGTCAGAGTCAGAGATCCTGCAGGCCTCCCTCCTCCTTCCACAGGGCAGAGGCCCAGATGCCCACTGTGACCTCAGGATCACATGCCCCCACGGCTTTCCCTGTGCCTGGAAGTCTCCAAGCACTGGCCCAGCTGTCCGTCCATCAGTCTGAGTGTGGCCTGGAGAACAGACACTAGTTCAAAGTTCAGCCTGAGTCGACTGCAGCTAAAAATAACCTAAGGACTCCCACCCATCAGTGCTTTCTTTTTTCTTTCTTTCTTTCTTTTTTTTTTTTTTTTTTTTTGGTTCATGAACAATTTTGGGCTAACAGGAGTATCCATCCACTGGCTGCTCGGGTGAAGGCAGAGATGAATCAGTCACAGGACTTGGGGCCTCTCTGAGGATCCATGAGGACCTTCTTGGCAGGACAGCATTCCTCATCCATTCACGCATTTATGCAGTCAGTACACATTTATTCCACATGGCAACGATGCAGAGATAAATTGGATCAGGTCAATAACAGCTCACTCAATTATTCAGCATGCGTTTTCCAAGCACCCAGGAAGTGCCTGGCTCTGGGAGGCAGATATGGATCCAACCCAACCTTTCTCAGAGCAGCCCTCAGTCCTCCCACTTAGGGAAGGCGGCACAAGACAGAGTCTGAATCTGACTCAGGTTTCCCTGAAAATCTGCAGTGCCCTTTCTGCTCATGCCCTGAGCCTGAGACCTCAAGTTGGTCCCCCTCACCCTCTACAAGTGGGATCTAATCTACGAAGGCCATGCACCGTTTCACCTCCTGCACTGGAAGTTGTCAGGGCTACAAATGCTGGGATCTGATCCACGAAGGCCATGTACCGTTTCACCTCCTGCAGCGGGACATGTCAGGGCTGCAAGTACTGGGATCCGATCCATGAAGGCCATGCACCATTTCACCTCCTGTGGCAGGAGATGTCAGGGCTACAAGTACTGAGATATGATCTACAAAGGACATGCACCATTTCACCTCCTGCACCAGATGTCAGGGTTGCAAGTACTGGGATCTGATCTACAAAGGCCAGGCACCATTTCACCTTCTGCACCAGGAGATGTCAGGGTTGCAAGGAGCTGTGGGCCAGCCAATGCAGCTTCAGAAATCTATAGAGGGAAAAACTGAAAAGACACAGAGGGCCCAGACTCCACCTTGCCCAAGACACCTCGTCCGAGGTACTAGTCACTTCAACCTGGACTCACGCCATGCCAGCCCTGCTCCAGTCTCCAAGTCACTCAGGTCCACACCGCAACCAAAGTTAACATGAAAATCTGATCATCAGAGAGATGGCACAGTGGGGAGCTCAGTGAGAAACTACTCAGTGGCTTCTCATTTCTTCTAAAATAAAGACATCAGAATCCTTACCAAGGCCTCCAAATGTATTCCCCATCACCCTGCCCCATTTGGTGCAATCCGGTCACCCCGGTCTCTTCTGGGGTCCTCTCTGCTTGAGATGTCCTCCACTGGTCCAACCTCACATAGCCGGAATGGGGCTCCTATCGGATTCCTCTCATAGCTCTAGACTTTTCTGGAAGCACTAGTGAAAACCCTATTATAGAGCTCTGACTGACCATCTGTGTGCCCGCCAGGCCACAGGCTCCACACAGCCAGCCCGTACCCATCCCATTCACCACCAGGCACCCCAAGCCTAACACACTGACTGGCCACAGTAAGCACCTGAGAAATACAATCAATGCATGAGTGTCAGAGCTGACACCAGGCCCCCAGGACTGGACTCCAAGGCCAGTGCTCTTCTGCTATCACCTGGGGCTGGACACTGGCCCCTTGGGTTCCCCAGTGGCTAAGGTGAGGGGTGGCCAAGGACAAGGAGAGGAGAAATAGAAAGGAAATTATCTTTGCTTCATGCAGCCTCCTGACTTTTCCAGCCATTATCTGGAGCCTGATAAGGCTAATCCTCCCTATCACCGACATAAAGGCAACACTAGGTGAGCAGAGAAAGTGCAGGGCCCAGGGCGGGGCCTGGAGGGAAAGAAAGGCCCAGCCAGGCAAAGTGGCTCACACCTGTAATCCCAACACTTTGGGAGGCTGAGGAGGGTGGATCACTTGAGGTCAGGAGTTTGAGACCAGCCTGGCCAACATGGTGAAACCCCGTCTCTACTAAAAATACAAAAATTAGCTGGACATGGTGGCACATGCCTGTAATCCCATCTACTTGGGAGGCTGAGGAAGAGGAATTGCTTGTACCCGGGAAGAAGAGGTTGGAGTGAGCCAAAATCGTGCCACTGCACTCCAGCCTGGGCAACAGAGTGAGACGATGTCTCAAAAAAAAAAAAAAGAAAGAAAGACCCAATGCCAGGGATGAGCTGCTTCAGCCACTGCCCAGCAAACATCAGGCAACATTTGTCAAGCACTTGCCACCACATGCCAAGCATTAACCTAAGTGAGACAGGATCATCTCACTGAATCCACCACATAAGCGTATGAGGAACGCATGACAAGTTGAGCATCCCTGATCCAAAAATCCAAAATCCGAAATGTTCCAAAATCTGAAACTTTTTGAGTGTCAACGTGACGCTCAAAGGAAATGCTCATTGGAGCATTTTGGACTTTGGAACTTGGGAGTAGGGATGCTCAACTTGTTCGGCAAATTCTCCAAAATCCAAGCAAGTCCAATATACAAAACACTTCCGGCCAGGCGCAGTGGCTCATGCCTATAATCCCAGCGCTTTGGGAGGCGGAAGAGGGCGGATCACTTGAGGTCAGGAGTTCTAGACCAGCCTGGCCAACATGGCAAAACCCCATCTCTACTAAAAGTACAAAAATTAGCTGGACGTGGTGGCGTGTGCCTGTAGTCTCAGCTACTTAGGAGGCTGAGGTAGGAGGATGGCTTGAGCCCAGGAGGTGAAGGTTGCAGTGAGCCAAGATCTGGCCACTATACTCCAGCCTGGGAGGTAGAGCGAGACTCCGTCTCAAAAAAACAAAAACCCAAAAAACGAAACACTCTGTTCTGAAGCATTTCAGATGAGGGACACTCGACCGTAGAATGATCTGTTTACGGATGAGGTTCAGAGTTACTCACTCCTGGCTCAGGGTCACAGCTCATGAGTGACAGAGCAGGATTTGACCCCAGCTGTTCCTTACTCAGGAGACTTACAGTATGGCTGAAGCACCTGGAACATCTCAGAGGCCCATGGTCAGGTGGGGCTGATGGGACACGTTCATCCTCCTCACCATACAGCTAGAACCTCATTTCCACCTGAGGAAAGCCGCCGCCCCAAGGTGGGCAGTGACTTGCCCAAGGTCACTCAGCTGTCCACTGGCACAGCAGCTCAGCCCAGGGACTCTTCACTCCATGCCATGACCTCTGCCAGGAAAGGGAAGGTTTGGGGATTAAGGAGGCTGCAAGAAAGGGAGAAGTCTTTTCCATCCCCTGAGGTGAGCAGGGTCAAAACCCTAACAGAAGGTCGGACGCAGTGGCTCACGCCTATAATCCCAGCACTTTGGGAGGCTGAGGCAGGAGGATCACTTCAGCCCAGGAGGTTGAGATCATCCTGGCCAACATGGTGAAACCCCGTCTCTACGAAAAAAAAAAAATACAAAAATTAGCTGGGTATGGTGATGTGCGCCTGTAGTTCCAGCTACTTGGGAGGCTGAGGTGGGAGGATGACTGAGCCCAGGAGGTTGAGGCTGTAGTGAGCTGAGATCATGACACTGTACTCCAGCCTGGACAACAGAGTGAGACTCTGTCTCCAAAACAAACAAACAAACAAACCAACAATAATAACAGAAGAGGTTTGGCATCTGGGGTACTTAATTGGAATAAACAGAAGAGACCGAGGACATCTGAGTTCCATACCTCCCCTCCTGCCACCATCCTTCACTGCTGGGCCCTGCTGTCTTGATATTCCTGATCGAAGATGATCACTCCAGGAAGCCCATTGGTGGGAGAGGGGGATCATCATAACCACAGCAGCACTTACTGAGCATTTCAGGTGCTGGGCACTCCAAAGTGCTTTCCATGTATGAGACCATTTAACACGCAGGACAATCCTATGAGGTGACTACTACTGTCATCTTTATTTTCCATATGAGAACATAAGGGAGCCCAGAGAGGGTGAGTAACCTGCCCGGGGCCACAGAGCTGCCAAGAGTTGGAGCCAGGATCCAAGCCATGCTGTGTTCTGGACCATCTCAACAGCAACCGTTCAACGCCTACTGTGTGCCGGGCCAGATGCAGGGCACAGGAGGCAGGCTGCTCCCAGGGGTGCCACTGCCAAGCACTGCCTCAATGGCGCTTTCACTACTTTAGAAGTGTGATGATAATCACAGGTTTTAATTATTCTCCAACTCAAATACTCACAGAGCACGCATTCGGTACCAGCATCCAGGAAACCACTGATCACATCACCGCTAATCCTTGCAGCCACCTGCTACGTGGCTGTTAATACAATCATCCCCATTTTGCAGACGAGGATACTGAAGGGACAGAAGCTGCCTTGCCAAGGCCACAAAGCACTGGATGGGCTCACCGAGGTGGCCAGCAGGACATTCCAGGCCAAAGGCACTGCCCCAGCCACTGGTTGGAGGAGTTCAAGAGCAGAGAATGTCTAAGGAATGGTGGGAAATGCCAGCCCTCGACCCAGGGCAAGCTGTGCCCATCCAAGGGCTGGGCAGACTAGGAAAAGCATTGTGTGCTTTTGATATTTTGAAAATTAAACCATCAGGTAGCCTGAGAAGAGTCCAAAACCACCCAGGATCACTGCAGGGGACACGGTAGTAACCAATTCCGGCCCACAAGCCCCCTGATGTCAGACGGGCTGAGCTGGAGTCATGTCTGGGCTTGGCACAAGAAATAAGGAACAGAAGTGAACTCTTATAAGCCTACTACATGCCTGGGCTGGCTATTAATCTGTATCCTGCCTGTTTCCAAAGAGAACTGAGGATACTGATGGTAAAGTTGATTGAGAAAAAAACAGGAAGTCAGGGTTAAAGGAGGAAAGAGACAGTCAGTTGGGAGGCCTGGTGTTCACCAGCTCAAGGCCTCGGACAAGTTTTCCTTAATTTCCATGGGCCTCAGTTGTTTAATCTGTGAAATGGGGGTGGTAACCCCTACATCATAGGTTGCTGAGAGGCTGAGTAAAATAATCCACATGAAAAGTAAATGGCAGTCATTGTCACCAGCTGCCATCCCTGGGCCCACCTATAAAGGCCACACTTTATGGTGATTGTCCTGAGGCTGGCCGTGATAAATATCGATTGACAAGGAAGGGCTCACATGATTAGTTCATTCATTCCCTAAATGTTTGCCAAGGGCTTACCAGGTGCCAGACACAGTTCCAGGGCCTGGGAACATACTGTAAGGCAGACAAGTGTATAAAGGGAAAAAACAAGCTACAATAAAGTATGGGCAGATGAGCTTGTTTCTATGAGGTTTTTTTTAAAAGCATATCTATTCATGGAAAGTTAAAGGACATGAATCAAAATGTTAACAGTGGGTACCTCTGTGTGGTACAATTCCAGGTGATTTTTCTATTTTTTTGCCTTATCTGTACTTTTCACAGTTGACATGTATTAAACTAAAAGAAAACATGTATCAAGGGTATTTTTTAAAACTAGCAGAGATTCCTGGCACTCAAGGCAAAAAAGAAAACACTAAGAAGCATCTCCTATACCCGTTCCTCAAAAGCAGCGGTTTTTCTCAGGACTAGAGTTTTACACGTAGGACACTGAGGGATGTCACTGAAAATGCCCTGCGACTGTTTCTCCATAAATGCAGACATGGCATGTCACGGGTGTGCTCTAAATGTTCACTGAGTAAATGAACAAGTGATCAAACATCAAAGCTGTTCCTCTAGAGCACTGGCTCTCAACCGGAGGTGACTTTTGTCCCCCAGGTAACATCTGACAATGTCTGGGAACTTGTGTTTCCTGTCAGGGCCAGGGTTTTTTTCGTAATTGTCAGGGCCGGGGGTGCCCCTGACATGCAGCGGGTAAAGGCCAGAGACGCTGCTAAACATTCTACAGTGCACAGGACAGACTCCACAGCAACCAAAATGTAGCCCCAAATGCGAATAGTGGTGAGGTTGAGAAATCCTGTCTAGGGCATGCGGCCAGCTGCTGTATCAAAGGGGTAACTTGAGCCCAGGGAACCAGCTGCAAAATGCTCTTTCTCTTTCCCCTCTCAATTCAGGAGGCCTCATAATTCAGAGCATAAATCTGGATTTAGACCAAATGTAATTTCAGTCATATATCTCTGATGGCAGATCGTTTCCCATGATAATACAGGAATGAGACAGTACTTACCGGCTCGGTGTTAGGCCCATGGTGCTTGATTGCTTGATAATCATTATTGTTATCATGGGCTTATCTTTTAGAATATGGATTGCTTTCTACTAGATATTGGAGGGTTTTCCTATGCATTTCTCCCCTATTAAGCCGAAAACTCCTCAAAGGCCCCACCCCATGTAAATTCCCTGGGTACCCCTCATCTCTAGGGTGTTTGGCAGAGCACCAGCTCACAGTAGGCACTCAGTAAACACAGGACTCTATAAGCTCCATCTTCCTGAGTCTCAGAGTGCAGGGAAGGCCTGCAAACGGGATCACACAGGGAGTATGGCAAGTGTGGCCCCAGTCTCAGCCTAGAAGAGGAACCCCTCTGTCCCATGTCCTCTTCCTGCGCCCTTTCCTATCCCCTCTTCACCCACAGAGGACACACAGCAGTGTTGCAACTCACTTGTGCTCAGAGCACCACCATGCCATCCCTTGGGGGAAGGGAGAGGGCCACTGATTAACTCAGAAAGGGCACAGCTCATCAGGAAAGACACTGCCACTAACAGCCCCAGGGGTCAAGCAAACAAACCTCAAATGGGAGGGGGGGCTGATCCACAGGTGGGCAGCCCCACCAGACTAGGAACCCCTCTGGGGCAGGGTCTGTGTCCCACCTACCTCTCCAAACCTAGCTCCGAGCTGGAGGGGCTCTGAGAATATTTGTCATTGAGTGGGCAAGGGTCCAGGCACCTGGCTCCACAATGTCAGGTTTGCAAATCGGGATTTGAAGGGCAGGTCCACCCCTGAACTGCTCCTGGGTTTCTTCATTATTTGGAATAATGACCTGCCTCACAGGAGTGAGAAGTTTAAATAGAGGTGATAATGATGATGATCGTGGCAATAATAATAACCGGGCGCTGCCTTTGTGCTGGGCACTGTTCAGTGCACTCCCCATGTATTAACTCATTTAATCCTCATAAGACACCTGCCAATTGCCCGGCCAGCATTTGGTTCATTATAAGCACTCTATAAATATGATTATTCCACCTACAAGAAGAAAGGAATCCTTTTTTCTGTCCAACATTTAACTTGAAAAAAAAAAAAAAAAACGGGCGGCGGGGTGTGTGGGGAGCGGAAAAGAGAGAGGTAGAAATCCTGGTAGAAGGAGAGGACTCGGGGAATCCGGGGCGGGATGGGGACACTGAACGTGAGACGAGGGTGGGGAAGTGAGATGTGTGGTGTGCTAAAAATAGAAGGGCCCCTCAGGGGAAGCCAGCAAATTGCGAAGATCCAGTATTAGGAGTGAGGTGAGTGACTACAGAGGCTACTTTCCGAGCGTGGGAACCGGCAGGGCCACCGAGGCACCCTACTCGGTCGCAGGATTCGGGAAGAGGGGTCCCCTCGCTAAAGGAAGGTGACTACCTGAGGGAGGAGGCTAAGGGATCTCAGTGGGAGAAAGGCCTGGGTGGGGGTCGGAGGGGAGCCCCTGAGGAACCCGGCGTTGACCGAGGCAGCTTGGGGGTCCGGCAGGGAGGGAGTGCGGCGCGGGGGACGCCCAGTGACTCTCAGGCTCCCGGGCCCCAGGCGCGCGCTCGGGCCGCCCCGGGCCCCGTGCTCACTCACCCGGCCCCGGTCCAGGGGCGGGACAGCAGGGCGCGGCGGAGCGCGGGCGCCGGCAGCAGCATCTCGGGTTAGAAGCGGGGCTGTTCGCTGGATCGTCCGCCCGGGCGCGGCGAGAATGCACAACCCCGTCCAGAGCGCACCACCTCGATCCTCGGGGGGAAACGGATCACCCCGGCTGTCCTCCGAGCTCGGGATCAGCCAAAGTCCCACTATATTTAGCTTCGGCTAATAAAAAATATTTCTAGTGCCATAACGGGGGCATTACACAACACAGGACAAGGGAACCCGAAAGCGAAGTCCTGAAATGCATGCGTTTTCCCCTCCTCTCTTTATGGTATGACCCGGGAGAGAGGGCGTGAACTCTGTCGACCAGTCAGAGTGACACACCAAAGCTTCTGAACCAATCAGCGGGGCGGTCCTGCGGCAGCCTTCCAAAGCGGAGCAGAGAGGGGCTGAATAGAGCCAATGAGATAACCGAAATGGGACACGTGCTGAAGCGGGGCAGAAGGACTCGCTGCGTCCGGCCCTCTGGCGTGCGCCCCGGGTTCGATGGGAGTCCGACTGACTTCTCTCGGGCTGCCGGTGGCTTGTACAAGGCTGGAAACCTGTCCGCTACCAGACTCCTCGACCCCGCAGGGCCACAGCGCGGCCAGCCCCCTGCTTCTTCCCGGGGGCTGCGGCCCCTGGAATGAGCCTGCCTTCCAGCTTCTTGGCCAGGACCCAGCCGCTCTCCACCTACCCTCCAGGCGCGGGGCCGGCCAGCTTCTTAGCTTCCTTGCAGATTACGATCAATGCAAGATAAAACCTGAGCTGGCCAACGCTTAGCTTTTCATTTAAAGCCTTTGGCCGCAAAACCAGTTGTTCCTGAGCCTTTTACCCCCAAGTAAAAATTTCAGCTTTCTTTGCAAAATGTTGTGTGCTTGGTAAACACTAGAATGCTATTTAAAACTTGGATTCTGAAGTCTTCTCTGATGACGAGGTCTCAGGGACCCAATCTATTCCTAAAGTAATGTTACGTTTCCTTACTCTCTGTTCTAATTTGTTTATATTTCTTCCAGCAGCATGAACCGCGCACCTGCTTAGGAGTCAGTTCCCATGCTGATTTTGGTTCCTCAAGCAGGGCACTAGGCAGACTACATATCCTTTCCGGGCCTCAGTTTCCTCATCTGTAAAACGGAAGTAATAGTACCCAACTCACAAAGCCCCCGTGATCTTAAGCCACTTATTTTTCTCCAGATTACACCATTTGAGGTACTTTGGGAGAATGTAAACATTTAAATGAAGAGTAGGAGAGGGAGATTACCTAAATGCCAAGTATTAGGAATGGCAAAAAGCAAATTGGAATTGGTGGCGGCTATTTGTCTTCACCTTTGGAGAAAACCCTAGACAGGTGGGCTCAGTTCACATTTGGGCAATGTTGCCCTGAACATGCCCATTGACAAGAAAAACTAGAACATTGGTTACTGTCAAATCCAGAGCCTGGGAAGGTGACCTCCTGTGGGCACGTTGGAGAGCCTGGAAAAATGGGGGCTTTGTGGTTAAAAGGACATCAGTTCCAAACCAGGCCAAGCCAGTTACTGAGCCTGTGATGTCTCATGTCCTCTCTTCCCCTTCAGTAAAATGTGTGTAATGATTCCTGCTTTGTCATCTTCCAAAGCTTTTATTGTGAGCTACAAATGTAACAGGTGATATGAAATCCCCTATTTTATGGCTAATTAACTAATGAGTTTGAGGGTTTCTGTGGCCTTCCGTCCTCCTACCCCTCCCCCAACACCAGATTCATCTTCTGTTTAAAAACAAAAACAAAAAAAAGCACCATCAGTTCTAAGACATTTCACTTTATTTAAAAGAAGCCAATATACAGGATATAAAGGGCATGATATTTACAACAGTACAGTAAACAGGTTGGTTTCCGGTAGGATCAGTAGTCTTTCCATGAGTATAAATCCCCCCCTTCCCTGTGATGCTAGACCCAGCTGGCAGACAACAGCAACGGTGGGGCAGGATCATGGGGTATAAAGTCTCCCTGGGTGGGGCTAAAAATCAGGTAGATGCAAAAACATCCACAAGGGGTCTTGCAGGGAAGGGCTTTGCCTCATTTCTTTGAGGGCTTGGGAGGGAAGGGTCTTGGTGAGGGATTTGCTCAGAACTAACACACAGCCCACCCTGAGCCTGGAAATCATCCATTCATAGAAAATTCCCTTCCAGAGAGAATCTGGCTTTACCTGCACCCACCCAGTCCCCTCCAGACTCCCCACTCCAGGAGAGAGCTCTTCTAGAGCCAGAGCTTGGTGTCTCAAGGGGGAAGACCCCTGTCCTAGGAAACCCCCAGCACCCTGATCCCTCCCCCCAGGGCCCTGGGGGGAACATAGCAAGGACTGCAGCCCAGGCTTGGCCTGGAGTAGACACAGCCGGGGCTGGGCTATGAGCATCTTAAGCCATTTCCACTTCTGCTCCAGCTGCCTGACCACCTGGGACCCGCAAAGGCCCAGGCTCCAAGGAAGTCGTGTGCTCCCACTGTCACCCATGCTCTGCTGCCTCCCAACCCTCTCCCAACGCAACTGGGTTGGAAATGGATCTCGGCAGACCAGAGTCAGAGTAACTAATTAATCAGAGCCTATCCCCAGAGCCCAGCTTGTTCCCTCCCTAATGCGCCTTGTCCCTTCCCCCACCCACCACATTTCTGAATTTCCTGCAGCCCACCCACCCCCTCAGATCCCCACCCCAAGACTTCCAAGGAGCTGAGGGGTCAGAGGAGAGGAGAATGGGGTGAAGTGGGACCTACACTCTGCTGAAGCTGCTCATGGGTGTGGATGACCAAAAGTGAGGACAGAAGACGAGGCCGGGGGACAGGAATGGGTTCCATTCAATCCAGCAACAACATGCACCATGTCTCGTCCACAGGAAAATGCTGGGCTACCACAACTGCCTACCCTAGATTAAAAAACCCTTCCTTTCATAAAAATAGATGAGAGTCTCTTGCTTTATAAATAGATTACATTTAGCTTAAGTTACATCTTATATTCTCCCCCACCCCACCCCCTCTCCTCCCACTCCAAGCTTAAGTGGTTTAATTCTCCCTAGGTCATCTGAGCTCTACCCACAGAGTTAGTCCACGATGGATTTGGCCCTTCAGGGACCTCAAGACATTTTCTCAAGACGAGAAAGAAAAATGTGTTGATTTGCCAATAATTTTTTTCTCTGTTCGGAGTCTCAGAGGAGTGCGAGTGTGTGTGTGTGTGTGTGTGTGTGTGTGTGTATTTCACAACCAACCAGGGAGCCAAAAGGATGCTAGTCTTCCTATCCCTCCCCAATCCTCTGTTTGTATAAAACCCCCAAAAACAGGAGACAGAGGGCAGCGCAGGAGAGCCCATCTGAGAAAATTCTAAAATACCAGTGTCAATATGACACTGGGCTTAGAAATAGAAAGTCAAAATTAAGTATTTACAGCTTTACAAAGGATGGACCAATTCGTCCCAGCTAGGACTGGTGCTGCCCCAGCGAGCGTTGGGGTCTTTCTTGGCAAGCTGTGGGCTCATGGTGAGGGGACAAGCAGGGCCCACTGACATTAACTGAAAAAAGCATGTGGTGGAGAGGCAGGCAGGCAGGCAGGCAGGCCGGACCCAGGAACCAGCCCAGGAGGCAGGCCCATCACACTCTGGCTTTCCCTCTCCTACCCACCTGCCCCAAGTCCTCACTCCCAAGAGGAGAGCAGATATTAAAAGCCAGCCAGAAGGGACTCTCAGGCCAGGATCTCTTTCTGGCTCCTGCAGTTTTCAAACTCCCTAGAGTACCCTAGTCCTCAAAGACAAATGACCTATGTATACAAGGAGGAAAGTAAAAATAATACCGCCGGACACCGATAACCACAGTAACCTTAGTTACTCCCATGCTAACACTGCTGCCTTACAGTCTTAAGTCTAAAGATATATCTGTCACCCTCCCACCACCTTGGGGAACAACCCAGGGCCGGCTTCCACGCTGCCCACGAAACTCCCATACCACATTGTCCAATGCCTCCCTCGGCCCTGGACGGAGGAGACCCACGAGGGTGGATGTTTTCCTGCCCTCGAGGAAACGGAAAATCTTTTTAGCAGCTGAGGTCCAAGCCCAACTGGCTCTGATAACCTTTGGTTAAAATAAAAATTCAACAACAATAACAACAAGAATCAGGTATGTTTGAACCCTGTAACCTTTAGAACAAGGGTGAGTGAGGAGAGAGAAGGGCCGTCTCTCTTCCAAAACCATTGTCCCTCCAAGTACCTGTCAAAGGGAACTGTTTGGCTAACAAGAGATGCTGACTATGGAAGTGTCACAGCCAGACTGCCACAGGGGACCCGTGGGAGGTGCCCCCAGCAAAAGAAAACAAAGGAAAAAACTCATGACGAAGGCCACCAAATCGTGATAAATTACATCACACATAGTCACTAACACATTCTCACGCTCTCTCTCTCTCTCTACATATATCTTTTATGTACAGTATTTTTAAGACTGTAACACAGGTGGGGGAAACAGAAAAGAGAGAAGAGCCTTAAAGGCCACGGACCCCTGGGGACCACAATCCCAGTCAAACCCAGAGCCCCCTCCTTCTGCCTCCAGGCAAGGCAGAGGGACCCAAGTTCTAGTCCTTGGGCACATTTTGCTACCTTGACCACTAGAGGGAGCTCCTGGGACAATAAAAAATTAAAATTGGCAACAGACCCACTGCAGTAGGCTTAAAAAATAATAATAAAGCAAAGCCTGCTCAGCTGGCTCCAAGCTGAGATTTGGAAGGGGGCCACACAGTGCCCTTCAACGCAGTCCCACTCAAGCCATTCAAGTCTTGGGGGATGCTGGCTCAGATCAATACCCCGACTGGCCAGTCGAGGGAACTGCTGAGAGCGGCTTGCGTGTGTCGAGGAGCAGAAAGAGGATGGCCCTCACTCCAGCTCCTGCACTGCCAGCAGCCCACCCTGCTTCTCTCCTGCCAGCAGCCAAAAGCAGGCAACTGCCGGACAGTCCTAACCCAAGGCGGGTAGAAGGGAGCAGAGACCAGGCCTGGCCCCTTCAGACTTTCTCACAGAGAAATTACAGATCTCTAAGCCTCTATTGTTGGCTGGCGAGGGAGGGAAGAACATCAAGTTATCAGGGAAATCAAGGATCCCTCCGCCCCCGCCCTGAACCCAGAGGTCCGGAAGGAAGCAAGCGGTCAGGGAGGCCAGTGCCTTGCGGGAACCCCAGCCTCATGACCAACCTCGGCCAAACCCACACTACCCAGTCAGTGCTGCCACACAGATCACCCTAACCCCGGCCTCTCTCCCAGCTCCAGGGGGAAGCCAGGAGCCCAGGAGAGGTCCTGCCTTCCACAATGATATAAGGCAAGCTGCTTTTGTTGTTTGTTTTGTTTTTTGCATAGTAGTTTAAACACAGTGAGGCTCTGCCTTCCCCTCACAGTGCCTTGTCCCTTCAACTTTGCCACTCGATCCCCCCAAAAAATTAAAATGTGTCCTCCTTCCCTTCCTTCCACCTTTCTCTCCTTCAGGGAGTGAGAAAATTGGGGTGGTCCCTACCCAGGCCTAGAAAGCTCACAGAGGCAAGCGGCTCCTTCCTGGGGGTTGGCAGAGCACCCCAAGCTCCAGGCCGAGTCTGGGCTGGCTCAGGAGGAAGGGAGGGCATAGCCCATGGCCAATCAGAGGAGCAGGTGGGACGGACGGCAGAAACCACATTACACCACGGCCGGTTGGCCCGGCCCTCAGCTTAGAGTTCTGTATAAAAACACCTGCTAGGAATAATTCTTTGGAGCTCAAAGTGGCTCAGCTTAAGGGAGAAGGCACAGTTAACACTGCAAAGTCCGCACAGAAGTCTGCATTTGTAATGTGGAGAACAATAGAAATTGACAGCACCATTCCTTGGGTGGGTGGGGGATGGAGACGGGGCACCCGTTGGTGGTGTGGAAGGAAGGAAGGAAGCAGCAGTCCCTCAGGGCCTCCAGAGAAGGGAGGGCAGAGAAAGTCTGTGTGGTGTGGCTTCGAACCCCACTCCGAGGGGCCTTCCTGGCCCCATGAGGAGAGGTGGCAGGGCCCCATCACCAAGACCACCAGGCTCGCAGGGCCTCAGTCATCAGCTGACCATGGGCTCCACATCCGCCTCGCGCTCGAACTCATCCTGGATCTCATCTGTACTTCCTGAGTCGCTGCTGGCCACGGAGCTGGGGGACGGTGAATTCCTGAGAAGCACAAGAGAGTGGGGAAATTCAGAGAGCAGCCCTGGGCCTCTGAAGGGTCAAGGAGTGGGAAGGCTGAGCTGCCACTTCTATAAGATCTACTCTCAGAGGGGCCTGGTCCTGAGCTCCTGCCTCACTCAGCTATCCTTAAGATCCTTTAAGCTCACGAGGTAACCCCCTGCACCAGCCCCTACTTGGTCTGGCTGTGTTGGCTTCTCTAGGAAGAAAGCCCCTTGGGAGCTGGACCGTGGATCAAGTTTGGCTGTTACTCTCCAAGCACCTAACCCATGTCTGGGCATATAGTAGGTGCTAAGTAAAACCTGAATGACTCAGAGCTCAAAAGGAGGCCATGCGGGATATGGTTAACATCACTGGGGTGCAGTTCTGATTCTATCTCGGATGAGCTGGGGGTGGGGGAACTTGGGCAAACCGTTTAACCTGCCTGAGCGTCTGCTCTTCTGTCTGGATAATGGAGATAACCACACTGGGTTCTGGGGGTTTGAGGAGTTAAAGGTCTGAAAGGCAAGGCTACGGCCCTGCACACAGATCTGGCCCCCACAGAGCTGTCCCTCCCTCTCGTACAGTAATGCAGCAAAACGAGGAAAACAGTGACAACGTATTTGTGCTGTGTGGCAGGCATTCTCCTCATATTAGCTCATTCTCAGCGTGGCTGTCCCCCGATAAGGCTGTGTGTCTTTGAAGGCAGGGGCTCTGCTTTATGTGCCATGCCTGACACTTGTCAGTCTCCTGGGGACAGGCCCTGGGTTGGAAGAGGATGCTATGGTTTGGCTGTGTTCCCACCCAAATTGCATCTGGAATTGTAGCTCCCATAATCCCCACGTGTCATGAGAGGGACCAGTTAGAGATAATTGAATCGTGGGGGCGGTTTCCCCCATCCTGTTCTTGTGATAGGGAGTTAGTTCTCACGAGATCTGATGGTTTTATAAGGGGGGGTTTCCCCTTTGCTAGGCACTCATTCTCTCCCCTGCCGCCCTGTGAAGAGGTGCCTTCTGCCATGACTATAAGTTTCCTGAGGCCTCCTCAGCCATGTGGAACGGTGAGTCAACGAAACCTCTTTCCTTTATAAATTACCCAGTCTCAGGCATTTCTTTTTTTTTGAGACGGGGTCTTGCTATGTTGCCCAAGCTAGCTGTGAACTCCTGGGCTCAAGCAATCCTCCCACCTCAGCCTCCCAAAGTGCTGGGATTACAGGTGTGAGCCACCACGCCCAGCCTCAGGCAATTCTTTATAGCACCATGAGAACAGACTAACAGATGGGAAAGGAAGGGAAATCACTTCCTGTGAGCAAATGGGAGCATGCCCTGTCCACCTCTGCTCCCCATTTCAGCAGAAAATGGGGCTTAAGCTCCTTGAGGGCAGGGGCTATACTTACTGGCCCCACCGTCTTGCACAGAGCAGGCCTTTGGCAAGTATCTATTGAATCAACAAAGGGCAGGGTGGTGGTGGGACTTGCATGAGGTTAGATATGTAAGGCATCTGGCACATAGGTGTGCTAATAGTCACTGGATGGATGGATGGATGGATGGATGGACGGACGGACGGACAGATGGACGGACAGAGAGACAGGTTGGGAGCATGACACATGGCCGAGTTGCAGCCTTGGGAATTCCCCTCCAAGGATGCCATAGCTGAATCCCCTGGGAGGATGGGCGGGTACCTGTCTGCGGAGCCTTTGATGAGCCGGCGGCAGGTCTCCATCTGCACGTCCAGGCCTCGCTTCATGCTGCACATCTCCATGTACTCGTGCAGGTGTCGGTTCATGTCACTTTTGGCTGTGGCCAGCTCGAGCTGGGAGGAACCAATGAGGAATAAGGGTGAGGGCAAGTCATCCTCGTGACAGAAGCCTCGGCAACCTCTCCTCCTGGATTCCTCAGGGATGGTGCCATCAAGGCCACCATTGGACACCATGCCATCAGGACCCTGCCTCCGGACATCAACCTCCCTCACCCTCTGCTCTCTGCACATGGGTCCACTTCCCCTAGAACTCCTTCTGGCCAAAGGGGAATGGTTGCTTAGCAACCCCAGCAGCAGCCTGGCTCTGATGCACCCCACCCGGTTCTGAGAACTCAACATCTTTGGGTTCCTTTATCCAGACCTGATTACAAAAATCCTGAAGGCTTTTTCATGTTTCTGACTCTTGTCCTCTATCAAGTGATACTTCCTCTAGGGAAGGAGCTGGGCTTCCCTTTCTCCTGCATAATAGCAATGACTATCGTTTATAGAAGTGATCACATGCACAGCCTCTGGAGCCAGAGAGAATTATACTTCAATGCTGCTTCCTGGCCGCAAGGCCTTGGGCAAGTCACTTGGTCCTTTCCAGCCTCATCTCCTCCTCTGTAAAAGGGGTGCACGGTGCCTACTGCATAGGGCACAGGTAAGGATACCGGGCATACTCAGCACCTTGTGTCACTCACTATCACTCGAATGTCAGCTCTGTGGTTATTATGGGATCATCTCAGCTACATATATTCTTTCTAATTCTCTGAGGCAGGCAAGGATCACCACCCCCATTTGACAGATTAGGAAACTGAGGCCCTAAGAAAGACATTACTCGCCCCGAGGCCTCCTGACTCCCGATCCTGCGCCTGCCCCACTCTACCAGCCCCTGCCCATGACACATGGGTGTTTGATCGCCAGGATCTCAACCATGTGGACCTCAGGAGAGCCTCACGAGTGGGCTCCACGTCCCGAGCCCTCACCTCGATCTGACCTATCGTTTCCTGGTACTCCTTGTCTCTCGTCTTGAAGAAGGATTCGGTCTCATGGATCAAGTTGCCCAAGTTTTCCTCTTGCTGGGGAAATAGAACAAACGGGACAGTTTATTTTATTTATTTATTTATTTATTTATTTATTTATTTATTTATTTATTCTTGAGACGGAGTCTCGCTCTGTCACCCAGGCTGGAGTGCAGAGGTATGATCTCGGCTCACTACAACCTCTGCCTCCTGAATTCAAGCGATTCTCCTGCCTCAGCCTCCCGAATAGCTGGGATTACAGGTGCCCACCACCAGGCCTGGCTAATTTTTATATTTTTAGTAGAGATGAGATTTCGCCATATTGGCCAGGCTGGTCTCGAACTCCCAACCTCAGGTGATCCGCCCACCTCGGCCTCCCAAAGTGCTGGGATTACAGGCATGAGCCACTGCGCCTGGCCCAAAGGGGACAGTTTAGCTGTGTGGTGGGGGCTGTAGAAAAATAACAGGGATGAGGGACCATTGAAAGGCGGTGTCCCCCAGACCCCTAGTCCTGGCCTTTGGGAAGCCAGGCGCTGGGCTTACCTCGCCCTGCAGGTCGATGGTCGGATTGCAGTTGGTGAAATCCTCCCAGAGCAGCAGCGTGTCTTCATTCTCTTCCCACGTCAGGCTGTCACAGTCGTCGTCAAAGTCAAAGGTCTCCCGCCTGTGGGGGTGACACCAGAGGGCATGACTGAACAGAAGGCAGGCTCCAGGGACCCATACAGGGGACAGAAAGGGGCAGCTGCCCAGCAGGTACACAGCTTCAAGGCTGTCCTCAGGAAAGACAGGGGTAGTAAGCCAAAGGGGACATTCGCCTTATCCAAAAGGAGTTTAACTCTTTTAAAATGCAGAATGTATTTATGTATTGCTTGTACAATTAAAAATGTGTATTTTTTTTTTAATGTCAGGCTTTAATTAATTGGGACTAAAGATATTTTCCTCCAAGTCCAATCTTGCAATTTTCCTCATTCATTTAACAGCTATTTCTTGAGCCTCTAGTTTGAGTGAGATGTTCAATATAATATCATCTTCTCTGCAATTTGGAAAGGTTGGTATTATACCTATTTTACAGATGAAGAAATGGTGGCTCAGAAAGGATAACTCAACTGTCTAAAGCCACACAGCTAGCATGTAGCAGAAATAGGCTAGAATGCCGAATGTTTCTGTTTCCTACAGCTTTTTCCTCCCCATCAAGACACTCCCCAAGCACCCATTAGGTGCTGGGCACTGGACCAGCCACTAAGCATGCAGCAAAATGCAACGCCCTCAAAACAATTCCACCCTCAAAACAATCCTATGAGGTAAGCATAACTATCGTTCCCATTTTGCAGGTGAGGAAACAGAGGCTCAGAGGGATTCAGTGGCCTTCTAGACCAATACATGCTGGAAATGAGATTTGAATTCAAAGCCTGGGAGATGTCAAGACCTCCCTATTGGCTAGAACTAGAAGTAGGTTGACCAACCAGGCAGGTTTGCCTGGGACTAAGGGGTTCCCAAGATGCCTTGGTTACCCCAACTGGAGGAGACCTAAAGATCAGCTCATCCAACATACCCCTATTTCCAAGGGGAAGGCTGAGTCTGTAGGAGTGAAATCACTTGACTCAGTGCATCGGTAGCACAGGACAATGTGGACCCTGTCTCCAGGCTGCCATCCCAGGGCTCTCCCCATTGCCTGCCCTCCCTCAACTCCTTCCTGGATCCTCCAGAGCAACAATGAGTGTTCCCAATGGACTGGGTTGGGGACTGGGCCGGTCCCAAGAAGGCCGTCTGGTAAAAAGCTGCCTCGAGCGCCCCCTGGAGTCAGGCCGGGCCGGCTCCCCTCCAAAAGCCATTCCCACAGGAGCCCATAGGTGGCTCCCCGAGTCCAGGGTCCTGAGCTGGTAGGGGGTGGGTGCTGGAGAGGGCCGTGTGGCCCGGAGCCGCCAGGGTCCAGTGGTCACTGCATCACACACTCAATTCCTGACTTCACTTCCTTCCCAGCGTCTGGGATCTGAAGGAAACCCCAGCCGAGGGACAGGAAGCTGGAAAGGACAGAAAGACGGGCAAGAGAAGGGACTCGGAAGAGGCCTCCACTTCACAAATCTGCGGAGTGGGGCTGAGGAGGAGCCTTGGCCCCAGCGGGGGAGACCCACACGTTCCCCCTCTTCTCCTTGGTCTGAAGCCCAAACAACCGACTTGGATCAAAACAAAACACAACTGTAACACGGCTGCATTATTCAAACACTTCATCAGATCTGGCCAGGGGCAGCCTGGCTAGGGTCCTGCCCACAGCTGGTGGAGATGTCCATGGGAAAGGCCCAGGGCCCCGCCTGGGGTGGGGTCAGGGCGGCCCACACAGAACTGCAGAATGGGGGTGGGGGGTGATCAAAGTGATCAGAGGTTTCGTTGTTTGTTGTTGTTGTTGTTTTTTTGTTTGTTTGTTTGTTTGTTTGAGACGGAGTCTCGCTGTCGCCCAGGCTGGAGTGCAGTGGTGCGATCTCGGCTCACTGCAGGCTCCGCCCCCTGGGGTTCACGCCATTCTCCTGCCTCAGCCTCCTGCGTAGCTGGGACTACAGGCGCCCGCCACCACGCCCGGCTAATTTTTTGTATTTTTAGTAGAGACAGCGTTTCACCGTGTTAGCCAGGATGGTCTCGATCTCCTGACCTCGTGATCCGCCTGCCTCGGCCTCCCAAAGTGCTGGGATTACAGGCGTGAGCCACCGCGCCCGGCCTGTTTGTTTTAACTTAGGTAACTTTACAACCAGCTAAATCGAATTCCATACTGAACCCAATTTAGCTCTATCAACACAGAGGCGCCCACTCCTGCAGCCAGTCTCGCCTGACTTGGATCTGAATGCTCTTTCTACACACTGGAGCCTTTGCCCATGGGGCCCCCTGGCTTCCACTCTGATCTGTCTCCTTTTTAGCTCACTCCATTGCTGGTCAGCTTAACAATGCCCTGGGGACTTTATAAAAGCAGGGACAACAATTTCTTCAGATAAGTCCTTTAATTTAACCACATGGACCCAGCCTGGGATCTCCGGGACATACAATCCTGTCTTAGGGCTCAGAAGTGCCCAGGGCAACGTTCAGAAAACCTAGACCCAACCACTGCTTCTTTCCAAAAGCCCCTATTGGCCAGGTGCAGTGGCTCATGCCTGTAATTCCAGGACTTCGGGAGGCCAAGGTGGGCGGATCACTTTAGGACAGGAGTTTGAGACTAGCCTGGGCAACACGGTAAAACCCAGTCTCTACTAAAAAAATACAAAAAAAAATTAGCTGGGTGTGGTGGTGTGTGCCTGTAGTCTCAGCTACTTCGGAGACTGAGGCAGGAGAATTGCTTGAACCCAGGAGGTGGAAGCTGCAGTGAGCTGAGATCGCACCACCACACTCCAGCCTGGGCAACAGAACAAGGCTCCATCTCAAAAAAAAAAAAAAAAAAGCCCCTCTTGGCAGGCAGCAAAAGATGAGAATATGAGATGGGGGGTATCAAAAGAGGAATCAAGAATCTAGGGGTCTCCTTATCACCCTTAAATAGCAAACCCCCAAAATACAGCTCCGATCCCAGTTCTGTTTCAAGGGAATGGCAGGTCCAGGAAGTATCAGGCAAAAGAGTTCCTGTCCCCACCCAGTTCCAACCCTGCCTCTGCCTCCTGTCTACCTTAAAAGTCAGCCTAGAATAGGGACAGAAGAGAGAATTCTCTTCCAGGCATGGCGTGGGGGACAAAGCACTGGACCAAGAGTTGGGGGCCTGGCTCTGTGTGCCCCTCTGAGTCCATTCTCTCATTTGTACAATGAAGTGGCTGGGCAGAGTGAGCTCTGGACTATGGAATTCTGAGCCAGCCTCAGAGCTCTGCAGGGAGGTTAGGAGAGCCCGTGCCCTGGGCTTTTGAAACAAATGATGTCAAAGGCATCTGCTAGAAGGAGCATGCCCTCTCTGGGGGGCTTCCGGGAGGTGGCAGAGCCTCCCAGAGCTCTGATTGGTAGCTCTGATTTCCTGCAATGGCAAATTTTAAGGTACTAATATGACATCACTGAGCCTGGAGTGGGTATAGCAGCTTCTAAGAGCTGGCGCCAGCAGGCTCGCCCACCACTGATCATACCCAGCCCAGACCCTGCCACCACCCCAAGCAGTGTTTCCTACTGACAGCGTACTAGCGTGGGAGGCAGCCTGGCTCTGAATCCCAGCTCAGCCACATACTAGCTGAGTGGTGTTACCCAAGTCCCTTCTCCTCTCAGAGTCTCAGTTTCCCTGTCTACAAAAGGGGAGTGATACCCCATCTCCTAGGATGGGCGTCTGGAGTGAGCAAAGTGACATTTGTGAAGCCCCCTCCAAGCGAACATCAGGAGCCATTTCTGCAAGCCGTGCGGTCAACACAGCCAGCCCACCAAGGGAAACTAGTGCAGGTGGGTCTGGTTAAGGTCTGCTCAAGAACGGCCCACAGGCTAGGAACGGTAGCTCATGCCAGTAATCCCAGCACTTTGGGAGGCAGAGGTAGGCAGATCACTGGAGGTCAGGAGTTCGAGACCAGCCTGGCCAACGTGGTAAAACCCTGCCTCTACTAAACATGCAAAAATTAGCCGGGCATCATGGTGCATGCCTGTGATTCCAGCTACTTGGGAGGCTGAGGCAGGAGAAACACTGGAACCCGGGAGGCAGAGGTTGCAGTGAGCCGAGATCTGGCCGCTATACTCCAGTCTGGGTGACAGAGTGAGACTGTCTCAAAAAAAAAAATAGCCTACAAATAAGACCACATCTGCCATTGCCCCTTCTGGGTTCATGACATCCTCAGACACAGACATGTCCAGAGAGAGGACAGCCCAGCCCCTGTATCTCATGGGCAAGAACACCCCTTCTCCCACCGCTTTTTTGGAGGAAGCTTTCGAAGGAAAGGCAGGAGAATGGCAGACAGGGAACATAAAGGATGCTGGCGAATGGAAGAGTATGCGCCTGTCCAGATTCAGCAGCTGCCATCCAGCCCTGTCAACTGTGCCCCAGGCTCAGCAATGCCTGACCTCCTCGAGCTTCCAAGAGAGGCTGAACATATGAAATTTCCCAAATTACAAATGTTGAAAATGAGTCTTGGCTGTGTGCAGTGGTTCACGCCTGTAATCCCAGCACTTTGGGAGGCCAAGGCAGAAGCATCGCTTGAGCTCAGGAATTTGAGACCAGCCTGGGCAACACAGTGAGACCCTGTCTCTACAAAAAAATTTAAAAATTAGCTGGGCATGGTGGCACATGCCTGTGCTCCCAACTACTTGGGAGGCTGAGATGAAAGGATCCCTAAACCCAAGAGGTTGAGGCTGCAGTGAGCTGTGACCATGCCGCCGCACTCCAGCCTCCAGCCTGGGTGACAAAGTGAGACCCTGTCTCAAAAAAAAAAAGGAAATGAATTCAAATTCTTCCAGTGCTGCAGGCTACTCTCAGCCCAAGCCTCCCATTCACCGCCCCTGTGCAAGCAATCCGGGGAAACGGAGAGTGTGCGGGCCACGGGGATACTCACAGCTGGTTAAACATGCGCTTCATCTCATCGGTGATGTTCATGGAGCCGACCTCATCGTCCGAGAACCGGTTCACCTCCCCGTCCTGCTCAGAGATGTCATCATCGGAAGCCACCTTACGCTCTTTCTTTTTGGGGACCACCTGAACCGGAAAGGAAGCAATCAAGGTAACTGGGGGGCTCGGCTAGGATGGAAGGTAGGGGTGAACTGGGAAGGGAGCCGGCATCTCACAGGATGATGAGCGTGACTGGGGCCGGCCAGTGCCAGGAAAGGTGCAGGTCCTCTAAGAAGCAGGCGGCGTTAGCAGGAAGCGCGAGGTGGGAGACATGCAGGGGGACACAGACGGCCTGGACTCTTCCCTGCCCTGGGCGGCCTGGTGGGTGCGCCGGCTCGGCTCGCCCTTTTACCACAGAAGCAGCCCCACAGTTTGGGGAGAGGAGCAGGCCAGACCGGGACACAGAGTTGCCTGGGATATCTCAGAGCCAGCCAGAGAGATGGAGAACCCCTGACAAAGGCTATACGGCCCCATGCTGACCAGAGCCCTCCTGCTCACATGCAAAGGCAAAGGACAGACGGCCCAAGGTTCACCGAAAGCTTCCACTCCAAGCAGACAAGCCACGAGCAAACGAAGGCTGCGTTGGCCTCCCCTGCTTCCCGGCAGAGGGACAGCAAGAAGGCATGGAGGTGGAGAGAGGGCCCCAGGGAGGCCCAGATCTGGCCCAGCGACGTCAAAGTCACACACACAGAGCGACAACACACCGTATTGCCCTGGGCTCAAGCAAAAGCCAAACCACAACCCGAAACTCAAGAAGCAGCCTTCGGAGAATGACATGTGCCTCATTCGGCTGGACTGGCCCCCCAAGCCCTCTCTGGAAGACAGCCTCACTGGCGCTAACCTGATCGCCGTCTCTCGGGGGCACCCACACTTGCACGTTAGGTCGGGGGGGTATCGAGAGCCTCTTTGGGGTGGAATGAAAAATAGTCAAAGGCCAACAGCTCCTCTTCTGAACTCTGAGGCCCCTCTACCAGAGCTCAGGCCAGCTCCCCCACTTCTCCCCATAACCTGGCCAGGGTTCCCCAACCGTGGGGATGATGCCCAGTTCTGGCACCCAGAGGAAGGGGCAGGAAGCGGGACAATGGGTACAGTGTGGGCTGGTGAACCAAGCCCTGGAGGGGCAGGAGACTGATTTCTGCCACTTCCTTCCGTGAGCACAGCACATCACCCTCTGGGCCTCGGTCTCCCCAGCCATAGGATGAAGCAGTCAGACGAGCCTATGAGTCCACGGGTGCCTGATTCTACGTTTTCCTGGGGAGGCCACAGGGTCAGGTAGTGCTACCTCTCGGGGAAGGGGAGGGAGTGAGTGGGATGTGGAGGCAAACGGGTTGGCCGGGCAGGGGTGGAGGCCAGGGCTGCTCTGGGAGAGTGGGGGGTTGGCTGGTGAGCAGGGCAGCCCTAGTCACCTGGAAGATCTTGGACACGTCTTCTGAGTTCCGCTGCTGTGCGACATCGCACAGCTTGGCCGTGATATCGATTCGGCGGCAGATGTCCATGTCCACCTTCATGGCCTTTTCTTGGATCTTTGTGTCCAGGTCTGTCATGGGCTGCAGGGAGGACAGCAGGGTTTACATGAGCGAGGGATGGAGCAAGCCTGGGGGGCTTGGCAGAGAGGTGGGGAGACCCCTAGGTGTCAGCAGGGGTGGTGCGGGGAGGCCTCCAGAGTCCGAGGGTGCCTTGGGCTTTTCCGTGGAGTGGAGGGCTGCGGCGGCACTGGTCAGGGTGGGATGGGGTTGGGGCCTTGGGAGTCAGGGGCCAGTGTGACGCCGTGTGTGCTGCTCTCCCTAAGGGCTGGAAGGCATCCTCCCAGCAGACACAGGGTCCGTGTTCACTTTGTTAGAGCGAAGAAAAAAGACAACTCCCGCTGGAGAAAGACAGCCCTTCTTTTCCCACCGGCACACCCCACCTGTCCCCCACACAGGCAGCTCTCTCTCCTGGATGCCTCCCAAGGCCGGCAGTGGGAGTCACTGAGGACCACAGGGTTGATCCCCTTGGACACAAGTGAGAGGGAGCCCAGTGGCCTCCAACTAGGGTCCTGGGAGGCTTCTACCAACCACACCCAGCTTCACGTCCCTCCACACCAGGAGCCATGCCAGGCTCAGTCACCCACGTTCTGGCCCCTTCTGCCTTCTGGTGGGGTCTCCCCCTGTACTGCCCACTGTTTGAAGGGGAGGAGACCTGGGTCCCCAGCAGCAAGGAGCCCTTTGCTGCCAACAGCTCCCCCCACCCACAGATACTTAGAGGGGCCCCAGATTGTCAAAAAGACACGCGCACTGGCCTTTCCTGACCTCATGGAGCAACCCTGCCAAAGGCCGCTGGGCCTGCGAGTCTCTCAGGCCCGCACAGACCAGACGGCACCTGGCCCAACCTGCCAGACGCCCTGCTACGCCCAGACACCGAGGCCTGCCCTCATCAAGGCGAGCTGGGAAGGAGTGGGAGCAAACACACACAGACCATCAGGGGAGCCCGGGGGAGGGCGGGATAGGTTAAGCGGCAGATTAATGCATCTCTACTCAGACCGAGGGAAGCAGAAGTGGGGAGGGGGCGGGAGGAGGGTGCCTGGTCTCCGATGCATCCAATGCATCCGTCATCCTCATGGTCAAACACAGCCAGCCAGGATTCTAACTAGAAGCCGAGCCCCGGAGCCTCGGAGGGAATGAAGCATTTTGCATGATGGGTGTGGGGGAGGTCATGACACCCAGGGGCGGCGGGCGGCACTTACGTCACTCATAAGCCCCTTAAACACCACCAGCTCGGCCTTGAGCCGCTCGATCTTCTCATTCATCTCCTCCTGGATGGCATCAGCCTCCTGTGCTGCCTGCGGGGACGGAGATGGGGAGGCTTCAGAGGGGCCGGGTCCTCTGGGGATAGGAGGGTCTGGACACCTGAGTCCAGAGCCCTAGGCACCCGATGTCCACCCCAGCTGGGCACCTGCAGCCAGGGAAGGGGCACCAAGGACCTCATCCCAGCCTGACTTCCCACTGAACACTGTTGACTGCTTAAAACACTTTTCAAAGCGTTATCTATTACGTGGGAAAATCCATGGAAGGTATTAAAAGAGCAGGTTAATTAACAAGCAATCCTATTACGTTAAAAATATGAGATCAATCCGTGTGAAACTGCCAGTATTGGGCCATCTCTGCTTTCAAAAATGACAATGTCATGTGTGTCGACCTAACATGCGTCTGAAGAGCGTGGGTGTGTGTCCACACAGACAAGATCGGAAGGTCACACGCCAGTTTTTCAACTGTGGAAGGAGGAACTGGAAATAATTTTTATTTTTGGGCTTTTCTATAGTTTCCACATATTTGACGATGAACCCGTTAAATTTATAAAGAAAAAAGCCCTTTCATTATAAAAGAAAGGGAGATATTCAACCTTTTCCTTCTACGCATTGACAATTATCTTAATCTGTCTCTAACTGTCTTAGACGACAAATGCTTTCAGTATCAGAACGCAATTTCTAGACATTTTTGGAAGAACTTTTCATGCCTTCTCATGGGGTTGCTACTCTTGCTCCCACTTGTCAGAGAGGAAAATAGAGGCTGAGAAGATGAAGTTTGCTGCCCAGGTTACACCGCAGGTGGGGGAGTTGCAGAGCCCAGAATGCAGAGATTCCAGCTAGAGCAGCAAGGGGAATGTTCCCAAATGCCCACCACAGAGAGCCTGCTCAGGCTGGGAGCCCACCTGCGACGTGCCCACCTGCCCTCTCCAAGGCCTTCAGCCCCAACCGAGGGCACCCTTCTTGCTTGGGGGCTTACAAACCACCTAGTCCAAGCCTCAGGTGGGGAGACAGTGACGGGTGAGAAGGGTCGCTGGTCCCAGGTCATACAGCAGCTGGGACTTGCACCCCGGGACCTGGACCCAGGCTTCTCAACCCCTGCATCAGAGCTCTTGTGCAACACTGTGCTGGTCCATTCCTAGCTTCCAAGCAGAGGAAGTGGAAGGGATCTCTTGGCTCCATAAAGGAGAGACTGAGGTGGTAGGAGGTAACAGAGTAGGGGCTGTGCAAGAATTTCCTGGCTTTGCCGCATGAAGACTGTGCCCCTTGGCCACATGGCTCTCTGGCGTGCCTCTCCTGGTCGGGATATCGGAGGGCTCTTACCTCCTGCAGCGTGTCCACCATGGTCTGAAGGTTCATGCGCTTGGCGAGCTCCTCCTCCCACCTGCAAAAGCCAAGAGGAACAGGTGGTCAGAAGGTGAGTTCCCTGTGCCAGTCCAGCCCTCAGACACAACCCCAACACCCACCCAGGGACTATCTTGAGCTGGGCAAGGAAGGTGCATTGGGGCATCCATCCCTGCCTGCCCTCTGGGAGCTCCCAGCCTAGGGGAGGTGGTGTGAGAGGACAGCCAGGCTGACATATAACCAGAGTATCAGGTGGTGGTGACAAGTGCCACGTTAAGGTATGAGCCCAGCACTTCGTGAAGACAGAGGTGGGAGGGACCACCACCCTGCCTGCATGCAAACTGTAAAGTGCTGTGCAAGCACTGCTGCTCCTGTTGTTGCTGCAAGATGCAGTAGCAAAGCCAGTCCTTAGGAGCCAGGCTGCAGCCAGCTCCACTCTCAGGCTGTTCTTTGCACCCACAAGAAACAAACTTTTATTGTGCTAAGCATTGCGATGCCCGACAGCCTACCCAAACCAACACAGATCTCTCCTACGTAGGTGTTATCATTCCATTTTACAGAAGTGGAAACTGAGGCTCGGAGAGGTTAAATAAACATCTAACCCAAAGACACACAGCGAGTCAGCAGGTGGGGCTGTTTTATTACATTGAAACAAAACTCAATAAATACAGTTCCCACTGATTTAGCGTTTACTATGTGCCAAGCCCTGTTGTTCCAAGGGCTTCCACACCACTACTTTGACACGAGTACTGCCCGAAGCTGAATAGGAAACGCGGGCGGGAGGGGAGAAGGCAAAGGAGGGTTCAGTGGACCCCCGCCCTTAACTGCAGGAAGGGGTGGGAGCAGTTCCCTGGGACTGGATGATATTACCAATTCCAGAACCACCTTCACTGGGACTTACTTTGTACCAGGCACTGTTCTACATGAAGTTAATTCAATCCTCGTAACAACCTATGACGTAGGCACCGTCATTATCCCCAGGTGCAGAAAGCAAGGCCCAGAGGCACAAGCTGAACCCAAGGCCAGGGTGAGATAGTGTGGAACTAGGACTGAAACCCAGGTGGGGACGCTCCAGACTGGTTGCTCAGAATCCCCTTGCGGAGCTCCTCATAGACCCAGGAACTGTCAAAGCCTAAAGGCCCTAACCCAGCTCCTCCAACAGAGTTCCTCCCTCCCTGGAGGAAGCTGGGGGCAGGTTCTTTCCCTCCTCGGATGTCTGTCCATCCTGGGACAGACAGAGGAGTTTCTTTCCTTCCTCACCCCACTGCTACCCTCCCTACATGGCCTCGGAGCAGGGCAGTCTGGAACCCTTTTAGGATGCTGTCAGGGCCAGCTAAAAATAGGCCAGAGGGGAGGGAGGGGTGGAGAGCCGGTTACGTCACCGGCTTTTGGAAACAAGAGAAAACGGATACTGTTTGCACACACAGAGGAAAATTCCTCCTCTCTCCCACAGGAGACAGCCCAGCCAGGGCTCCTGGAGGACACACACTCTCTCCCTCTCCCCCTTTTCTCCAGCCTTTCCCAGCCCCAGCATTAGCTGTTAGGCTGAGATCTGCGTGGGCTCCCGGGCCCGGACCTGGAGGGCAAGGGGCTGGGATTCCTTCCAGGGCTGGAGGGCACAGAGAAAGCTAAGAGGGGGCAGGGAGGGAACCTAAGGGCCTAATCCAGCCAGGACCATCTCACTGAACCTCCCCTCATTGTACAGATGGGGCAACTGAAGCCGAGTGGTCAAGCCATTTGCCCACATCACCCAGTATATCAGGAGCAAGGCTAGGAGTCCGGTCCCAGGCCACCTCTCACCGAGAAGAGCAGGCCCCATGTTGGGGACAGGAATCACAATGGGGGGAAAGTTCCCAGGCCACCCCATCCCTGCCCAGGAGCACAGGGCATCTGGGGCTTCTCTGGGGGGTAAAGGCTGGAGCACAGGTCCCGAGCTGAATCATCTCTCCTGGCCACACGGCTCAGAGCGGGGAAGGCGACTCAATTCCAAAGCCGCTGAGCAGGGCAGGTGCAAGGGCGAGCCCCGGCAAGCCTCTGGCTGCAGCCTGGAGTCTAGAGCGAACCTGCTAACACATCTTGCAGCAAGAGCAGGAGTAGCAAAGAAGGGCACAAAAAATAAAGAATGGCATGGCTCCTCCCTTGGACGCAGGCACCCAGGGGCACCTCCCCGACACTCCCCATTCCCCAGAGGGGCCCTTGGGAATGAGGCCCAGCACCCCTCACTTCTCCTTTGAGCAACCATCTCATGAGGAAGGCGAGGCAGGGGCCAATAGAACCCTTGTACAGACGGAGAAAACGAGGACCAGAGAGGGAATGAGACTTGCCCCAAATCCACCCAAGGTGACAGCAGGAGCCCAGATCTTTGGCTTTCCAGACACAATAACAGCAACAGCACCAGCAACCATTAACTGGGGGGTACGTTCTGGGCCCCACACACCCGGCTCACTGCCTTGGACACACACATCACTGGCTTGAATGTGAATTATTAACCCTCTTGGGGAAAGAATTTCTAACTAAGCCCATCTTGCAGATGAGGGAGCTGAGGTTCAAAGAGGTAAAGTAACTTGTCTAAGGTCACAGAGCTAGCAAGCAGGGAGCTGGGACTCAAAGCTAGTCCAGTCTCTAAAGCAGCGTGTCTCAGCCTAGAATGTGCATACCAATCACCTGGGCATCTTATTAACATGCAGAAGCTGGTTCCGCAGGCGAGGGCTGGGGCAGACAGCTCCCCAGTGATGCTGGGCTACAGATGGCACTGAGTGGCCAGGCTCTGAAGACCACACAACCCAGCCCCTCCACCTCACCTCTCCCTTCCTGCCCCGAGTTCTGCACCCTCCCAACCCCACATCTCAATCGTGTTTCCTGACTGCACATACCACACCCCCAGGATGAGCTTGCACAAATGATTTCACGGGCTTTTTATTTCCAAAGCCAGACGGGGGAGGCAGCCGGCTGGCCTGCTCCCAGGAGGTTGAGGACAGACCCCGCATGTGGACAGCAGCTGGCTTGACTGAAGAGCCTGTCGCCCGCCCTGACATCCCTCCCGGCGGTGGTGGAGAAAACCTGGCTCCGCCAGCTCCAGTGTTGACAATGCAGAAAAGCTCTGTCCTTGGATCGTTCTGAGGACTGGCATGAAGGGCCAGGTGGGCGATGTGTTTCTTACGGCACTCCAGACACCTGTATTCCCTGCCCACCCACCCAGAGCCAGGGAGCACTCAGCTTAACTGAGAACTGGTGAACCAAGTTGCTGGCACAGAGATTTCAACACCAGCTTCCCAAGCACAACCCTCCCTCTTCCCTGGGTCTGCCCACAAGAGTAAGGTTTCAGTGGGGAGGGTGTTTCAGGCAGAGGGACCAACAGAAACAAAGAGGGCAGCAGGAAGGGACAGGCCAGGCGCTGTCTGCCACCAAGAGGCGGGTGCACCTACTTTGGATCAGCGGTTTGCAGACATCGTTTCCTTTCAGCCTGCACCATCCCCTCTCCCAGCCCCAGCCCATGGCTGAGCAAACGACTTGCCCAAAGACTGCCTAGGAAGTGGCAGCGCCTGGATTCGAACCCAGGTCTGACAGAATCCTACGCCCGGGCCCTTTAAGGCTGAAAGGGGAAGGAAGGCTGGAGTGAACATAAAGAGATCACTTTTGGGGCACAAAGGCCATTTTCCTCGAGTCTCCCTCAGCAGTCCAGGAGCTGTTCTGTTGGCTGGGGAGGGGTCCTTTCTGGTCTTTTGAAGACTCCAGAATATTGACAGGCCTGCCACTGGCAGAAAATGAGGTGACAAACACATCCCAGTGCTCTCTGCAGGGCCTTTCCATAGATCCCCTCCATCATACTGCACATGCACTGGGCTGGAAAGCTACCCTGTCCCCACTTTACAAGTGGGAAAATGAAGACCCAGGGCCTATGGACAACTCCAGCCACGGCTGACACGGCCTGAATCACTGAGAGCCGCCCCTGCCCACCCTGACCCAACAGCTCATAAAACTTCCAAATCCTTCTCTTTTCTAGCGCTGGATGAGAGAAGGGACATTTATTGATTACCTTCTCGGTGGTATCCACCACATTAGGCACTCATACTTCCCTCTATAAAATCCCGCTGAGCCCTCCCCTGGGGATCATCCCCATGTTGCAGATGAGGCTCAGAGGTCAGGTAACTCATTTCCCCTCTTCCTCTCTCCTCCTCAGCCTCCTGAAACCCTAGCCATTCTCCCAGGCTTGTCTCAAATGTCATCTCTTCCCCAAGCCTCACATCCACTTCCATTGTTTGCCCCACAGCTTAAAGCAGTGGAGGCCCCAGGATCTCCTCTTCCCCAGTGGCATGGTTGTGGGATCCCACGGCACACAGCTCTTGCCCAAAGGAGCCAGTCCCGTGACGCCAGGGCCAGTGATGGCTCCATTGTGTGGTCACCGCCACTTCCACCTTCCCCACCGCCACCGGGGGCTGGCACTCATCTCGGGAGGTCTCAGGCACAGAGATGGGGCAAAGAGGAAGCAAGAGGCAAGTTCCCTGGTCTAGGTGGGAAAACAGGCACAGGAGCCGGGTCTCAGGTCGGGGGTCCAGTCCTTCTGCAGGCCCAGAGAGCTGGTTATGATGATCATTCCTGTGCTTGCTACTGTATTCCCTGCACCTCAAACTGGCTGGGCACTTGCTAAGGAGTCAGACATTTATCGAATGGATTGGTTGGATGGATGGATGGATGGATGGATTGGTTGGATGGATGGATGGATTGGTTGGATGGATGGATGGATGGATGGATGGATGGATGGATGGATGGATTGGTTGGATGGATGGATGGATGGATGGATGGATGGATGGATTGGATGGATTGGTTGGATGGATGGATGGATGGATGGATGGTTGGATGGATGGATGGATGGATTGGTTGGATGGATGGATGGATGGATGGATGGATGGATGGATGGATTGGTTGGATGGATGGATGGATGGATGGATGGATGGATGGATGGATGGATGGATTGGTTGGATGGATGGATGGATGGATGGATGGATGGATGGATGGATGGATTGGTTGGATGGATAGATGGATGGATGGATGGATGGATGGATGGATGGATCCAAAGCTGCACTTACTCCTCAGTGCCCTGATGGCCCTCGCCTCCAGACAGAACTCCTTTCCCCCAGAGCATCCTTAGACTGAACATCCCAGCCCAGGGGCTCACAGGAGGCAAATTCCCAGCATAGCCCCTGCACTCAGCTTCATCCATTCGGCTCCAGAGCCTCTCCTGGGAGAGGCCAGGCCAGGCCAGGGGGAGGGATGGCCAGGGCAGGAAGCAGGCAGGAGAAGGAGAAACCTTCCCTTTCCCACTTCCCACAGCCCTGGGCCAGGGAGGGGAGGCAGGGATGTCAGAACAAAGAGTGCAGGGAGAGGAAATGACTCCACAAAAGCACAAAGCAGCTGAGATCAGGGGCCTCGGCCACCATCTTAGCAGAACAAGCACTCTCTGAGGCTGGTGGCCAGGAGGGAGAGGTGGCAGCACCACCCCAGCCAGATGTGGTCTCTCCGCATTCCTGAGGAGCCACCACTGGAACCACGTGAGGGACGAGAAGTCTCTGCTGGCCTCTGGGGAAAAGGGGTGGGCAGATTCTATGCCAGTCCCCACCCCCACCCCACTCAGGGCCAGTGCCTCCCCCTCTCCCGTCAGCTCAAGATGACACACAGACCCGCAGGAAAGGGACCGACAAGCCTGCCCTACAGAGGGGCGGAAACCCAAGCTGAAGTCACCAGCAGAGGGGCTGACTCACAGATTTTTCACTTCCTGTGCAGTCAGAAAAAGAGGCTCGAGGCTCCCGCTCAGGAGGAAAGTAGGTGCAGGCCCAGCAAAACAATGAAGCCCTCCAGGGACGAACCTGGGGCTCCTGGAGTGAGCATCCCAAGACACCAGGGCAGCAAGAGACGGGTTCAAATCCTGCCCCATCACTTCCCAGTTGCGTGATCTTGAGCAAGTCAGTTACCCTCTCTGGGCCTCAGTTGTCCCCTCTGTGAGTTGGGAAACCAGCCACCCCCTTTCGAAGGTGGCTGTGAGAACTACAGGAAGGGGATGGTGTGGGTAAAAGCACCCTGGCATCCAGCAGACCATGGGTGTTCAGCAGCTCCACGTCAACGGCACAGCGCATGGCTGCCTCCCACCTCCAGAGTTGGGAGGGAGGTGTGGAAATGGCCCACACCTTGCGGGAAGGCGAGCGGCCGGCACGCCTAGGCCGACTCACTCAGGTGAAGGGAAATGAGCTCAGGTGAGGCTGGGCTGGAGCCCTCAGTGGAAGACTTCATTCTGGGCCAAGCGTGGGCCTGGCCTCTGGCAGAGGGCAGGTGGGGGCAGAGAGCAGCTTCCTTCCCGGCGGGTGGAGGGCTGGCACCTTCTCAGCTCCACCCTGGCCTCGGGGAGCTCACCCCACTGCAGCAGGGCTGGATGCAGGTGGCCAGGGAGCTGTGCTGGAGCCCGGCTGCTCAAACCACAGATTTGGCCCAGCCAATGCCCCTCAGCTCTGCGCTGCCCTAGCTCCTGTGTTTGCCCACCTGCAGATGCACAGAGGCATCCTCACAGCAGAGCCAGGGCCAAGCCTGGGGGCCCCAATCAGCTGTTCTTCTCTAAAATAATATCTGAGCTGGAAGAAGAGGCTGCAGGCACAGTGGTAGACCAGGGGAGCCCTTTCTGCAAATGCAGTTTTGCAGAAGCTGATGGATTGGGAAGACCAGAGCAGGCTCCCCGGTGGGGTCAGGGCTGCGTGCCCCCAACAGCCTCCACTTGCTTCTTCTGAGCCCTTCTAGAGAACCTGAAAACCACAACCGAGTCAACTTCCTCCTTGCACACCATCCCCCTCGAATACCACAGACAATTCATATTTAAGGCAGAAAGAAAATCCGATAAGGGAGTGGGAGTGGGGCAGGGCTGGGAATACAATGTGGAAATCCCGCCACCACTGCTAACACAGGGCTCACCTCCTGGGCAGCTCAGCACTGATGCACGTGTGGATGCCTTGCCTCCTGACTTTCTCTCCCACATGGCACGCTGCAAGCCCGTCTTCTCCCCCGAAAATGGACAGCCAATAAGCTCTAGCCCCTGCGCATGAAAGAGGCCCCCTCCTGCCTGCCCCAAGCCCCACCCCCTGGGGACACCTGGCACCACCTCTTGTGGCCTCCCGGCTCCCATCTCCATGGAGCCCCTGATCCCAAGGAAAGGCTGTCTCGCAGACGTGCCCATCAGAGCCCGGCTGCCCAGCTGTACTCTCCAGCTCTCGGAAGGAAAGACAAATTAAATGCCAACTGATTGTCTCCACGGAGGAGGTATTAATTTAATGTGAACACTTAACCAGGGCAGCCGATTCCATTACAGGCGGGCAGTAATGGCCTGAGCAGGACGGAGCACAGGCTGTACACTGAGGATGGGGGCCAGGTTTGAGAAGCCACTAATCAAGTGTGCCCCCAGAACACTGCCACCCACACAGACACACAGAGCTGCTTTCAACCAGAAACGGCAGCCTCCTCCAGGGATCCCAGCGTGCCAGGTCTGCGCAAGGCTGCTCAGGGGAGAGGCAGAGGGGTCTGACATCCATAGGGAAGTTCCCTGTGGAAGAGCGGGTACTGGGCTAGGAAGCAGGAGGTCCTGGTTCATGCCCTGGCTGCGTTGCTAATTTGCTGCATGACCCTGAGCAAGTCCCTTCTCTGCCCTGGGCCTCAGTCTCCCCATCTATAATAGGATCTCCCAAAATCCCTCGGGACATGACATTTGCAGTGTTATTTGCACGCCCTGGATAGGGCCCTTCCTTGGAGTCCAGAAGTGGTGACAGCCTCAGGGATACCAACTCCATCCGGAGTTATCCTGGGTGCCATCAGGGCTCTGACAGCCTGCACTCAACAGCAGACACCCGCTGGGTGCCCTCTCCCAGAAGAAGCAGCAGCGTGGTGTGGGAGCATGCATTCATTCGTTTGCCCCTCACTCATTCATTCCATAAACAGTTCCTGAGGGCTTGCCACGAGCCCCGCAGGCCTTAGAGAGTCAAAGGTTGTAGGCAATTCTGCAGAAGGAAGGGCAGGTGAGCTGAGAAAGTCATCTGCCTCTGTGTGATCCCCTGAGGGCCTGCCTACCTCAAGCTAGGAGCCTCAGTCTCCACTTCTGTAAAACGGGGATAGCAATCCCACCTTGTAGGGCTCATGGATGGATCAGGAGAGCAGGCTCAAGTGAGGCACACAGATGCCCTTGACAGATGATGCCCATGCTCTTCACCGGTGTCACCCTGGCTCTACCCACCTGGGGGAGGGAGGGGCAAATGGGTGGGTGAAAGTCTGGGCCCCCTCAGCAAGGACACTTCTCCAACCTGTCCTGGCCCTCTGGGGACCCAGGAGCAACTGAGAGAGGCAGCACTGAAATCGAGTTGCTAAGGAGTTTTCCCAGCAAGGAGGTGAAAGTGAGTCCCATCGCCAGGCAGGGGGGATGAGCTGTGTGGGGTCATCACATTCCCCCACCTGACATTCCCCTCACCTGACATTCCCCCCACTTGTTTCCTGGTGACCAAGGGGCCCTTTGCAGGGCAGCTAGCTGGTCTCTGGGCTCTCTGTGGTGACTTGAGAGGTGAGAGGTGAGTGGGAAAGAACGGCAAGCCCCTAACTGGGCTCCGGCCCCCCAGCCACACACCCCTTCAGGCAACGAGGCAGCAGCCTTGTGCTGGAAGTCCTGAAGCTAGTCCTGCCTCTGCCCCAGCTGGCTCCGTGATCTTGGGCAAGTCCCTTCCCCTCCTCTGGCACCACTTTCCCATCAGTAATGCAATGATGTCAAACTGGATGAATTCTAAGGGCCCACCCAGCCAAGCCAGAAAACAACTGCCATGATCCCTGGACAAGCATCCTACACTGACCACAAAGCCGCCTGACAAACCACAAATGCTCAAAAGCCAGCTGAGACGTCTGTCCTTGCGTTCCAACCAGTGTGTGTAGTGGAGAGGGGAGCAGGGACTCTGGAGCCAGAGGGTCCTGGGATCAAATCCCAGCTATCCATCTTGCAGTTCTGTGACCTTGAGCAAGCTATGACCCTCTCTGGGCCTTGGTAATACCTCCCAGCTCCGAGGGGTTTTGCCCACATTCCATGGAATAGCATATGAAAAGTGCCCAGAATAGTGCCTGGTCTACCATGAGCATGCCATTGGTGTCATTCTCATCCTCACGACCTCCCAATGACAGCTGCTCAGAGAGGTGGGGAGAGGCTGGGAGAATGCTCTTGGACCACATCGTAAGTGAGGGGGTCAGACTTGAACCCAAGGCCATCTGACCCCAGAGCCACTGTCTGCATAACAGTCATGTTGTTGATAGTCATGGTAATGAGCTAGATGCCGCCTTCACCTGGCTGGGTGGCTGGCAGTACAAGGGGACAGGGTGGCAGAAGGAAAGAAGCCAGATGCTAATGCCACAGAACCCCCGTCAGCAAAACCCACTGAAAACCCTGCTTTCACCGTCCACACCCCATAGACATACCCCAGGAACTAATGGGCATGCCCAGCCCTTTGAGGTCTGTCCTAACAAGGGCCACTGTGGCAGCAGGTGGGTCCAGGGCAGGAGAGCCCAGCTGGTCTCATGGCACCTTCCAACACACACAAGGCATTTAAGGGTATTCACCCAGGCCAGCTGCTGGCTCTTTTGGGCAACATGGGGCCCAGGGAACCCCCGGGTCACCTGCCCCAATGCCAATCTGAGGTTTCAGTTGTTTTCTGAGCCACCTGTCCAATTCCCTCCTGTCTATATTTGCCCAGGTTCCCAGCATCACTGCCACTTGGTATTGCTTATTGAACACAACTTTGGAGAGGCTGAACATGGTGGCTCACGGCTGTAATCCCAACACTTTGGGAGGCTGAGGCAGGAGGATCATTTGAAGCCAAGAGTTCAACACCAGCCTGAACAACATAGTGAGATCCCATCCCTACAAAAAATTTTAAAAATTAGCCAGGCATGGTGGCACGCACCTGTAGTCCTAGCTACTTGGGAGGCTGAGGTTGGAGGATCCCTCGAGCCTAGTAGTTCAAGGTTGCAGTGAGCTAGGATCGGGCCACTGCACTCCATCCTGGGTGACAGAGTGTGACCCTGTCTCAAAAACAAACAAAAAACACCTTTGGAGAAACTGCAGCTCTGTGGACACCCATAATCCCAAGCAGCATGCTTGGCAGTGCCCTCCTCCCACTGCTTCTGTCTAGAAACTACACCCACGTGGGCACTCCCCCTACCCCTAAAAAACCAGGCCACTCCAAGGAGGAAATTGTCTCAACCAGCATCTCACAGTGAGGAAAAATCTGCATCACAAATTGCAGGCCACCATGAAGTTTCTGGAGTACCACTGCCAGCCTCTTCCAGGCTTGGGTACCCCTTCATCACCTCCTCCAGGGAGCTTTTCATGACTTCCCCAGAATAAGTCACTATGCCCATTCTGATGTTCCCAGTCCTGAACCCACTCCTTCAGCACTGGCATCCAGGGGCTGTGAATTTTCACTTCCCTGTCTCTCTCATCAGACTCCACTCTTCTACGAGAAGGGAAGAATTTGCATTTATTGTAAAATGCTGATTAGGTGCTAATCATTCGACACCCACCATCTCTAATTCTCACCACAGTTCTGTGAGCCGGATGTTATCATTCCCACTATACACACTCAGGTGAAATGACCTGTTCAAGGTCAAATCCAGGTCCATATGGCTCCCAAGCCTGGGCAGCCTCTCTATGGTCTGATGGTGTCTCGTCGGCTCCATAAGCCCCACTCCCTGCCCACACCCCCAGCACATCACTTAGAAAATGCCCCTGGGTTACAGTGCCACGGTCAGATGCACAGATGTGTACACATGGGGTCACAGTCACTGACCTGGAAACAAAGCCACTTTGCCCATGCACTTATTTCTCAGCGCCAGAGAACCCAGGGTGCAGGAAGGCCTCGGCACACCACCACCTCCACTGCCAAGGCAACGAGCTGGGGCCGGCACGTGGTGAGCAAGAAAGGCACCAAGCTCTGGAGCTGGACGGAACAAGGCTCAAATCCCAGTGGTACCAACCACACGCTCCCGGGCAAGTGATTTCCAATCCCTAAGCCTCCCCATTTGGTCATCATAAAGATCCCCCCTGCCTCTGGAGGCTGCTACAGTTTGTGAAAAGGAGGGTATACACAGGCTCCGAATAAACGGAGGCTCTCGTCCCTTCTCCGCCTTCCCTGTCACTGGCTCCAGGGTCTGAGAGAGCAGCAACCTTGTTTCTCTGGTCTGTAAAATGGTCTGTTTCTTTCTGGCTCCACTGCGCTATGGAAATCGTGGGGTTGCGGGGAGGCTGCAGCTTGTCATCCAGCCCCCAGGCACTGACTGCAGAGATCCCACCCCTGACCCCCCCAGACTGGGATGCCAGGAGGGGCAGAGGATCTGCACTTCTGAGCTGTGTGCCTTGAGCCAAGCACTTGACCGCCTGTGCTCCAGGTCCCCTAGCTTTGAGCAGGGGCTAACGGAAGAACCTGCCTTGCCAGGTTGTTGTAGTAAATGAGTCAACACACGTTTCACACTTAGCACAGTGCCCAGCTCCCAGTAAATGCTCAATAGATGGAAGCTATGATTAGTCATGGAACACGGCCTTTCTGCTGTCCTCCCTGCCATGGAAAATGGGTAACTCAGCTGGAGGGCAGTTCCTCTGTGTAGACTGGCCAAGGCCCCGGGGATGAGGCAGGGTACCTGGGTGCCAAACCAGCCCCCTCTGCTACCAATGCTCGGCAACACACCGACAGTCAAGACACACAGGAGGACGTCCCATCTCCCTTGTATCCAATTCGGCACCATATCCCAGTGCCTGGCACAAGACCTGGCACCAAGAGAGCCTTCATGAGCGAGCGTTGGGTGTTTCTGGAGACACCCAGGCCCGGCAGCCCAGAATATCTCCCACAGCCCAACTCAGGCTGGCTGCCGGCTTACATTTCATCTTCTTCCCCCAGGACAGAATCAACAAACATTTCCCAAGTGCTCACCCAGGAGCCAAGTGCTGGGGACACAGAAGTGGATTAAGAGTATTCTCTTCCTGCTGAGAGAGGGGAGGCGAGTTCCGGAGCTCTCGCTGGGGCAGGACCTCTGGCTCCTCCAGCCTCAGATCCTCAATCCCTTCAACCCAAGAAGTGTGGGAAGTTCTGGGCACTGGCTGCCTTGTGCCAGGCAAGCAGGGATGGAAGGGAATGCTCACCCTGGGACAGGGGGCATCTTCCTCCGTCCATGAGTGAAGGGGCCCCATCCAAGTTGCCACTGCCCATTTGTACCCAGGGGCACGAGAAAGGAAACCAAGCATCCACCATCACACTGAAAACATTGGTTCCCTTCAGCAGCGACGTGGGTGGCTGGGGATTATGGGGTAGAACTGTCACTCTGTCCCCTCTGTATCTTTTCTTAATACACATAACAGGCCAGGCACGTTGGCTCACGCCTGTAATCCCAGCACTTTGGGCAGGTGGATCACTTGAGCCCAGGAGTTCCAGACCAGCCTGGGCAACATGGCGAAACCCCATCTCTACAAAAAATTTAGCCAGGTGTGGTGGCACCGCTTATAGTCCCAGATACTCAGGAGGCTGAGGTGGGAGGATTGCTTGAGCCCAGGACCTCAAGGCTGCAGTGAGCCAAGATCGCGCCACTGCACTCCAGCCTGGGTGACAGAGCAAGACCCTGTCTCAAAAATAAATAAATAAATAAACCATATAACATAGAATTTACCATCTTAACCATTTTTAAAGTGGCATTAAGTGCATTCACACTGCTGTGCAACCATCACCTCCATCCATCTCCAGAACTCTTTCATCTTGCAAAACTGCAACTGTGCCTGTTAAGCAGTAGTACCCCGTACCCCTCTCCCCGCAGCCCCTGGCAACCACCCTTCTACTTTCTGTCTCTGTGGATTCGACTTCTGGGTACTTTGTATAAATAGAATCAGATAGTATCTGTCCTTCTGTGAATAGCTTATTTCTCTTATTTCTTTTTTTTTTTTTTTTTTTTTTTTTTTGAGACAGCGTCTCACTCTGTTGCCCAGGCTGGAGTGCAGTGGTACAATCACACAACTCACTGCACCTCCACCTCCTGGGCTCAAGCAATCCCCCTGCCTCAGCCTCTGGAGCAGCTGGGACTATAGGCATGAGCCACCATGCCCAGTTAATTTTTAAAAATTATTTTTTGTAGAGACGGGGTTTCACCATGCTGTCCAGCAGGTCTCGAACTCCCGGGCTCAAGCAATTCTCCCACCTTGGCCTCCCAAAGTATTGAGATGACAGGTGTGAGCCACCGCGCCCAGCCTGGCTGATTTCATTTAGCATAATATCCTCAAGGTTCATCCATGTTGTAGTGTGTGTCAGAATTTCCCCTCCTTCTGTATCTTTTTAATTTTGAATGATGTCATGTATACCTGCTCAAAACATCAAAACCACTTAAATTTTTAAAAGACAAAAATACCTGCTCGTTTTCCCCTTGCTTTAAATTGCATGAGTGTTTACAATGATTACACAAGAAATAGAAAAAGAAAAAAACAGGTAAGCCAGATAAAACCAATGTAAAACCCACCCAAATGAATCCCCCTCCCTGAGAGAATTACGGTTAACATCGGCTCTATATCCTTCCCAACTTTTTCTTATGAGATTTTCTCTTCTTATGAGATTGGTTTTTAACGACAACGGGATGCGACCATATGTGGTTTTCAAATGCATTTTTTCCACCTAACAATATACGGCAGCATCCTCCCGAGCAGGTGACACAGCAGGTGGCTGCAGGGCCACTGGTTTGATGGGTCCTCCACTGTCAGCGCAGAGTCCTTGCAATCTAAACAAGACTGTGAACACCTTTGTACCCTCACATTTGCATATGTGTCCAGGTATCCCTCTGGGATACCCAGATTGGGTTTCTGGATCAAGTGTGCAGATGTAGAAAAGGCTTTTGTGCCCCTCTAAAGAGCCATGTGTGACGTGTTAGAGAGAACGCTCTCTGGCATTCTCTACCACAGGCTCCCAGTTGCCCAGGGAGCCAAGGAAAAGCAGGGTCCTGGGCCCTTACTCCAGTTCCTGCAGCAACAATGTTTTGTGCCTTAGTTTCCTCATTAGTCAAAAGATTGCCTCCGTTGGGTGCAGGAAGACTCCGCTATAAATACTGTTCTTCCTCACCAGTGGCCCTCTACCTTCCCCAAGGAGCAAGGGTTGGGAGATCAGGCTCATCTGAGAAATGGGCCAGACACTTCTTCTCCAAAAGGGTAGACAGAGGTCTCACCTGGTGGGTGATAAGCCCTGGAGAACAAGGCCACGTGCTAGGGTAGAGTAAGGCTGAATAGCATCCCCCCAACACCTCCAGCCCCCCTGTGCCAAGCTCCATCACACCTCCAAGGCATGGGCTGCATTCTCTGCCCAACAGGTTCTACACCCCTTCCCCTTTGTCCTTTTCCTCTCTCTCTCCCTTACCTAATGTGACTTCAGGACCCAGCTTATAACCCCCTCCAGGAGGCTGACCCGACTCCTTGGTCAGGGTCAAGTGCCACTATTCTGTACTACAAAGGCTCTGGGCCACTTGGTATTGAGGTTACTGATCCCCTGCTGGTCTCCTCTGCTTAACTCATCTTTCTTTTCTCTCTCTCCTTCTGTCTTTTTTTTTTTTTTTGAGATAAGATCTCGCTGTGTGCCCAGGCTGGAGCACAGGGGTGCAACAACAGCTCTCTCGACCTCCTAGGCTCAAGGGATCCTCCTGCCTTAGCCTCCCAAGTAGCTGGGATTATAGGTGCATGCCACCACACCTGGCTAATTTTTCTATTTTTTTTTTTTTTTTTTTTTTTGTAGAGACAAGGTCTCACTATGTTGCCCAGATTGGTCTCAAACTCCTGGGCTGAAGCGATCCTCTCGCCTCAGACTCCCAAAGTGCTGGCATTACAGGTGTGAGCCACTGCGCCCGGCCCTCATCTCTTTCAAGATCAGGCCCATCTATGGGTCACAGCTGCAACTCCAGTGCCCAGCACAGAGCCTGGCACATAGGAGGCCCCATAAATATTCACTGGATTAAAAAGGCCCAGTAAGTGTCATCTCCAGGGCCTTCTCTAGGAGATCCAATCTAGGCCAATGCAGCCCTGTCGCCTTAGATATGGCCACCCTGCCAGCCCCTCCCTGCCAGCCTCAGTTTCCCCAAACAACCTCCACAGTCCAGGCCAACTCTGCTACTCTCTTCTCTGCACCTTGAAGCCTGGGCCTACCTTGCATGGAGCAGATGATGGGAAAGTTGGTGTCCACGGCTCTCCATCCCTGGGACATTGTCTTTCTGCCTAGGCCTGGCCAAGCCCCCATGGACCCTCCACCCCATCCCCATCCCGTGTCTGCTGGCTCTTGCTTAAGTGGAAGCCAGCAGGGGGTCTGGGCAGCAGGTCTTTGGGCACTCAGGTCAAGAGGCAGGAGGCCCAGGGGGTCTGTGCCCAGGAGAGTGTGGGGGCCCCCAGGCCCAGGGTTATGTTTACAGCTTTGAGAAAAACAGCAACTCCCAAGGCTATTTTGGAAACCTAATATGTACTTTGGGTCTCTCCACTGTTTATTCCAAGTGACTGTGCTGCCCTGGAGGTAAATGTAGGGCACCTCAGGGTAATCTCCCGCATACTTACTCACCCGCAGCCGCCCTGGAGCCAGCTGCCTGGGAGCCCAGATTTTCCTTATCATGTGCAGCCTGAAAAAATGAGGGGCTGGCAGCCAGGCAGAGCCCACCAGGCAAGAGTCAGCACACCTGGGTTGAAAGCAAGGCTCTGCGGCCTTAAGCCAAGTCACTTCTCTAGGGCTCAGTCTCCTCACCTGTAAAATGGGTGAGAATGACCCCACCTGGATTCAATGAGGATGTGCAAACACAAACTGGCTGCAGGTGGGGCAAAAAAAAAAAAAAAGCACAGAACACAGGATCCTAGGACATCAGACGGGGAAGTCCAGGTCATTCATAAATGAGAAGTCTGAAGCTCAGAGGTGGGAGGTGATATGTCCAAGGTCCCACACAGGCAGCGGCTGGCTCAGTGCAACTCCAGAGACTAGGAGCTGCCTGCCATGCCGCTGGTAAGGGGAGGAGAACATTCCAGAGCAATCTCCAGGAGGGAGGAGGGAAGAGTGACAAGGACCCAGCTAACAAAAGACACGTGGGGCTTGTGCAACCAAGGATGGGTAACAGGGCAACGGTCACCTGTCTGTGCAGAGCCGTCATGGTCCTCACTAGCTGGGAAGGGGCAGGTTCCAGCGCAGCTGAGGCAGGTAATTAGACTGCAAACACGCGCACCAAAAGAATTAGTGACTAAATACAGCTCAAGGGGATGGACTCATTACTTAATCCCAGGCTCCTGTCATCATGGCGGGCCCTGGCATTCCACCTGATGTGAACCACTGGGGAGTGTGGAGGCTGAGCACCAGGCAACCCCACAACACACAAACAAGAGTGTTCCTCCCAACTACCCATGGGGCTGGAGAGAGAAGTCAGTCCCCTTAAGATGAGACGGGGAATGAAATGGAGCAAAGCCTCCCAGGGACCCTTCCATGACTGCAAAGCCCCTCGGAGGGCATCTTTATTGGAGCTTGTCATCTCCTCACCCTCATTCTGCTGATGGGGAAAGTGAGGCTCACCAAGGTGCAGTGACTCATCCAGGGTCACATAATCATAACAGCATTATGGAGGCTCCCAACGGCCTGGCCCAGCCGCCACTGGAGGGCAGAGCCTTGGGGCTCTCAGATGGATGGAGGGTCCTCCGAGGGGAATCCCTCAAGCGCTGCCCAGATGCTGCCGAGCACCCCACACATGGGATGCAGAGGGTCACTAGCCCCAGCTATGCAAAAGAACCGGCACCAGCACAGCCTCTCTTCTCAACTCCAACCCAGCGGGGGCTCTCTTCCCCCTGAGATTTGGGCCTCCAGCCACAGGATTCCCAGCCCGGACTCAGCAAAAAGCCAAAAAGGAGATGGTCCAGGCCAGCATGGCGAGAAGAAGCCGGCTTGGGGCAAAGTGGGAGGCCACTTGCAGCCACCCCCTGTCCCTTATCCCAAAACACTTTGACGTCAGGCAGAGCTGGGATGGGCGTCCAACTCAGCCGCTCCGCAGCTGGTGATCTGCTAAAGCGACTTTACCTCTCTGAGCCTCAGTTTCCTCATCTGTAAAATGGGAATAACAATAGTACCTACACCTCCCTGGATGGTGAAGACCCCATAAGATCATAAACACCAGTGCCTAACATTATTTTGCTCCTCCTAGTGAGCAAGCCCCACCTCCAGCTGCTGGGAAGGCTGGGAGGGAGGCTACTGGGAGGGCTGCTACAGCGTCCAGGGCCCCGGGCTTGGCTGAGCTGCACCATGCTTCCCCTTAGAGGCTCTGTCTCTGGGTTCCCTCTCCCATGCTGGGACTGGGGAACTGTCTGGTATCCAGAGTGACCAAGTGCCCAGCACACCGTAGGCCCTCAACCGCTACTGACTGGATGAATGAGCTTGTGAGCTGGAGCCACTGGGCGTAACCACCAGCAGGCCTCGGGGGAAGCCCAGCTCTGCCTGTGCTGACTTACTGTGTGGCCTTGAGCCCATCCCTGCACCTCTCTAGACCTTCTGCACAAGGAAGCTCCGACCACACCAGGGACTGAGACTCCCCCACCTCACACCTAGGGAGACCCTGCAGGGAGGGTGGCCAGAGGACAGCCTGCCCAGTGGGGAGCCCCTCCCAACTGGCCTGGCCCCCCCAGGGACAGACAGCAGGGGCCACGCCCACCCCTGCAGGCCCTCAAAGGCAGTAGGCAGTCTCCTCCTGGTGATTTTGCCTTGGGACAGATGGGACACAGTGTGGTATCTGTCAGGCCAGATGGCCTGGTTGGCCCCAGGGGCCGGGACACCAGCTGGGAGTCCAGCCCTGGCAGGCAACACTGCTTAACCCCTTCTTGCCCCAGCCACAGGAGCTAGTGTCCCCCTGGCAACTTAATTACTGGTGTACACTCAGGCCTCCTGTCCTCTCCCCTTGGAGGTGAGGGGCCTCCCTGGCACCTCTAGGGCCAAAAGGGAGGCTGGGAGGCTGTGGGAGAGAGGAAGCCACAGGGTGGGTGGGAGCGGAGAAGATGCCACTGCTTGGCCCTGAGGGCAGCCCAGGACCGCCAGGAATCTGCCAACCCAGGGAACCAGCAGGCAGGAGCACTGATTCCAGGCCAGGGAGCCCTCTGGGGCCACATGGGGCTGGCTGTTCTGCTTCCAGGACATCTGTCTGCGGCAGGGACCACCAGGCCAGAGGCCACCGGCCACCTTTATCAAGCCCCCTGCCCAAACCATAGAAACAGCATTGCCACATGAAGGAGGACACCCAACTCGGACAGGCTGGCTGAATGGCTGTGGACATGTTGCTCAACCTCTCTGGGCCTCAGTTTCCCCATCAGGAAAGATGGGACCAGAGTGATCCCTGGGATTCAGGCCACTTCTAGCTCAGAGGGCTCCCTGACTCCTAGAAAAGGAATGTGCCTCCCTCCCAGAAACTTGTGGGATACTACAGGGACCAGCCAGATCTTTTCTGCATGAAGATTGTGTCTCAACTTGTATCTGAGTCAAGGCACAGTCTCTCAGGAAGTGGAGAAAAGGGAGATTGTAGGTGGGAAGAGGGTACGCAGCAAGGTAATGGTGCTGCCTTGAGAACCACCAGGCAATTGATATCCAACCACTTTCCTCCTCTGTGAAAGGCTAAACAAAGGGGGAAATGAAGCAGTAGGGATCATGGTTAGACACCAGGAAGCACTTCCCAATGGAAAAGGCCACAAGGACACTGGACGGCCCGTCTCAGAAAGGGTTCTGGAATGTGCTTCCTAGGCAGTAAGATCTTCAGGCAGGATTTGCAGTGGTCCTAGCCCCAAGATGAGGAAGAAACAGATGACCTCTGGAGACCCTTGGAGGAAAAGAAGCCAGTGTCCAGTAGGGTAAAGTAAACAGGGCCTTGGAGTCTCTCCCCTCAGGGGCTCAGCCAACCTGCTGTTCCAGATGCGGGAGGGTGTCATCTCAGGGCAGAGCATAGCCAAGCTTGGCCCCAGTCTGGGGCCTGCATGCTGGTTCAGTAGACACCTCTAGAAGTCTCTCAGAACAGAGGCTGCCAGCAACTCCCGAAAAGCCAAGAACCCATGAAAACAGCAGAGGAGGAAGAGCTAGGTAAGGGAGCTGCCGGCCAGGAGTGAGAGCTGTCTGTTGACACAGCAGAGAAGCAGAAACTTGGGGCTGGGACCTACAGACCTGACTTTGAGCCCTAGCTCCGCCACTCGCCCCGTGCAACTTTGGGCAAGTCACTGCCCCTCTCTGACAAAAGGGAGAGAAAATATCTAACCAATCTCTAAGGACTCTTCCAGCCCTGATTTAACAGTTCCTTGGCAAGCTCCCCAGATTCTGCAAGCTCCCAGTTCATGCAGCATCATCCCCAAAGCCCAAGCATAGGGACTGAGCACCGTGGCCCAGAAAAGGATGGATGGATGGACAGACTGATGGACAAACGGATGGATGGATGGATGGATGGATGGATGGATGGATGGATGGATGGACAGACGGACGGACAGACGGATGGAAGAATAAATGATCAAGTAGGGTAATCCTGGCAAAGAAGAGCAGAAGGTCCTAGGTGTCCCCTGGGATGACTCTTTACACCTGCCCACAAGGCCTCCCTGGAATCACTTGCCAGTGATACAGACCCTCCAGTATCCAAATCCCTTCTTTAACTTGTACGTACACGTGCAAATACCTAAACATGCAGATACAAATACGCAACACGTGCTCAAAGCAGTGACCCAACTCTGAATCCTGACAAGAGAAAGCTCCAAGTCCCCCCCAAAAGCCATGAGGTTTATCTGCTCCAGTCTGATTCCAGGGTATCTTGGCTTTTAGAATTCCCTTTCCAAAGCTGGGTGCAACACGAGACTCTAGTGGTGGAACCCAGTGGTGATCTTGGAAGCCAAAGAGACCTGAGGTCACATGCCCACTCTGCCACTCTCTAGCTTTGACAAGGAACAAGTCATTTCACCTGGCACGACTCAAAGTTTTCTCATCTGTACAATGGACATACCCACAGCCACCTTGCTGGAGTGGTGCGATGTTCCAGAGAACACATGTGTGCGGCTTCAAACACTGCAGTGGGCATACAGAGTGCTCTCGGGAAGTGAGCAAGATGGCGATAGAATTATGAGATCTTGGCTCCCTTCTTGGAGGGGCTGAGCGCAAGCCAAGCCTCCCAAGGCTTCTCTGTTTGGGCCCTGCAATCCCTTCCACCTCGTTTCCCACCTTGGGGGGTGATGTGCTTGGACTTAAACCGGGCAGAAGCTACAAAGCAGCCTTTGTCTCACAGATGAAACCCTAAACCAGCTGCCCTGACGTCAACTCTGGAAAAACAATGCCAAGCCAGCCTTCAACGTCACTCCTCTGCCAAGGTCTGGGATTGGGCCCTTCACCCACAAGGCCTCGCAAGGCAGTCTATGAAAACACAGAAACCATCTACCCATCGCCTACAGGGGCCCAGAAGGAGGAACGGCTGCCTTGCTGCTGCTGGGTGCAGGGCAGGGCTTGAACCCCTGTCTTCCAATTCCCCTATCTCAGCCTGCCAGAATGAGCTTGCATGTGTGGCAGAGAGTACTTTGGGTAACAGTCTGCAAGAGGCAGGTTCGAATCCTGATCCTGGCCCTACCTCATAGTGAGACCTCAGACCAGCAATGTGACCCCCTGAGGCTGCTTCCAAATCCACACAACGGGGAGGCTGAGACAGTCCATGATCCCCAGGGAGGCGGGGACAGGGAAAGATTCCCCCATTCATGTCCACATTCCATCAGGCCCTCCTAGGAGCCACAGGCTCCAGGTGACACCCTGCACTGGACACAGCCTTGAATGCCAGGTCTTGCCTTCCCAGTCACCCTGTGCTGACAGTCTGCTCGAGAAGAGAGGGGACATGACCTCCTCCTGGCTGCCCAGGCGGCTCTACCGGGGAGAGGAAGTGCTCAGAACACAAAAGGCCAGTCTTCAGCCAAAGCGGGAGGGAGCAGGCAGTTCTCACTGTGCCGCGTTTTCCTTTTGTATGAGATGGGATGGGATGATGAGAACCACAGGGTGTTGGTGAGCCTGACCCAGGAAAGGCTGCCCTGTCTCCTTATCTCCGGGGTAAGCCCTGGAGCTGGAAGGCTTGAGAACTTTGCCTAGAATGTTGGAGTTGGGTGAACCATAGAGGCTGATCCTTCATTCCCCCACAAAGACTATGTTTCCAGAGCTCCTTGTCTGGGGATGTGGCCTGACAAATAGTACTTTGGCATTTGTTCACATTTTTATGTGTACAAATTGGGGCCTGGGGGCTGGTGGGAGCCAGGCCAGGGCAGGAGGGAGGGAGCGGTAACAGCTGAGGGGCCAGCAGCACACGTAGCACTCTGCAGGCAACATCAAATCCTCGCAACCTCATCAGCTAAGATTGTCATCCCCATTTTACAGATGAGAGAACTGAGGCTCAGAGCAGTAACACAACTCCAAGCAGTGTCACCTCAGAGCCAGAGTTCCCACCCAAGAGAAGGCCCAAATCACGGGCCAACAGGAAACATGAAGCAAGAGCAAATGAAGCAATTTCTTTTTAATTCCCCACAATTGAATTATGTCTTAGGGCTCAGAAAAGGAATAACCTACAAGTTGGAGGTCCCTCAACTTGGCATCAGGTTAATTCTGGCTCTGCCAGCAGTAGCTTGCTGAGTTCAGGCCATCAGTCTCCAAGTCAGATAAGTCCTGATGTTTTATTTTATATTATTTCTTTTTTTTTTTTTTTTGAGATGGAGTCTCATTCTGTCGCCTAGGCTGGAGTGCAGTGGCAAGATCTTGGCTCACTGCAACCTCCACCTTGCGGGTTCAAGCCATTCTCCTGCCTCTGCCTCCCAAGTAGCTGGGATTACAGGCTCGTGCCACCACACCCGGCAAATTTAAGTCCTGATGTTTTAAATGCTAATATTTTATTTAAAGGTAAGTGTGAAACCAACAGCAATGTAATATTAAGACTCAGCCAGCCATGGTGGCTCACATCTGTAAGCCCAGTACTTTGGGAGGCCAAGGCAGGAGGATCACTTGAGGCCAGGAGTTCAAGACCAGCCCCGGCAACATAGCGAGACCCCTATCTCAACAAAAATTATTTTTTTTAAAAAAAAATTAGCTGGGTGTAGTGGTGTGTGTCTGAAGTCCTAGCTCCTCGGGAGGCTGAGGCAGGAGGATTGCTTGTGCCTAAGGAGTTGAAGGATGCAGCAAGCAGTGACTATTCAACAGCACTCCAGGCAGGGCAACAGAGCAAGACCCTGTCTTAAAAAAAATGTCTTTCCATATAAAAACATGTGCAAATCCCAAAGTACTATTTGTCAGGCCACATGCCCAGACAAGGAGCCCTGGAAACATGGTCTTTATGGGGAATGAAAGATCAGCCTCTACGGTTCACCCAACTCCAACATTCTAGGCAAAGTTCTCAAGACTTCCAGCTCCAGGGCTTAACCCAGAGATAAGGAGACAGGGCAGCCTTTCCTGAATCAGGCTCACCAACACCCTGTGGGTATCATCATCCCATCCCATCCCATACAAAAGGAAAACGAGGCACAGAGAAATGGTGCAGCCAAGCACAGGGCTGGCAGATCGGGAAGGCAGATCAGTGTCAGCATCCCAAGACCTCAAAACCAGGCCAGAGGCTGGAGAAGTGCCTTTTGCGACATGGAGACAAACCCCACGGGCAACCTCAGATGTCTCTTTTGTAGGTGGAGGGAGCTTCATCCACAGCGCCAGGGACCCAGATGTCTGGTCAAGGAGCAGGGCCCTGTCTCTGCGGACCCCACTGTACAGGCTCCGAGTCATGCCTTTGGCAGTTGCTTCTCTGCTCCAAGTGCTCTGTCCTCTGGGAGTTTTCCAAACCCCTCCTGAAAGTGCCAGCAGCCCCCAGAGGGAGCCCTGAGCTCAAGGGTTTAAGGGGAGTCCTGTGGAGGGGACAGGGTGAAAATACCTGGGTTCCGGCCCCTGCTCTGTTGCGTGACCTCAAGGTAGCTGCTCTCCTTCGCTGGGCCTCAGTTTTCTCATCTATAAAATGGTCGTGAATATGCAAATAGGGGTGAGAGAGAAATAGAAACCACTACAGAATGGCTGAAGGTCGCTTTGAAAGACAGAAGGCATAGCTAACTTGGTTGGGATGTCAGGGAATGATTTTGCCTGGAAGCAGGAGGATGGATGAGATGAGCTTGAAGGGTACCTCAAGTCCTCTGGGGCATCCAGGGGATGAGAGGAAGTCATAGGTGTGAGGGAGAAGGGACAGCCAGGGCGATCGGGGGCCGGGGCGGGGAGAGGTAAGGGGAGCAGCCAAGCCTCCCCCCAGCCCCAATTCCTGACCTGTGTCTAATCCTAGGCCCTGGACCATAATGGGGGATGGGGAGGCTGAGGGTCTCCAGTGGCCAGCATTGAGCTCCAAACCAGCAGCTTCTCTCTCACTAGGCAGCCTCCCTTGCCCCCCACCATGATGTCAAGACCCTACCCCCAGCCCCATAGTACAAGGGGTCTGCAGGGCCCGCCACAGGCAGGGCAATGACCTTAAGGGCTCCAAATCCAGAGGCTCCAGACCTGTGCTCACATGCGTGTATACACACACACACGTACATACATGCACACTCATGGGCTCACAAGGCCCCAGCAGTAAGAGCCACTCACCAGGGCCCAGCATCTGGCTGAGGGATGGGGGACAGGATGTCCCTCAGAGCCCTGCCCCAAGCAGGATGGGAGTGAGACAGCCAGCCATAAAGAGTAGAGATCAAAACAAGAAAGAAAGGAAAGAGGGAGAGGAAAGGAGAGCAAGACAGAAAATGAGAGCCAAGAAGAGCATGAGGAGGGAGGAGGGGACAAGACAGGGCAGAAGCAAGCACAGGACAGGCCAAGTTCTGGCAGTGCCAGGCTCAAGCCCGGGCACCAGGAGCAGCTCCACACTGTTCTGCACAGCAGCTCAACTCCAGGCCCTTGTACACGCTGTCCTCTCTATCTGGAACACCCTCTCTCCTTCTCTTCCACTCTTACTGAACCTTCCAGATACAACCTAGGTGATGTCACCTCCAGGAAACCTTTCTTGACTGGCCCTGAACTGGCTTGGGTACCTTCCAGAATCCCTGGGTTTTGGGCACCCTAGGGTCTCACCAGTGTCCCACCCAGACCTCCGAGACTCTCTGGTCGTGACTTTGCAACAAGCTTTCCCTAAATCTTCCACTACCACCCCCCAAGATGGCCTTCTGCCTATTGCCACAGTGGGCCAGGAGCAAAACGGGGGTGCCAACGGGCCCTGGGAAGATGGGCTGACCCTATACAGAGAGGAGCCTGTCTGCTGGGGAACTTCACAAGATCTACTTAGACCAGTAGCTCTTCCCCTCCCCCAAGACAGCAAACAGGCGGCAGTGAGCCAAGAACCGTCTTAAATAACTCAAGTAATAAAGATAGCCAATTAAGAGGGCGGAAGGCGCTGTCTCCGCTGCAGGGGCCTCTCTCCATCGAGCAGCAGATGAGCAGGGTCTGTGTGAACACACATCCCAGAGTCGGAGCACGCAGGCCAGAGGGCGCTGAGCAAGCATCTCAGAGACAGCTCAGAGACAGGCCCCACCCCCAGCACAGCCACATGGAGGGGCTTCTGCCAGGGCCAAGGCCCAAACGCCATTCGATTCCTGCCCAGCTCCTCTCCCCAGAACCCCCAGCCTTATTTAGTGATTTTTGCCACAGCAGCCAGAATCGGAGCACCATCATCGCACTTGCCATCCACGCAACATGACCATTCCCATTTCCAGATAAGAAACGGAGGCTCAGAGAGGCACAGTGACTCTCCCAAGGTCTCAGAGCTGACAGGCAGCAGAAATAAACCCTGCAGGTTCCTCTCTTCCCAGCTTTTGGGTTCCACACAAACGTTCTGCTCTAAGCTGTCTAACATAGCAGGTTTCTGTCCAACCTCCCGTCCCAGGATCTAGGGGAGGTGTGAATGTAAAGGCAAGAGAGGACAAGGCATTGCATGGAGCTTCAAGGAGCTTCAGCCTGCATGGGAAGTTGGAAAAGAAACCGCAGTGTGGGTAGAGCTCAGGGCTCCCAAGGATTTGGTCCCCACAGGCACTCCGCTTGCCAGTTTACAAAGTGCTCCACGGGTATCATTTTAGACAGCCCTCCAAACAGCCTCATGAGGTCAGATTTATTACTTCCATTTCATAGAAGTGAAAACTGAGGCTCAAGCAGGGAAGCTACTTGCAATGGGCACGGCCCTTTCTGGTACTACACAGGTTTAAGGTTGGAACTGGAACCTGACTTCCTGCGGTCAGATCTGGGCTTGCCACTTTCTTTTTTTTTTTTTTTTTTTTTTTGAGATGGAGGCTCACTCTGTTGCCCAGGCTGGAGTGCAGTGGCGAGATCTCGGTTCACTGCAACCTCCGCCCTCCAAGTTCAAGCCATTCTCCTGCCTCAGCTTCCTGAGTAGCTGGGATTACAGGTGCCTGCCACCATGCCCGGCTAATTTTTTTGTATTTTTTTTGTAGAGACAGGGTTTCACCATCTTGGCCAGGCTGGTCTTGAACTCCTGACCTCATGATCTACCCGCCTCGGCCTCCTAAAGTGCTGGGATTACAGGCATGAGCTACCGCACCGGGCCTGGGCTTGCCACTTTCAAGGTGTCTTGGCCCAGTTCCCTCCCCTGCCTCTGTGGCTCAGTTTTAGCATCTCTAAAATGGGCTAATGATAGCACCCAACTCACAGGGTTATTACAGCTTCCATGAATTAAATGTTTGCAAACCACTTTGAATGAAGCCTGGCAAAGAGTAAATGTTGTATAAATATTTAATGAAATTCATTAACTAACACATGTTTATTGTGTTCCTACTATCCGCAAGCACTGTTGGAGAAGGTACTGGGCACATGCTGTTGTCACATGATGCTGCCACATGGCATGACACATTTGTCTATGTCCCCAGATTCTGAGTTCTCGAGGGCAGGGGCCTGGCCCACGGTGGGTACTCAGCCACTGTTCTGAAACCACCACCACTTTGGCTTCTCAGACATCCACACCCAGCAGTCTCATCTTCCCCAACAAGAGGCACCAAACGATTGTAACAACTTCCCTGTTCCCTGGCAAAGTTCACAGCACTGACTGAAAGCAAAAGCTAGGGATACTCCAGCCCAGGGCGGAGGCGAGCTCCCAAACAGCCACCAGAATGCCCGAGGCCCTCTGCTGCTGGTGATCCGTGGATGAGAACCTCGGGCTGGCTGTGCCCTGAGGACACTCAGGGGCCGGGCAAGATAAATGGAGCATTAATTGAGAGCCTGAGATCCACAGCCTGCCCCAGCTTTGCTAGGCAACATTTCACAGAAATGAAAACTGAGGCTCACAGCAGGAAAGCGGCTTGCAATGGGCATGGCCCTTTCTGGGTACAGCACAGGATAAAGGTTGGATCTGGAGCCTGACTTCCAAGTTACTTCTCCTCTCTGAGCCTCGGTTTCCATCCTGCAGTGCCACCACCGGGTTTAAATGAGACCGCGTGGAAATCACCAGACGGGTCATAATATGTGTTCCCTGTTCCCCAACTCCTCCCCTGCCAGCCCTGCCAGCCCCCATTGAGACCTTCTCCAAAGAGCAGGGGCCTGGACAGGCCTGCTACAGTGGCCCGGGAGCCTCATCTGCCTGCTACTGCCAGTGATTCATTTGCTTCTCAAGAAATAATTTCTGTAAAGTGACAGCAGGGAGTCTTCCCAGCGCAGCAGCCGCCTCCTATTCTGCCACCCGCCATGGCAATATTGTGACAGGTGCTGGGGAGACCCCGTGCCTCCTGCCTGCCTCCTCACCCTGAGCCAGCCTTTGGCAACCTCCAGGGGCATGGGACAAGGCCACCTCCTGGGAGGAGCACTGACCTTGGGGTCCAGAGACCCAGACGGACTCGTGGCGAGATCTGGGACAGAAGTCTTCACCTCTCTGAACCTCTCATTTGTAAAATGAGCATAATCACTTCCCACTGCTTGGGACTGCTCCCATAATTATCACATATTTAAAGAAGTCATCACTGCACCTAGCACAAAGTAGGTGCTCAATAAACGGAAGCATTAAGCCATATTGATTTATTTTCAAATCCTTTTGCAAAATGTTTTCCTACTGCACTGTTTTAATTGACTTTTACCTCAACCCTGGGAAGCAGAACTCGTAAGAAACCACACCCCCATTGTACAGAGCGACAAACTGAGGTGCAAGAGATTAAATGGCATGCACAGAGTTGTGCTACATTACGGAGAGAACGTAGTCTTCATAGGGTTGCTGGGCAAGCCCACCTTCCCACTGTCCCCATTCCCACGTGGGCATAGTGAAGCTCAGACCACATCGCAGGCAAACCCAGACCAGGACCTGGGCTCCACGGACCCTCCAGAGAACCAGGCATTGCCATTTGCCAGGTTTACTGTTGGGTGAAAACTACCCTCTCTTGTACCAGGTCTAGAATGAGAAACCACATCCTGCTCAGGAAGCCAAGCACCCGGTGCCCAGTGTGGGTGGGAGGACACTCCCCTCGTGGGCAGGCGGCGGCAACATCACAAACCTTCAGCAGTCTCCCATCTGGCCTGGAATTTTCTAAACACCTCACAGTCTGGCAATGCTCAAAGGGCTGTGCAACTCACAGATGCTGCCAGCAAAGGGCACGGGACACCCTCTCCCAGTTTCCAGCTTGGTTCTCAACCTCTGCCCACCCCACAGGGCCAGCACAGATCTGCCTCTGTAGGGCACCCACTCTCTGCCCTGTGAAATCATTCTGAACTTGACTGTTTACACGCCCTGTGCTGTAGCTAGGCGAGCCTGTCTACTTCTTCCACAACCTCCGGACACAGAGCTTAGCATCCCTGTTTTACAGATGAAGAAACTGAGGCTCGAGAGGCAGTGACTAGCCCAAGCTCACTCGGCTTTTAACTCCTGCCCTGGGGCCCCAGCACCCTGCACTGCCAGGCTTGGGGGTTCATTCAAACTTTGAACTTTGGCCCAGGCCTTCTGATTCCAAGTGCAGGCCCTCCCCTCCACAAACAGCCGAATCCCTGGACGTGGTCTGTGTTGTCCGTCTTCTGTCCCATCCTCCTGGAGGCCTACTAGCTCACAGCAGCCAGACACAGAGGCCTCCCTGCTGCATGAGTATTTACTCAGCATGGACCTTGGCCAGGTCCTGGCTGGGATCTGCCAGTGGGAGACGAAGCCAGAGTTGGAGCCGGCCCCCACAGAGCTTCCAGTCGATGCAGGGGCAGACACATGCCAGGTAGTTACAACTCCGGGTGTGGGGGGCTGTGATCGGGAGGTGGTGGGTGCTTAGGACCGCCTGACAGCAGAAAGTCAGGAAAAAGCAACACATCCCTAATCCTGAGCACAGGGACATGACAGGGCTGCCTCCTTCCCGTCCCGGGCCTTCAGCCATCCGCGACATAGGAAATAAATGGAATGCCAGCCGGCCTTCACCTCTCAATGCGATCAAAAGCCAGGACTGCAAATGCAAAGCCCACAGCCTCCGGTGTCACTGACACATGGCACAGTTTAAATCAATTCTCCTGGAAGGCAACGCATCTCGTTGCAGCAAAGGGCGTGTTCAAATTCCGGGTCTACCCTTCTGTGTCCTTCAAACACGGTCATGTGTGGGGACGTGGGCCACAGGACTGAACGGAGAGTCTGGTGTGTGCATCTGCATGTGTATGTGAATGTGTGTGTGTGCACGTACATGTGTGTGAGTGTGAGTGTGCATACACGTGGGGGGAAGGGGGACCCGGGGACCCGCATCCGGTCTCGTTTGCCAAGGCAAAGCCCCGCCTCGCATTCCTCTGAGAAGGAATCTTCAGCGTCAGCTGTCTCCCTGCTTCCTTTTCTTTTCTGGGACCTCATTCCCCTCCCTCTAGCTTGAGGCTCTGAGAATCGCTCCCAAATTTGTCCCCAGTGAGAATGCCAACCCAGCCAAGGGATTCTGTAATATAGTTCTCAAGGGACCCGAGGCGCTAGATGGAGGGGTTTGTGTGTTTCTCTTAAAGGAAGTTGGGAGAAAGGGCTGGGGGATGGCGAGAGATTTCCGGAGGCACAAATCAACTGCTAAGAGTAGGTCAAACAGCCTTCTTAGATGCCGGACAAAGAAGCAGCCGTTCTCCCTCCACCCCCAACACCATCTCTGGCGCCTCCATGGGACAGAGAGAGCGGCGACATGCCCTGAAATGGACTTGTTAGGCAGTCAGGGCCATGCTGAGAAATCCTTGTAAATTAAAGGAACAGACTTTGCCAGGGGAAGGGGGCTGGGCTGGGGTGGAGGTAGGTATGCCCAAAATCTGCCAAGCCCCAGGTACCTTAACACCAGACCTCATTTGTTCCTTCTCAATCCCTGGGAGAGCAACAAGATGATCCCTCTTTTACAGAGGACGAAGCGGGGAGCTCCACGGGCAGCTCAGAGAGGCCAAGCCACTTGCCCATGTTCACACAGACAGTGGCAGAGCCAGGATGCAAAACCCTTTTCCACCATCGAAGGCTGCCTCACTGGAAAATCAGAAATAAAGAATCCGTATCGGTGCCAGCTTCAGAAATAACGAAAGTGTCAATGGGAGTGGCAGGGAACAAAGCCCTCAGCTTTCTATTCCAGGGCAGCCTTCGGGCTTCGGGACATTCAGGGGCCAGCACCCACCTGCTTGAGGGCCCCCCTGGGGTGTGACGGGAATGGGCGGGGGACACTCCAGCTGACCCACCCACCATCCCTTTTTGGAGTCCTCCATTCCAGCCGACAGCCCAGCCCCTTCCGGCTCACAGTCAGAAATAGCTGTGACAAAAGTCCCTCCCATCCCAGAAAGTGGCTTTTTAAAAAAATGTTTAAAACAGACATACAAAAAGGTGGAAAGAACATAACAAAGCCTCGACTGCTGGCGGATGATGCGGGCATCATGTCGAGGCGGGGAGGCCAGCTCTGCACGGCAGATGGAAGGTCTGTCCAGCTCAGCACTGAGGGCCAGCCCCCCTCTGGGCCTTGGTTTCCCCACCTTTAAAATGAAAGTACTCAGCTGAATCAGCGGTTTCTTTCTTTTTAAAACAGCAGAACCCTTTTTAAAATGGAATACTTTTTGGACAGTCTGGGAGTCAGAGAGGCATGGAGCTATGGTGGGCAACATGGGTCAAATCTCAGGTACTCAGCCTCCCACTGTCCCCCGAGTCTCCCAAGGCGCCCTGCTATGGACTCCAGGGCTCTAAAAAGCCCACCTGAAAGCCACCAGGCTGAATGATCACAGTGGTCTCTCCAGGCTCCCAAACCACCCTCCAATCACCCCAGGCACCAGGAAAAAAAGAAACCTAGCCTCCAGGCTGACTTCAACTGGGGGGCGCATACAGTCAGCCACTCGCACGGGAGGGAACCAGGCCAGCCAGCTGCAAATCACACTAGGCCTGAGGGGGCCAGGATGGCTGGACAGGCTTCTGGACAGGGACACCAGGCCCCCAAAAGAGTCGCCCTGTCTGATAGGCAGCTAGGCCAGCACTACTAGCGCCGGGCAACTTCCTCTACCAGCCCAGGGCAACTTCCCCTACCAGTCCATGGCAACTTTGTGACAGCTGCCAGGCTGGAGGGACCTTTTTCTTGACAGCCTTAAAGATTTCCTGCATCCTTCCTTGGAGCCAATGAAGACAGGGGAAACGGTTGAACCGGTTAAGCCTGGGGATGGGATGGCCAGCGCTGCCTATGCCTGGAGCCTGGACCCTAGTTATCTGGGGCAGAGATAGGAGAGGGAAGGGGAAGCCCAGAACAGAGAAAGGCTTCAGCGAACACAGTGTGGTCTCCAGAGGCAGAAAGATCAGCCACAACACGGGCCTCTTGGAGTCACTGACCTAAAGTAGAGAGCAAGCTGAGAGAGATCACCCACAGGAACTCCTGCATGTAAAGGTGGAGGAGCTGAGGCCCAGAGAGGGCAGCGGTTGGCCAGAGGTCACACAGCACCTAGTGGCAGAGCTGGACCTAAAGTCCAGGTCTCCTGGATGCCAACTCAGGGAACTCTCCACTGTTGAGTTCAGATAAACTCAGTGGGAAACTCCAGGGAAAAGCCCCCAGCTTGCAAAGTCAGAACAAGATATTTTAGTGGCCCTGGGTGGTGACAGAGTAGAGATGTTTGTTTTGGTTTCCAAATCAACGCTTGACAACCTCGTCCTCATTGCGGCTTCAGCGACCACATTTCCCACGTGGTAAAGACCTGGTTGGGCCAAGGGAAAACCAAAGCAGTGGTGACTGGGGCCAGGACCCAGGCACCCCAGGCCAGGGGCTCTGGTTTGGGTTGGTGTTTCCAAAGCACAGTTTGTGGACCACTGATGGCACATGAGATGATGCTCGGTGGTATACAGTTGACGTTTTAAATTTAAAATACATTGAATACCTGGGTGGATTCATAAACACAATATGGTCTATACTACAGAGGAATATTTTTAGCTATAAAAAGGAACAGCCTACAAATACATGCTACAACATGGATGAACTTCAAAAAAAATTCTCTAAGTGAAAAAAGCCAAACACAAAAGACTGCAGAGTGTATGTTTCTATTTCTATGAAATGTCCGGAAAAGGCTAGTTTCTAGAGACAGAGCAGGTCAGTGATTACCTGGGCTGGGCTTGGAATTGGAATTTTCTGTAAATGGACATGAAGGATCTTTTTGGGGGCTGATGCAATGCCCTAAAACGGGATTGTGGTAATGACTGCACAACTCTGTGAATTTACTCATCTTGACTTGTACACTTAAAATGGGCAGTTTTTGTGATATGCAAGTTGTACCTCAATGAAGTTGTTAAAATATTTTATGTACGTAATAGCACAGGCGGTAGTACATGGATGTGGCCAGAAATCATGGAGGTGGAACTCAACAAGCGTCCGGCTTGAAGATCGCTGAGCCTCGCAGCCTAAGTTGTCCTTTGGGGAAGCAAGTGGGGGTCTCTGGAGCTGCAGCTTCCTCCAGGTGGACCAGGGGAAACCCTGGAACCTTTCCCTTCTGGGTTAGGCTCCTTCTGGGCATCATTGCTTGGAGTTCTGTAATAGATATCCTGGGATGATTTAAAGCCCTTCATGGCCACAACAGTCCAGGCAGACACCTGGGTCTCATCCCTTAGACGGTGACTTCTCTTATGGCCAGGGGATCAGAAGCGGGCTGGGAGCTCAAACTCAGATTTATATATTGCCAAGGCTGGGAAGACCCTTTGAGATCATCTAGCCCAGTGGTTTTTCAACTTTTTAAAAAATGTTTATCAAATGTCTGCCCTCCTCCCCAAAGAAAATTCTTAGGGATACCCAAAACATACTACTAACAAGTTAGCATGTTAGTAGAACCCAGTGAGTTAATATTAAGAACTTAAAGGTGGGTGAGCACATTTTTATCACTGTATTAACGTCTTAATGTTCTTTTAAATGATCATTTTTATTAGATATTCAAGGAAACCCTAAAGCATCTCTAAGAAAGCCTGGGGTTTCAAGGACCGCAATTCTAGCCCCCCCTCAACCTCACTTCACAGACGGGGAAACTGAGGCCCCAGGAAAGGAATATACCTGCTTTGGAAAAATCCAACATGAGTCTTGAGTTAACTTCAGAAAATAAATGGAAGACAAGGTGTGCACGCATCCCAGAAGGGCGGGAAGAGAGACGCCCGCACTCCACCTGTCTCAGCAGCACCGTCTCATTCCAGGCCAGCGCCAGAAGCTGACATCACACCCCACGCCCTGGGTGCAACTTGAATAGATCGTTGCTCAATGCCAACCCATCTCCCTCCAAGACTGGGCACGGTTTTTCCATCACCTTAGTAGCCAGGTCCAAAAAGCACACACACAATAAAACAAACACAACACAAGCCTGAGGCATGACAACACAATCAACAGTGGCAGACAGGAGGGCCCGGCCCATCCCTCCCCAGTTTCACCATTGAGAGCAAGTGCCTGCTTCCCTAGCCTGCCCCAATGACATTGACCATGAGGGGCGGCGAGGTGGCCTCCCTGTGGCAAGGCACCAGGCGGGCCATTCTCAAGTCCTCCAGAGAAACAGGTAACCCAGGAGAGAAGCCCGTCTCCCAGTGGAGTGTAAGACCTACCCCCAGGAAGCTAGGCGCCACATGAGAGAGCTTGAGGACTCTCAGCATTTCTACTCCCTGCTAGCTTGACAAAGTGCCTATCATCTTTAATAACACCAGCATGATTACTTTATACCTCCCAAAGAGCATCACCATCCTGCTGTCTCCTCGAGCAACTGTGGGCAGATTTTATTATTCCCATTTCTCTGATGAGCAAACAGGCTTTCAAGTGATTTGATAATCTCACCAGCAGGTATAAGGCTGGCATTTGAATCCTACCCAGTTGCTAGCCTGTCCAATGGGAGAATACGGAAGGAGACCTATGCCCAGCTCCCTGGACAGACCTTTAGAGATGGAAGGAAGGGTCCTTCTCAGTACATCCTCCAAGCCCTGGAGTTCAGAGCCAATAGCTCCGAATGGAAGGCTGCCTGTGCCTGGAACAGCGATTGCCAGGGCCAGAGGGCCCCTTCCCCAGCCAGGCCTGAGATGCCAAAGACAGACCCTTCTTCTCTTATGGGAAGAGGAGGAGGATAGGAGACCCCTCTCCTCTTATCGGAAAGCCAAGCAGACAGTATTGTCGGCCAGACTGCAGACAGGAAGCAATGACAGTTTCCCAGCTGGGGAATCTGGGCTAGGCAGGAATGCACTGGCCAGTCTTGCAGAGTCTGGACCCCAGTTCTAGCCAGAGATTGTGGTCTCAGTCCATTCAATGTCCAGTCTCCAGCCCAACATTATCTTCTCCTGGGGGCTTTTAAGGCTGAGTTTGTTAGGGCTCAATAAACCATGAGACTCAGGGAGTGGGGAGAAGAGGGATGAAAGGAGGCATTTTATAAAAGCTTGTGAGCAGTCTGTTGTAGTTGTGGTTATCCAACCCAGCAAGCTGGACCTTACAGAGCTGGAGCAAGACGGCAGACACTGGCCCCAGGGGGTAGGGGCAGATCCATCCATTTTCAAAAACGTGATCTCATTTAATTCAAGAAATAAAAAGGCAGTGGGTTGGTTAGAGTTTTTCTTTTCATATGTTGAGGGAGGGGAGCATATTTCCTACTTCCTTGGTAAAAATACTTATGCTAGGAGACAGACTAGCCAGGAGTGGTTAAAATCTCTGGTTGAAATCCCGGTTTCACCACTTACTCGCCAAGCCACCTTAGGCAAATCACTTAGCATTTCTGCACCTCGGTTTCCTCATCTGCGAGATGAGGATAAGACTGCCTTACACAATACGCTGTATTGTGCTGAGAATTAAATGAGATCGCATAAAACACAGACAGTTATTATGTCACCTAGAAAACAATGTGCCTCACCAGTGACAGCATCGAGGTGGCCCCCACGGTAGCCAGCGCCCGCCCCCATCCTGGGATCTAGATAACTGGGCCTTCCTGGCGTACGTAAGACGCTCTGCAAACACAGCTTCCAGCCCACCTGCCAGTACCAGCTGCCCGCCCGGCCCCCGTCCCGCATACGCATTCCGCGGCAGCCTGGACCTGGGCGCCCCGTCCCAGGGCGGCGGGGGAGGGGCGGCCACTCACCTCCGCTTATACTCGTCGCGCTCGCGCTTCACCTTGGCCAGCACGTTGTAGAGCGCGCGGATCTCCGGCGTGATGGTGTCGATCTGCACGCCCACGCCGTCGGGGTGCACCCACGACACGCCGGGGCCCTGCACGGTCTCCACGCCGCCGCCGCCCGTGCGCCGCACCTGCGTGTAGCTCCAGATGGTCCCGGGCAGGCGGCCGTAGTGCTGCGGGTGCGAGCCGCCGCCGGGGGGCAGGCCGCCCAGGGCCACGGCATTGGCGTTGGCGCCGGCCGCCGCGCCACTGCTGAGGCCGTGCCCGCCGCCGGGCGCCGGGGGCCGCAGCAACTCGGGCCCGGTCTGCACGGCCTGCTCGCGGGAGAAGGTCTTGTAGCGCAGCCGCCGCTCGCGCTCGCTCTGCTGCTGCTCCAGCTGCTTCTCCAGCAGCCGGTTGCGCCGCTCCAGCTCGTGCACCTTAGCCAGGAAGCAGCGGAAGCGCACGTTGAGCCCCTTCAAGAGGTGGATGTTGGAGCCCAGGTCGTCCCGCAGCGCCGCCGTCACCGGCGACGGACCCGGCCCTGCCCCGCCGCCGCCGCCGCCCCCGCCAGGGCAGCCCCCGCCGCCGCCGCCCGGCGGGCAGCCGAAGGCCAAGGCCATCTCCCCGAACAGCAGCGAGTTCACCATGCGCCGGCTGCGCGGCTCAGGGCCCCGGGCCCGCGGCTCCAGGTGCGGCTCCAGCTCCGGGCAGGGCTCCCGGCGCGGCCGGGCCAGGGTGGGCGCGGGCTCCAGCGCGGCCGGCCGGGCGGTTCCAGATGCGCGCCAGATGCGGCCTCCGCAGAGACGGCAGGACGGATGGCCCCGGATGCGGGCGCCGAGGCGAGAGAGGGCACTCGGCCGCTCCTCGGGACGCGGTGGAGGCCGCGGTATCTGCGCGGGGCCAGAAGGGTCGCGGGTCTCACCGCCCGGGCTGTCAGAGACGCTGTGGAGGGGCCGCGGCAGCCGCACGCAGAGGACTCTCGGCCGGCACTGCCCCTTCTGCGGCGGGCCCCGCCCACTGCAGACACTGGCCCCGCCCCCGCCGCGGCCCCGCCCACCCCTCCTCCCTCTGCGGCGTTCCCCGAGCCCGAGGCTCCGCCCCACGAGGCCCGCAGCGCCGGGCCCCACCCACAGACCCTCGGCTCCGCCCACCTCCGGGTTCTCCCGCTTTCTCCGCAGCATAGACTCCGCCCAGCTCCCCGGCGGGGCCACGCCCTCTCCTGCGTCTGGTCCTGCCTCCCCGCCGGGTGCCGATTCTCTGCTGGGGGACCCGGACCGCAGAGCTGCACCAGGGACCGGGTTAGCTGGAACCGCCGCAGAGCCAGCCGGGCCTCTTAAAGGGGCCAGCAGCCTCGGCAACGCTCGCTTTCCACTTTTTAGGGCGCTCCTCTCCCACGTCGCCTGCCGAGAGGGCTCCGTTTCTCTGTCCTCTCTGCCCGCAATGCCCCTGGCCCCAAATTCCTTCGGATGTGCGCGACCGCGGCTGGAAGGGCTGGGGGACCACAGTATCCGAAGGTGCATCGGCACCCCACCCCCACTCTAGCCTGGGGAGGCCCAGATCGACCTTTCGGGGATAAGAGGGCGCCCGTGCCCCACGCTGCGGACCCGGGGGTGGGCTCCTCGAATGCTAGCTGCGGGCCTTGTCCTCTCGAGATCGGCCCGGGCACAGCTAAGCCCGCTGGTTCCCCCGCCCACTGAGGAGCCGAGCAGCATGGGGGTTGGGGAGGCCGAGCAAGACCCTCCCGGGATGACACCCACAAACTCGGCCTGGGCCTCGCCTCTGCTGAGCTGCTCAGCACCTCCCCACCACCCACACCCACACGCTGAGATGAAGCTGACCCCGAGAGCTGGGGATTCATTTCACAGACATGGGGCTTAGCGGGCCGCCTGGGGCAGACCGAGGCAACCCGAGGACCCATTCATTCATTCATTCATTCATTCAAATGTTTTCACACCTACCACGTTAAAGGCCAAGTTCTCCAGTCTCTGGTGTCTCCTGAACCGTGTTGCAAACATTAGTATATGTCAGGCGCCATACTTATTTATTATCCCCATTTTACAGAGAAGGTCACTGAGACGTTAAGTAGCCACAATGGTCCAAAGTGCATGCTCTAACCGGCCTTCCACAATGCTGGCCTCGGGCCTCGTGTCCATTTCCGCATTTGGTCCTCACCGCAAACCTCAGAGGGGAGGTGACCCCCACCTTGAACCCCCACCTTTGAACGCCTGTGGCTTGCATTGTATGCACTTAACCAGATATGTGGCATGTTTCAGATACTTCCGACTGCATTTTTTACTAGCAGTTTAATTTTTGTCTTGTTATTAACTTTTGTGTTTGTTTTGTCTCTTTGTATGTAAGCTTGAGGACAGGCACACTGTCTTACATGGACAATGCCTTGGTGTTCTTGGTGACAAAGGAGACACGGGCTTGCCCTGGAGTGATGTGGCTGTGATGTTAGTCTGCTGTGTTTTTGATTTAGCCACAAAAGCAAACCTTCCCCATAGTTCCTTCCCTCAACCACAGTTCCTTGCTTCCTGCCAACACGGACTCACCTTAAACACCCAGCTCTGAAACTCACTCATCTAGAAACCTTTCTCTGCTTAACCCAACCCAGTCTGGACACTGCCCTTTACTCTTCGTTCTCTCGTCTCTTGATGATGTTCTTGTTTATCTAACCTAAGGAATCAAAACCCCTTTGCCTTGAAGCAGAGGTTCATGGACCCCCAAGAGGACTGAGGATAGAATTCTGGGGGGTCCATGACACAGGGGTGGACAAAAGTTATACCTTTAGCCTCACTAATCTCTAAAGGCTTTGTTGTCTGTTTGTTTATTTGTTTGTTTGAAACAGAGTTTCACTCTTGTTGCCCAGGCTAGAGTGCAATGGTGCGATCTTGGCTCATCACAACCTCCACCTCCGGGGTTCAAGAGATTATCCTGCCTCAGCCTCCCAAGTAGCTGGGATTACAGGCATGCGCCACCACACCCGGCTAATTTTTTTGTATTCTTAGTAGAGATGGGGGTTTCTCTATGTTGGTCAGGCTGGTCTTGAACCCCCAACCTCAGGTGATCCGCCCACCTTGACCTCCCGAAGTTCTGGGATTACAGACGTAAGCCACCGTGCCCAGCCAATGGTTTTTAACATATCCTTTGATTATGAATGTAGGCAGCAAGTAGATGTCCCTGTGATTTTGTCACTAGTAGAAATCACAGGTATTTATGTAACACACTACAGTTATTGTAAACATCTCAAGATATCATCTAAGCTACGAGAACTGTGAAATTAAAGTCATATTAGACCGACCACTAAATCTTATTTAATGTATTAGTAAAAGAGAACGTATGTTACTATATGAGAAATTGTTAATAGTTTGATATCTATTTTTAGTAAAATGACTTTTCATAGTAATCCTAATGCCTTTTTAAAAAAATTATTCTCAGAAGGGGTCCACAGGCTCCACCCAATGCCTGAGTGGTCCCATGGAAGAGAAAGGGTTAAGAAGTCACACCTGGGGAGTGGCTCCCTGCAACCTCTTCCAGGAAGGATCTGTCCTTCCAACAAAGTTGCCCTGGAATTGGGGTGTGCAGCCCTCCTTGAGGGTGGGGGCAGCCCTGCCCTGGGCCCTGGAGATATTCAGACTTTCCGTGATGACTTGTGGAGCACCTGCTTCGGCACAAATCCTGCATTAAATGCAGAGGAAGGAGCTAAAGGGGCTCCAGGGGAGCTGATGGAGACAACCAAAAAAGACCATCCTGAGGCATGGGAGTGGGTGCAGAGGGGGGAAAAGGAGATGGCCAAGCAGAGCCCAGAAGATCTGAAGGAATTGAGGGAAGTGGTAGCTGGACCTGAGAGGGTTTTCAGCTGAACCCTAGAAACATGATATGTGCAAACAAAATGGCTTGAAAATAGCTTCGTGGCCACATAGGAATAAAGGCGGGTGCTGCGTGTCTTGCTCTTTGTGGGTAAAATGTGAGGTTAGGTTAACCTAACAGTCCTCCAGCTAGGGTGACCAACCATCCCAATTTATCAGGAACTGAGAAGGTTTCTCTTGATGCTAAAACCTGGAAAGTAAATCAGAACGAGCAAATCAGAACAAATGTGTCACCCTACTTCCAGCCCATATCAATCTGGAGGCATCTGAGGCCAGAAGTCCTATAGTTCAGGATACAGCCAGCCCAGATTTCTTGTTTCAGGGACCAGAAAACTGAGGACCACAGAGAGGTAAGGACTGACCCAGGTCTCCTGAATAATTGGTATCAAAGCCTGGTCTGGAATTCTGGTCCCATTCCCTTTCCAATGGTAGGTCCTCCCTGGCCCAGACAATGAATTCAGTGGTCTCCTCCCCTTAACCCCAGACACTGGCAGGCTGGCTCCCCCATTCAAGATCCAAAGGGGGCTAAAGGTGGGTCCTCAAGGCAGCGGAAGAGTTCCAACAGACAAAGGAACATCCCTGTGGGGGACGCCAGCCTCCTCTCACTAAACAAGGATAATTAGGTTTTTGTTTTTTGGCAGGGTACCTCCCCTTGACCCTCAAAGTCACAGCGGTGTGTCTAACCTGTCCAGACTGTTTTTGGAGGCAAGAGTGGGGAGTGGAAAAAGGTGGGCTTTTAAGACAAGAGATTGGCTAAGGTTTGTATCTAAGTCACTTTACCTCTCTGAGGCTCTATTTCCTCATCAGGGAAATGGGCATAACTGCTCTCAATGAACAGTTGCTGAATGAATGAATAAAAGAATTAAGAAATGAATGAGAAAATGACTTTTATTCTTCCTGCCCCACTCCCCAGCCATTTCACCTGCTAACAACTCCTCATCCTTCAGGTCCCAGCCTCAAGCACGGAACCTTCTCTTCTCGGAAACTTCTCTTCTCGGAACCTTCTCAAGTACCTGCCAGGTCTGGGTGGAGGGTGCTTCCTCCAGGCTCTGCCAGCACTGCCCACCCTGTGGCAGCCCCAAGTATACGCTCTTGTCATTGCTGGATTTCTCATCTGCATCTCCACCCCTTCTAGCCCAGCCTTCTAACACTTGCTAACCCATATTCTCTATTAGAGCAGAAGCACTTGATCAGATTCACCCTGGAACCCATATCCTGGCATGGTACCTGGCACATAATAGGTGCTCAACAAAGATGAGTTCAGGTGAACAAATGAATGAGCTGTTAGTTACTGGAGAAATTCCTGTAAAGTGGATCATGGCTGCTTAGGAAATGTTATATTTGCAGAACGTAATTGCATTTCTTTTTTTTACTTTATTGAGGAATATTTTACATATTATGTAATTCACCCATGTCAATGGTTTTTAATAAATTTACCAAGTTGTGCAAACAACGCTATAAACCAGTTTTAGAATATTTCATCATCCCCACTCCTACCCCCTGCCCCAGACAACCGCTAATCTGGGATCTGTCTCTATGGAGTTGCCTTTTCTACATATATCAGATAAATGACATTTTACAATATGTGATCTCTTGTGTCTGGCCACTTTCATTGAGCACAATGTCTTTGAGGCTCATCCATGTGGTAGCATGTATCAGTAGTTTGTTCCTCTTTATAAATGATCTCTTTTTAAATTTCAATAGTTTTAATTTTTCCTTTTCTGTACTCAGTTCTTCATCTGGAAATAAGACTATAGGACTATCTGACCTGGGGCCAGGTGCAGTGGCTCACACCTGTAATCCCAACACTTTGGGAGACCGAAGCGAGTGGATCACTTGAGACCAGGAGTTTGAGACCAGCCTGGCCAAAGGCTTAACACCGTCTCTAGTAAAAATGCAAAAAAATTAGCTGGGCATGGTGGCATGTGCCTGTAGTCCCAGCTACTCAGGAGGCTGAGGCACAAGAATCACTTGAACCCCCAGAGGCCAAGATTGCACCACTACACTCCAGGCCAGCCTGGGTGAGAGTGAGACCTGGTATAAAAAAAAGAATATCTGACCTGGTGCAGTGGCTCACACCTATAATCCCAGGACTTTGGGAGGCCGAAGTGGGAGGATCGCTTGAGCCCAGGAGTTCGAGTCCAGCCTGGGCAACGTAGTGAGACCCCATCTCTACAAAAAAAATTTTTTAAAAATTAGCTGAGCATGGTGGCACATGCCTATGGGGTCCTAGCTACTTGGGAGGCTGAGGTGGGAGGATCATGTAAGCCTGGGAGGTAGAGTCTGCAATGAGCTATAATCTTGCCACTGCACTCCAGCCTGGGTGACAGAGTGAGACTGCCTCCAAAAAAAAAAAAAAAAAAGGTGGTTGTAAGGGTTAAGTGAGTTCATACATGGAAAGTCAGTATGTTCGATAAATGCTCAATCGATGCCAGCAATGCTCAATAAATGTTAACTATTATCATTGTCATTTTTTAACTTTTTTGCTTAAGCAAATATGGAAAGCCCATAAAATGTATAAAGAGGCAGGAAAAAAACAAACATCTCCCACAGTCTCACACCCAGTGGCCCTCTGGCACCAAAGTTCAGTCCTGCTGCCAGGGAGAATAAACTGCTCCCCACTCCTCGCATCCCCCGTCCCCACCCCTAGGCTGCAGTTTCCAGAACATTCCTATCAAGTCTCTTCATGGTGGAATTAAAGAGAACAGTAAAACATGATGGTACAGAGGATAGGGAGTGGCTGTGAGTCCACATGAGGCTGCACGTGAGAATTCAGCAGCACAGGCGAATTCCTGAGATGTCCCATCTCTCCTCCCAAAAAACAATGACAACAGCTAAGAAAAAAAAAAAAAAAAAAGCTTGGCAAAAACAGTGACTCTTACTGGTTTTGGCAGTGGCAGCTCATTGCTGGGCCTCAGCCTTCACAGGCACCTCAGGGCTTATGAGCGGCTTAAGCTGCTTGTTGGCTCAACAATTATTCTGGGTGGGTTTGCCTTCCTCAAAAAGGGCGTGGATTTTGCCAAAGTCAGGGCATTGGAGTGTCCCCCTGGCTGCCCTGACAGCACTGATCTTGGTCAGCAGCCCTGGGGGAGCCCTGGTTGCCTTTGGCACCTTCTCCAGGCCTCCCGGTAGAGGCAGCTTAGGCGGCCTCATCTGTTCTGGCCGTGTGGTAGTGTCGTTAGGTACAGGGGACGAGGGCCAGGCTCCATCAAATATTAACAGAGTGATTTTGAGCAAGTCACTCAAACGCTCTGTGCCTCAGTTTCCCCTCTGTAAAACGGGAAGGTAGACATCCATAGGTCTGCTGGGAGGATCAAAACAGAAGTCCACAGGTATGACACATTTGGAGCAATGCCTGGCACATATTAGGCACTAGCTATTATAACCCAATGCTTCTTGAATCCCTGGTATGTGCCAGGCACTGTTTGAGGTGGTGGTTTAAGTTCTATGTGACAGATGATCAATGCCGGGGTTTGCAGAGGCCTTATCAGGGCCACACTCAATCACTTTAGGGGGAGCCCTGGGCCTGGCATGGGGCCCTTGCCTTCAGACCTTATTCCCTCATTCCCATATGATGGGCACCTGTTGAACACCTCCTGCAGCCAACTCTCTCACTAAAACTCTGTATGTTAAGAAGACCTTCTTACTGATGGGGAAACTGAGGCTCATAGGGGAGAAAGGGCTTCTCCAAGAACACACAGTTCATGGCATAGCTAAGCTTTGAATCCAGCTTTGAATTCCAAGGCCAGCCCCTCTCCTGCTCTGACTGTAGCTCCTCCCTCAACAACTCAAAAGTAGAACATTAAACATGGACTGGAGGAGCGTGTTTTGAAATGACTTCTGTCAACCTAGTTCACTGTGTCAGTGGAAACCTCCAAATGAGTGGAAGGGGGCATAGAGAAGAGAAGGACAGGAGCACCATCGGCAACCCTGGAACCAGGCAGAGAAGCAACACCACACACTCGGGCCCCTGGGTCTTTGCACCTTCTGGCTTCTCCTCCAAGACACCATCCCCCTCCTCACTGGCTGGCCCTTGCTTATTGGCCAGAACTTAGCTTTGGGAGCCCTTCTCCTTCTCTTTTGTTGTCTTGTTTTGACTTTGCATAGAGGTGCGTATATAGGTAGAGTGCACAAATACTAATCGTAGAGCTCTATGAATTCCTACATATGCACCCCCGATGAGCTCACCAGGTCATTTCCCACACACCAGAAGGTCCCTTCATGCTCCTTCTCAGTTGATACTTCCCAAAGGTAACCAGGTGCTGACTTTTCTTTCCCCAGATTCCTTTCTAGGCTTCATTAAATGGAATCATACGGTCTAGTTTTGGCTTCTTTTGTTCAACCCTACGTGTATGAGATTCATCCATTTAGTTGTGTGTTGTGTTTTGCTTCATCCATTTAGTTGTGTGTTGTGTTTTGCTCTTTTTCTCTGCTACATAAAGTTAGATGGTGTGAGCATCACCATTTATTTATCCATTCTACTGCTGATTTGGGCTGTTTCTTAGTTTGGGGCTACTAGGAGTCAAGCTGGAACCTTCTCATATATGTCTTTTGGTGAACACAGTACTTGTTCGTCTTGGGACTCGCCCCAGGGGCAGGATTGCTGTGTCACAGGGGACGCACATTTTTAACATTGGCAAATACTGCCAAACAGATTTTCAAGTAGCCATGCAATTTTACCTCCCCACCGGCAATGCATGAGGGTTCTGATTGCTCCACCTCCCAGCTAACATTTAATAAGTCAGTCCCTTTTATGTTAGACTTTCTGGTGAAGGTGAGGGCAGCACTTTTTCCTAGAAGCCACCCCACACCCCGTAACCCAGGGTAGGGACCTCCTGTTCTTCTCCATTGTAAGCATTCATTTCTCTGTAGCATTTCCACCAGTTCACTGTCTTCCCCATCTCAGGAAGGGAGGGCTCATTGAGGGAGGGAAGGACACTATCTGCCCGACTCACAGCTCCTTCCGGAGGGAGAAGCCAGACCCTATGGCCCCAGCCCCAAGCACTCACCTTCTGACTCTTCTCTCTACAGCCAGAAGTCCTGCCCTGAGGACACAGTACCCCTGTCTTTGATGTGCCCTAATTTATTTATTTATTTATTTTTTTGAGTCAGTCTTACTCGCTCTGTCGCCCAGGCTGGAGGGCAGTGGCACAATCTCGGCTCACTGCAACCTCCGCCTCCCTGGTTTAAACAATTCTCACACCTTCCAAGCAGCTGGGACTACAGGTGTGCACCACCCTGCCCAGCTAAATTTTGTATTTTTAGTGGAGACGGGGTTTTGCCATGTTGGCCAGGCTGGGCTCGTACTTCTAACCTCAAGTGATCCGCCCACCTCGGCCTCCCAAAGTGCTGGGTTACAGGCATGAGCCACAGTGCCCAGCCCCTAATTAATTTAAAGCCCAATGCTTAACAAGACAGCTTCTTCCAGAGGCCTCTCCCAGCCTCAGTTTCCCCATCTATAAAATAGGAAAGGCACCTCTGCCCCTTAGGGTTTTGGTGAGGGCTAAATGAAATGCTGTCCAAGTCCTTGGAAGGATGCCTGGCAGAGGGCAAGTGCTGCATCAGGATGACTCTCTGAGGCCACTCCAGAGCCTGCAGCCCTCTCTCAGCAGAGACGGCCTCTCCTGCCTCATTCTTATCATCATGGGAAAGCACTGTAAAGTGCCCAACAGTGTGAATCGATGCATCTATCTCTGTCCAAAGAGATGACTCCCTGACCTCAGGAACCAACACCCCTGAGCTCCTTCTCATTGCTCCACACACCATCTCTCATTCATCCTCACCTCACCCTGCTCGGACCAGTTCTAACGGCAGTGGTTTATGGAGCACCTAGACATCAAATCGAGTGCCAGGCATCAGATGGAGGCTTCACATGCATCATTTCATTCCATCCTAACCTCATCAATTTCAGGAAGGCCCATCATTCCCATCTTACACATGGAGACGCTGAGGCTTGGAGAGGAGAAGCTCCCTGGCCGAGGGAAGATTCCAGGGCCTGGACATCATAGGTCCAAAATAGTAAGCCAGGTCCTGCCTAGAGACTGCAATGTCCACACCAGCCTCAGGGCAATGGATGAATCCACAGCTGAATGCAGGACCAGGATAAGTGGGTTGTTGCCAGGGAGACCCTGGGAGTTCCACAAACCCCAGGGCAAAGGAGGACAAGGGCATCCTTGCCCTGGGGGTCCCTCCTGTCTTCTCCACCAGCTTGCTGAAGGCGAGCCCGGTAAATCCCCACTTACCTCACCTCTGACTGCTGGTTTACAAATGACTCTCTCACGTGTCAGGGAAAACCCTCCAAGGGAATCAGGGCAGGTCCCCTGAAGTTTCATCATCTTATTTCTGCTGAAACAGAAGTCGCAGCAATGGAGACACCTCCTGGGAGGTGACTGAAAGGAAAGGGTGAGTCAAAAGGCCTTCTTCCCGGAGGACTGCCCCGTCCAACGCTATGAAAAGGAGGAATGCGGCTGAGCTCATCCCAGCCCCACGACAGGAATGTCTCCCTAATTGTCCTTAACACAACTTCAAAATTACTTGCCAGCCAGAAGTCACTGTGTCAGCCTGGTGACATCCCTGATGGCTGATTTGTAACTGCAGAGGCCTCCGCCGGTGGGAGGCTTCCTTGGTCTACACCTGCCCAGCACTTTCCAGCCCTACCCAGAACAGATTATGGGAATCACCGAGTGCCATCAACAGGAGATTGACTAAATAAGTCATGGCACATCCATACCGTACAATACTCAGGGCCATCCAGCAGGATAAAACACATCTGTAGTTATTGGTGGAGAAAGAGTTCCTCCACTTATCAATAAAGTAAGAAGGCACACTGTAAAACACAGAACGACCATTTTAAAAAGTGTGTGTGTTTTATATCTGTGAGTTGTCTAAATTTATATACATGGAAAAACATCAGTGAGGACATCCCAGAAGATCAGCAGATGTTTTTTTACTTTTTGAAATGCCCTATGTGTTTTTTGAACTAATGAAAATGACAATACTTGGAAGGCTCTGTGACAGACACAATGGCAGGCACCTTACCAGCTTTATCACAGGTAATCCTCGCATCAAGATGATGGAGGGAGGTAAAATTCTTTCCCTATTTTACAATGAGCACTGATTACTTTTATTAGGAGAAAAAAATGGAAAAGCTATTTGCACTTTTTTAAAAAAACACATTGGTTGGATATGACTGCATCAAATGTACTAGGCCAAGTGGGAAATCTAAAGATGTTTGGGAGTGGCCCTTGACTTCAAGAAGTTTCCAGCCCCAGGTGTCTAAATAACAAGAATACCTGTTCACACTTGGTAAGTGGACCAAGGGAGAAACCGGAGATGTGTTATGAGAACACAGAACAAGACATGGCTTTAAGGGCAATGAAACAAATATTTATTGGGCAGCTACTATGTGCCTACTGCTCTGAGCACTTTGTCTCATTTTGGGCTCACAACAGCCTTCGAGGTTAATGTAACTTCCACCCTTGTACCCTTGAGGAAATGCAAGCTCCTGGCTTTTTCCAGGGCTATGAAATTAGTAGTAGTGGAGATGGGATTCAAACTTCTGTCTCCAAATCTGATGCCATCTCTCCTGCCCTCACCATTCCCAAAATCCCTGGGGATATATTAAGGACAAAGCAGCTTTCGAGGCCAACCTTGCTTCATAGGTCATGTTTCAACAGCAGGAGAGGAAAAGAAGGCAATTCTCTCTCCAAGCCTCAGTTTTCCCACCTTTAAATTGGGGGTACTCATACCTACTTCATAGGGTTGGTGTGAGGATTAAAGGAGAAATCCAAGGTATTGCAGGGCAGATGCAGTAGAGATAATCCTGAGCTTAAAGCACCTGGATAATATGCCTGGCCAGGGGGAGTGTTTGGTGACATAGAAGCTGTATGGGTTCTGGAATCAGGCCGCATGGGTTCTGAGAACCTGGGGAGGCTTCCTGGAGGAGGTAGCCTTGAACTGGGTCTTGCAGGTGGTGGAGCTAGGGCACCCCTTGGGGACCCTGCACCTTGTAGCAATCACTCTGCTTCAGCCAGATGCAGCAAAGAATCATTTATGGAACTTCTACCCAGTGCTTAAGACATACAATCCTAACTGTGACCCTGTGAGGTGGCTGTCACTATGCTCATGTTTTAGATAGGGAACTTGAAGCTCAAAAGACTAAGTAATGTGTCTAGGGTGGTGGCATGAAGGTTGACGCCAGGCGCATCTGACCACCAAACCTGTGCCACTCATACAGTAAAAACCCAGTCCCCGAAGGTTAGAGCTGGTCCCACTCCCCACATGACCCCATCCGACTTCACAGCCTGGGCTCAATCCAGCTTTCTGCCTTACTTGCTGTGTTACCTTAGAAAATGTACCCCAATTTTCTGATCCTTGGGTTCCTTATCTGAAAAATAGACAAATGGACCAAGGGAGTCCTTAAGTAAGAATGCTTACTTAGAAGAATTTCTTTTTGGGTTTTTTTTTTTTTTTTTTTTTTTTTTTTTGAGACAGAGTCTCGCTCTGTGTCCCAGGCTGGAGTGCAGTGGCGCAATCTCAGCTCACTGCAAGCTCTGCCTCCTGGGTTCACGCCATTCTCCTGCCTCAGCCTTCCGAGTATCTGGGACTACAGGCGCCCGCCACCACGCCTGGCTAATTTTTCTATTTCTTTTTTTTTTTTTTTAGTAGAGACGGGGTTTCACCGTGTTAGCCAGGATGGTCTCAATCTCCTGACCTTGTGATCCACCTGCCTCGGCCTCCCAAAGTGCTGGGATTACAGGCATGAGCCACCGTGCCTGGCCAACTTAGAAGAATTTCTGTGAAGATTAAACAAGATGCTATATCTGACATGCTCAGCACAGCCCCTGGAATAGTATAAATACCCAACAGTTGATAGCTACTTTGTTATTTGACATGGTTTGGCTCTGTGTCCCCACCTAAATCTCATGTCAAATTGTAATCCCCACGTGTTGCAGGACCTGGTGGGAGGTGATTGGATCATGGGGGCAGACTTCCCCCTTGCTGTTCTCGCTGTTCTTGTGAGCTCTCATGAGATCTGGTTGTTTAAAAATGTGCAGCGCTCCCTGCTTTGCTCTCTCTCTCCTGCTGCCATGTGAAGGTGTGCTTGCTTCCCCTTCAACCTTCCGCCTTGATGTAAGTTTCCTGAGGCCTCCCCAGCCATGCCTCCTGTACAGCCTGTGGAGCTGTGAGTCAATTATACCTCTTTTCTTTATAAATTACCTGGTGTCAGGTAGTTCTTTATAACAGTGTGAGAATGGACTAATACATTATCATTGCTATTATTATGACAATGACTGTTTCAATTATTATTAAGGCAAATAATATCTATTAAGCAGGCATCACAATTTCAAATGCCTACAGAGGCTGAACAGGCAACACAAATCTATGAATAGGGCAGTGAGCAATAATGGGGCATGGTGGAGTCTGTGGCAAATTGGAGTGTGCATGCCTTTGCTTAAAGGCACTCTGTGAAATAATTAAAAAATAAATATTTAATCTTTTTGTCTGGTTTCTAGTTCTCAGCAGGGTTTCTGAGTTTCTCGGAATTTACTGTACTTTGCTTGCTAGTGAGGGGACTCCCAAAGAGCTTCAGGATGAGAGCTAGTCACCAAAAAGACCAAGCCATGATTAGAGGGTTGAAACTTTCAGCACCACCACTCATCTCTGGGAAGCGGAGAGGGGCTGGAGATGGAATTTAATCACCCATGGCCAAAGATTGTAATCAATCATGCCTAAATAATGGAACCTCCATAAAAACCCCTTAACAATGGGGTTCAGAGAGTTTCTGAGTTGGTAAACACATGGAGGTGCTGGGTGGGAGGGTAGGGGGCCGGGAGAGGACACAGAAGCTCTGCGCCCCTCCACCAGTACCTTCCATCTGGCTGTTCCGGAGTTGTACCCTTTGTAACAAGCCAGCAAACATAAATGAAGTGTTTTCCTAAAATCTGCGAGTCATGCAAGTGAAATATTGAGCCTGAGGCGGGGTCAGGAGAACTCTCGATTTGTAGCCAATTGGTCAGAAGTCTGGGTGATCTCCTGGGACCAGTGTCTGAAGTCAGGCAGTTTTGGGGGACTGAGCCCTTCACTTGTGCAGTCCGCATGCATTCCAAGTAGTTACTGTCGGAATTGAATTGAATTATTGGACCCTCAGTTGGTGTCGGAGAATTGCAGAATAGGTGTGAAAAAACAACAACATAATTTAGTGTCAGCTTAAGAAGACAGCAAGGTAGCACATGGCCAAACTAAAAATAATAATAATATTTTAAAGTACAGGCTGGGTGCAGTGGCTCATACTCGTAATCCCAGTGCTTCAGGAGGCCAAGGTGGGATGATTGCTTGAGTCCAGGAGTTGACCAGCCTGGGCAACATGGCAAGACCCTGTCCCCACAAAAAATTTACAAATCAGCCAGGCATGGTGGTGCACACCCATAGTTCTAGCTACTCAGGAGGCTGAGGCGGGAGGATCTCTTGAATCCAAGAGGTGAAGGCTGCAGTGAGCTATGATCACACCACAGCACTCCAGCCTGGGCGATAGAGCAAGACTCTGTCTCAAAAAAAATAAAAAAAGTACAGCACAGTGTCAAGTGACTGAAGGAGGCCCAGGGTGAATCCTGAGGGGCCAGCCATGCTTGGTTGGTGGTTACCCCAGTGTCTGCTAGGTGACAGTTCACTGAGCCAGTTAATAAAGTATTGTACTTGTTTCTGTCTGTGTTATTACTTTACCATATGTAATAAATCTCAAAAGCTGTTTATAAGTATTTAACTATACAAGTCAAATAAAAAACATCTAAGGACCAGATCTGGCCCCCAGGCAGTGCGTTTACTACCCCTGAGTTAGGTACTCCTCCCAGAACGAGAGCACCTGGCATGCTGCAATCACCTGGGTACCAGGAGTTAAGAATCTCATCGAGTAAGAGCTGGCAGAATTGGAACAGGACCAGAAGAGCTCATCTGGTCCATGCACATATGCTATTATCATTCCCATTTCTCAGATGAGGCCACTGAGGCCCGGAACATCAGAAGGCATCATGTCACTTGGGACCTTAAAATTCCCAACAGCCTGACTCTTTTGTCCTGTCTTCTTCACAAGCCTCATGAAGCCCCCCAGCAAGCTGGTGTCTAGAAAAGGCAGGCGGGGTTGCGAGGTTATCTCAGTCAGCTTTTATGTTCTTGATTCCCCCTTGTTGCGATTTCAATTATTATTTTAGCGATGCTTTTCAAAAATACTCCAAAGCTTTCAGGCATTAATGTCTCATCAACCTGGATTCATCATAGTTGTGATTACAATCTTCTTAAGAATAATAATTCTCTGCATTGGCCATCAACTTGTCAGTAGGCAAGCTCAAAACACTTAGCAGAGGTTGACTCATGCCCCCGAGGCTGATCAGAGACAGAAATTTTCTCCCCAGATATTCAGCAATCTTGGTTATAACTCAGGGCACCATGCAGCCACCAGCGGTCTCCAGTAATAGAGCCAGGCTCATCTCTAGGCACTGGATGACATCACATCAGTGCTGCCTCCCACCGTGGATCCCAAGATGATTTGAGGCTGTACAAGGCAAAGCATTGAATAAACATTGACTTACATTAAGAGATAACCTCTCATTCATTCCTTTCCCATTTTTTCTCGCAGATTTCAACAAGTAGAAAGTCTCAGTCTTGTTCTCATCTGTCCTTGACACCTCTGTATTCCTCTTCAACAAAGAAAGAACAAGCCCCAGGCTCAGATGAGAGGTCTGTCGAGAATTTAATAATGTAAATTTGCATTAATCATTTTTTTTTTTGAGTCGGAGTCTCACTCTGTTGCCCAGGCTGGAGTGCAATGGTGCGATCTTGGCTCACTGAAACCTCTGCCTCCCGGGTTCAAGCGATTCTCCTGCCTCAGCCTCCTGAGTAGCTAGGATTACAGGCACGTGACACCATGCCCGGCTAATTTTTGTATTTTTAGTAGAGACGGGGTTTCACTGTGTTGGCCAGGCTGGTCTCAAACTCCCAACCTCAGGTGATCCGCCTGCATCAGCCTCCCAGAGTGCTGGGATTACAGGTATGAGCCACCGCACCCTGCCTATCATAGTTACATGGCCATCTTGTATCTATGTTAAGTGACGTTGGTATGATGAAAATTTCCTTTTCAAAGGAATTGTTTAAGTAAGTAAAAGGTGAATCTAAAAAATATATAATAATTTAGGTCACAGGTCTGCAAACTATGAGTCGAGTCAAATCTGGCCAACTGCCTGTTTATGCACCGTTCACAAACTAAGAATGGATTTTATGGCCAGACATGGTGGCTTACGTCTGTAATCCTAGCACTTTGGGAAGCCAAGGCAGGCAGATCACCAGGTCAAGAGATCGAGACCATCCTGCTCAACATGGTGGAACCCCATCTCTACTAAAAATACAAAAATTAGCTGGGCGTGGTGGCGGTCACCTTTAGTCCCAGCTACTTGGGAGGCTGAGGCAGGAGAATTGCTTGAACCCGGGAGGCAGAGGTTGCAGTGAGCCGAGATCACACCACTGCACTCCAGTCTGGTGATGGAGCGAGACTCTGCCTCAAAAAAAAAAAAAATGGATTTTACATTTTTTAATGGCTGGAACAAAGATCAAAGGAAGAATACTATTTTGTGTGAGTCAGCCATGGTGACTCACACCTGTAATCCCAGCATTTTGGAAGGCTGAGGCAGGAGGATAGCTTGAGGCCTGGGGTTCAAGACCAGCCTAGGCAACATAGCAAGACACCATTGCTACAAACAATTTAAAAATTAGTTGGGCATGGTGGAGTACATCTGTGGTCCCAGCTACCTGGGAGGCTGAGGTGGGAGGATCACTTGAGCCCAGGAGGTTGAGGTTACAGTGAGTTATGAGCACACCACACACTTCAGCTTGGGTGACACAACAAGACCCTGTCTCTAAAAATAATAATATTTTGTGGTAGTGACAAATATATGAAGTTCAAATTTCAGGGTCCATAAATAAAGTTTAATTGGCATACATCCAGGTTCATTAGTTTACTTCTTGTGTAAGGCTTCTTTCCTGCTACAATGGCACAGTTGAGTAGTTGCAACAGACAATGGGCTGCAAAGTCTAAAATATTTATTATTTAATCCTTTATGGAAAGAGTTTGCCACCTCCTGGTGGAGGTGGTTAGCTAATATGGCAAAGATCTTGGTGATATGGCAAAGATCCAGTGAACTCGTCACTGAAACTCTGGGAGATTGTCATCATTTATTTCCACCCAGTTTATAGGTGAGGAGGAAACTAAGGCTCAGCGAGGTTCAGTGGCTTCCCCAAGGTCACACAGCTAGTCAGCAGCAAGCAGGGATTTGAAATCAAGTTAGATTTGAAAGGGGCAGGAGGATACACAGGGCTAAAAATAACATATGCTTTACTGAGCTTTCTTTCCACAACTCACACCCGCTCCGTTCTGCATGTCCCCCACACACTTCCCACTATCTCTCTTTTTTATTTTTATTTTTTATTTTTATTTTTTAAGAGATGATATCTCTCTATGTTGTCCAGGCTGGATTTGAAGTCCTAGGCTCAAGAGATGCTGCCGCCTCATCCTCTCGAGTAGCTGGGACTGCAGCCCTTCCTCTTCTGCCCTCACTCTATGGGAGGAAGCCGTGGATTCATCATCATTTCCTAATAATGTGGCTCGTCTCCTCAAGCTCAGGACAGGCCCCTGGGGAGGGAACTGTGTCTTATACAAAGTTCACACACTTTAGCAGGACAGGAGAGGTCCTCTGCGGCTTGAGCCTGGTCTCCAGCCTCACCTCACCTCTCCCTTGCTTATGTTTGATGCTCCAGCGATCCTGAATTGTAACTCCCAAACCCGTCCCCAAGTAATATCACTACCAGTTACAACTTCCCCAGCCTAATGTGCTAGCTCAGGATTCTACCTTTACACAGGCTGTTCCTTCTGCTGAAAACCCTCCCTGCCTCTTTTATACCTAACTCCTATTCATTTTTCAAAGCCTCAATCAGGCATCAGTATGGAAACCACTGTGTTCTCCAGTCTCACTCCCAACAGAGGAGATCTGTCCCCCGTGCTGCCTCCGTGCCTCCTGTTATTGATAAGACCGTAGAACGGGCAGCTTAGACTGCAAGTTCTGGAGCCAAACAGCCTGGGTTCCAGTCTGGCTCCTCCTAGTTCTAACTGTGTGTTCTTAGACAAGTGACTGAGCCTCTCTTTGCCTCAGCTGCTTCATCTGTAAAATGGGTGCAGTGACAGTAGATTGTGCCTGGCATCAGTGTTAGGATTGAATAACACCCGTGAAACCCCTGCACATAGTAAGTGCTCGATAAATTTTTGCTGTTATACTGCACTGTATTTGCAGTTGTCAGTTTCTTTCCCCTCCCACACACCCTGGAGTTGATCGATCAGGGGTTCTGTGGGACTGGAGACTGGCTCTTGCCTAAGGGGACAACTCCCCAGTGCCTAATGCAGTGTCAGATATGGGATAGATACTCAGTAAAGGTGAGTTCCCTCCCATCTTTTTCCTCCTCACCTCCACCCTACCCCTGCTCCCAGCTGAATCAAGCAAACTGAGCACAAGCAAACTTGTACTAGCCTGCCCAAGTACAAGTCTGCTTTCTCACGGGGGTCCCAGGGCCATGCCAGGAGCTGCCCCTGCGGTGTCCCTTCCAGCCCCTTGAAAATCAGAGGACAGGCCGGACGCCATGGCTCACGTCTGTAATCCTAGCACTTTGGGAGGTCGAGGCAGGTGGATCACTTGAGGTCAGAAGTTTGAGACCAGCCTGGCCAATATGGTAAAACCCCGTCGTACTAAAAATACAACAACAACAAAAAAAAATAGCCAGGCATGGTAGTGGGTCCCTGTAATCCCAGCTGCTCGGAAGGCTCAGGCAAGAGAATCGCTTCAACCTGGAAGGCAGAGGTGGTGGTGAGCCAAGATCATGCCACTGCACTCCAGCCGGAGCGTCAGAGAGAGACTCCATCTCAAAAAATAAAAAAAAAATAAAATAAAAAGAAAGGAAAGAAAGAAAGAGAGAGAGAGAGGAAGGAAGGGAAGGAAATCAGAGAAGAGTACCCTATAAACACTGGTTTATGAGCCAGGAAACAGACTAAGAGGCTTGCCTTGTTCCTGAGTCAGTGGGACCTCAAACAAGGCCACAGCAGCGTCCTTGTTCCTGGTCCAGCCCCAGCCTCTCTCCTGTGAGTGGGCTTCCCTGCTAAACATAAATCTGTTAAAAAAAAAAAAAAAAAACCCAGCCAAAGACATGCCTGAATGGTGTCCTCGCAGCTGGGCTGGGGGCCAAGGTAGCAGGAGGCAGAGCAAGGCCGAGCCTCCCCAGTCAAACCAGAGTCCCCATCCGTCTAAATGGAAAGGAGGTGGGTCAGCTGCAAAACAGGCCTGAAAGCCCGGGTATAACACCATAGCGAAGAGCTCCGGCCCTGGGTTCAAATGTGAACCTCACAACTTAATAGCTGTATAACCTTGGGCAAGGCACTTCACCTCTCTGAGCTTCAGTAAAATGGGAATAGTAGCATCCTGTCTCACAGAGTGGCCATGAGGATGAACAAGCACTGGAAAGTGCTTTGCACACAGAGCCAGGCACAAAGTACTGTCATCCGCCCTTCCCTGTAGCTTCACCTTCCGCAGTTTTGGTTACCCCTGGTCAACAGTGGCCTGAACACAGGTGAATATGTACAGCACAATAAGAGTTGTTGAGGGAACGAGAAAGATCACATTTACGTAACTTTTATCACAGGATACGGTTATAATTATTCTCTTTTACTTTTACTGTTGTTAATATCTTACTGTGCCTAACTTATAAATTAAACTTTATCATAGGTATGTATGTATAGAAAAAAACACAGTATATATAGGGTTTAGTACTATCTGCAGTTTCAGGCATCCACTGGGGGTCTTGGAATGTAGCCCTCTCAGATAAGGGGGACAATTGTAAGTCTTTACTTCACCCAGCTCTTTTATTTATTTATCTATTTATTTATTGGGAAAAGATCTCTCTCTGTCTCTCAGGCTGGAGTACAGTGGTGTGATCACGGCTCACTACAGCCTCGACCTCCCGGACTCAAGCTATCCTCCCACCTCAGCCTCCCCAGTAGCTGGGACTACAGGCTCACGCTACCACGCCAGGCTAATTTTTGTATTTTTTGTAGAGATAGAGTTTTGCCATGTTGCCCAGGCTGGTCTCAAACTCCCAGGCTCAAGCAATCTGCCTGCCTCAGCCTCCCAAAGTGCTAGGATTACAGGCATGAGCCAACGCACCCAGCCAAACCGGCCCTTATCCTCAGTGTAGGCACTTCCAGTGACTCACGGGAATCCTTGGGACCCCGTCTTTCCTTCTCCAGGCCTCAGCTCCTTCAGCGTAAGTCATTCCTTATATTCACCTCCTCAGGGTGGAGAATAGAAAGACCAGGCTTGTGGGGCACACTGGGAACAAGATGTGGATGGGCCAGCAGGGGTCATGAGACTCATCTGGCCCCCATAGGACCATAATCACAACTAGTGCTTGGGAGCACTGCCTAAGCCAGGGTGCCCCCAAAAGCTGATCTGATACAAGGCTTCGTGTACCTGAATATGTCGCTTACTGGGGTGAGAAGTTTGAGGTCAGAAGTTTGAGACCAGCCTGGCCAATATGGTGAAACCCCCCAATATGGTGAAACTGGGGAGGTGATCCCAGGATGAGGAAGTGAGACAGAAAAAGGAAGGCAGACAGCCACCTCCGCGGACAGCTAGTGTTCATTCCTTCCCAATGGGGGGATCCTGGGAGCCACTGGAGAACATGAGCCGAGGGATCTGGGGTCTTCGTACACCAACTCCCGTTTGCCACTTTACAGAGGGCTGCTATCTACATATGTGATGGAGGAGTGTTAATTCCCCATCACTTTATACCTGCGGAGGCAGCATGAAAAAATCCCAGGCAAAAGGTGGAAGGGGCTGGCAGCTGGAAATGGGGTGTGTGCTGTTGCCAATGAGGGTGAGGGACAGTGGAGGCACCCACTGCACCTGCTACAAGCTCCTACTGTGTTCCAGGCACTCAGGCACCATCCACATGATTTCTCACTTAATCCCCCCAACAACCTTGAAAGATGGGCATCACTATCTCCTTTCTTTTTATTTATTTATTTATTTTTTCTTATTTTTTTTCTCTCCTCTCTTTTTAAAGCAGCTTTATTGGCCGGGCACGGTGGCTCATACCTGTAATCCCAGCACTGCGAGGCTGAGGCAGGCGTATCACCTGAGGTCAGGAGTTGGAGACCAGCCTGGCCAACATGGTGAAACCTCGTCTCTACTAAAAATATAAAAATTAACCAGGGGTGGTGGCGCATGCCTGTAATCCCAGTTACTCAGGAGGCTGAGGCAGGAGAATCACTTGAATCTGGGAGGTGGAGGTTGCAGTGAGCCAAGATCATGCCATTGCACTCCAGCCTGGGAGACAGAGCAAGACTCTGTCTCAAAAATAAAAAATAAAAAATAGGAAGCCACGGTGGCTCAAGCCAGTTATCCTGGTGCATAAAGAGGTGAGGCTACGTGTTTGAGGCCAACATAGGCAACATTAAAAAAAAAAAAAAAACTCTTACTCATTAAAAAAAAAACCGCTTTATATACCACAAAATTCACCCATTTTAAGTGGACAATTCAACTTTTTTTAGTCTATTTGCAGAGTTTGGCCACCATCGCCACAATCTAATGTTAGAACATTGCCCATTTGCAGTCACTCCCCATTTTCCCACCATGGACACCTCCCACCAGTCCTAGGCACTCATTAATTTCCAATTTCACTTATTTCACTATTTCCTGTCTCCATACATCTATCTATTCTGGACATTTTATATACATGGAGTCATACTGTGTTAGTCTGTTTTTGCTATGTCATAGAGGAATATCTGCAACTGTGTAATTTATCAAGAAAGGAGGTTTAATTGGCTCATGGTTCTTCAGGCTGTACGGAAGCACGGTACCAGCATCTGCTTCTGGTGAGGGTCTCAAGAAGCTTCCATCATGGCAGAGGCAAAGGGGGAGGATGTGAGTCACATGGTAACAGCAGGAGTGAGAGAGGGTGTAACGGGGCCGGGGGGTGGTTAATGCCACTCTTAAACTACCAGATCTCGTGTGAACTCACTGAGCGAGAACTTACTCATCACCAAGGGGATGGCACTAAGCCATTTATGAGGGATCCACCCCGCACAATCCAAACACCCCCCACCAGGCCCCACCTCCAACATTGGGGATTACAATTCAACATGAGATTTGGAGGGGACAAACATCCAAACCATATCACATACAACATAGGGTCTTTTGTGTCTGGCTTCTTTCACCTAGCATAATGCTTCTGAGGTTCGTCCATGTTGTAAATGTTTCAACACTTCATTCTTTTTTATTGCTAAGTGGTATTCCATCATATGGATGCACCACATTCTGTCTATCCCTTCATCTATTGATAGAATTTGAATTGTTCCCACTCTCTGGCTATTGTGAATAGCCAACATGCTATGGACATTCACATACAAGTACTTGTGTGGACATCTGTTTTCACTTTCCTTGAGCAGACTTAGGAGTGGAATTGCCTGATCATATGGTAACTCTGTTTACTATTTTGTGAAAATGCTTTTTCAAAGACACTGCACCATTTGACATTCCCACCACAATGGATGAAGCCTCCAATTCTTGACCACCTTGTCACCACTTGTTATTATCTGTCTTTCCAGTGTAGCCGTCCTGGTGGGTGTGAAGTGGTATCTCACTGCGGTTTTGATTTGCATTTCCCTAAGGATGCAAAGCACTAAGCAAGTGGAGCAGCTTTCCATGTGAAAATCTTCTTTGGAAATGACTATTCAAATCCTTTGTCCATTTTGTAATTGGGTGATATGTCATTTTTACCATCTCCCTTTTATGCAGAGCAGCTTGTGGGGACCAAGCAGCCTGACCCCTGGGCACTGCCCTACCCCAAGCTGTCTTCAGATCCCCATTTGACCTGATTGCCTGAGGGCAGAGTTAAACGCTGGATGAGAGTCGAACTTTTGATTCTTTGGAAACGGGCTGGGAGATTCCACATCACTCCTGCTTTCAGAGGCCTGTAATTACCAGAGAAGTCCCAGAGGAAAGTGCTTTGCTTCAGCCTGCTCCCCTCACCCAGATAAGCCTGCACCTCTTCCAGAACGAGGGACCAGGTCACAGCCCAGGCCCATCCTGCCAGGTGCTCTGAGTTTGCAGACGTGTGTTGTGAACCATGTGGCTCCTTCAGCCTCCTACCCCCATCCCTCCCTGCCCTCCACTTAAGAGCATGGCCTGCTTTCTTCTGACCTCAGGTCTTGGCTCTACTTCTAGCTACTATTCTCGGCTCTTCTCCACAGTGCAATGATTGCACTAATGGCCCTGTGGGTAACACCCCTGCTGGGCTGACCCAGCTCTCCTCTAGAAGTCATCAGTCAGTCCTCTCAATGGACATTGTCTTAGCACCTGCTTGGTGCAGGATGCTGGGGACATGGAGAGAACAGGACAGTCTGTGCCCCTGACAAACCCCCAGCCTGGTGGAGGAGGCAGAACCATCAATGATTGATGGCAATGAAGTTTTATGGGAGGAATATTAGGCATGAAAAGTCTGTTGGAAAATTGTGGGGTGAGGGGTAGGAGGCAGAAGTGAAGCCAGTTTCATGGACAGCCTCACTGTTGGAGGGTCGGCTTGGGAAAGGGCGTTCCAGGCAGAGGGAACAGCAAGACCATGGCAGAGAGGTGCAAAATATGTTTAGGGAAATACAGGTTGCTCTGAGTTGTTGGATCATAAAAGGAAGGAGTGGGGACCTAGTAGGGCTGGGGTCATAGAGGGTCTTGAGTGCCATGCAAAGGAGTTTGGAACAGGGGGAGTGAATGAGGGATTTAAGCAGGGAAGGGGCTGTTCAAATCTGTAGTCTGGAAAAACACAACTATGTAGATCAGTTTCTATTTATTTATTTATTTAATTTGTTTATTTTGAGGTGGAGTCTCACTCTGTCACCCAAGCTGGAGTGCAATGGCATGATCTCAGCTCACAGCTGAGATTACAGGTGCCTGCCACCATGCCCGGCTGATTTTTGTATTTTTAGTACAGACAGGGTTTCACCATGTTGGCCAGGCTGATCTCAAACTCCTGACCTCGAGTGATCCACCCGCCTCGGCCTCCCAAAGTGCTGGGATTACAGGTGTGAGCCACCAAGCCCAGCACAGTATCTCTTTAAATGCAGCCCTCTGCTGCTCCCTGGGGTCTCTCGTGCTGCCAGGTAATTCCACTACATTTCCCAATCCATTCACACTCCCACTCTCCTAAATGACCGTTTCACACCTTCCCTCTCCCATAGCTCTGACACCTCCTCCCCATCCCCCATCTCAGCTAATGACCTTCCTTGCTACTTATGAAGAAGAGAAGCAACCAGAAGAGACAGCCCACACCCATCCATCCCCTCATTCCCAACCTATGTGCCTCTGTGCTCTGTGGTTCCTTTTGTTGCTATGAGTGAACTCTCCCACTCTTGCCTGAGACCAATTCCTCCTCTTGTGTATTGGACCTCTTCAGCTAGGAAGGACATCCATCAGCTGGCCCCTGTCTGCTGGGTCATTCTCCTCACCATACAAATCTCTACCTTACTGATATGGTTTTGCCTTGTCCCCATCCAAATCTCATCTTGAATTGTAGTTCCCATAATCCCCATGTGTCTTGGGAGGGACCCAGTGGGAGATAATTAAATCACAGAGGCAGTTACCTCCATGCTGTTCTCATGATAGTGAGTGAGTTATCGAGAGATCTGATGGTTTTATAAGGAGTTTTCCCCACTTCGCTCTACACTTCTCTTTCCTGCCACCATGTGAAGAAGGACATGTTTGCTTCCCCTTCCACCATGATTGTAAGTTTCCTGAGGCCTCCCCAGCCCTGCAGAACTGTGAGCCAATTAAACCTCTTTTCTTTATAAATTACCTAGTCTCAGGTATTTCTTCATAGCACCATGAGAACAGACTAATACTCTTACCTTAAGATAATTTCTCAATCCTCACTTTTTTTTTTTTTTTGACCCTACATGTCCCTCCAGGTACTGGCTCATTTCTCTGATCATTTTTAAGAACCCAATAACATTTTTAGAAATAAAAATATATTAATTGAAATTTAAAAATCAGTGGCTAGATTAAAAAGCAGATGATATAGGGTTGAAAAGATAATGGAGAAAATGGAAGATAGATTGGAAGAAACTGTCCAGAATGCAGCACAGAGACAGAATTATAAACTATGAAAAAGAGATTAAAGACATAGAGGACAGAGTGGGAATATCTAACATGTATCTCATTGAAGTTTCAGAAGGAAATGAGTGTGGTAGGATTAAAAATTCAGAAATTTTCAGAAAAGATGGGTGTGGTAGGATTAAAAATCCCCTCCCTCCAGATATCCATGTCCTAATCACTACAACCTGTGAATGTTACCTTATGCAGCAAAACAGGGAAGGGGATCTTTGCAGAGGTGATTAAGTTAAGGGTCATAAGATGGGGAAATTAGCTTGGGTCATCTGGGTAGACCTTAAAGGCAATCATATGAGTCCTTGTAAGAGAGAGATGGAGACTCAACAACACACAGAAAAGAGGTCTGTATGAAGACAGAACAGGGAGAGATTTGAAAATGCTGCCCCTGAAGATTGAAATGGAGCTGCCACCAACTAAGAAATGTTGACAGTCATCAGAAGCAGGAAGAGCCAAGGAATAAATTTGCCCCTAGAGCCTCCAAAGAAAGCATGGCCCTGTCAACATCTTGATTTCAACCCAATAATTTTGATCTAGTACTTCTGACCTTCAGAATAATGAAAGAATACATTTCGGTTTTAAGCCATCAAGTCTGTGGAAATTTGTTACAGCAACTACAGGAAACTAATACAATGGGAGAGAAGCAATATTCAAAAGGATGATAGCTAAAAAATGTTCAGAACTGATGAAAGACATGAATTGTCAGATTCAAGAAGTGCAGGAAATAAAGAGCAAGATGACAGTTTAAAGCCACATCTAAATATAATGAACCTGCAGGAGCGTGTGGTCAAAAATGAAACATAGGCCAGGCATGATGGCTCATGCCTGTAATACCAGCACTTTTGTAGGCTGAGGCAGGAGGATTGCTTGAACCCAGGAGTTAAAGACCAGCCTGCGCAATATAGGGATACCCCATCTCTACAGAAAATTTAAAAAATTAGCCAGGCATGGTGATGCATGCCTGAGGTTCCAGCTACTTGGGAGGCTGAGGCAGGAGGATTGCTTGAACATGGGAGGTTGAGGCTGCAGTGAGCCACGATCACACAACTGCACTCCAGCCTTGGTGACAGAGTGAGACAGGAATGAAAGAAAGAAAGAAAGAAAGAAAAAGAAAGAAAGAAAGAAAGAAAGAAAGAAAGAAAGAAAGAAAGAAAGAAAGAAAGAAAGAAAGAGGGAGGGAGGGAGGAAGGAAGGAAGGAAAGAGAGGAAGGAAGGAAAGAAGGAAGGAAAAGAAAGAGAGAGAGAGGAAGAAAGAAAGAAAGAGAAAGAAGAAAGAAAAAGAAAGAGAAAGAAGGAAGGAAGGAAGGAAGGAAAAGAAAGAAAGAAAGAGAAAGAAAGAAAGAAAGAAAGAAAGAAAGAAAGAAAGAAAGAAAGAAAGAAAGAAAGAAGAAAGAAAAAGAAAGAAAGAGAAAGAAGGAAGGAAGAGAGAAAGAAAGTCAGAGAGACAAACAACAGATTACCAACAAAGTAACAGGGACTAGTGGGCAGCTGACTTTTCAACAGTAACAACTGTAGCCAGAAGACAGTGTAACAATATTTTGAAAGGGCTAATAGAAAATAAGAGTCTAGAATGATGTACCCAGCAAAACTATCTCTCAAGAACAAGGACAAAATATTCAAACAAAGCAATGTTGAGTGTGTTGGCCACCAACAAACCTTCATCAAAGGAGTTTATTAGATACACCTCAGGAGGAAGGAAAATGATCCCAATGTAAGGTCTAAAATGCAAGATAAAACAATAAGAGGCAAAAAGAGGCAAAGAGATAGGTAACTATTAGTAAATATTAACTATAAAAATAGTATCTGTACAAATTAATTTATTATTCAATGCAGCTCCAAATTAAACCCCAACAAGGTGTTCATGGCATATGACAATCTCTTTCTATAATTTAGAAGCAAAGGGTCAAAAGGAGCCAAGACATTCCTGAAGAAGAATAGCAAGGAGTAGGGCTTGGTCTACCAGGTCTCAAGAGAACATAAAGTGATAATTAAGACTTGCTTTAAAGCACTTGTGATCAAGATAGTGTGGAATTGGCCCAGGGATAGACACATAGACAGTGAATGAGACTAGAGAGTCCAGAAGCAGACTCAAGAATAAATGAAAATGTGATCTGTAGATGACATGGTTTTGCAAAATAAGGTAAAATATGAACTATTCAATAAACATAGCTTATGTAGTTACTTATCCATATGGAAAAAAACTGAAATTGTATCCTTCTCTATACAAAATCAATTCCAGATGGATTAAAGTCTTAAATGCATAAGGCACAACTTTTAGAAGAAAATAAAGGAAAAGTACTTCTGTAACCTCAGGGGAAGGAGGAATTTCTTTTAAAGGACACAAAAAGCACAAATAATAAAGGAAAGTATCAACAAACTCTACTACATTAAAAATAAGAACTTCGGCTAGGTGTGGTGGCTCATGCCTGTAATCTCAGCACTTTGGGAGGCCGAGGCGGGTGGATCACAAGGTCAGGAGATTAAAACCAGCCTGGCTAACATGGTGAAACCCTCTCTCTACTAAAAACACAAAAAATTAGGCGGGCATGGTGGCATGCACCTGTAGTCCCAACTACTCGGGAAGCTGAAGCAAGAGAATTGCTTGAACCTGAGAGGCAGAGGTTGCAGTGAGCCAAGATGGTGCCACTGCACTCCAGCCTGGCAACAGAGTGAGACTCCATCCCCCCACCCCTCCCCCCCAAAAAATAACTTCTGTTCACACACACAAAAACACCATCTAGAAAATGAAAAGACAAGTCACAGGTTGGGAAATGATACTTAGAATGCATATAATTTACCTAAGATTAGGATAAGAATATGTAAAATGCTCCTGAAGAATCAATACAAAAAAAGCAACACAAAAGAAAAAGGACTAAAAACATAGCTAGACCTTGTGGAGACAAGGAAACAAGTATTGCCAATAAACATGAAAAGATGCCCAAGCTCATTAGAAATTAGGGAAATGCAAGTTTAAAGCCTCCATTTTATGCCAACTTACACCCACCAAGTTGGCAAAAATGTTAAAGTCTGGCAACCTCAAGTGTTGTAAGGGCTGTGGAACAATGCAAGCTCTTATGTATTGCTTAGGGGAGTGTAAATTCATATAAACATTTTGGAAAGCAACATGGTATTGTCCGGTCAAGTTCAAATGCACATAACTTCCTATCCAGAATTTCTATTTCTGTGTACTTCACCTGCAGACCCTTACACACTTGTATCAAGAGATATAACAGATATTGATGAGAGCAATCCTATATCCATCAAGAGGAGAATGGATCCATAATCTGTGGTTTATTAATACAGTACAGGGCCAGGCGCAGTGGCTCATGCCTGTAATCCCAGCACTTTGGAAGGTGGAGGTAGGAGGATTATTTAAGTCCAGGAGTTTGAGACCAGCCTGAGCAACATAGCAAGACCTCATCTTCACAAAATATTTCAAAAATTACCCAGGCATGGTGGCACGTACCTGTAGTCCTAGCTACTCAGGAGGCTGAGGCAGAAAGAGTCCTTGAAGGCAGGAGTTCCAGGCTGCAGTGAGCTATGATCACACCACTGCACTCCAGCCTGGCTGACAGAGCAAGACCCTGTCTCTACACGAACACACAAACAAAAATACAATAAACTACTTCATGGCAGCGAAAATGAATGAATCACAGCTATACTCAACAACGTGAATGAAAAATGTGTAGCAAAAACACACACGCTATAAGAAAACACATATGGTAGAAATTCTCCAAATGAAAAAAATGCGTATGTTACATATGAGACTATTTCTCCAAAGTTCAAAGGCATGCAAAACTAGACAATATATTGTTCAGGAACGCAACTATCTGTGAGGAATCAGTAAAGAAAAGGGCAAAGAAATAATAAACATAAAAATCAAAGCAATCATTACCTCTGGATAAGAGGGAGAGGAGAGCTTGAGGAAGTCATGGGGAAAGATTTCACAAACTTGTAATGTCAGCTCTCCAAAGCTGAATCGCAGGTACATGGATTTATTATTATTATTATTATTATTATTATTATTATTATTATTATTATTTATATGTCACACATATGATATGTTTTATATGGATGGATGTTCTTAATTTTATCAAGGAAGTGATTGTGGGATGAGAGAGCCAATAATGATATCATTATTTCATTGTGTGTGTTAATATACTTAGTATTTGCAGAAAAAGCAGGGACTAGTAGGGAGAAGCAATTGAAGGTCTCAGGGGTGATGGCTGCTTCTGATGCATGTTTGGGTCACACGGAAGGTTGTTGTTATTAATATGCTGTGTGCACTGGACTGAAGAAGCAGAGTGAAGAAAGTTAGATGGAGACTTTGTATAAAGGAGGAGAATTGAGGACTCACTGGAGGAGCTGCCCCTAGACCCACCCTTGGAGCCATGTGCAGACTCCATAGCTTGAGGGCAAGGCTGCTTCAGCCCCAAGGCAACGCCAAAGAGTTTGCTGTCACCTTTTTGGTTCATAGAACCTTTCTATCATGAGGCTTTTTCATTGTCTCTTAAAAATGCCCAGGCGATGGCTCACGCCTGTAATCCCAGCACTTTGGGAGGCCAAGGAGGCAATCAGGTGGGTGGTGGCCTTGAGCTCAGGAGTTCAAAACCAGCCTGGGTAACATGGTAAAACCTCACCTCTACAAAAAAAAAATACAAAAAATTAGCTGGGCATGGTGGTGCATGCCTATGTTCCCAGCTACTCAGGAGGCTGAGGTGGGAGGATCACCTGAGCCCCGGAAGTCAAGGCTGCAGTGAGCGTGATTGCGCCACTACACTCCAGCCTGGGTGACAAAGTGAGACGCTGTCAAAAAACAAACAAACAAACAAACAAACAAAAATGCCTGGCATCTTGTGGATATCTGTGGAAACTCCTGCCTGAGCTCTTGGAGGCAAAGTCTTTGGAGACCCACCCAGAGTCCCTGGCACTCACAGCAGAGGTCAAGGTTAATCTTGATCCTTGATGCTGCTTCCACAGTTTGTCTTGTTGTCATTGAAACCTAAAATCCAGTTCTGGAAGGGACCTCAAAAGACCGCCTGAGCAGCTCTGCCTCTGGAGACCAACTCAGACAGATCTTGATCTCTTCCCTCTCTGAATGTTTCCTGTCGGGGAGAGGCCATTGATTCCCTTAGGAATATTTTCTCCATCTACATCAGAAGTTCCTCTTGAAAAGCTTGAGGCAAAGGGGTTTATTGGGAACATACTGCCTTGTTCAGACTTCAGTGAGCTCCCCATTTGCGGAAGGCATATGGACAATGTCTATCAAAAGCTTTAAAGTGGCTTTAGCCTGGCACACTTTCCTAATAAAACTATCCTAAATGAGCAATGGGACAGCTGTATCAAGATGCATTTCCAAGGCTGTATATAATAAAGGAAATTTTTAAATGAGCTGTGTGTCAACATGAAGGGATTTAAATATATAATATAAATCCAAGCAGCATGATGCAACGCGTTCATTAAGAAAAAAAAGAAAACCTGTCTTGGGAGAATATTTAATGGCATGGAAAGATATCTTCAATATAGCATAAAGCGTTAAAAAAAGCAGATTGTAAGACAGTATATTCAACGGAGTCATATGTTTACTTTTTAAGCATAGAAAAATATAGAAAAGATTTGGAAAGATGTAATAAGATTTTTTTTTTAGACAGGGTCTCTCTGTCATCCAGGCTGGAGTGCAGTAGTGCCATTACTGCTCACTGCAGCCTTGACCTCCCAGGCTTAAGTGATGCTCCTTACTCAGTCTCTAGAGTAGCTGGGACTATAGACGCATGCCACCACACCTGGCTAATTTTTTTGTTTTGTTTTGTTTTGTTTTTTGAGACAGAGTCTTGTACGTCGCCCAGGCTGGACTGCAGTGGCGCAATCTTGGCTCACTGCAACCTCCGCCTCCCAGGCCCAAGCAATTCTCATGCCTCAGCCTCCCAAGTATCTGGGATTATAGGCGTGCACCACCACGCCTGGTTAATTGTCATATTTTTAGTAGAGACAGGGGTTTCACCATGTTGCCCAGGCTGGTCTCGAACTCCCGACCTCCAGTGATCTGCCTGCCTCAGCCTCCCGAAGTGCTGGGATTACAGGCGTGAGTCACCGAGCCAGCCTAATTTTTGTATTTTTAACAGAAACGGGGGTTCGCCATATTACACAGGCTGGTCTCAAATTCCTGAGCTCAAGCGATCCACCTGCCTCGGCCTCCCAAAGTGCTAGGATTACAGGCATGAGCCACCGCACCCAGTCAGTAAGATCTTAACATGATTATCTTCGGGTGTAGTGTTGTGTTTTTTTCCCCTTCGTTTGGCAAGGCTGCATTTTCAAAGGATCAGCAATGAATATATATTAGGTCTAATTTTAACTTTTTCATTGCACAAGTAATGCATGAAGGCAGACTCATGGTGAAATATTCAAACAAAACACAGAAGGTCAGCTTCACCTTTAACCACCCGCTGCCCACCCCAGTACCTGTCCCTCCTCATGTGTGACCACTGTCCCAAGTTTAATGTCATTCCTCTCAGTCCTTCTTCTGTGCATCTCGCTCACTGCCCCCTGCTCACTCCAGGCCAAGCACCCTGGCCCCCCTTCCTATTCCGCATAGATCCCCAGCCCCTTCTTGCCTCGGGTTCTTGCCCAGGTTATTCCCAGGTTAAAGACCCTCCTCTTCCCAGGTTGGCTCCTGCTCCTCTTTCAAGTCTTGGCTTAAATGCCACACTATCTAAAATGAGTCTTCCCTTTCTTGTCCTAATTTTCCATCCTCTGCCTTCATAGCACTTATCAGACCAGAAACACAGAAGTTAATCTGTGTGGTTGTTTCAGGCATTTCAGGTCCATCTTCCCATCAGGCTGGGAGCCCATGAGGGCAGGGCCTTGTCCATCATGTTCTTCTCTGTGTCTTCAGTACCAAATACAGTGCCTGGCACATACTAGATGCTCTGTAAGGACTGATGAATGAATGAATGAAGGAAGGAAGGAAGGAAGGAAGGAAGGAAAGAAGGAAGGAAGGAAGGAAGGAAGGAGGTATCCTCCAGAAAGAGGGAGAAGAGGCAGCCTGGAAACCAGAGAAAAGATACAGAAGTAAGACAGTATGGAGAGGGTTAAGGAAGTCCTTTACCATGGAAGGAGAGCTCAGGGGAAACCCCACCAGGAAGGAGTCCTGGGAGGTGGTGGTGGCCCAGAAATTGCTAAGAAGATGAACATCTATTTTCATCCCCAAACCTTGACCCCAAATCTCAATAAGAAGCCTGTGCTGCTCAAGTGAGTGATGCCTTGAGAAGCAGATAAAGGAAAAATCGAGCTGCTCGTGAGTACACGTCAGGTGGAGAGAAGAGAACAATTGCAGGGCCCGGAGAAACATAAGCCTCTGGGAATCCCTGGGAATCTGGGCCGGGTGGGGACACCACGGGTCTTCATGATAGGGACTCATGGAAGGGAAGGGTGACCCCACAAGTCTAGAGGAATTTGGTGACACCATTTTTCTACCAGATTCATCACCTAAAACTTCAGAGGAAAAGAATATTAGAAAAAAATCAGAAATAAGCCAGGTACAGTGGCTCATGCCTGTAATCCCAACAATTTGGGAGGCCAAGGCGGTGGATCACTCAAGGTCAGAAGTTCGAGACCAGCCTGACCAACATAGTGAAACCCCATCTCTACTAAAAATACAAAAGATTAGCCAGGCGTGGTGGTGCATGCCTGTAATCCCAGTTACTTGGGAGGCTGAGGCAGGAGAATCACTTGAACTGAGGAGGTGGAGGTTGCAGTGAGCCGAGATTGCTCCACTGCCCTCCAGCCTGGGTGAAAGAGTGAGACTCTGTCTCAAAAGGAAAGAAAAGAAAGAAAGAAAGAGAGAGAGAGAGAGAGGGAGGAAAGAAAGAAAGAAAGAAAGAAAGAAAGAAAGAAAGAAAGAAAGAAAGAAAGAAAGAAAGAAAGAAGGAAGGAAGGAAGGGGGGAAGGAAGGAAGGATGGAAGGAAGGAAGGAAGGAAGGAAGAAACAGAAAGAAAAACATCAGAAATAACACAAAAAAGGAGGTGGCTCATTCCTCTTTGTGTGGTGTGGGGGCAGGGTGTGCATGGAACAAGCCTGGGCTTTGGACTCAGGTAAGTTTTGGGTTCGAATCCCAGATCTTCCTTCTCATCTTCACTTCCTCATATGGAGAGTGGGCATGATAGCCATTATTGACATCGGATGTTGACAGATGACATGAGATAATAAACCTCTAAAGCACTAGCTGGCATGCCTTTGGCCTCCCTCACAGTGGGTGGAGAGAAGGGAAGATACAGGCCAGTGCAAACAGTGGGGGACCTTGTGTGTCTGTGTGTGTGCAGGGCCAGCTTCTCCGACGTGTGTCCTGTGCAGCCACCCGGGGCCCATTAGAAGGCCCCTGTGCTTGTCTAAACAATCTACTGTCGCGGCCTTAAAATTCTTAACTTTTGATCAAGGGACTTTGCATTTTCATTTTGTCCTGGGCTCTGCAAATTAAATTTTATAACTGGCGATGCACACGTGTGTGTGGGAGCGTGCAAGTGTGTACATGTGTGAAGGAGGGGGAGAGGGATGCTGCAATGGGTGCTCCATGAAGGGATGTTACTGACAGCAACTGCACCCCAGCAAGTACCCACCCCACAGTCCTGAGCCAACACCACACACCAATAAGCTGAGGCTTTGCCTGACAATAGCCCCTCTCAGTTCCAATCAACAACAAAAACAAACCCTCCTAGCCTTTGGGCTGTTACCCAAACACCACACACCCACAGGCCGAGGCCCAGCAGCTCCACATGTGGGCTCCCCACGGATTTTCCCAAGGTCCCTTCCAGCTGGTTCCGCCAGCCCAGGAGGCTGCTTGCTGGGGTTTTCATACACTAGGCATGCAATCTGCTCACTCCCACAGCACTTCTGCACGGCTCTGTATCAGACCCCACGCCACCCTCTGCACACCCTAAGTGAGGGGCTGACCACTCTGCCCTCCCTGGACCAGAGGTGAGCTGCCCGAGGACCAGAGCTGGGCTGTCTTCATCTCCGTATCTTTAAGGCCAGGTGCAGGGCTGGAAACACAGTAGGTGCTCAATAGATGCTTGCTAAAGTCGTTTATGCACTCTTTCCACACATATGTATATCATCCAGTGGTGGAGAATGGTCACAGGCAAGATTCACATAAAATAAAGAAACGCTAAGAAGTTTACTGTCTGAGCAGGAATATGTTGTTAGGCTGTGCCTTCTGACTCCACTGCTGAAACTGCTGCTTCTTGGGTCGCTGCTTGCTGTCCTGATGAAAATAGGGCAGGCAGTGAAGTGGAGCGGAACAGCTGTGATGGAGTCAGGGGACCTGGGTCCTGGTCCCACTCAGCTCAGTGACCTTGGGCAGACCACGCCCTCCTTGGACCTCGGTTGCCCGTGGGTCAGGTGAACGTGTTGGAGGCAGGGCTGCACTATCCAATCCGGTAGCTGCTCGCTTCAAATGTGGCTGGTGACCCTCAGGAACTGAATTGGAAACTTCATTTATTTTTAATTAATTTAAATTTAAAACCAGATACAAGCTTCAGACAGGAGAATTTTTTTTTTTTTAAGACAGAATCTTGGTCTGTTACCCAGGCTGGAGTGCGGTGGTGCAATCTCAGCTCACTGCAACCTCCGCCTCCCAAGTTCAAACAATTCTTCTGCCTCAGCCTCTCAAGTAGCTGGGACTACAGGCACGTGCCACCAAGCCCAGCTAATTTTTGTATTTTTAGTAAAGACAGGGTTTCACCATGTTGGCCAGGCTGGTCTCAATCTCCTGACCTCAAGTGATCCGCACCCCCTTGGTCTCCCAAAGTGCTAGGATTACAAGCGTGAGCCACCGCACCTGGCCAAATTTTTAAGTGCATTTGGAATAACTTACATACATGAACCTATCATTCTCAACTGTAAATGTAATAAAATCTGAACACAGATCAAGTATGTCGCAGCCTGGCAACATAGGGAGACACTGTCTCTACAAAAAATAAATTAGCCAGGGGTGGTGGGGTGCACCTGTAGTCCCAGCTACTAGGGAGGTTAAAGTGAAAGGATGGTTTGAGTCCAGGAGGTCAAGGCTGTGGTGAGTTGTGATCATGCCACTGCACTCCAGCCTGGGCAAAAGAGCAAGGCCCTGTCTCAAAATAAAAGAAGTATTTTCTGAGAAAAATGTAGCATTGGGACTAAGATATGCTGTAAGCGTAACAGATTTTGAAGACTTATTTGAAAAAAAAGGTAATACTTTATATTGGTTACATATTGAAATTATAATATTTTAGACAGAATGGGTTACATAAAATTTATTATTAAGATTAATTTCACTTGTTTCTCTTCTTCATTTCTAGTATGGGTACTAGAAAATTGAAAATTACCTATGTGCGGCCGGGCGCGGTGGCTCACGCCTGTAATCCCAGCACTTTGAGGGGCCGAGGCAGGTGGATCACGAGGTCAGGAATTCAAGACCAGCCTGGCCTGGCCAAGATGGTGAAGCCCTGTCTCTACCAAAAATAAAAAAATTAGCCAGGCACGGTGGCAGGCGCCTGTAATCCCAGCTACTAGGGAGGCTGAGGCAGGAGAATCGCTTGAAGCTGGGAGGCAGAGGTTGCAGTGAGCCGAGATCGTGCCACTGCACTCTGGCCTGGTGACAGAGTGAGACTCTTATCTAAAAAAAAAAAAAAAAAAAAAAAAAAAGGAAAGAAAAAAAAGAAAGTTACCTATGTGCTTCATATTCTACTGCCATTGAACTTCACTAGATTAAGGAATCTCTTAAGGTACTTCCTTTTTATTTTTGTTATTCTGATACTCTACAAATCTACCAGGAATCATTAACTTCTGTGGGTTTGCCTATCTGCCATCATACCCTTCCTCATCCCTTTCTTATGTTGGCACCTTGATTTTCCAAAGGAAAATTGCCTCTGTAAAATCTTCACCCCAGCTATAGGGAAGGGCATATGGCCCAGGCCTGGCCAATCAGAGCAGAGCACTCTCCTTTGACCATCATGATTGGTTCAGAAATGACACGTGACCAGCAGGCACAGCCAATGAGACTTCATTTGATTGAAAGTTTGGAAATGAGTTTGGCTTTTCCGCTGGAGTTGTTAAGGAAGGGATGGAGCCCCAGACCTAGAGGGGGCCATCTTGCCGCCATGAGTGAGCAGCCTGCCTGAGAAGGAAACCACTGCAGAGAAGAGGAAAACCAAGAGTGAAGAGAGTCATGACCGGCCCCACTTTCTCTTCTGGCATTTTCACATGGCCCTCCCACACCACCTTGCCCGCTACCTCCCAGAACCTGGCAAACTCTTCATCCTTCCAGCTTCAGCTGCCCTTGTCAAGGTCACCAGTGACCTCTATGTTGCCAGATCCAGGGGTCACTTCTCTGTCTAGCTCCTGCATAACTTCTTGACAACATTCAACATAATTGGCCATTCCCACCCTCTTGAAAGCTTTCTCCCTCTCTTGGCTTCCATGATGCCTTATGCTCCTCCTCCTACCTCATTGGCCACTTCTCAGTATCTTCTTTCATTTATGTGTTCTTTCTGCAAGTATTTACTAAGAGGCTTCTATGTGCCAAGCCTTATGCTGTGTAGTAGGCAGTCAACAGAGCAAAACTCCTGCCCTCAGAGAGTGACATTCTGGGGCAAGTCTTCTTTATTGATTCTCCACTTCTGCTCAGCCTCGAAATATTGTCATGTACTGAGGCTCCACTGAGAACCCCAGGCCTTTTCCATCTTATCCTATCTCGTGGCTTTAAATTCCATCCACATATCAATGACTCCCAAATGTCTATCCGTAGCCCTGGCTGGGGCCCTGAACTCCAGACTCATAGATCCAACTGGCTACTTGACTTAACCACTGGATTATCAACAGGCTGTCTCAGCTTAATGTGTTCAAAACATAACTATTGATTCCTCTATTGCCAGCCTCAACCTGTTTCTCCACTTGTCATCCTCCATCCCAGTCAATGGTATCACATCCACCCAGTTGCTCAGGCCAAAAACCAAGAGTCATCCTGATTCTTATCTGTTCTCCTCACCCACTTCCCATCCGTCAGCAAGTGCTGACAGCTCTGCCTCCAAAACGGACCCTGGAACTGTCACTTTTCCCTATTTCCGCTCCCATCACCCTAGTCCAAGCCACCATCATTGCTCCCTGGGCCACTATCATGACCTCCAAACTGCTTTCCCCTCTTCCATTCATGCCCACCCCTCCCTTCAATTCTTCATATCATAGCCAGAGTGATCTTTTAACCATGTAAATCAGGTGTCACTCGTCTCCTTAAAACCTTCCAGTAAAGAGCGTGGACTATTTACAACATGTATAAAAGACAATGGATTCATAATTTGAATATATAAACAACTCTCACAAATCGATTAGAAAAAGACAACCTTTTAGAAAACTGGGCAAGGGATATACACTGACAATTCACAAGAGAAGAAATTCCAAGAGCCAATAAATATAAAATTACATGTTTAACCACGCTAGTAATCAGGGAAATACAAATGAAAACGAGTTACCATTTTATATCCAAAACATTGTCAAACATTTTAAAGGCTGACTCTACCAACTGTTGGCAAGGATATAAAGAAATGGGATCTTTTGGATGCTGCCAGTGGGAATATAAATTAGTATGACAACTTTGAAGAGCTGAGTGACAACTTCTCATAATGTTGAACATCTGCACACTCTGCAACCTATTAATTTTCCATTTCAGAATCAGTTGTAATGGTAAAAAACAAAGTATGACCTCAGCATCTATCAATATGAGAATGGATGAATAAAATATGATGTGTGTGTGCCATATAATTCTATATAGTAGGTAAAAAGAAATTAACTAATTTAAAATTATACCTATAAAACACTGTCAGATGAAAAGAGGTGGGCCATCAAAAGACAGGAGGTGCACACTGCTTCCATTTGTGCAAATTTAAAATTCTAAACTTAAAAAAGAAAAATAGCCAAGTGCGGTGGCTCACGCCTGTAATCCCAACACTTCGGGAGGCTGAGGCAGGTGGATCACTTGAAATCAGGAGTTCAAGACCAGCCTGGCTAATAGGGTGAAACCCTGTCTCTACTAAAAATACAAAAATTAGCTGGATGTGGTTGTGCATTCCTGTCCCAGCTACTTGGGAGGCTGAAGCAGGAGAATCACTTGAACCCAGAAGGTGGAGGTTGCAGTGAGCTGAGATCCCACAACTGCACTCCAGCCTGGGTGACAGAATGAGACTCTGTCTCAAAAGAAAAAAAGAAAAAAGAGGGAAAATGGCTTCTTTTTATGCTTGGGGTAAAATCCTAACTTCCTGCCCTGGGGCACAAGGTCTTTGCCTATCTCTCTAACTCCATCTTATCCCATCCCCTAAGCTCTGGCCACACTGGCCTTTCAAACATCCTTTAGTACAGCATTTTCATGCCCATCATCGGGCCTTTCCTTGAACCTCACTGCCTCTGCCTGGCATTTAACCTTGATCTTCCCCTAAGCCTCTCCATCACCTCCAGACATTCTCGTGTTTGTCCATCTATTTCCTTGTTCATTTCCTTGTTTACCCCCAGTAGATAGTAAGCGTCAGAAAAATGGGAATGCTGCCTTTCCTTTTCAGTGGTGTATCCTCAAGGGATGGCATTTAGTAGGCCCTCAATAATCGCTTGTTGAATGAATAGATGTGACTTCCTTCAAGAAGTCTTTCCCGAATTCATAGGCTAAGAAACATTTCCCCAAATCTGCACTCCTACAGCCTCCTGGCTTGGCTTTCTCAGCAATTTTCCCACTACGATTCAGGAACTCTTTTTCTGAGAAGGAGTCTTGCTCTGTCATCCAGGCTGGAGTGCAGTGGCACGATCTCAGCTCACTGCAACTTCCGCTTCCCTGATTTAAGCAATTCTACCACCTCAGCCTCCTGATTTGGTGGGATTACAGGCATACACCACCATACCTGGCTAATTGTTGTATTTTTAGTGGAGATGGGGTTTCACCATGTTTGTCAGGCTGGTCTCGAGCTCCTGACCTCAAGTGATCCACCTTCCTCGGCCTCCCAAAGTGCTGGGATTACAGGCGTGAGCCACCGCACCTGGCCTAATTCAGGAACCCTTAATCTGGGGTTCTCAAATAGATGTCTGGGGAGCCCATAAACATTCTAAACTCATAGGCAGAATTTCATGTGCATGTGCTTATTACCTCTTCTGGGGCCAGGGTTCTCAGTTTGCATCATTTTCTTAAAGGCATCTATGACACAAACACATGAAATCATTTTTGTAACACTATCCTCTTTCCATTTGGGTTATAACTGGACCAGGTTCTCCAGACCGTAGGCTGCTCCAGAGCTGGAATCTGCTGAGTCCACCACTGTTTCCCAAAATGCTAGTGGAGGGCCTGCCATGTGATAGGTGAATCTCAGTGAAATCTTGAATGAATGACAAATGAATGAGTGAGTGAATGAATGCATGCATGCTTTTGGAGCCTGGAAACCAGGCCCATATTCACTCTCAGATCCCTTGGGTGCCTGAGATGTCAGACATTGGAACAGACAGGGAAAAGAAAGCTGGCCTCAGAGCAAGGAAGGCTAAGCGCTCGGCTCCCCAAGAGACCAACAGGGCCCTGGAGGGGGCTCCCCTCTTGCTCATCCTGAGCCCAAGGCTACAGGTCAGGATCCGTTACTGCTACACCGCTCAGGGAGTGCCTACCTCCTCCTCCTCCTCCTCCCTCCACCTCTCCCGGGAAGGAAGGCTGCAGCCTCCTCAAAGATGGCTTTGGTAGCAGGGGTGTTGCCCCCGAGATCAGTGCAATCACCAAGCTCAGACAGCCCCATGGAAACCCCACAACAAGGCACCCAAACAGAGACCAAACCCATCCCAGGAAACTCAAGGGGCGAGGAGAGGTATCTACTCCACCAGTGACTTAGGAATCTAGAAATTCCGGTGGGGCCAACTGAGCAAGGGGTGCGGGACACCCAGCCTCATTCCATAGAAAGAAATCCCAGGCTCCAAGATGAGTCCCCGTTTTCCATGTGGCCAGAGTCTTTGTCCAAGGCCGCAGAATCCTACCCACATTCTTTATGGGGCAGGGGCAGGGGGTGAGGGGCTCTTCCACCCAGAGAGTAGTTGTTCCCCAACCTTTTTATTCACTCTCAAAATGTATAGATTTATGTATCTATAAGTTATAGAAAAATTCCATTTTTAAATATGTATGCACATAAAAACCAAAGCTCATCTTGCATACCCTCAGCAGCACACACCTCCCTGAGAAGTTTATGAAGGAAGTCTAAGCTCCTTCATGGCTGGGCCCGCAGGTATCACGAGGAATATTTAATACCACTGGCCACCATTGATTGAGGTCTACCATGTGCCAGGGTTTGTGCTACATGATCTACATTTTTAACAATTGAATCCTCACAATACCTATGAGCCCCATCTGACAGAAGAGGAAACTGAGGCAGGGCAGGCCAAGTGACTTACCAAAGTCCCCTTGGCCAACAAGTGGCAGAGCTGAGATTCAACACAGCTCATCTGATTCCTGTGACCTTAACCTCCACTTTACAGGCATCATTTATAGAGTCCAAACTCAGACACTTGGGGCTGCCCCGATTTAGATTCAGTCCTCACAGAAACCCTGGCAGGGGATCACCATTGCTTTTCACATCTTACAGAGGAGCAGAGACTCAGAAAGGCTAAGTAATCTGCCCTAGGTCACACAGAGAGGTAAGTAATGGCAGAGACCCACACCTATCCGATTCCAACATTCTCCTATGAGGACTGTTTTCCCAGGCAGGACTGAAGTCTGGGTCAGTTTGGCCACTTCCACCCACTACCCCCATCTCTGAGTCCAGAGTACAGTAAGTTCTTCTCTAGGTTGAATTTCTCAGACACAAACAAGCATCTAAAACAGTGACTGGCAAATAGTCAGAGCTTGATGAATGATGATGAATGAATGAATGAATGAATGAATGAATGAATGAAAGAGTGAACTACAGAACATAGAGATGAATGGATGAATGAATTTCCCCTGATCACATTCTGTCCTCTCAGAAAGAAAGAGTCTGTGATTCCTACCATGAGAGGCAGATCTGGGTGCCCACCAACACTTCCACAATATCTGGACACCACCTAAGAGGTGTGGTCTAGGATGTGGGCTCACCACGTGTGTTTCTGGAGAACAAGCCCCGTTGTTTCCGCAACAATAACCCACCCTTGGTCCACAGAGCCTGTTTTTACTCACGTTTTCACGGGCTTCTCCCCACGGCTATGGTGAAGTAGGCACTACCCTCCCATTTTACAGGTTGAAGAGCCTGCAACATAGAGAGGGGAAGTGAATTGCCCAAGGTCACACAGGAAATGGGTGGCAGAGTCAGGGGCTTACCTATTCTTCTCACTTTCTCCTTCAGCCTACTTCTGTGTATTGGGATCTAACCTTAAGTCACCATGGTTCAGGGATGGAATCGTTAGGGGTTTGTCCCAAATCCACAGGTCAGGAAACAGCATCCTACTCCTCATTTAGGCAGAAATAACATGGAAATAAACACACGGCAAGGGATCCCAGCTAGGCAGCACAGCCAGGTCCAGAGACCTCCAGAGAGCCACAGGGTGTGTCCCAGGCAGAGTCAGGCTAGGAACCAGGAAGAATCAGGGGCATCACCCAGGGATGGCAAAACAGGCACAACCCAGTAAGAAGTAGACCCAAGAACCTTGGCAAGCAGAATCAGCAATGGGCTCTTCCTCTGCCCTCCTGCTCACCCCTCCTGGTGGGGCACAGTATCACTAAAGAAGCCACATGCCGGATGATGGGCTGGGAGGGCAGAACCTTTCCCTAGAATGGGCATGGTGCTGCGGTGCCTGGCCCTGCTGCCAGCCCAACCCAGCCCGGCCCGCACCAGACAACCAAGCACAATGGCTCTCTCAGGCAGGCAGACAATTCAACCCTTTCAGGCCAAGGGCAGCCGGGCTGGCATTCCCTGCACCTCTGTTTCTCTCTGCCTCCTGTAAGTGAATCACTCAGAATTAATGACCCTGGGAACAATGAATGGGGAGCAGGTTTGGGTTCTTCTTGAGCAGACAGAAGACTGGATCCTAGGAATACCCATTCCATGGCCACTGATGAAGACCAGAGCAGTGGATGCTCCAGGGTCACGGAGGCATGCTGCAGGGTGCACAGAATCATTACTGACTGTGGTCATCCGAACCATAGAGTGTGAGGGCCGCAGCCTCATGGATTGTTTGAGCCACAGATTGTTCTAGTCACAGAGCCACAGAAATCCAGTGTCTCAGAACCATCAATTACTAGCATCCTAGAATCAGTAGCTCAAGGAACCACAGGCTTCCAGGACCATCAATCATCAGTTGCCAGAACTCAGCTGTTTAGGGTGGGAAAAGAGCCTTAGAGACCATCCTGTCTGAGGCTTCATTCTGCAGTTAGGGGAACCCAGTCAGCTGATCAAGGTCACAAAGCTAGGACTAGTGGCCAGGCCTTGCTACTCCCTGTCCTCACTCCATTCTAAAGAAGGGCGCAGGAGCGGCAGCAGCCTCAGCTCGTGGACGCTAGGCTCCTCGGAGGTTGGTCTGGTCCCCCCGTAGAAGATTATCTGACACTGTCAGGGCACTTGTGGTCAAGCCCTTCCACTGCATCAAAACCAGAGGCTTCGTGGATTCTAATGTGAGGATGATGTGTTTTGCAAGTCTGGACAGGCCTGGATTCTTTTAACCAATCCTCCACTTCCTCGCCTAATAAGGGAGAATCATGCACCCTTGTGATTTTACCTGGGGCTCTGCCTACTGGTGATTACACAGGAGAGCGAGCCAGTCCTCCTGGGTTTCAGCTTGAGATACCCATTGCCTCATCAGGGTCACTTCAGTTCACTGCTAAGCCACAGAAGGAAATCCAACCTCACTTTCTAAAGGCCTATCACATGCTAGGTTCAAGAAAGTTACTAATACTAAGAAGAGAGAGACCCCATCCCCACCTTTGAGCCCCTTAGAGTCCACTGAGACAGTCAGATATGTATGTGATTATATTAATATGTCAAAGCAGAATGTGATGGTAATACACACAGAAGAGACAGAAATTAAGAAAAGCTTCATGAGAGAGGGGCATCATTTAAATGGAGTCATTCAATGGCTTTTCTACATATCAGTTCCTGACTTCTGCTTCTGGCTGTGATGGAGTAACAAGGACTGGACTTACCTTCCCACCCTAAGCAACTAAAAAACTGAACAAAACCAGCCAGGCGCGGTGGCTCACGCCTGTAATCCCAACACTCTGAGAGGCTGAGGTGGGCAGATCACCTGAGGTCAGGAGTTGGAGACCAGCCTGGCTAACATGGTGAAACCCCGTTTCTACTAAAAATACAAAAAAAAATTGGGGGGGCATGGTGGCACATGCCTGTAATCTCAGCTACTTGGAGGCTGAGGTATGAGAATCATTTGAACCAGAGAGGTGGAGGTTGCAGTGAGCTGAGATTGTGCCACTGCACTCCAGCCTGGGTGACAAGAGTAAAACTCTGTCTCAAAAAGAAAACAAAACAAAACAAACAAACAAAAAAACAGTCCATGAAATAACTTTTTTCAATCATTGAAAAACAGGAATGACTTAATGTGACTCCTAAGAGAAGATAAACAAATGAAAGGAGCCCTATGTTTGCCTTGGTTTTCTTCCTGAAGTTATATTCCAGATCATGGCTTGGGGCGAGGCATACCAAGCAGAATATAGTACTCTTGCAGAACTGAGGATTTGGAGACTGGAATTCAGGGATTCAGCCAGAAGTTGCGTGGCACAGTTCCAGAAAGGAAAACACTATGCAGAAAATAAACTCCAGAAATCTGCATGGGATGTTTTTGAGTTGTTTCTGAGTCCTAGGTCACACATACATGGGATCAAACCCTATGAGACTGGGCAAAGAACAGCTGGAAAGTTGCAAGCTGAACAATTTCCAGAGTTGGCACAGACCAGGAGACACTGCAGTCATTTAGAGTGGTTAGAACTCATTGAAAACCCAGTCAAGGCTGGGCATGGTAGCTCACACCTATAATCCTAGCACTTTGGGAGGCCAAGGATGAAGGATCACTTGAGCCCAGGAGCTTGAGACCAGCCTGGGCAACATAGTAAGACCCTGTCTCTATTAAAAAAAAGAAGAAGAAGGAGAAGAAGGAGGAGAAGAAGAAGAAGGAGAAGAAGAAGGAGAAGATGGAGAAGAAGAAGAAGAAGAAGAAGAGGAAGAAGAAGAAGAAGAAGAAGAAGAAGAAGAAGAAGAAGAAGAAGAAGAAGAAGAAGAAGAAGAAGAAGGAGGAGGAGGAGGAGGAGGAGGAGGAGGAAAGGGGAGGGGGAGGGGAGCGGGAGGAGAAGGAGGAGATGGAAGAGATGGAGGAGAAGGAGAAGAAAAAACCTATTCAGCAGAGAATCCATAGAGGTCAGGCCTTAGCCACAAGCTGAGCTATCCCTAGCATGAAGGCCAGTTCAGACCAGCCATACCAAAGCTTAAAAACAGGCTTCAAAGGGCTCACACTGACTTGCAAATAACTTAGGTGCCTGTTAGAACAAAGCCCAGCATTCTTTTAAAGGAAGGCAACAGAATTGAGACTCTCAACAATGTAACATTCACAAAATCTAGCATCCGGTCAAAACTTACTATATATACCAAGAAGCAGAAAAATGTGACCCATGGTCAGAAGAAAAATGAGTCAATAGAAGTGTACCCAGAAATAACAGAAATGATGGAACTAGTACACAAATATGTCAAAATAGTTATCACAAGTATGTTGAAGTATTTATGGGAAAAGATCATCATAATGAGAAGGAAAATTGAAAATATAAAAAAGAATTAAGTGAAATTTCTAGAGGGGAAAAAAATATAAGTCTAAAATGAAAAATTCATTAAATGGAATTCCCAGGAAATCAGACACTGCAGAAGAAAAGCTCATTGGCCCTGTAGTTATAGCAATAGAATTTATCTAAAGTGAGGCACAGAGAGAATAAAAAAGCCTGGAGGGAAAAATGAGCAGAGCTTAGTGACCTGAAATAAGACATTAAATGGTTTAACATATATGTAATTGAAATTCAAGAAGGAGAGGGGAAGAGAAAGTAACAGGAAATATATTTGAAGAAATAATGGCTGGAAATATTCTAAATTTGATAAAAACAATAAACCCACAGATCCCAGAAGCTCAACAAACCCCAATCAGAATAAACATAAAACTCCACACCAAAGTATATCAAGCTCTGCCTCCCGGGTTCATGCCATTCTCCTGCCTCAGCCTCCCAAGTAGCTGGGACTACAGGCGCCCACCACCAGGCCCAGCTAATTTTTTGTATTTTTAGTAGAGACAGGGTTTCACCGTGTTAGCCAGGATGTTCTCCATCTCCTGACCTCGTGATCCACCTGCCTCGGCCTCCCAAAGTGCTGGGATTACAGGCGTGAGCCACCACACTCAGCTAGAAAATCTTAAGAGTACACAGGAAAAAAAGACATGTTACATATGGAGAAATTATGACAAAAATTCACAGATTTCTCATCAAAAACTATGCAAGCCAGAAGACAATGGAACCTCTGTAAAGTGTTGAAAAAAAAAACTGTCAACCTAGCATTCTACATCCAGCAAAAATACCCTTTAAAAAAAAAAAAGAGAGAGAGACAGAGAAATAAAAACTCTTTCAGGAAAACAAAAGCTGAGAGAATTTGTCACCAGCAGACCTGCACTACAGGAAATGGTAAAGGAAATTTTTCAAGTGAAAGATAAATGATACTGGGTGGAAACATGAATCAACACAAAGGGCTAAAGAGTGCCAGAGATGGGAAACATGTCAGTAGATGTAAAAGGTTTCTCCCTCATTTTTCAACTTCTTAAAAATATACCTATTTAAAGCAAAAATAATATCAGTGTATGGGGGTTTATAAGGTACATAAAAGCAAAATATATTACAACAATATCACACAAAATAGAATGGGGAATGGAAGTATTTCTAAGTTTCTTACAACATCTGTTGTAGTTTATTTTTGTTGTGTCAATTAAGCTTAGCTACATTTCTTAGAATTCCTTTCTCTGTATAGTTTTGAATGAGCATGGATCACTAGAGACATTCACACAACATTTGCAAGGTAGAGCAAAGCAGTAGCAGCTTACATTTTGTTTTTGTTTTTGTTTTTTTTTAATCTCAGAAAGCTGGGGCAGGGACACCAGGTGCTGTTGCAGCTCACATATACTGGCACTTAACTGCTGGGTCACCTCATTGTCATGAGGCAGCAGCTGGGCCCACAGCTCTCCCAGTTCCTGCTGGGTCATCCTTCAGTATCCCTGACTCCAGACCAAGTGTGTGTTTAGCTTCATGATGAAAAGCCTCACCCTCTCTTATAGGCTATGTTATCATTGAAGTTGGCCTCATGGAAGAGGTGAGAGACCACACGCAAGTTCTAGTTTGTTGCGGCTCTTTTCCTATTCTTTCCCAATTTAAACACATCTCCCCTTCCTAGTTGCCTCCTCTGCACTGTCAGTATAGCAGCACCAGACACATAAAAAATAGCCTTTTATAGACTGTTTAGCCAACTCCATATCATTGTATAAGGACAAATTCCTATAATAAATCTCTCTCAGCAATTCTGTTTCTCTGATTGAGCCTTGACTAACAAATATGTAAAATGGCATAATATTTTGTGAACATTATAAGTTAAAGTGCATGTTATTATTATTATCATTATCATTATTATTATTTTAGAGTCAGGATCTCCCTCCTTCACCCAGGCAGGAGTGCAGTGGCATGATCATGGCTCACTGCAGCCTCAACCTCCTCTGCTCAAGTGATCCTCCTGTCTCAGACTCCTGAGTTGCTGGGACTACAGGCATGAGCCACGCACCTGGATCCTAAAGATGCATATCATTAACCCTAAAGCAACCACCAAAAAAAAAAAACAAAAAACAGTGAAACAGTGAAAATAAAATGGAATCTTTTTTTAAAATAATTAATAAAAAGGAGCCAAGCAAATGGAAATTAAGGAACAAAGAAGATATGGGATAAACAGAAGGCAAATGGAAAGATGGAGTATTTAAACCCAATCATATCAATAATTACATTAAAAGCAAATTATCTAAATAGTTACATTTAAAGGTGGAGATTGTCACATCGGAGTTTAAAAAAAAACAAGACCTAGTTATATGCTGTCTACAAGAAACCCACTTTAAATATAAAGACACAGATGAGTTAAACGTAAAAAGATGAGAAAGTATATACTAGGAAAACACTAATTTTAAGAAAGCTGGAGTGGCTATAATAACACCAGATATAGTAGACTTAAGAACGAGGGTTATTATCAGAGATTAAGAAAGACATTTATTAATGAAAAAGGGATCAATTAATCAAGAGGATATAACCCTTCTAAATATGTATGCACCTAATAACAGAGCTTCAAAATACTTGAAGCAAAAACTGACACACCTGAAAAGAGAAACAGACAAATCCATACTTGGAGTCTGAAATGTCAACATTTCTGTCATTGATAGAACAGGTAGACAGAAAGTCACCAAGGATCCAGAAGACTTGAACACTGTCAACCAACTTGAATTAAGTGACATTTATAGAACACCCCACCCAACAACAGAGTACACATTATTTTCAAGGGCACACAAAGCATCCAACAAGATACGCCAAAGGCTGGGCTGTAAACAAGTCTCAATATATTTCAAAGGACTGAAGTCACCACACTGATTCTGGAGAAGAAAAAAAAAAAGATAAGAGAATGCACAAGTTCTTTCAACTCAAAGATAGAAAAGAGAAATTTTGTATGTGATGCAAATGAGTCATCTTTGCTGCGGAGGAGTGATAGCGATGGATTACTCTAGTGTGCCTTAAGACCTAACTTCTTTCAAACCAGGCCATGAATCAGACAGGACTTCCAGGCCAGAGGAGCACGTCAATGGAGGACTTTCAAAGAGAAAGCACTGATAATAGTGGCGTTAAAGAAACTGGCCAGTATATAGCCAGTTCCCTGAGTCCTGTGATAAATCCCACTCCTCTACCTCATCTTGGGTGTCCCCTGGGCACCTCAGTGTGTCCAAAACCAAACCAACAGCATGTCCCCAGCCTCCCAGAGCCTCCGCCTTTATATAACCTCCTTCTCAAAACAGTTGTTTATCCTGAATGATCCATCTTAGTTAATGACACCACCCAGAAACTTACAGGTATCCTCAACTCTGCCTCTCCTTCAGTCTCCCCTTGGTTAGTCAGTCACTGAGCCCTGTGAAGTCTCTCTCTCATTGATCTCTCCAACCCGTCTTCTCTTCCCTCCTCACCGCCACTGCCAAGTCCAAGCCCCTTCTCATTTCTCGTCATCTTCTCCAGCCTCCTCATCCCTCCCCGGCAGCTGGTCCTGCCTCCCCACCATGCTCAGCCCCGCTGGCCAATGGACTCTCAACTTTGTTTTTCAGGTCTTAAAAGTCACACAACAGTACATATATCATGTCAAAAAATGTGTAATACAAGCAAGCAAAACTCAAAATACATTAATAAATAGAAGTAAAAACAAATTTTAACTTAAATCAAAAGCCCATCACCATCCAGCAATAACCAATGTTAACATTTTGGATCACCAGACTTCTGACCCTTTCCTAAATGTTCATTTATGTTTTTCTTTTTTCTTTTTTTTTCCAAGACAGAGTTTTGCTCTTGTCTCCTAGGCTGGAGTGCCGTGGAGAGATCTCGGCTCACTGCAACCTCCACCTCCCAGGTTTAAGCGATTCTCCTGCCTCAGCCTCCGGAGTAGCCACCACACCCAGCTAATTTTTGTATTTTTAATAGAGACTGGGTTTCACCATGTTGGCCAGGCTGGCCTCGAACTCCTAACCTTGTGATCCGCCCGCCTCAGCCTCCCAAAGTGCTGGGATTACAGGCATGAGCCACCGCATTGGCCACATTTATGTTTTTCACCAAATGGGATTATTCCAGACATACAACTAGGGTGACCCAGTTTACCTGGGACTGTCCTGGCTTTTGCACTGAAGCTCCTGTGTTCCAGAAAACCACTCAGTCCTGGGCAAACCGGGATGGTTGGTCTCCCTACAACTTGTCTGTTTAATAGATTAGCACCTTTTGATGTTAATAATAGACAGCTATGTCTTCATTTTAATGACTATAGGAATACCAGTGAATATAAATATCTAAGTGGTCTTTTAAAGGTAAAAAACCTGCTCTCTTCCATTTCCATCCCTTCAGGCACCCCATGGTATTAAGTAGTAAGCTCAAAAGTGGGGTGGAGGGGAATCCAGGGGACGCGTAGGAAAAGCCATCGGCTTAGGGAGAAAGAGTAGCAGAGGTTCTATTTATATGTATTCCTTTTTTTCTCATCATAGCTCGCTGTAGCCTTAAACTCCTGGGCTCAAGCAATCCTTCTGCCTCAACCTCCCGAGTTGCTAGGACTACAGGTGCATGCAACTATGCCTGGCTAATTTTATTTATTTATTTATTTTGTAGAGATGGAGTCTCCCTATATTGCCCAGGCTGGTCTTGAACTCCTGGCCTCAAGTGATCCTCCCACCTTTGCCTCCCAAAGCACTGGGATTACAGCTGTTAGCCACCATGCCCAACCTACATGTATTTTTTTTTTATCTCATGTTTTTCATTTTTCTATTTTTGTGTGTCTTATAGTGTATATGATACAAGTGTACAGTAGTGCACGTATATAACTTAGTTATAAATAAATCTCCATATAATGGAGGGTTTATTTCCAGCATGCTTCTAAAGGTTGGAAACACTAGTCCAGCTGATAAAATATTTCCTCTTTAGCAGTCCTGGAATGTCCAGCATAGTCAAGGCTTTGCTTCTCCCTCCAGTTTCATCTGCCACCTCCCTCACTGATATGGTTTGGCTGTGTCCCCACCCAAATCTCATGTTGAATTGTGGCTCCCATAATTCCCATGTGTTGTGGGAGGGACCTGGTGGGAGATAATTGAATCACGGAGGTGGCTTCTCTCATAGTGTTCTCGTGATAGTGAATAAGTCTCACGAGATCTGATGATTTTATAAGAAGAAACCCCTTTGGCTTGGTTTTCATTTTGTCTTGTCTGCTACCATGTAAGACATGCCTTTTGCCTTCTGCCATGATTGTGAGGCCTCCCCAGCCACATAGAACTGTGAGTCCATTAAACCTCTTTTTCTTTATAAATTACCCAGTCTCGGGTAGTCTTTATCAGCAGCATGAAAACGGAGTAACACACCCATCCCCCAGCAAGCCGCACCAAACCATATCTGTTCCCTGAATATCCGTATTCTCCCCTCCAAGCCATTCCCCTCCAAGAGGTTCCCATCACCCCACCCCCTTCACCTCCTGGCTAACCTCCTCAGTTCCTCCACTGCAGCTCACAGGCTAACCCAGGTCAGATATCACCTCTGCCAGGAAGTCTCTCTGGAACACTCCTCCTCTCTAGCCCAACCCATCCAGGTTAGGTGCCCTTCCTCTGCATTTCCATAGCACCCTGTGCTTACCCGCACCACAACGCTGACCACATGACTTAGTAATTACCTATTTAACCCTTTGTGACTTCCCCTGATTCGCTGGTGGCCACCCAGCCCAGTGCCTGTCACATAGCCATCTTCTAGCAAATGGTGAAAGAATAAACAAACAATAATTGCAAACATGTATGTAGCACTTTCCAAATGCCAGACACTGATTACAGATCAGGAAACAGAGGCACGGAGAAGTCAAGGTACTTGTCAGGGTCACAGAACTAAATGGCAGAGCTGGGCTTCAAACCCAGGCAAACTGGCTTCAGAGTCCATGCTATCCATCGTTATGCTACGATGTCACTCAGCAGAAGAATGAATGAATAAATGAATGAACAAATAAAGATAGGAATGAAGGAGGGAACAAATGAATGAGCAAAGGAATAATTTAAGTAAAGGAATGCCCAGGGGCCTGGTCCCGGGCTGCTTTGCAGACATCAACCAATTGCACTGTCTTTAAGTTGCCCTTGTCATTGTCCATCTGATGCCATTTTTCATATTTTAGTTGCTGCCTGTGGAGGCACCAGAAGTTTGTCCCTCCTCCCCCTTCACCCCTGTACCAGGATCAACCAGATCTCCCTCCCTTCCTAACTCCCCCATTGCAGCTCACAGGGTAATGAGCATCAGTACTGCAGAATCACTGCATGTTACAGCTGGAAGGTACACTTAGCACTATCCAGTCCAATCTTCCATTTTGTAGATGGAAAAATGGAGGCCCAGAGAGGCAAAGCAATTTCCCCAAGGTCACACAGCAAGTTAGTGGCAGAGTCAAGAGTGGGCCCAGTCTCCTGATTTTCCATCTGTCTCCCTTTACTAAGCTGTCTCTATTGCTTGAACTTTGTCAATCGAAAGCCATTCGGGGCAAAGTACAACAGATGGGTTTAGTGAGTTCTCAAATGCACTGTTGAGAAAAGTTCCTGGGAATAGGGAGGTGAGAAATGCAAGGTCAAGGCCCTGCAATTTCCTCCAGGCAGGGAAATAAATAACCAAAACCATCACTGAGGACTCACCATGTGCTAGATGCTTCCCTGCATTATCCCATTTCGTCCTCCGACAGATAGTAACTATCCTGGTTTTAGATATGAGCAAATTGAGGTTCAGAGAGGTAAACAGAGCGATCAACACATCCCCAGTTTCTTGGCACTGTCCCAGTTCTAAAACTGGAAGTCCCATGTCTCAGGAACCCCTTTAGTCCCAGGCAAACCAGGACAGTGGGTCACCCCCGAGGTAAGCAGCCCACCCAGAGGACTGGATCCCAGAGATCCAAGCTCAGACCTCCTGTGGATTTCCATGCCCTTTCTCCTACACCACACTGCACCCTCTGGGAAAATACATAAACTCTCATGGGAAAAATAAACAGATAAGCAGGTGGGGTCAGGAGTGGGGAGTGGGAAGTGGGCCAGAGGAGGGTGGGCACCAAGAGGCAGTTCTGAAGTCAGGTCAGCCCTGGGTCACAGCAGCCCAGCCATCTGGGAGGTAGAATGCTACTGGGTGTCAGGCCAGGAGAGGACAAACAAGGTTCTTATTCTTCCCTCTTTATCTGGAGGAGTCTGTTTGTGGCAATAACCCTGTTATCTCAGCCAGGTCTCTGGTCTCTTGCCAGGCTGTGACAAGGGGTTTAGGGGCTGAGGCTCTGACCAAACCAGTCTCCCTGGGACCCTGGCATGCTCTCCCTCCTCATCTGACAACCTGATCGGGGTCGAGGAGGCATGGTGAGCACCACAGGGCAGGGGACCCCTGCCCACCCATGGAGGCCACAGGGAGATGAGGACCCCACACTTGGACAGTGGATTTCCCTGTCGTCACGAGGGGATTTGAGAGTAGCTGACCTCCTGCTAGGAGCCAGACTCCTGACTGCTGTGGTCTCTTTCAACCTTCTCCTCCCTAAAGCACTCAGACAGGCATCCTCACCTCTACCTTACAGAAGCGGAGGGGATGTCCCTTAGAGAAGTCACATAGCATGTCGGTGACACAGGGCGGCCAGGGCACAGCAGTGACTCCAACTCTCCCTGCCTCCCAAGCCTCCTCACGAGACTGTCAAACAATGGTGGAGACATAGACTCTGTCTTGGCTGCGTGTCTCTGTGACTTGCTTACCACACCACACCTGCCCAGACACCTCTCCTGCCCGGACACCTCTCCCACCCTCCTCCACAGGGTGATTTGTCCTCGTCCTAGGACCTCAAGCTTGGCCTCCCCTGACCTTCAGGCTGGGGTGAGTGCCCTGTCTTAGAACTCATGGTGGCCTCTGCTGGGGCAACCACAGTTCGTGGGGATTGGGGTGTAAAAAGCACCTCCTGACCCCTTCTGCACTAAGACCCCAAGAGGACAGGAACTGACTCCCTACCCCAGCACTGATATATTAGGTTGGTGCAAAAGTAATTGCATTAATTGCATTAAAAGTCATGGCAAAAACGAAAACATTAAGTAGTTTTTGCCATTACTTTTTTTTTTTTTTTTTAGACAAAGTCTCACTCTATTGCCCAGGCTGGAGTGCAATGGCACAATCTTGGCTCACTGCAACCTCTGCCTCCCGGGTTCAAGCGATTCTCCTGCCTCAGCCTCCTGAGTAGCTGGGATTACAGATGCGCACCACCACGCCTGGCTAATTTTTGTATTTTAGTAGAGATAGGGTTTCACCATATTGGTCAGGCTGGTCTCGAACTCCTGACCTCATGATCAACCCACCTCAGCCTCCCAAAGTGCTGGGATTACAGGCGTGAGCCCCTGCACCCAGCCAGCCATTACTTTTCATTGTAATTCATGCAATTAGTTTTGCATTAAAAGTAATGGCAAAAGATACTTAATATCTATTTGTTGCACAAACAAATAAGTAGATTAATTAATTCATTGCCAAATACTCTTGAGCTCCAATTCAGTCAGGTGGCATCCTGAAGGCAATGGCCCACCTAAAAGTCTCCCAGCTGCTGCCTCTGTTCCACCCCCCCCCACCCTCCCACTGGCCTTCCTCCGTCACCACTTGACTCAAAGTGTGGTCCCCAGATCCACAGTACCAGCATCACCAAGAGCTTGTTGGAAATGGAACAACTCCGTCCCCCCCAGACCCCGGGACCCTGGGCTGAGAGCCTGAAAACTGTTAGAAATCGTGACATACTGTCTTAGGTGAGCCTTGCTACAAGACCTAAAGTGTGCTGGCGTTATTCACATCGCTACAGATGAAGCTGGGGTTCAGGGAGGGGAGATAGCTTCTCAAGATTAAACAGCCAGGAAATGGTAGAGGTGGGATTCAAACTTGGGTTTGTCTCTCTTCAAAGCAGATGGAAATTGACGCTGCTATCCATGTGGTGAAAGGAGAGAAACCTGCATTTACTGAACACCCACAATGTGCCAAGTCCCGTACGACTCTGTCTCATTTCATCTTCCCCACTCCCTTATGAAGTAGGGGATCTCACATTCTCGTTTTACAGATGAGACTCCGAGGCGCAGGAAGGGGAGGTGACTTGCCCAAGGTCCACAGCTGGGAAACAGCTGAAATGGGGCGCAAAGCTGGAAGTCTGCTCCCCAACCTGGGGAATGGACACCAGGTGACGACATATAGTGCCCTCGCTCGGCAGCAGGCACTGGCTCTCAGGGGACTGCGGGGTCACTGCTTAGCTCACACCTGTCCTTTCTCTCCCCTGAGAGAGCTTGTGGCCTTGGGCCACATCCATGCTTTCTTTTTCTTCCTAACCCTCAGCCCTCAGCTTAGTCATTCTCCAGCCCTGATGGAGCACAAATGCATGCTGCTGGTGACGACTGGCTACCAAGGTGGGATGTCACCCTCCCAGCTATTCCCATCATTTGTCCTGGCGGGCGCCAAGAATTCCTGAGGTCACCTCAAGGCCCCTTCCTGCATTCCTAGCGTTCTTGTCACAGGGCTCTCCTTTCTGACCCCACATGTGAACCTCCGCTGCAGGCTGGGCTCACAGGCAAATGCATCACACCGTGGTGACTGGGGCAGGAGAGTGGGATCAGTGATGCCCTGCCTGTTCTGGATGTGAGACCTTGGCAGATTCCTTTGCCTGTCTGAGCCTCAGCTTCTCCATCTCTGAGAGGGGCGGGTAATAATCGGACCTCCCAAGGTGTTTGTAAGGAGCATTCAGGGTGCATGGAAGTGGCTGGGCCTTCTGTATCTCTCACTGCCAGCAATCAAAACATGGCCCAGGACTGTCTGATGGGTCAGCCAGCGGGACTGGGCAGCACACGAGCATCCATTTGTATGAGCAGCTCGCAGGGACAGGGGTCACTTGGAAGGAGAGGAGGGAAATGGGATTGGGCCCGGTGTGTGCCACATGAAGAGGTGGCTCTTGGGAGACCCAGGCAGGGGCTGGGCAGTGCTGCCCAGGGAGGAATATTTGCCCCAAATCTGCAGAGAACACACCTCCATGGCCCCAGGGAGGGAGGGGAGCTTCAGTAAACAGTCTCTTGGCATGAATCTCCACATTTCCACAGAGGACACCGGCCACAGTGGCCAGACCTGTTTAGTGACCTGAAGGGCAAACAGCATAGAAGAGGAGAGGGGTGGCCAAAAGAAAGGAGGAGTGGGCAGGGGTCGGTGGTGGTTGTGGCTGGGGTTTGTGAGCACTCAGGACACACTCGACTCTCAGACCTAACCAGGTAAGGTTTTGCAGAAGCCAGACATGTAGGAGAGCATCTGGCAACCAGATCCACTGAAATTGGGTGGGTGCTATTAACGCAACCCGTTTATAAGTACAGGCTGGGGATGGCTGGAGAGACGGGCACCGCATAGAGGAGGCACACACCAGGAGGAGATGGCAAGGGCTCCAGACACGCAGCCACCAGAGCCCGCGTCCAGCCGAGGCTGGGCGCCCTGCAGCCTGTGTTCAACCACTTACCCTTGTCCAGACCTAGATACAGGGCAAAAAGGCATGCCTATGGGAGCCCCAGTAAAGTCCTTATAAAGTGAAGACTTCTTGGTGAGTCAGCCCGAGCCAGGCGGGCCCAGCTCATTCATTGCGAAAGTATTTTCTTTTCAGTGCTTTTCTGCAAAGCCTTTCACTGCCGCGGAGGTGAAGTCATCGGCTGGTAAACGCTCTGCCTTGCGGTAAATTTCCTCTGAACTTTCTGCTTCTGTTTAACTCGCCAAACCTCAAGGCGAGCTGGCAGTCAGAGTCGTGCAAAGGTCACTGGGCTGAGTTGGAGGCCTGGGTTTAAATCCCAGCCCAGCCTCTTTCTAGTTTCGGGATCTTGATGGATGTAAGTCACATCTTTGGGCTTTAGTTTCTCTGTGTCTAAAATGAAGTCACTACTATCAAAAGTATCCTAAAGAAATACAATGCTACGCACTCATGTAATCAAAAATATTTACTGAGTTCTTAGTGAGTGTTAAGTACCATGCCAGAAAATGGAAATTATGGTAAGGAAACACACATACACACACATATGCACATGTACACACATATGCACATATGCACATACATACACACACACACATACACATATACAAGCATGTATATGCGACGTGTATACATACATTAGCACAGACACACACACATGCTTTCCTGATTCTTGCCCTCAGACGTTTCATATTCTGGTGGGAAAGACAGACGTGAATCAAATGATCCCATCAGTGAATATTAAAATACAGCTGTGATTAGTGCGGAGCTCTCTGGTGCTCTAAGAGCTTGCAATGGGGGCTTGAGCCAGTCTGAGGTGAGCAGGGGTGGGACAGGGAAGACTTCCCAGGGCACAAACAGAGTGGGAGATGGGAAAGACGACCAGCCATCACCCAGGCAGAGAGAAGGGGCAAGCAGAGCCCCTGCAGAACCGTGGCTTATCCCAGGCCAGGAAGGTCAGCTTACCAGGGGCAGAGCAGTGAGGGGCCAGGAGGACTGCGGACATAGGAAAGATGGGAAGATGACTGAGCTGGCAGCCCTGAGGGCAGCTTCCTGCTCCGATATCCCAGACCAGCAGCTCCCAGTGTGATCAAGTGGCTTTGCAGCAAACGTTATGAAACATCAATGGATTAAACTTAATTTGGGGCTAGATGAGACACTATCATATACCTACACAAAGAGCAGTGGGTACCGAAAAACTGATCACTGAAAATATTCTACCCATCAGTTTTATTTTTCTGTTATTTGAAAAACAATACCATGGTTGGGTTTGAGTTAACAGTAAACTTCAGCCCAACACACAGAACAACAGTTTCCCATGGGAGGCCTCCCTGAGCCCAGCTAAACTCAGCACTTGCCTTTCCAGGAAACGGCATCCGTGAGGCCACCAGGGGGTAGCCTAGGAGGGGCAGTGGAATTCCTGGACGACTGCTGAAAAGCAAATCACACACTGGCGATGGTGCCTACCCTTTTGTTCCAGAAGTAGAAGAAAATTCAGGTCCGCGATCCAGACAATATTTGTCTTACAAATATGCTAAATAATGACTTTTTTTTTTTGAGACACAGTTTCGCTCTCGTTGCCCAGACTCTTGTTGCCAATGGCGCAATCTCGGCTCACTACAACCTCCGCCTCCCAGGTTCAAGCGATTCTCCTGCCTCAGCCTCCTAGTAGCTGGGATTACAGGCATCTGCCACCACACCTGGCTACTTTTTTTGTATTTTTAGTAGAGACGTGGTTTCACTATGTTGGCCAGGCTTGTCTTGAGCTCCTGACCTCAGGTGATCCACCTGCCTCGGCCTCCCAAAGTGCTAGGATTACAGGCATGAGCCACCACGCCCAGCCAATAATGACCTCTTATTGGGTGGTCCCTGACTAGTAGCCATCTGTCATCCTGACCCAATAGTGAGCACCAAGAAAACTGAGGCTATGTCACCACTGTATCCCCAGCCTGGTTGGTGTTTGGCACAGAGGGCCACTCCGAAAATACATAAGGAAAGGAAAATAGGAAAAGGGAGGGGATGGTGCTTGTCATATGGAACTCTGGGAAGTATCATGTCACCGCTTAAACTGCTACATCAACTTTTACGAATATTAGATATTGAACTACCTAAAGTTTGTATTGCTTTCTTTAAGATCATAGTAGGTTTAGGGATGAGTGATTTAGATAACTCAGGTCTCTCTCTATATAAAAAGTTGATCTACAGGCCAGGCACGGTGGTTCACACCTGTAATCCCAGCACTTTGGGAGGCTGAGGCAGGCAGATCACAAGGTCAAGAGATCAAGACCATCCCGGCCAACATGGTGAAACCCCGTCTCTACTAAAAATACAAAAATTAGCTGGATGTGGTGGCACGCGCCTGTAATCCCAGCTACTCCCGAGGCTGAGGCAGAAGAATCACTTGAACCTGGGAGGCGGAGCTTACAGTGAGCTGAGATGCCACCACTGCACTCCAGCCTGGCGACAGAGCAAGATTCTGTCTCAAAAAAAAAAATAACAAAAAGTTGATCTATAAGGGTGGAGATGAAGACATTTCCCCTTCCTCGATATATTTTTCTTGCAACAACCATCATCATCCAAGATCATTCCTTGGGAACAAAGGGATGGAAGAAGGAAGGAAAAGGAAAAGCAAAAAGCAATTCCTCAAGCATCTCTGGCACCCGCTCTGTGCCCAGCCCTGTGCTAAGCCCAGGTTATCCAGGGAATGGCCAGTGGGGCATTCTAGGTACCAGATAATAATTAAACACAACAGACATGGGTTCCCATACCAGGGCTCCATCCGCAACGTAAGCAGGAAAAGATTCCAAGCCATGCACATGATTCACAAATGACCCTTGGACATGGGCAGGGACAGGCAGCTGACCTCTAGAGACAGATGACCTGCCTTCCAATCCCGGCTCTGTTGCTTTCTTGTTTGAGCAAGTTCCCGCTCTGCTCAGAGCCTGGGTTTTCTTGGCTATCAAATGGGACCACCAAGTGTTGGTAGGGCTGTGTGAGCAATGAGTGGGATGAGCTGTATAAAGACCTCAGCACCAAGTACAGCTCTCACGGGTGGAGAGATTAATTTCAGCTGGGGCAACTGGGATGGTTTTTCGGGTGGGATTGACATGTCACTAGAATCAGGGCGGGACTGAACAGGCGAGGCACAGGGCAGGGGAGGGCGGCTGCACACCCACAGTGAGGGCTCTCTGTGCACAGGTAAGTCTGGTTTGTCGTTGATGATGGTAGCGGAGGTGACTACGCCCTTTGAAAAGTGATTTATTTTTAAAATGAGGGCTGACCACAGACTAAGCCACTTCATGCTCTGTTACCACCTGCCTCGGTTTATTCAAACTTCAGTCAAGCTTTGGGTTCAATAAAAGTCACCAGGAAATAACTGCCTCGCGCTTCATAGGAAACCCATTAAAAAAATTCATGCACCATTAAGGACCGGTGAGAGGAAGCCAAACTCAGGCCTTCACTGAGCTGCAACTACTGGCCCAAGATTGCCCTCTGAGCAGGGACTCAAAGGGTAGATAGATGCGGGAGATTTCGGGTCTCTATGTTAATTTGTTTGCAGCAAGAGGGAGGGAAGAGCACAGATGGACAGGTAACAGACAGAGGGCTGCGGCTCAGACCCCCGCCATCTTTGCCTGGTGCTTAGGATGAATGAAATATGCCAAAAGGAGCACAGATATCACCATCTGGAAGCTTTGACCAGCAACCTTTCTGTTCCACGATGAAAATAAATTTGACTACAGCTGTCAAGAGACTTTTTAAAGTTCATGCCCTTTGGCCCAGTCCTCTTCCCTATTTGAAGGCTTCTTCCTAAGAAGTCATTTGTAGGCCGGGCTCGGTAACTCACATATGTAATCCCAGCACTCTGCGAGGCAGAGGTGGAAGGATCGCTTGCGCCCAGGAGTTTGAGACCCATCTTGGGCAACATGGTGAAACCCCATCTTTACAAAAATATCAACATATTAGATTGAGGCTGTAGTGAGCTGTGATCGTGCCACTGCACTCCAGCCTGAGTGACAGAGGGAGACCCTGTCTCAAACAAACAAAGGAAGTCACTAGTGGTTCTAGCAAATAGTTTAGATATCAAGAACCTTCAGAGGAGAGTTATTTATTAGTAATAATTGGAAGAAATTAAATCTCCGACAATAGAATGGACAACAATAGAATTTGTTCAAAATTCAGCATAGAGATACCTATGGGATGCTAAGGCAGGCGGATCACTTGAGGTCAGGAGTTCGAAACCAGCCTGGCCAACATGGCAAAACCCCATCTCTACTAAAAATACAAAAGTTAGGAGGTTTTCTAATAATGATATGGTGAACTGTTGGTGATAAAAATACTCAGTAGGGGCAAATACACAACATTATATATTTAAAATATGTCTCCAAATTTGTGTTTTTTTTCTTTTTTTTGAGACAGAGTCTTGCTCTGTCACCCAGGCTAGAGTGCAATGGTGTGATCCCGGCTCACTGCAACCTCTGACTCCCAGGCTCAAGTGATCCTCCCACCTCAGCCTCCGGAGTAGGCAGAACTACAGGCATGCACCACTACGCCCAGCTGATTTTTTATTTTCTTGTAGCGACAGGGTTTCACTATGTTGCCCAGACTGGTCTCAGATTCCTGAGCTCCATTGATCCGCCCACTTCAGCCTCCCAAAGTGCCTGGATTACAGGCGTGAGCCACTGAGCTTAGCCCAAATTTGTGTTTTCAACAAAATGTGTGCAAGGAGCTTATTTCATTCAGCCTTGTGTTGTAATTAGCTGATTGCCTGTGCCCTCCTGCCCCCCAGCTATAAACTGTTAAAGGACCACAAGAGTAACTTGTCACTGTATTAAAAGAAAGAATGGAGTGTTGGGAGGGGGGAAGTGGATTATCGGAGAATCTGAGTCCTTTATTTTAAAATAATAGTAATAGCATACATGAGTGAGTATTTAGTAAATGCCAAGTTCTGAACTGAGTTCTTCACACACTTGTCGCTTAACCCTTACAACTCTACTATGTAGGATGATGCGGTTAATTAGGGCAGTGTTCTCAAAATGTGGTCCCTGGAACCAGCAGCATCAGCATCACCTAGGAATTTGCTGGAAATGCAACTTCTAAGGTTCTACCCAGACCTACTGAATCAGAAACCCTGGGAGTCAGGAGCCAGCAATCTATGCTTGACCCAGCTCTCCAGGTTCTCCTGATGCAAACTCAAGTTTGAGAAGCCTGGACTAGGGGTAACAGGCAGCTCAGGGTTATTGAGGGCAGCCTTGAACTTGAGGATTAAAAGTTCTGTCCTGGGCCGGGCGTGGTGGCTCACGCCTGTAATCCCAGCACTTTGGGAGGCCGAGACAGGCGGATCACGAGGTCAGGAGATCGAGATCACCCTGGCTAACATGGTGAGACCCCGTCTCTACTAAAAATACAAAAAATTAGCCAGGCATGGAGGCACGTGCCTATAATCCTAGCTACTCGGGAGGCTGAGGCAGGAGAATCGCTTGAACCCGGGAGGCGGAGGTTGCAGTGAGCCAAGATGGTGCCACTGCACTCCAGCCTGGCGACAGAGCAAGACTCCATCTCAAAAAAAGAAAAAAAAAAGTTCCGTTCTAGCCCAATCAACGTAAGACCACCTGTAGCCTGACAAAATCAGATTTATCGGCCCATTGCAATGAAGGATAACACACACCAGAGGAACCAAACAAAGGACAGGATGGTACTATCATGGAATTTTGGAGCAGCATGGAATTCAGGTAAAATGTAAATGAAACAATGTTTTGATTGGCTCAAAGCAAAGCAGAACTGTGTGTTAAAAAATCAACATCAAGTCTGGACCACAAATTAGACCCAGAGCTCTATTTCCTTGAAAACTACAAAATTAAGCTAGGTTCGGAATGTTGGATCCAGAAAGCGCTATCTGAAGCTCTGCACCTGGGCTGGAAATCAGGGCTTCCCCTCTGTCAACGTGACTAAGACCCTCAGGGCAAGAGCCTGGTGTTTCATTCATACATTTCATCCCTCATCAAAATTCCTACCTACAACATTTCAAACAGCAAAGTTTCCGGTAGTCTGATTTTAGAGAACAAGGCTTCTTCTCATTGAGTAAAAAAGCAGTTGTCACTCAAAGATGCGAGCTGCTATGACCTTGTACAGCTGCAGCGTGTCCTTGGGAGAAATACGTTTCCTGGTAACTTTGCAGCCAGCTTTATCGATGTCTGTCCTTCCAGACTGACCAACAGCTGGCCAGGTTTATATTTTCTCGATCCAAGCTAATTTTTTTACTTTCTTGGCTAGAAGGTATTAAACAAGTTAACATTCATAAATTACTTAGAAAAGTGTGACAAATAATTAACATAAAGTATAATTCATATTACATAAACATGAACTAATATAAGTAAATATAATACATAATATAATGTTATAATTAGTACAAATATTAATTAACTAATTAAAGTAATAAGGATTATGGTTACATAAAAAGAAGAAGAGGCCGGGTGGTGGCTCATGCCTGTAATCCCAGCACTTTGGGAGGCCGAGGTGAGCAGATCGCTTGAGCTCAGGAGTTCGAGACCTGCCTGGTCAATATGGTGAAACTCTATCTCTACAAAAAAATACAAAATCAGCCAGTCTACTCTGGAGGCTGAGGTGGGAGGATCACATGATCCTGGGGAGGTTGAAGCTGCAGGAACAAGTGACCACGCCACTGTGCTCCAGCCTGGGCAACAAAGTGAGGCCCTGTCTAAAAAAAAAAAAAAAAAAAAAAAAAGAAAGATAGATCCTGGGTTCTAGTTTCAAAAATGCTGAGAAGGAGAGGGAGAAGTATTTGCTGAGTGCCTATTTTGTGCTGGGCTCCAAGTTACCTCATTTACTGTATAAGCCAAGAACTGTTACCGTTACTCATGAAGAGAGGTTTAAGGTGGTTGCCTAAGCTCATCTCGCTGATTAGGAGCAGAGCCAGGATTCAAACCCAGCCACAGCTAGGTGCGTGGCCATCTGTAAAACACCCACCCTTTAGGAGCTTTTGTCTTTTACTTGTAAAATAGAGGAAATACAACAAAATATTAGGTTGGCACAAAAGTAATCGTAGTTTTTGCCATTTTAAAAAAAATGGCAAATTTTTGCACCAACTTAATAGTTTTAAAGTTCTTTCTTATGCCAGTTTTCTCTCATAATTAAAGCTCAGTGATGAATTTCCTCCCCACCAAAGACAATATATGAAAAGATAATGGGACAAGGATAGTCATTATACATTCTTTATAATATCAAAAGTGGAGCCAGGTGTGGTGGCTCATGCCTGTAATCCCAGAGCTTTGGGAGCCGGAGGCAGGTGGATCACCTGAGGTCAGGAGTTCGAGACCAGCCTGGGCAACATGGTGAAAACTTGTCTCTACCAAAAACGAAAACAACAACAAAAAAAATTAGCCAGGTATGGTGGCGTGTGCCTGTAGTCCCAGCTACTTGGGAAGCTGTGGCAGGAGAATCTCTTGAACCTGGGAGGCAGAGGTTGCAGTGAGCCAAGATTGTGCCACTGCACTCTAGCCTGAGCAACAGAGCAAGACTCCACCTCAAAAAAAAAAAAAAAAAAAAAGTGGGAACTAACGTAAATGCCAAAAAATAAGGTCTGATTAAATAAATTAGAATATACCCATACAATTGAAGACTATTCAGCCATTACAAATGATGTTGTTAAAGTATATTATGAACATAAATATATGTATGACATGTTGTTCATATATTCCTAATATTTTGCAGAAAACATAGTTTAAAATAATGTATATCATCTACAGGTTCAATCCAACCCCGATCAAAATCCCAATGACATTTTTTACGGAAATAGAAAAATCCATCCTAGAAGTCATATTGAATCTTAAGGGACTCTGAATAACCAAAACAATCTTGAACAGGCACAAAGTTGGAGATAATACATTTCTTGATTTCAAAACACTACAAAGATACAGTAATCAAAACAGTGTGGTACTGGCATAAAGATAGACATCTAGACCAATGAAATAGAATAGAGAGTCCAGAAATAAACCCCTGCAAAAATAGTCAAATGATTTTCTTTTTTAAAAAAAAAAAATTTTTAAGGTCAGGGGTACATGTGCAGCTTTGCTTCACAGATAAACATGTGTCATGGGGGTTAGTTGTGCAGATTATTTCATCACCCAGGTATCAAGCCTAGTACCCATTAGTTATTTTTCCAGATCCTCTCCTTCTTCCCATCCTCCACCCTCTGATAAGCCCCAGCATGTGTTGTTCCCCTCTATGTGTCCATGTGTTCTCATCATTTGGCTCCCACTTATAAGTAAGAACATGGGGTGTTTGGTTTTCTGTTCCTGCATTAGTTTGCTGAGGATATGGCCTCCAGCTCCATCCATGTCCCTGCAAAGGACATGAGCTCGTTCTTTTTTATGGCTGCATAGTATTCCACAGTGTATATGTACTGCCAGTCTATCACTGATGGGCATTGAGGTTGATTCCATGTCTTTGCTATTGTGAATAGTGCTGCAGTGAACATATGCGTGCATGTGTCTTTATAATAGAACAATTTATATTCCTTTGCGTATATACCCAGTAATGAGAGTGCTGAGTCGAATGGTATTTTGGTCTTTGAAGAATCGCCACACTGTCTTCCAATTAGTTGAACTAATTTATACTCCCACCAACAGTGTATAAGAGTTCCTTTTTCTCCACAAACTTGCCAGCATCTGCTATTTTTTTTGACTTTTTAATAATAGCTATTCTGACTGGTGTGAGATGGTATCTCATTGTGGTTTTGATTTACATTTCTGTAATAATCAGTGATGTTGAGCTTTTTTTCATATGATTGTTGGCCACATGTATGTCTTCTTTTGAGAAGTGTCTATTCATGTCCTTTGCCCACTTTTTTAAGGGGATTGTGTGGCTTTTTCTTGTAAATTTGTTTAAGTTCCTTATAGGTGCCGGATTGGTTTTCAGCAAGGGTACCAAGACCATTCAATAGGGAAAGGAGACTTTTCAATAAATGATGTTGGTAAAACTGGATACCTACACGCAAAAAAAAAAAAAATGAAGTTGGACCCTTACCTTACCTTATATACAAAAAATTAACTAAAAATAAATCAAAGACCTAAACGTGAGAGCTAGAACTTTAAGATTCTTAGAAGAAAACATGGGGGGAAAGCTTCGTGACACTGGATTTGGCAGTGGTTTCTTGGATTTGACACAAAAAGCACAAAAGAAAAAACAGATAAGTTGGATTTCAGTAAAATAAAAAACTCTTGTGCATCAAAGGGCACTGTGTACAGACTGAAAAGACAATACATGGAATGGGAGAAGGAAGATATTTGTAAATCATCCATGTGATAAGGGATTAATATCTAGAATATAAATAACTCCCACACCTCAACAACAAAAATTCAAATGATCTGATTAAGAAATGGGCAAAACTGGCCGGGTGCGGTGGCTCACACTTGTAATCCCAGCACTTTGGAAGGCCAAGGCAGGCACATCAGGAGGTCAGGAGTTCGAGACCAGCCTTACCAACACAGTGAAACCCCATCTCTACTAAAAATACAAAAATTAGCTGGGCCTGGTGGCAGGTGCCTGTAATCCCAGCTACTCAGGAGGCTGAGGCAGGAGAATCGCTGGAACCCAGGAGGCGGAGGTTGCAGTGAGCCAAGATGGCGCCACTGCACTGCAGCCTGGGGGACAGGGCGAGACTCTGTCAGAAAAAAAAATAAAATAAAATAAAAAAGAAAGAAGGAAGGAAGGAAGGAAGAGAAAGAAAGAAGGAAAGAAAGAAAGAAAGAAAGAAAGAGAGAGAGAGAGAAAGAAAGAAAAGAAAAGAAAAGAAAAGAAAAGAAAAGAAAAGAAAGGGGCAAACCTGCACATTCTGCATGTGTCCCAGAACTTAAAGTAAAATAAAAATAAAAATAAATGGGCAAAAGGGCTGAGTGCAGTGGCTCATGCCTGAAATCCTAACACTTTGGGAGGACGAGGCAGGCAGATCACTTGAGGTCAGGAGTTCGAGACCAGCCAGGGCAACAAGGCAAAACCCCTTCTCTACAAAAAATTACCTGGGTGTGGTGGCACACACCTGTAGTCCCAGCTCCTTAGAAGGCTGAGGTGGGAGGATCACTTGAGCCCGAGAGGTTGAGGCTGCAGCGAGCCAAGATCGTGCCACTGTACTCCAGCCTGGGTGACAGAGATCCTGTCTCAAAACAAAACAAAAATAAAATAAAAAGACAAATACTGCATGATTCCACTTATACGAAATGTCCAGAGTAGCCACATTCATAGAGTCAGAAAATAGAATGGTGGTTGCCAGGAGCTGGGGTGAGGGAGAATGTGGACTTAGTGCTTTGTGTTTGGTGGGGAGGGCCGTTTATTAGTTTATCTTTATTTTTGTAGTGATGAGGTCTCACTGTGTTACCCAGGCTGGTCTCGAGCTCCTGACCTCGTGATCCACCCACCTCAGCCTCCCAAAGTACTGGGATTACAGGCGTGAGCCACCGCGCCTGGCCACCTCAATTTTTTTTTAAGTGTGTATCAAATGGTCTCATTTTTGTTTTTTATAAATGCCTATGTTTAAAAATATATGAAAGGATATATTTATAATGCCAATAGTAATTACCTCTAGGCAATCGATTATGAGTGATTTGAGGAAGTTACCTTATTTTCTAAAAGTTTACAGTGAATTTAATTATATAATAAAATACAATCCTGAAAAAATACAGACAGCAAGATTTCCAGTAATGTCAGCATTAAACAATTCTCTTCCACATAAAACAAGTATAAACTGGAAAAAATTATTTTGAAAATAACTATTTCAAGGCACTGGAAAATGACCAAAGGCAGATACCAACTTAACAAGTCTTCACTCTCAGGAAAAATGGCTGCTAAGAATAGGAACCGAATTTTTGACCTTCACACCTGGGGGTGTTCCTATTCTTCCAGTAAGGGTAATAAAAACCTACAGCTTTACTGGGCACCGGTGAACATGGTTCAAAGGTGGCATATTTCACAGGGAGATGTTGAAGGTGATAGAGCCATAGTAGGGCTGAGACAATAAACTCTTCACACATCTTCAGGTGACTGCTAAATTAAGCATAAATGTGGGAAGGCCCAGGGAAAATGAAAAGCCTGGGACACTTGGAAACTTCCTCCCTCTCCTCAGCATGCCTGAAACTAGAATCTTTGCATGAACTCCTCAACCCCTGCAGAGTTCAGGTGGCAGAGAGTTGAGTCCCAAAAGGAGAGAAAAGAGAGAAGTGGGTGGAAAAGGATTGGAAGCACAATGGCCAGTTTCTTTCCAAATTTGGTGAGATCCAGGAACAGATCCAGGAAGCTAAACAAGCTAAACAAGAAGGTGAAACACAACGAGAATCACACATAGATACATCATGGTCAAACTGCTGAAAGACATAGTCCTGACAGCAGCAACAGAACAGCCACACATCACATACAGAAGGTAATGATATGATGAGCTGCTGAGACCAGCCTGGCCAACACAGTGAAACCCCATCTCTACTAAAGATACAAAAATTAGCCAGGCATGATGGCACACACCTGTAACCCCAGCTACTGGGAAGCCGAGGCAAGAGAATCGCTTGAACCCGGGAGGCGGAGGTTGCAGTGAGCCGAGATTGTGCCACTGCACTCCAGCCTGGGCGACAGAGCAAAACTCCATCTCAAAAAAAAAAAAAAGAAAAAAAAAAGATAAGCAGCTGAGTTCTCACCAGAGACAATACAGGCCAGAAGACATTGGGATGACATGGGATGAAGTATTCACAGTACTGGAAGAAAAAAAATCTTGTCAACAAAAAAATTCTCTATATAGTAAAACTATCATTCAAAATAAGGGTAAAATAAAGACATTTACAGAAAAATTACAATGTGTTGGTGGGACCAGGTGTGGTGGCTCACGCCTGTCATCCCAGCACTTTGGGAGGCTGAGGCGAGTGGATCACTTGAGGTCAGGAGTTTGAGACCAGCCTGGCCAACATGGTGAAACCCCATCTCTACTAAAAACACACACAAAAAAAAGTAGCTGGGCATGGTGGCGTGTGCCTATAATCCCAGCTACTTGTGAGGCTGAGGCAGGAGAATCATTTGAACCTGGGAGGTGGAGGTTGCAATGAGTCGAGACCACACCACTGCACTTTGGCCTGGGTGACAGAGCAAGGTAAAATATACATCTAAAAAAAGTATGTTGGTGACACATTTCATTGCAGTAAAACTCAAAAGGTTAAAGACTAAAAGAAAATTGAATAAAAACTATAAACTAAAGAAAAATCATATCTGAGGGTCATCCAGCTCCACAGGTAGGAATGAAAGTGGTAAATATGTGATCTGTTTTTTTCTTTTGTTTTCTTAATTTCCTTAAAAGATATATGACTATTTAAAGCAAAAATTACAACAGCATACCATTGGGTTTATAGCGTAAATGGATGTCATATGTATGACAACAATAGCATAAAGGAGGGTGAGGGAATATGCTGACACAAAGTTGGTGGGAGTTAGTCATTATTAATATAAAGTAGATTTTGATAAGATAAAGATGCATATTACAATGCCTAGAATGATCACTAAAAATCCACAAAAATATCAAAGAAGAGAATTTAAATGATGTACTTAAAATATTTGTTTAACACAAAAGAAAGTAGTTTAGAAGGAACAGAGGAACAACAAGGAGATAAGACAAGTAGAAAACAAATAGCAAAATTGTGGACCAATTCTAACCATGTCAATAATTACAATAAATGTGAATATGAACTAAACCTCCCACCAAAAGGCAGAGATATTTCAGATTGAATTAGAAAGCAAGACCCAACTATATTCTGTCTACAAGAAAGTAAAAGGATGGAAAAGGATATACCATGCAAATAGGTGCAAGAGAGCTGGGCTGGCCATATTAACAACAAACAAAATAGACTTAGAGACAAGCAGTATTACTATAGACAAAAGAAGAACAGTTCATAATAATGAAAGGGTCAATATGGCATCAAGATATAGCAATTATAAATCTATATACTTATGATAACAATGCCCCCAAATACACGACGATTTTGATATTCCTTTCTTAGTAATTAATAGAAAAAGTAGTCAGAAAATCAGAAAGGATATAAAATAACACTATCAAGAAACTTGACCTAATTGGCATTCATAAAACTCCACCTAACAAAAGCAGAATATAGTTATTCTAAAGTGTATATCACAAAAAGGAATATGGGAAATCCCCCAAACATGAAAATTAAACAATATACTTTTAAATAACTCATGGTCAAAACAAGATATCACAAGGGAAATTAGAAAAATATGTTGCCCTAAAAACACAACATATCAAATTTTGCAGGATTTAGTTAAAGCAGACTATGCAGGGAAATTTATACCTTTAAATGCTTATACTAGAAAAGAAGAAAGCATAAAAATAAGTATCTAAGCTTTCAAGTTAGGAAGCTAGAAAAAGGAAAGCAAATTAAATCTGAAATAAGTGAAAGAAAGGAATAAAGAGAAGCGCAGAAATTAATAAGGTAGAAAACAAATAATTTTTAAAAACATAATGAAACTAAAAGCTCATTTTTTGTAAAGATTAATAAAATTGATAAACCTTTAGTTAAACTGATCCAAAAAAACAAGTGGGGGAAGACGTCATAAATTACCAATATCAGGAATAAAATGGTGACATCACTACGAATCCTACAGACATTAAAAGAATGACTTCCACTTACAACCAAAATGAAATCACAGGAGCCCGATTTACTCTCCTACTGAAAACAACTGAAGTTGCAGACAAAATGTATGAAATAAAAGTTCTCAAGACATTGGATAGTAGGCAACAAAGATCCCTGATCCCTGAAAGATAGAGAACAGGCTGGGCACAGTGGCTCACACCTGTAATCCCAGCACTTTGGGAGGCCAAAGGGGGCAGATCACCTGAGGTCAGTAGTTCAAGACCAGCTTGGCCAAAATGGTGAAACCCCATCTCTTCAAAAATACAAAAATTAGCCAGGCATGATGGTGGGTGCCTATAATCCCAGCCACTTGGGAGGCTGAGATGGGAGAATTGCTTCAATCCGGGGGGCAGAGGTTGCAGTGAGCTGAAATTACACCATTGCACTCCAGCCTGGGCAACAGAATGAGACTCTATCTCAAAAAAAAAAAAAAAAAAAAAAAGATAGGGAACAAATGACATGAGCCCTGCAATTACTGCAGCTCATTGCCTTGAATGAGTTTCCCGGCTGCAGCACAGGGAAGGGAGACCCAAGTGGAGCTCAGCAGACTCCCTGAGTTGAGAATATAGAGCTGAAAGTCCGGGAAGACTAAGTTGGCCAGAGTTGCAGGACAGAGTACTGAAGAGAGCTGCCCAGAGAAGGAATCTCAGCGTTCTGCAGAGGGTCCCCATCAAATATGCATTTGAGAATCGATTGGTATATGAGTGCTGGAAAACTACCTAAGACCATGGAAAGAACCATCACAATGGACTAGAGGAAATAGTAACTTGAGATCACACAGGCTGGGAATAGTGCCTGTTTCCATTGGCCAGACTGAAAAGCCTCAGAATTCATTGGACATTGTGTAAAGTATTCAGAAGGGTCTCGACTTGGTAGTAATGCTGCTCTGGTCTCATTTTACAAACCTTAAGGGCAAGACCCAAAAGGATGAAGCTGCTTCCAAGTAGCTTAACTGTGTCCCAGAAAAAATGAACAAACTCAAGAATACTTACAGGAATACAAAGTATTTAGCATCCAACGAGGTAAAATTTTCCAGTCAAAAATTATTAGGGATGGGGCACATGTTGTCAGGACCTCCTGAGGCTGTGTCACAGAAAAAAAAATCAAATATACATATATATATTTTGAGACAGAGTCTCACTCTTGCCCAGGCTGAAGTGTAGTGGTGCAATCTCGGCTTACTGCAACCTCCACCTCCTGGGTTCAAGCAATTCTCCTGTCTCATTCTCTTGAGTAGCTGGGATTGCAGGTGCCCGCTACCACGACCGGCTAATTTTTTGTATTTTTAGTAGACATGGGGTTTCACCATGTTGCCCAGACTGGTCTCGAACTCATGACCTCAGGTCATCTGCCCCTCAGCCTCCCAAAGTGCTGGGATTACAGGCCCAAAAATAAATTTTAAAAATTACTAGGCATGCATAAGGAAAGAAAATACCACTCATGATGGACAGAAAAATCATTCCATTGAAATGGACCCAGAATTGACATAGATGTTAGAATTGCAGATAATGACCTGAAAACATATAGCTGTATTCCATATGTTTAAAAACTAGAGGAAAGATTGAACATGTTAAGTGGGGATTTTTTCTTTTTTCTTTTTTTTTTTTTTTTGAAGGAGTTTCACTCTTATTGCCCAGGCTGGAGTGCAATGACGCAATCTTGGCTCACTGCGACCTCTGCCTCCCAGGTTGAAGCGATTCTCCCGCCTCAGCCTCCTGAGTAGCTGGGATTACAGGTATGCGCCACCACGCCCGGCTAATTTTTGTATTTTTAATACAGACGGGGTTTCTCCACGTTGGTCAGGCTGATCTCAAACTCCCGACCTCAGTGATCCACCCGCCTCGGCCTCCCAAAATGTTGGGATTACAGACATGAGCCACCATGCCTGGCCTAAGTGGGGAATTTTAAGAGATGAAAACTATAACGGAATATACAATGGGATAGAAAACTTTTGGGGTGGTGAATTTGTTATTATGATGTGGTGATAGCTTCACATGTTTGTATGTCAAAATATATAAAATTGTGCCCTTTGAATATGTGTAGTTTATTGTCTGCTAATTGTGCCTCTATAAAGCTATTATAAAATAATATAAATTTAAAAAAGGACAAGAGAATATTGTAAAAAATTTTATACCAACAAATTTGAAAACATAAAATGGGCAAACATACAGAAAAATAAAAATTACCAAAACTGACTCAAGAAGACATAGAAGATCTAAATATACCTGTATCAAGTAAACAAATTGAATTGGCAATTAAAAACTTTTCCACAAAGAAAAGTCCAGGCCCAGATGGTTTCACTGGTGAATCCTATCAAATATTTAAGGAAGAAATGCTACCAGTTCTATGGAAACTCAGAAAATACAGGGGGAAGAAGCAATTCCAAATTCATTTTCTGAAGCTAGTATTACCCTGATACCAAAGCCAGACAAAGAAATCACAAGAAAGAAAACTATACCTCAATATTCCTCATGAGCACAGATACAAAAATCTTTAACAAAGAGCAAATCAAGCCCAGCAATATTTACAGAAGATAATACATCATGGCCAAGTAAGATTTATCCCAGTAATGCAAGGTTGGTGTAACATCCAGAAATCAATTCCTGTTCTACACCATATGATCAGATAAAGGAAAAAAAATTATAAAGCCATCTCAATAGATGCAGGAAAAGCATTCAACAAAATTCAACAACCATTCATAACAAAAACTCTCAGTAAACTAGGAATAGAAGGGAACTTCCTTAACCTGATAAAGAACATCTATGGACTGGGTGCAGTGGCTCATGCCTGTAATCCCAACACTTTGGGAGGCCAAGGTGGGTGGATCACTAGAGGTTAGGAGTTCGAGACCAGCCTCGCCAACATGGTGAAACCCTGTATCTATTAAATACAAAAAAAAAAAAAAATTAGCTGGCCATGATGGCAGGCACCTGTAATCCCAGCTACTCAGGAGGCTGAGGCAGGAGAATTGTATGAACCCGGGAGACGAGGTTGCAGTGAGCTGAGATCATGCCATTGCACTGCAGCCTGGGTGACAGAGCGAGACTATCTCAAAAAAAAAAAAAACAAACAAAACAACAACAACAAAAAACACCTATTAAAAACCTACAGCTAACATCATATTTAATGGTGAAAGACTAAATGCTTCCTACCTAAAATCGGAAACAAGATAAGGATGTCTGCTCTCACCATGGCTACTCCACACTGTGCCATTTGAATGGCTGAGATAAACAAAACAAAACACCTGACTCTACCCAGTAAAGCAGGAAAAAAAAATGGGGGACAAGGAAGTTGCTGCGGAGGAAGGACTGTGAGAACAAGGATGGATACTCTGACCTATATTCACGGCTGGTTTGACATCTGTGTGCTACAAACCACCAACCTTCTGGCCGAGATTGGCGGAGAAGATGGGCTTCCATGGAGACGGAGCCCCGCCCAACAGGGCAGAGAGGCATGTGACCCAGTCATTGCAGAGCACTGTGACAGGCTCCACAAGGGCTCCCAGCTCTGTGGGCACACTGAGGAGGGGGCCATCAACCCCTTCTGGGAGAGGGGAGGCTTCCCAGGAAACGAAGTGCCAGAGGGTGGAGCCTCCTGGGAGCCCAGACGGTGGAGACTTGAAGCTATTAGCTTCACTTCCTGCCATTCCCTCCCTCCTCTTCCCACCCACTAGAGTGCCAGGTGACTGTGATTTCTTTTTTAATTAAAGTGAACCCAATTCAATCTTGCCTAGAGAGTTTCCTGATACCTCTTGGAATAGAGTCTTGCTGGGGTGTTGCAAAAACTGGGTTGGGCATCTGTATTCTAAACTCTGAGGGCAACTGTGGGGACCACCCTCCCGGATGCGAGTTTGGTCTCAGTGGGGTTGGGGGCAGGACTAGGTGGCAAGGACAGTGTTCCAGGTGCATAGAGGGACCTGTGCCCACCCGGTGCTGTCTTCATAGAAGAAAACAAAAGCCCCTGCACAAAGGCCCTGCCATGGTGCCCGGTGTGTTGAACTGTCCAGAGACCCTGTGTGACCAGGGCATCATTAGCAGAGACCTCAGGGAGCCACAGAAGTCTGGGAGGTAAACATCTGTGTCCAAGGGCAGGGCAAAGTCTTGGGGTGGTTATTCAGCTCTGTGAGTGCATCTAATTGTCTCAAGGGCGTAGCTTTGTCCCAGCAACATTGGCAACTCCTGGCGGGCAGAATTTGGCTTCACATAGTTTCCTTATGCGCCTAGAAAGGAGGGAACGAACATCTATTGCAAGCCTGCTGAGTGCTTATGGGCATTATGTATGCATTCAGTCTTTGTGTCTACATGGGGACATTATCCCCATTTGAAGATAAGGAAACTGAGGCCCAGAGAGGTGAAGTAACTTGTCCGAGGTCACACAGAGGCAGATCTGGGATTCCAACCACAGTTTGTTTCACCAAAGCCCCCGCTTGGAAATCCTGGGCCAGTGAGGGCACCGCTGCGACTAGCCTCCTCATCTGGTTCATTCCCCAAAACCCGGCACCCCGGAGATGGGGCAGCAGGCGGGCATCCTGAGGTCAGTGCCTCCCTGCCTGCTTGGCTGTGTGCCTCAGGTGTCCTGGGTGCTAGGAACGTCATGGTAATCTCATGCATGAGTAAGGCTCGAAAGATGTACTGAAAGTTAGATGCAGTGATTAAGAAGACGGAAGGGGTGTCCCCCAGCTTCCCACCCCTGCCCCACTGTCGTTTCCCAATTCCTTCTACTGGTTTGACAGAAGGAACCAGTCCAGTTGACAGGAGGGAGGTGCTGGCCTCAGGCATGGCTGCAGGAAGCAGGCTGGGCAGGAGCAGGGCACGATTGCAACAGCACCCTGCCGCCAGCCACCTGCCGCCTGCCGCCTGCCGCCTGCCTTGCTCCATCCTGCCTGGCGGCCGTGTGAGGCTGCCTGTGTGTCTGTCATTGCTACTGGGACCCCTCGGGGATACCCACCCCCTGGGATTGGCCTTGGATCCTGCTGGTCCTCTACTAGCCCAACATTCTGCTCCTGTTTGTGGATGTTCAACTCTGAAAGTCCTCAAACAAGCCCCTATGTGGTCACAAAGTACCCCCCTGGTCACTCAGGTCTGGAGGACTCCAAGCACTCTTTGCTGGGGGCCAGGCTCAGGGGCCTGATGTTTCGAATCGCCTTTCTGAGGGCCTGTCCTGGCTCCCAGGTGACTGTGGGAGATCCTGAGCTATGCCCTTGGAGCACCCTTCGCCAACTCCAGGCACAGCCAGTGTCCCCACCCTGGTGGCCTCTCCCCCTTGAACAGGCACACTGTGGCCCTGAGGATGATGTGTGATGATGACTTGTTCCTGATTTGCCTCCCATCAGTTTGTAAGCCTCTGGCACATAGAAGGTGCTCGGGAAAAGTCTGGAGACAGAAGGGAAGGAGGGAGGGAGGGAGGAGAGAGGGAGGGAGGAGAGAAGGAGGGAGGGAGGGAGGAGAGAAGAAGCAAGGGAGAAAAAGTGGGAGGCTGGAGCAGGGGAGAGAGGAAGGAAGGAAAGTGGGAAAGAAAGGAGAAGGAGGGAAGGAGGGGTGAGTCTAGCACAGTGCTCAACCCATAGGGGTGTTGTTGAATAGAAATAAATGATTCTGGGCTCACATCTGTAATCCCAGCACTTTGGGAGGCCGGGAAGAGTGGATCACGTGAGGTCAGGAGTTCGAGACCAGCCTAGCCAACATGGTGAAACCGTGTCTCTACCAAAAAATACAAAAATTAGCTGGGCATGGTGGCATGAGCCTGTAATCCCAGCTACTGGGAAGGCTGAGATGGGAGAATCACTTGAACCAGGAGGCAGAGGTTGCAGTGAGCCCAGATCGCACCGTTGCACTCCAGCCTGAGTGACAGAAAAAGACCTGTCTAAAAAAAAGGGAGAGATGGGGGAAGGAAGGAAGGGAGGGAGGGAGGGAGGGAGGGGAGGGGAGGGGGAGAGAGAGAGAGAAAGAAAGCAAGAAGGAAAGAAAGAAGGAAGGAAAGAAAGAAGAAAGAAAGAGAGAGAGGGAGGGAAAGAGAGATGGAAAGAGAGAGAGAGAAAGAAAGCAAGAAGGAAAGAAAGAAGGAAGGAAGGAAGGAAGGAAAGAAAGAAGGAAGGAAGGAAGGAAGGAAGGAAGGAAGGAAAGAAAGAAAAAGAAAGAAAGAAAGAAAGAGAAAAAGAAAGAAAAGAAAGAAAGGAAGGAAGGAAAGAAAGAGAGAGAGAGAAAGAGAGAAGAGAAAGAGAGGGAGGGAGGAAGGAAGGAAGGAAAGAGAGAGAAAGAAAGAAAGAAAGAAAGAAAGAAAGAAAGAAAGAAAGAAAAAGAAAGAGGATTCTGATGCATCTGCTTGCTAAATGTATTACCTTCTGAAAAGGAAACATTTTGTTGTTTTTATGATAGCGTTAGCACATGTCAATGTTAATGTTTTTCTAGATCAAAGATTGGCAAATTATTTTTCTATGCAGAGCCTAAATAATTTAGGTTTTGTGGATCACATGCTCGCTATAGCAAATTCTTCTGTTTTTGTTTGTTTGTTTTTACAATCATTTCAAAAGGTAAAAGCCATCCTTAGCTCATGGGCTGTATGAAAACAGACCATCAGCTGCATTTGGCCCATGGGCCATAGTTTGCAACCCCTATTCTAGATAATCCTGAAAGGTATAAATCAGAAAGCAAAGATCACCTGTAAAGCCCTCATCCAGAAAGAACCCCTGACACCATGTTGGTGGGTTTCTCTCTGGACTCTCTCTGGGAGTTTTGGTGATGAATATTTTACTGAAATAGGGTCAAACTCTAGATTCTGTTTAGCAACTGTCTTCTTTAAATTCAACAATATTATGTGGACCTAGCGCCACACTCCTGAATATGTACCTAGGACATCGTTCTTATGGATGGGTAGAGCCGCATTGCATGAGCCTAACCATTTCTTAGGCATATCTTGAGAGTAGAAGAGTTATGGCTTCTAAGTCCTTGCTCAGCTTATTCAAAGAGATCAAAACGATGAATGAATGACGGAGTTTAGTGACCTGGATACACAGCAGCCCTCCTACGGCAGACACACAGAAATGCCTCTTTGGTTTTTTTTGAGACAGTCTCATTCTGTCACCCAGGTTGGAATGCAGTAGCACGAGCTCGGCTCACTGTAACCTCCGCCTCTCAGGTTCAAGAGATTTTCATGTCTCAGCCTCCCAATTAACTGAGACCAGAGGCGTGCGCCACCATACCCGGCTAATTTTTGTATTTTTAGTAGCGATGGGGTTTCACCATGTTGGCCAGGCTGGTCTCGAACTCCTGGCCTCAAGCGATCTGCCCACCTCAGCCTCCCAAAGTTCTGGGATTACAGGCATGAGCCACCGCACCCAGCATGAAATGCCTCTCTCTGATGACTTTATTATGCATTTATTTTCACCCACCGCTTTCCAGCAAGGGCAGGAAGTCTCAGGTGGCGCTGACGGAGCAGAGAAGAGACACACAGACCCATGTGAGCCTTCACCCCCGGGCTGGGCTGGAGAGCGATGCTGTTGGACTGAACAGGAGCCCAGTTGATCGGGGCCTGGTGGAGGCGACAAAGCTGCCAGGCCCCAGCCTCGGAGCTCTTTGATGGGCCTTTCAGGCCAGGTGACACTGACTCACCCAGTCACACAGAGGTTTCTCCAGCATGAGTGTGGCCACAATTTAGAGACTCTGGGAGTCGGGGTCCTTCACTTTGCAGGTGGGGGTTGGATGCCCCGGCAGACAAGACCTCAGAGGACGGGAGATGGGAGTCTTTTCAACACATCCTAAGGCACCAGGGTGGCGGAGGCTTCGTGCATAGTGATAATACACAATGGAATGTGTCAGCCATGTGCAGGCCAATGCAACTTCATTTAAGTCTCCCCCTGCCCAATGAGAACAGCCCCTCCTTACAGGTGAGGAACTTAAAGCACAGAGCAGTCAAGTAATTTGCCCAAGGTCACATTGTGGGAAGCGGGAAACCCCAGAGCTGACCCCTCCACCCGGCTCGGACTCTAGTGCTCTCGAACAGTGCGACAGGGCCTGTATTCTCCTGTGCAAACCAAAAGCACCCATGTTGGGGATGCTGCCGTGCAGTGGGAAAGCCACGTGAGCCCCCCACCCTCTAGAAGCAGGAGAGCGTGGGGAGTCCCCCGGCCTCTGTGAGCTGCATCTCATCTGTGCAATGGGGGGCATTGCGCTTCCCTCCTCATCCTCCAGGAGGGGTGCTGGGAGACACAACCCAGAGCATGGACATGCACGCACTTTGGGTCATGTGATGTGAGGGGTGACAGCTGGGCAAGCTGGCCGATGGGGGACATCTCAGAGAAGTGGCACTGAGGTCAGAAGCAAGATAAAAGCACTGTCAGCTGAGAAAGGCACCTGCCCTCCTCTCCAGCCAGGGACCTCTCCACCAGGCCCCAATCAACTGGGCTGCTGTTGAGTCCAATGGCATCGCTCTCCAGCCCAGCCTGCGAGTGAAAGCACATGCGGGTCTGTCTCCCTTCTCTGCTCCATCAGCACCACCTGAGCTCCAGGTCCTGAACCCTCCCCTCTGCCCTTGCCCTGCCCTGGTCCAGAACCTCTCCCGTCTCCCCTGAACTATTTCAACAGCTTCCCGCTGGGCTTCCTGCCACCTGTCACCACCCTCCGTCCACCCTCCCCACCCAGCCGCCAGCATCACTGACCTAAAAACTGAACCTGGTCATTTCACTCTCTGGCTCCAAATCCTTCTGTGGCCCCAGTGTCGTGGTCTGAGCTACATGGCATGGCAAAGAGCCCTCTACTGCCCAGCCATGCCTCCCCGCTCACTCATCTCTCCCTGCTCTTGCTCCCAACACGTACCTCTGAGCCTTAGCACATGCCATTCCCTCTGATCAATCCGCCCCCTCTCCTTTCCCGGTGACTTCCAGTACATCCTTGAAGATTCTTCCAAGTATCGCCTTCCCAGAAGGCCTCCCCCCGACTCCTGGGTAGTCAGGTCCCTCCTCAGTGCACCACATGCTTTGCACAAATAGTCCAGGGCTTGGAACTCTCTGCGCGTACACTTCCCCTTGCCCATCAGGGTCTGGGAAGACCCTCATCCCCGTATCCCCAGGACCCACACCAGGATCTGGCCCAGCATCAGCTCCAGCCTGCAGGGGCTGAGTTAGGGACCAGATAAAAGCCAGCACCAGAGGGGCCTGGTGCCCAGCCCCGCTCACCCACCCCTTGTGCAGGGTCCCAGCCCATGTGCCAGCCTGGGTGGAGCCGGGGTGCCAGTGAGAACCCAGTAAGACAAGCAAGAAGATGCTTGTCTGAGGACCGAGCCAAGGATGACTTCACCGCCAAGTCAGCCTCCCAAACATGCAGGGCGGGGGGTGGGGGCCGCCCTCCTAGGAGGGGCGGTACCTGGGACAGTTTTAACAGGCAAGGAGCGTGCTTGGGGGCCAAAAAGCGAGGCGGGTGAGTCAGGGCAGGGGAGATGCCTTGCCCTTAAAAGGAGAACAGCCTCCTTCTCACCTGTCCCTCCTGAGCACATCACACTCATAAAGAGAAAAAAGGAAAAGAAAAGCAATCAGAGGGAACGGGCCCAAATCCCACAGCTGGCACTTTTTCTCGGAGGTGATTAGTGCTCATTCGGAAAGAATGGATGACACCATCCCTGGCGTGAGCCAAAACACAAGGGCCTCAGGTGTCCCCCAGGGGGAGGACCCAGGACCCAGCCCACTCCTCCCGTCCCTATCCCCACCAGTCATGCCCCAAACACGTCTGCCCCGGAGGGGCCTGTGTGAGGTTCCACACCTCCCAGGAGGATCTGGATCCAGGCGCTGCCTCTTCCCGAGCCCACAGAGCTCCAGGTTCTGCGGGGACTTCCGGAGGTCACAGCAGAACCACGAGGTGGGTCCTAGGGACAAGATGCCACAGGCAAAGAGACAGAGGCCCGAGGAAGAGAGGGGTGCTCAGCCTACACCATTAGTGAGTGACAGCGCCAGGAGACAAGGGACTCACAATGCAGCCCCCTTGGTGTCATCCTCCTGGAGAAAGGGACGCCATCAGTTGTCACTCCCGGCAGTGACTGCCCCCACCGGAGCCCCATCGCAGGACCCAAGTGAGGGTGTCGAGAGCAGAGTTGCCAGCCCTCAGGTGACAGCTGGGTTATGACCTGGGTCGCCAGGGTTGGTACCCTCCCAAAGTCACACTGGGGACCCCCAGTCCACGGAGGCAGGGCAGAGACCTGTGAGCCATCAGGTCCAGAGGGTCCACCCTGCCTCCTGCCAGGGAGTTCCGTGGGGACAGGAGGTTCCTGCAGGGCAGGGTCACTTGCCCCAGGAGGGAGCCGGGCACAGAACTAGTGTCTGTCCATGTCCACCAAGCTGAACTGAACTGAAGGAGGCTGCTCAGTGGGGCCACAGTTAGAGGCTGAATCGTGTTCCCTGCCCTCCCCCCAAAACAAAAAAAAATTGATGTTCTAACCCCAGAACCTCAGAATGTGGGCTTATCTGGAAACAGTCTTCATAGAGGGCACCAGGTTAAAATGAGGTTATGGTAGTGGCCCCTAATCCAGTATGACCAGTGTCATTTTAAAAGGGGAATCTTGGGCACAGAGACAGACATGCTCAGAGCAAAGAGGACGTGATGAAGGCAAAGATGGGGTTATGCTTCGACAACCCTGGGAACGTCAAAGAGTGGGGACAGGGGCCTGTGCTGGGGCCTCCCTCTGAGCCCTCCGCAGGAGCCAAGCCTGCTCTTGGTCTCAGATCTCTGGCCTCCAGAAGAGTGAAACAATTTCCTGTTCATTTCAGCCACCCAGTATATGGTACTGTGTTACGGCAGCCCTAGCAGACTCCCAGCTGGCTTCCTGGATGTGTGACACCTGCAGTTACACAGGGCTCAGAAGGACCCACCCTTGGTTTAATGCTCTGCATTCCCTGTCCTGAATTTCTTAACTTTTGAATGAGGGATGCACGTTTTCATGTTGCATAGAGCCCCACTAAGGGTGTAGCTGGTCCTGTTTTCAGACCTCCCTGGCAAGCCCCTGTCAGGGGCCCAGATACCTCCCCAGAGCCAGGGCGCAGCTCAGCACTAGGTTTTGAATTCGGTGAGACCCAGCCCCAGCAAGGTCAGAATCCCAGGGGATGGCTCCAACTTGGCCTCCTGCCACCTCAGTTCCCCAAAGACCTGCTCAAGGATGGGAGGTCCCCATCATGGCCCTTAAATCAGGAGGAGTCCCTAGACATGGCCACACACCCCATGCCCTCCCTAAAGCCCCTCAATCTTTTCTTGACTTTGTGCTAACTCAGGTCACAGCAGCCAGCATGTCTAGACTCCTGCCTGGCGCTCGGCATCACAGCCTCGCGATTCTGCACAGGACACTCAGCCTTCTGGGAACTAGCTGTAGGGGATAAGAAGCAGCTCCTATTTATTTATTCTTTAAAAACCAAACAGACCCTCCCAGCAGGCAGGTCACCTCATTGGGCGGGAGTTGTGTTGGCAGCTCTGGAGAGAGCCAAAGCACTGTGTCCCTGACACCCAGGGTGACAGGAGCTGGGTCCACTCCCTTCACCCGGTGGTCAGAGAGAGCCTGAGCAGGGAGGAGGAGGGGCTGGCAAGGGGAAGAAGGGCCTGATTCTCTGGGCGGCCGGCTCCTGCCAAAAGCAATATCGCGTATCATCATATTAACTCCCTACAACAAAGCCAGGGAGAGAGAGAGAGATAAAATAAAGCCAGGATAATTGAGGCCCACAGATCATTCCAAATCCGACTTTAGCGCTGAGTTTCACGGTGCAGCAACCTTTTACTCATTCATGTCGGCTAGCGAGAGCTCCTCTTCTCATCTTGCCCCCACCCAGTGAGCTAGTACAGTGGCCAAGGGAGGACGCAAGGGGCCGAATGGAGGGAGGAGAGGGAGAGGATGATCCTGGTGGTGATGGTAACTCACAAAAAAAACCAGCCCACCTGCCCTGAGTAGGGTGGAGTTGGCTGTACCTCTCTCAGCCAATTACAGTGTCCCCTGGCCCAGCCTATCTGTTCCCTCCCTTCACCCAGCCAACTCCTCCTGGCACCCTTGAAGACTCCACCATGCCTTGCCTCCTCTGGGATGCCCGTCCTGATATCAACATCACCCACCCCAGCCTGTCTCTTGCTCCGTTCCTTTACGATGTGTTCATGAAGCCTGTAATCCCAGCACTTTGGGAGGCCAAGGTGGGAGGATCGCTTGAGCCTGGGAGCTTAAGACCAGCCTGGGCAACATAGCGAGACTCAAGTCTCTACTAAAAAAAAAAAAAAAAATTTTATATTAGCCAGTCACGGTGGTGCTCACCTATAGTCCCAGCTACTTAGGAGGCTGAGGCAGGAAGATTGCCTGACCCTAGGAGGTCGAGGCTGCAGTGAGCCGCCATTATCACATCACTGTACTCCGGCCTGGGTGACAGACTGAGACCCTGTCTTTAAAAAAAGAAAAAAAGTGTTAAACATTTTACCTGGATGATCAGCCCCGCCGTCTTGTTGGAGCCTTTGATTGAACGACTTGCCTCTCTGCCTTATATGGAACCTAGTGCTGAGGAGGAGGACGTATGTGCTGGACACTTTTGGGAGGGGAAGTCTCTAAGGAGGCAAGAGAGGAGACTCAAAAACCACTCAGGATGGCCTGGCAAGAGATGGCGTGCTTACACTAGGGGGTCACTGCAGGTCTGGTGAGCGTGGTCAGATGTTAGGTATATGGATGAACAAAGAAATGGATGGATTGCCAAAATAGAGAAAGATCTTGGGGCCCAGTGGAGACACAAGCTTAAACCCATTTTGGTGGTGGTGCTGGTGAGAGAATGGCAAGGGCAGAGGGCAGGCAGGTAACTTTTGCTTCTTCCAACCCAGGATCTCAGCAACCTGGAATGGATGTGGCTCCCTCGGAAGCAAAGTCAGATAGTGGCATTTATTGGGTAACCTCTGTGGCTCTTTTGAGCCTATTCTTGGCATGGACCCCATGCCAGGAGGGGAAGGAACAGATACTCCCCAAGTTACCTCCAGCCCTCCATTCAAAGAGCTCAGTCCGACCAGGAAACAAGGCAGCCATGGGCAGCTTGCTGGCAGTGCCTGAATTAGTTCCCGTGAATCTCAAGCAATCAAACAAAACCAAGGGCACAGGCAGAGGCCTGTGGGGACCGCCAGGGGGGACTTTGCACGGGAGCATCAAAGTATTGGGGTTTGCTTCATTATCAAGGTCATGCTTGGGAATTTTGCAAACAACAAGGAGGTAGTAACTTACCACCTCCCACCATGCTTCCCAAGACAATGGCTGTTTTATTCAGGTGCTTTCCTTCTGGATCGTTCTAGGTATGGTTTTCTGTACAGGGGAATGGAGAGGCAAGGGGCCCCCACTGAAGGAGGCTGCCCCACCACCCTATTCTTGGGCCCCACACAATTCAATCTTAGAGGGGCACAGCATCTCTGATGGCAGAGTTGTGACCCTTGCCGCGTGGGTCTCAGGACTCCACCTGCTCTCTGGGTACATTTTTACAAGGCTGATGCAACAGTCCACACCTGCACAGGTGTGTGCAATCCTCATGGGGCTCTCTGGCTCTCCAAGGAGGGGGTCAAGAGGGCTTCGAGGTTGTCCAGGGCAAATGAGCAAACAGTGCTGCCTCCGTGAGGGTTTGCATGCAACTCCCGCCCCCCACATCCCTATTCATTTATTCATTTACTTAGATGTCCATCAGCACACCTTCTGGGGATCCAGGGAAAAGTACAACAGAGTCCCTGCCCATTAGGAGTCCTTGTTTTAGAGGAGACAAACAACCAAAGAAACAATTACAGCTGGGCTTGCGAAAGGCACCATGGAGCTGCTGACTCCCACAGTAGCCCAGGGGGGTTCCCAGGGAACAGACACCCAGCCTCCCTGTCCCCCGCCCAGACACTGAGGGTGGGGACCCTGGAAGGCATGAGACCAAGGGCTCCCTAAGGACACGCAGCAATTGTCTCTTCAGACTGCCCTGGAAATAATGGGGACAGGAATTCTGCAAAAGCCTCCCCAAGGCTGGGAAGATCGGCTTTGCAAGTGGGTTCCTTGAGAGCTGGGACCATGTCTCCTTCTCATTAGACAAATCGCTGAACAAAACTGACGGGTGCAAAAACACTTTGCAAACTGGAAAGCTTTGGATGAAGTTGGGAGCTTGGAAGCAGAGATGGTCGTCACTAGACTGGGAGCCTCCTGAAGGCAAGGGCTGTGCCTCCTCCGTCTGACTGGAGGCCCCTGTTTTAATTCTGTAGTCCCAGAAGCTTCTGCATCTGGGGCATGCTTAGTGAACCCTCTTCCTCCAGTTACATGGATGCTCCAGAATTAAGGCTGAGCTGATGCACCTGAACCCCTTCTGTCTCTTACAAAGAAAATCCTAGCTGTACTCTGACATCTGAGATCATAATTTTAAACCATTTATTAAACCCCTTACTATATATATCACATAGTGTATAAGGGTAACTTTGACCTAAATTTATACTAGTTTGTAAATGACTATACAAGAAGATCTTTAACTTTTTTTTAACTGACAAATAAAAATTGTGTATATTTATGGTGTAGTTTTGATACAAGTGTATATTATGAAATGGCTAAATCTAGCTAACTACTATATGCATTACCCTACATATTTATTTTTTGTATATGATGAGAACATTTAAAATCTGCTCTCTTAGCAATTTTCAAGGACACGATACATTGTTGTTTACTATAGTCACCACGTCGTACTATAACAAAATCTTATCATCTTGGAGTTAGAAGGAAGCCGGGTGCTCTGGTTCTCAAACTTGTCTGCACAGGGATCACTTGGAGAGCTTTCAAAAGCACCAGGCTGCACTTCAGACCAATTAGATCGGAATCCATGAGAGTGGGATCTACATATCTGTACTCTTTAAATTCCCCGGATCACAGTGGCTCACGTCTGTAATCCCAACACTTCGGGAGGCCGAGAGCGGGAGGCTTCAGTTCAGGAGTTCAAGACCAGCCTGGGCAATATGGCAAAACCCCATCTCTACAAAAAAATACAAAAATTAGCTGGGCATGGTGGTGTGTGCCTGTAATCCCAGCTACTCAGGAGACTGAGTTGGGAGAATTGTTCAAGCCCAGGAGGTTGAGGCTGCAATGAGCCAAGATTGCACCTCTGCACTCCAGCCTGGGCAACAGAGCAAGACTCTGTCTCTAAATAAGTAAATAAATCCCCCCGGGGTGACTCTGGCATGTAATCAAGCTTCAGCAGTGTTCTAGAACGACTTCCTACCCAATACAGGAATCACAATCATTGATTCATTCAATAAGTATATATAAAGCACCTACTCAGTGCCTGAAACCAGGGCTGTCTCAGAATCTGTTTGTTGGTTTTCTAGCCTTTTCTTGGATACTTGAAGTGATGGCGAACTCACTGCCACATGAGGCAGAACTCTGCCCAAGATCTGGTTTGCAGTGGTGTGTAGAGAGGAGAGATGGGTTGAGAACGGGCAGCTGAGATGCATTGGGTCCTACTATGTGCCAGCAATGGTGTGGGAAATTTCACAGGAACTGCTTCTCTGAAACTTTACACACTTCTATCCAGTGAGATAGGAGATACAATCACAGTATTGCAGATGAGGAAACTGAGGCTCAGAGAGGATAAGGGGCCCATCCAAGACCACTCAGTTTGTGTGTGGCAGAGCAAGGTCCACATCCCAGGGTGTCACTTTTGTGGGGAGTTGGGGCTGGTTGGGGGAGAGGGAACACAGGTCAGGCAGGGGATCCCATCCGGGGATCATGCCCAGATGTCCAGAAAGAGTGCACTGCATTAGGCTGAAGTGCGGTGATGCAGTCAAAGCTCACTGCAGCCTTGACCTTCTGGACTCAAGTGATCCTCCCACCTCAGCCTCCTGAGTAGCTGAGAGCACAGGCATGCACTACTACACCTGGCTATTTTTTTAATATAGTTTTGTAGGGACAGGGTCTCACTATGTTACTCAGGCTGGTCTCGAACTCCTGGCCTCAAACAATCCTCCTGCCTCAGCCTCCCAAAGTGCCCTGTTAGGAAGTTAATATGGAGGTTGACTTACTAACCTCCACATTCTGGACACATGCTTCCCCCTCTTGGCCCTGAGCTGGGAGAGATTCTAACAAACTTAATTTCCCCAGAGAATTGGGGACCTGAGTCACCCCTCCAGAAAGTGGCACTTACATATAAAAGGACCAAGCTGAGCAGAGTAATGCTCAGCCTGAGGACTGACTGATGGTGACAGTGAGGTCCTGTGGGCAGGGAAGACCCATCCTGGGCATTCTCAAATCCTAGCCCAGAGGTAACGCCCTGGATGGGTCACCTATGTGGCAGTAACAGCAGCTGCCATTTTTTGCACACCTACTGTGTGCCAGGCGCTTTCCCTCCATGACCCCAGCCCTCACAGCAACCCTGCAAAGCCAGATTATGATGCTATTTTTCCAGACAGAAACAAAACAGAGACAAATCTGTCTTCTGATCCTGGGTTCCTCTCCACCAAGACCAGCGTTTTTCAAGCTGCAGGTTGTGACCCATGAGCGGGATGTGGAGTCAATGTAGGGGGCCCTGAGCAATGTTTTTTAATGAAATCAAATGGGGTAGGAAAGAGAGGAGAAAATAATGCATAAAAGAGAAGACTTGTTTCACGAAACTTTTGTTTCAGTTGTATGTGTGTGTGCATGTGTGTGTGTGTGTGTGTGTGCACGCGTGTGGTGTGCGGGGTCCCAATGTAGAATATATATTTATTTTATTTATTTATTTTTTTGAGACAGAGTCTCACTCTTGTTGCTCAGGCTGGAGTGCAGTGGCACAATCTTGGCTCACTGCAACATCCACCTCCTGGGTTCAAGTGATTCTCCTGCCTCAGCCTCCCGAGTAGCTGGGATTACAGGTGCACGGCACCACACCCAGCTAATTTTTGTATTTTTAGTAGAGGCAGGGTTTTGCCATGTTGGCCAGGCTGGTCTGAAACTCCTGACCTCAGGTGATCCGCCCGCCTCAGCCTCCCAAATTGCTGGGATTACAGGCGTGAGCCACTGCACCCGGCCGGTATATTTCTTACTGAGAGATGTGAGCCAAATGTTCAGAAGCCAACACCCTACGCTGTTGTCTATATGATGCTAATGTGAAGTGGCTCCCTTTCTTCCTGGGAAGGGATGGGGTGACAGTGTGCTTTGAGCACTCAGAAGGGAGGGCTCAGGAGGCCACAGGGTGAGATCACCCCTATTTAACAACTCCTCTGGGATGCGTAGAGTGAGAGAGGGCTCTAGCACCCAGCACTAGAGCTAAGAGCTCCTCCTACCCAGCAGGTTCAGGGTGGTCTTTATGTAACCTCCATGTCCAGCTGGTTCTTGAGGAGATTTAGGAACCAGCCAAAGGCGTAGGCAGTCTCCAGGCAGCATGAGGGATATGGAGTAGGACTCTGGAGGCCCGGTTCACCCAACAAAAACCCTGGAACCAAAGCAAACCACACCTATGAGCCCCATTTTCCTCATCTGTGAAATGGAACAATGGCCTAGCTCAGCGCTCCCCAGTAGAAATATAATGTGAACCATAAATATTCTAGCAGCCACATAAACTTGTAAAATTAAACAGGTGTCGTTAATTTAAATACTGTGTTATTTAACCCATCCATCCAAAATATTATCAATTCAACATGTAGTCAATACAAAAATCTATGAATGAGACTTTACATTGTTTTTTGCGTATGAAGTCCAGCGTGTATTTCATACCCGTAGCACATCTCAACTTGAGCTACTTACAGACCCAGGGCTCAATAGCATCTGTGGTTAGTGGCTACCAGATTGGGCAGTGCTGATGTAGATAATGTCTAGGGTCTCCTCTAAAATGCTGTGGCTGGATTCCAAAGGCCAGGCTCGATTGCCCACACATTTGTTTCCTGCTAAACCCTGAGACCCTGGCTGGTCCCAGCTGTAGAAAACCATTCAGGTGACACGTTTGGGGAGTTACTTCAAGTGACAATAAAATGGATCCTTGATTCTGAATTGCTCAGACCTGGCTTACTGAGCTGTGTGCTCTAGGGAAGTCATCTTCTCAAGCCTCAGTTGTTCTATCTGTAAATTGGGAATAATAATAGCTAGCATTACAAAGCACCTACTATGTGCCGGGCATTGTTCTACCACTTTTATGCGTATTAGTTCCTCATTCAGCATCTATCATTCCTCCTAATTTGTAGGAAGGAGCATGGAGGCACAGAGAGGTTAAATAACTTGCCCAAGGTCACGCAGCAATTATGTGGTAGAGCTGGGATCCGAACCCAACTGCCTGGCTCCAGAGTCCCTGTGCTGAACCCCAGGTCCACACTGCCAGCCTGGGGTGGCCCTAATGACTGAGTTTAAGGCTGCCCTGAAAGTGCATGGCACGGCGTCGGGCAGGCAGGCAGGGAAGAAATTGTTGTTGCTGCTGCCCTCAAATGGGGCAAGAAAGGACGTGGGAAGAGCCCCCTGGGTGACTTCCAAACACCTGGGACACAGCACAGTTATAGCGGGGAGGGGACAGCCCCTGCTGAGCCTTCCTTGTCCCGCCCCCAGTCGGAAGCCGAGAGGGGAATTTGGCTGAGAAGGCATCTTCCTCATAGCTTAGATGCAGAGGGCTCTGGAGGCGGGTGATTCAGGGTCTGAAGTGCCTGGGGCTCCTGGCTCTGGGGCAGTGGGGTAGGCTGACAGGGGTGGCCCTGGCGAGAAAGGTGGGTGGGCCAGGAGCCAGATGGGGGTGCCTCATCTAGGTCCCACCGCCAGCATCTTAGAGGGCGGAGGATGAAAGCAACCTGGGGGAGGGGCTCACCTGGGGGCCATCGCAGTAGCCAGGTCTTGGCAGGAGGAGGAGCTCGGCCACCACTAACTCAAAATCAGACTCAAACTGGCCTCAACAATAAAGAGGGTTCTTTAGCTGAAAAGTCCAGAAGTGATTCTGCCTTTAGGTGAGACTGGACACAGCTGGTCTAAATATCACCAAGGGCCAGGTGTGATGGCTCACACCTGTAATCCCAGCTACTCAGGAGGCTGAGACTGGGTGGGAGGGGGTGGAGGGGGGATCGCTGGAGCCCAGGAGTTCAACACCAGCCTAGGCAACAGAGCAAGATCCGTCTTGACAAAAAATTTAAAAATTAGCCAGGCACTGCGGCTCATGCCTGTAGTCCCGGCTACTCAGGAAGCTGAGATGGGAGGATCACTGGAGCCCAGGAGTTCAAGGTTACAGTGAGCCGTGATCACACCACTGCACTCCAGCCCGGGTGACAAAGCAAGACCCTTTCTGAAAAAAATAAATAAATAAAATTTAAAAATAAAATAAAAATCACCCCAATCCACCCTTTTCCCCCATTTTTCCCCGGCCTGCTGCAGAGTTGGCTCCACTTCCGGCTGCAGAGTTCTGACCCCAGGCAGCTCCCAGGGCTATGAGCCTCCCTGTCCCCTCCAGCAGGAGAGAGAAGCTCTCACCTTAGCATCGCCAGCCCAAGGCCTGAGACTCACTCCGACCAGGGCTGGCTTTGGTCACACGTCCAACCCTGTGGCCAGAGGCATGGCATACACTGACTGGCTGTTTGGATCACACGCTGTACCTGGTTCCCCACCGCCTTCTTGGGAAGGGGAGATGGGAAAGGGCAGATAGGGGCTCTGGGCAGGCAGTGAGCAGATGTCTGCCCATCGGCCTCCGGTTCCATGTCTGTCTGGCTGTGTGACCTGGGCAGTCTCCTCTCAGGCCTCGGTGGACTAGAGAAAATGCTTCTGACCTTCATTTTCGGTAAAGAACCCTGATGGTAAAGCTCCAATGAGTAGGGAGGGATAGCATTTGGAGATATATTATAGCAGGGAGGGGACAGCCCTTGCGGAGCCTTCCTTGTCCCACCCCCAGCCGGAAGCCGAGAGGGGAATTTGGCTGAGAAGGCATCTTCCTCATAGCTCAGATGCAGAGGGCTCTGGAGGCGGGTGGTTCAGGGTCTGAAGTACCTGGGGCTCCTGGCTCTGGGGCAGTGGGGTAGGCTGACAGGAGTGGCCTCAGTGAGAAAGGTGGGTGGGCCAGGAGCCAGCAGGAGCTTCTCTCTCCTGCTGGAGGGGACAGGGAGGCTCATGACGAGTTACTGGGTGCAGCACACCAATATGGCACATGTATACATATGTAACTAACCTGCAAGTTGTGCACGTGTACCCTAAAACTTAAAGTATAATTTAAAAAAAAAAGAAATCAAATCCAAGTGGAGACGCCGTGGTTGACGTGGGGGTGAGGGTCCTGATCCCTGCTCCCTGCAGGGGACCCCAAGGGCCTCTGCTGCTCCCTCTGTCCCCAGAAGACATGGGTCACCAGAGTCAACATGGAGTCCAGCACAGTTGCCAGCACCCGATCTCGGCTGGTTAAACCAACCAGGCAACATCCAAGGAAATGCGACCTCAAGGTGGCAGCCCGACGGGCTTGTCATCAAGGAGAGAAGGGGATCCATAAACTCCACTCCCACCATCACCGCCACCCCTCAGCACCCTCAGCCTCCTCAGAAAGCCCCCGCCCCCGACCACAACCTCACAGCTGAAGTGGTGTGGGTGAGGGTGGTGAGGAAGTGGTGCCAGTCGGGGCAGCACAGTCGAAGCCATCACCGCTGTGGGTGATCGGGCCAGAAACCAGGCTGGGGAAGACAGGGTGATAGCCATGAACAGAGCTGCCTTTGACTCCAGAGGACAATGCCCCCCCAGTGTCCCCTGAGGCTGGCCCTTGCTGTTGAGTCACTGTCTGCTCCCTCAGAGCGGTTTGGGCCAATGCTGAGTTATTTCAAAATAATAATAGACTAGCGATGCAGTCATAGAATAGAGAATAGAGAGGCGTGCAGGGTTGCGGCTCTGTTATATGAACTGACACTTACTGAGCCCCTGCTCGGTGTAAAGGCCGTACATGTACTGACTCATCTCACCCTCACGACAGTGACGTGAGGTGGGACGTGAGTTATGCCTGACCTGCATGAGGCTCAGAGAGGCAACAGCACCTGCCCGAGCCACTCAGCTAGAAGTGGTAGGTGGACCCGGGTCTGTGCAACTCAAAGCCTGCAGTTGACACACTGCAGCCATTAATTTTGCAGAAGACGACACTATTTGGTCACCATCATCAAATCTTCCAAGGGTGGAATGGAAGAGAATTCCATGAGAATTCAGAGGACAGAACAATGTCTAACACGGGGGTGTGTCTGGGCAGCAGATTTCAACTCGACCCAGGAAAGAACTTCGTGGCACTCCGAGGGCCAGGGCAGCCTGGTGGTGTGGAATGAGCCATCTATTACTGGAAGTGCCCAGGCAGGGGCTGAAGGTCATTTGGAACAATGTGGCGGGAATTTCCACACTGCTGAGGGTTGGACAAACAGCCTAAGAGCTTCCGTTTGGCTCTGAGGTGCTGGGATTTCAAGTTGATTTATGTAATGGGCCCCCTGCCTGCAATCTCAGCCCCTCCAATCCACTCTCCATGCTGCAGACTGTAAGCTTTCCAAAACACCCCTCCAGCGTGCTGTCCCTGCAGAAGTCCTCGGGCGGCTCACCACCTGTTCCAGTTACCACTGCTGGCTAACAACCCCTTCCAAAACTTAGTGACTTAAAACAACCACCTGACGCTCAGTCTGTGGGTCGGGAATTCAGATGACTCTGCTCCATGATGTCCTGGGAAGATTAGATGGGTAGGAGCTGGGGTTAACTGGAAGAGTCCTCTTCCCATCTGGCTGTCGATGATGGCATAGTCGGGACCACAGCAGGGCTGTTGGTTGGACACCTAGATACAGTCTCACCTGTGGCCTCTCTGCATGGATGGATTAGTTTGGGATTCCTCACTGCATGGTGGCCGGGTCCAAAGAGTGACTATCCCAAGACAGCAAGACAGAAAGGTATTTGTGTGACCTAAGCTTGGAGGTCACAGAGCATCACACAAAAAGCGCCACCGTACACACAAAGTATCCATTATACACAAAGCTCCACCCAGGCTCAAGGGAAGGGGACAGACCCCAGTGCTGGATGGGCGGAGTGTCAAGGCCATTTTGCAAGAAGAGCAAGTGGAACAGTAGCCAGGGTTGCAGCCACATTTGGGAAATATAATCTACCTACCACATGTCACTCTTCAAAAGGGGTCCAAGCCATCACTCGACACAGCTGATGAGGCCCTGTTCACATCTCCAGCCTCCCTGGGTTTTGCACATGCTGTTCCTTCTGACCAGAAAACTTGTGCACACATCCCACCTCCACCCGCTTCACCTGGCCCACCTCTACTCACCCTTCAGGGCTCAACAGAGATATCGCCTCCTCGCCCAGGAAGCCTGCCCTGACCCTGCCCACATCCAGCTGAGTGGGAGTCTCTCCAATCCATGACCACATTTGTCTCTTGGGATACGGTGGCTTCTCTACTGATTGGTCTCCAACAGACTGCAAGCCCCAAGGGCGTGGATAGGGTCTACCCCATCTACTGTGATATCCCTGGCACCTGGCCAAATGCCAGTCCCTTTCTGGGTCCTGCTGGCAGCCTCCTCCCACAAGAAGTCTTCCTGGATTGCACCTGAAAGCATTAGGTGTCTCTCCTGTGCTCCCACGGTGCCCCCACTCTACCCCAAGCAGGTGTTTGGGAATGCCTGGGGGAAGGGAAAAGCTCTTTTCCTCGTTCCCAAGCCAGAGCTTGTTACTGCAATGAAAGAAGCAACAAATTACCAGCCAGGCTTGGGGGCTAATGATGGAAACCAAGGCATTGTTCTGGGTGCTGCTAATTGCATGCCTCCGCAGTGAGGCCCACTCAGCCTGCAGCATGTCACCGCTAACTTCTGCCCATAGCGCCAGGCCCAGCCTGGAAGGGGGCCAGACACAGAGTTTACTGGGGCAGGAGGGGTGTCCCTGGAGCAGTGGGTCCCAAAAGCGTGACTGCAGCTGCCTCTCCTGGAGGCCTATTACAAATACAGATTCCCAGGCCCTGCCCCAGAACCACTAAGTCTATATCTGAGGGGCTGAGTCTCCAGGGATAGGCATTCTTGACAAGCCCCCAAGGGGATTGTGAAGCCCAGCCTAGGCCTAGGGTTTCTGATCCCATCCCCACCCCAAAGCCAGACAGAGACCTTCCACACCTAGCCCAGCTCACCCCGACAATGTGGCAAGATTCAGAAAATGAACCTGTTTAGGGGAGAAGGGTGGAGATGACAGAAGCCTCACCCAGGAACAGAGGTCAGGTCTTCTCATGAGCTGAGAGACCCAGGTCAAGTTAGTGCACCTTTCTAAACATAGGTGGGTTTCCCAGGAAGCTGAGAGACCTCAAACTTCACAGTCTCTGCAAGGCCCTGGGAGGAGCCCTAGCAATGGGCTCACTTGCTTGGAGATTTGTGTACAATTTGTGAAAGTAAGATATCTTAGCCTAGGCACATGGCAGCTCACGCCTGTAGTCCCAGCACTTTGGGAGGCTGAGTCAAGGAGTTTGAGACCAACATGGCGAAATCCCACCTCTACTAAAAATACAAAAATTAGCTGAGTGTGGTGACACATGCCTGTAATCCCAGCTACTCAGGAGGCTGAGGCAGGAGGATTGCTTGAGGCCAGGAGGTAGAGGTTGCAGTAAGCCGAGATTGTGCCACTGCACTGCAGCCTGTGTGACAGAGCGAGACCTTATCTCAAAAACAAAAGGAAAGAAAAAGGAAGGAAGGAAGGAAGGAAGGAAGGAAGGAAGGAAGGAAGGAAGGAAGGAAGCTAGGAAGGAAGGAAGGAAAGAAGGAAGGGGAAAAGAAAGAAAATGAAAGTAAGATTATCTTTTTATTCTTTTTCTTAAAGAGCACCCCACCACCACCAAATTGTATAAGCCTCAAACTCCCTTAAAAAATGAGGAGAGGCCGGGCGCAGTGGCTCACAGCTATAATTCCAGCACTTTGAGCGGCCGAGGCAGGAGGATCATGAGGTCGGGAGTTCAAGACCAGCCTGGCCAACATGGTGAAACCCCATCTCTACTAATAACACAAAAATTAGCTGGGCTTGGTGGCATGTGCCTGTAATCCCAGCTACTTGGGAGGCTGAGGCAGGAGAATCGTTTGAACCTGGGAGGCAGAGGTTGCAGTGAGCTGAGATCGTGCCACGGCACTCCAGCCTGGGTAGCAAGAGCGAAACTCTGTCTCGAAGAAAAAAAGAAAAAAAAAAATGAGAATAGGCCAGGTGCAGTGGCTCACATCTGTAATCCCAGTGCTTCAGGAGACCGAGACCGGAGGATTGCTTGAACCGGAAGGCGGAGGTTGCAGTGAATCATGATTGTACCACTGTACTCCAGCCTGGGCAACAGAGCAAAACCCTGTCTCTAAAAAAAAACTTTTTTTTTAAGAAGAATTTTAAGGACCTCGAGTGGTTATTGTGAGAATAACCGAGCGAAATGTAAACAAAGCTGGCAGCACAGTGCCTAAAACCCCACCACGGAGAAAGCGCCCTGGGCAAGGGGCTTGATCCCCCTGCACCGCTGTTTTCTCATCCGTAAAATGCAGGTGCAACCATAGCTACCTCCTCACGTGGTTTGAGCATGAAATGAGCTAATACAGGTGACGCACCCAGCTCAGGGCTTGGCACAGGGCAAATGCCCTCCAAGTACTGACTACTGCAACTGTCACTGGCAGGGGAACATGGCTCCCATCAATGAATAATTGTGGACAAGTGCAAGAGCCAGCGCATGAGTGACAGAACGCACGGCTTCTTGAGGCAGCCCAGCCTTCGAAGATTGCGTGGCAATGGGACACATGCTTTTGAAACTGTGTTTCCTGGAAATACTGGAAAGAGATAAGACCCTCTTTCACCAAGCCGATTTAAGAACAGCCCTGCCAAGAAGCAGGGGAATGGATCCAATGAACCAGATTTGTTGCAAATCTGGGACAGAAGTAACAAGAATGGACTTGACCTTGGGCAGTGATTTCTGAGAAGGAGCCTGTTCTGAGGAAGGGGGTGGATGCCCAGATTAGAGGATGCTGGAAGGTTCGAGCAGGATGAGAGCTGGGATGGGAACAGCGCGACATCCAGTCCAAACTTCACTTCCTGTGCTGCAAGCAATTATGAATTAAAACAAAGCTGGAGGTGAGACCCTGGAAGGTGATGGGTGACCAGAGTCACCAATGCACATGACACTTCTATGGAGGACCTCCTGGAGGAGGTTACTTCAGAGCAGGGAGAGAAGTTACAGGTCAGCAGAAAGAAACAGCAAGTCCAGCAGACGCAGGAAGCTCTGCAGTCATGCACTTAATTATGGACATTAGATGAGCACATACTACGTCGGAACTAGCCTAAGCGCTGCCCTCAGACACTCTCATTTTTGGAATTCTTTGGTTGTTATTTGTTTTTGTGCTAATAATTTCTCCTTTTTTGAGGCAGTATCTCACTCTGTTGCCCAGGCTAGAGTGCAGTGGTGTGATCTTGGCTCACTGCAGCCTCCACCTCCCGAGCTCAAGCAATCCTCCCACCTCAGCCTCCCAAATAACTAGGACTATGGGCACACACCACCACACCCAGCTAGTTTTTGTCTTTTTATTTTTTGTAGAGACAAGTCTCACTATGCTTCCCAGGCTGGTTTTGAACTCCTGGACTCAGGTGATCCTCCCACCTCAGCCTCCTAAAATGCTGGGATTACAGGTGTGTGCCACTGTGCCCAGGGCCTATACTAATAGTTTTTTAAGCTTAGAAACAGTGGCAAACTTATAGAAAATTTGCATGTATAATACTAAGAATTGTTTTTGGTTTGTTTGTTTGTTTTTGAGATGGAGTCTCACACTGTTGCCCAGGCTGGAGTGCAATGGTGCAATCTCAGCTCACTGCAACCTCCGCCTCCCGGATTCAAGCAAATCTCCTGCCTCAGCCTCCCGAGTAGCTGGGATTACAGGCGCCTGCCACCACACCCAGCTAATTTTTTGTATTTTTAGTAGAGACGGGGTTTCACTATGTTGGCCAGGCTGGTCTCGATCTCCTGACCTTGTGATCTGCCTGCCTCGGCCTCCCAAAGTGCTGGGATCACAGACATAAGCCACCGCGACCGGCCAGAATTGTTTCTCTGCAACCATTGAACTGTAAATTGCCGACCTATTTTCTACCAACAAAAGCCTTTCCCTACACAACCGCAGTAAAACCATCAAATCAGGGAGCTAGCACTGATCCATTCCTACCTTCCACTCCACAGACCTGGCGCCAGTTTTGCCAACTATCTCAACAATGCCTCGGTAGCAAAAGGACCCGGTTCAGTCTCCTGCGTTGCATGAAATTGTCAGGTCTCCTTCGGTCTGGAACAGTTACTCAGTACTTCCTTCACGGCCTTGACATTTTGAAGATTACAGATCACTTACTTCATCAAATTGGGGTTTGGCTGGTGTTTCCTCGTGGTTAGATTCAGGTCATGCGTTTGTGGCAGGACTATCCTAAGTGGCAGTTATGGGGCGCTTTGGATCAGTTTCAATAAAGGTGATGTTAAATTTGATCACTTAAGGTGGTGTCTGCCAAGTTTCTCCACTGCAAAGTTATTCCTTCTCTCTTTGTAATTAATAAGTATTTTGTGAGAAGATACTCTGAGACTATGTCAATATCCCTTTTCTCATCAACTTCCAGTTTATTCACTTATTTATTTGTCGCAATACGGACCTGTGTTTTCTTAGGGAATTCAACAGGTTATCATCCATGACTATCACTGGTTTTTTTGTTTTGCTTTTTGTTTTTTTGAGACGGAGTCTCGTTCTGTCCCCAGGCTGGAGTGCAGTGGCGTGATCTTGGCTCACTGCAACTTCCACCTCCCGGGTTCAAGTGGTTCTCCTGCCTCAACCTCCCGAGTAGCTAGGACTACAGGCACACACCACCACACCCAGCTAATTTTTTTTTTTTTCGCATTTTTAGTAGAGATGGGGTTTCATCATGTTGGCCAGGATGGTCTCGATCTCTTGACCTTGTGATCTGCCCGCCTCAGCCTCCCAAACTGTTGGGATTACAGGCGTGAGCCACTGTGCCCGGCCCATTGTTTATTTTAATGCTCAGATCGACCCAGATTTGGCCAGTGGTTGCCCTTTCAAGTAGCTCCAGGGGCATTTTGACTTATCTCCATCATTCTTTGACCATGTCCTGAATTTCTGGCACAAAAAGATATTCCAGGCTCATTCTGCCCCTTCCCTGCCCCAGCCCTAGAATCAGCCATGGCTCCAAGGAAGCCTGATTCTTTAGTGGGGAACGGTATACAGAGGCCAACATCTGGGTGCCAGGTGTGCTCACTGCTACTGGGGAGTTGCTGCTTCCAGTCCCTCTCAGTAGACAAGGCCATGGGGACCCCTAACCCCCACATCATTCAAGGGTCAACTGTACATATAGACTGTACATATGTCCACACACACTCACATATGTGTATATGTATAGTAAATATCTAATATACACATTTGCATGTGTATATGTTTGTATTTATTGCTCTCTTATATTGAAAACCCTGGCCAGGTGCGGTGGCTCATGCCTGTAATCCCAGCACTTTGGGTGGCCAAGGTGAGCGGATCACAAGGTCAGGAGCTCAAGACCAACCCGACCAACATGGTGAAACCCCGTCTCTACTAAAAATACAAAAATTAGCCAGGCGTGGTGGCGTGCGCCTGTAGTCCCAGCTACTCAGGAGGCTGAGGTAGGAGAATCGCTGGAACCCAGGAGGCAGAGGTTGCAGAGAGCCGAGATTGCGCCATTGCACTCCAGCCTGGGTGACAGAGTGAGATTCCATCTCAAAAAAAAAAAAAAAGAAAGAAAGAAAAAGAAAACCCTGAGTTCACACTGATATTTCAAATTCCAGTCCAACAGCACGGGGCTCCTTTGCGTTTTCTCCCTCTCCATATGTGTAACTCCGGCTCTGATGTGACATTCCAGCAGCTCTGATGTGACATTCCAGCAGCTCCAATGTGACATTCCAGCGGCTCTGATGTGACATTCCAGCGGCTCTGATGTGACATTCCAGCGGCTCTGATGTGACATTCCAGCTTCCTTTATGCTTCACGTATTTAATTTACCAATTCCCTCAATAGCCCCTTCTCCATACACACACACACGTGCAGGGACACCCTCAACTCGGGCTTGGCCCTCCACGCCAGACCTCCTCCCCACCGGGTCACCTTCCATTCGTTGCCAGAGCTCAGGCATCCTCTGTGGGCCACTCCCCCACCTATGTGGACACCTTTCTAACCCCTCCATGGGTGACCTTCTCCCCAGCTCAGGCCCTGACCCCCCGACCAGCCACTGTCCCCACTCAGACATGATCCTCGCCAGAGCTACCAAATGGCAAAGCTAAGATGCAAACCCAGGTGTGTCTGCTCCACACCCTGAGCTTTTTTTTTTTTTTTTTTTTATGGAGTCTCACTCTGTTGCCCATGCTGGAGTGCAGTGGTGTAATCTCAGCTCACTGCAACCTCCGCAATTTAAGCGATTCTCCTGCCTCAGCCTCCTGAGTAGCTGGGATTATAGGCACACATCATCATGCCCAGCTAATTTTTTGTATTTTTAGTAGAGATGGGTTTCGCTGTGTTGGCCAGGCTGGTCTCGAACTCCTGACCTCAAATGGTCCACCCGCCTCAGCCTCCCAAAGTGCTGAGATTACGGGTATGAGCCACTGAGCCCGGCTGCCCTAAGCTCTTGATCGCCATGTTCTCTAAAACTGAGAATGAGCCCATTTTGTCTGCCAAGTGATTTTTTCCCAGCAGGAACATCAAGGGAATCAAGGGAGTTCTCAGCCTCAGCCTGGACTGATTCCCCTTGAGGGTGAAGGAAGGCACCCCCGCCTCTAGATCTTCCTTCCGCAGGGCTGCAGACCAGCCCCCAGCCCTCCTGCCGGCTCCTGGCCTCAGCAGGGCCCTCGTGCCTCCCTGATGGGGAACTCAGGAATTGGGAGGGATCCACCCGCCTATGGCAGGTGATAAAAACAGCTTGTCATGTTCACAGCGCTCTACAGTTTGCAAAGCCCTTGGTAGAGGTGCTGGGTCCTCACAACAGTCCTCCCAGGGCCAGATGAGTAAACACACTTTACAGTCAGTGAAACAGAGGCTCACAGTGGGGAAGAGACTTCATCCAAGTCCATATCATACAGCCCCTGGAGTCAGAGCTGAAAGCTCATCCAAGACAGACCGAGCCAGGCTCCACCCTTCACACACCCCTTCTGCCACCCCGCACCCTCTGCTTCCCTCTTTGGGGGATGGCTTAGCTCTGAAAGGCTCCTATCTCCCCTGAACCTCTCCTAAGGACGCTCAGGTGTGTGGCTCTGGACCATGTGGGACCAGGTGGTTCCTTCCCTGCCCTTCAGCACTCACAGTCTGAAGCAGACATCCTGCGGGGGGCAGTTTGGTGCCCACACCCTCTCCTCCTAGAAGCCCGGCCACCCTCCCCTTTAACTGGGACCAGCAAACTAGGGGGTGAGTCTGCGTTGTGGGGGGTTAACTCATTTGTTTCACTGTCCCAGTGTCCCATTAGCACCCAGGTCAGACATCCTCTCTCAAACAGGTGGGCTCAGCCCATCCGAGTCTCACGAGAGACACCCAGCCCCAGCATAGGACAAGACCCCCAAGGTCAGCAGGAACTGGTGCCAGGGCCCGCCCGAGGGTAAGGGCGGCTCCCCAAGCCCAGCATTTGCAGCTCTTCTCAGGACTCATGGCAGGCGGGGCTGGCCGGGAAGGAAGGCAGGCACCCTCATTAGCCCCACACGTGTACCACGTGGACCGGGCCCCTGAGCCACACAGCACTGCCTCGTGGGAGCCCCAGGGAAGCTGGGCTCTGCAGCTGGAGCAACTCCACTGGTCCAGGGGAGAGGCACCTGCAGTGAGTCAGCCGAGCTGAGCTCAGCACAGAACTCCTTACCCGGCCCCGCCAGGGACGCCACTCCCCACAGTGGGAACAGCCTTTGTGCCCCCCAGATTCCACAGAAGGGGAACTGAGTCTTGGCTCTGCCAGGTATGTGGTGCCTCCCAAGGCAGCAGACCAGTGCCCATGAGGAGGGACTGCTGGGTGTTTCTGAAGCCTCTGCCCACCCCAGAAAACTATAGGGTCCCCCACCCTCCCCAGTGCATTCTTGAGGTTCGCAGCCCCTCTCCCCCAGGACAGAGGACAAGTCATGGGCAGCTGAGAGGCGACTGGGGACAGGACCTTGGCTTTGAGAGCCCTCTGTGGCCATGGTAAAGGCGGGGCAATGCACAAAGCGCCTTCTGCTGGAGGGTGGGCACACGTGAGCCAAGGGGCAGAGAACCACCTGGAAGGGTGAGGGGCTTGTGGAGAGGTCCCTGGGGGCGCTGGCCAGCTCAACACCTGCTCACCATGCTCCCCTCGTTACTCCCCATGTTGGGGCCTCAGCTTCCCCACCTGCAAAAGGCGTCTGTTGTTTCGGATCAGTGGTTTCTATGTTGTTCTCCAGGGAGCCTGGGAATTCTGCAAAAGCACCTCTGTGGCCCCTCTTGGGGGAGCGAGTGAGACAATGTCCCCAGGGCTGGACCTTGAGCAGCTCCGGGGGTGAGGCTTGGGAGGGGCTTCCGTTTAAGGAAATAACAGGATGTGAAAATTGAGAGGAGCCCAGGAGCCCCTCAGCGCTGCCGTTCCCTCCTCCCTTCCACTAACCTCTTTCAACAACCAGACGGCGCAGACCTGCTGTCCACAGGGTACTAGTCGGGCACTGGGGCATCTTCAGACATGACAGTCATGTGGTCCCCGCCCAGGATCATTGGGAAGGTATTGTGAACAGGTAGGGATAAGCCCAGGACCAGGAGATGGGGCTGGGGACAGAAATGAGTTGATACCTGCCTCGGTTTCCCTAAAGTGCATGTCCTCAAAAGGTCAAAGATATAACGAACCGTGAGGCTGCCGAGAGAAAAATCCTCAAGGTTATATCTACTTCAATACCAGGGCTACAAGGAAAACAGTTTTTTGTTCTATCCTTGGGGATCTCAGGTCACCAGGATCTGATACTTAAAGGATAATTACTCCTCAAAAAGCCACAATTAGAACTACCATAAGATCCAGCAATCCCACTGCTGGGTATATATCCAAAGGATATGAAATCGATGTATCAAAGAGACAGCTGCACCCCATGTTCATGAGCACTGTTCACAACAGCTGAGAGACGGCATCAATCTGTGTCCGCAGATGAAAGAATGGATAAAGAAAATGTGGGCCACATTCACAACAGGAGACTATTCAGCCTCAAAAAAAGAAGGAAATCCTGTCATTAGCCACAGCGTGGCTGAACCTGAAGGACATTATGTTAAGCAAAATAAGCCAGACACAGAGAGACAAATACCACATGATCTCACTTATATGTAGAATCTACAAAAGTCGCACTCACAGAAGCAGTGAGCAGAACGGTAGTCGTCATGGGCTGGGGGTGGAGGGCTGGGGAGATGTTGGTCAAAGGACACAAAATTTCAGTTAGACAGGAGGAACCAGGTCAAAAGATCTCACGTATCACATGGTGACTCTGGTGAATAGCAATGTATTGTCTTCTTGAAAATTACTAAAAGACACTCGGGAGGCTGAGGCAGGAGGATTGCTTGCACCCAGGAGTTTGAGACCAGCCTGGGCAACAAAGTGAGAGCTCATCTCTACAAAAACATCAAAAAAGTTAGCCGTGTATGGTGGCACGTGCCTGCGGTCCCAGCTACTCAGGAGGCTGAGGCAGGAGGATCACTTGAGTCTATAGTGAGCTGTGATGGTGCCACTGCCCTCCAGCCTGGGCAACAGAGCAAGACCCTCTCCCCCGCCATCCAAACAAAAAAAAAAAAAGAAAAGAAAGAACATTTCTAAGAGATTAGATTTTAAGTGTTTTCAACCAGAAAAAAAAAAATAAGCCTGTGAGATAATGCATAATTAGCTTGATTGAACCATTCCACAATGTAATCAAAATATCATGCTGCGCACCATCAATATGTACGATTTTTAATGGTAAATTAAAAAGAGAGAAAGAGGCTGGGCTTGGTGGTGCATGCGTACACTCTGGAAGGCTGAGGCAGGAAGATTACTTGAACCCAGGAGTTCGAGACCCGCCTAGGCAACATAGTAACCCCATCTCCACAAAAAATTTAAAAATTAGCCAGGTGTGGTGGCGCATGCCTGTAGTCTCAGCTACTTGGGAGGCTGGGACGGGAGGATCTCTTGAGCCCAGGAGGTTGAGGCTGCAGTGAGCCTTGATCATGCCACTGCACTCCAGCCTACGGGCAACAGAGCAAAACCCTGTCTCAAAAAGAGAGAGAGGCCGGGCGCAGTGGCTCATGCCTGTAATCCCAGCACTTTGGGAGGCCAAGGCGGGTGGATCACCGGAGGTCAGGAGTTCGAGACCAGCCTGGCCAACATGAGGAAACCCCATCTCTACTAAAAATACAAAAATTAGCTGGGCATGGTGGTACGTGCCTGTAATCCCAGCTACTAGGGGGGCTGAGGCAGGAGAATCGCTTGAACCCGGGAGGCAGAGGTTGCAGTGAGCCAAGATTGAGCCACTGCACTCCAGCCTGGGTGAGAGAGCGAGACTCTGTCTCCAAAAAAAAAAAAAGAGAGAGAGAGAAAGAGATCGTTATACTCAAACTGGAGAGGGTTGTGACCAAGCGATGACCAGGGGGAGGCCAGCTGTCAAGCTGTCAACACGTGAGCAAGTAGATAAGCACGGTCCTTTCGGAGACTGATGAGTGCTACAGAGACAATGAAACAAGACCCTAGGATAGAGAGGGAAGGGGCGATATTGGACGGATGCCTGGGAAAGGCCCCTTGGGCGACATGTCACCTCGCCCAGCAGACATGAACAGAGACCTGGGTGACTTGAAGGAGTCTATGACCATGCGAGGCAGAGGGACAGCCTGAGCAGAGGCCCTGGGGTGGTGCAGGCTTGGCTGTTGGAGGAACAGAAAGGCCAGGGTAGGTGGCGCTGCTTCCTCACAGGCCAGTGATCTCACTGCCTTTTGGGGGCACCAGCCCAGCCCTCTGACCCCACCCTGCCACTTAGGAACACCAACACAGTGAATTCTCTGCTTCCCCTGTCTCCTGAAACTCAGCCGTCTTTGACTCTGAACTTCGGATCCAGGGTCACAAGATGAGGATTCCTGCCTCATGGAGACCAGGCCATGGGAAGGACCATGGCCCACCCCAGGGCAGGCTGGGAAAATCCCCAAGAGACAGGGACCTCAGGCTGCGGGGCTGCCTCCCTGTGCCCCCACCCCCGCCTGCCTGGGCTCAGGTGTCCAGACATGTGCCAGTCTCTACCTGGGGTGGGGTGCCCTGGCAAACAGAGCTTACCCAAGAGGAGATGATGCCATGGCCTCCTGGCCCAGAGACCAGCTCTGCCGAGGTGATGGGGCAGCGTGTCACAGCCGCGGGGCAGGGGGCCAGGCCGCCCCTGCTCAGAGAAAGGCAGGAGCTTTGTCAGGGGCTCACGGCTATCCCACCCTCCCCAGGCCTGTCTGGAGACCTGAGGGAAGGGGGAGGGGGAAGAGAAAGAGGCTGGAAAGGGGGAGGGGGAGGGGGAGGGGAGGGGCAGGAGCACCTCTTTAAGCAGGTTTTATGACGGTTGGCAGCTCCACCCGGTTGGCAGGGGTTTTGGATTGAGATGTCTTGGTGGAGACAGTCGGGCGGGCGGAGGGTACCCACCCCGGAGGTGGCAGAGCAGGCAGCTCAGCCCGGCAGGCTTCACACCTGCCCACTGCCTTGGGAAGAGGTAGCTGGGTGTGTCTGGCAGCCCCTTGATGAACACCAAGGTGTCAGGTACCTGCCCCTGCCTTTGGGCCACACTTCCCTCCACAGGGGCAAATCCAACAGCCCCTCTCACGCTTGTGACACCCCAGTGACTCCATGCTGCTCGACCTCACACCTTTCCCTGGCCATCCTGCCTGGAACGTCCTTCCCGAGCCTAACACCCACCTCTGCCTGTCTAAGCCCTGTCCACCTCCTGCTAGGTGTTTGGGACTCAGCCCCAGAAGCCTCCCTGGTCCCTCCCTCTCTCCTGCATTGGCTCCGTCCTGTCCCCTCCGTCCTCCAGCACAAGCGACAGCTCTTGTCTGCTCCTCGCTGGGCTGACTGTGCTGTGTCCTCCAGGGCAGACCCCAAGGGGGACATGTCTAATTCATGTCCACATCCCCGTGCCTGGCACAGAGAAGCTGCTCAGGAGACATCAGATGAACGAAGAAATGAGGGATCCAAGAAGCCACCAGTCAACCTGATGCCCACCCCTCAACCAAGTGATCAAACTTGGCATCACCCAGCGTGGGCAGCCTGGCGGGACATGTGCCAAACAAACCACACAGCATCGTCCAGGCTGGCCAACATTTTAACACGACCCCAGCCAAGCAGTAGGACCTGACTTCCAGTTTACAGAAAACCCCCAGGTAGAGGAACCGGCTCATTGCTATGGGGAAAAGCCGGGGGGAATAGCAGGGGGAGCTCTTTTCGAATAAAAGAGAATGAAAAGACAACTAAATGCCGTGTGTGAAGGAAAAAGGACATCAGTGTTTCTCTGGAAACCACTCATTGTGCCCTGCCCTGCAAGGTCCCTTTATGACCCCAACCCTGTTTGCTCATCTATAAAATGGGGGAATAGGCTGCGCCATGAAGCCACAGAAGAGCAGGCAGAACACGTGGGAAGCTAGAGGGCTCTGGAAAGAGGGAGCTGGAGCCCAGGGTTCAAGGGGGGGGTGGGAGGAGGAAGGGGGTGGGGCTTCATGGTGGGAGGAGGAAGTGTGGAGGGGAGTGTGGTTGAGCCAGGCTGGAGGACGGGGACAGGGCTCTGGGATGAGTCTGAGCCAGGCCTTGAAGGAGAGGCGAGTGTAGGTGGCAGGTTAATGCAGGGTTTCCACTTCCACCCCTGGGGGCTGACAAGGAAAGACTCTGACATTGACCAGAGTCACGGCAGCAGCTCCCAAACCCACTCCGAAGCTGGCTACTGGGGGGTCATGGCTGGACACCCAGGAGAACCATGGGAGCCAGGGCTGCACCCCAAAGCAGGACCCCTGCACCTCCCATCTCACAGCAGCTTGCAACTCCCAAGGAGGAGCTTTGCTGGGCTGCGGGGCACTCACCTCACCTGCCACAGCGCACCTCAGTGACCTGTGTGTATATATTGAGCAGATCGCTATGGTTTGGGGTTTGGGAAAGTTTTAACATCAGGGTCCCATCTCCTCCATCACATTGGGGGCTCCTCTATCAGGCTGGGGGCACCGAGGATGGGCTCCTGCTTTCTCATTCCTCACAAGATCCAGGCGAGCTTATTCAGGGGAGAGTGACATCTGACTAATGTGGTCACATTTCTGTGTCACTGACATTTGTCAAAGCCTTTGGCTGCACGGGTGGCCTTCAACACTAAGCCCAGAACTCACCCAGGCTCCAGACAAACTCAGCTGGCTCAGGACTGGGACAACCATGCCCCCACCCCCACTCCACCACAGATCCCAGGACCACCATGCCCCCACCCCAACTCCACCATAGTCCCTAGACCACCATGTCCCCAACCCCCACTCCACCACGGATCCCAGGACCACCATATCCCCCACCCCCATTCCACCACAGATCCCTGGATCACCATATTCCCCACCCCCACTCCACCACAGATCCCTGGACCACCATTCCCCCACCTCCCTCTCCACCACAGATCCCTGGGACCACCATCCCCGCCACCCCCTACTCCACCACAGATCCCAGGACCACCATATCCCCAACCCCCACTCCACCACGGATCCCAGGACCACTATGCCCCCCACCCCCATTCCACCACAGATCCCTGGACCACCATATTCCCCACCCGCCGCTCCACCACAGATCCCAGGACCACCATCCCCCCCACACCCTACTCCACCACAGATCCCAGGACCACCATTCCCCCACCCCCCACTCCACCACAGATCCCTGGACCACCATCCCCCCCACCCCCCACTCCACCACAGATTCCTGGATCACCATCTCCACCCCCAACTCCATCACAGATCCCAGGACCACCATGCCCCCCACCTCCCAGTACATCACAGATCCCTGGGCCACCATGCCCCCCACCTTCTACTCCAACACAGATTCCTGGGTAGCAGGCGCCATGCCCTAGCCTTTGGGTGGGTTGTTGGCTGAAGGAGAGCCACTTGCTCCTGTCTCTGGTAGCAGGGACTTGTCCATCCTGGGCAGCCCCCCTCCAAGACAAAGTCCTACCTGTACAGCCTCACTGCTGAGCTGGGCAGGACAGGTGGCTCAGCACCTTTGGGGGATGCTAGGAGCAGGAAAGAGGCTGGGGATCTCCGGGCCAGAACAGGGCAGGGAGTCAGGCTCAGAGGCAGGGCTTCTGGGCTCTTACCTTGTTGTGGAATGAACCCTTCAAAAAAGGGGCCCAAGACTTCAGGCTCTGCAATGAGATAAATCTCTGGCATCAGATAAATATCTGAATTACATTTATCTGATATTGCTGCTCTACTACTTCCCTGCTTGTGAACTCAGGGAAAATACTTACCGTCTCTGAGTCTCAGCTTCCTCATCCGTAAAGTGGGAATGATACATCTACTTTGAAGAGCTACTGTAAGAATAGAGAAGTCAAATAAGTTGAAGCACAGAAAGTGAGCCTGGCATAGTGAGGGCTTAAAACCCCTATCAACATCATCGCCACCACCACCACCACCACCACCATCATCATCACCACCATCATCATCATCACCACCACCACCATCATCCCCACCATCACCATCACCACCACCACCATCACCACCACCACCACCATCATCACCACCACCAACATCACCACTACCACAATCATCACCACAACTAGAACCACCATCATCTCCACCACCACTATCATATTATCATCATTACCATCATCATCATCATCATCATCATCATCATCATCATCATCATCTGAAAAGCAGGGAAGAGTCCCTGGGGAAAGAAACTGACACACTACCTGTGCTGGCCCCACTTAGAGCAGGGGTCAGGTGCTCTGAGACCCACTCACCCTGTCACGGGCAGGAATGGCCCTTGTCCATCCCAGCACTTGGCACCCAGTAGGTGCTCAGCAAGTGTGGGTTGAGTTGGTTTAATCCAAAATACGAACAGAAGGGGCTAATGATCACTAGTGCTGGGGGCAGTTCTCTCAGGGGGCAGGGCTGGGGAAGGCCAAGAATCTGCATCATTGCCCAGCCCTCCAGGTGGCTCTCTTGGAGAAGGAAGGGGAGGCCTCCAAGGGCTCCCAGGAGCACCAGGGGAAGGGCTGGTCTCTTCCAATCCCCTTGTGTTAGAGATAGGCAGGGCCTGGAGAGGGGCGAGGTCATGCAGGGAGCCAGGGCAGCCGTCCACTGCAGCCAGGCCACCTCCTCAAGCCTTCCCTTGTTCTGCTGTCTCCCTCTTCCTGCCTCCCAGCCTCTCCCAGCCACACCCTGCATCTGCAGCCCCTCCCAGCTCCCACCACCAAAACACCTGGCACCAGGCCTTACCCAAGAAATTCACCTGGTAGCCTACACTGGCTGCAAGACACACCTAGGCCCTCAGGGGCTGGCCTCCCTCCAGAACCCTCCACAACAGCCCTCCTCGACCCCTCTGAGATTCAGCTTTCTCTACTTAGGAACCCCTGTCTTGAACACCACCTCCTACAGGAAGTCCTTCCTGATGCCTGGACACCATCCTCCAACCAGATGTGATTTCTCCTTCCCTTAAAATCCCTTCATCCAGGGACACCTGGCTTTGAGTCTCGTGCTGCAGGACTGGGAACAGGTTCAGTGGATGTCTGCTGGTCGCGCCCTGTGCCAGGTGCTGTGGGTGGCTCACAATAACGGTCGTGTGGTGGTTAATGACAGGTCCTGCTGGCTTGTCCAGGCGTTGTGTTAAGTGCTTAGCAGCCATAATCTCAGTCAGTCCTCCCATAGGTAGTAGTACTCCCTCTGTAGGGATGAAGAAACTGAGGCCCAGAGAGGCTGAGCAATTTGCCCAGGGTACACAGCATGGCAGATGGCAGAGCCAGTCTGACACCAAAGCTCCCCTGTAAAATCCCATCTCTGTTTTTCAAGCTCGTGCCTGGATAAGCTGGGCTGGCAACCCAGCCTCTGAAACCACCTCCTGGTCTGGGACCCACCCACCTGCAACTTGCAGGAGGCCACGCCCACAGGATCCTCTAGTGCTTTCCCAGCCTCTCTTGCAGCTGCATGGTCATGGGACCTAGCTCAGCCAATCAGATGCACTTGTGCAGATTTGACCCCAGAGCCAGTGATGCAAAGAAGCAGGATCTAGGTAGGGGCAGGTGGCATGGTGGTGGCTGTGGGCACAGCCATGTTCTGTGTCTAGAGTGTGGCAGCCTGTGTTGACCAGTTCTTTTAACAAGAAGGAAGGGAGGGAGGGATGCTGGGTAGCCGGGGTGGACAGTCACTGGCATCGCTGCACAGCCACAGGCATTCCCAGGGGCTTCAGGGACCTGCCCTGCCCTGCCCAACCCCAGGACGTGGGGTGAGGGGACGCTCACAGGGGCTTCCAGGAGAGCTGTCCTGAGAAGAGGACTCAGGGACCAGCAAACCCTGCTTCCTCTGGACCTGCTAGGGACTCTGAAGGACACCGGCCTGGGGACAGAGCCCACAGACTCCTCAAAGGCCCGGGTCCCTGCAGGCCTGAGCTGCCGGGTCAGACTCCTGGGGCCAACCTGCCCCTAGACTTGCTGACACGTGCCCAAGACCACAGTAAGTTCCCCTCACTGTCCAGGCCGCTTTGCATTGGGTCTTCTGCCACTTGCTACCACACGCCTCTCAGCGCCCCACCCTCCGGCGGTGACACCAATGTCCTCTTGTTCCCTGGGACAGAGCCTGGACGCTGTCTCAGTGAGGGTGCAGTGGGTAAGCTTGGCAGTCAGCCACCAAGTCCTTAGAGCTCTCCAAAGCTCAGTTTCCTCACCTGGAGAGTGGGCTCCTAAGGTGGCTATGAAGCCCAGGAGGTCAAACGCGAAGCTCTCAGAGTAGCCCCGCCAGCTCCCCGGCTGCTGCTGTTACCGGTAATCATCTCTATTCTTACAACAACTCTTTTTTGTTTTGTTTTTTGTTTGTTTGTTTGTTTGAGATGGAGTCTTGCTCTGTCGCCCAGGCTGGAGTGCAGTGGTACCATCTTAGCTCACTGCAACCTCCGCCTCCTGGGTTCAAGCAATTCTCCTGCCTCAGCCTCCCAAGTAGCTGGGATTATAGGCGCGCACCACTACACCTGGGTAATTTTTATATTTTTAGTAGAGACAGGGTTTTGCCATGTTGGCCAGGCTGGTCTTGAACTCCTGACCTCAAGTGATCTGCCCACCTTGACCTCCCAAAGTGCTGGGATTACAGGCGTGAGCCACCGCACCTGGCCAACCCTTCGAGGTAGGTATTAACATCTCCATTTTACAGATGAAGAAAGTGAGGTTCAGAGAGGTGAATTCAAGTGCCCAAGGCCACACAGTCAGCAAGAGGCAGAGTTCCACCTGGAACTCAGTCTGTCTGACTCCCAAGGCCAGTGTCCTCCCACCTAAGCTGCCTCCCTCCCTAGCATTGGCAGAGAGATGGGCAGGTGGCCTGGAGGATGGGCGCTGGGGCAGGCGCGGTGGTTCCCAGGCCTGTGTCTCTCTCCTGTAATCCTCCAGAGATCCCTGGGCCAGCCTTTTTCTCAGCCAGGGCTTAGCAACTTTTCCTAGAAAGGGCCAAGCAGGAAATGTCTTGGGCTTTGAGGGCCACCTCTGGTATCTGTCGCATATTCTTCCAGCCCTTTACAAATGTGAAAACCATTCTTCCTTGCTGGCTGTCCAAAAGCAGGCAGGATTTGCCACCCCAGTTTGGTAAGCTCTGCTGGAATTGATCTGCCATTTTCAGCCAGGTCAGCCTCTGGGACAATAAGTTCTTTGTGTCTGTCCCCACAGTCCTGGCCAGTCAAGTCTGTATATTTCCCAGGTAATGTCCAGCTGGACTGCGGACCAAGATGAGGTGGCAAAGGGGATGGTCTTGGATTTGGACTTAAATCCCTGTTTGTCACTTTGGACGGAGTGGCCTCAGTTTCCTTGTCTGGAAGATGCAAGTAATAGTGCCGGCCTCACGGGGTGGTTATAGGATGAAACTCCCCGTAAGCACTTCCCACGGAGCGAGGCACACCTTGGCAGGTAATTGCGGTGTGGGAAGCACCTGGCGGCCCAGCCCTGGTCTGAACAGCACCTACGCCCGCTTCTTGATGAGGCTGTGGGCCTGGTAGTGCCTGATACCATGATCTTGTGCAAGGCCCTGCCCCTCCTGGGCCTCAGTTTCCCTGTCTGAGGTTGGTTGGATCTGACCCCTGAGGGTCCGCCACCCTTCAGGAGTTAATGGAATGAAAACAGCCATGGGCATGCCAGCCGTCTTGTGCTGATGGCTCTCCCAGGCCGGACGCCACCCTGTGTGGTGCTCAGAGCAGCACGACATGGCAGGGAAGGAAGCCCAGCCTGGGCCCATCCCTGCCCGCCCCTCTGGTTCAAGGCTGCCTTGCCTTCCCTGGCAGGTAGGCAAGCGCAGTCCAGGCTCCGGGCCCCACCATCCCAACCCTGGAACGTCAGGCCCCAGGGAGGCAGAGGGCTCTCCCCTCTGAGCCACCGCTGTCCCCAGGGTCCGTTTGGATTCTGAGAAACCTGTCTGCCATTCTTACCGCAGTCCAACCCTGCGGCTGGGGTGCCAGCCAGGGTAACCGGGAGGAGGACGGGGTGGTTCCCAGCCGGGCCCTGGAAGGCTTCTCAGAAGCCTCTGTTCCCACATCAGGGAGATGTGTCTTAGAACCCACAACTCCTTGGCATCTGCTCAGAGCTGGGCACTTTGCAAACAAACATGTCACATCTATCCTGTGAGGCAAGGCTGCTGACTGCCTTTTACAAGGGGCAAAACTGAGGTTGCTGGGGAAGCAGCTTGTCCAAGGTCGCATAGCCAGAATTAGAACCCAGGACTGTCTGACACCAAAGCCCTTGAACTTTCCACCTGCCACCCAGCCCATAGAGTTGGAAATGACCGTTGACATTGTCACCTCCCAAGTGACACATCTGAGGCACGGCCAGTAGACTGGCCTCTGCTTGGATACCTCCAATGACAGGGGACTCACTACCTCCAAACAGCTCTTGTCACTGTGGGAGCCCTGCTGTCAGCTGTGTTTTCCTTAGACGGAACGGAAACCGCTTCTGTGAAGACCCTTCCTGGGAGTAGGTCCTTCATAACTCCAATGACGCACTTCCAGCGCCGCCTCTGTGCCAGGCTCTTGGTGAATCCAATGAGGCATGTTTGCTTTACACATGAAACCGAAGGCCTGGCCAGGTGAAGGGCTGTTGCCCAGCCAGCCCTGAACCCAATCTGGCCCCAGACTCCAACCTCAACCACTTTCCACCCAGCCCTGGCTTCGGGGCCCCATGCAGAGCTGGCAGGTGTGGTGGGGCAGAGGAGGGAGCGGCCTCAGAGAGACGAGGCAGGGAGGGGCTGGGGAGCCGCCTGGAGCAGCCCCCACCCCCTCCCCAGGACTCAGCACAGTCCTGTGGAGAGGAAACGCTGCAGAAAGGCGGGGTCCTGAGGCTTCTGGAACCTGCCTCCCCTGCTCACAGCACTTCAGGGCCCTCGTGGCGCTCAGATTGGCCCCTTCACCAGCCCCTCGACGTCCCTGTTCCTGACACTCCAGGCCTGTCCTGGCTTCCAGGCAAGGGCACCTGCTGCTCCGACGGCCTCCATGTGGGAACCTGTGTCTGGGACTTGTCTCTCTGAAGCAGAGGGGGCTCCCTGAGGTCAGGGCCTGAGCTGGCTTAACTCAGCACGTCCTGTGAGCACCTGTGCCAGGACTGCCAGATTTAGTCAATAAAAATACAGGCTGTCCAGGGAAGTTTGTATTTCAGAGAAATGGTGAGTCATGTTTTTTTAGTATACTCCATACTAAAGACTGTAATAGTTCAGGGCGCTGGCTGAGCCCCCTGTAAACTTGGCACCTGGATCTAATTCTGGTCCTGTCCCAGCCCACTGGGCTCAGGAACCTAGCAAAGCACAGATCCCACTGCCCGATACCCGTTGTGGGTCCCGCCACCGTCAGAGGTTTACATGTATTTGGTGTTTATGTGAGATTCAGATTTAACTTGGCACCTTGAATTTCACCCAGCAGCCCTAACCCAAGCCCCTCCTTTGGGTGAAGCAACCTCATCCTCGAGCCCCGATTCCCTCATTGGAATGGGATTAACAGTGCCTGCCTCAGAGAGGTGACTCGGGACACGACCGTCGGGTATGGAATCCAGCCCTGCACAGTGGGTTCCAAGTGGGGCCCCAAGGCAGAACCCAGAGCGAGGGAAATGGGAAGGTGCTGGGCCCGCGTCCCATGGCCTGGGCCACCCCTGTGATCGATGGCTCTTGAGGTGACTGGAGCCCTTTTGGCTGCCGGGACAGGAAGGGAGGGAGGGACTGGTGGCCCCATTCACACTGTGCTGTGAAAAGCAGCAGCCCTCCAGCCATCACTTCTGAAACTGGGCGAGGAAACAGAGTGGCATTGTCCTTTTGTCTGCTGTGACACTCCGCATGTGACCCTGTCCCGTGAACGAGCAGATTCCCGCCACATGAGGGGGTAGGGGCTGAAGCGCCAGCAGCTCCATGCCCAGCATTCAGGCCCCACCAAACAAAAGCCACCTCCTAATTGCCCTGTTTGTTCTGGCACGAGGGCTGATGGGGGTGCCTGCGGAGCTCCCTGTCAGCCCGGCCTGGAGCTGGTTCCCAGGGCCTTGCACCTTGTCCGCCCAGCCCCGAGCACGGCTCCCAGCCTGCGGCCAGTTAACCCTTGGCTGTGGCTGCCCTGCCTGCCTGCTGGGCACCTGGCCAAACCCTGGATCCCAGAGCTGTGCCCTCCTGCTGGGAGCTGGGATGATCTAACCCAATCCGTGCCCAGACCAGATGGGGAGCAGGGCCAGGTGAAGAAGCAGGGCTCAGGCTGGCTGGACAGGGAGGCTGCATCTCACTTACGTGCTGTGCAGCCTTGGGTAGGTGAGTTTGCCTCTCTGAGCCTAAGGTTCCTCATCTGTAAAACAGGAAGAACAACAGTAAAAGGACTGGAGATCACGTGAGGCATGGTGATCCTGCTGGAGTGGGTGCTCAGTAAATACAACTCTGGTACAGTTCCCAGATCTCTGAAGCCGGGAACAGCCTAACAAGGGGTCCAGCCAGGACTCCTTGTCGGGACCAAGCTGGCTTGTGGACAGAAGGGGTGGATGGGGTGTCAAGGTCATTGGCCAAAGGCAGCAGAGGGATCTAAGGAACAGAGTCCAAAGAACAATGAGCCTGAGACCCTGTGCCCTTCACTCCTGCCCATGCCCAGAACACCCCCACCTCCCATCCTGCGTGAGAGTTCGGGGCTCTGGATGACTTCCCCCTGTAAACTTGGCACCTGGGGCTAATTCTGGTCCTGTCCCAGCCCCCTGACTCAGAAACTCAGCAAAGCACAGATCCTGCTGCCCCATACCCACTGTGGGTCCCACCACCGTCAGAGGTGGTGACCTTAGATACCTCCCACCACAGCTTCCTCACCCCAGCGCCCCAGAAGCTCATCTCCCTTTTCCTGAGAGGCCTGCCCAACCTCTGGCAATGTCCCGAGAGGCTGCCAGAGGCTGGCACCCCACACCCCTCAGGAGGAAGCCCGCAACCTGCTGCAGATGCTGAAGGTCACTGGGGCTTGTGGCAGTGGCCGGAGATCGGCACCGACTCAGAGCCAGGAGTAGCCAGAGGAGGTGAGCTGGCGGGATACTTGTCTTCATACTCCATCGTCACTTTGACCCCTAAAACAGAGCACCAGCTCCCCCCACACTTCAAGCCAGGCACCTCCCACCCCACTCTTTCCTCCAGGAAGTCATCACACTGCTGGGTGCCCACCTGGAGTGCTGCCAGGCCCCACGTGCCCGGGACCCTGTTGGCCTGTGTGCGATGTGGGAAAGTGATGGACTGCAAGTTGGGGGCCTCAGGCAACTCCGCTCCTGCTCTCCATGCCCACTGTCCCCAACCCTAGAGTGAAGGGGTCAGAGTTCACCTTCAAGCTCTGAAGTCAGGGCAAAGGGGCACAGAGTGAAACGCAGTGGGTGCCGACCCCGGCACCCTTGGCCAGGGGCAGCTCCCAGGGCGGATGGCAGCCGGTAGCCCTCCCATCCCAGGCTGGGGCCCTGATGCTCTGGAGGGCAGGGTCCCTCTGACCCGGCCAGGCGGCAGCAGAAACGGTTCTGCCTCTGCACATGCCTTGCTCAGCTTCTCCAGGCCTGTTAAGGAGGCCAAAGGGGGCAGGTTGGCAACTCATGGGTACCAGGCCAAGCTCCAAGACTGAGCAACAGATAAGGATGGGGAGGAAGGGAGTAGCCCCCCCAGGGCAGGAAACACAGAGCAGAGAGACAGAAATAAAGCATGGAAAGCAAACAGATGTCACCAAAGCAACTGAACTCGTGAGTGCCTGGAAGGCGTGTACATGTGTGTGTGCATGTCAGGTTGGGTATCTGTCCTGACACCCGTAAGATAAGGAGAGGGGTGCTGTGGAGCCTAAGAGATCCTCCCCCAGACATTCTGTGATTCCTGGTTTTTGTTGTTGTTGCTGCTGTTGTTTTGAGATGGAATCTTGCTCTATCACCCAGGTTGGAGTGCAGTAGCGCGATCACGGCTCACTGCAACCTCTGCCTCCCAGGGTTCAAGCGATTCTCCTGCCTCAGCCTCCCAAGTAGCTGGGATTACAGGCACCCACCACCATGCCCGGATAATTTTTGTATTTTTAGTAGAGATGGGGTTTTGTCAAGTTGGCCAGGCTGGTCTCAAACTTCTGGCCTCAAGTGAGCCACCCGCCTCGGCCTCCCAAAGTGCTGGGATTACAAGCGTGAGCCATCACATCCAGTCATCTGTGATTCCTTGACACACTGATACAGTAACACTGACGGTCACAGCTAAGGCCAGCTGTGCCGGGGCTGTGCCAGGTTCTAGGACCTTCTGTATTTGTTCCTTGAATCTTCACCCACACAGAGAGGTTAGGAAACTTGCTCAAGTCCCACAGCAGAGCTGGGCCCCCTCTGGAGCCCTCGGTCTTGCCTCTATGCCATGCGGCCCTTGCCCTCTGATGGGAAGTGGCACCCCAAATTCAGAGCCCATGCAATGCAACTGTTTAGTCCTAGGACATGTACCTCTCAGCCGCATCCTCAGGTACAGGGCCCTGAGGCTGCCTCCGCTGGCCATGGGGACAGGAGAGAGCAAACTGGGTCACACTCCCTAAGTCAGCCTTCACCCTCTTCCTCCTTCTGGTCCCCGCACCCCAGCATGAACAGCAACCAGTCTCCCCAGGCCAGCAACACTCTCTGAAAAGGGGGTTTCAGAGCCAAACACATCTGGGTTCTCATCGTGGCTCCACACTTCGCTGTGTGAGCCTGCGTAGGTCATTAGCCTCTCTGCACCTGTTTACCTGTGTGGAGAAGGGAATACCACCTGCCACTTGGGATGGCCGCAAGGATGGAAGGACGTGCTGCAGGTGAAACACCAGCTTCCCGCGGGCCCTGAGTAAAGGCTGGCTCTCGGCTCCCTTCCTGTTCAGAGGCTACTCTGCTCCCCCTATTGCATCTGAGCCACCAGCCAGGATGGGGTCAGAAAGAAGGCCAAGGGCACCAAGAGAAGGCGGAGGATTCGTCCAGGCCTCGCCCCAGGTAAGCGTCAGCAGCCAGCTCCAGGGAGCTCAGCCTGGGGATTTACCTTGTCCCTCTCTGCCATCCTCTTGGTGCTGCTGGGAACTGCTCCAGCTTGAAAAGGACTTGTTGTGGTCTCGGAGACCAGAGCTAGCTCCAGGCAAAGGAATGGCCCTGCCCTGAGGTGATCTATGACAGGAGGAGGAAGGGGCAGGGCCCGGAGCAGGAGCCGGGCAGGAGCCCTGACTTGGGCACTCCAGCCTGCGTCTGAGCCAGCTCTGCCTCCAGCATGTTCCAGGGTCTCAGCACAGCCTTGCTGCAGGAACAGCAAAGGGCAGGGGTTGGTGGGGAAGGGCCCTCATGGGCCCACCTGCTCCAGCCTCTTACTGGAATCAGGTTTGGATTTATTGCCCTTCATCCCAGAGTTAGGCATAGGGTTGTGGAGATGGCTGACTGTTCCCTGGGAGATGCTGACATAGACCCATCATTTAGCCAACAAATACTCCCCGAGCGTCCTCTATGCACTGAGCACTGTTCTAGGCACTGTAGATGCAGCAGCAAATAAAGGAAAGCTACTAGCAGGACGCAGCAGAGGGAGATGAACAGGCGAGCTGACCACAGCTGCATGAGGCCGAAGGAAAGGACCGAAACAGGGCAGGCAGGGGCAGAGAGAGCCCCGGAGGGCACTGCTCTCCCAGATCAGGGCTCAGGGGCATCTCTGAGACCTGAGTGGAGGGAGGAGATGAGCCACGCAAACATCTGGGCTAATGGGACAAAGTGAGAGCCTGGGCGGTGGATATGTGCCCTGTGCGAGGGAACAGCAGGGAGCAAGTGTGTGGAGCGGGGATGAGAGGGAGTGGGGAGGAGGGAGGCTGGAGAGGGTCTGGGAGCCTGGGAGGTAGTTTAGCTGCCCTTCAAAATGTGAAAGTGAAAAGAGTTTCAGAGGCAACCGCCTGCAGCGTGTTTTTAAGTGACTGCTCTGGGTGCTTGGAGAATGGACTACGGAGTGGGAGGAAGTGGGAGATCCAGGAGCTGGGTCTGGGTGCGAAGGTGGTGGGAAGTGGCCAGCTCTGGGCTATATTCCGCAGCCTAGAGAGCAGAGTGAGTCTCTTTTCTGGCTCCTCCCAGTCCCCTACAGGGACCCCATGCTGACAGCGGAGCACAGACTAGGTGCCCAGCTGAGGTTTGCTAAGTGACCAAAGAGGATGCCTGTTGCAACCAGGTATGAGAATCTGGCCATGGGCACTTTGGAGCTGGGAGCTGACCAACCCGGCCACCCCACGTAAGCAGCATGCCAACTACAGCCTGTCCCCCACATTGATCTGTCTACACTTCACACTGCCACCTCACACCTTATGTCCCTGGAACCCCTCAGTTCTGATTCTCTCCTTTCCATGAGGACAGAGCCTGTTTGATGCACGCTGTGCCCCCGGCCTCTGGTAAGTCCCTGGCACCGAGGAGACACTTGCTACATCCTGGAAGGAACAAATGAAGTCGCATGACCCAGAGTAATCTTTGGAGTCCCGCAGACCCCTCAGCTCCTGACTCCTTAGCAGGCGAGTTACCTCCTCTGGGTTACCGCCTCCCCATTGGTAAGGCGGAAATTCCACCACCTAACATACAGGGTTGACGCAGGAGTAAAATGCAGAGAACCGAGCGCAGCCCCCGGTGTCCCAACAAACACCCCTGGGGAGGGGAGGTGCAGGCAGGGGGCCTCTCTTTTCACCTCTAAGGGCAACAAACTTGGACAGCTGGGAACCAGGGCGGCTGCTGACTGAGGAACACCAGAGGCTTCAGCCGTTCTACAAGGAAGGTGTTGACACTGCCTCCCCAACTTTATTGCTGAACTCGAACTTTATGGGTTTCAAATTGCAGCTATCATTAGGCATAGCCAGTCCAGAATCAACTTAATTCCCCAACTGGGGCTGCCTGTTGAGAAAGACAGGGACCCAAGAACCAATGGGCCCAGATAATGGTGCAGGACAGGAGAGGGCTAAGTGGCTTTTTCCTCGGTGCCCTTCGATGCTCCTTTCGTGAGACCTGGGCCTGGGGAGGTGTAGCTCTCTCCCCAGACCAGCCTCCACTCCTGCTGGAGCCCAGACCAGCCTCCACTCCTGGAGCCCAGACCAGCCTCCACTCCTGCTGGAGCCCAGACCAGCCTCCACTCCTGCTGGAGACCAGTCCAGCCTCCACTCCTGCTGGAGACCAGTCCAGCCTCCACTCCTGCTGGAGCAGGCCAAAAGCACCCCCTGGAACCTGTCCCAGACCTCATGGCTGCCGTGTCAGCAGCTTGTCTGGGGCTATGGCAGAGCCACTGGAAGCACCCCTGTGCAGACACTAGGAAAAGCTCTACTAGTGAAAACAAGATGTGTTTGGGCTGGGGCCCACATCCTCTGAGGCCTTTGCAAGAAATAAAAAAATGCAGGGCAGACAAAAATAAGCAAACACTTTGTAATGAGCTTTGGTGACTCCACCTTTGCAGGCCAGAGCAGCAGGCCTCGGGTGGGCTTCTGAAGGCACCAGGTCCACTCTCGCTGCCCTGAGGTGTGATGACGGACGTGCTGAGCCTCCCTGAGCCACATGAAGCAGCGAGGCCGGCCTCTGCACAGGCGGCCCCATGCCACCAGCTCACCTGGCTGCTCCTCACGCTCCCTCCTTGCTTTGCTGTCTGGATGAGGCTGCTCCACTTTATTTCTCACAAGGAGGTGATGTAATAGCGAACAGACTCCTGAACACCTGAATCAGTCTCTCGGAGACCAGCAGAAAGTGGGCAACCACAGACACACAGCAGGAGCAAGCCTGAGGCATTCCCAGTATAAGGCAGAAGGGTGCCAAGACCAAGGGTCTCCATCGTCCTCACTGAACTCAGCTGGACTTCACCTGGGGCATGGGTGCCTTCCTTCAGACTAAAACAAGTTCACTAACAGTAAGAAAAGCTACTAGTTACTACACAGCAGGCAGATTAGCTCGTGGAAACCTCAGCACCCTCCCGCCACATAGATATTCCCATTTGACAGGTGAGGAGACTGTGGACACAGCAGGCAGTGGAGCTGGGATCTGAACAACAGAGTGAGTGCCTGGCCGCGCTTCAACCAGGCTGCTCCCCACCCTGGAGCCACGCCAGTCCCTCAGAAGCCCGGTGTCCCCAACACAAACACCAAAGTATGCTCGTGCAAGCCAGCACATGCATGCTCTGGCCTGCCAGGGCTTCCAGCTGGGCCCTTGCCACAAACGCCTTTGTCTCTCCAGCTTAGTCCAGGCACGACACTCATGGCTGCTTGTGGCTGTTCGGTCCGAGGCTCTGGGGAGGGATGTGAAATCCTGGCTGTGGAAGTCTACAGGAGCCCAGAGGCCACCCTCAGTCCCAGATGATCTGGCTTGAGGAGTGAGCCACAGAAACTGGACATCCAGACAGGAGAGGCCGACGTCAGTTGGCCGAGTGGCCCGCAAAGAACGAAAGGAGATGGGCATGAGCGAGCCCTCCCTCCCACGAGGTGAGCCTTCTCCCGAAGTCTGGGGAGAGGCCCTCGGGAGTCCTGCTGCCCACGTGTGTAGGGGAGCAGGTCTGAGGCCTCCAGGAGCGGCAGCCACAGTGGTCAGGACACAGCTTCGGAGGCACAAACCTGACAACTCCACAGCCCCTGGCTGGGAGCCCTTGGGCAAGCGGCTCTGGCTCATGGGCAAAGAGATTAGAAATAAGATACACTGGGTGCTTGGCAATGTCAATAGCAGCCACTCTCTTTATCCTGATCCTAAGTCTGCCCCAGGCCCTCTCTTAACATGACAACCCTGGAGAGAAGTCACCAAGGGATTCCCGATTCACAGCAGCATGAGAATGTCAAATGCTCCCCAGGCCTCTGTGGTCCAACAAGACTGTGCCCTACTCCGCGAGCCTTCCTTCAGCCGAGGGCTAGGAAAGCTCTGGGCTCCACGTGTCTTTGGGTTCCAGCTCTTAAGGCCAAAAAATTAAGAGCAAGGCATGGGCTTTGTTTTGGGAAAAATCAGAGCCATCCAATGTGGTGCCCCAACTTGCTGGCCAAGAATAGACAGGTTGCACTTAGCGCTGACAACAGGCCTGGAGACAGCGGGTCTGACATGAGTCTTCCCGGGCTGACGCCGGAAATGGCTGTGCATTCAAGGGAAACCATTTGGCCTGCGCCACTGAGGACGAGTTGAAGCAGCAGGCAACACCTTCCTTTTCAATGTGTGTTAAGTCACTTGTTTATTTCTCAAGATGTGCACACTCAAGTATGAAGCTGGCCGGGACAACTCATGGCTCCTAGGTATGTACAGGCCCTTTGATGGCTTGGGTTACAGACAACCTCATAGCTGGTGCACCACACACACGAGATAAAACAGGAAGCCTAAAAACCCCAAGCCACACCAAGAAAAATGAGAGAGGGGAGGGCGGGGTAACAATGCAGCATCCCGCGGAGGGAACTTAATGCACAAGGAGGGAGAACAGAGGGTGGAAGGCAAGCCAGCTTCGTCTTCGCCGCCGCAGCTGCTGTGTGGTGGTCAGGGGACTGAGTTCAACAGGTCCTTCAGGAAGCTCTCTGGATCGGTGATTTCTGATAAAAGACCTGCAAAGCACAACGGGCAGAGGTGTGTCAGGAGCAGGCATACAGCCCCCATTCCCCCTGAGTCACAGCTGCCGCATCTAGCAGAGAACACACTGCGGTCCGACAAGCTCTGGCCCGGCTGCTCACTGGACAGCAGCATGACCGGGGAGGTAGTCATTGAGCAAAACCCTGTTCCGCAGGAGGAGTCCTGTTCCAGAAGCAGGCACTGCTGGAAGGTGTTTTTGTTCTCACATTTGAATAGGGTGTGTCTGATGTTCTGAAATTTTCTAACAGCTTAAACAAAGTAATAAAGTGGTGCTGTCAAAACCTGACCTAGGAGTGGAAGGCACGGAGGCTCGCTGCCTGGCAAAGGCTCTGGCTCTCCCTGGCTGCAGGCCAGGGGTGCTTGCCAGCAGCTCAGGGCTGATGTGGAGCTCGAGCCCAAGGGACCCTCCTTCCTCTGCCCACCTCCTCCTCCTCTCACTAGCTCCAACTTCCACAGTCACAGTGACACAGGCTCATGCAACAGGCACAGGGCCCAGCACTGAGGACTTTACCAGCCCACCTGGTCCCAGGGCTGACTTTCTGGGAAGAACGCGAGGCATGTGCTAAGGTATGATGCTGGTGAAACATCTAGGCTGAAACAGAGCCAGTGGGAGCCGTAAAGAGGTGGTGGAGTTAACAAACACACAGAGGTGAGCAGTGTTAGCACAGGCCCGCCCAGACGCGGAGGCAGGCACCAGGTCGACGAAGACCATCCCAGCACAGAGCTTCCGCTGAGGACACTGCAAGGGGCAGCCAATGCGGAGGCACAGAGCTGTTTGGGAAAATCGGTCAGCTGGCTCTGAGCTGGGAAGAAAGAGGAATTCACACTGAGCAACACTCTAGCCCTTTAGTGGGTCTCATTCCCAGAGGATAACAAGATAGAGAAAATGTTAGCAGAGGCGTTCTCCTAACAGTGGGATCTGGGGGGAGTTTGTTTTCCTGCTTCTTTATACTTTACAAAATTCCCACAACGAATGCCATAAAAAAATGAAACAAGATCATAAAAAAGAGCTGGCAGGTTTGGTTACCTGTGCGTTGGCTCTGGGGAGCTGACCTTTGTAGGGCGGGTGCTCTGATGGGGGCTGTAATGCCGCGGCGCCCACAACCTCACAGGGCACTGTCTTTTAACCCTAGGTGGATTTCCCAGGCACGGGCCAAGTCACCTCCCCCTGCTGTCACTTGGTGCTTGGTTATGAAATACAAACCAATTCTAATGTGTTTGTTTGCAATTAGAATGACAAATTTGTTACACAAAGAATTTCAATTTTACTAGCAGTAGGATAAGGAATTGTCTGACCACGTCTCCCACACCCACAGTTCAGAGCGGCCCTGCTGGGTCGCCCATGCCTCCCTGGGGTCAACTGTGACCTAAGACGCAGGAGGAAGACAGGGGCATTCCAATTTGCATGTTAATTCTCTGAACTGCCATTAAAAAACAGACTCAAACAGGGATGCTATCACTTTCTAGCTATGTTCCCTTGGCCACTTATTTGATCTTCAGAGCCTCATTTACCCCATCTATAAAATGGGGATAACCAAAGCTCCTGCCTCATATAGGGCTGCCTCGAGGGCTGAGATCACATACAGTGAACAGCCCATGTCGGGGAAAGAGGGGGTGCTCAGTACATGTTAGAGCTGCTGTTCTCGTTATCGGTGACTTGCTATTTACGCATCTTTCCCAGGGCTTTCAGTGGCAGCTGACAGGCTGGTTCATACTGCGTTTCCTCTGGTCGTGAAGATAAAGCTACGGATGACCCACGGAGGAAGACATGGGGCTTTGCTGCGGAGGATCTTTAAAAGAGAAAACCTTGACACTAACCGGCCACATCGAGGAACTCTGAGAAGGTCTCCACTGGCATGAACTCCTCCTGGAAGGTTTTCAGGGCTTTGTCGGCAGCTTCGTAGATGGGCATGTCGTTGTGGCGGATGTACTCAGCGAGAGAGCAGGACCAGCCTCCCTCTGTGTTACTGGTAGGCACCTTCTACGAGAATCAACAGGAGACAAGAGAGGTGGGTGACTTACTGCTGCCTCATCTTCCGCCTCAAGTCAGTCAGGCCATTTCAACCCCTCAAAGGACAGCCCTCCCAACCTACACCAAAGCATACCAACAGGCACCCTAGAGCGTGCGTTTTGTCTCCAGGAACGACACAATTTCACTTCATTCCTCTTAGGCCCTCCTTATTAGGCACTGTGTCACCTGAAGCTACAGGCTCCAACAAGTGGCTGCATTCCCTCCCCGTACACTTCCCATTCGCATTCCCCAGAGCAAAGGGACTTGTCAATGTGCTTCCATGAGCTGTCTCATTCCGATGATGAAAGGAACCAACTCAAAAACTCAGATTCTCTCCGGAGAGGAGTGTCCTGTTATAAGCTGGCTGCGGTAAGTCAGACTCACTCAGGGCAACAGAGCTTATCCCAATAGCACGGCAAGAGCAGCAAAGAGAGACCCGGCGGGGAAGGTCTTCCTGCACAGCCGAGTCTGGAGCAGGCTCGGGAGCAGGTGACAGGAGTGATCTCAGCTACAAATGTGGGCCAGGCACAGTGGCCCATGCCTGTAATAGCAGCACTTTGGGAGGCCAAGGCAGGCGGATCACCTGAGGTCAGGAGTTTCAGACCAGCCTGACCAACATGGTTAAACCTCATCTCTACTAAAAAAACAAAATTAGCCGGGCGTGGTGGTGCCTGCCTGTAATCCCAGCTACTTGGGAGGCTGAGGCAGGAGAATCACTTGAACCCGGGATGCAGAGGTTGCAGTGAGCCGAGATCACGCCATTGCACTCCAGCCTGGGCAACAAGAACAAAACTCCGTCTCAAAAAAACCAAACCAAACCAAACCAAACAAAACCAAACAAAACAAATGTACCTCACAGACACAAGGCTCCAGGCTGCCAGTGTCAATCCCTCCCACAGTTGGGGTTGTTTGTTTCTAGGAAAAAAGCGCCCCCAGGCCCAGCGGAGGAGCAGCCATGTGGGTGCTGAGGCAGAGTCAGGGACAGGAGTGCAGACATTTTACACTCTTGCCAAAACCCACTGGGCCTCTGACAGCCTCCTTACCTTAAACATGTTGTAAATGAGATCGACGAGGGCCCAAAAGAGAAGGGAAGAACGGTAAGCGGAATAGTCCTTCACTGCCTTATCTGTCAGCCTGGAAAAGAAAATCCAGTTCCATCACATGAAGTCCCTAGGAGGATACTCACAAGGACAGAGCAAGGCATGCTGGGAGCAAGGGAAGAGTCACAGTGGTGTATGCATCTCGGAGTTCCAGCGACTAGCCTTCTGCTTGGAAAAAAGCAGCTGTGGGCAAGAACCTCTGGAGCCCTGGGACCCAGAAGTTTATTGGTTACAAAAATGCTCCATGAAATTCATCTGATTCTCTCAGTGCTCATCTTCCAGATCAGGGTAAAATGGAACCGGGGGAGACATCGCCAGGGCAGACGTGGCAAATGCAAGGCTAGTGACTTAAAGAAAGGCAAAGGATTCCTATGTATCCCTTGTGTTTGGGCCCCGACAAGCTCTTGGAATTTGATGGAACCTAATAAATGAGGTAGGAAACAAGGTTTTAATTCAGTCTTTACATTCCCACTAGGAGAAATTTCTTAAAAGCCAGCAGACCTAAACCAGTCAAACACGGTAACTTGTCAAACATGTGCTGTGTTAAATGGCAGCAAGCTGCTAGGAAGTTGGTATCAAGCAATGGTAATGTCTAAGATGGAGCATGCAGCCACCCTGACATCACCTAAATCCTGGGATAATCCAAGTTGCTCACCACACCCCATTGTTTCTAACCAGTATCGTTGCTACTTAATCCAATGATTCAGTTCAGGATTAAAGACCAGCCAGTTCCTTGGAATATGGGGAGCGACAGGCAGGGGGAGACTGCCTCTAACAATGTCCACTGCCTTCTCAGCAGAATTCTTGGTTTGAGGTTTGAGGAATGATTACACCAGGTAGAGCCAGTATGAAACACAGAAATATCAGGCTCCCCTCGGCACAGACAGTGAAATATCAGTGTCAGGATTCAGTTTCTACCACCCAAGCTCTACGGAGGTTTTGTTTGCCAACAGCCATCACATCTGTAATAAGTAAAGCCTAGGTGAGCCCTTGTCACAGAGTATTCTACACCTCAAAACACACTGGAACACATCCCATGACTAAAGGGACATATATTAAAATGTTTAGTATTAAAATGCATGGGTATATATAAGAATCATAAAAATAAGAAACATAGATGGTATTCATTATAGAAGCTAAAACTATATGGGCCTCAAGTGAAGGGGCTGCCTAGCATGAGACAGGCTATCCACACCTGCATTCAATAAATAACTCGCAAAAAACAAATAATATTAAATGGGGACAATTCCCTCTCTACTGAAATATGCTTCCTGTGGCCTCCCTCTGCCCCAGTACCTTCCCAAGCCCCCACTTTCTCTCCCGCATACGTGTGATGATGCTGCAGCCTAAAGTCCTGGAAGGTGGACCCGTGGATGAGGACAAGAATCCATTTCTCTGCAGCTCTTTACCCTGGCAGACAAGATAACAGATCAAGTTCTGACAGACGCCTGAGAATGTCCCAGGCTTTGTACTTGCAAGTTCCTGGCAGAGGAACTTTTTTTCTGAATGTCAAGTGTGCAGAAGAGGCCAGCTTCTGCTGAGCTACATTTCTGTGTCTCTGCTACTACCCCTTACCCCATGACTTACAGGACTTAGGACAAAGCCTGCCGCCAGTGAGGCTGCCCCAGCATCAGGATGATATCTCTACACGCCCTTCCAGCCGCGGTCTCTCCCCCATGGGTCTCCTCCCAGTATCGGGCTAACCCACAGTGCCTTTCCTAGTCTGCCTGATGAGTGCCGGGCTCACGGCCCCGGACCACGGCCGTATTTGGCCCTTTGCTGTGGCTGTTGTGCTTTGGTAAGCAGAAATCCTGAGTGACCCTGCCCAACTTAATTATTTAAGGCCAATTAGTAAAGGTGACGAAACTGCTACAGAGAAAACAGCAACTCATGAATGTAGTAGCTCACACTGGATTTCCTAATTAAGCTGTGACCAAATCAGCTTTTCCTGAACTGCCTGGGACAATAATGAATGCTAGTCTCCTAAGTGAGAGCAAAACAGCTCCTGTGGGTTCAGATTGCACACCCGCCATGGAGAGACTGTGCCCAATAAATGGCCACTCTATTTGCTGTGGATGCAGCATATGGATACTGGCCAAGCCTGACTTATCAACTTAGTATTCTCAAGATCTAACTTTTGATTTCCAGCAGCTAGTTAACTATTAATTCAGGCTCTTGGGAAATACTGGAAAGTGATATGTTAGGAATGGGGGCAGGGGTTACCTAGGAATCTAACAAGACGCCCCCTCCCACTCTCCAGTGATGATCTGGTACAGGCCAGATTCAACAGGACAGCTCCAATCTGGTCTCTCTGGGAGCGTGAAGTGCCCACAGACCAGCAACGCTTGATCAATCAGGGCTAATGGAAATAAAGACACCAGGTGTGCCAATGAGGGCACAGGCTATTTTCCACTTGGCTTGTCTTTATCACGGCCCTAAAAGTTTCTCTCTGCTCCCTGGATGGCCTACAAATGTGGACATGATCCCTCGAATCCTGGGCTAAAGCAGAATCACAAAAATCACAAACCCGATCTTCCAGAAATGAAGCAGAGGCACATTTCACTCGAGGGACAGAAGCAAAATGCCAAACCCAGAGCCTGCTCCGTAGCTCCCCAGGAAAGGTAGAGACTGTGTGGGGCCATTGGCAGCCTGAGTGGTACCCATGGGGTCTCCTCTGCGCACAGCAATCCATGGGGGTCCTCAAAGAGATGCTGTGGTGGCAGTTTCCAGCTGTTTCTCTTGAGACCATCTGTCCCAAATCACAGCCCAAGGTCATAAATCAAAGACCACTTCCTTTCTGACATGCTCTTTCTTGGGGAGGTGTCCACACGTATAGGAGAGTGGTCTAGAGGAAGAAAGGTTCATGGAATGTGGGACGCATGGGATAGGAATGTAACCAAGAAGAGAGAATGAAGACGAGTTTTTAATTATTAGAAAATACCCCATGTGGCCACACTGAAACTTTCCTGGCTTATGCCAACACCAGCAAGATGTGGAAAACCTGATTACTGTTCTTAGCCCTGATCATCTCATTGGTTTTATCACCCTGTGCCTGGCTGCCTTCCTAACATTTTCTACAGTAGGTAAGACTGGCTCTACCTTTCTAGTAGCGGAACAGAAAACCCAGAAATGACCAGGCAACCTGCCAGCCATCAGCTTAGACTCTTGACATGACAGACTGAGAAGGGAGAAGGGCTGGTGTCAACCACCGCAGTCACAAAGCATGCCTTCACCTAGCACGTGCGTACCACTAAGCAGCTTTTCAAAACTGATGATGGGAAATAGTGAGCAGCAGCTTCCGGAAGCAGGTACTGACCTGGTGGCTCCACCTGGAGCCACTGCCCGAGCCTGCGAGGTCACCAACAGCCTCCGCAAGATTTCCACACGTGTGGCTCTCCACTGCTCAGGGGGCAGGATGTGAAGGGCCAAGACTGTGAAATAGTAGGGCCCGTCCACTTCAAAGGCACTCTCCACCCACTTCTCCTTGGGCTGTTCCAGAAAGCCTTGGAGGTTCTTCTCTTCTCGGGAAGTTGCTCGGGTTCTAGAAGAAAAGCGGCATGATAAAATAAAAGCAGGGTGGAAGCAGGACCCGGCAGCAAGAGCAGGAAGAATTTGCTCAATTTGTCGTTGTCTTGTGACATTTGCTGAACGCTTGGATGACTCAACACTCCCCACCCATCCTTGCCGACTACTCCCACTTCCTCTGATAATCCACGCCCTTCGTCCCCTTCCAGGCCCTTCTTCGCGGCATCTTCCCTTCTTCCCTGGCCCCATGTCTAGCTCCTACCCCAGCTCTAATACAATTCCAAGCAACTACTGGTTCCTGAGCACCATATATCAGGGACGTTCACAATCTCCCCAACATGGAACTGTGCTAGTAACTCCAGAGGCCCAGAAAAGTGAAGTGACTTGCCCAAAGTCAGCAAGCTAGTGAGTGATGGGGCCAAAAACATGAATCAAGATTCCCTGGTGGGTCCACAGCCTGACTCCCCCTTGCTCCACATAGTCTTGTTATGTTATGTTTACATGGTTTGCACTAAATGTGCATGTGGTTCCTTTCCTAGGCTCCCTCTTCCGGTTTGTCTTCTTCTGATCTAGGATCCTCCCGCCTTCGTTAGAACAGCCTCTTCCAGATGAGCGCTGCTTCTTGTCCTCATGCGTCCTAAGTTGCAATGATGATGATGATGATGACCACACCAGACTCAGTGCCAGGCACTGCTCTAAGTGCTTTACGGGATTATTTCACTTAGTACTCACAAGAATGCTATGGGATAGTGCCACCACTATCCCAATTTTAAAGAAACAGAAAACTGCAGTACAGAGGAGGTAAGGATTCTGCCCAAGTCTCACATCGTGGAAAAAACTGTGTTCTGAAGCCAGGTAGCCTGTCCATCTTAACCCTACCTCCTTCTCCACGCTGAAGCTTTGACAAAAGGTCACGGAATCAGCACTGAGAGGTGACTTAAGTCCTTCCTGATGACACGCTTCTGGGTACACTCTCTCCTTAGATCCTGAATGGTGCTCTCATGCCATGAATGCTTGATGCCCTATCCTAACTCCATGGGGCACTGGTAGGGAGAGGTGGGGACAAACACAACACTAGAACCGGGAAAAAAAAGTTACCAGGTCTATAGGTGGCACTGGCACAGATGCTGGACTCTGGGAAAGCAGGAGGAGAGGGTGCAAGGACACCCTGCCTGCTTCTGCTGCCTGCAGATGGGCATGGATGGATACATTCAACTTGATCTTCCAGCCCTGTAGGGAATCTGAGGCTGTTGGCTGCTGCAGGATCTGCTCAGGCTCTGGTCTGGCTTACGGTGGCCATGCTGTGACATACTTGCCTCCATAAACAAATATTCCACCAAAGGCACTCAGCCCCACTGTGACCAAGCTCCCACCAATGTCAATTGGATAGCTGTCGACTGGGAAGCAGTCTGGGCCGAGAAGCAAGGCCTCTCTGTGAAGCTTCTGGGTCAGCCTCTGGCTGACCAAAGAAACTGTGAGACAGCCAATTCCCTTTCCAATGAAGGGACCTGACAATTACAAATGTCTGGCTTGTTCAGAAACATACTGACACCTAGTCACCCAGGGCTCTGTCCAGGGCCCCAGGAACACTGAGAAGGAGCGAAATTTGGACAGTGGGAAGGTCTGCGCCATCAGTGCTGCCAGGTGCTGCTCCCGCCAGTCTAAGCAGTTCAGCAGATGATGTAATGCACTCTGATGTCAACCTGCCCCTGCGTGTTTTAACAATGAAGCCTGTGGTCTCGAGGTCAGCCTTTTAACTCACAAGGAAATGGGAGGGAAGGAAAAGATAACATTGTTGAAGAGAAAGAACTAGAAAAGACAAGAGACAGATTGTCCTGTTGCCTAAACTGTGCTGCAGCTACCCGGGGTGAGCTGTACACAACCTTTCAACAGGGAACCGTAAGCCTCTTGCTAGGAGATGGGGCCTACAAGCATGAAACAGTGAATTAAATGGAAGAGCTAAAGGATAGTCAATCTCCTAATTTTTTTTTCTTTGAGACATGGTCTTGCTCTGTCACACAGGCTGGAGTGCAGTGGTGTGATCACGACTCACTGCAGCCTCAACCTCCTTGGCTCAAGCCATCCTCTCACCTCAGTCTCCCGAATAGCTGGGACTACAGGTGTGAGCCTGGCTAATTTAAAACAATTGTTTTTTTCATTAAGACAGAGTCTTGCTATGTTGCTTAGGCTGGGCTCAAGCAATCCTCTTACCTTGGCCTCCCAAGTGCTGGGATGACAGGCGTGAGCCACCGTGCCTGGCCTAAGTGCTTCTTTAAAATTACACTTCCAGGTACCAACCTAACTGTCCCATAATGTGCATATGGATAAAACTACCAATCTCTTTTTTTTCCTGGCTGCCTTCCTTGTCGGTTGACTTTCCCAGATAATCTTGAACATTCCCTTTCCCTTCACACTTGCCAGAAGCATTACCCACTGTAGAGAAAACAGGGATAACAAATCCAGTTTTCCATTTATGAACTGGGTCCTCAGCTCTGCTGCATCCCCTTGATGGGAAACCATCACCTGTAACAATCTATATGCCCTTGACTAATGATGTGGGCACAGCTCCGACCTGTGGCCTCCCCCCATTCAAGAGAACAGTCTGGAAAGTAGAAGTAGCCGCTGCATCGAAGTAGAGGCTTCAGTGGCCTGACTTTTCCCACTTCCTGCTCCCCTGTGAGCTGAACGTCAGTCCAAGGATGCGGTCTTGGGCTGCCCATGGTGGGAGACAGGGCAGTTTGGGGGAAGGAAGTTCCCTTTATTGCTTTTTCTGCATGGCCCTAAAAGAATGCAGATGAGCATCCCCACCTCGGCAAAAAGGCTGCCTTAGGCCAGACGCTTGCTCCGGAACTAGCATGAGAGGCTATGAAAAAGCTGAGGGGATCTCGGGCAGAGGGATGCAGGGTGGGTCTGCGAGATGCCGCCCCTGGGACACAGGGTACTGACGTGTTCAGGACGTAAAGCACAGTGTGAATGATGTACGGGATCAGGTGGATGTTGCTCTCCCGGCCGCCCCCGCCAGTGTCTGCGCTGAACGACTGCTCCATGGCGAAGCGCAGGAAGAGCAGTTTGATGTCATGGATGTTGAGCTGATACGTGGGCTCCCGCTGGCCTGTACATTCCTGGAGGTAAGTGTTGTGTCTAGAGGGAAGCAGAACAAACAATGAAATGGAAGTGAGTTCCTGGTGAAAACCCAGTTTGGGAGACAGAGCCTCCTTCCAGTACTCCCAGGCCTGATGGCTGCAAAGGTTTGCAAACGGAGACAAGAATACAAGGGAAAGTTGAGGCCAAGGCTGGGGCCAGCAGGACGACAAGGCCATAGGACGTTTTCATTTCTGCAGTGACTGAACGTGACACTCGCCAAGTTTTGATGAGAGCCCACCACTCTTGGGCGCCCATTTCTTAATGAACTAATGTTGTAGGACATACCGTGGCTGCATGTGGAGTACATTTTGGAGGAAGCAATGTAGAACTCATCCATTCTGACTGACAAAGTGACCTGTCCATAAGAATGAGCTCTTCAATCTCCAAATAAAAGGGTTTTTTGTTTTTGCTTTTGTTTTTCCTATGTCAATACACATTCCCATCTATCTGGGCTGTGCCTCTTATTAACTGGGTGACCTCGAGCAAGTTGCTCAAACTCTGCATCTCATCTGTACAATGTATACAAGAATACATGCCTGGCCGGGCACAGTGGCTCACACGTGTAATCCCAGCACTTTGAGAGGCCGAGGCAGGTGGATCACCTGAGGTCAGGAGTTCCAGACCAGCCTGGCCAACATGGCAAAACCCCGTCTCTACTAAAAATACAAAAATTAGCTGGGCATGGTGGCAGGCACCTGTAATTCCAGCTACTTGGGAGGCTGAGGCGGGAGAATCGCTTTAACCTGGGAGGCGGAGGCTGCAGTGAGCCAAGATCACGCCACTGCACTCCAGCCTGGGTGACAAGAGCAAAACCCTGTCTCAAAACAAAAGAATAGAGGTTAAGCATTTCAACATGCTCTCCATTGTCACTGCCAGCTGCCTGTTTTATGACAGGCATCTTTTTATCCCTGAGCTTTGAAATAGGACTTGGGGTGGGGCACCACTCCACAAGGCATCAGCAAGACATGAGGACCTCACAGATGCTTTAGCTATTCTTATCTGGGTTTTTAGGACCAGGAAGGCCTTCTAAGGAGCCCAACATCCCCCCTGCCACTAAGCCACTTTCGTATTTAAACCTCAGAGCCACACACTGTAGAAGTGAACTCAGAAATTCTGGCCTCAAGGACCAAGTTGGCCCCACATCTTCTGTCATAAGATCAGCAAAGGAATAGTGAAGACCCAGAAATTTCATCTGGTACCCTGGAAGCTAAGGGTGCTGGTTCCTCCCACCCTGTGGTGGGCCATGTCAGGTCACCCCTTGAGTAAGCCTCCATCCCCCACCCTGTATGCTCTGGACAGCTCCCCAGTCAGCAAGCAGACAGACATGGATTCCCAAGGAAGGTAACAGGAAATGGTGTCACCAGGGGATTGGGCTGATAGCGGGTCTTGTCCCATCCCCTGCAAATCCCCTCCATTCCACCATGAAAAATACTCAACACTCACCTTGCCAAGCAAGTGGCAAAAGCTGATTCAGGGACATGAGGTCCCCAGACCGGAAGGAGCCCGTTGCACTTGGTGTTGGCATTCTGCAGGGCGGCACTCTCCCACTCTTCCCGGCCTCGAGCCAACCTGGATAGGGAGGAGAGCAGGGACAAGCGACTGCTGGCATTAACGTGGCAACCAGGCACCTGGGCGGGGGGGCGGGGGTGGGGGTGGGGGCATGCCAACACTAAGAAGTCAGTCGGCCCAGGCTCCTGACCCTGCGAAGAGAATTTGCTATTTGTAGCCTCAATGTGGTACACACTGGCTTTGCTGACTCAGGTAGGCAGGGCTGTTCTCACTAGCCTTGGGCCCAGGCCAAAGCATATTTTCCTATCATTCAAATAACTGCTTGGGGACCTATATGGTGTCAGGCAGAACACCCTACTCTCCAGAGACTAAGGAGCAGATTTAAAACCACGAGGATGGCAGTCCCACCCGCTCCAGGCCCACAGGCAGGCCTACTGAAGGAGCCATTCCGCAAGAGCCAGGGCCTACCTGACGGCAGCCAGATGGCAGTCGTAGTGCACAATGTTGAAGTGGGACACGGTGCTGTAGCCCTGCTGTTTCCGGGGCTTATTCTCCATCTCCTCCAAGGCTACCCGCTTCGTGAAGGTATAAATGCCCAGGACCTTTGTGGGCTGCAAAGACGACAACATAAGGAGAGGGGAGGAGAAACTCCAAGTCAGGCTCAGGAGAAGCAGAATAGAGGGGAACTGCCGCCCTTCTTGGGCAATGCCTTGGGTTTCAGGTTGCTCTCACTAGGGAAGTTCAGAAGAGCAGGTAAGGCCAGCCCCTCAGTCTGTTGGTGAAGCACTTGGCTGGCCGCAGCCCTAGTGAAACAAGGATTATGGGAGCAACCAGCAAGAAGGGGATGCGGTGCAGATGCAGAGGCATACACATAAGCAAGCCTCGGCCATCTTTCTTTACTTTGTGCTTCATCTGTCTGAAAATGCAGAAGTGACTTCTTGATATTCCCTTGCTTTTCAAAACCTGCTGGGCAGCTCTGAAGAGCCTGCATTACGCAGGACTAACGAGCCCTGTGGCCCAGGCACCTGCCCTTTCACAGCCTGTATTCTAAGCAGTAAGTTCCAGCTGGAAAGAAGAGGCCACCTTTGAGCCTTCAGGAGAGCCAGCAGGTCACTGGCTGCTCTGCTCCTTTCAGGTGGAATCTAGTTTGGATAAGCCTAGAAAGTTCTGATTTTCTCCCCAGTTACCCTGAATGGAGGCAGCATGGTATGTTTTTAAAAGCCCAGGTCTGGAGTCTGAGAAGCCTAGGCTGGAATTCTGGCTCTGCCATGTGACCTTTGTTTGCTTAACCACAAGTTGAGACTTTTTACAGGTTTAAATAAAATTATCCAGTTTACACAAAGCTCTGAGCATGAGGCCTCACATATAGGAAGAATCCAATGAGCAGCATTTGTCATGATGATGATAAAGATAACAAAGTCTAAAGTTCGGATGAGCTCGCCTTCCTGCCTCTAAAGAGGACAGCTGGTCCTTTTGTTAATCTCCTAAGATGCAGGCCTTGATCTTGCCTAGCTAAGAACAAAATGGCCTGGAGGAGGGGGATGCTACCTAGAACAAGGGGTCAGGCTGGGCCCTCAGGACCGACCGTAGGCCCAGCAGCTGTACCTGGAACTTGTATCCCTCCCTGCAGATGCAGCACGTGAGGCCAGGCTCCTCGATCAGCTCTTCCATCTGCTTCAGGAGTGCTGTCTTGGTCACGACCTGGCCCTTTTCATTTGTCTGTAGGGGAACCCCGGTGGCATGTCAAGGGGATTTCCACACACCCTCTCCCACCCTAGCTTGGAGATGCTCAGGAACAGGGCTAACCTTCTACCTCCACTAAAAGGACAGGTGCATGAGAGGAAAGCCCTTGAGCTGTCTTCTAATAAGGATAAAGACCCAGGCCCTTCTGCTATTCTCTCTTCCTACAGGAACCACTGAAGCAAAGGAAGTCATCCAGCTGGAGCCCTGGCAAGGTGCCACCTGCCATCAGAAAAGCCCCCTTTCTTCATGCCAGCATCTTCGTGCCAGCAATGCCAAGTCTCAGCTTCCAAGGGTTGTTGCACTATGATTCATTCACTGTTCCCAGGTGAGCTTTTCAACTGCTGACACTCAAGTCTGTGCTTTGGAAAAGGAGCTTGTAGGACTCTGCTTCCTCCAAGGTGGGACAGTTAGAAGAGCACAGAACCCTTTGTGTCAACCACTTATTAGTTATGTGCCTTGGCCTATTTACTTCACCTCTCAGTTTCAGTTACTTCATCTGGAAAATGGGTATAACAATATCAACCTCCTAGAACTACTTGAGGGCTTAAATAAGTCCTCAATAAACTTAATGGCTATTATCACTGGTTTACTGTTTTGGTAAACTTCGTAAGTCACTTACTCCGAGTCTCATCTGTATGATAGAACGATAGTAGTTCCACCTCTGAGAGGGCCGAACACACCTAGTTCCTTCCTCCTACTCTGTCCAGCCTTCTCTTTCCCCATGGCCAACCCCAGGGCTGTCCCATGGCCACCTCCTCATCAACAGTGTGGGCAGAAATATGGGGACTCTAGGTGGTAGCTTTACCGTCATGCCCAGGGTGCCCAGGGCCTTCTGCCTCATTGCCATGGCCATGCGCTTCTTCTCTGCCCGGGTCTCCCTGCGGGCTGCGTCAATCTTCTTGTTTACGTCAGGGTGTTCCCGCAGGGCTTCCAGCAGGTTCTCTGCCAAGGTCCCAATGCCCTCATCACTGGACACCTGCTCCAGCTTATGCAGGTTCGGGATGGAATCAGTTCCAATCAGAACCTGCCAGTAAGAGACCAGAGAGACACATGCCTCCAATTATGTAGACAAACCTTCTTCCCGGGAGCTTAAAGGTTTAGAAACTCAACCAGCATGCACCATCTCATGTCACCTGCTCAGCTGCAATCAGGTCCTTTGATTCCACACTTTGACAGACACAGACAAATGGAAGAGGGTTTGGCTCTGCCACTGCCTCTGACCAATTCCTATGCTCTAAGCTCAGTATTTCCATCTATAAAATGGGGATAGTGCAAGGGCTGCTGTGATGACTAAAAACTAGATAACATATGCAAAGCATCCATCACAGAGGATGTGGAAAGGGGCCAGGAGAAGATCCCCGTATTCTGGTAAGACAAGCAGCAACACCTGATGTGTACTGAGTGGTGAACCAGCAGCCAGAGCAGGCACTGGACGTTCTCCTAAGGACCTGCCCTGAGTTCTCCACGGGAGCCCCTGGGTCCACCAAACCTAGGAGCACAGTTTTCTCAGGCTAGGGATACTAGAGGTGCAATGACTACAAGCAGGTATGGACATGAAAAACTTTAACAACAAAAAAGATATTAACAAGAAACCTCTGTGCCTGAAAAAGCTGGAAGTCACTACGTATAGCGCTATGTGATAAACGGGGGTGGAGAACATCAGAAGGCTAAAGACAGGTGTAGTTGGAAAAAGCACTCCAGGTGAGCTCACTGAGAAATATTACCACATCCCTGAAATCCTCACCAACCTGTCACAAGTGACTTGACAGCAATGATTACATATGAGACAACAGGCTGAAAATAACACAGCCAGCAGATCACTCAGTAGCTCATAAATCTGTTCTCACAGCAAGTCCACTTCCAATCTGTGTCTCAGCGAAATTACCTATTCCCTCATGTCTCATGCTCCTAAATGCTGAGCCCATATTTCAACTCCTACTGAGCTTTTCCACAGGTACCCCAAACTCAACATTCTGGCTGTTTACTGTGTGTGCATGCTTGCACATGTGTGTTTTCGGTGCTGGGAAAACAAAGACCTTGCTCTCATTTAACTTACATTCTAGTTATTAATAGGACAGACCATACATTCATAGCATAGTCTAATGAACTCTCCTCCACCTTACTCGCAAACCTCTGATCTTCTCCATCTCAGTGGCACCACCATTCACCTCATCACTCATTCCAGAAACTGAGCAGGTTCTTGATTCATTCAGCTTCTTAGCTTCTCACGTTCGGTCACTCTCCAAATCCCATTTATTCTTCCTCCCAGCTCAATCTCTGTTGAATCTATCCATGAACTAGTTTAAGCTGCCATTTCTCTCACTTCAATTACGATAAAAGCCTGTCAACTGTTCTTCCTACCTCCAATCTCACCTCCCTTCAATTCACTCTCTGTAATATGGCCAGGGCACTGCCCTCAGGAGAAAACCCACACTCCTCTTCTGGGAGAAAGAACATGCCTTTCCCCTGCTTGGATCTCCATCGGCAGCTCTTGCCATGCCTCGCCTCCGACTGCAGCTGCTTTCAATTCTTGGAAGGCTTTAAGCTCTCTTTGGCCTCTGAACCTTTGCAGGTGCCATGCCCTCTACTTAACAATCCTATTTCCTGAGGCCCCTTCCACACTGCATCTATCTCGCTGTTTAGTTACTACTCTGTATTTGGCTCTATCTTCCACCAGACAGTAAGCTCCCAACAGGCACAGGCGACAGCTGTCTCCTCAGTCTAACACAGGACCAGCTACACAACAAGATGTGTTGCAAGAAAAATGAATGGCCATAGCATAAATGCCAAGTATCTAACTAGATAAAGCCTTATTCTAAAGAAAGTAATTCAATTTGGTAACTAAGAATAAATCTGGATGGCCAGACACAATGGCTCACGTCTGTAATCCCAGCACTTTGGGAGGCTGAGGGGAGCGGATCACCTGAGGTCAGGAGTTGGAGACCAGCCTGGCCAACATGGTGAAACCCCGAGTCTACTAAAAATACAAAAAATTGGCCAGGTGTGGTGGCAGGTGCCTTTAGTTCCAGCTACTCGGGAGGCTGAGACAGGAGAATCGCTTGAACCCGGGAGGCAGAGGTTGCAGTGAGCCGAGACCATGCCACTGCACTCCAGCCTGGGTGACAAGAGCAAAACTTCATCTCAAAAAAAAAAAAAAGAATAAGCCTGGAAATCAGCTGACTTTGAGTTCCAAACTCATTGTGTTGCCTTTGGCCAAATCACAACCGTGTTCCTTGATTTATCCATATACAAAAGAGAGATGTTACAAGGATATGGAAAACAATACATGTGAAATTCCTATGCAGGAAAAAGTATCTCCACAAATATATACAATTATGACTCCACTGAGTTGAACAGAAGTTTAGAAAAGGGATTTCAGTGAGACACAGTGAAGAATCTTTACTGTACTCAAGTTACCATGTTTTTGGAATGAGTTACCGAAACAGATTACCAAATGAGACAGTGGAACTATTTTCAATGCAGAACACTACAAACAGAAAAAACGCAATGCTGAGGACTCTCAAAACTCAACATTAAAAAACAAACAATCCAGTTAGAAATTGGGCAAAAGACATGAACAGACATTTCACTGAAGATACACAGGGCACATGAAAAGACGTTCAACATCATGAACCACTAGGAAAACGCAGAACCACACGGAATCACTGCACATCTTCCAAACAGTTCAAACTAAAAATAGTCACCAAATGCTGGCTAAGACGCAGAGAAACTGGAGCAGCCATACATTTCCGGTGAAATGTAAAATGTAAAATGCTGTAGCTACTCTAGAGAACAGTTTGGCAGCTTCTTATAAACAAAATATGCAACTACTATACAACGCAGCAACTGCACTCTTGGGCATTTATCCCAGAAAAATGAAAACTTATATTCACACAAAAACCTGCACACAAGTGTTCATGGCAGCTTTATAAATAACAGCCAAAAACTGGCAACAATCCAGGTGTCCTTTAATGGGTGAACAGTTAAACAAACCTGGATGAAACTCCAGAAAATCATGCTGAGAAAAAAAAAAAAGACAATCCCAAAAGGTTACATTCTGTACAACTGCATTTATACAACATTCTTGAAATGCCAAAGTTACAGAAATGGAGAACACATCGGTGGGTGCCAGGGGCTTGTGGCAGGGGAGCAGGGGAAGATAGATGTGGCTACAAAAGGCCAACAAGAGGGACCCTTGTGCTGATGAACCTGCCCTGCGTCCTGATGGCACTGATGTCTATATCCTGGTTGTGGTGTGTGCTCGGGTTCCACATGATGTTACCACTGGGGGAGAGTGGGGAAAGGACCCACATGATTTCTCTGTATTGTTTCTTAACAACTGCATGTGAATTTATAATAATCTCCAAATTAAAACTTTGATTTAAAAAAAAAACCCAGCCCTGGCCATCTATCCAGGGCCAGTTAGGATTGGATTTGTGAGGGGTTAACGCTCAGCCCTGTGGGGAGAAATCAGGAATGAGCTGCGGAGTGGAATGGGTGGGACTCCCTAAGAACAAGGGGTTCAGCTGCTTGAGGCAGAGAAGATAGAGGTGATGGTAATATAAGTGTCCTAGTGACTGTGGCCAGACACCCAAGTGTTTTACTCTCTGGTCAGCCAATCCCTCACAGTTCAACAGTTGCACAGGTGACCCATTAGACAATGAAGCCCCACTTAAGAATGAGTTGAATGAGGAAATCACAAATACAACTTACTTCTCTCAGCACACATAGATGAAGTAGATGACTTCTGAGGCTCACTTCTACTCTAGAAGTCTCATATATTAGGGTAAGTCATGTCTCAAGGTAAACTAGGGTAGTTATACTTGTACCCCTGTACCCTCACACTACCTGTCCTGGCTACCCACCTGGGTGCCAGGGTGCTGGATGGCCAGGCCCCGAAGCAGCCTTAGGATAAATGGCAAGGCTGGGCGAGACAAAAACTTTTTCCAGATGTCGGCATCCAAACTGCAAAGCAAAGGAAGGCTTATTAGCAGGCCAGGGAAGCAAAGGCTACCTAGAAACCAGTTGTTGACTCTGGCTTGTTTAAACCCCCAGGGCATGATTAACCGTGACCCTCTCCGAGTGTCATAAAGAATCACATAGAACCACCCAGCTCAGCTGAAAAGCCAGAAAGAAGTGAGTACTCTAAGTAGAAACCAAAAAGTTGCCATCCTTTTCCGGCAAGCCCCGAGGACTCTGCAGTGGTTGAATGGTCACCCACATAGTTTCCAGAAGCGGTTGGGAGGCCCCAAGGAGGGCAAGGGGCACACGTGAAGCTTTATGCCAAGATGCTGATGGAGAAGGAAAAGGAAAGGGCAAAGCGAAGGCAAAGCAGCCCCGCTGCGGGAGGGCTTCATACTTCTTGGCGCTAGGGATGTGCTTTTTCATGTAGTCAAGTGCATTCTGGGTGATCCCCTTCTGGAGAATCAGATCCTTCAGCTGGTGCCCATTGCTGTTGTTCTTGATGCCAGCAGCTATTTTACAGAAGCAGTCCAGGAAGACTTTATCATCACCACTGTGATCTTCATCATATCTAGGAGGAAAGAGCAGAGTTTGAGGGTGTGAAAGGCGGGACAAAACCCAGTCATGTCACCCTCTTGGTTAACAACTGTCAACAGCCTATAGAAGATCAAGGCTAAATTCCCTAACGTGACACAAAGACCTATCTGCCCCGGCTCCTGCCACTCTCCCTGTTTACCTGCTATGTCTCCCACGCTCACAGCCTTCTCTTGCACTCACATTTGCGCACACGTGGCTCCATCTCGTCATATTCCTCCCATCTCACCAACCACTTTGCCTTCTCTGACTAGCCAATTGCTACTCTAATACAGTATATTTTAACTATTCACTTCCCAACTAGACTGAGCTCCTTAAAAGCCAGAACGAGGACACAAAAATCTAATAGGTATTCAGAGGATTCTTCCTCATCTCACAGACCTAGTTCGGCGTTTTAGTGGAGACTCTCATTTCACTATATGAAATCAAAGTAACATACTTATCAAAGTTGCAGTATGGTTTGAATCGCTCCACCAAGATCTGCATTTTCTCCACCTCTCCAAAGGAAAGGTACGGGATGATGCGAAGCAGGCCCTGGAGCACACTGGGGTTGGAGCGAACAAAGGTGCTGTTGATCTGGTCCAAGAGCATCACCAGTTGATCCTTGTCACCTGTCAGGAGGAGGTTGCCCTGCAACAGAAAAGAGGGTGAACATGCCATTAATGCAGTCAGGACTGTGGCTGCAGCCAACATCTGAGCCCCAAAAGTCACCACTTCCATCAGAGTCATCAGGAATACCCCTAGAAGAACTATGTCTCGGCACTTCTTGGGGAATAACAAACAGTCGGAGTTTCACTTGAGAAATTCGTTTCTAAATTTCTGTGACAGTGCTGTTAATTGTCTCAGGTGGTCAAAATATACCAATACAATCTTCCCTCCCTGTAAAAGAATGCAGGCTGCTGGACATTCACTTGGTCATAGCTCTAGCCAAATCATTAGCACCAATAAGAATGGAGGAAATTACAGGCATAGCAGGTGGAGAGAAATTCTGGGAGTTGGAGATCTGGGTTCTAGGCCTGATTCCACCAGTAACCAACTATGTACCACAGCTGAGGAAATGCCAAGTCCAGGGAAATGAAGTGGGCTATTCAATTCCTCAACTATGAAATGAAAGGTTGGACTAAAGCCTCTGTCTATCAACTGAGACATGCCAGGATTCCATTAACGAGCAGCTTTTGAGTGAAAGACTATCCTTAGCAATTGTGCTTGCTCTGAATCCAAAGATTTCACATTTCGATACAATTATGTCATCATTAGTTGAGTCCTAACATTCCAATGCTTAAGCAGGCTCCGCCATTCTCAGGTGGGCTAAGCCAGACACAAACAGGCCTGTTGTGGGCAATGAGACAGTGCAGGCTCTCAGTGCCTGCAGATGGAGGGGCCGAGCCCCACTCACCTTGTCCTCACTCAGGGGCTCAGCATTGGACTCATCTAGAATGATCTCCATGATGCTAAGCACCTGCTCAGCCACAGCTGCACCCCCACTGTCCTTGCTTTCTTGTTCAGCTACAAGGGCCTGTAGGAGAAGGAGACTCAGTCACTCTCAGAATAAGACCACAGCCACTAACTGCTGAGGACAATTGCTCTCAAGGATGCCCTCACAGCCTTACTCCCCAGAGACCATGTGTGTATGACCGTGTGTATGTATGTGCGTGTATATGCATGTTCTGAGAGGGAGACAAGCGTGTGAGCTTTTGATGACAGGCAGCTTTGCTGCCCCAAGGAGAGGGGCACTTCTTTCCCACTGGTGTGTAGTCTAGACTGTTTAAGGGACTGCCTTCCTCTTATCTCTGATCTGAACTCAGGAAAGGAGCAAGGAAGCTCTTGAGTGCCATGGCAGCAGCATGGGGGCAGGAGGTGAGCCAGCCAGAGGAGAAGGGCAGCTGAATGACCCAAGCCTCTGCACCAGTCAGCCAGAGAGATGAAGGGCTTGAAGAAGCCGTGAGTCCATTTCATCTGAGCCCAGAACTGAGAGGTCTTTCACACCCAGACTTCCAAGGCCCACTCTTCTTCACCTGCAGTCCATGCTCCTTACCAGGTTTAGGGTCCCCAGCATGACGTTCAAGGTGTTCATTTCCAGTTTGACCAGTTGCTGCCGGTTGACTTTCACCTTCACGCAGTAACTGAACAATTTCAGTAGCACCTGACAAGAAAAGCCAGTCAAAACCCATGAGGCCACATGAGAGTGTAGGACATGGGGGCCAGTAGGAAAGGGATGTCTAAGCAGGGTCTACACCATCAGCAGGGGCTCCTCCTGAAATGAAGAGGACAGGAGGGAGAAGCGGCTCTTCAGGGGACATGGTGAGATGGCTGGGCTCTCACATTAGGCTGGTAGCTCCAATGGCGGGATATATCTCTACCATCTCTAATACAACGGCAATGACAGCAGTTCCTAATGGAAGAGGTGATGCTCTGTTTGTTGTCTTGGGGGAAATCCCAGCATCAACTCAGACCCTAAACTAATAGTAAAGAAAATGATCCCAAAGCTCGTGGCCTGTGAGAGCTCAGAACCACATAGGTCATTTAAAACAAAGGCACAATAATAACAATAATACATATTCTCATAAACCCTGGGGGAGTGGGGGTGGGGAGTAGTGAAAATAACAGTGTAGTATTTGTGGTGCCTCTCTGGAATGCTCTAATCCTCACTAAGGAGATTAGTTGGATGAATACCCAAACAAAACCCTACAATGCAAGAAATGAGTTACATTACAAAATCCATTTTAAAAACAACAACAATGATAATAGTTAACACAAGTGCAGCTATTTGGGGAAAGACAGTCAGATGCTGGCTCTATAGAGAGGTATTGGAGAAGGGAAGTGGGCCAGCAGGACGGGAAAAGGTGTGCCTAAGAATGTAGTCCTAACTGCCAGGTCCTTCACTGGCTCGCACTGCTCCACGGCACCATGCTGCCCTCTAGGGTAAAATGACACAGTGGCCATAGCTTCTTTCCACAGGGGCCTCTCCCAGTGCAGAAAGGCTGGCCCCCACAACTTGCTGCCCCCAACTCACTGTTAGAAGGTGGCGTCCCTGCTTGAAATCTCTGATCCCTGCGAGTCTGTTAAGCATGCATTCCAGGCCCCCACACTGGGCCATCACACCAGCCATTTTATACACTTCTTCTTCATCTTCTTCTTCATCTAGGGGAGAAGGGAAGCCAAGCAGAAATGGAGGGTAAGGTGAAGATGGGAATAAAATAGGCCAGGATAAGACAGCCCTATTCCTGGCTGATGGCTGACAGCCCTTTTCCGTATCTCCAATAAAGACACGGCCAATAAAAGGGGTCAATGATGGATGATATTAAACTGTCCCACTCTCAGTAGGAGCTTTTTTAAAGTTTCAAGTCAATTAAAATTACTTACTCAAATGTCAAAGTATGAGCACCAATACCATCAATGGAGTGGGGGGAGAGGGAGTTAAAAATAAATCTGAACTCCAGTTTACTGTTCATTGCATTTTCCTCTAAAAGTTTGCTGGTATTCTTTTTTTTTTTTTTGAACACTCAGTGGTATCTGCATCATGCCACAGACACCTCTTTTTTTCCTCAATTGAAGAAACAATCTCCCCACAATTCTGATGCAGAGGTACAAGAGAGAAGCAACTGAGAATGCCCCTAAGTCCTGGGACGTGAGCCGCTCATGAGTCCCAAGCCTCAGATCCAATGTGCAGTGCCATGATCTACCTGTAGTAGAGTCCAGGGACTCAATGAACTCCTCTGTGGCATCGCCCAGCAGCCCCCGCATACGATAAACAATCCTCATGGGCTCTCCCTGAGCAGAGAAAGTTGGAGAAAGGTACTTAAAAACAGGCCCAGACAAATGCAAAGGACTCCATACTTGGTCTTGCTTAAAGCCCCAGCAATGTGGAGAGCCTCTATTTTTCTACAAAGTCTCAACCACAACATCTAGAATCCAAATGCACAGCAATTCACTTAGGGGAAAGAATGCTAATTTTATTTTGTGTCTACTAGAAGCTAGACATTGTATGAAACATTTTAAAGACACTATCTCCTTCAATTTCATTAGAACACTATGTAATAATCTAACAAATATTTATTGAATGTTTTACTCTGTGCCAGGTCCTATGCTAATTAAGTACTTTCTATGATCCTTTTACATAAGGTTACACAGCTTGTTCAAGGTTACCAAGCTATAAGCGGAGGTCTAATTCCAAGCCTGGACCTTCCTCAGGAGTAGAAACTGTCTCCAATCAATAGGGACTACTACCCAGGACAAACAAGGCCATTTAAATCAAAGAGCTTTGACTCAAGCCTCGGGAATCAAAACAGGAAAAGAGAGTACATCAATCTTTACCTACAGAGATTCAGACGTCTTTATATAACCATACAAGGAGGGGGTTCATCCACAATTCTTTAAGCTAAACCCACAATCTGACTAGAATGATAAGAATCAAGTCTTTTATAAATGACAAAATTACAGCAACTTCACTAAATTGGAGAATAAGGAAAGTTCCCTGTATGTCTGGCACTGAGCACATATATTAATATTATTCTCATTTTGCAGACTAGAAATTGGAGCTCAAAGTAACCACTGATGAAATCCAGTGGGGGATTTGGTAGCACGCTAATTCAAGCAGCCTGCCTCCAAGTCTATGCTGAGCTTCAGGACAGGACACCCTGGAGGAAGACAACCTGCCAGAAAGGCCAGTTGCAGAAGTGTTTCCGGCTATAGAAGCCCAGTGAGAATTCCTCAGAGAGAACCACCACAGACACTGAACACAGAGCAGGTTCTAGTTCTAGTCAGTAGCTACAGAGGTAGGCTGCTTATCAGGGAAATGGAGGGCAAGGTAGAGAAGGGAAGCTGAAGTCCCAGAACATAGGCTATCACAAACTCAGAACTTTGCCAGAAAACCTTCTAACTGGATTAAGCACATCAATGTGAGGGGCAAATGATTCTCAACTTCTATCTTGCTTCACCATTCAAGGGAGATACCCTGGTGCATTCTGTGGGTTCACTACCACCATTTACCAGAGTGCCCACAGAAGCTTGGTCTTAATTTTTTATATGCATCAGGGATTAAATCTGTATTGTTCTGTTTTGATGCTACAATGTCTGTAACAAGAGGTACTGGCTGGGACAGTTCTCTGCCTGTCCCTCAGCCAACAGTGCAACAACGACCCCACTGGCAGTAGACCAACAGTCAACAGTAAGCAGGATTCCCAGCCCAGTGGGAGAAAAGAAAGGAGAGAGGCGGAAATATGTAACAAATTGAAGATCAAAATCTACAAATAGTATACTGCCAATTTAGTTTCTCAAACTCTACAGAAGTATTTGGGACCAAGTCTAGAAAAGTTTGCTGTGCATCCCTGCTACACTAGTTTGCTGTAATTAAGTTACTTATCTGATTCATGTGCTAAAGACCTCTCCTCCCAATAGAAACAAGAGAAGGGAAGAAATGGCAGGGGGAGAGAGAAATGGAGGGGAAGAAAAAGAAACAGGAAGAGAGGAATGGAAGGAACAGAGAGTAAGAAAGGAGGGAAAGGTGAAGGGGACCATCTAATACTTCCATAAGTGGACAAACAGCATCACTCGTGGTGGCCAAAAGGCCCAGAGCGCTGGACTTCCTTCATTTCCCTTTTCCCCTCCTCAAGAATAACTGCCTGTTTGAGCCTCCATTCCCCAACTAGTAAAACAGAAATGATGCTCCTTGACACAGCTACTGGAAAAATGTTCTACTAAGCGAGCAGGCCCATAAAAGCTGAGAACTAATCTCAGCTGAGAGGTGTCCATACTGAAGGGAACAAGACAGCAAGCATTCCCAGCACAGAGCCTCCTTCGACACCCCCTGGCTTTCAGTTCTTGGGGTTTGACAACTTGCACAGCCCAGCAAAATGCTTTTGCTTTCCTGAAGCTTCATGAAGGTCATTAAATGTCCCTCCATTAGTCAGATGCCTCCAAAGGAAAACAAGATTGGTTTTCTCCACACAACCCCAAACAGGGACAGTAAAGCCTTAGAGAGCTGCTACAAGCCAGGTAAGTGATGATGAACAATGGCTCCTGCTGGTACAAGTCTGCATAAGTCAGAAAAGTGAAACCACACCTCCAAACGAGAAAGCAGGCACATACCTCATTCGTGGTACACCAGACTTTCTTGTAAACTTCAGCCACAGGAAGGTCCAAACTAATGATTTTATTGTTCACTAGAAGCTGAACAGAAAAGCAGGTGAAGCTGTTGTTCCAAATAATTGTAAGACAAGTAAAATCCAAGAGCAAAGGGCACCTTACGGCAATGGTTGATAATTCACAATTTTTATATGTCATGGACCTATCAACTCTCCCACTCTTAAAAAATCCGCACGTATGAAAAACACACAGAATTTTGTGCACAATTTCAGGGGCTGCTAACGTCCCTAACCCACACACAGGCTCCAGCTTAGACACACCCACCGGGGACCTTCTCCTGCAGGCTCAGCACCAGAAAAGGCTTTTCACTATGTAAAAATGTCAGACCCTCAACGGTCTGCCAGAAAGTAACTGACACGGGGACATAAACCTGCACAGGGGGTAAAACGCCAATATTTAGGGGGCTCAGGTAACTCAGACTCACCGAGAAGTCTCTGCCAGAGGCAATAACGATAATAAATACCCACCACCACTACAACCAACAGCCATTAACAATATGCTTACTTCCTGCCAGGCACTGGGCAGAGCCCTTTACAGGTTATTAACCTTAGCACTAGGTGAGGTAGAAAGGTGGGAATCATTAACCCCAACTTACAGAGTGGAGAAACTGAAGGCCACCTGCCCCAAGTTAATCAGCTACTAGGAAGAAGCACCTGGATTTGGTTAGCCTAGGAGGAAGCCCCTAATCGTAAACGTGGGCAGCACTGTCCTATGGTCATTACCTCCATGCCACTGTCATCTTCCAGGAGGGCCACTAAGTCACAGTCCTGGCAAATCTTGTTCTTTATATCCCTCATCAGCGGCCCGATGCCTGGCTCATTGCTGCTATACGGGTTCCCAGGCATCCTGCCCTGTAAGAAGTCTTCTTGTTGGGGATCCTTCTCCAGGGTCACAAAGAACTCAGTGACTTCATTCTCCTCCTGGAGGACAGACAGAAGGGTGCATCAGAAGGGATGGCAGAGGTGGAGATTTATACCATGCTACCTTGTTCCATGGACACTCGAGGAAAACACACCAAACTCAGCAAGCCCCCCAAACATTTAAAGATACAAAGGACAGGAAACTCAGAGGTACTTCCAAAAATCTAAACAAACTCAAGTAGACTAAAATATCAAGCATCTACCCTGAAACCCCAGGGTGGATTAGGAGATAAAGCCTAACAAAACAAGCAGACAAGGAGTGACATATGAGAGATATATTAAAAAATCGGGGAAGGGGTGCGAGGAGGGACTTTCCTTCCTCCTCCTGCTGGTCTCATGTGATGCTAACCAATTTGGGGCCAGAGGACTTTGTCACTGATGACCCTGAAGTCAAGAAAAGGGCTTCTCTATGGGACATGACACTCAGGTACACACCCCCAATGAGCTCTCATTGCTAGCTCATGATACTAGTGTTCATCTTTCCTCAATAGCAGGAAGGGTTCTCTGGATGATACTGTGCTTCTACACAGTTCAGGCTAGGGAAAAAAACACACGCTGCATGTGTGCACAAAATACAGGGCAGCTAAAGAAGGAAGAGAGTAAAAATATCTTTATATTCAAGCTCAATACCGCTTCTTCCACAGTATGTTGGATTGATATGCAATGGGATTTTGGTAATGGAGGTTAGACCTAGTTTTTAAAAAAACATGATTCTTTACTTGAATCTAGGAAATAAGACCAAGGAAGGTCATTAAATGTCCCATCGTTAGCAAGAGGAAAATTATGAGGTTGCTTCACTTTTATGGCGGTGGATCTTCTTTCACTAATGACTAAGTGGCCCACAGCTGGTACAATTCCCCATAACTTTAATGAATCACCAAGAGGCTTCATGGCAAAGTGGGCTGTGCTGACACTCGAGAGCCATGGGAAGCACCGCACTGCTTACAGGATAAATGATGCTGCAGAGCCTCTCGAAGATGAACACCGGGGTCCGGTAGTCATCCAGATTGTAGCGCTTGGCTGTCTCAATGCACACAGCCATGAAGGCCTTGGTTTCTGATTCTGTACCTGCCAGAAATCAAAGCGGCCAAGTTAGGAAAGAGCCTCTCCCATGGAAGGTGAAATGAGAATTCTAACTGAAGTACCATCACTGACAAATTATTTCTGCCTGGTAAGTCTTTAAATGCCCTACATGGCAATATCAATAGTTCAAATTGGAAATTTGATGCTGATTGATTTTATCCTCAGACCACATTCAGTTTGAAACCCATAACACCCAAGTCCACACACTTCATCATGGTTGGCTGTGTACATGTCTTGCTCTCTCTCAGGATATAACCTCCTCAAGGAGAGGGACTGTGCCTTATTTAACTAGCATCTCCTTGCCCAAAACAGGCACTCAGAAAATGTCAAATAATCCTGTGTTCCAGTCAAATCAAAAGGAAGTTACAGTTAGTTTTTAGCTTCATTCTAAAAGATTAGGTAGACTGTCCTCTATAAGCGAAAAAACACAACTTAAAGTAACATGAAGGTGAGAAAATATGGTCTTTAAAAAATAAGGTCTTGTGAGCACTTTGAGCTCAAAAGCTGGAGACCAGGCTAGGCAATGTGGCGAAATGCCATCTCTACAAAAAATACAAAATTAGCTGGGCGTGGTGGCACACGCCTATAGTCCCAGCTACTCAGGAGGCTGAGGTGGGAGGATGGTTTGAGCCCAGAAGGCGGAGGTTACAGTGAGCCTCGATCACACCACTGTACCCCAGCCTGGGTGACAGAGTGAAACTTCGGGAAAAAAAAAAAGTCCCACTGTTGCATTACTGGGTGGGTCTGAATTAAAATTAAAAAAAAAGGTAAAGGTCCCTGACGAAGTCACAAACCAGCTCAGTATGGCACGATGAAAATGGCATCAGAAAGAGTTCCATTTTGGGCAATAAGGCAAACGAGGTTCCCTGACCTACTCCTCACTCTCCACCACTCAAAAACAATTTAAAGTGTTGAATAAAAATCCATCAGTGAACTGCCACACTAACACAGAACAGCCAAAAGCCATAAACTAAGAGAAATCGGGAAGCCAGGGAGATAAGCAAAACACGAGTCAGTTTTTGCGTTGAGCTTTGGTTTCCATGCCCTGCCCAGATTTGAGAGGTGGATAAAGCCCCGAATCCACTGAGGCAAAGAGTCTAGCAGGAACCCCCAACCCCATGCCCCACAAATACAAATCTAGTACCCCAAAGAGCTACACCCTTGGTGCAGAGATCAGCTATCCCTTTCCCCCAACCAAATAACTGAGGAAATTGACTTTCCTTAAACTTTACCATCAAGTGGCAGGGAAAAATCTCCTCTGAAAACTTGTAATGAGCTGTCCCCTTATAGGGGTTTGCGGCTCAAACCTCTCACTACCTAGGAGGTCTGAAAATCCTGAGGCTCAGAACTGGGACAGCAGTACCCTGCACTGCCTCACAGAAGCAGTTCTTTACCTCCTCTGGAGAAACCCATCTTTGGCCCAGTCCTAAAGAATTTCCACAGATAAAGCTAAAAAATATGAGGTCACAGTCAAAACTCATAAAACACAACAAGACTTTAAGGTATCATCAGCAAGAGCCAAAATAACAAACTGCAGAATCAGGCATGTAAATATCTCAAATTTTAGAATTATCAGACACAAATGTTTAATATGCTTATAGATCATATAAAGGAGGGAAATGTGAATTTTTAAAAAGAGACCTCACACCTGTAATCCCAGCACTTTGGGAGGCCGAGGCAGGCGGATCATCTGGGGTCGGGAGTTCGAGACCAGCCTGACCAAAATGGAGAAATCCCGTCTCTACTAAAAATACAAAATTAGCTGGGCGTGGTGGTGCATGCCTGTAATCCCAGCTACTCAGTAAGGCTGAGGCAGGCGAATCGCTTGAATCCTGGAGGCAGAGGTTGCGGTGAGCCAAGATCGCGTCACTGCACTCCAGCCTGGGCAACAAGAGTGAAACTTGGTCTCAAAAAATGAAAAATAAAAAAGAGACCATAAAATCTAGAACCACAAGAATTCAACAGGTAGATTAAACATTTGCACACAGTGAAGAAAAACTGAATTGAACAAATTGTCAAAAATGCAGCATAAATACACAATGAGATGAACATTATGAGAGATGGAGAGATATGGATGACAGAGTGAAAATGGAGTTTCACAAGGAAAAGAAAGAGAATACAGCAGAGGGGATTAAAGAGACAATGGCTGAGAATTTTCCAGACTGATAGAAGACACCAATGAGAGAGCCTTTGACCTTGCACCACTCTATAAGCTCAACATGAAAAATCCAAAGTGACTGAGCCCAGCTCTAGAATTTAAAATTCCAAGAGCCAACACTTTGTCAAGAAATGAGTCTCCCTTTGAATGCAGGGAGATGTTTGCCACCCCTCCTCTGGATCTGTGGAACTGGGGGAAATTGGTCGAATGCACCTCGGCAGCCCCAGAAGGGACAGTGCCTTAGGCTCCAGGCCACTGGGCAGTGCTACCTGTGGTCATGTCCTCCAGCATCTCCAGCAGCATGTCCTGCGTCTCATCGATCAGCTTGGTCCTCTGCACCACCAGCTTCCGCAAGCACAGGTATCCATTCAGCACAGTACCCACCAAGCGACTTTTAAAATGTCTTTTGATGGATTCCACCTCAACAAAGGAGGAGAGAAGGCCTGTGGAGACAGGAAAATGTTGCTGTGAGAGCTCTGGATGAAAACATAAGGACAGTCTGTGTCTCAAAAGATTATGAGCAACTCAAAAAGCAGGGAAAATCTATCTTTGTGCATGGCACAGAGCAGGTGTTCAACAAGCGGAAACAGTCAATAGCAAACAGGGTCTCAAAATCATAAACGTATCAATACAGAAAAAAAATGCAGAGCTTAAATCTGCACTAAGGTCAGTACCAGAGAGAAGAGAGTCAACCCCAGCACCCAAGGAACTAAGGGTTGTCCCTAAACAGATTCAGGATGCCCTAAAGGAAGGTCCAGGTGGCTCTTTACCTGTGAGACTTTTAAGGGCATAACCCTGCTGCAGATCGGTACTCAGGGTAGCCTCCTCCAGGGCCAGCAGACGAGCTATTTCCTAAACAGGATGACAAGTGCAGTCAGTGTGATATCACTGCCAAGGATACCAGTTACCTCCACCACTGTCCCAGGAGCTTGCAGCACCAGACACTCTGTAGTTACATCTTCTTAATCGAACCCTTGCAGAACTCCTTTCCAGGAAGCCAACAGTCACAGCGCTGGTAAGGGATTGCTTAAAAACTGTAAACAGTCCAAATGCTCCCAAGAGTTTGCTACAGCTACATAATAAATACAATGAAGTCATAAAAATATTTCCAAACACCTTCAACAAATATTTCTTCTCAGCAAAAACAAACAAACAAAACACCATAGTAGAGTTTACATCAAGGTACAAGGGGGAATTAGGGAAGGGGCTCTCTTGGGCAATAGGGTAGGATACCTTGGTGATGAGGTTGCCCACATAGGGTAGGACTCCCCGAGCTGCCAAGTAGACTTTCCAGTGCGCAGAAGTGATGAGCTTCTGGTAGAGAGCCAGGTACTCAGCTGCACACTCCCCAGCTATGCTCAGCTCATCCAGGTAACTGCCACCAAGAGGGACAGGGCACTCTAGTCAAGAACTCTAGCATTTCGAACAGCTCCAAGGCTCCCCTTTCTCCTCCCAATCTTTCCTATCTTCTGCTGTCTGTCTCTCCTGCTTCCTAGAGGGTGGAGGAACAGCATCCAAGACAGCTCCAATTCCCACATGGGAATTTCCCACATCTAGGAAGCATTCAGAGCACACTGCAGGGAGTGAATGCCACAGAATCTAAGCATTCATATTTTGGCACTGATTGCTATGAGAGAATTAAATAAGATAATGCATGCCAAGCATTTATGCACTCAATCTCGATCAATATTAGCTGCATAAGATCTCAAATATTAGCTGCTGCTGCTGCTAACACCCTCACCACAACGACCACCACCACTACCATCACTAAAAGTCAGCTTTTTAACACTTTGTTGTTTCTGGGGTCTTCTACCCAGAGGTGTGCCTCTCATTACCCTGATCCATGGATTCCCCGGGGAAGATGAAAAGGCTCTAGAGCAAGTCTAACCACGCTCCTCATCCCACTCCCAAATGGTACCTGGTAAGCAGGTCCAGGACCTGCTGCTTGCGGCTGGGAATGGTGGCTAGAGCTTCCACAATGGTACAGGCTGCCTGCCGTGCGGCCTGCGTTGCTGGAGTGAAAAGCACCTGCAGGACAGGGGAGAGAAGGGGTCGTAGACTCAGAGGATGCCCTGCCTCACCAGGCCCCCAGCAGGGCAGTCAACTGCCACCCATCTAGGAGAGGTCTTCTGGGCACCTCTCTAGGAAAATGTTAAGAGGTAAAAATCACCAGCTAACACAAGACTCTACTGTTTTAGATGGGGAAAGGGGCTGTGAAAGAGCCCTGCTTCTGCCTGGAGACTTCTCCATCAGGAGATGTGAAGAACATACCTACAATAAGTGAAGTAGGAAAAAGGGATCTTCCTTAGCAAAGATGCTGATCATTCTTTTTTGGGGACACTTATATGCTGAATACTTTCATTTAAATGTAAACCAAGTATTTCTTATTTTATATATCAATGGACAAATGGATTACCTAACATAGAATTACTTTAGCTAGAGAGAGGAGGGAGAGAAAGGACAGCAGAAGATACGAAAAATGGAAGGAGAAAAGGGACTATGGTCAGGGAGGAAAGCAGAAAGCACAAGGAGCGTGTTAAGATAAGCAGAGGAAGTTCTGTTTCGGCCAGTCCACCATGCTAGCCCAACAGCTACAACCAAGAACCTGTACTCACTCCCTATTTGAAAGGAAGCAAGAAGAGCAAAGAGAAAGAAGAGATGGCAGTGCAGACACATGGTGAGGGGCAGAAACATATTGCTCAGAGTCTGGGGTCAGGGGCGCAGGGGGTGAAGAGTCCAGAAGTGGCCACTCACTTGTCGCAGCCAGTTGTTATGCCCCAGTTTGAGATCCAAGGGGGAGGTCCTCTTCCCCCGACGACTCAGGAACTGTTTCCACCTCCACACATACTTCTCAGTCAAATAGAGATGGCGGAGCTCTGATTTGCTGGGGGCTTTCCCATTGCCATCTATCCCTGCAAGGCCAAGGGTTGCAGGGGTAGTAGGTAAGTAAATGAGAGTGACAGAAGGCAGGGCTGTCAGAGCGCAGGCAGGACTTCCCGGCGTCTTGAAGAGAAAGATATACCTCTGATAGGAAGACACTTCTTCCAGGCATCATAGGATGCCTTGGGGTCTCTCTTGAGCCACAGTTGAGCCTGGGCATGGATCTCATTGCAGTATGGCTTCACCGTGGTGAGGGCCTCAACGGGGACATCCTGGAGGAGGCAAGTGGAGCAAGGTGAGGGCGCTCAAGGGCACACCTGAGCCATAGCCCCAACAGCATGGCACTGGTGCCCCAGGGGGTGATGTGCAAAGGCAAGAAGATCAGGAGGATCAACACGTGTATCTCTTATGCCCAAATATGTGTTCCTGTTAAACCATTTTGATCCAATTTAGCAGCAGCATCTCCACATTGAGCTTAAGGTCACTCATTTTTATTGTGCAGCAGAAGCTGTGGCTGGCTTCCTACAATCCTATAGCACTTACACTAATTCCTATCCCACGGCTGATTTGCAGTTTCCTAAGCAAAAACCTTCCTAGGGTCACAAGCAGCCTCCAGAATGCAAACTGTCACTAACCAGAAGCAGCCTGCAGAGAGAGAGCCACAGATGACACTCCAGTCCAGCGTGTCTCAAGCTGTTTGGCCTCAGAACCCTGTTACAATCTTCAAAAATTATTACGGACTCCAGAGAGCTTTGCTTTACATGGTTGTATCTATTGCCATTTCTCATGTTAAAAACTAAAACTGGCCGGGCGCGGTGACTCACGCCTATAATCCCAGCACTTTGGGAGGCCAAGGCAGACAGATGATGCTTTAGTCCAGGAGTTCGAGACCAGCCTGGCTAATATGGTGAAACTCCATTTCGATACAAAATACAAAAAAATTAGCTGGGCACGGTAGTATATGCCTGTAGTCCCAGCTACTAAGGGGGCTGAGGCAGGAGGATTGCTTGCACCCAGGAGGCAGGGTTTGCAGTGAGCCGAGATCATACCACTGCACTCCAGCCTGGGTGACAGAATGGGACCCTGTCTCAAAAAAAAAATAAAAAATAAAACACTGAGAAATTCTGAAGATATTTGTTAATTCATTGAAAAAGAAGAGTAAATCTATTATTTGTCAACATAAATTTTATATTTTCCAAAACAAAAATAACCTACAGAAAGACGTGGCACTGTTTTACATTTTTGATAATTGTTTAATGACTGCTTTATAAGACATCTGGATTCTCATATCGGTTTCTATAGTTAAATTGTCATGACAGGTTGTTTTGGTTGAAGTATATGAAAAACATTTGGCCTCATACAGATATACAGTTGGAAAAGGAAAGAATATTTTAATACCTTTTTCAACTAGTTGTGGATTTTTTTCATTGAGACTATACCAAAACTCAACAAATTACAGGGTCTGAAAGATTAGCTGTAGTATGGACTCTGAAATCACATCAATAAACTTTTCATACTTCATTACACTAACCTTCATCTTTTACCCGGCAGGATACTATAACATGCATTGGTCATTTAGAAAACACTGGTTTACACAGTTATGTCAGTTCTTCTTAAAGCTCACTTCATTCATTTTGAGGAAAAATCTGCCAAATACCTAAGCCTGAACAACCACAATTTGCCCATCAGCCATTTTTTTCAAGCACAAGCGGAGATCCATGGAAAGGCAGCTGGTTTGGCTTGCATCTCACACAAGTGCCTTTTCTCAGCACAACTGCTGTACTTGGGGTGCAGCAGAGGCGCTTTCTGTGTACTCATTTTGTCACACTGAGCATTAAATAGATTAGTACCCAAGAGTGGAGATTTAATAAAATTAATTTGTACTGTTTCATCAAGGATATTCTTGATGAAACCGGGTGGCAGTGAAGAACTGCACAGGGCCACCGCCTCGTCAACCTAAGGCACTGGCTGTCTCCCCAGCAGCAAAGGTTTTCTACCGTCAGCACAAACATCAGAAGAATTACAGGGGCAAATAGTGTCTTAGGACAATTATGAAAATAACTTTGTCCTCACAGATCTTTGACAGTCTCAAGAACACCCCGGAGTCTGTGAGCCAGATTTTAGGAACTGCTGCTCTCGCTAAGTTACACGGAGCAAATTGTGAACATCCACACCAGGCCTCAGTCCTTACAGGGCAAGTAATTCCGTGAAAAATCTCCCTTTGCCTCCCACTGTGGAAACAAGGATGGTCATATAGGGATGGGTGTCCTCTTCTCAACCAAGGGCTGATTTTAGTTGCTGGGAATCTGGGGGGAAATAATTCCTCCATCAAAGGGAAGGAAGCAGAGTGCCCCGTGCTGCCTTTTCTGAAGGCAGCTTCAATGTCCAGCTTCCCCACATCATAACCCTAGTGCTTAGCACTCAAAAAGCAATCTTCCTGCCATGAGGACTCTGTTGCCCAAAAGGGATGGCCCATCAGACAGAACAGGAGTCAGAAGGACCCAAGGCCCAATCCAGGGCAAGTTGGTGGCAGAGCCTTAGGCATGGCCCAAAGAAAGAACTATGGCCTCCCAATTCAAAAGCTGATACAAGCAAGTCAATCTGTGGCTCAGCTACAGTTATTTTAGGATAAAAACTTGGTTTCATTTATTCACTTAATAATAATTCACTAAGCAGCTATTATAGATGTTATACCATCCTATATACTAGACATAAAAAGTATTACTAAGATGGTCCAGTTCCTGGAATCAAGGAGCTCACAGCTAGCCTAGTAGAGAACTGACCCTCTAAGGAGCAGCTAACAAAGTGAAGGAAAACATTCTAGGCAAAGAAAGCAGGAGATAGCCACAGCTAACATTTGTTAAGGATTAACTTAGGCAGACACCGTTTTGATCACTTAGTCTGCATTATGTCATTTATTTTTCACAACACTTCAAGGTGGAGACTATATTCCCATTTTATAGATGGGGAAACTAAGGAACAACTTGCCCAACATCATGATGCTAATAAATGGAAGCGCTGGAATTTGAACTCAGGAAGTCTGCTTCAGAGCCTGGGATTTCTATCACCGCACAGCACTGCATGTGCAAAGGCACAGGGGTAGGAAGGACACAATGCTTTCTGGGGGCTGCAAGTTATCTAACATGACTGGAAAGAGTTCATCCTTCACAGCTAGCCACTTTGCTCTCTGCTTTGCAGTTTCATGTTTATTTTACTTGAACCATCCTTCTCAAAAATCCCAACCCATATCTGCTGAACTAAGGCAAAGGCTGCACTGGAGCCTCTCAGGGGAGGTGGGCTCAAGGCAAAGCGGAGACCATGAGGAGGCAGGGCACACTGCCAGGGAATGAGGAGGGTGGCCGCCCTGCCCTTCCTTGTTAGACCCCTGCTTGGCCCAGTACCTTGTTCTTCTTGCTAGTGGGAGCAGGTGGTTTTATCAGCTTCTGCAAGATCCTCAGGCACATGAGGGTAATGTTTTCAACCACCACAGGAGTCTTAATGTTCACAGCCATGAGGAAAAGGCTGAGAGCTAGGGATGGTCAGGAAAGGCAGAGTCACAATCAGGAACACTACACATCTGCTCTGCAGAGGCCGCCCAAGCATCAGTTTCCCTCCTCCCCTCCCAGTCCGGCCAGGACTGCTCCTTTGAGCCTCCTTTCCTTTCTCTGAAAATCCCCTAACTCACCACAGCGTAACCGGAGCTCCCAGCAGCTGTCCTCCTTGGAGATAGAATCCGTCAGCAGCAGCATTTCATACTGCAGGCTACTTGCCTAGAAGGCAATGGGAAGAGACATGAGTCAAGAGGGTCAGCTCCGGTCCAGCGACTCTTAACTATTAATACAATTTCTGGTCCTAGGTGGCTCCAACAGAGACAAAGGACAGACGGAGACCCTTGTGCTCCAGGCTCTTCCCTGGGAAAACCATTCTGGGGTAATGTTCTGCTCCTTCCCTCCTCAGTCACCGCAGGACCTGGGAGGGGAAGCTGAGAAACACAAGGCATGTGAGGGGAAGTCAGAGAGGACAGCTGGGCCTGCTAGGCCGGCTCACCAGATCGGGGTTGGCCCAGTGGCCCTTCAGGGCTGTGGAGACCTTGCCAATAATCAGGTCATTCATCTGTTGGGTGGCTTCTGGGTTGTCTCTGCAGAAGCAAATAGAAATGGAGTCCTATAATTCACAATCAGGTGTGACACTCCTTTCCACCTGAAGGGGCCCAGGGAAAATGAAATCAATGTCTAAGGCTACCTGGCCCCAAATTTTCTACTTCCTTCCCGGGGCAAGACTAGAACTTTAGCTTCACAAAACCGTGGTCGGTAATAATAAAGGGCCCATTACAGCCGCCTTGCCTATGAACAGAAGCTAACTGAGGGAAGAGCAGCACCACCTTATGGGGCCCATGTCCCAGGCGACAGAGCCCCTGCTGTCTGGTGTGACACAGTCTCCAAAACCTAGACGTCCACTCTCAGTCTTGGTCACAACTCTTTCCCTGTCTTCTCCATCTGCCTGCATTTCATTTTCCACAAGGCCCTCATATTCCAGTTTACGTCTCTTTGTAACAATGTTCCCACTATTAATAAAAAACACAAACCGTATCACTCACTCTTGCTTCCCAACATACTGAATAAGCCCCAAAGTCCTTACAGAGGCCCACAAGACCCTATGGGATCTGGCCCTCGCACCCTCTGACCTAAGCCTCCTCCCGAGTCTTCCCTACTGCATCCCTGTCTCCAGCTACACGGGTTCCTTGTGATGCCCTAGCATTCCTGGCAGGTGCCTGCTCTCAACTACCCACTTGCTACTTCCTAGGCATGCAGCCCACTGCTGAGACATTGCCATGACCTCATGATCAACTCCTGACCTCGTGATCTGCCTGCCTTGACCTCCCAAAGTGCTGGGATTACAGGTGTGAGCCTGTTCAGCCCTATTTTTGTATTTTTTTTTTTTTTTTGAGACGGAGTCTCGCTTGTTGCCCAGGCTGGAGTGCAATGGCACGATTTCGACTCACCACAATCTCCGCCTCCCAGGTTCAAGCGATTCTCCTGTCTCAGCCTCCCAAGTAGCTGAGATTACAGGCATGCACCACTACACCTGTCTAATTTTGTATTTTCAGTGGAGATGGGGTTTCTCCATGTTGGTCAGGCTGGTCTTGAACTCCCGACCTCAGGTGATCCACCCGCCTTGGCCTGCCAAAGTGCTGGGATTACAGGCATGAGCCACAGCACCTGGCCCTATTTTTGTATTTTTAATGGAGACGAGGTTTTACCATGTTGGCCAGGCTGGTCTTGAACTCCTGACCTCAAGTGATCTGCCAGCCTCAGGTGCCAAAGTGCTGGGATTACGGGCAAGAGCCACTGTGCCCAGCCTACTGTCAGTATTTTTCAGATGAGGAAAACACAGACTCAGAGAAATTAAGGAATCTGTCCAAGGCGTATAGTACAAGGTATCAGATACTGAAACTGAGCCTTTCCAATCCAGAGTCCAAGCTCTTAATCTCCAGGCCCCACTGCTCTGCTTCTTTCATGTGAGTCTTTCTCGAGTTCAAGTGTCTCCCTTCCCTTCCCTCACAAGGCCTCAGGGAGAGTTTCCTCAAGACACTGTACTGGAACCAAAAAAGCACAAGCCAATCATGCCATTTACAAGGAAACCTGGGTTTCAATGCTCCCCAAGCTCGCTCACCTACACCCTGTGTCTCTTTCCATCTTTCCTTTGTTATAAGCTACCTAACTTGCTGGGTGGTCAGAAGCACTATTCTGTGCACTCTCTAACGCTCCTGGCATGGCTGCCAGTGTCAGTAGGAACCACTAGGCCCATAACCATGGTGTAGGTACTGACCGAGTTAGGAGGCACATGAGCTGGCGGACCTCCTCCCGCATGGCCGCAGCCCCTCGGCGAAGATTATAATCAAAGAGCTCCCGGATAAGGCCCTGGGAGACAAGGATGTGCCTCAAGGCTGGGTTGGTGGCCAGGGCCCGAAGTAGTGTGATACAATGTTCTGTGACAGCCGAGGCGCAGCCATAGCACTTGGTGGAGGATGTGTGGCCACAGCCCAGGACGGATAAGGCACGGTACTGGCTGGCAGTGAATGTGGGCTGCACGGAGGTCCGGGATGATTTAGTGGCTGCTTCCCTCTGCTGTAGGTCATATTCCAACAACTCTTTGCGCGAAGCAAAGACTTTCTAAGAACAAAAAGGCAACAATAATGGGAATTAGCAATTAAAATAAGAAGAGGATGTTAATTAGAAAATTAGTTTTGCTTTAGAAAAAACTTTACATGCATTATATAACTTAATCTTCTCAATAACCCAACTGGTTAGATGCTTTATCTCCATTTTACAGAGAAGGAAACTGAAGCTTGGAGAAAGTGGCTTGACCAAGATAAGTGGCAGAGTCAGAACTCAGACTCAGATGGCAGGCTTATGCTCTTAACTCCCATGTAACAAAGACAAAGGTCAGAAGCTAATACACGTGTAGCAAAGATGGCACTCCAGCAATTTGGGGTTGAGGGGGAAGGTAAACTGGATGCTCTCCTTATATGAGGTACCTCTGTCTATGGCCAGCCTCCCATCTCATGGAGATTAGGTCTGTGACATTGCAACTGACACAAGGCCCACCCTGGTTGATTGCAGTTGGTATGCCCTTACCCTACAGCCTGCAAACACGGCGTTATCAGAAGAGGGAACAGAATCTTGGCATCAAATTTTTTAAGACCAGTAACCCCTCTACTAAGAGATGGGTTGTTAATGGCTAAAAAAAACCCTTATCTGTGTTACCTTCCCATCACCAGTATGTTCAGTTATCTAGCATGAACTCAGCATTCTGACCAGCGCCATAAATCACGGTGGGGGAGATGCCGTTTGGTGCAGCCATCTGCCTGCCTTTTCAGCTAGATTGGGCAGGGACAACACCAAGACCTGGACTGCTAGATGAGAGAGCAGCAGGACTGCTGTGAAAACAACACCAGTAACACTTGGACAAAACACACCCAAAAGCTGCTCCCCGCTCTCTACCTGGATGATTTTGGAGAGTTCATCAAAAGAGTTCTTGCAGTCTCCACAATACTCCTGAGCCAACTGCAGGATGTAACGATTCACACTGGCAGAAGTGGAGCTGATGCCCCCTGCTGTTCCTGAGTCATCCTGCAACCCCAAGAGGTAAGCTGTCAGGCTCCCCACCTAAGGTGATCTCACCTAGGAGGCAGTCTTCTGATCAAGACCCAAGCCCTTATCCAAATGCCCTTTGCAGCGTGGGACTACCTGTGGCTTTTCTGGAGCTGCCTCATTCACTTTGCAGAGCAGGTTCTCCAGCTGTGGCCGGTGTCCCATCAGCTGATGATACACTCGATCAGCTTTGTCCAAAAGTGTATTGATGTTGGATACAGCCTAGACAGGAAAAGACAGGGACTGAGTGAAGGCTTTTTGGCTGATGACTTTCCCTGAGTAATCCTCACTGCTAACCATTTACCAGAACATTTCCTATAGGTCAGGCACTGTGTTTCATACATTATCTCTGTTCTTCACAATAATCTTTCCTGTGAGGTGGGTATATTATTTCTAATAAAAATACAATACACATCTGTGATATATAATAATACAATGCTGAGAGAAGTAACTTATACTAGGTTACACAAGTATTAAAAGTATGGCTGGAATTAGAATTTCTGTCCTTCTGACTCCAAAGCTAAATGTTCTTCTGTTAACCCTATAGGTGCCCCTTTTTCACTGTTCTTTAATATCTAGAACCTCCCCCCGCCCCTGCCCATATTATGCAGGCTGGGAACTAGCACTGGACAATCTAATACTGAGGGAGGGCCAGCAGCCTCAATATGAAGCAGTCTGTGGAAGAAATGCAGGGCAAAGCATCCAAATCCAAAGTTATCTGTACCTGGAGATACTCTAGTTTCATTACCAATCAACACTTTTCTAAAATCCTATGCAAACCATGTCTTTCAATACAATATACCTCATGCCATTCTTTGCTCCCACCCAAAAGCTGGGCCCTGAAACTGGTGTTGAGTCGAAGAAGGCTTAGGCTAGAAAGTAAAGTGCACTGCACTGCACCAGGTCTGCCCAAAGTCCAGATCAAGGCCACAGCCCTGAGTCTAGGCCAGATCTGGCCTCACCTTCTTCCGGTCTTCTTCATTCTCAATGGGATCCACTGCACAGCAAGGCTTGGCATAGAGCATGAAGTCGAAGCGGGCATATTTACAGAAGCCACAGGCATTGCAGAGGAAGGGATCCTTTTCATCGTAGTTGATGGATCTGAGTAACCAAAGCGTTTGGGTCAGTAAGGTGACAAGGCTGGGTGGGGTGGGGGTCACTCTGAGGAAATGGATTGTGCCACATTTATATACTCTGGTAACTACTGCAGGGGCTACTGAAGGGACAATAACAAATGAATGACTTAAGCAGCCAGGTAACAAGAAAGCAAGACCCAGAGCTAAACTTCTGGACCTCCCTCCGCCCTTACCCTCCACCCCTGCCACAGGACAGACACACTCGTGTGCACATGCACACACACACACACACACACACTCACTCACTCTCTCTTCTTCCTCCTCCCTTTCTACCCTTGAACCCACTCTACAAACCCATAATTCTCTAAATGTTCTGAGGGAATCAGACACTGTAATTGCTCACACTGACACTACTACAGAAAAATAACAAGGAATGTGCACAGCCCTGGCCTAGGGGATGACCAATGACTTACCTGCATTTGTGACACTGGTACACATTCTCTCCACAGTTGCCACAGACTCCTGGGTTGGCAGGGACCGAGGCACTACAGCGAGGGCACTGCAGGGTCTCTGTGGAGGCCTGGTAGTTTTCATAGAAGTCTGCAAACTCAATCATCAGATTGGAGGCCACAATGGGCAACGGCAGGTCAATCTTCACCTCTGTCTGTCCAGGGGTCAGCTGAACCTTCTTGGCTTTGTGCCAGCGAGCTGGCCTAGGAAAGACAGACAGCCTTGAGATTTTCTCATCTAACCCTCAGTGATAACAGTCTGATGAGACAAAGAGGAAGACTGTCCCATGTATTTTTCTAAGGCAATTAAGTGGTTACTCTAAGGAAAAGAAATCTGGCATATAATAGGAAGCCAGTTTTAAAAAAGTTTTCTACTACCTTTTCTCTATAAAAAAAGGAAAGAACATACAAGTGCTTTAAGCTGTTATACATGATACCTTTTGAAATTCCAGGAAAACAACAGAAGTATATAACAAGGGAAACCATGACTCCAAAAGCATGCCACACTGAAGCCTGTAAGAGGTGCAATGATGATGCATGCCAAGTTCCCATCCTGACAGCAACCTTGGAAAGATAAACCCAGGCTATTTTAGAGAGGCAGAGGAAGAAAATCAGGGTCTGAACCAAGTGCTAAGTCAAGTCATAAAGAGGAAGGTATGTAATAATTTTGGGGTGATTATATAACACAATGAGAGCTAATATTTACTGAGTACTTACTATGTACTAGGCTCTGTTCTCAGCACCTGACACATACTAACTCATTTAATCCTTAAACCCTGGAAGTGGGGTCCTACCTCCATTTTATAGTTACAGAAACTGAGGTTAAGCAGCTTCTCTAAGGTCACAGAGCTATGTAGCAGAGCTGGGATCTGAACCCAAATAGTCTACCAGTAGCTCTGCTGACTCCACACAATGAAAAATCAAACCCACCTCCTCTGGAGGGGAATGGGCCACCCTAATGTGCAGCATCTACTTTCAGGTCACCAAGGTTAAACTAGGCTTTTCAAGGCAAGAAGAGAAAACCTCCCTAGGCAGCCTTCATGGCCACGTGTTGCTGTGGTACATGAGCCTTATTCTGCCTCTTGGAATAACAGCAATACTTCCATCCTGTGTGCAGAACAGCTCTGTAAGTCTTACTATTCAAGTAGTGTCAACCTGTGTTCTCCCTTCAGTAGCAATGCCTGAGAGTTCAAAAAAAGGCGATCTGTCTCTGTGAAAGTCAACACTATAACCCATGTGAGTGCCTCTCTTGGCCTAAATATGACATGCCCTGGTTCAGTCACTGGGATACATGGGCTAGGAAGATCCAGTATCAGCAGATACAGAGAAAAGGCACCATGTGGAAATCGAAGAGTGTGTGTACTAAAGAAGCTTCTTGAGAAATAACTTTCTGCCCTGTGAGCAAGAGCATAGCTGTCTTAATCCAAGAAATGACAATTACTTCCCAATACAGAAGGTTTTATCTAAGTCTAGACCTTTGTGTAAGAATAGTTAAAATGGGCATGAGAAGCCTGGAGGTCCCCTCACTCAGCTTCCCCTCCCTAGGCAGGCTGTTGAGGAACTTCCACAGACCCCTATGGCTCCACTGGGCTAATTTAGAAATAATCTTTGTCAACATGCTTAGAACTGTTGTTTCACTTTTGTCCTTTGGTCATGAATGGAGGGGCCAAGAGGATGTATTAGGCCTCTAGGGATGTGCTGCCTTACTCCATTCCAGGAACCGAAGGCAGCAACTGAGCTTCAGCCTTACAACCTGCTGCCCCTCCCGAGGCCTAAAAAGCCCGTACTTGTTTTTCAACTCCACGATGGCCTGCACGGTTCGGTTGTTATAATACAGGTTGATGGTCCGCACCATCTTGGTCCGTTTCAGATCCCCGATTTTCACTGTCACTTTGCTGATGGTGTGACTGCCAATGAGCTTCACAACCTGCTGGGTGGTGGTGTACCGCGTGTCCACTTTAATGGAAGACAGCTTGATATACTAAATACAAGAGTTCACAAAACATGGTATTAGTTCAAGACTCGTACTGCCTTTTTAAAAATTCATCAGTGTAACCCACTCTTCATCCACAAGATGAAGTTTCTATTTAATTTTTTAAAAAATATTTTGTAGAGATGGGGTCTCACCATCTTGCCCAGGCTGGTCTAAAACCCCTGGGCTCAGGGGATCCTCCCATCTTAGCCTCCCAAAGTACTGGGATTATAGGCTTGAGCCACTGCACCCAGCCAAGTTTCTATTTAAGGTAATAAATGTGGCAGATAAAAATTCCTACTATCGGTGACCAACCATTAGGAGAGGAACATCTATGTGATAATGATCCATCTCTGGAAACAAGAATCCCACTGGACCTATTGGCCTCAGGACTGTCCATGTACAGATGTTACTTACACAGAACGGTACTTCCGGGTTATTACACACCAGGCAGGGATCGCTCTCCAGGTAATAGCCATCAAACTCCACTAAGCCAGACAAAGTGCTAAGGAAGAAACCAGTCTTAGCATGAACACATTTTCATCTTAGGAAGCACTGAGTTTCACAAAAAAATCATGACAAAGCCATGGCTCAATGTGAGCCAAAGTGAGCCCAAAGTGAGCCCCACCCTAGTGAGAACTCAAGGACACAGGAGAAATCCCAATAGGGTTACGAAGCCACAGGAAAGAAATTTCAACTAACTGACCTTAGATGTTTCCTAATCTTTGATCTATCCTTCAGAGGAATTCTAAAAAGTAGTAAAATTTGACTCAAGAGTCACAATTAAATTTACTAAAAATCATTGAACTGTACATTTAAAATAGGTTAATACATAAATTATCTCAATAAAGTTTTTTTAAATTTTTTTTAAAGAACAGTCACTACTAAACCAGAGAAATAATAAACTGTCAATTTAACCAATATCCTCTTTTAGAAGTTTTTTTAAAAAAAGGAAGACATTTTCTTTAAATTTGTTTCACCTTATTTAACTTAAACCCTTGAAACTAAAGACCTTTTTTTTTTTTTTTTTTTGAGACAGGGTCTCACTCTGTCACCCAGGCTGGAGTGCAGTGGCGTGGATCACAGTTCATTGCACCCTCGAACTTCTGGCCCCAAGCCATCCTCCTGCCTCAGCCTCCCCAGCAGCTGGGACCACAGGTACACGCCACCACGCCTGGCTAACTTTTTTAAATTTTTTTTTAAGAGATGAAGTCTCACTATGTTGCCCAGGCTATACAGACCTTTCTACATTACTACTCACCAAACCCTGAACTCAGCAATGACATTTTGAGTACCTTCTATTTGCAAGACCCTGGCCTACATGGAGGGGATTGGAATCTCAACTAGGCAGATTCGCTCTTCTCTCAGGCGCTTGTCAATTCCTATGTAAGAGCCTATCACCATGCAAATAACTCCTCAGAATGCTGACTGAGCTTCCCACAGGTAGAAAGCAAAACAAAGCTCACTTATAAATGTTCGAGTTGGGGTGGTTGGTAAGAATATGGTTTTGAGTCCGCAGAATCTCCACAGCCTTCTGTGAATACTCCTTCAACTGAAACAGAATTCAGTAAAGAAACAACTTAAAGCCCAAGGTGAAGTCTTATTGGAAAAGACTTTTGTCTTCTGCATTCTAGCTGAATACTGCCCTAGACCTACCAGACTTCTCAGTCAGAATCATACAAAGCTGGGCCTAATTTCAATCATTTAAATGGATTCTATCTCCTTTAGAAGTTTCCATGAGCTTTAGTGATAGGTAGTACCCTTTTCTGACCTGATGGAGGAAGATCATTTTTATTTTTATGGAGAAGCCATAAAATGGTTAGCTAATTGCAGAAACATTTTCTGGTATGTATAATCAGGGCTACTAGCAAAACAAGGAGCACTTGCTTTTCCAAGGAACTGTAATGAGTTCTATCTTCTTTCCCCACCTGACCTTGACCTACGTCCTATGTTAAGTTAGATTTGTTAGTGTATACTGTCTACATCACAGACATATTACGAGTGCTTACCAAGAAATGCAAAACTAGATATATTTAAAAGAGGTTTCCTATATGGACTCCCTATATCTGGGTTGTTCATAATATTCTTAACTCAAGAGAAAAAAGGTTAAATATGGCAAGTTGGCCCCTCTGACCATAAAGCAACTGTTACCTTCTTCTCTGTTTGTGGAGTTTTCAGGGAGAAATATCCTAGTAGGTCCACAAACTGGGCAGCCTTACGACCATAGGCTGGGAGTTCTGGCCAGATGGACCACATCAGATCTAGCAGGAGCTCCTGTTGAGATTTGCTGGAATTTCTGTGGATATATGACAGCTCATGTTACCAAGCAGCAGAAAACCCTGAGGCACCTGTGTTTATCATTGAGGCTCTGGTACCTCAATTTCCCCACAATTATGGGTTAAGTTTGAACGGTTTTGTTTCACTTTTGACAATCAATCCTACCAGATGCAGCATAGTCATTTGCTGCCTCTACCCATCACCCAACATATCCCAGAGCAGAAGCTGAGCTTTTTTAGCCTGAAGGGTCAAGCTTGGTCATGTTACAAACCCCGATACATAGCCTTCTGAGTAGAAAACAGATCGTCTCCTGCCTATGACGTCAGTTTAATGGCTAAAAAGCAGACAACAATAAAGAAATCTCTAAAGCACAAGAGGATTCAGGCTGGCGTAACTACTGACTCTGTGACCATATGTAACCGAAAACAAAATAGAACTGCATTACGCACCCTGGCCTCACACCCTTGCAGATCTGTCAAACCAAGCCCTGGCCCTACCTGTAGATGTGCAGTGTCAGACAGTGGGCCTGCCAGCGCACCGAGGAAGAATTGGACTCTAACAGGAAACAACGCAGGAACTGGATCAGGGTTTCCTTATCGGCAAATTTGTTCAGCTGGTTCACCAGAGCTGTGCACAGCTGGTCCTCCTGGCTGCCAGAGGTCTCACCTGCAAGATTAGGACAGGACTAAGGGCTGAAGAGTAGGAAGAAGTCCTCCAGGGTCCTAAGGCCTGGGCTACCAAATGGTGAGGGAGGGAATTCTGTCCATTTCTAAAAGTTTCTACTGAATGCTGATATTCTGCAAAACAATTTTTAGTTGTTTACTGGGGGACAAATAGGTCAGCCCCAAATGAGACATATGTGTAACGTTGGTGATGCAGTGGTGAGCACAGCTGCCTTCCAGACAAGACATACAATAATGACACTAAAAACCACAGGATAAAGTGCTATGTAAGCTGGCACTGAACAAATACAGTGACACTGGAGGAGGAGGAACTTCCTTTCAAGGGCTTGCAATAGGCCTACACAGAGATGTCTGATCATTAACTGGGGGAATGTGAACCACCACCATGGCTCTCAACCCTGACCACTGATCTCAGGTCTCCAAGGACCATGGAAAGCAGTGCAGCTGATGGTGAGGGTCAGCTAAGAGAGCTAACATTTACTGAGCATTTACCAATGTACTCAGTGTCATTTCACTGAACTCTGATGGGAGCTCCATAGAGAAGGTGTTATTATTTCACAGAATAAGAAATTTGGTCTACTAAAAATGTTCAGTGCACTTTGACTTTTCTTATTACTGTCACTTGGTATGAGAAGTCATGCTGTTTAAGGTGTCACTTCAGTATAATTGAAAATGAGACCAAAAGTAGACACTAGAGAACATTTGGGCTTTAAGTCCCCTCTAAATCAGGATTAAAAGACCTTTTACAACAGGACAAACCATGTGCTCCAAGAGAGATTTACATACATCATTGTAGTCACAATGACAAGAGGGTGACCCTTACCATCTTTCTCCTTTTCTTTTTCTTCTTTCTTGCTCTTTTTAGTGGAAGACTTGGACTGTGTTGTGGCTTGTCCAGAACTGGCAGCCACAGGGGCTGAGGAGGAAGAAGCACTGGAGGATCCCGAAGAGGCTGCCAGTGCAGCGAGCACCTTGCTGCCGCACAGAGCACAGGAGAGCAGTTGCAGCAGCACTGGGGACACGCCCTCATCCACAAGGAAACTGACTTGGAGGAGGAAGTACAGGACGGCTGCAAGCAGAGGAGACAGAGGCTCACCTCTGAGACGACCTCAACCAGACTCAGGAGAACCAAAACAACGTCTCCCTACAGCTGAGACTGCCCTGTTCTCACCAGCTTTCTTTGCCATGTTCTCTCTGCTGGACATTGTGAAGAAGTTATACTTTCTGTGGAAATCTCTGAAAAGTATTTTAACTACACACCGACCAGAGCCCCCTGCTCCTTTGAATAAGGGGTTCTCTAGACTCCACCTACTCCTCTTTGACTTTACTGCCACTACCTGGAGGTCAGAGACTCCTACTTTGTGCTTCTACAGCTCCCCAAACTTTGACGACCAGCCCTCACCACTCTTTTAGATTTTTACTTGTCTTCTTTGCTAGACAGAGTTCTGTCTAGTCTATCTTGTTCACAGCTATATCTCCAGCATCCAGTTCAGTGCTTGGCATATAGTAGGCCTTAACAGTTCCTGAATGAATGAATAACAGCAATCAAAAGGAGCAGCATTGCTTACAGTCATCTTTGATGCAGAATTTCTGCCAGTTGATGGTTCGCTGGGCGGCAATCTCTGCACAGGCTTTCAGGTGCTCCATCTGAAATAGGAACCAACCACGGGAAAGGAGTAACTCCACCACATTGCCCAGACAAGCACCACACCTGCTGCCTGGAGCCATCTCCCTGACTTTGGACTACACCTGAACATGATCTTCTGAGCAAGGCAGATGCTTGCTGAGATGTCTGGTCAACCTGGGACCATGACCCACACACTGCTGCAACCGCTGCAGCTCTTACCGAACCTGCCTTTGTTCTACCCCATCCCCACGCAAGGCGCTGTTTTCAGGAACCTTCAGACTACTCAATAAGGCAACAGCAAAAGGTAGACCATGACCTAAGAAACTATAATCCAGTTTACTTTTCTTGATATATAACGATAAGCAAGAACATGAGCCAGCTAGATTAAAGACGTTCTTTCTAGGTTGTTCACATACAAAATACTCAGTTTACTCCTCTAAGTCCAAACAGTTTCTCTTTAGGCAGCAATACATTTTTCTACTCGAACCTTCATCATTTCTTTAGTATTCAAGGGTAAAAACCAGAGGTGCACAAAGAGATCAGTCCTGACTAGGATGTAAGCAAATGGCACTGGTAAGAAGCTCGGGCCACTCACCTCACAGTGGAGGAACTGCTGCCAGGTGGGATGAGAGTGCTGAGGGGGACATCCCAGATCCTGAAGCCAACTACACATGGTACAGCACCCAGACAGGGGTTATGGATTTACCCTCATCTCAGCCCTAACCATGCCATTGTCAACACAGTTAAAAGTCCTGCATTATTACCTCCAGCCCTATTACCTACTTGGCTAAGCCTTATCACATCCCCCCTCCCTGCCCTACCAGGTCCCAGCCCTCGTACCAGGCTGATGAGTGTGTCATATTGCAAGGCGGAGCCTGAGCTGGCTGTAACCACACTTGCCCGGAGGAATATCCCCTGCTCTTCTAGCAGCTTCTTGATCCCACGCACGTGAGAGTCCAGGGTGTGCAAATCCCGGAGCTGGCGGTACTTCTCTTTGGATCCACAGATGAAGAGCAGAAGTTTGCGGACTTGACGGCGCACAAATGGAGTCTGCTGGATCATGAGGTACTTGAGAAGAAAAACACCACAAAGAGTAAATGACTCTGGGACTGTATCTATATCAACTGTGGCTCTCACACCCTGGGTTTTAATAAACTGTTATTAAAAGCTGGGGACAGGCCGGGCACGGTGGCTCACAGCTGTAATCCCAGCACTTTGGAATGCCGAGGTGGGCTGATCACTTGAGGTCAGGAATTTGAGACCAGCCTGGCCAACATGGTGAAACCCCATCTCTACCAACAATACAAAAATTAGCTGGCCGTGGTAGCACTGCCTGTAATCCCAGCTACTAGGGAGGCTGAGGCAGAAGAATTGCTTGAACCCAGAGGGCGGAGGTTGCAGTGAGCAGAGATCGTGTCACTGCACTCCAACCTGGGTCAACAGAGTGAGACTTGGTCTTAAAAAAAAAAAAAAAAACAAAGGCTGGGGAGAAACACAAACCAAGCTATTTCCTCTTGACCAAACCAGCCTCTCTTAAACTTAAATATCCTTTAATGAGACCAGGAGAAAGAAAGGGAGAGAAAGAAATCAAAGAGGAAAATACCAATATTCATGCATCTCTTCCTTGTGCCCTTAGGAATCTACAGGCAAGCTGGACTCCACTTCAGCCCACCCAAAGGGAAACTATCAAGAAAAAAACCATTCCAAATCTCTTTTTCAGGTAAAAGAGCTAAAGAGAAGATTGGGTTGGTACAACTATGTAACTCAAAATCCTCATCTGAGGTTTGCTAACAGATTATTCTTCCCAGAGTTAATCTATCTCAGGGTTGCTGTCTGGTTACTAAGGTTATTAAAGCCATTGTCTCTCAGTTCCCAACCCACCCCTACTGACACTGCCCAGTGATGCTGAGGCCAGAATTATGCCAATGCACTACTTCTTTGCCAGCTGGCTCCCTCTTAGGTTCTGCCAACAGGGAGGGACACTGGCAGCAGGAGGAAGAAGGGGCTTGCTTCTTCCCATCTGCCTGCAGTCCTAGCAACAGCCCTGCACCCTGGCAGCCACAGTGAGTTCTAATCATCAGCTTCTCTCACTGCTCCCAGCATCAACCGCATCACATCCCCTCAGGGAACCCACTTCCTGATAACTGCTTCAGGCAGTTACTATCCCTGTGTTACCTCATGTTTCCTTTTTATCTTTTTTGTTGTCCAACAGCATTTACCCAATTTCCCATATTGAAATCTCTCTATTAAGATAACTAGTATACTTTGTTTTTCTGACAGAACCTAAATTATTAAACTTGCCCATTATCAGCACGTGAGGCGAAGTTCAACACACAGAATCAGAAGGTAAAGTATGGCTTGTTTGATACACATCTCCCACAGTTCTACCACACAGTATGTTCCAGAAGGGCAAGACCAAGACCTACAAAGGTGAAAGGGACTCTGCAAGGGGAAATACCAAGTAAGGATGAGGAAGAAAGGGGCCCACAGAGGTGAATGCAGATGTGTCCTCAGCCCAACAAGCATGCAGCTTGGGACTTTCACTTACCTCGGAGAGAAAGTAAAACCACGAGTGGTCAAAGACAGGAGGTGGGATTCGAGAATTGGTGTCAGTAATCTTTTTGATTTGGTAAGGAAGCCTCAGTACCATTTCTGTTAGAAGCTGAGTATAGGCCTCAAACACATCAGCAGCATGACCCTGGGAGAAGAAAATTTGCATGAGAACCTGTGACTATCGATTTTCCATGACCACAATTAGGAAAAAGCCTGGCTCATTAGACGTATTACATGTTGGAGGTGGTAAAGGGTGCCTTTCAGAGCTGGAATCAAGACTGACTGACAGTTTATTCTATAAACCCAGAAGGCCCAGGCTTCTGCGGCCAATTTAATTACATGCAAAGGTTACAGTGGAGGCAGACCTCACTTCCTAAAAGTCCTAATATTTCACTCTATGGTTTTTGACATTGGGTTGATTGTACTCTGCCTACATAAAGATGAGTGCTAGAAAGGCCAAAAAAATTGGAAAAAAAAAAGAAAAAGGGAGTAAGGATCTCTGACTTCTATGAGATGTATTCTATCCCTAGAACCAAAATTTCCCATGATAACAAGAAATTGTTAAATAAACCAAGGTGGGCAAGATCACTAAACTCAGCCAAGATTCCTGGCTTCATGTAACACAAAAAGGCAGAGGTAAATGAGAGATGTGAGGACAGTGGAAACAACAGCTATCCTGCAAGCTGTGTGGTCCCATAAAAAGAATCTGTAAGAGTTTGAGGGCACAACGTGTCTCACATATTCAACTCCCAGTTATTCATCAGTTCTGTATCAAGCACTGGAGTTGTAAACAGGAATAAAATATGGTTTCTGCTGAGAGTGTAGAGGGGAAGACAGGTGAAGGAGCACACAGGGTGCTCCGGGAACCCAGGACAAGGCTCTCTTGAGCAGACTTGATGGCAGGGAGTATATGTTAGGGAAGTTTTCCCAAGGATCCAAAGCTCGTGCTGGATCTTGAAGATGGGCTAGGAATTCGCTAGACAGGAGAAGAAAGGGGAGCAGAGGGAGAGGAAAGAATTCCAGAAGGGACAGCATGAACAAAGGCAACACGCCACACCTTGGGAAATGTGCAGGCTGGCAGGGCTGCGTGTAGGGTGTTATAGGTGACAAAGCTAGAGTCAAGCAGGTGGCTGGGTCCTCCAGAACTCTTTGGCCTGTAAGTTATGGAAAACCACCAAAGAGTCATGAAAAAAGAGCAAGACAACGATCAGATCCACACTCTATGCCTATCGTATTCCTACCCTACTCAAAGCTATTCTGAGGGGGCAGTGAGGAAGAGACTGGTGATATCAGTTAATACGGACTGGGCATTGATACATGCTAGGCATTGTGCTAAGTCCTTTACAAAGGGCACCTCATTCAATGCTCACAACAGCCCTGTAAAGCAGATACCATCTGTATGCTCATTTTCCAGCTGTAGAAGCTGAAGGTTAGGGAGGTTAGACAGACAGAACTTCTCCATGCTTCAAGACTGGTAAGTAAGAACACAAGATGGGACTTATCCCAGATCAATCTGATCAGAAGGCCCATCTTCTTAATAAGTACGTTAAAGGGCCTCTCAGTGGTGACAGCACAGGGAATATCTGACACACATGTCATGACCCACAACTCATGACATTAGCTTGTACCTTCTCATCTTTTTCTAAACTTAATGTGAAACGAGATAACCATGATCTCATTCAATTCCTCCAATTTACAAAGAGGCAGGAATGAGAATCCCACAGAAGGTTGGGAGAAGTGGTCATTTATTCAATCACGCCGAGATTAACCCCCACCAAGGAATGCCGGCTCCTTCCTATGGCTCTTCACCCTCAGCCCCTTGAGCTCTCTGCACCGCGAGGAAAGAGAAGAGTGCTCTGAACAAAGGACGAGTGTTTCTTTGATGAGGGAAAGATCTCACCTTCACATACTGGCGGAGAAAGAATGGGCTCATGTCAGGTGGGGAGGAGGTAGTATGTGGTTTCAGCAACTGGCTGGTAGCCACAGGCTCCTCGTCATTCTGTTGGCTCTTCCAATATTCCAGCAGTGATTTGAGCACGTGCAGGCAGTAGTCCACAGCCCCAGAGCTCAGTAGAGCTGCTGCTGTGGCACTGGAGATGAGGGAAGATGACTGGGAGACAGAGAAAATACAGAGATGGGAAGAATGGCTTGTAAAAACAATGTGAAATCCAGGTGGGTGTTGGGGATGGGAAACACACTCACAACAGTCTTAGCTTTTATGGCAGTGAGTGAATCAGGCTCTTGCACTGAAACTTCCCCAAGGAAGTTTGTGAGGTTTTTCAGAACTTTTTTGAACAACCACATGGTAAGACAAACAAAGAAACACATCTGTTCTCAACTCTAACCTTGCTACACGCACATATGCCAGAAGCCAGGGAGGCAAGGATTAAATAACCTTTCCCCCTGGAGGGGACGCGTTTCCTCTTTTATCTTGAGCAACTAGAAAAGAAGCCCAATTCAAGAAGGAGAGAGAAAACTTTCCATTATAGGCACTTCTGAACGACCCCACCCCACCCCCTGTAGAGTCTTCCATAGAACCAGCTTCCAAAGGAGTTGGGGGTGAGTGATCACATGCATAAAAAAGGAGAAAAGCTACTGTAAATAAGACCATTAGAAGAGCCTTGCAAATCCCAGCAAACCCCACAGCTCCCTAAGCTCATTAAGATTGGATGCAGTTCAGCCTCAATTTCTACCTTCTCTGCTTTATGCTAATCTCCTTTCACCACACACACATTGCTTTCTCTCTGCTTTATTACCATACCTTATAGCAACATACACTAGGGGAATCCTCTTAGCCACTCTGTGCCTTGCAGAAGAGAGCCCTGCTCTTCAATAATGGAACTTCCAAACCCTTTTACCCCTCCATTGGAGGGATTGTTACCAAAGACCAGAGCTTGGAAGGGATTCGGGAAAAGGTGGAGGTTCTGCTCTTGAAAAGGTGACAGCTTAGAATCTTACTCCCCTCAGGGAACAATGGCTTTATTCTTACAGAGGACTACCACCTCTGTGCTGGCCCTAGCACTACCCAGACAATCCGCTTACCTTTCCCCAAACCCATGAACCCAAAGCAAAAATACCTCACATATGGAAGACTTGGATCCAGATTTGGTGCGGGACATGAAGACACTCAGGAGTCTCATTACTACCAGATGGACTTCATTCAGGGCGCTGCGCTCATTCTTCTTGGAGACATCCTGCAGGCCAAAGCGTAAGTCCAGAAACCTCTACTTACTCGATGCTTGAGGCATCCTCTGAACAAGATCCCTTCAAGTCAAGCCCATCAGCCCTAAAATGTTCCTCAGATTGAATCAGACACAAAACAACCCCCAGTATATCCATGGACTATACTTGGGGTACCTAGAGCCCGATACACTTAAGAGGCCATATTAAGATACGAACAACTAATTTAATGTTCTCACCTCACTGAGCACAAAAGGGCCATGAGGGTAAGAACTTCATCTTTGCCCTCAACTATGCTCAGGGTCCAAAACTATGCTCGGGCCAAAGCAGGCCCTGAATACGCTTTTGTTGACTCAACAGAATGCAGCCCTCAGTGGATGGTTACCCCTTGAAACGAGGTGAAGTTCCTCTATGAAACGAATGGGAACCTGAGAAAGGATCTCAGCCAATCCTGTTTCTCACACAGTCTGCCTCTCAGATTTTACCTTTTTATCCATACCCAACTCAGCAATAAGCTGGGAGAGCAGGTTGTCTAGGGCCCCCTTGTCTTTCTCATCTTCTCCATCCAGATCTGTAGTGAGCATTAGAATGACCTAGAAGTCAAAGACAGAAAACACAAAACCCAATTTCCTAAAGAAGAACGACTTGAAATACGGGGTGTTTCAGAAGAAATCCTAATCTTCCTGACATCCCTATCAATCATAACTGTAATCCATTATAGCGTTCTAAATTCCAGGTATCCAAAGCTTCAGTGTTCAGAGTCAGAAAAGTCAAATTCTGATATATGCCACACTTGACATTACAAAAAAATGTTTTGTAAAAAGTTTGTAAAATTAATGGACTAACCTATATTATATCCAAGCAAGTAGCTTGAGAAAGGGTGGTACACCAAACTAAGAATTAAAGAACAGTTTTGCCTCTGAGGAAGACAGCTAGTGAGTGGAAGAACAGCTATTGGCCCACACTCTAATATCAACATAAAGACTAGAGACTCAGAATCTCAGAAGTGGGCTTTTGCACTGGCTCTGTCAATAACTACCTGGATGAACTTGTGCATTTAAAAAATTCTCTGACCCTTAGCTTTCTCATTTATAAAATGAAGAGCTATAATTTGTAGCTCAAAAATTAGATTTCATTATTCTGTGGCCTAACACCAAACGAAGGCTTCCAGGTCCTCTGGAAGAGAGATGTGGGCATGCTTAAGGACGGTCCAATCATGACCTGACAGAGATCCAGGTGAGCTAAGAGATACCTGCATGTATGGGATGGCCCGGACACCGCCAACGTTTCGTAATTGAGGCAGGGTCTGCAGTAATCTCTCCAACAGCATTAGACGGACCATGTGCAGCCTAAAAGGGTGGGGAAAAGATAGAAAATATGAGCTGTACTCCAACAGGACACAGCTGAATACAGTTCCCTCCCCAACCCCACCCTGCTACCAAGGTCAACAAGAAGCCTAATGCTTAGGAACAATCTCCAGCATTAAAAAAAAAAGTTAAGAACTGCCTAATCGGTATGCCAGTCAGCAACACAGAAGGAGAGATCCCACTCTGTTAAAAGAAAGTGAAACTATTCTAAAATACAACTGATGGCACTGAATTAAATCCTACTACAGGGAAGTTCAAAGTATTTCCCAAGCCTCCAGGCCCTAGTAGTTCTCAGTTTCAAAACCAAACCTCCAACTGCAAGATTTATGGCTTTTTTCTAATATGTGGCCCTATTCTGCCTCCAGACATTATTTTCTAGAATTCTGCTATATACAAATTCTATATCACCCAGCTGCACAGTGACCCAGCCCTTTCTTTCTCACGTTTCCCAAATTCTTATAAAGTCCAGTCACTGCTCTACTCTCTCACACCTTGTCCACCATCTTCCTAATATAATGTTCTGTTTCAATGCCACACTGTCCTACTGGACCCATGAGTTTTCCCGTATAATCAACTGGCCATTACCTAGCCTTCATCTGCAGATATACAGCTGACCTTCTGTACTAAGTATGTGCCCCTGGATCTCTAGCTAATATGCTGATTCAAGAGGATGATGAAAATTAATTAAAGTCCTACTGACAATTTGGTTGCTAGTCTCACCTAATACACAATCTCATACAGATTAAGAATCTAGTTGCTGAATAAATCAATGGATTCACTTTCATAATTAGCAAATGGTCCTTGTCTCATTTTTATCTTCAGATTATTTGTAAGAAACCATATACCTATTTTTTTTAATGTGTGATTGGCATGTGTTACATATCTTAGCAGGTATCCAGAATATTGTCTTTTTCTTTTCTTAAAAACAAAATGTTTTTAAATACAAAAAAGGACCAAAAAAATTGTTTTAAAGAAAATAGCTGGACATGGTGGTGTGCCTATCATCCCAGCAATTCAGGAGACTAAGAAGGGAGGATTGGTTGAGCCCAGGAATTCAAAGATGCAGTGAGCTATGATCATACCACTGCAAACTAGCCTGGGCAACAGAGCTGAAGTGAGCTACTGTCCCCAGCCCAGAATATTTTCAAAGTAATACAAGTCTGGATGAAAGTACAGGGTCTAGGGTTGGGTGTGGTAGCTCACGTCTTTCAACACTTGGAGGCTGAGGCAGGAGTTCAAGACCAGCCAGGGAAACATAGCAAGACCTCATCTCTACAAAAAATTTAAAAATTAGCCAGACGTGGTGCCATGTGCCTGTAGTCCTGCCTCAGGAAGATCACTTGATCCCAGGAGTTCAAGGTTACAGTGAGCCATGATCATGCCACTGCACTCCAGCCTGAACAACAGAGCAAGTCCCTGTCTCTAAAAATAGAACGAATGAAAGAAAGTACGGGGTCTTACGTGAATTATAAATTATTGTCATTCTAAAAAGAACTCAAAGGAATGAGCTAACTGTTCTTCAGAATACCACGCATGTGTCTGTTAATAATTAGCCAAGCTAGGTGGGGACTACAAACGTTTAAGAATTGCTCAAAGATGAACAAGGTACAAGTGAGGAAAGGTGAGATGACAGCAGCAGTTCAATAGTTTGAACATAAAACATAAGACGGCTTTGTTTTGAGATGGATTAATATCTTCAGATTTGGAGAACATACAAGTGAATACACACACATGAAGAAAAAAGTCAACAAAATGAGCAGAGTCTAGACTTGGACCAAGATCACAGCAGAGTATTTTCAAACATCATTCATTCATTCATTTTGTTATTTTTTTTTTGAGCCTGGGACACTCTGTTGCCCAGGCTGGAGTGCAGTGGCACAATCACAGCTCCGTGCAGTCTTGACTTCCTGGGCTCAAGAGATCCTCCCACCTCAGCCTCCTGAGTAGCTGGTACCACTGGCGCATGCCATCATGCCAGGCTAATTTTTTTATTTTTTGTAGAGACAGGGTCTCCCTATGTTGCCCAGGCTGATCTCAAACTCCTAGGCTCAAAAGATCCTCCCACTTCAGCCTCCCAAAGTGCTGGGATTACAGGTTTAAGTCATCATACCCAACCTATTTTCAAACTCTTACACAGTACTCTTGAAACTTAAAAAAAAAAAAAAAAAAAAAAAAAATAAACACAGCACCAAAAACTGCAGTTTCCTTTTCTTTAGTGACTTAAAGTAAAATTCTGTTTTATTTAAAATAATTCATGTTTCAACCAAGCAAAAACTGAAAATAAAACCAAAATTTTTAAAAATAATTCATTAACCAATTATTTAATTAACTTATTCATGAAAAAAGGTTAATTTAAAACCACTATAGAGAATTCCATTGTCAATATGGCTAGGTTACCTAAATTCACCCTACTCCTAAAAACAAATGAAAATCCTAAGATATAACACCATTTTAGAAGCAGTGATGAGTCTCAAGAGATTTCAAAAAAAATCTAAAATACACTGGGCGTGGTGGCTCATGCCTGTAATCCTAGCACTTTGGGAGGCCAAGGTGGGCAGATCATCTGAGGTCAAAAGTTCAAGACCAGCCTGACCAACATGGAGAAACCCCATCTCTACTAAAAATACAAAATTAGCCGGGCGTGGTCACGCATGCCTGTAATCCTAGCTATTTGGGAGGCTGAGGCAGGAGAATCGCTTGAACCCGGGCGGCAGAGGTTGTAGTGAGCCAAGATCATGCCAATGCACTCCAGCCTGGGCAACAAGAGTGAAACTACGTCTGAAAAAACAAACAAACAAAAAAATCTACAAACACCCAGTATGTTCCCAACCATGGTAAAATTAAAATATAAACCAATAACAAAAAGATAACTAGAAAATTCCCAAATGTTTAGAAATTTAGTAACATACTTTTAAATATCCCATGGGCCAAAGACTAAATTACAACAGAATTTAGAAAATAATTTGAATTGAATAGCAATGAAAATACAGCATTATCAAAACACAACATTATCAAAATATGTGAGCTGCAGCCAAAGCAAGATTAAGATGGAATTTTAGAGAAAAATATATTGCTTCAAATATGGTTTTTTGTTTGTTTGTTTTTTTGAGACAGAGTCTCACTCTGTCACCCAGGCTGGAGTGCAGTGGCGTGATCTCGGCTCATAGCAACCTCCACCTCCCACATTCAAGTGATTCTCCTATCTCAGCCTCCCAAGTAGCTGGGATTACAGGTGCACGCCACCACACAAGGCTAATTTTTATATTTTTAGTAGAGACAGGGTTTTGCTATGTTGAGCAGGCTGGTTTTGAACTCCTGGCCTCAAGTGATCAGCCTGCCTCGGCCTCCCAAAGTGATGGGATTACAGGTGTGAGCCACTGGACCTGGCTGAATATGTATTTTTAAAGTAGGTTTAAAATACATATGATTAAATGATTTAGGTTTGTATCTCATGAGCCAGAAATAGAACAGGAACAATAGAACAATAACAACAAAAAAAAAGTAAAAAATGGTAAAAAAAAAAAAAAAAAAAAGTAAGTAAAAGAAAGGAAATAATAAAAAGCAGGAATAGAAAGCAGACATACAACAGAAAAAAACCAGAACCAAAAGCCAATTCTTTCAAATAAAGTTGATAACCCCTAGAGCAAGACTGACAAAGAATAAGTTACTATTGTCAGAAATGAAAAAAAGCAAATCACTACAGATTGTCAAGACATTAAAAAGATGAGAGAAAAATATATGAACAGGCTCACGCCAGTAAAACTGACAACTTTAATAAAATCAACAAATTCCTTGTAAAATACGATATACCAAAATTGAAACCAAAATAAATAAAAATAATTCTCTAGCATTTAAAGAATACACCTAATTTTAAATCTTCCCTTAAATAAAGTCCAGACTCAGATTACTTCACTGACTGGTGAACTTCTCTAAGAATTTATGGAAGAAATAATACTAATCTTATACAAACTCTTCTAGAGCAAGAGAAAAGGGGATCATGCCCTGACTTATTTTATGACGCCAGAATAATGTGAATACCAATCCCTGACAAAGACATCTCAAAGAAAAATTTTAAGCCTAAACTAAAAATTAGCAAATCAGGTCACATGATATAAAGGAAAATACATCATGACTAAATAGGCTTAATAATAGAAAAATCAATTAACGTAATCTATAACCTTAAACAAAATAAAGAAGAAAAACCATATAAGTGATTCAATACATGAAACACAAGAAACTGGAAATCTTGAAAAACCCATTTAAGATAAAAATCTCCCAGCAAACTAGGAACAAAATCTCCTTAATCTGATAAATATCCATAAAAAACCCTTGTGCTAACATCATACTTAATGAGAAAGTATTGAACCTTTACACCCTGAGTTTGGGAATGAGATAATGTTCATCATCATCACTTCTTTCAACATTGTACAAGAGGTCTTAGCCAACGCAATAAGGCAAGAAAAGAAAATTAAAAAGTATAAAGATTGGAACGAAAAAAGTTACACTGTTATTTGCAGGTGATAAGATTGTGGATACAGAAAATCCACTAGAATCTATCATTAGAATAAATAAATGAGCTGGGTGCAGTGGCTCACACATGTAATCCCAACACTGGGAGGCTGAGGCAGGAGGATCACTTGAGGCCAGGAGTTCAAAACCAGCTTGGGCAATAGTGAGATGCTGTCTCAACAAAAAAAAAAACTAGGCTGGGTACGGTGGCTCACACCTGTTATCCCAGCACTTTGGGAGGCCAAGGTGGGTGGATCACCTGAGGTTGGGGGTTCAAGACCAGCCTCGTCAACATGACAAAACTCTGTCTCTACTAAAAATACAATAATTAGCTGGGTGCCAGGTGTGGTGGCACATGCCTGTAATCCCAGCTACTCAGGAGGCTGAGGCTTGAGAATTGCTTGAACCTGGGAACTGGAGATTGCAGTGAGCTGAGATTGTACCACTGCACTCCAGCCTGGGCAAGAGAGTGAGACTCTGTCTCTAAAAAAAAAAAAAAAAAAAAAAAAAAAATTTAAAAACAGCTGGGCATGGTGGCAAGCACCTAGCTACTCAGGCAGGAGGATTCCTTGAGCCTAGGCATTTGAAGTTGCAATCAGCTATGATTGTGCCACTGCACACCAGCCTGGGCAACAGAGTGAGACTCTGTCTCAAAAATAAATAAATAAATAAAAATAAATAAAAATAGCTGGGCATGGTGGCATGTGCCTAGCTACTCAGAAGGCTGAGGCAAGAGGAGTCCTTGAGCCTAGGCATTCAAGGTTGCAGTTAGCTATGATTGTGCATACCAGCCTGGGCAGGTGAGACTGTCTTAAAAGAAAACAAAACAAGAAACAACAAGAATAAGTAAACTAAGAAAGATTATCAGATACATAGTCAAAATAAAAGTAATAATGAGCTCACTAGCAATTAAAAAGTTACTGGCCAAAGATGTAAGCAGAACTCAGAGACAAAGTTTAGGAAATCTGAAATTTGAAAAGTTAAGGCCAAGATGTTCTGAAGGCAACTTGACCTTCTGGCTGCCAGGACCTCACAGGGCATTTGGAATAGAAATAAAAGCAAAGGATCTTCCTCAAGTGGGGAAGGTCTTCATTTTTTTTTTTTTCTTTAGACCTCCTCTGTGGACAGTGGGGAAGGTCTTCAAAGAGAACCTCACAGAAGAACCACAGAAGGCTATACCCTCATTTTAAAAGTAAACTGTAATACATGACTTCCCTTCACACTCTTCCCTGCACCTGCACCCCCGACCCCACTCTAGCCTAGGAGCCTATAAGGAAAACTACCTAACTGAAATCTTAATACTGAGAAGAGGGGAGGAGAAAATGAATAGCTGCTGAGAATATAGTCCAGTTTATAGGTTTTTTTTTCCTTTTAATGCTTTTGTGTCCTATTCAATAAATCTTTGCCAAACCCAAGTTATGAAGACATTTTGTCTTTTAAAGGCAATAAAATGTTACTCTTTGTATTTACATCTATAATTCAACTGATTTTTGCATATAAGATCAAGTCAAGATTCATTTTATTCTATGTGCGTTTCCAGCTGACCCATTATTATTTATTGAAAAAACCCTCCTTTCCTCCATTGTACCTAAGTGTCACCTTTGTTATAAATCAGATGATCAGGTATGTGAGAAGCTGTTTCTGAACTCCAGCCCATTCCACTAATCTATTTGTCTATCTTCATACCATTATCACACTGTCTTAATTACCATAGCTTTATAATAAGCTATAATTCTATAAAGTCCTCTAAATTTATGAATTTTCTTCAATACTGCCTTGGCTAATCGACATAAATGTTAGTATCAACTTGTCAATTTTAACACATAACTCCAGCCAAAATTTATGACTAGGATTATATGGCTCTATATCAATTTGAAGACAATTATCTTCACAATGAGTCTTTCAATCCATAAACATGATGTAGTTCTTCACTTATTTAGGTCTTTAATTTCTCTTAGATTGTACAGTGTTCAGAGTAGAAGTCTTACATATCTTTCAAATTTATTCCTATTTGATGTTTTTTAATGCTACTCAAATAGATCAAGAAATTTATAAATAATTAAGCACAAGAAACACAAAAGAAAAAGAGATTCTAAGAGACATGAAGAAGAGAATATGATGGTCTCACATCTATTTAACTGAAATCCCAGAAAATAAGTGAAATAACAGAAAATAAGACAAAAAGAATATCTGATAAGATTAATAGATGAGATTTTTCCAAAATAAAAGACACTAGCCCACACATCCAAGAGTCCCAAAGACTACTAAGCAAAATAAATGTAAAGAAATAAATCACATATCCTGGTAAAACTGCAAAAATAATGACAAATGAAGATCTTAAAAGCAGCAGTAAAGACATTACTTTCAAAGAAGCAACAGTTAAAATAGGAGGTGATTTCTCATTGGAAATAACAAAAGCGAGGAAATAACAGAATACCATTTTCAACTGGGGAGGTCGGGGGTGCTGCCAACACAAAATTTTATACCCATCAAAAATACATCCCCAAATGTAAGTTCAATAAAGGTATTTCCAGACCAACAAAATCTGAGATAGTGTAAATCAGAAAACCTCCCTAAAGGAAAATCTAAATGATATCGTTTAGGAAAAAAATAATCCTGGATGGGAGGTCTCAGAGGCATAAAGAAATGTTAGGCACAGAAAATGGTAAACATATGAGTAAAACTTTAACAAACACTGACCTTATAAACTATAAAATCCTAAAGGCTTTAAGAAGACATTAAAAAAGTTAAAACACACAAAGGAGTAAAGTCTTCTAAGATCCTCATATTATTCAGGAAGAAGGTACAGCTATTAGTTAAATTTCATTTTGGATAAGGTAAGTATGCATGTTAAAATGCATAGTATAACCACTGAAAGATTAAAAACAGAGTAAACAACTTCCAAACTTGCAGAGTTGGAGGAAAAAAGGAAAGAAACAGGAAGAAAAAACTAGCAAGTCAACTCAAAAGAAGGCCACAAAGAAAAGGACACACATAGAACAAATAAGAAGCACAAAGTAATAACATACATCCATTCCAAATCTGTTAGCAATCAACATTAATTATAAATGAACTCAACTATATCAAATAGAAGACAAAAGCAGGCTGGATTTTAAATGTTTAAAGTAAATTTTTTAAAAAATCATAGAGACCAAATTAACTGAACATAAGGGAATTAACCTAGAAATCACATTAAGAAAAATGTTAGAAGATTTTTTTAAAACTCTATCAAAATATCATCTATTAACAGAACCAGAGAAATTCATCCAGAGATGTTAAGCGGCTTACGTTCAAGCAGTAGGATTCGGGGAACGTGGAAGGCACTCTTTGATGCCCCCTTTAAATGTCTCTGATGCCTGACTGCATCAGGCACCATTTTTTTTACCTGATAGAAATCATATAGTTCAAAATTCTGGGCCAGGTACAGTGGCTCACACCTGTAATCCCAGCACTTGGGGAGGTGGAGGTGAGTGGATCACTTGAGCTCAGGAGTTCCAGATCAGGCCTGGGCAACAGGGCAAAACTCCATCTCTACAAAAAATACAAAAATTGGCCGGGCGTGGTACCGCACACCTGTAGTCCCAGCAACTCGGGAGGCTGAGGTAGGAGAATCACCTGAGCCTGGGAGGTTGAGGCTGCAGTGAGCACTGTTCACACCACTGCACTCCAGCCAGGGTGACAGAGGGAGACAGTCTCGAAAAAAAAAAAAAAAATTCTGACTTACTATTTTTACACTAATGTAACAACTGCTGACCTCAACAAATTCAACAAACATTGTATCATGAGTCTTATTTTCAGGTTTTTCTTCTATTTCTCTAGTTATCTCTGGGTTAAGAATACATTCACTTCACCATCTAGTACTAAACCCCAACACAAAAATGGATTAGGATTTTATAGACCACTTTCAATTTCAAAATGCTCCACCACTGGTATTTCTAGCCATATGCATATATTTGCTATGTCTTATTTCTCCTTTACCTTACAAACATGCTGAACAAGGAGCGCTTCTAGGACACCTAATACGTATACCTAAATGTTGAGCCTCCAGCGGTGCCATTTGTAAAGAGGATGCCATATATTGAGTGTACAGATATTGATGAAACTGGAAAGATTTGAGTAAGGAAGACATGTTTTTATGACAATCACTTTACAGTTACTAAGATATTTAGAGGAGCCTTAAGAGAAATACCACTTTCTATTCTCTCCGTAATTAATATAATTCGAAGACAAAGACAGACCTAGAGCACTTCCTAAGACTTTAAACTGTTTCAGAAGTTTACACCTTTATATTTCAAAAGAAATATGCTGTTATCACTACTCTACCTCCTGCAATTGATCAGTCCTACTATTCCTGAAATAGTCTCAGATAGGCAAGCCTCTTAACTGTGAAGGACTAGGTCTTGACCTGTTGCTAGTGTGGACATCTCCTTCAGTTTCTCCTTCTCCTTCTCCCTCGGAGCCATCTCCCTCCTGGTGCCCAGTGGTGGTGCTGATGGCTCCAGTGCTTGAGCTGACACTTCCTGGTCCAGCCGGATGCCCCTCAGCTGTAGCATCGCCATAAGCACTGCTCCGGCCAGATACTAGAGGGAAATGGTTTAAAAAGCACAAATCAACTCCCAAAGCATGAAGGAACCCAGTGCATTCTAAAGCAGCAGCAATAGTTAAGACAGTAACTGACAGCATTAGACAATAACTGGTAGCATTTTTGTCTTATATGTAAAGCTAAGTAAGACCCCACAGCACTATGTTAAATCACTCTCACAGTAGCCATTCACCCTTCCCCAGTATGTAAGACCCACCTATATGAATGATCTTAATCTCAGATGCTAATACATTTCTATCTCATACTTCAGAGGAAACATACACTGATAGGGGAATCTAGAAATTATCAGCTGCTCTTCATCTCCTCTGTAAAAATTGTATCCAGTTGCTAACCACAGACTGATATGGAAGGTCAAACCAAAATGGCTTTGTCATGTTCCCTCATTCTAGAGCCCCACCTCATCAGCTAGTAGACTGTGGGGATGGTCTGCTATGTTAACACATCAGATCATTAACAATAAGATCGCTTAAAAAAAAACCCTTCCCCAAATAAATGAGGAGAAACCATAGGATAATGGGTTTCAAGGTCACATAATAACTGTTTTAGGCTAATCATGACTTATAATTATGCATATTATCGCAGTTTCAGAGAGGAAAAAAAAGACTTACGCATGTCATTGCTTTTTTTCCACTAACAGATAATTAGTAAATATCTGTAAAATATTTCAATACTAACCCCCTGAGCTTAAGCCACTAAACATTTGAAACTCGAAAACTGAGGCCAAATGAATTCCACAAGACTTTCAGAGAGTCCACAAGACTTTCAATGAGTCTCTATACCTTTTCTTTGCAAAAACCAACCCCAAGACCCAAGCAGAGATTCCTGTTTTGTCCCCACCCTCTGCCCAAGGAGACAGGACCCCCGCCATGGCACATTACCACTGTGCTCGCCAGCCACTGAGTCCACTGCACTGCCCCCGCTCTCCGAGCCCACACTACCACCGTGGTCAGCAGGAGAGGTCCGAAGGGTAGAACCATCTGTCGCTGCTGTACTGCCCTCGTCGTCTGAGGCTGGAGCTGAGAGAGTAACGAGAGCTGTTACAGGTTAAAAAACAAACAAACAAACAAACAAACAAAAAACAAAAAAAACCCCTCCTTGGGATGAAAGCATCAAACCACATAGTGCATAGGACACAATGCAGTTTATATATCCTGTCGTCAAAGAAAAAAGGGAGAGATTTGCTTTGCTGGTTAATCACTAACAGGAACAAACACTATACACGGTGCATTGCAAACAGTACTTAGACAGGAGTGAAGAAAACCCAGTTCACTGGGTATTTCCTTCACTGTTTTACATTACAGTGCAAGTAGAACAGTGCAGAGATTCAGTAAGAATCTGTGACATGGACGCTGAGTTTTCTAGCTAAAATGCTTCATGGTCACCATTGTTTAGGTGTTACTGACACCTGCTGAGAGATCTGAAACTAGCCATTACCATTCAAAGCATAGAACTCTGAATTTTAATGAGACTTGTTTTGAAATCAGTCAAGTTTTGCTTATGTTAGGAAATCACTTAGCATGAGCTCTTGAATCAACCCTGTTTTGGTTTTTTTAGCAAGTGGTCCAGAGGGGAGCTCATTGGGAAATTTCACACCTCCTAATCATCCTCATCAGATGCTAATAATGAAGCAAGGAAATTCCCCAGAGACAGCCACAGCATCCAGGATCAGGGCTGAGCTGAGACAGGAGGAAAATGCTGGATGAGATACATGGGGGAGGAAAGCCAAGACAGCCACAGAGCACAGCGGGAACACGACTGGCACAACACAACAGCAACCTCAGAGCCTGAAATGACAGCAACTAAAGAGACCTAAGAAAAGCAACAAGCCATGGCAGCAGGTGGGGCCAGCCGCTCTCTCCCTTTCTTAACTACCCAGGCTAAAACTTCCAAAAGAAAAGAAAAAAAACAAACACAAGGAAGCATCAGTCTAAAAAACTATAAATCAACCCTTAAATTACTCAGGGGTTGACCAGGTATCTCCATTTGGTCCAACTCTCTATTCAGGAAACATTTTTTTTTTTTTAATCAGATTAGGGAAAAGATTGAAAATAAAGAGAAGATGAGTTCTGGAGATTTGCTATAGATTTTAATTGTCCATAAAAACCCTCTCTCTCAAGCTCACAGATCCTGATGGTTGGTCACACTGAACAAGAATTCTGAAGTATAATCTAGCTTCTTATAGCTCTCCTTTTATTTGCAAATGAAGATAAAAAAGGTAAAAGGTATGAGTTCTATTTCTTGTCTCTCTTTTAATACTGTCTAAAATGTTAGAACTCTGACAAAGAACGCTGGAAGCTGAAGTGGAAGCCCTGTAGCTGATCAGCCTGCATGCCGCTCTCTCGGCTTTTCCGTGGGGAAGTAGCTGAAGCCAGGCAGCATGCAAAGTGTGAGGAAGCGGAGCTGTGCGCGGCGGGGCCGAGCCACAGCACTACACCCTCCACACCCATCTTTCTAAAGCCAAGGCAGAAGCAGGAAGTCCAGAATGGCCTGTCAAAGCAGCTGCCCATTACACTCTCACAGCAGTGGAAACAAGGCCTGAGGGTCCTGGGGCCCTGAGCCGTGCTCCTTGCTGTGGACAGTTACCTGATGCTGTGGTGTCAGAGAGGGTTCCTGCGTCCAGAGAGGAAGAGCTGGGTGCCTGGCCGGACAGTCCCAGGCTCTGCAGGCCCAGGGCACTGCTGCTGCTGCCTGGGAAACAAGTGGAGAGTGAGCACAACATCCCCTCCAGGTCCCATCCACAGCGCTGCTTTGGCCACCTGCTGCCCTCAAGAGTCTCCAAACACCAGCATGTGACCCCCTCTGGCCTAGAGGAAGTTAGCTAGCAGCCACTGCTGTCCACCCACCAAGTTCAGTTACAGAGATGGTGGAATGCTTCCTTCAGCTCAGGCAGGACACAGGCTGGAGGAATCTAAGATTCAAGAGGAAATAACCCAAACTGGCAGAAACTATGAGATTGGCACTCAGACTGAAATTCCCACCACATCCCTCTCACTCTCCACCTGTATCTCTGAACAGCTCTCACCCAGATCAACCTCTCCCCATATCTGGGGACAAACTAAGTCAGCTGGATATCAGTAACTGCCAAACCCTCTTTTCCTGTGCAAGGCCAATGGGCCGCTTTGTTCTTGGCATGGCCTTCTACCTTGTTGGTCCTGCTGCAGGCTCAGGGCAATGGCTAGTTCAACCATGGTCTCGTCATCTGCATCAGGTGGGATGTCCAGCATGGGGGGGAAGCCCTCTGCGCCTGCCAGCAGGGCCTCCAGGGGAGAGGGGTTGCCATTGTTGACATTTTCAGCTGTCTCCAGGACCATCGACTCAGACTGCAGAGAGAAAGCTCTGTCAGTGTCCCATGGTAAGTGGTAACTTTTGGAAGTCCACTGAATAAGAGCTAGAGGAGAGTTGTGAAGCTCCTCCTCCCCTTCTCCTGCTGCCAGAGACTCACCACCATCTCAAAATCTCCATGGTCCACCTCACTCTGTTCCTGGCTTTCCTGACGGATGTGACCACCATTCGGGATCCCTGATGACTGCATTTTCTCATCTGCATCATCATCGTCATCATCATCCTTGTCTCCTGAGTCAAAGAAACCCCAGTCACCTGAAGGTGCTTGCTTTCCTCCCTTGGCACATGGTGCCATAAGTCAGGTGGCAACAAAAACCCAAGACAAGCTACCAGCTAGCACCCTGGGCTTTAGCGGGAGAACTCCGGGGTGCTATGCCTGGCCTTGTTCTCTTACTTCTTGGACCTACAGCATCTGGGAAGATGGAGTTGGCTGCGACAGCTTGCCCCCCACAAAAATAAAATGTTCCAGCTGGTGAAGGAAACAAACTTGGATTCCAAAGGGATTTCCATAAAGGTGAGAGATCTAAAACCAGTAGGCCTCCCAAACTCACGCTAACTCTCAGGAGACCTTGGATAAGACAGGAAAAATCATATGATTGGGATCTTTACCTTTTGTCTGTCATGGCAGATTAGAATTTATTTCACTATTTTTTTCTAAAACAACTAGGTCAGTGAGATTTTCACACTACGTAATTACTATGAGAAGAACCAGAATTGAAGTGTAAAACCATTGACTGGAAACCAAGGACACCACTGCAGGTCCTGCCTGTGCCCACTTTTGTGTGAAGGTGAGAAGGCCTTCTAATAAGGAAGATGTCCAGGTGAGACTCCTAATTGTCAGAAGAGGATAGAGACCTCACCTTCCACTCGATGGATTGCTAAAGCTTGTAAATATGTCCGTTAGAAACATAAACTATCTCCACTCTAGGTTCTTGCTAGGGAAAAGAGCCACAAACTGCTGCCTAACCCAAAAGCTTAGGCAAGATAAATGATATGCAAGGAAGATTTTCTGAAAGTCACAAAGTTGTGTACAATCCTCTAGATGTGCACTGTCCACCAGCCACATGTGACTACTGAGCACTTAAAACATGGCTGTCTAAAAGGAGATGTGCCACTAGTGTAAAATACATTCTGGATTCCCAAAATGGTACCAAAACAGGCAAAATATTTCACTAATAAATTTTTTATATTGACAAGATGTAGATATAATATTTGATATACTGGATTAAATAATTAGTAAATCAATTTTACTTTTTACTCTTTATAATATTGCTATTAGAAAATTTAAAAGTACAGGCCGAGCAGTGGCTCGCGCCTATAATCCTAGCACTTTGGGAGGCCGAGGCGGGCGGATCATTTGAGGTCAGGAGTTCGAGACCAGCTTGGCCAACATGGTGAAACCCTGTCTCTACTAAAAATACAAAAATTAGCTGGGCACGGTGGCACGCGCCTATAATCCCAGCTACTAGGGAGGCAGAGATTGCAGTGAGCTGAGATGGCACCATTGCACTCTAGCCTTGGTGACACAGTGAGACTCTGAAAAAAGACGAGAGAGAGAGAGAAAGAAAGAAAGAGAAAAGAAAAAAAGAAAAGAAAAGAAAGAAGGAAGGGAAAGGAAAGGAAGGAAGGAAGAAAAAAGAAAGAAAGGAAGGAAGGAAGGAAGGAAAGAAAGGAAGGAAGGAAGGAAGGCAGGAAGGAAGGAAGGAAGGAAGGAAGAAAGAAAGAAAGAAAGAAAGAAAGAAAGAAAGAAAGAAAGAAAGAAAGAAAGAAAGAAAATTTAAAAGTACATAGTGACTTTCATTTGAAATTTACTTCTAAATCAAGCCAAGTAACCAGAATTATATAATTCTGTTATTCAGACACCTTTTAGAATTGCTTTTACTGAATCGTAAAATGTTATGCCCTTGACTGTATTGTGTATTGTGTATTGTGTACTGTGTATTGTGAGGGAAATTCCTGTGAAATTTGCTATCCAACTTATTGTAGGTAAGTCCACTAAGGATTCTGCCCCTTTGGCAACAAAATGGACATTTAATGAAGAGCTTCTATCCCAAGAAAAGTTATGTTTCTGTTTTGTCTTTGGTCACTGTGATTTTATTTTTGCTATGGCTCTTAGGAAGCTTTCAGCCAAATATAAGACCCTCGCTTACCAACCATGCAGGACCTTTGTGATGTGAATTTTCTGTATTTTGATTTTACTATGGTACTTTTATTTTCCCATGGCCTTTAATCTTTATTTTTATCCTACTTACTATATACATTTTGATGTGCCACCTAAATTCTTTATGGGGTGAGGTAGGATTAGAAAAAAGACAGATACATAAAGTCTCCAGGACCTTGGTCAACATGAGCAGCATGCCCAATGCTACTGTACCTCCCTCTCTCCCCTCCTCCCAAATACAGGCTTGAGCCTAAACCCAGACCTCATATTACCCATTGGAGTGTTGCTTCGAGGGGAAGAGGGTAAAGTCACATGTCTCCGTTTGTTCCTGGGCCTTAGGACTCGAATTAGAGCTTGTTTACAAGAGAAGCTCACAGCAGGATCCTGAGGTTTAAAAGGAAACTGTCACGCTTTGCTCTCATATTATTCATGAAACTCTCTATAAAACACTTTCCTTTCTTGGTCACTCACTCACATGCAAGTGGAATACCTCTCTACTCTCACCTGCAACCCAGCGGACCAAGTTCAGCAGGTTAAGTTAATCCCCGCTTCCTGTTCTGGCACACATTAAGAGCCATTCGCTAACCTCCTGTCTCTCAGTTCCTGGGGATGGACTGGCAGGTCATTTGCTCCTGAGGCCATTTTGGCCCCTTACAAATGGTTCTGGCTTTTTATCAGATGATCAAGCCCCCAGCGCACGTCTTAGCTCTGTGCTAAAATCAGTAGTTTTAACACTTAGCTTCTGTGAAAGGGTCACTGGAAATAGAAATCTTGATGTACTACTTTCATTCATGTGCTCATTTAAGTCACAATTCACCGAGTTACCTAGCACTTACTATGTAGCAAGCAGTAGGCTGTCCCTGGTGATTCAGCACTGAATAAGAAAGACTGAGCCCATCCCCTTTCCAAATCTTTCTCTTCCATGGAGTAAGATCTTAAAGCTTTTATTGATATTTGAAACTTCATTCCCTTCAGCTTCCTCTAAATATATTTTATTTCATTAGCTTAGCAAGCTAAAAACAATTTTCCAGATATTCCCTGGCTGCTGCGAGCTCTCTGGGATTGTAATGCTACGTACAGGACACAAGAGCATCTGCATGTAGATCTTGGATGCTGTGTTAATACAATCCAGCTCACAGGTACAGTAGCCATGGATGATGTCCACCAGAGCATTGACAGTAGCTTCAATATGAGTTAGTCCTAAAGGAGAGACAAACATTATTTGAAAATCTGGAGGAAAAAACTCTAACTACTTGAGAGTCTGAGACAAAAGTGTAACCTTTTATCTCCATGTAAAAGGTCATGCAAACAAAATGACAAACACTCACATACACACTCATTCACACACAGTAGCCTGTATTATTTATGATTTGTTTCATTAACAGTTTCCTAAACTCCCAAATTGTCCTCAAAAGTCTTTCCAGATATCTTGAGTCACAGAAATAAGTAGCTGTCCACTCTCTCTGGATATCAAAAGACAAGGCAAGGAAATATGAAGAGGAAGGCAGATACTAAATGTTCCCTAATATCCCCCAACCTCAGGTGATGACAAAACATGACCTTGACTTGCCTTTTAGGTTTACCACCCAAATGTCCTCCAAACATGAATGAGCACCAGGATCATCCTACTTTTCTATATTGCTATTCAGACCCTTTACTCTTCCATCTGAATTTTCAATAGTGTAAGAAGTTAGAGACCAAATAGCTTAGAAATAGAATAATCCTCAAGATACTTGTGCCTTTTGAGCTGGCTTTAAGCCAAGTTGTCAAAGATTTTTAAAAACAATTATAAACCACTGAGACACACACACACACACACACACACACACACACACAGTGCCTCTTTATGTAAAATATTCAACCCCGATGAAAAGATATGGTAGAAGAAAATCCCACTCTGCCACACTGCTAAATTCCTGTCTCAGGAACATTGCATTTATCTCGCAGACTTCTACTTCCCAATTATGAGTTCTGGAAGAAATGGATTATGAAGAATGAAAGCTAATGGCTAACGGTCATAGCTGTTCAAAGACAGAACTTACATCAGGCTTCATTACCAAGATTCAAATATCCCTTTTAACATACCTGGAAGGCAGGCAGGTGCCAAGAAGGCATTCTTGGGTTTGGATGCATGGAGTTTCCAGAAGTGGTTCACAAGCTGGGTGATGAAACTACAGCAATCTCCTTCCAACTGCTTCTGCGGTTCCTTCCCTTCATCCATTCCTTCTAAGCAGGAGAAAGAAAATTATCAACGATGGTAAATCTGAGATGGAATTTAATTTGTTTTAAGGTTAACTCAGGTCAAGGAAGCTTGCCTGGGGAGGGAGTTTCAAGTGGGGCCCCAATCAATATGCCAACTATCCCTAGACTCCAGCAGGCACATCTAGGAAAAAAACAGTCTGGGAAAGGAATATCGCAGAAAACATTGTATGTTAGAATTAAGTAGAACGGGGAGCATTTAGGATGTTTACCGCAGATTCAAAGATCTCAGTTCCAACTGTTCAACTTCTAAAACGTAGAGGAACATCTGAACATTCTAGAGATCTCTCTAGAACAATTCTGGGATTGTAGTATTAAAAGGAGGAACAGAATGATGATGCATATGGGAGCATGTAAATAACACAGAATTGTAAAGGCAGCAATCAACTCAATTTGACAATGACAAAACAGGTTTGCTACCCAGCCAACAGAAGAGGAGATGAGGAAACAGCACTGAGCACTGAGAAAGTTGCTACACATTATTAATAATAGCACTGGCAAAAGAATGGCATGAAAGCGAAAGATATGCCATAGTTGCTTTAAAGCAACCAGGGCCCAACCAAGCTTAGCTTTCCCCTGAAGCTCCTAAGAGGTAATAACTTCAGAGACAGATTATATCTGATGTCTAGAACACTAAATAAACTCAAGGATAATCGAAAGTATAAGCACTGGAAAAAGAATGTGTTTAAAATTGTACAATCTCAATGTCAAAAGGCCCTACAAGGTATAAAGACCAGGAAGCAAAATCCCTGTCTCTGAGCATGCAGTCAGTCAGAGGCCAGTAAGAACAGTAAGAATGAGAGGGTAAATAGGCATATGAAGCAGATCTCAGGACCACGGCCACAGAGGCCAAGTTCACCTGTTTCCATCTGGGGCAGCTTTGACTCCGTAAAGTGGACAAGGTTGTTGGGGCGCATGATGGCAATGGAGCGAGCTGTGATCACTAGCCTCTGGAACACCTCAGGGTCCAAATCCTTGCCCTCTTTGCTAGATGTGTTGAGACACTGCACAGCTTTGCTCAGCAAGGCCTGATCCTGTAAAACAACAGGAGCACAGAGGGTCAGCCATAAGCAAGAGCTGGGTACAAAAGCAAAGAGGAGAGAAAAGCTGGCAGATCACCAGGATTATTACCTCCTCTCAAGAGAACAGGCCAATGAACACCAATCACCTACAACAGATCTTCAAAGCAGCCTCATATAGTTAAGTTTCTTAATACATAAAATATTAATGTCATTAAAAAATAAAAACCCTGCAGTATCAAAGTATGATGGGAAAATTCAAATCTACTCAGTTCTCCAGAACTGCTAGATTTCTTTCTCTTACAATAGAAGAGTCATTTCTTAGCAAATTCATATTACCCAAGGACAGTGTTTCCAAAATTGTCTTTCCTTGAGAGACAGCAGGTTAAACTCACATTTCTCAGTTCTCCGGGTTGGAGGCACAGAAGCTAACCAAAGCTCTGGGTTGATGGCTCCTCTCAGAGCCTTCCTCCTCAGGGGTCTGAACTCTCATCTTTTCCATCTACAGAAATTGGCCCAGTTTGTCTCCTTTGGCAATGCCTTTCTTTTATAAGTGATACCCTCTTTCCCCAGATGTTCCCATCAGAGGCACTCCAAGAACTATTCAACACTTGTCTCACCAACAAGTACAGTACACTTCTCGTGCTGTGCCACACCTGAGGGAGCGAAAACACTAGCAGTCTATTTCCTGAGGGACTCCCTCACCTCACCCTTTTCCAGCGAGAAGGCTACCCACGCTCAATATCCCTCCTTCTCTTTCTTAAGTCTTGTTGATCCTGTTAGAGTGACAGAAAAATAAGTACAAACCAGGGGCCCAGTCACTGGCTTACCCTCGGTTTTGAGTGGCACTTGAGAATTTCTCAGGAGAAACTCTGTAAAATGTAGGTCTAATCTGAATGCTATCCTCCCTCTACCTTACTTTGCTGTGCTGTTGCTTTACAATGAAAAGCTAACTTATTTGATTCCCTGTCAGCACTGCAATTTCCTTTCCCTGAGAGAACAGTTACCTTGTGGCTGTGGTAGGCCGAGCGGCTGGTGTGCAGGCTGGCCAGAAGGCTCTTGGACTGCTGCTGGACACTGGCAGGTGCTGGCAGGGACAACAGCAAAGTGGCCAGCTCCTGAGCAGCATTCTTGTTTCTCTCCTAAGGCAAAAGACAGCAGGGTTATCACTAACCCCACCAACTCAAGGCAGAATGAACTATCTACACTCTGCCTGCCCTTCCTTCCTTCTAGGCCACCAGGGCTAGGTTATGCTCCATGGACTGCAAAGAGAAAAAAAAAAAAGTTTCAGAAATTATAATCCTCCTTCTTACCAGAGGAAGACATGGAATCCAAGCTCATGATTCCCAGAACAGTGTTCTTGTACCAACACGCATCCTATTCTGTGACACACGCTCACTATGGGCCCGAAAAGTAGGACATAGGCCTTAAGCTGAAGACTTCTCTGGAGCTTCTTAGCAAATCAAGATTATGCTACTATAAATGTTCTTTAGCTTCGAGGCCTCAGGGCCTCGGGCAACTCCACTGACTTCCTGCCTCTTCAGAAAGCTTCCATGTGCTTTGAAAAAGTGACTTGCCTTCTCGATGATTGGGCCAACGGCAAAGCAGCTTTCCAGGGCTTCTAAAGAACTCACAACCAGCCTGGGGAGACAGAAAACCTGGCTTGAGTACAACACCGTTCTCTCCGCCTTGCGCTTTAGCCTAAGCAAACTATAGTCATGAGGACCTTGGGGACAGCTAATGAATGCCAAATACAAAATCAAAGCACAATAAGACCTGCCACAGGCACCATGCATATCGTTTCCTACGTTACAGGCCAGGAGAAACCTGGCTCCTGCTCAGAGATCAACCTGAGGCCATGTTCGTAATCCGTAACTCAAAGACAGGGCTTTTCTTCCTCAAAGAGGATAAATGTGCTTCCTTCTGCTGCCTGTGGCAGGGATCACTGAGATGGGCTTAACAGTCTTGATGCAATGGGACCCAAAGCTCAGCTGCCCAGAGATCAGTGGGCAAAAGGACACACAAAGGGAAAGGTAAAAACCATCCTCTTATATTGGAAAGTTTAAAGCTATATATGCACAAAGGCATTTCCTAGGAGTCCCAAGTATGGGGGAGAGAACAAACTATTTTTTAGGTGCATGCCAATTGCCAACATTCAAGGGGTAAATACAAAGCATCTTTAGAAAACTTTTCCCCTTAGGAAAGGAATAGGAAACCCAACTATTACTATTAAAGGTACCAAGTAACATGCTCCCCAGGGTTTACTCCTTTCAATTTAATGTGGCATAGTAAAAAGAACAACATCCTGACAGCTGAAGCTCTGGACAGAGAAAGAAAAGTATTCAGAAGGTAACTGGAAAGAAAGGGGTTAAGGGGTAGAGGAAGGCAATAAAGAACTAGGGAAGAGGAAACTGAGGCATAAAACAAATTTGGATAGAACGAGCTCTCTAGTGGGTTATCAGATGGTAGGACTTTGCTGTTAATCCCTCTACCCCAAACCCCCTTTTCATCCACTTAGAAAGGGAGCAGAGAGGACTAGGGTAAGGAAGAGAGAGTTGAGAGAGTGTCCGACATGGCCAACACCAAGAGTGCACTTACGATCTTCCATATACTCCATTTTTACACATGGACAGCTCTGTAGCCATGCAATGACCAGAACAGAAAGAAGCAGGAAGACTCTTCAACAGAAGCAGAATCAATGCAAAGCCACACCATTGGTTACACGGCTCTCTGACACACACTCACTCGTGCAGAGAAAAGAAAGAGGGCATACTAACCGGTCCAGCTTGGTTAGGGACTCAGTTTCAGAACTTGGGGGAGAAGCAAAGAAAAAAAAAAAAGGAAAAAAATGTGAAGCTCAGAGAAACCCGGAAACACATCCTAAGCAAACCATGTATGGATAGGGCATCGGGGAAAAAGAAAGAGAAAGGAAGGGAGGGAGGAGGCTGGTGGTGGGAGGCAGTGATTCCAAGCAAGGCTATTCTTGTGACTTACAATGTAAGAAACTCAAAATCTTACATCATGAATTATAATATTTCATCTACCATGGCAAACCAGCAGCTACCTAGCACAAAGAAGCCAAGCACAATGCTTAAGAATATGCCACTGTAGGGAGACTTAAGGAAACTCTAGACTCTGCTACAAGAGGCAGCAGACAGCCTCTCTTGCTGGCAATGTTATTATCACAGAAGTAGCTACGCAGAGAAAGATGATGAAAAGATGATGAGCTCAGAATGGAAGGGAGGATGTTTTCCTATCATTTCAGCAAGCCTGGATCCTAATCTAGAATACTGGCTTGAGCATCGTCTAGCCTGTGGCCTCTGGCTACTCTAAAGGGTACCTGAGCATTATTAAGAGAAGGGACAGAACTTCTGTCCAGGGAGAGACTCTGGTGTCAGATGACTCTGAGCACATTTTTCAGGCTTTGCACGCTAAAGAGACACTGAATGTGGGCGAGTTGTATGAAAACTTAAAAAAATTCCAGGCTAGCCTTGAGATGGTTATTAGAAGCTGGCTCTCTCAAGACACAGGAAGGTTCTGCAGTGAGTGGAATATGTAAAAACTGAAGCCAACCCCTGCCAGCACTGGTACCTCTCCAGGACAGTTCCACTGGTCGTAGTGGGGGCAGCTGAGTCGCTATCTCCAGTGCCGTTGCTCTGGTTCAGATTTGAAGGGCAGATGTTGCTGACAGAGGCAGAAGGGAATTCTTCTGGGGGCTCATCAGGCCAGCCAAACTGCTCCTTAGTCTTGCCATAAATTTTTACAGCATCTATCATGGTGACACCTGCTGGATCCACCGAGGCCCCAACTGCAATAAGCAAGAGAGGCCTTTAGGAAGCACATTCTCTAAAAAGCCACCCCTCCAAAGCAAAGACCAGAACAGTTGGAGCAAAGAAGTAAATCACGTCAATTTTATAGACATAGAGAAACTTTATCTTCTGAGATATTTGCAGCACTTTAATCGTGTATATATGCTGAATACATGTGGTAAAAGTTCCATGGACCAAAAGCCGATTACGTCTCCTACTCAGAAGAGTCCCTAACCATCACTGCAAGGGTCCTCTTCTGCTTCAGAGTATTGTATCCCCTACCCCTCACTCCCAGGGGTCTCTACACACTTTCTTTGTTCAAAGTACAGATCATGATCATTCACACTAACAGCAACTATATCTAGAAGAAAGAATATCAGACAGTGGCCAATAAATGACAGAGAAATGCAGTCTTGAGTAAGGCTCAAGGATTTGTATTCTGAGAGTTTAGTTTTCAGTGGCATAGCAAGCCATTGCCAACCATCTCTCAGCCATGTGTGACCTGAGGTCTTCCTCTGTGCGTTAAGAAAGCCTTGCAATTTCATGTCAATCTGCCTCCTCTCGGCCTAAACACAGAAGTAGCCCCATTAGTGAGGTGGACACAACACTATTGAAATGAATACTCAACACAGTGCAGCCCTATCTTTACTGCTACCATGCTCCGGTGTACTCCTTTCCTGTCACCTTGCCTCTTTAATACATCAAATGAAGCTCAAAGTTTCCTGATGAAAGGACAGAAAAATCAGCAGAGTGGAGAGATCCCAGAATGTTGGACAGCCACAGGCCAGTGGCTCCCAATTTCGCAGTCACAATGAGGACAGAGTCTGCACCAGGGGTTGGTGACTCACTGAAGAGGTTCAGCTTCTTATCAGCCTGCAGGGCTTCTTCTCTGGTGAAGGGGAAGTCAAACCAGCGTGAGCGACTCAGGTTGAGCTGCATAGTTCTGCCGAAGATCTCGATATATGACGGGGCCCGTTCTATTGCTTGAGTCCCAATCTGGATCCGCATGCCTGTCATCACCATAGTGCTATTGTTGTTACTAATCTCAATGGTGAAGCCTCCGGGCTGTAGGGAGACAAGGCACACATCAAGAAACTACAGAAGTTCTTAAGTTTTAACTAGGACTCCTTCTTCTCTGACATTGTCTCAACATGTGAAGCTCATTAAAACTTATCCTTTTAACTCCCTGGTAATGACTTCCTTGTTTCTAAAAATGGGAAAATAGGAAAAGAGAGCAGATTCTCTTCAATGTCAGGCTTCCTTCTCCCCAGTATTAACCACCTCTTTGATGTCCTCTACACAGTAATCCTGCTGGTATTGGTGGAAACCCAACCTGTACAAGTCCTTTGCCAAGTGAGTAAGAATATCCATTTTTCTAAGGAACCATTTAACTAGAACCGAGGGTTGTGACTGTGAGTATATACTCTATACTTGCTTTCTAAAAGGAGATGTGTTCTCAAACCATATTGTTTGAGTCCTTCTACCCAGGGATTGATCCCAGCCCAGTGCCATTCTTACCTTGGTGTTGGCCACATACATGCCAGTGGAATTCAGCCGGTGTTTTATCTGTTGTGCATTATAGACCTGTAGGAGGTCGTTACCACCAAACTCCACATCTGTCAGCTGCTGGTTGTGTTCAAAAAAGTCAATGGGGAAAGTCACCTGGCTAGACGTGCGGGTTGCTGCAGAGAACGGTACCAGATCGTCAAGAGTCTCTCCCACCTCTGCCCCAACACCACTGGTAAAGACTCCTCCCAGACAGAGCCCACACTCACACTCTAATCTAAGCAAACTCTGGATTATAACATTTGCATCGGCATGATGCCTACATGTGGTTAGCTCTCCAATGGTTGTTATCCCTAACTATGACATGTCCTAGCAATACCAAGAAATCTGGCATTGGTATTGGGTGTACAGCTAATAACAATAGGCTCTCCTGTAACTGGGTTATTTAAAATAAACAATAGGAGCTACTTCTTTAATGAATGTAAATGAATAAACCATTCTTTCAAAATAGACTGTAGAGCAAATTTAAGGTAATGTGATGATCCCTGTAATGGTCTTTGCTTAGCTGGATTTGCTCACTGCTAAACTCAAGCTTTCACTTTCCTGAAGAGTCCTGAGTCAGTCAAGTGCTAGACCACCAGCTCAGAGACCTGTGGTGGGCTCTTCACTACTCAGTGGGAAATTAACCAGCTGAAGAGGTCTATACTTCAATCAGTTCTTCAGGGAAGTCATTCTCCTAAACCTAGAGAGAACAATCTCTCAAATAAGGTCCAGGACATAACTCGTTACTAGGCACCAAAGAACTGCTGGCCTGAAACAGGCAGCCAATGGGTGCTTGACATTTGGAAACATAACTCTGCTTTTGGGAAATTAACTTTACAAAATGTGCAAGTAGGACAGTCACATTTCTTCACAGATATTTTCAACAGTCTATTCTGAGTCACTGTCTAGAAGACCACCATTCCTACTCCCCCACAAGTCATCTGAGAAGGAGCCTTACTGATTGTAGCTGTTTTGCGCTTTCGAACAGGCTTCATGATGCTGATGACACTGCTGGGCTGCAGGGATGGCTGCAGCCAGTAGGAGGTGTTCTCCACGTTGGCCATGTAAATGCGCAGGCTGCCATCCTCACACAGCAGAATCATTGTTGTCCGCTGCTGCTCATTGCAGGCCGTGTGCCTAATAGCAACCATGTCTTGGATCTAGGAGGAGAGGACAAAGGAGGGTCTTCGTTCCCACACCCACAGATCAGCATCCTCACAGAAAAAGAGGCAGAGATGCAACTGGTTTCATGGTCAGTTGAGGGGCTGTACAGAAGGGTGGCAAAGAAAAGGCATCTAGAAGAAAAAGGACTGAAAATCTTTTATGGGCCTCCATTGAAAGAGCTGGGAAAGTGAAATGAATATACAAACATAAAAAGAGACCAGGTTCACAGCAAAGTAATGAATGGGAAAATCTGGCACTGACCTTCGCTTTAGCAGGAAGAGTCTTAATCTCCTGGATAAGAAAAGTGTCTGGTTTCACCATAACTACCAGCGGCACCCCTGTAGTTTGCTGGACACAGCACACCAAGCCAGGGTGGTTCATCACCTCAGACCACTGGCAAAGAGCAGGAGAAGTCTTACTGCCACCATTGGAACTGCAGACAACAAAACTGGCCACAGTTAGAGTGTCAGTCACCATTTAATAGTTCTTTTCTTGACCTAAAAACCATCCTCTAACTGGCTACGTGACTCCAAAGCAATATCCTTGGCCAGGGACTCAGATTATCCACAGGTTAGTTTTATTCCAAGCCATGCACACATGCTCATACACCCCAATGCGTGCTTATGGCAGGGCAGTCCTCATTTGGAGTCTCCACTGTGAGGTTCCATGTCCGAAGAACAGGTGGCCCTATGTGCCTAGAGGCTATCAACTGCAGAGGGCCATGGAGCTGCCTAAGGCTAATGACCCATTGTCCTATCAGGATCTCCAAACACATCGAGTTAGTGTGAACTGGTATCCATTTTATTTCATCCCAAACCATGTAATTCCCAAAGAAAGGTCTGAGAGAAAGTGCTACAATGGGTCATCAATGGCAGATAAGAAACAAGGGAAGACACCATAAGCCTCTTCTTCCTCCTCCCTAAATGAAACTCTCACTACCTTACACACCCCTCTATTATTTGCAAACTTGTTGAAAGTCTCTTCCTCCCCCATATCCAACCATGCCCCCATTACTGATACGTTCTATTTGCTAACAGAGTAAGTCTCCCCAGGAGAAAAACTTAAAGGGCATTATGGCAGAATGAGTGTCTAAGAGAAATTTAGGTTCCCTTCTCACATTAAAATCACATTTATAACATTAACTATAGGTTTTCCTTCTGAGTAACAGTGGACCCCTAAACTACCTCTGACAGCTTGGGGTCTCCACAGTGGAGGACAAACCGTGCAGACAACCCAACCTGCCAAACCCGGATGTTCCTTGATTTTAAAGATACCTAGCAGGGGAGAAAAAAAGGTTGGCTGGAGAAAATTAAGTTTCACAAAACTCAGAACAGATAGCAGATAGTGGGAGTGGAGATCCCACATTGAATGTGGACATTGCGGAAGTTGAACATTAAATGTTCATTCCCACCTTTTGATGTTGATGGGGAAGAGTTGCAACACCTCCAGGGTTGTCCTGCTGATGGTGGCTGCGAATGATTTGCCTTGACAATAGCTGAAGAACAACATCTGCAACACGTGGGAGTAGTACACGGACACACCACCGCCCGCCACCTGGCTGTTACTGTCCTGCTGGCACAAAGACACATATTTGCAGTAATTCATGTTGCCTTGGCTACCAACTTCCGGTTTATACTGGTTATTATTTTCAATCATGATCAGGTGCTCTCATACTCTAAGCATGAGATCCCTGTGGGTAAATCTTACAAAGACCCTGAGAAAAATGGAACTTGAAGTTGAATTAATTTAGCCCTAAAGGATAAGAGAGTTTGCTATTAGGTAGAAAGTTAGATGGAAAAACAAAGAAAAAGAAAAAAAGATCCAGTTAGATGAAGTCCACAGAAAAATGTTATAAAAGAACAAAGAAAAAAGAATAGAGGAGTTGCTAAATAATTAAATCCGGAATAGAAGGAAATAGCAACATGTGCTCTAACCTTCAGGTCCTCATGATTGATTTCCAACACATTAGTGACATAGAAGGGTCCCTGCTGGGCACTGCTGGCCTCTTCCATAAGCTGAGTATAGATGTACCCAGCCGAAGACATTATAACAATGATGTTCTTTCCCTCCTCATTGAAAAGGAAGGTAACATCTCTTATCTTTGAGCTTGGCAGGAGAAAATAGAAGGTTGGACTCAAGGCATCAACACACAGGTCATAAATCTGCAGGATGGAAGAAAAATTAAATAAGGGAAATCTATCTCAGTCCCATCCCCCAAATATCTTAGTGAATCCAAATAGCCGGAACTGACCAATAACAGGCATTCATTCTCCATTCAGTAAAAAAATGGAGTGTTAGGCACTGGTCTTATAAAGATGAACAGAACACCTTTCACTCTCCTTCAAGGAATGAGTAGGGGACAGACATACATAAATAAATTCTGAAACAAGTATGGTAATAGGTGTGCACTTGGTACAGTGAGGGTAGAACCAGAATCAATTCCCTATTGCCTAAAGACAGAAAGCTCCTACTCAGCAACATAGCAAAAGTGACAAAATATGGCTTGTTATCATTTTTAGAGACAGGGTCTTGCTCTATCACCCAGATTGGAGTGGAGTGGCGTGGCATGATCACAGCTCACTGCACCCTTGAACTAAGCCTCAAGTAATTCTCCACCTCAGCCTTCCAAGTAGCTGGTACTACAGGTGAAAGTCATGGCACCCAGCTGATTTTTTTAACTCCTGGGAGAAGCTAGCACATAGTGATTCTGGATTTAAAAGTAGAAAAATTCTAGGACCATATCATCAAAGAACTGTAACTGTACCTTAACAAAGTCTGCGGTGACAATTGCTAACTCGGTCTGTGAACCAGGTAACCACACGGCTTTGATGATGAAGTTCCCCGTTGCCAACTGAGGGTGCAAAACCAAGTGATCCGAAACAGAGCCTGAGCTACTAAAGGTGAGCACATGACAGTCCTGGACAATGTTTAAGAAACAAAATGGTGAAAAGATGATCTGAAAAGTGGGCTAATTCATTTCAGAGTAATGACGTTCCCTTTTTTCCTCTAATATCCCCTGCCTTCAGACAGTATTTAGACTGTCTAGTAACATTCAGGTTTCATGAACACAAAGATTACTTCCAATATTGGAGAAATCTGAAAGATCTGGGAGAAATTCAAAGAAAAATTCCTTTTGCATTTCAGTAGGTTTTAAATTTTAATCTCCACAACGAATAAGAAAAAGTAGTTCTGAGAACAGGGGAGAGAAAATGACTAGAATCCACAGCTCAAGGCAATCAAACCTAGATCCGGATTTTTACCTTTAGCCCACAAACCGCCAAGTAGTCTTCCTTGCAGGGATTTCCTGTGAGGCTCAACACAGTAAAAGGAACTGGGGCAGAAGCCAAGCGGGTCAGAGTTAACTTCCTTTTGCTGGAATCTGCTTGCTTCAGGAGTGCAGAGAGCTGCAGAACGGTGATCTGCAAAGGAACAATGACTAATTTATTCCTACTCCTGGTCCTCTCAGAGAAGTCAAAGCAAGTAACAAAAACTCTTTCAATAGGGATAACAGGTTGCACACTTTTTTCTTTACAGATAAGTCTAGTAGAAAATCCTAGATCAGTATTAGTCTCTATTACTCCTGGCTAAAAGCTATGGAATGTATTTCCATGGAGGACAGAACAGGTAAGTAATGAAAACAATTTCTCTTTATATAGTTCACAAAATAGTTTAAGAATACCTACGTACCACTGTCCTTTTCTAGTTTTCTAGGAAACTGTTTTTAAAATGATTTTAGAGTTGTTTGAAGGACTATCCATATTTTCACTTAAAATAAAAGTTAAAACAACATTAGTGGTGATGGAGAGGCCAGAATACAGAAAAGTGTGAGTTAAGATACCTAGCACTCTTCCAACTTCTACTAGCTCTATAACACAATACAAACTTACTTATGTGCTTAACAGAGCTGGGATGGCACGGCAGCACTACATAAGCAACACTGAGTGTTCCTATGAAAACTTTTGTCTCTCAGCTTATGCCCGCCAGAGTGACCAAACAGGGCAAGACTGGGAGCCAAGCCGTCCTCGGTAACTGCTAATCATTACTTTTTCCTGAGGGCTTTGAAGAATACGTTTTGAGTGGAAATTTACTAATTAGGAACAGTCCTAGTCATACCAGCTCTAGGTCTAATCAAATCAATTCAGGGTTCAAGTATTTGAAAAGCTCAACAAGATCTGTCCCTGAAGCATTCTTAGAACGCAGTGGACTTTTTCCCACAGAGGGCTAATCCGAATGTGGTCATCAATTTGTTTTGCTTAGCATTTAAGACAATATGACCTAAAGTAAGCGCACAAGAATTGGAGGACCCACCTTGCCCTTCTCATGGCTGACAGCCAAATGTTGGCGGCGCCCATGGGGAGAGGAGAGCACACACATAGCCACCCGCCTGAGCACATGAGCACTGATCAGCTGCCGGATGGTCTGGCCCTGGTCTCCACTGTAATTCATCCGCACATTCTCAAAGGCACCTTCCTGGGACCCTAAGGTGGGAACCTGGCAAAGAAGGAAGCAGAGAAAGTGGGCAGTAATGAGGCAAATAAAATCAAGTGGATTCACGCACTATTCATGTGCCTGAGACACTGCACAATTCAGTCATTCAAAAGCAGTGATTTCGGCCTCCAAACCGTGGATGGCTGTGTAAATGTGTTAAAGTTATTATCAATCCATTAAGAATAACATAGTAAATGTTTTCATAAAGCTAAACTTAAATACAAAGTACTGGTCTTTTAAAAAAATGTTAAAATGTCCAATCTCTTACAAATTGTGGTGACAGATGACATTTGTTTTCATTGATCTAACCTGGCAACATAAAAATCAGCAACTTTATGGGCCCCCAACCCAAGTATTTTTTCACTTCATCTTTAATATCTAAAAACCAATGCTCTAAAAGTGTGACTGATTTTACGACTTCTTTTAATTCCAAGAGTATCAAATAAAACCGTGACTCATTTTTTTTTTTGAGACAAGGTTTCTCTCTGTCACCCAGGTTGGAGTTCAGTGGTGAGTGCAGTGATGTGATATCAGCTCACTACAGCCTCGAATTCCCCGGTTCAGGCAATCCTCCTGCCTCAGCCTCCCAGGTAGCTGAGACCACAGGCATGCACCACCATGTCTGGCTAATTATTTTTGTATATTTTTTATAGAGACAGGGTTTCACCATGTTGCCCAGGATGGTCCCGAACTCCTCTGGTCAAGTGATTTGCCCACCTCAGCCTCCCAAAGTGTGGGGATTACAGGCATGAGCCACTGCACCTGGCAAAAACTGTGACTGATTTTAATAAAATGCCAGAATATATATGGGTATGTATGTGTATATTTCCAACTGACTATTATTCCCTTAAAAATAGCCAACTTTGGCTGGGCACAGTGGCTCACACCTATAATCCCAGCACTTTGGGAGGCTGAGGTGGACAAATCACTTGAGCACAGTTGTTCGAGACCATTCTGGGCAACATGGTGAAATCCTATCTCTACTAAAAATACAAAAATTAGCCAGGCATGATGGTGCATGCCTCCAGTCTCAGCTTCTCAGGAGGCTGAGTGAGGCATGAGAATCGCTGGAACCAGTGAGGCGGAAGTCGCAGTAAGCTGAGATCATGCCACTGCACTCCAGCCTAGGTGACAGAGCAAGACTCCATCTCCAAAAAAGAAAGCCAATTTATGAGATCTATTCATATATCTCATTCGCAATATTTGTTCACTTCCTTTTTGGAATCGCCACCACTTTACTTTCTATTACTTAACTCTGCTGCTAAAAAAGGCCAGGAAGGCCACATCAGAAGTCTATATTCAGTGCTGAGCAGCAGGTTTTAAAGTGAATAATGACTTATACCTTATAACCCATGTGACATGAAAAACTAAAGGAAAGTTATCTAAAGGACTATATGCAAAAGAGGACAAACATTATTTTGTAAGTTAGATGAACTTTAGAGAAGATACAATAAAGTTCTATTTTCTAAAAATAAAAATTCTCTAACTATTCTAATTGCCCCAAAATGGAGTTCCCCACCTCTTGGAGATTCATATATTTATATGAACTAAAAAGGAGATTTATTCTCTTCATTGGCCAAAATGACCCTGGATTCCCCAGCCCCACTCCTTTTTTTTTTTTTTTTTGAGAGAGAGTCTCACTCCGTCGCCCAGGCTGGAGTGCAGTGCTACGATCTCAGCTCACTGCAACCTCCTGGGCTCAAGTGATGCTCCCACATTAGCCTTCCGAGTAGCTGGGACTATAGTTGCTGTGCCACCATGCCAAGCTAAATTTTTTGTGTGTTTTTTGGGGTAGAGATGAGGTTTCACCATGTTGCCAAGGCTGGTCTTAAATTCCCAGGCTCAAGCAATCCACCTGCTTCAGGCATCCCAAAGTGCTGGGATTATAGGTGCATCCTTGGCCAATTCTCTTCTTTTGAAGCCAAACCTCGTATGCTGATTTTCACACTGTTCATAATATGTTCTGGGCATGTCATGATGTCTTAGATTCTAAGTTTTGGATGGCCAAGCATCAACTGCTCTAAGTATACTCCTCAGAGCATCTAGCACATTTTGGGATCTCAATAAATTTGTTGGTTCCCACAGCCACCAAACATCATGGCCCCAAGACACTCACCATCAGCTGGTCTGTCATCTCCACTGCCTTCTCCACAGTGTGTAGCTCACTGAGGGCTTGCTGAGCACGGCTGCTGCTCCCGACGGCTGAAGCTTGCTGGAAGTTGGTCTGAATGGCATCCATAAGGAAATTAAGCATGTCTAACACGAGAGGAGCGAAGGAGAAATTGGCCTGAGAAAAATAGAAAAAATACACCAGTGAAAAAAAAAAAAAAGAAAAACAATGGATAATACTTGTAAAAATCATCTTGCCAGTAACTTCCTTCAGAATCCAGCTACTTCACTTCCAGTTGGATATTCTAGCCATCTTCTCATTCTCATAATCCTGGCATTGATTCCAATCAATATGCATTTGTGGTACTAACTCCAGAGCAATCTTTCTAAACCAGGGGTCCCACATAGATATCCTAATGCGCAAAGGCATCCCTCATATGAAATGAGCTAACTTCTCTCTTACGTTTCTAGAATGGTTTGGGTTTTGTACCATCCATGGGAAAATTGAGAATATATACACTCAAATCGTTTTGTTTTCTGTGTTTCAGATAAGGAACCCTGGCCAAGAAAGGGTACTCTACAGTATGACACAACTAAAATTTATGCTTCCATCACCCCCCATAATACTCCTAATAGTGCTCAGTCATAAATCCTTCCCTCGTGACGACAATACATAGTATTTGCATTCACACTATGAAAATGGGTAAAGGAGAAAATGAGTTGCAAGGGGAGCCATGTGCATTATTTACTCTCACACCAATTCAACAGGCTCTGAACTCTGTCTGCTTACTAGGGAGCATCAGTCAGCCCCACCTGGTTCTGTAATTCCTCCCGGCAGCCCTCTACTGTGCGGCAGAGGCTGCTCTTCTTGGGCTTCTCTTCGTCAGCAACCTTTCCATCACTGATGGTAACCTTGGCTTTGTCAGCTGGCGAGGAGGTGCTGGCATGACGCACTAGACTCTCTGAAATCCTGGGTTCACTCTGAAATGCCGACTCCTTCATGGTAGAGCTCATGCCACTGCTAGGAGTTCTCTTCACCAGAGCCTAGGGACAGAAAATGTCAGAGTCCCTAAGTTCTTGCCTCAAGCACAGAGGAAATACTGCCTGAGATCTCCGAGGAAAATTTGACCCAAAGAAGAAACTGGCTAAGCGTTTCAATGTTATCCAAAAGCCTAAATTCTGATCTTCATAGTATTCACCTAATATCTAACTTCTTTACCCACTCACAGTATCAGGCCTTATTATAACGTGTGAAATTGTGGGGAGGTCTTAGGAAAAACGAACTACAAGATCTCTAAGGAATCTGCTGGTTCTGATATTCTAAATGAAGTCCTTAGGCCACAACTGTGCAGATCATCGATGAGTGAGCTGGAACATATTCCTAGACTCAGGTATCCTGGAGGTGATGGGAATTTTCCAGTTTGGCTTCAGTAATCCCGTGTCACTAACAAGCCACCCTTTATAGCTCAGGGAGGGTCCTCTCACCAAACAGCTGCCATCTTCCTTGGCTCCACAGTCACAGAAGAAGGATCCATACTTGGCATAGGAAATCTCATGATCCTTGTGGCACACCTTAGCACACACTGTGCAGACACCCACGCCATCCACCATTTTACAGGTGTGACAGTGGTACCTACAAAGAACAAGAACCAGCAAATAAGCTCAGAAGTCCCAACAATCGGTGCCCAGCAAATCTTCACCTTAAAGGAAGAACTACCCTTACCAATGCTGGTTCATGAATTCTTTCTGTGTGATCGTAAAAGTGCAGAGTTTATTGCAAAGAGAATCTTCATCCTTCAAAAATAATAAGTCTTTTTAATTCGAAATATATCCCTGCATATAAACACCCACAAAAACACATGTGCCTCAACGCCCTATGGCGGGGTGAATAGTTGACTCGCAAATGACCCGTGGAAATCTACCACAACTGGAAATAGCTAGCTGGCTGAAAATCTGTTGTTACTTCAGGTGAGTGAGATCTTAGGGGTTTGTGGTTAAGAAAAAACATCTTATGCTTTCTCTATAGGGGAGCTTCCACTACCCCCCATGAAGAACTTATCCCTAAAATTCCATTTGGAATTAAAGACTGACAAAGCAGGACAAGTGACTCTGGAAAAAGCTTATGAAAAAGTCCTTTCCACAAGAGATTAGATCCCCATGCCTTGCTCTGAAGGCCTAGAAAATTGGGGCCTGGCAGCAACAAGGACTAGGAAGTTTTGAAGCTCACAGGAGGCTGGAAAACAGAGCCAAAAGCTTGGTACCATGCCAGTTAGTCATTACCTTGAGAGGTTAACTTCGAGGTTACTTAGTACTTACTGAATCCTCAGCCTGGGAATCTTCCTCTTCCACCGCCAACTCCTCCACCCAGTCTGAGTCTACTTCAATGGCCCGCTCTTCCCCATCCACTGAGAGATGACTTGGGCCTTGACCATTACTCTGGCTCAGGGCATTCGTGACATCAGCCAAGTAAGACATGATATGGCATGTGCACTCCAAGATCATCACATGCTGTAAGAGAAGCCCCACAGCAACTTCAGATTCTCCATGTTTCATTATGTAAACCATGTTTTCTCAAGCTTTTTCAAATAAAGCTCAAGATCAGAGAAATGGTATGAGAGCAGAGAAGAAAAACAGTGTGTTTTTATTTATTAACCAGGTTTTACCACTCCGTCCCCACGTAGCTGGTCAGTAAATTGTACTGAAGTAACATGTATTCATTCATTCTTAGGCACAAAGACAGCTCTTTACAAAGTCTTGTAAGATGAAGTAGGATTGAAATTAGAAGAATAGAGTAAAAACTGATTAAAATCATTCAAGAAAAGACCAGATTAGAGTATGAAGAGACTCCCATTAGCATTTCCCCCCTAACATTAGCATTTTTTAACCATTAAGTGAAAGTCATTTTAATTATCAGGCTTTAAAGTAATGCAGGAGAGGAATACCTTCAGAAATCAAGAGAAAAAAATTCTAGCAAATCATTGCAGATAGTTCATGCTTGCCTAGAAAACCCAATTAATTGGCATCAAAGACTCAGATTTCTAAGTTCCTTTGCTCTGCACTCTGACATGTCAGTGCTGAAAGGATAAAGATCAGCAAAAAAGGAGGGAGTAATGAATGGTACCAAAGTGGTTCTCAGAAGCTAGTTATCTGTTCCTAGCCACCTATGCCAGTTCATGGGTTGGGCAGGAGGAGAAAATGCCTGAATGCAGGATTTCTGTCAGTTTCAAACCGCTTTTCTTACCAGAGTAACCAGAACCTTCAGGCAAATTAAACAAAGCTTAGCATCTGGACTAGAGCTGAGGAGGCTGTATTTGGCCTTTTATAACACTGACTCAGAGTGGCACAGTTCCAAAGCCTGAGCAGGGAGACAGTTTCCCATAACATTCCAATATCTTAGGATGGCAGGAACTCTATGTTTTAAGAAAGATTCTGTCTGCTTATTTACCAGTATATTTCCTTCCCATCACTTCTTGCCAGCCAAAACATGCCTAAAGGCACACAGTTAGCAACTACATATTTCCAGTCTTTGAGATTATCAGCCTTATCCTTGGTAGGCTAGCCAGGCACAGAACTCAATAGGAACGAGAGACTTCCACCTGACCACAGAGGTGAGAATCACCTTTCCCTTCACCCCCCATTGTCATTCCTCACTTTTCTTACCTTTCCATGCATTACATTGGCATTCAGTTTTTCAACTACATTCTTCTGTGACAGGTATTTCTTGCTGTCCCAAAGAAAAAAAAGAGGGGAAAGAGGAGACACAAAATCATCGAAGAAACCAACGAAATGAGGCATCTTCATTAACTTTGAATCAATCTGAGGACACTGTGAAGCAGAAGCATTCTTAGAAAACTCCATAAGTACTATATAGTTACATAGCTTGGGGTGCTCTGGCCTTAGAATTATCATTAACACTTGGCATACTTTCCCCAAGAATTATCTTGGGAACAATGAACAGGAAACTCTACTAAGAAAATGATGAAGATGAAGTCTAAAGTGAACAGAGCTATTTGCTACCCACCCAACTCCCAAACTCCAATGAAAGGGTAGAGATTCAAATTTCTTCTGTACTCACTTTGAGCTATAAAGAAAGTAACCCACTTCTCAAGATCAATGTTGTAACCTACAGATACAACTTCATCATCTTACCATCTGCTCAGCCAATCCACAGCAGCATTATGAAGCTGAAGGTGACCAGCACCTTGACCTGCACTGGCCAGAGTGGCCATCACAACCATAAGTTCAGGGAAGCCAGTCCCATCACCGTTGGCCAGCATCTCTGTTGCCATGGGAGTCAGGGTGCCCAGAAGAACAGCACACACACCTTCCCCAACTTGGCTAGGAGAAAAGAAAGAGCAAGTTGGTGAATAATCAACAGGAATCTCATTCTGTGTGTTATAAAGGAAGTTTTAAATTAAACATTAAATACATAACTACAATACCAATCCCAGCTTTGGACTTGGGCTAGTAGAGCATAAAACATTCATTCAGGTTGTAACTGACAGGCCAAGTCATTCCAAAAGTTTTTCCATGGGAAAAAAATCAAGGAGCTACACTAGAATCCTTGAGTCTAGAGAGAGGTAGATACAAAAATGCTGAGAATGCTAAGACTGGTGCCCGAAGGAAAGATAACTGCAAATATCAACGTGTTTCTGGGGTTGCTAGGGAAACACGACAGAAATGTAGTTGTTCTACCTGTTTTCCCGAACAATGTATGTGGTCAGTAACTGCAGCAGCTGCCGGTTCTCCTGAATTACATCCAGCTGATCAGAATCTTTTGGGGGCGATGTAGTCATGCGGGTGAGCCAGGCCTGCAGGCGCACAGGTTCCACACAGGCCAGTTGTGCCAGGGAGCCACAGAGATGCAACAGGCTCGGGTTAGGGCTCTTCTCAGCTAGGAGCAGAACAAGAGGCCAGGGTCAGTAAAGAAGGGCAAGAGGAAGAGAAAGAAGGGGCAAACTGTTGAGCCAGGAAAAGGGGAAATGGCTTCAAAGCAAGTTTTCAACTTCCTTCCAAACTTTCTCTGAGGGATTCTCTCCACTCGTTAGCATTTTCATGCTGTAGTTAAACTCAGGCAGAAGATATGCACAGTATTAGCCGGACATCAAAGTTCCCATAAGAAGATTACTAAAAGCTGTCACTCACTCAGCTGGAAGAGTTTGGTGAAGAATTTCAAAACTCGGTTACAGAATTTAGCAGAGAGGTTCTCATTGGCTGTTGCCATCATGATCTGTACAAGTTCTCCACTGGGAGGCAAGATGGGAGAAAAATGGAAAGAATCACATTAAAGCCCCACATAAAAAGCATCCTTTCTTCACAATCTCATCTCCTCTGGGGAAAATGACCACTTATGAGTCAATAGCACAAGGTGTTCATGAAATTAACCCCCTCACCAACAACCCCAAGGAGTCAGCAATTAACTCCCCAAAGTGCAGACACCTAACCAGGCCTTAAATATTGCTGATAATAAGTACCTAAATCAACATATATAGCTCCTTGCTTTCAAGAGGCATTCAAAAAATATTCACTGAATAAAGCAAAACACGGCTCACCTGTCAGAGAAAAACTCCTCCATAGCTTTACGAGCCTGGCTACTTTCCAGCTGCTTTTCCAAGTACTGGAGACATTCCTCCAGGATGGATTCATCCAGTCCACTGAGGATCAAACGGAAAACTTAACCACCAGTATTAAGACCTGTTTCAATGTCCTCCTTATGGTGATTTATTAAAATCCAAAGTTTGTCTGTTTGACCTTGAGGGCAATGTCTAATTTTGTTTTGGCAAAGCTTAACATAAAGCCTGGCACAAAGTAGGTGTTCAATACATGTTTACTGAATTAATAGCAGCCCCTCAACTTTATTTTTCTATCCTCTTCATTAGGAAGATGAACAGGAAAGGCATCTAAAGCTCAGTCCTAATCCAGATCTGCCAGTGATTTAGGGAAAAAGACACTTTGGACAAATCATTTCTACACAGCTAAAAGTGTCTGAAATTATTTATCTGTTAAAAAGAAAAGAGGAGACAGGGAATAAAAGGAATCCTTGATGAAAACCTGGACTACTCAACAACGAAGAGACAGGAAATTCCAACATGTGGCACCTTCATTTGTACAATTCTCCGTGGGGTGAAAGTGAAACAGAACTGTTCTTTACAGCTCATCTACAGCCATGTGGCCTAAACTACCAAGGTCCAGCTATGCTGTGGGACCGCCCATTCCACACTCATTTCAGCAGCACAGTCAACAAAATATTAGAAATCAATTTCAGTGAGCTCCTCTGTCCATCTCATCAGAGCTAGTGCAGCACTTGATAGTCATTAAAAACAATTTTAAGTCTCCAAATCTAAACATCTAAGTCTTCCATTTTCTTAATGTCTATTCCTAAGAATTAATCACAAAAAACGACTCCAAAAAACTCTTCACACATTTCCACATTAATGCAGAATGCACACAAGTACAGAATTTTCTGTTGAAAAACACAAATAACAATAAGCTGGCCATGTGTGGTGGCTCACGCCTGTAATCCCAGCATTTTGGGAGGCCAAGATGGGAGGATCACTTGAGCTCAGGAGTTCAAGACCAGCCTACACAACATGGCAAACTCCATCTCTACCAAAAAAAAAAAAAAAAAAAAAAAAAAAAAAAAAAAAAAAAAACCAGCTGGGCATGGTGGCATGCACCTGTAGTCCCAGCTACACAGAAGGCTAAGGTAGGAGGATTGCTTGAGCCCCGGAGGCAGAGGTTGCAGTGACCCCACTGCACTCCACCCTGGGCGACAGAGCGAGACCATGTCTCAGAATAAAAAAAAAACCACACACAAAAACAATAAGCTATTAATGACCTAAAGGCAGCAGTGTTAGTACATTTCACTGATAGCAGCAGTAGGTCATAGGAAACCTGACTGTTCTCCATCAGGCTCACCTGTTAGGATCTGCATGATTGGCCAGAATGTTGTAACAACCAGTGATCAGCTTCTCATAAACACGAGCCAAGAACTCATCAGACTCAGCAGGGCCCAAGATGCGTTCCAGGGAGTTGCTACTGATCTCGGCAACACTCTCAGTGCTTGATTCCAAAAGAAGAGGTAGCAGTGTCCGAATTACCTGTGGTGGGTTCATCTCATCTGACCAACTTCAGCAAAGAAAATGAAATCGAGTTAGTGAATACACTCCTCCAAAAAGCTGCAAAGCAAGGACAGGGTAATTCAATTACTTGCCGGGGAAGAGGGGAAGGGGAATTGCGCAAGGGCCTTTATTCCAGTCTTTTTCCCATGATAGCTATTTTATACACAGGTATCATCATACAATTTCATATTCTTCTTTTTCATTATTATATCAGAAACAAAAATCATTTTCATTTGAAAAATCCATTTATTAAAACGTCAAATTAATGAGCTGCATTTTATAATATTCAACAAAGAAAATTAACTGAAACCAAAGCAAGTATTCCATCCCAGACAAGCCTTCTAGAAGAACTGCCAGGAACCTGGATCACTTTTAGGGCAATACAATATAAGACTTTACCTGTTACCTATGTATAAGAAGACAATAGTCCCTCCATTGGCCTGACCTAGTCCCTACAATGGTGGGAATTTATCCCACTATGATTCTGGAGAAACGTTATCAAATAATCTGTCACTATCACTTTAAAATTTAAACCCAAGACATCTCCAAATTGCAATATGTCTTAAAGCCAGCAAGTCTTTTCTGAAAAATACTACACAAAGGAGGAAGTACTCTATTGTCTTTCAGATCTAAGTTAAAAAATCATTCTAGGTAAGTGCTTATACTTTAAAGCAACAGGTTCTTTTTGCTAAAGAAGTATATAAGAAAGCATTACTACATAGTTATAAAACTCTCACTGTCCCTCTTTAACCACAATAGAATACAGACATAGAGTCCTTGGGGCTAGGTAGTAGGTACTTACACAATAAGATCTCCAGTCAACCTGACCAGTGAGAGGAGGGTATGCTTCAGGGAAGCAGCCAGGGGCAGACTTTGGCTACAGAGAGTCCCCAGGTGTGCAGCCTGCACTGCACTAATATAACTCTCTGAAGGGATGGTGTCATTGGCAAAGGCATTGCGCTGAAAGGAAGCAAAGCAGATGTAAATGGATAGACCATCTACCCTGGAAAAAATTCTCACATGGAAAAAAAAACTGACATAAACTAAGACCCCACTGACGTTTGTAAACAATAGCCTCTACTCAGTATACACTGTTATTCATGCTGGGAAGGGAAGTGGGGTACAGAAAAGGAAGCAGTTAAATTTTAATTAGTACAAAGTTAACAGTTAAATGCAACGAATATCCAATACCACTTTCAAATGATTAGAGTATAATATAATGCACTATATCTAAAGTAAAACTATTGTTTGTCTATAATGACTGAGAAGGAACTGGATTTTGCAATGCATCTGGTCTCTATTAAAGTTCTGGGTGGTGTAAACAGAGGTCACGATCATAAAGCAGGGATAACAAGACTATAATATTTAGCTTTTGAAAAGAACTTCAGTAAGCAAATAATCTGTTAATAGAGGTAGTGTGAGCAGAGGATATACAAAGAGTAAGTTAACTGACAGAAGACTCAGTAGTATTGGCTGGGCATGGTGGCTCACGCCTGTAATCCCAGCACTTTGGGAGGCTGAGACAGGCGGATCAGGAGGTCAGGCGATCGAGACCATCCTAGCTAACACAGTGAAACCCCGTCTCTACTAAAAATACAAAAAAATTAGCTGGGCGTGGTGGTGGGCGCCTGTAGTCCCAGCTACTCGGGAGGCTGAGGCAGGAGAATGGTGTGAACCCGGGAGGCGGAGCTTGCAGTGAGCCGAGATCACGACACTGCACTCCATCCTGGGTGACAGAGCGAGACTCCGTCTCAAAAAAAAAAAAAAAGAAGACTCAGTAGTATCTAAAAGCCTAGAGAAGCTAAAAGCGACCCTGTAAAACTGTTACAAAAGGAGCAGGTTCCTGACATACAACCTACAAAGGAAACAGAGTTAACACGTATTGGGAATTCGTGTGCCAGGTAATATGCTAGGCACTTAACATTCAATACATTGAATCGTCACAGCCCAATATTCAATTGGTGAAGAAACTGAGGCTCAAATAAATAAAATGGTTTGTCTTTTGATAACACAAACTTCTAAGCAAAAAGCCATATGAGAACCAACTAGGTGATTAAATGCATTGATTAATGATTCAGCCATAGCCAATATTACTGCAGTATATGAAGATATCTTGGTAGCTAGTTTAAGCCTAATTCCTTTAGGCTTAAGAACAAAAGACAGAATGGCTAGCACTCAGTATTTCTACCCTGGAACAGATAGGGACTCACCCAGGATCCAATATTGGGAAATTCATTGGTATTGATGTTGTTCCAGGACTCACACACAGTCTGCACTGACGATGGCAAATTCTGAACCAGTGTCGGACCTGGAGGCGACAGAAAGGACAAGGAATCATCACAAGAAAGAAGGAACGACACAGAGCATTTTAAAAGCCAAGCCCAAATGCAGAAAGAAACAGTACAGCCCAGGCTGTCAAAATAATTAGTAAGATAGCTTAGATAGATATTTCAATAGCAGTACTATGTCCAAGAACCAGTTAATTGCTTAATAGCTAACACTCTCAATTGTAAGGTTTTCATTTCCCATCATGTTCACTTTCTAATCTTGCAAGTAAAGAAGACAACTGAAAATAAGATGCAAAGTGAGGGTGAGTCATTGCAAGTCAGACTGAAATCACCATTAAACATCTGCTCCCCTTCTATAAATAGGTATCACTTTTCTCTTGATCTCTTTTCTCTTTAAGACGAATCTTAAGGGCAGGGATCATAACACACATTAAGAACAGCATTCAATGAAGCAGTACAAAGTGAGACTATCTGAATGTTAAATGAATATTTAAAGCTTGAAATTAAGGAAAATACAAACGATTGATTGTAAATTTTAAACGGTAACTACTGTACTTAACTCCAATCAAGCCCTTTGATTTTCCACCCTAAATTTCTACCAGATCATTCCTAACCCAGCAAAGAGATTTTTCCAGGCACAAAGTACTAGCTTGCTAATCTTCCTGTCCCCTATAAATGAAAAGAACACCAGCCTGGGCAACATAGGAAGACCTCATCTCTACAAAAAAATTTAAAAATTATACGGGTATGGTATTATGTGCCTGGGATCCCAGCTACTTGGGAGGCTGCGGCAGGGGGACTGCTTCAACACAGGAGATGAAGGCCGCAGTGAGCTGCGATAGCGCCACTGTACTCCAGCCTGGGTGACAGGGCAAGACCCTGCCAAGAGAAGAGAGAAGAGAGTGGGGAGGGGAGGGGAGGAGAGCAAAGATCTGTGCTAAAGACAAAATAGCCTTATGCTTTGGAACCAACAGATCCTGGTTTGGATCCCAGCTCTATCTCTTGCAAGATGCAGGATTGTGGACAAATAACTTCTCTAGGCCTAATTTATAATGAGTAAAAAGGGGATCAAAGTAACACTTCTTGGGTTATTGTGAAGATCAAAATAGACAAACCTACCTAAATGCTTGATACACAAAAAGGCTCCAATAAATAGTAAACGCCAGTAGGCACCAAGGGAGAGAAGCCATAGTACTAGCAGTAGTAGCTGTTGTAATAATATTACTCAAAAGCACATTTGTTCTCTTACCCAGAGTATTTGCCTTGCACCTGCTAGAGCCAATAGCCAAAACAGCAGCAAAGCCTTGCAGTTTCTCCTTGGAAGGTTTCTCAGTTGTTCCCTCTTCATTAAAGTTTTGCAGCAAATAGGCTCTGGGGAAAAAACAGGGGGAAAGTGAAGCCATAAGATTCTAATCCCACCAGTTAGGAAAAACTGGCCCTAGACTGGCTGAAAACCCTATATCTCAGTTTCCTATCTATTTAATGTAGTTGATAGTGCCTGCCCCTTCCTGGTCTCTAAGAATTCCAATGGGTAATCATTTCCCAAAGAATGTCCCCTCCTCTGAAATGCTCCCAAAACATGACTGCCTGACAAGTAAGCCTGAGAAACAGTGAATACTATATCTATCCTCCTTCCCCACCTCAGAAGATTGACAATGTATACAGTAAAGGCTCTGAATACTATATTTTTTAAAACAAAACAAAACAAAAAAAACTGTTTATCCAACATTTTGCAAACTTACTTGACCAGGAACGTTAACAGCTCAGTGTGGAAAGTACTGGCCTATTAGGCCAGATTAGAGTCTGTAAATTCCCAGAGGGCAATGACTTGGTCTGCTTTGGCTACTGCCATAACCCTAGCACCTAGAAAAGTACCTGGCACGTAGCAGCCATACATATTTGTTTGGCTCAAACAAATTTGAGCCAAAAAAAAAATTTGCCTCAAACAACAGCCCTCTATCTTCTGCAAGGCAGTCATACTAAGAGACAAGGTTAGTTAAGTCTGACAAAGATCTAGGTCCCTTTAAAGCAGCATAAAGCCCACAGAGCTGGGCACGGTGGCTCACACCTGTAATCCCAGCACTTTGGGAGGCTGAGGCAGGTGGATCACCTGAGGTCGGGAGTTCAAGACCAGCCTGGCCAACATGGAGAAACCCCATTTCTACTGAAAATACAAAAATACAAAAATTAGCCAGGCATGGTGGTATGCACCTGTCATCCCTGCCACTCGGGAAACTGAGGAGAATCACTTGAACCCAGGAGGTGGAGGTTACAGTGAGATGAGATCGCACCACTGCACTCCGGCCTGGGTGACACAGTGAGATTCCATCTCAAAACAAAAAAGCACCATAGAACAGGAGTGAACACTGAGATCCTACAGGGACCAGATAAAGTCAATAAGCTTAAGAGAGCCCGGTGAAAACTGCTGCAAAGGGAACTAATTCTCAGCTCCAGTCTGTTACTGTTGTTTGGGAAGTCAGGCCCAGTTTTGCCAGTTCTTCCAATTTAAGAAAAGCCAGAAATCTAAACTTGTGAATAATCTCCCAATTTTATATACTGAAATTAACTTTAAATATTTAAACATCATACAGACCAAAGTCTACAGGGCATGCAATTTGCAGTGTTTGTTATAGAAAGAGTTGAATTTCAAATAATTTCTAACTCATTTAGAGATTTTTTTTTTTCTCCAACTACATATCATCACATGTAAAGAGCATTTAAGGGCCAGGCACAGTGGCTCATGCCTGTAATCCCAGCACTTTGGGAGGCTGAGGTGGGTAGATCACCTGAGGTTAGGAATTCAAGACCAGCCTGGCCAACATGGCGAAACCCCGTCTCTACTAAAAACACAAAAATTAGCCAGGCACGGTGGTGCATGCCTGTAATCCCAGCTACTCAGGAGGCTGAGGCAGGAGAATCACTTGAACCCAGGGGGTGGAGGTTGCAGTGAGCCAAGATCGCACCATTGCACTCCAGCCTGGGCGACAGAGCGAGATGCCATCTCAGAAAAAAATTTTTTTAATAATAATAAATAAAGAGCATTTAAGGAGCTTTAACTCAGTTAATAACAGAAATGACAGTGTTTTGAAAAATTACCTTTCTCTGTATCCTACGAGTAAAATCGTACAAAATATTTAAAGAATTATAGACATTAAACTTCCTCCTGACTCCTCCTGCACTATTTGAAAATTTCCTCATCAAGCACCCCTTCATACTAGAGAAGAAAGCATTATACGTGGGGAAAAAAACCCCTAAGCTGAAGAAAGAGAAAAATGTCAAATTCTGAGTCAATGCGGGATCTGCACGGAGTGAAGAGTGCATGTGCATCTCTGGGCAGGCAGTTCGCCACACCTGGTGAACGATGCATAGGTGTCAATGAGTTGCAGCGTGGCTGGAAGTAGGTTCTTGGTAATCTCAGACGACTTATGAGGATCAGTCTCAGCAGCCATCTTAGAAAAATGCTCATCCAAAGAGACCTGGACCTTTGAGATCGCGGCATCAAGGGTGTAGATGGACTGCAGACTGGGAATTTCATGCAGCTGCAAGATGGTGGTACAGTCGATACTACAGAAGGATGAGATCTTTAAAAATATGCAAAATATAATTAGCTGTGGCAATGGGCTATGGTAGAAACCAAGTTCTATCATTTAGGTTCCAATATTACATACCTGTCGAGCGAAGTATTCCTCTACTATTTCAACATCATATTTCACTGAGCTACACTTAGTGGTGGATGCCAGTTCTAGAAGCGAGCTAGCATGCTCAGCCTTCATTCCCTGTTTGATAAGGTGATCCTATTTGGACAGCAAGAAAAAGTGTTTAGGAGATGACTATAGGCAAAGCTTTCATTATCTTCAAATTTAAAAGCTCCAGTAAGCACAAAGCACTTTGGCTTTGAATAGTCTTAGCAGCAAGCTCTGTGTTACCTTTATCCAGTTGACATAGGAGCTGATCCGGAGCCGAGAAGACCATCGCAGAGTGTGCAAGATGTCACATTCGCTCATCTCAGGTGAGTTCATGGATAGCTGGTTAATGTAAGTCTTTGATGGTGGTAAAATTCCTAGGATCCTCCACAGTATCAAGAAGTAATATTGAAGGGCACAGGCCTCCTGGAGAAAGGAAAAGCAGCATAGAGGTAGCACTTGGTATGGCCTCAAGATCTCCCTCACAGTACGAACTACTCCAAATACAACTTTTAAACCAGAACTGTATAGAGTCCTGATTTTAAATTGAGATTTGGCCCCCAAGTCCATTCTCCAGATCTTTCTAGAGAGTGCACCTAGCAGAAAATGGCAGAACACACATACAAATAATTTGTTCCGTATTCTGCACATTTCACAGACCAAAAAGGCTATTCCAAGACAACTTTGGCTCCCCAATAATTTACCAATTAACCAAAAGAGGGCAGGACATTCTGCTTAGCAGACCTGCAATCAGCTATCCGTTTTTGTGGCCTGGAATTGCTTCTAGAATATAGAGACACATTAACAGAGCCATGGAAAAATCTCAAGCGTGAGGCTTTCAATATCACACATCAACCAGTATTGACAGGAGATATAGCACTTGGGGGGGGACCACTAACTCTTAAATTACAGTTCTCTCAATGGTAACCAAAAAAATGCAACAGCTGATTAAATTATCTTTAAGGTGAACATAGCTACACAAACTACCTAGAAATACTCAAGTATCAGTCAGTTTTGCAAATCAATATTCAATAAACTGGTTACATTTCAGAAGGAAATTTCTGATAGAAATGATCAATGATCAAACACAACCCAAAGACTTCTCAGGGTTCCATGGTCTTACCAAGGCTGTTACATTCTTGTTTTCCTTTCTCCTAACTGTATCAAGCTGGGACCCAGCTGCAAGCAGGGCTGTCAGTGCAGCATAAAGCTCATCATACTTGACAAGCTTGGAGAAAAGGACGTCACATGCCTGACATCAAGAAAGAAAGAGAGTCATTTCCTTACTTTTAAAGTATTTTTTCCTACTGCCTATACACTATCACTTATCCTCATGATTGACAAAATATCCCATCAAATCATAATCATTAATTTCTCCTTGGAACAGATTCCCATTCTGGGACATTACTCACACTGTTTGCAAGCTATTGTGAGCACACAGCTGCTGGCTTTAGAATAAGGGAGTAAGACAATTATTTTTGTCCATTAAAATACTTGCATGTGAAAAATGCTAACAAAGACTGTCTTCAAAAATCAAGTGTCAGAGGTGCCAATCCAGAAAGGACAAACCCCACAGCAAAAGTGCACCCAACAAATAAATATCCAAGTAACATTTTCCTATTAGAATAAGCTCAAATCGTAACACAGACCACATTTCCTCACTATAAAAAGTCAGTCATTCCCTTTCCCCCCAGTAGGCTGATTCTGGTGGAAACCATCTGACCCACATATAAAATGCAGTTTTAAAATTCCTAGTACCACAGAATCAAGTCGGTTCAAATCATCCTCTGAGGCTTCTGGGGACAGGACACAGTAGAATCTGGGGTGTGGGACAGCATCTGAAAAGTAATATGCTGATTAAAAGAATGGTTCCATTCTTAACTCTATCTGACTAGTATGCAATGTAAAACTCAGAAAATACTTTATAATAAGGTTTCCCAACCTTAACAATATTGACATCTGGAGCCAGATAAGTGTTTGCTGTGGGAGGCCATCTTATGCACTCTAGGTGACTTAACAGCAGCCCTGGCCTCTACCCCCTGAATGCCAGTAGCACCCCCAGTTGTGACAACCAAAAATATCTAGACATTGCCAAATGTCCTGGAGGGGAGAGGGCAAAATCACCCATTGAGAACCATTGCTCTAAGAGTTAAGTAGGGTGCCCTAGAATCAAATCAATCAACAAATTATATCATTAGTCTGCACACATTAAACTTACATGCTGTTTCCCTAACATCAAATAGTAAAAGATAACAGTAAACTCACACTAAGGCTTCACAAAAGTTTCCACAAAACACACTTAACATCTAATAATCCTCAGGGTAAGTGCAAACACACACTAAAAATGAACACAACAAACACTTCATCCAAAGAACAGACAATTGCTATATGAGAAAAACACTAGAGATAATCTCATGTTCACATTCGTTTCAGACCAGCATATCACCAAGACCCAAAAGGAAATTTAGCTATACATTAGAACCACAACTCTAAGGGAAAATAAGGAAAATTAATGACACAGAGTGGCAAGAATCCATATACTGTACCCTATGGCCAGACACGAGGATTCTGATTTCTTGTGTCTCAATTTATTTTTTAGTTTTTATGTTTTTTTTGAGACAGGGGTCTCACTCTGTCAACCAGGCTGGAGTACAGTGGCGTGATCACAGCTCACTGCAACCTCAACCTCCCAAGCTCAAACGATCCTCCCACCTTAGCCTCTCGAGTAGCTGGCACCACAGGCACGTGCCACCATGCCCGGCTACTTATTAAAATAATTTTTGGTAGACGGGATCTACTCAGGCTGATCTCAAATTCCTGGGTTCAAGCGATCTTCCCACTTTGCCCTCCCAAAGTGCTGGGATTACAGGCATGAGCCACCATGCTCAGCCTCAATTTTTTTTTTTTCCTTGAAATAGAGTCTTGTTCTGCTGCCCAGGCTGGAGTGCAGTGGTGCAATCTTAGCTCACTGCAACCTCTGCTTCCTGGTGCAAGTGATTCTCCTGCCTCAGCCACCAGAGTAGCTGGGATTACAGGTAGGCACCACCAAGCCTGGCTAAATGTTGTTTGTATTTTTTCAGTAGAGATGGGGTTTCACCATGTTGGCCAGGCTGGTCTCGAACTCCTGACCTCAAATGATCTGCCCGCCTCTGCCTCCCAAAGTGCTGGGATTACAGGCATGAGCCACAGTGCCCAGCTTCAATTTTTTAAAAAATATAAATGTAGGCTATGTGGGAGTCCATTTCTGAAATGTTTTAATCCATAGGTGATTTGCCACCCATAGGGATTACACTAAAGCAAATGACCAAAGATCCTCCAAGAGTCCCCAAGCTTCAAATTCAACCCCACCAATGAGAATCAGTAAGTCAGTTTCTTATTAACAGTCTTCTTTCTGACCTGATGAGAAATGCTTAGACCAGTTTTCTTCTACTTCTTTGAATCCATGATAGAGAGGAGTGGTTGCCCGGCGGCTGTTGCTGTCCTGGGATCCACTTGCCCACCCAAAGGGAGGACTTAGCAGGTTATGCTGTACCTTTTAAAACACAAATACTGAAATTAAGAAAGATACACAGTCACCATTCAGCTTTTCACTCAGGCATGATAATAGCTCGGTACACTGAATCTTGGTAATCTGAATGTGGGTGTTCTACATTCAAATATTCTGTTTTATTGGGCACCATTCAGCTTTTCACTCAGGTACGATAATAGCTTGGTATACCAAAGCCTGGGAAACTCACAAACCAAAATAAAAATTTAAAGATTTTTCTGTGACTACTTTTGGAATGCAATTTTTGGTGCAACATAAAGGGTATAGTGCTCAATGAAACATTTTAAGAAATGCTGAACACAGTTAAGTCTGAACGGATCCTCCTATCCTTATTTTGGATCCTTACAACAAAGGAATTTACCAATCCATAAAATTTACTACTTGACTGTCATTCAACCACTAACAAATACTCATCAAGGGCCGATGCTCAGGGCACTGCATCAGACACAGGTAGAGCAGGGCAATTCGTGGGAGAATGCCTTTGAACACAGCCTACATTCCACTTTCAAAAAATGCATCAAATCAAGTAATCTACATGTATCACTTCTGGCTAAACATCAAGTACAAAGTCTCAGTGGTCCTCCTAATCCTACCCATCAACCTACCAAAACCTAAAACCTAAAGTGGGTAGGTCATTTGGGCTGCGGATCATGGTAACCATTGAGAAGAATAAAGTTCTCAGTAATGGTGAAGCAAAAAAGAACGTGTTGGTCTGTACCTGCTCAAATAGATACACAGGGGCTTTGGAGTACTGATGAAGCAGATAATCAAAGATGAGAAGGAGGCGAGCCAAGATAAGCGGCACGAAGCGCATCTGAGCATCCATGTTGACGCTCAACTCCTGGATGATCTGGACAAAAAGCGACAATATGGCCCGCCGGCCTGTCTCGGTGAAATTGTGGAAAATGAGGAGGAGCATCTGCAGGTGTTCTACATTCAGATCCTCTGTCTCACTGGGCACCACACCTTGCAGGGCATTCTGCTTCATTGTAGACAAAAACCTACCAGAGAGAAAAGATGACTATATCTGGTGGGAAAAAGAGCATTCCCCAGGAGTTATAATGTCAAGCACTAGAAGAGTTAAATTTCCTAAACCCAGGCAGTAAGATAACAAATTAAGGAAGAAAAAAAGGCTACATGGTAAAGACAAGACAGAAACTAAATTTTGGCTAAAAAAAGTCAGACTTGGCCAGCCAGGCACAGTGGCTCAGTCTATAATCCTAACACTTTGGGAGGTCGAGGGGAGGATTGCTTGAGGCAAGCCTTAACACAGGCGTGTTAATGCCCACCCTGTCATTTGTGGCCATGAAAAGTACTACAAGCTCCCCCACAAAAATGTTGCTATTGTTCCTTTCTGATTAACAAACTTGGACAGGTGAACCAGTTCAATTACTTTTCCCCATATTTTGATTCTATCATTTAATTCTAGTTTTGAGAGTTTATACTACAGGTTAAAAATCACTGCATGATAATAGTCAAAAATAACTCGATAGACTATAAAGCAATAAAAAAGAAAATATACTATTCAGAGAATTTGTCAGAAGAGCTTTAATGCAAAAAAGGAATGAATGTAGCCAACTGTTTCCATTGCCTTTGGCTATTTGGAAAGAGATTTGTGTTTTAATATTAGGAAAGAGATTTGTGTGTTTAACAAGGGTTTCCCTCATTGCACCCCTCGACCCTCTCAGCCTTTTTGCAAGATTCCACCAGGAAAAATATAGCGGGTCTTTGGCACTCAAGAAGGTTTATGCTTTCTCAAATCCAGCATTAGAGCTATTTGATCCTACAATGGGGAACAGAAAGCAAAGCCTTTTAGGAAAACAAACTGCTTTGAAGACTTCTAACCATGTAAACAAAAATGGCAAATACAGGTCCATCTAAAGTGGATTTAGATGATTAATCTGAGCTTCCCCCAAGGAAAAAAATTCTTTAAAATTTCTCCAAAAAACACTGCAAGTGCCCCTAAGTGGTTTCATGTTGAAAGCAAAATAACCAAGGACAGAGCTGGCTTCCCTGCTTGTCTTTCAAAAAAGCAGGTCAGGATAAAATTGGTTCTGTTCAAGATTGTGGTTCCATCGCATAATTATAACCAAATCCCCCATGTGCTACAGGGAGATTTATTTCCAGACCAAAGTTGACATACTTGTTTTTTAACAGCACATCTCCAAGTCCATCCCTCTTCTACCCTCCCCACTCTAAACATTATCATTACAGCAAAGCCTCAAAGCCACAGATTAACTACAAAGAAGTCAAACAAATAAAAAAGGAAATAACTTTCTCTATAGGCCTTCTCTTACAGACATCTTACCTGTCCCAAACTTTAAGGCATTCTGGGACGTCAGGGTCACCTTGAGCACTGGCTTTATGTTGCCAGATGAGCAGGAGGCGTGAAAGCACAGAGAGGCTTTGAGGGTGAATGTACAAGGGCCAAGGGCCCTCAGAAAAAGGAGCCACTCCTAGCTGCTGCAACAGTGTGTTCTGACAAGAAAGACATGGAACAGAACATTAGCAAACAGATACGGGATAAAGTCAAAAGGTTACTCATGTTCTCAAACGTTTGTTTGTTTAATATTGAACAGAATATTTTAAAGAAAGAAGGACCCAGAAATTCAGATTTTGGAATAGTTTGGATAAAGATCATTTAGGTCAACAAATGAGAAAAACATAAGTGAAAACTTACTGATCTAACCTCATTAACATTTATAGTTAATGAGTGTCAGATATGGGCTCCTGAAAAAAGAGAAAAGCATTGAGATACCAGAATCAGGATAATTTTGTAAATGGACAAAACATGAGAAGTTGTTGCCTTTGAAAGCAAACTTCTTGAACAACTGTAATAGCTAATAGTTTTTCTTTAATAATCAGTTACATAATACAAATAACACCCAAAAGGGGAAGATCCAACAATTTAGAGATCCGCAGTATTCGCAGAGAAATTCTGCCTATGAGATCTCAAGGCACCCAGAACTCAACAAGGCTGTTCTTCACCTCCAGGTGGAGCATGTCTTTCAAGTGAGCTTCATTTTCAGCCCAGTAACTAAGCTGCAAATTATCTTCTCAAACACACACACACACACTGAGCAGGATGCCAATGGAAAACCAGACAAATGCCTGCTTTCTCACTTGGCTTCAGAAGACACAAAGCATGGTTACTGTGGGATGTAGGATAAATTTCTAAGTCTGCCAAATTAAATTATATTTTTATACTACATCCTCAAGGACTCTTCCCTGGAAATGAATGTTTCGCAAAATGTCGCTGGCCTCAAGAGCAGTTTCCGTGGACTACACAGTTACCATAGGTTGAGCTAAATGCAGAGCATACTTTGTTGTCACACCGGATGTGCCAGGCAGAGACAGGAAGTATTATGTGCTCCATGTCACTGATAAGGGATGGTGAAGGTCTCTAAGTGGTAAAGCCAGGTTTATCTCTAAAACCATGTTCTTTATTTATTTATTTTTTTTTTGAGATAGAGTCTCACTCCATCACCCAGGCAGGAGTGCGGTTGCACGATCTCAGCTCACTGCAACCTCCACCTCCCGGATTCAAGCAATTCTTGTGCCTCAGCCTCCCGAGTAGCTGGGATTACAAGCGTGTGCCACCATGCCTGGCTAATTTTTTTATTTTTAGTAGAGACGGGGTTTCACAATGTTGGCCAGGCTGGTCTCGAACTTCTGGCCTCAGGTGATCTACCCACCTCCCAAGTGCCACGGCGCCCAGCCTCTAAAACCACATTCTTAACCACCATGCTCAACAAAGTCATAAACAACTTCTTAATTCCTAAGTTAAATGAAACAATTCAAAAAAAAAAAAAAACCTACCTGAGCTACATGAAAAATACTAACTGTAGCACAATTCTAATAATGGAAAAATCAGGAAAAAAAATCTAAATGTTCAAATCAAGGGGCGTACCTAGCCATATATATGGATAAGTAACATATATTCCTTATAATGCTATTTTTAATGCTTTTTTTTGCTCATTTTTCATCTTTGTGTCAGTTTTTCAGTCCTCAGAGCCACAAAAATGAGTTAACATTCCATAGGAACCTGGTCTTTCCCTTCCACCCCTATCCTTCCTTCTCAGCTCTAAGTAAGGTAACTGACTCTCTAAGAAGTCAAACTGCACCACAGTCCATCTAGCAGCAGAACTCTGGCTGAGTCCTCCCTTCCTCCACTCCTCTTTCATACTGGCATTTCTAAGGGTTCAGCCTCAGCCTTCAGCTATCTTGCTAGTCTCACTGTTTCTCATTACTTCAAAAATTGCCCCAATTTAATTCCTCAATTTCAGACTCACATTCCAAACTATTTTCTAGACACTGGCACCCCAAAACTTCATCATAGTTAAACTGAAACCTTAGGCCGAGCACAGTGGCTCACACCTACAGTCCCAGCTATACGGGAGACTGAGGTGGTAAGATCACTTGGGCCAGGAGTTCGAGCAGCCTGGGCGACATAGCGAGACCCCATCAGGAAGACGGACGGATGGAAGGAAGGAAGGAAAGAAGGACGGACCAGCCGGGCATGATGGCACACACACATAGTCCCAAAAGGCTGAGGGCAAGAGTACTGCTTGAGCCCAGAGTTCAAGACCAGCCTGGGAGATACAGTAACATCCCCACCTCTAAAAAAAAACAAAACAAAACCCAATCTCTCTTACCCCCAAACCAACTCCCCTTCCTGACTTTCCTGTCTCTATTAATGACAATAGCATCCTTCTAGTTTCATTTGAGTTTTAAACTCAGGCAATATCCAAGACTCCTTCCTCTCCATGCTCTTCACCCCATTCAAATAATGGCCCATGATCTCTGCAAAATGTCCTATGCCTATCTCCCTCCTTTTTCATGATCCCACACTAACTCAAGTTATCTTTATTTCCTCAGTGTCTATAATAGTACCTGGCACATAGTAGGTGCTCAATGAATATGTATTGAACAAATGAACCAAGAGACTGCAATAATAATATTAAACAATAATACAATTATTAAGAGAGCTAACATTTAGAAGGTACTAGTACTAGGTACCAAGCACTATTTTTGTTTTACTTTTCTTATGTGGTAAAGTATCACAACATAAAATTTACCATTTCAACCATTTTTACATGAACAGTTCTGTGGCATTAAGCACATACACATTATTCTGCAACCCTTACTACCATCCACGTCCAGAACTTTTTCATCTCTCCAAACTGAAACACTGTACCCACTAAACACCAAGTCCCCATTTTCCCATCTCCCTGCCCCACGCGACCACCATTCTACTTTCTGTCTCTATGAATTTGACTACCTAAGTACCTCAGAAGTGGAACCATACAAGGTTGTATTTGTGCTTCTGTGACTGACTAATTTAGTATCATGTCTTTACGGTTTATCCATGTTGTAGCATGTGTCACAATTTCCTTCCTTCTGAAGGCTGTATAACATTCATTGTATGGCTGGATGTTTTGTTTATCCATTCAAATGTCAATGGACACCAGGGTTGCTTCCATCTTCTGGCTACTGTGAATAATACTGCTATGAACATGGGTGGATAAACACCTGTTCAAGCCCCGGCTTTCATTTCTTCTGGGGTATATAAGTAGAATTGCTGGATCATATAGTAATTCTATTTTTTTTTTTTGGCAGATGGGGATCTTGCTATGTTGCCCAGGCTAAAGTACAGTGGCTATTTGCAGGCGCAATCATAGCATACTACAGCCTCAAACTCCTGAGCTCAAGTGATCCTCTTGCCTCGCCTCCCGAGTAGCTGAGACTACAGGCACGTGCCACCATATAGTAATTCTATATGTAATTTTTGCAGAATTGACATACTGTTTTCCACAGCTACTGTATCATTCTACATTCCCACCAGCAATGCATCAAGAATTCCACTTTCTCCACATCCTCACCAACACTTACTTTCCATTTAATAACAGCCACCTAATGCGTGTAAGCGAAGTGGTATCTCATTGTGGTTTTGAGTCACAAACATAATGGAATATCATACAGTAGTCCAAACAAGAACTATAGAAATATATAACAATATAGATGAATCTTGGCAATACAGTACTATATCATACTACATGAAAAAAGAGAGAGCTTGAAAACATTACATACAGCATGATGTCATTTGCTATAAAACTACAAGCAATTATTAAAACTTTTTTTAAATTTAAGGAATATAGATTATATATGTACATACACATACATATACATATATGACTAAGGACATGAGGAACTTGAGATTTAGGATTCAAGACATCAGCTATTTCAGAGGGGAGAGAGAACCATAAGATTGGAAGTTCACAGTCAACGTCCTAGATTTTGTTTTGGTGGTGAGTTTGCAAGTACAAGTGTATATGAGAGCATCTATCTCCTATAATTTGATTGATTCTTTTAAAACACACATTTTAATTTGTCTTTCTTCAATTACTAAGGATGTTGAATACTTTTCCTATGTTTATTGACCACTTATACTTCTTTTCATATAAACTGCCTGCTTGTGTATTTGTCCACTTTTCTGCTAGCATAATCATCAGGAGTTTCTGTTTGTTTTTGTGGGTTTTCCTTTTCTTTAAGCTTACTGACTTAAGATAAAAGACATATTTTTTTTTCTGGAAATGATCCTAAATATAAGGCACAGGGACATATTAGAATCACCTCTCAACGCTCTTTCCAGGGAGGGGATTTAATGACAAACTGTTCCTTAACAATTGGAGCTACAGGCCGGGCGCGGTGGCTCACGCCTATAATCCCAGCACTTTGGGAGGCTGAGGCGGGCGGATCACCTGAGGTCAGGAGTTTGAGACCAGCCTGGCCAACAAGGTGAAACCCTGTCTCTACTAAAAATACAAAAATTAGCCAGCCATGGTGGCACACACCTGTAATCCCAGCTACTCTGGAGGCTGAGGCAGGAGAATCGCTTGAACCTGGGAGGTGGAGGTTGCAGTGAGCCAAGACCGTGTCACTGCACTCCAGCCTGGGTAACAGAGCAAGACTCCATCTCAAAAAAACAAACAAACAAACAATTGGAGCTGCAGCCTATGGAAGCTGGTGTCATGAGCTCTTGCCTAGATGGTCACAGCACACACAAACCTGCAGGTTAGGTGACTGAAGGTCAGAGGTTACCAGTGAGTGGTTGAAGTGATAGAGAGCTGCAGCAAACTCTTCATCTGATGAACCTTAAAGACAAGTAGAAAAGCCAATTATTTAAGCAGCTATTGAATGCACCACACCTCCCTGCCAACAGCCAAACTCCATGAGAAAAAAAATCCATCAGGCACATATCTTGTCTACTGACCCTTGAGTCCATCTTTGTCCACCTCCTTGATGATACTGGCTAGGGTGGCCATATGGTGTTCTGAAAGAGATACACTCAGATAGTTTCGGATAAAATTGTTCCGAGAGTTCAGCATGGAAGAGGTGATGAAGTTCAAAATGTTGGAAGCCAGACCTAAGAACTGAAAGGAACACACACAAAAAAGCTCTTATCAGGGTCATAAGCCCAGCGTTCCTATAAACTCTGATTACAAATAGAAAATAAAATATGCTCATAGGTATCCTGCAATAAACACAATGAATGAAAGAATCAGATTTTAAATCACTTACAGTGGGCCTAAGTTTCATTATGAGTCTCTCTTTCCCACCTAATTCTACTTACACAAAATGGCATTCCAGTTTAATATAACAGATGTTACAAAACAGTGTATGAAAACAGGATTTCCAAATAGACTGACCCATTTCTTTTGTTCTCCTAAGGTCCTTTGTCCGGCTCCAATTCACTACTGATATATTCAATCCTGAAGCCTATATGAATGATTATTACACATATATAGAATTCCTAGCTCTTCTCTATTAAAATTAAATTGAATTATTGTATAAATGTTTTTTGTCCACATCCTTGACTGTAAGCTATATATATGAAGGCAAGAACTGTATCTGACTCACTCACATCATCAGAACGGGGACTGACACTTACTAGATAATACTAGTTGAACCAACAGTTCAACCACAGCAAGCACTGATGATATATCAGACCTATGCTAAGCACTTTATAAATAGTCTCTCTTTAAGATGTCACAACACCTTTAGATGCAGGTACAATCACTCCCATATGATAGGAGACAAAACTAAGGCTAGAAAAAATTCAGATTCTTGCCCAAAGTCACAAAGCCATTAAGTGATTCTAAAGGCCAGCAGAGAAACAGTAACAGTCACGTAAGTTATTTAATGACACATAATCAAGACATATAAGTCCTAAGCAAAAATATCTTTAAACATTACAGTTATCCAAGCCACAAAATGTTTGCATTCAAATTATCTGCTTCTCATACCCCTAGCTCCCCATGTCCACTTCCCCTAAACCTTAGAAACCTACTCTTACCAACTCAGGATCTTTGCGACTCGCCAGAATGTTGCCCTTCTCACCAGGGGCCTGCTTACTGGGGCTTTTAACCCGAGGAGAGCTTTCCAGTGGAGGAGGTGGGGGAGGAGGCGGAGGTGCTGCTTTCTCTTTACTGGGAGAAATAGTCTCCTCAAACCATTGCCCCAAAATAGGCTCACTGTCATCGTCTGAATAGAGAAAGATAAAGTAACGAAAATAAATATTTTTTAAAAGTGTTTTTGGTGCATCTGCTTCCTAAAAGTACTTAAGTCAAAAGGAATACAAGGATATCCCAATTGTGATGATGGTTACAAGATTGCATTTGTGTATCAAAACTCATCTAAATGCATACATAAAATAAGAGCAAAACTGATCATCAATAACTGATTCAAATGTTTGGATAGATTCAACCCGTTAAGAATTTCTCACATTATTGCATGTAAATTATACCCCAATAAAACTGATTTCTTTTTTCTTTTTTTTTTTTTTTTTTGAGAGGGAGTCTCGCTCTGTCACCCAGGCTGGAGTGCAGTGGTGCAATATTGGCTCGCCGCAACCTCCACCTCCCAGGTTCAAGCGATTCTCCTGCCTCAGTCTCCCGAGTAGCTGGGACTACAGGCTACAGGCATGTGCCTGGCTAATTTTTGATTTTTAGTAGAGATGGGGTTTCACCATATTGGCCAGGCTGGTCTCGAACTCCTGACCTTGTGATCTGCCCACCTCAGCCTCCCAAAGTGCTGGGATTACAGGTGTGAGCCACCGCGCCCAGCCAATTTTTCTTTAAGGAGCCCAACAAAGAAAGAAAAACAACTTCACATTATTTTACTGGTAACAAGCCAAATATTTTCAAGAGCGAATTTATACTTGCCTTATCAACCATAAATCACAGGACGGTAAGAATCACACCTCCCTTCGTATTTCACATTGTTCCCACAAACCTGATTATGAAAGAATCTGAGGTACTTACCTTATTCATTCTCTCATCAAACTAAGGCAGGAGGGCATGCCAGTGGGTTCACTACAACAGGATTAGGTTTCTCTACTCAAGCTTCCCTAAACTATGACTATGATAACATCCAAACCGAACACCTCACATGTGACCTTTTGAGTTTCACTGAGAAAGCTTAGAGCAGAGGTCACAAAATGAGTCAACACAGGAAGAAATATGGAACAATTGAGATGTTTTCTGATTTTGGAGGGAAAGGAATGAAAAGTAACCCAGGCTTGGCTGAAAGTTGTTTCCATCATTCATTCATCAACAGCTCAACTTGCTCTTAAATAACATGTCATCTTTGAATGCACATAAAACCAAGGTCCAGGCTAAGCAGGTGAAAACAAAATGGAAACTTTTGTTTGGTCAGGAAACTACAGGAATCTGCTGAGAACACTCCTGTTGCACTCTATAGCTTATCTCTGGGAGAGAGAAAAGAGCGGCCTCTACCTTGGCTGCTGTCCTCCTCCGTGCTACTGAAATCGTCCTCATAGTAAGTATTGGAGTCGGTGGAGGCGCTGGCATCGCTGCTCATGGAGCCCTTCCTCTGCCGCTGCAGGACACATGCCTAGGAAAATGACAATTACAAAACCGGAGCCATCCTATTTAATCTCATGCATCGCATGAAAACTTTCTCCATAATCTCTTTTATTTTTTCCTAAATCCAAGAGTATGCCTCTTAATAGCTCCCTTAATTAAGGACTTTCATCACTTTACCCTACAAAAACACTACCAACCAGAGACGTGGACAAGAATTGAAAACAGGAGTGTTTCCATAGTGTCCTCTATGCTTCTGCTTCAGTATGCCAATCATCACAAATCACCAAGTAGCCACGTGTATCACAAAACTGATAATTAATAACTGATTCAAATGTTTGGATAGATTCAACCCGCTAAGAATTTTTCACTTCTTCAACACCAGTACCAAAACTTTGGGTCTATAAAGGTCATGGTGTGTAGTCAGTCTTATTCATTTCAAGAAAGTTTTATATATATATATATATATACATATATATATCATATATATAAAATGAGACATTCTTCTAAATTATCAATGGCTTAACTCCCACCCACCTTTCTGTAGGAAGTTGAAAGTAACGTCAAGAGCAGGTTCATCAGTGGGACAGAGTCAATCAGCCGTTGAATCCTCTGTATGGAGGTGCTCTGGGCCATAATGCTCAAGGCTGCAGGGGGGCCATCTGTCTCCCAACCCTGAAGGCAATGATATCAAAGGGCAATTAATGATACTACTCAGCCAGAAAAAACAACTTGAGTTGATGGATCAAGCTTGCTTGGCCAGAAGTGGATCCCGCAATCAATATGCTGATTACCATGGGGATAACCTCCTCACCTTGTGAAGGGCCTCCACTTGTAGGTCTTGAAAGAGAGACGTTAGCAGTTTGATGGCATGGTTTGCCAATATTACTGAGAGTACCCCAAATCCCTGATGCCTACACAAAGAAAAAGGAAAACACAATCCTTAAAATAATTAACAATAAATTACAACTTCTGAAGCAGTGGATCTTGCCATTTTGGGGTTTCAGACCCCTTTCAGACTCTGTGGACCTTCAGAAAAAAAAAATTGTACATACATACATCTGCATATAATTTCTGAAGTTCACAATCTCCTTGAACCCCATCCACAGATGGCCTAAGGATCTGCAGGCTTCAGGTTTAGAACTCCTGGACTAGGCTGGGCACGGTGGCTCACACCTTAAATCCCAACACTTTTGAGAGGCCGAGATGAGAGGATCACTTATGCCCAGCAATTTTAGACCAGCTTGGCAACCTAGAGAGGGAGACCCTGTCTCTACAAAAAAATTAAAAAGTTACCCAGGCATGGTGGCATGTACCTATGGTACCAGCTACTTGGGAGGCTGAGGTGCACCACTGCACTCCAGCCTGGGTGACAGAACAAGACCTTGTCTCAAAACAAAAAATTAAATAAATAAATAAATAAATAAATAAATAAATAAATAAAACCTCCTGGAATAGAAGAAACTCCCAAATGGAAAAATTTTTGGAATTTAAACAATCAGTTCAAGGCTAATGGGTTATACAAAGATGCTGACTTTTAAATGTAGATTGAACTTTTAAAGAATCATTATTTTGAAAAGAAAAAGGTTTGAATTACCAACTTCTATAAAATATCTGGAAACAAATCTAAGAGAATAAAAAGAGAGGCCTGGAGCAGTGGCTCATGCCTATAATCCCAGCACTTGGGGAGGCCAAGGTGGGAAGATCACTTGAGCCCAGAAGTTCAAGACCAACCTGGGCAACATGGCAAGACCCCATCTCTACAAAATATGAAAAACTTAGCCAGAAGTGGTGAGGCACACCTGTGGTGCCAGCTACCCAACAGGCCGGGGCAGAAGGATCACTTGAGCCCAGGAGGTGGAGGCTGCAGTGAACTGTGTTCATACTACTGCACTCCAACCTGGGCGATAGAGTGAGGTTTTGTTTAAAACAAAAGAGAGAAAAGAAAATTACATTCAAGTAAAGTGTTTTCCTCCTGTCCAAAATCTCCACATAACAAAAGGTTAATATATATGATTTGCAAGTTCATATAAATCAAAAAGAAAAAAGAACAAACACAGGCCAGATGCGGTGGCTCACATCTATTATCCCAGCACTTTGGGAGGCCAAGGCAGGAGGATTGCTTGGGGCCAAGAGTGCAAGACCAGCCTGGTCAACACAGCAAGATCCCATCTCTGCAAAAAATTTTAAAAATTAGCTGGGCATGGTGGTGCACACCTGTAGTCCTAGCTACTCAGGAGGCTGAGGTGGGAGGATCACCAGAGCCCAGGAGTTCAAGGTTACAGTGAGCTATAATCCTACCATTGCACTCTAGCCTAGGAGACAAAGTGACTCTACCTCTGTAAAAATAATAATAAAAAAATTAAAAAGAAAATGACAAATACCAAAAAGAAAACCAAGGCAAAGGACATAAGGCAGTTTACAAAAGAAATACAAATGACCAATAAATAGGTGAAAGGAAATACAATCACATTAGTAATCAAAGAAATACAAATACATGAAATATCATAGCATTCTCTCCTCTAAGACAAGCAAACATGAAGACTAATGATGCCCATTGTCAAAGAGAGCATGGGGAAATGGGCATATAAGCACACAGCTGGTGTCAATGCAGATTAGTGTTACTTTTCTAACGAGTAGTTTGACAAAACATTTCCAATGTTTAAATATGTGAGCCCTTTGTCCTAACAACGGTACTTTTGGGAATTCATCCCAACAGGACAATTAAGTTCCCAAAAGTTTATATTTCAGGAAGTTATCAAAACAAGACATTTGGAACAATCTAAATAAGCGCTTAGCAATAGGGGAATTAGGCAACTACGGTATATTTACATAGTGGAATACTGCTGGCCATTAAAAACTTAGACATTTTAATAGTGTCACTGAAAAGATGATGCAGTATTTCATATACACTGATCCCATTTTTGTAAACTTATATATATTTTATATGTGCACAGAAAAATGTCTGAAGGAATGTTTACCAATTTGAGTGGTAGAATTTGGGATCATTTTTACCTTTCCTATTTATGTCCATCTGTATGGCTTGTCACTTATACAACATACATGTATTCTTTTAAAATATGAAGAAACAACAGCCATTTTAAAAGCATAACTGCTACTTCTAAGGATATACTTCTTGGCATTCTTTCATTTCCCTTTACAATGCCAAGAATGAAAATGGCCACTCATAAAATCACAAACTACCGTTTGCTCTGGAACACTCTTACCTCCTTACTTCGCCTAGTATCTATCAACTTACCATGTCAATACCGGCTTCAGATTTCAGCTTAATTAGCAATTCCTTGGGGAAGCCTGCTCTGATGTCCCTAGCCAGGTCAAATGCCCCTGTTCTAATACTCTCTAGATACAATTTGACATGGCCAGGCAGATTGGCTCATGCCTGTAATCCCAGCACTTTGGGATGCTGAGGCAGGCAGATCACTTGAGGCCAGGAGTTCAATACCAGCCTAGCCAACATGGCGAAACCCCAACTCTATTAAAAATACAAAAAAAAAAAATCAGCTGGGCATGGTGGTACACACCTGTAATCCTAGCTACCTGGTGGCTGAGGCACAAGAATTGCTTGAACCTGGGAGGCAGAGGTTGCAGTGAGTTGAGACTGCACCACTACACTCCAGCCTGGGCAACAGAGCGAGACTCTGCCTCAAAAAAAAAAAAAAAAAAAAATATATATATATATATATTTGTATGGATACCTAGTTCATGTCTCTTGAGAATATGTCCATTTTTATGTTCATCACAGCAATCCAGAACTAACACAGAGCCTGGGACACAGAAGATGCTCAGAGGGTAATTTGTTAATGCAGTCCAGGCTGTGACCTCTTCCTGAAACTCCAGACTCACATATCCAACTGCCCACTCAACATCTCACATAGAGGTCTGACAGTCATCTTACACTCAGCATGGCCAATATTACGTTTTTATTTCTTCCCCATCTTCCCATTCAACCCACTCCTAAACAAGTGTTCCCAGTATCAGTAAATTATACAACCCAGTGACCTCAAGCCAAAAAATTGTGATGTCATCTTTTTCACACCCAACATACAAGCCATCAGTAAATCCTGCCAGCTGTACCTTCCAAATATATTTCAATTCGGCCTCTTTTCTCAGCCTTTGCCGCACCACCCTATCCAAGTCACCTTCATATCTCATCTGGAATGATGCATTCGCTGCTAACTGTTCTCCCTCCTTCTTATCTTATGCCCTGCAGTCTATCCTCAGATCACCAATAAATCAGGTTGCATCTCTCCCTTGTTTAATCCTTCTAACAGTTACTGACTGCACTTGGCCCTAGGTGATCTGGCCACTGGCTACCTGTCTGACCTAATTTTCTACCACTCTCCCACCTTGGTTTCTCCATTTTAGCCACACTGACCTTGCTGACCCTCAGAAATGTCAATGATACTTCCATCTCAAACCTGAACAATTCTACCCCAAATACTTACATAGCTCTGTCACTTCACATATGGTCTCTACATCATGTCTTTGGAGCCCTTTCTGGATCATCCTAAATAACTAAATAACTAAAATAATAGCCCTGGGCTGGGCGCAGTGGCTCACACCTGTAATCCCAGCACTCTAGGAGGCTGAGGTGGGCAGATCATTTGAGGCCAAGAGTTCGAGACCCTGCCTGGCCAACATGGTGAAACCCCGTCTCTACTAAAAATACAAAAATTAGCTGGGTGTGGTGGCATTCACCTGTAATCCCAGCTACTTGGGAGGCTGAGGCATGAGAATTGCTTGAACCCGCGAAGTGGAGGTTACAGTGAGCCACAATCACGCCACTGCACTCCAGCATGGGCAACAGAGGGAGACTATGTCTCAAAAAAAATAAAATAATAAAAGCCCCTATGACTCTCCGGCCCCTCGCTCTGACATCTTTTTCTTCACAACGTTTATATATGATTATCTATAATCTACTCGTTAATAGATTTGTTCATTGTTTCTCCAGATATAAAATAAACTCCATAAAGGCAAGGACATCACTTTGTTTAGTGCTATATCCTCAATGCCTAGAATAGGGCCTAGTATATAATAGGGATTGAATGAAAAAATAAAATCCAGAAACACCTGGGCTTAGAAAACGAAACCTGAACAGTACATTGGTCATATCTCTTCTTTCAGAGTTCATCAAAACAACAGCAAATATTACAGGAAGCAAACCAGGAGGCCCTGACAATATTCTCATCTTACAGGTTATACACGCAAGTACTCAACTCCAAGTCAAACAAGCCCGCTTTACAAGACAGAAACATGTTTTTCTGATGTGAACTTCATAAAATTCCTGAAATACACATTGCACAGATATTTTTCCCCTTTGACAGATGAGGAAATAGAATCAAAGAGAATGAGTGACTTATCTAAAAATCACAAAGCTATGCTGTGGAGATAACAGGTCATGATCATTATCTTAGTTGCTAAATTCAAGCCAGGTAGGAAGGCAAATTTTCCTATTGATATGAAGTCATACTAGCTCCCTGTAAATATAAAATGTTAGCGAAATAAAACAAAATATAAGTTATAATCAAGTAGACACATACCCTTTTCCAGGCCCCAGTTTAGGGGAGCCCACTCCCTCTTTAGTACGAGAAAGGATGTCTCTGACTCGGAGGGCAGCCAGTGGGTCCTTCTCTTTCCCCTTATCAGCCAACGCAGTAGGACTGAGGTTCAGTATGAGGAAAAGGCTGTTTAACAAGCACCAAGCACCCAGCAATTGGAAATTCTGATAGTGCTGTTGTGAAAGGCACAAAATAAAAAACATAATCATAGAGATATTTACATCTCAGAGAGGACAAGATAGGAAGTATGCAGCAGAGACAGATACGCTTCTTACCTCACCACCAGCCCGGCGAGAACTGCTGATTGCTTGTCCAATCATGTCATAGATTTCGAGCTGTACAATATCAAACAGACACAAAAATCTGAACAAGCTGACAGATTTCATCATAAATGCTAAATCCTACCCAAACAATTTAACTTGAAGAGTTCAATATCCTCTTTTCAATGATACATTCCATCGTACTTTCCTTGACCTTCACATGGAGCTGACTCCCTCTTTTCATTTGGATCAAATGTCACCTTCTCAGAAGCCATCCCTCCTCCGAATCAAAAGCAGCATGCCCAGCTCCACATCAGATCACTTTTTTTTTTTTAAGACGGAGTTTCACTCTTGTTGTCCAGGCTGGAGTACGATGGCGTGATCCCGGCTCACTGAAACCTCCACCTCCCAGGCTCAAGCGATTCTCCTGCCTCAGCCTCCAGAGTAGCGGGGATTACAGGCATGCACCACCACACCCAGCTAATTTTTGTATTTTTAGTAGAGACAGGGTTTCACCATGCTGGCCAGGCTGGTTTTGAACTCCTAACCTCAGGTGATCCACCCACCTCCCAAAGTACTGGGATCACAGGTGTGAGTCACCACACCCGGCCCAGATCACTATCAATCACAATGTATTGTTTCAGCGCACTTAATCACTATCGGAAATTTTCCTGTTTACTGCATTTCCCTAAAAGTACACTGACACACAGTAGGCCCTCAAACATATTTGCTGAATTAATGGCTAATCTTTCAAGTGTGTTCTACAGAGATAGGGAAACAATATACCAGATCAACCAATATACCAAATCAACAAGCTGGATGCCTACCTCTTAGACCTACTAGTGCCCAGGGAAAGTAGTGTGGAGAATACTCTAAGTTCTTTCTTCTATCATGGAAGAAAGTGGAACTGGCCATACTCCCTCATTTGAACAATCAAGGTTCCCTTATCCCCAGATCTTTGGCTTACACATTTCTGGACAATTGTAGCTGCGTCACTTTCATAGTCATCTTCTTTGGAGCTCGTGGACCCTGTCCGCACTTGCTGGGCACTACCCACATGGAGGATGGCCATGCACGTTGCCACACTCACACCTGAAAAAGAAGATGCACAGGTCTCAGCCATGGAGTGCATCCAAGAATCCACCAAAGCTGAAACACAAAAGCACACCCCACCCACAAGCAATTCCATGATTTGACTACTTAAAATAAATGCCATTAAGAGCAAGACTAAATAGGTTTACCATACAATTCAGTAACCAGACTCCTAGGTATTTATCCAAATAAGCTGAAAACTTACACGCGCGCACACACACACACACTACACACGAATGTCCTTCAATAGGAGAACACAGAAACAAACTGTGGTATATCCATACAATGGAATATTAATTCAGCAATAAAAAGAAATGGACTATTAAGCCATGAGAAGACATGGAGGAACTATATGCATACTGCTAAGAGAAAGAAGCCAATCTGAAAATCCTGCTTATTGTATGATTCCAACTACATGACATTCTAGAAAAGGTAAAACTAGAGAGACAGTGGAGATCAGTGGTGTTACCAGGGGTCGAGGGATGGGATAAGGAATGAATAGGCAAAGGGGATTTTTAGGATAGTGAAACTATTTTGTACAATATGGTAATCATGGACACATGACACTATACATTTGTCAAAACCCATAGACCTGTACAACACAAAAATGAAACCCCAATGTAAACTATGGACTTCAGTTAATAATAATATATCAATACTGGTTCATCAATAATAAATCCACCGTACTAATTAAAAGTATTACTGATAAGAGAAACTAGCTATAAGGGAGAAGGAGGATATGCGAACTCTATGAACCTAAAATTGCTTTAAAAATAAAATCTAAGCCAGGTGTGGTGGTGCATGCCTCTAGTTCCAGTTACTCAGGAGGTTGATGTGGGAGGATCATTTGCACCCAGGGGTTTGAGGCTACAGTGAGTTATAATCGCTCCACTGCACTCCCACCTGGCTGAAACACTAAGATTCTGTCTCTTTTTAAAAAAGTAATAAAAATAAATAATTAAGGCTGGGCGCGGTGGCTCACGCCTGTAATCTTAGCACTTTGGGAGGCCCAGGTGGGTGGATCACCTGAGGTCAGGAGTCTGAGACCAGCCTCGCCAACATGGTGAAACCCCATCTCTACTAAAAATGCAAAAATTAGCCAGGCGAAGTGGCAGGCGCCTATAATCCCAGCTACTCGGGAAGCTGAAGCAGGAGAATCACTTGAACCTGGGGGGCAGAGGTTACAGTGAGCTAAGATTGAGCCATTGCATTCCAGCCTGGGCAAAAGAGCGAAATGCCATCTCAAAAAAATTATAATTAAATAATTAATTCATTCACTAAATTTAAAATCTAGAAGCAGGCACAGTCGACTCCAGAGGCTGAGGTGAGAAGATCACTTGAGCCTAACAGTTCAAATCTAGCCTGGGCAACATAGCAAGACTGTATTTCTTAAATAAATAAATAAATAAATAATGAAATCTGGCCAGGCACGGTGGCTCACGCTTGTAATCCCAGCACTTTAGGAGGCCAAGGCGGGCGGATCACGAGGTCAGGAGATCGAGACCATCCTGGCTGACATGGTGAAACCCCGTCTCTACTAAAAATACAAAAAAAAAAATTAGCCGGGCATGGTAGTGGGCACCTGTGGTCCCAGCTACAAGGGAGGCTGAGGCAGGAGAATGGCGTGAAACCAGGAGGTGGAGCTTGCAGTGAGCCAAGACTGTGCCACTGAACTCCAGCCTGGGCGACTGAGCGAGACTCCATCTCAAAATAATAATAATAATAATAATAATAGTAAAATCTAATAATTTCAAAAAATTAAAAATAAATTTTAAGATTATGAAAAAAAAATCCTATACCTGGAATTTCTCAAAGACATCATAGCCAAATCCCTTTCCTTAAATCAAATCCCAAGTGATCAAATTTTAACAAACCAGATTTGGGATCTTTAATCCGACTATGAATTTTTAAAGAATCTCTAGTCCTTACTGACTTTAATCACTTACTGACTGAGTACATTGAGATCCATGTGAGGGTAATGAAATCCCCTGGAAATCAAAATAAATAAACCCCAAATTTAAAAATGCAAAATCAACGGTAGAGCATGAGGAAGCTCAATACTGGAAATTAGCTATGAGAGAACATATTTTCACATGTATCCTTAACTTTCTACTCTTAATGCTGCTGCCCTAGCTGAGGCCCTAAATGTACGCTGCCTGAATGACTGCCAATTCCTCCTAAGTAGTTTCCCTGCCTCCAATATTTCCCCACACCAAAATACCTTGTACAGTACAGCCTGAATGTTCTTCCTAAAATATAGCTCAGATCCTCTCACAGCTCAGAATCTTTAATGGTCTCTACTATCTACAGGATATGGTCCAAATGACTTAGTCTGCATTTCTAATTGAGTCTTACTTTCTGTCCAATTATACAACACCCACGAACAGCCATAAAACCTACAGACTTACTTATACACACACACACACACACACACACACACACACACACACACACACACACAAACTTACGTAGTATGTTCCCCCAAACTCTTGGATACGTTTTGTCTGCTTCTGCCTCTGCCTAGAAATAGCCAAGCCGAGATCCTACCTGACTTAAGATTCAACATCAGAGCTCCTTCATGATTACTGCCTTTCTCAACTGAAAGTGAGCTCTCCCTCCTCTAAACTTCCAAAGTACTTTCTCATCTCTCATTCAGTTTCTTCACTTATAAGTTATTTACTAATATCCTCTAAAAGACAGTAAGGTCTCTGAGAGCACAAATGCCTTTATCTTTATCTTCCTATTCACACACAGATGTTCAAATTAAAACTGTTCAGAGAATGTAGGGAGATCAACCTCAGTAATTTCATGGTGTCCCCAAGGTCAGGTCTCCAAGACTATCTGCTCAAATCTTCACTTGCAAAACCAAGTAAACTTCTGAAATTGCTATAACTTCCAAGACATACCAGAGATATGATATGTCTCGGAACTTAAAGCCAAGGATCAGTGATCTGGGCTAAAAAGTCCTTTTAACAATAACTTAAAAGAGAGTAAACACCAGCTGTCAGGCCCTGCTTCAAAGGCAGTAAGATCAACAGGAAAAAAGGGGATTTTATGGAAGCTTAAAGAATATCATTCTTCGCATTTATCAGTATAAACAGATACCACCTGTTCCACGAAGCCTTCTTCAAACCTGATCCCACAGCAAGACTCAATCCCTCTCTTCTCTGTGTACCGAAAATATTCTATACTTCTATTGCCTTTAATACTGTTTTATATTATACTATTTAGCTTTATGTGTTCTCTGCTGCTCAGATGTAGGCTCCTTGAGGGCAGAGACTACATGTAGTTCATCTCAATATCTCAACAGTCTTAGGCAATTTGCTTTTCATATAGTAAATATTTAGTATCTGCACATACTATAAAATCAAATATGCCTATAACGCAATGGCAGCAGTGAAACAACAGGACCATTTACAAAGATTCCTATTGAGACCTCATTTCACCTTGATGCGACGTTAGATGATCCTTGAGAGAAGGAAGCAAGGGGGATGAGTAGAGTATTCAGGAGGATTTTCATGGTTTCCTGAAAGTATATCTCTGCTTGACTGAGAAAATGAGACCAGATATAATAACTTCTCACCTGCATACAGACAACTTAGGCTGAGGACTGTCACATCTTGTAGACGAGAAGGATTGAGAGGTTCCAACACAGGTAGAGAAAGGGTATCCAATGCCATAGTTACATCAATCACCAATGAATGAAAGCTGGAACATGACAGAGATCAACAAGTGTCTCTTAGAATCATTCACTTCTATAATGTGACAGTTAAAGAAATTATCAGCATGGGCCCGGCACAGTGGCTCACGCCTATAATTCCGACACTTCAGGAGGCCAAGGCAGGAGGATTGCTTGAGCCCAGGAGTTCAAGACCAGCCTGGGCAACAAGGCAAAACCCCGACTCTACAAAAAATACAAAAATTAGCCAGCCATGGTGGTGTGTGCCTGTAGTCCCAGCTACTCAGGAGGCTGAGGTGGGAGAACTGCTTGAACCAGGAGACGAGGTTACAGTGAACCGAGACTGCACCCCTGCACTCCAGCCTGGGTGACAGAACAAGACCCTGTCCCAAAAACAAAAAAAGTAAAGCATGTGCACTGTGAAGCACCTTACCCATTACGAACAGCAGTGGCATCTGCTACTGTTGCAGGCATTATGAAGAAGGAATTAGCTAAAACTGCATCTTGGAACCGATTGATATAGCGTAGGAAATATGGCAGGTTCAAACATACACGCAGTAGCTTCTCCGAGCCACCTAAATGAATGAAAACCACAACCTTACAAACAGGCCTTTGTCTGATGCTTGATTCTTATCCATATGACAGAAGCACACTTAAGGAATTTTTGACAGCCCAGAAATCAGCTTTCTGATAACAGTTGGGAGTCTTACCAAGCTCTTGAAGACTAGCCACGTTCTGAGCTATGAACACATTCTTGGTTTTGATAGCTGAGGCTTGATCTGTAGATGACTGCTCATCATTTTCTCCTTCCACCTGAAAAGAAACATAAGGCCTGTCAAGATACTATTATCTCTTCACCAAACCAACTGTCAAAAGTGAGCAGTAGCTGCACGGATACTCTCCAGACTCCCCAGTTAGTGAAGGGAAAATTCCTTACTCATGTTGGAGAAAATACAGGTTACATTTTCAGGAGGAGGGAAAAAATATACAGCTTTAAAATATATATATGTTCTATAACCAAAATGGAGTGATGCCTTTATATAGAAAACTGTACATACACCTTACATTTGTTAATTTGCATTGAGAGAAGCCTAGAATGGTCGTCAAAACAGTAATAACCGTGGACAGAAGAAGGAGTTGGGGTGAATTTTACTTGTTTTATTTTGTATTCCTCAATTTCTTTTGTCCCACAGACATGTATATCATTTTATATCACAAACATAAAATACATCACTTTTTCTCCCCTAGTGTTATCATCTTAACAAAACCCACAGAGAAGAAGACATTTGACTAAAGAAACTCACCAGAGTCTGTGTACTGATAGGTTGTGATGCTACAGTTCTAGGGTTAAAAACTGAGGTCAGCTGGTTCAAAAAATTCATCTGTACCTCCTTTTGCCTCAACTCAGGGCTTACTGGTGAGGCCAGCTCTTTCTGATCTTCCACTGTAAAATACAAAGGCAAAAAAAAGGGCTGAGGAAAGTGCCACTAGAAGGCAAAGGTGCCATGGAAAAGGTGCCATGGGGGTGGTCATGTGATCAGATCTGTCAAAGGAACACCCACCGTCTGAAAGTGTCTTCACTGTTTGGGGCAGCTTGGCGGATTTCATCATTGCTGTAAATGTGATAATTTCAGTTCTATCTAGTCGGCTACAGCCAGTGCACAGGCCCTTGATTAGGAGAATCAAGTGTTTCTGAAAAGAAAACAAATGCAAACAAAAGAAAACAAAAACAAATAGATCTTTCAGAAAATTCTACTCTTTTGGAAATTCTAACTGGCACAGGGCCAAATTTAGGTTCATATAAACACTAAAGCAAAGACTGCAAGCTGATGTCCTTAGACCGTATGTAGCTTATAGATTTGTCTTATTGTTCTCACAATATTTTTTTAAAATTTGAAGGGAATGAAAAGATTCACATGCAAATCTGAAATTCTCACGCTCAAATAATTCACAGTATAGCAACCTTGCACCTCCATTCCTGCATGGCAGTAATAACCCAGAGCCAAATAGTGGTTAGCCCCTTTAGTTGGGACCTGCAATCTTCTCAACTAGCACACTTTACTCATTTTCTGTTACCTACCTGGCCCCTGCAGGTATGTAAGTTTGCAATCCTTGAGAAGACTCTGTAGCCCCATGTACCAGAGGTTGGCAAACTACAGCTCCAATTCAAACACTGCCTGTTTTTGTAAATAAAGTTTACTGGAACACAGCCATGTTCATCATTTATATATTAATCTATGGCTGCTTTCACACTAAAAAGGCATAGTTAACTAGCTGCAACAGATAACATACAGCCTGCAAATGATTTCCTATCTGGCCTATTACAGAAAAAGTTCACTGACCTCTACTCTATTCCACTAGTCAGTCACAACACTGCTTCAGAATAGGGCAAGAAATGGGCCCATCACTCTCACCTGGGACACAGCACAAGCCTCATCTGGATTCTCCAGACGCAGGAGAGAAAACTCAATTAGAACTTTACAGGCTGCTGCCACTGACTGAAGTTGGTTCCGGGGAACTGAGAAAGTAATAAACATTACTCAATTTCAGACTGCTCAGCGTTGGTCAATAAATTAAGCAAAGTAAGTATTGAGCTCTATGTCCAACATTCCCAATATCGTAACAATTATTCAGAGCCAAAAACCCAAGGGGTAAACAAAGGCATTTTGACATCAATAACTACCAGATCAATTTATCTCATATTTACTAGAAATCAGGATAACTATAATAGGAAATACTTACATCACACCAGTGCCAAGCACTTCAAAGGTATTAACTCATTTAATTCTTAAACCAATTCTATGAGGCAGATATTCATATTATCCCTGTCCATTTTTAACAGCTGAGCTAACTAAATGACTTGACAAAAGTCACATAGCTAGGTTTAAATCCAGGCAGTCAGCCTCTAGAGTTCATGCTCTTAACCACTAAACCAGGAGTGTGCAATCTTTTGGCTTCCCTGGGCTACACTGGAAGAATTGTCTTAGGTCACACAAAAAATACACTAACAGTAACAATAGCTGATGAGCTTTAAAAAAAAAAAGGCAAAAAAAAAAATCTCATAATGTTTTAAGAAAGTTTATGAATTTGTGTTGGGCCAAATTCAAAGCCATCACATGGTCCTCAGGCTGTGGGTTGGACAAGCTTGCACTAGACAATACTACTATTGTAGTAGTATTCCCATGGATTCTAAAATGACGTCCTGGTCAGGCATAGTGGCTCACACCTATAATCCCAGCACTTCGGGAGGCTGAGGTGGGTGGATCACTTCGGGAGGCTGAGGCGGGTGGATCACTTCAGCCCAGGAGTTTGAGACCAGCTTGGGCCAGCATGGTCAAACCCCATCTCTACCAAAAATACAAAAATTAGTCTCATAACCCGATCTCAAAATAAATAAATAAATGGATAAAAATTTTAAGTATAACTTAAAAAAATAAAATGACTTCCTTACATAAAGTTTCTCCAAGCTAAAACTGATTCTTCTGCCAGTAGCCAGAGCTTATAATAAACAGTATTGGACACTGAAGGATTCCTCAGCAACTGGAAGAACTGTCTTGGGCCACACAAAAAATACACTAATTCTTCAATGTCCTTTCAGTTTACTTGCTTAGCAAACTGTTCAAATAAACAAATATGGGGACTCCTGCCTGTAATCCCAGCACTTTGGGAGGCTAAGCTGGGAGGACTGCTTGAGCCCAGGACTTCCAGACCAGCCTGGGCAACATAGAGAGACCCTGTCACTATAAAATATTAATTGGGCTTGGTGGCTTGTGCCTGTAGTCCCAGCTAGGACTGAGGAGGCTAAGGCAGGAGAATCACTAGAGCCCAGGAGTTCAAGGATGCAGTGAGCTATGATCACGCCACTGCACTCCAGCCTGGATGACAGAGCAAGACCCTGTCTCTAAAAAAGCAAATTTAAAATAATTAGAATTCTTCAGAACTATTTGAGTCAAGATTTTAGACAAATGTAAAAATTCAGAAATGTAAAATAGGGATTAGCCATTTTGGGGGTAGAAAAATGAAGAAAATGGAGAACTGAAGTTGAAATCCCTTCATATACCAGAGAACACAAAGGAGAATCCACATCCTCACCAAAACCAAATAAGGAATAGAGCCTTGAGTGGCTGCTAACTCCAGAGGTCAGTATCCACCACCGCCTTCCCCCCAGGGAAATTAACACACCAGTAATTACATGAGAAATCAATAAAATGCTTTGGATTAAGAAGGGAAAGGAGGTGGACTTAATACTTATAAAGCAGGTGTCCAAGCCAAGTAGTTTTAAAATTCCACTTGGTTAGCCTAGGTAAGGGAACCTCTGGAGCCTCATCCTAGCTGACAGTTGTCTCTACTCTTGGGTGAGCAGCTTAGGAGTGCTAAAACCTAGACTTCATTAACAACTTTTTCAGATACACTAACGAGAGGATAAACAATCCCCCTATTCACAAGCCCTCAGAAGGGAAGGACAAGAGTGGAATACTTACTGAGACTGCAAACTGTTGTAATATAGTGTGTGGAAAGTGCAACAAAAGATGAGTAGAATGGCTCGTACTGCTTCTCATGGTGCAGGATTTCTGATTCACTGTAAAAATAATAATAATTCAGCCAGCATCTGCTTAGCGCTTACTATGTGCCAGATACCCCTTTATGGATATTACATTATTTAATCCTTACTACCTGGTAGATAGTATCATCAACCTATTCCCCTTCAAGACTGGGAAAGATGAGACAGGTGGATCACCTGAGGTCAGGAGTTCAAGACCAGCTTGGCCAGTATGGTGAAAACCCGTCACCACTAAAAATACAAAAATCAGCTGGGCGTGGTGGCACGTGCCTATAGTCTCAGCTCCTCAGGAGGCTGAGGCAGGAGAATTGCTTGAACCTGGGAGGCAGAGGTTGCAGTGAGCCGATATTGAACCACTGCACTCCAGCCTGGGTGATAGAGCAAGACTTCATCTCAAAAAAAGATTGGGAAGGTGAAGCTTAGAGAATTAAAATTAAATATCTCATTCAAGGTCATCAGGCTAGGGAAGAAGCAGAGACTAACAAACAGAAAACATTTTCAAAGTCAAGCAGAACTAACGAAATGCAAGTAAAGACCTAACAGGATATCAATCTGTTCTATATTACTGACTGGCAAAGACCAACAGCTAATATGCCTTCATTATTGATAGCCAAAAAGGGGCAGACCAGAATACTCAATATACTGTTAGTGGGAATACAGACTAAAGTAACCAATTTTAGACCAAATAAGGCTGGCCTGTAATGCAGTAACTTAAAAGGAATCAACAACTCAAGATAAGAAGTCATATGATCAGTGCTAAAGTCCAAAATTCACTGGATAACAGAGTTATCCCCTACACCATCCCCCTGACTGTAGACTAAAGCGAGATCACAAAAGAGTCGGTGATTTTTTTTTTTAACCACATCCCTTATCCTTAGCTGGGGAAATGCCCTCTTCTGAAAAAATCTAGAGACCAACTAGGTTTAAAGGCTGGATACATTTAAAGTCATTGTATCAAATCAGGTGCTAATCCACAATTGATGAAACATGGGCCGGGCACGGTGGCTGGCCGGGTGTGGTGGCTCATGCCTGCAATTCCAGCACTTTGGGAGGTCCACGCAGGTGGATGACGAGATCAGGAGTTCAAGACCAGCCTGGCCAAGATGGTGAAACCCTGTCTCTACTAAAATTACAAAAATTAGCAGGTGGTGGCACGCGCCTGTAATCCCAGCTACTCAGAAGGCTGAGGTAGAGAATTGCTTGAACCCAGAAGGTAGAGGCTGCAGTGAGCCGAGATCGGGCCACTGCACTCCAGCCTGGGTGACAGCGAGACTCCGTCTCAGAGAAAAAAAAAAAGAAAGAAACATGAAGGTAAAGCAAAGACTAAAATATATTTTATTAAATGGAAAGAACAACAGTGTGGTTGAACAGTTTACTTAGTGAGTCAATCCCCAGCAGAAGTATCAACCTATGGTGGGACGCATTGTAGCTGGTGGCTCAAGCCTGTAATCCCAGCAGTTTGGGAGACAGAGGCTGGTGGATTATCTGAGGCCAGGAGTTCGAGACCAGCCTGGCCAATATGGTGAAACCCCGTCTCTAATAAAAATACAAAAATTAGCCAGGTGTGGTGGCACCCACCTGTAGTCCCAGCTACTCACGAGGCTGAGGCACGAGAATTGCTTGAACCCGGCAGGTGGAATTGCAGTGAGCTGAGATTGTGCCACTGCACTCCAGCCTGGGCAAAAGAGTAAGACTCCAACTCAAAAAAAAAAAAAAAGTATCATCCTAAGAAGGGAAATGTAAACAGAGTGAACACTCCATTCACTGCCTGCAAGACTATCTGCCTGCCAAATGAACACAGGAGCCAAAAGGACAAGTCACTATTTGGAAGGTGCCAATGTCGGTGATGAATCACCTTGAATAACACTTGAGAGTCTGGCATTGCGAGCACTTTGCTATATGCAGATCAAGGATAAATGGGTATGTATCAAAGATTAGTCCCTTAGAATAACTCCTTCACCAAGAAAAAAATATTTATGGAGCATCTATGATGTGTGCAAGGATCCTCCTGCCCACTAAGGGTCCTTTTCCATTTGTCAGGGTACATAAAAAGGAGAAAATAAAAACCTTTCCACAACAAGCAGCACTCAAAAGTTGCTGGTGACTAAACACAGTTTTAAGGCTCACATGTACAGCAGAAAACTCCCTACTAAATCCCCCTGTTTCTACCTCATATACTTAGTTTTTCCTTTACTTCCAGCCTTATACTTTATTTTTTTGAGACAGAGTCTCGCTCTGTCGCCCAGGCTACAATGTAGTGGCACTATCTCAGCTCACTGCAACCTCCACCTCCCAGGTTCAAGCGATTCTCCTGCCTCAGCCTCCTGAGTAGCTGGGATTACAGGTGCGTGCCACCACGCCTGGCTAATTTTTGTATTTTTTTTTTAGTAGAGATGGGGTTTCACCATGTTGGTCAGGCTGGTCTCAAACTCCTGACCTCGTGATCCACTGCCTTGGCCTCCCAAAGTGCTGGGATTACAGGCATGAGCCTCCACGCCTGGCCCCACCCTTATACTTTCTTATTTGTTTTTCTAAGGCTTTCCCACTCTGTCATTTGATGTTATTTTACTGGGTTTATTTCCAAAGTTCCTGATTTATTTCCAAAGTTCAGAGCTGCTTATCCCCACTTTTTCCAGCTGAACAGGTTTACCAAATCTAAGAGAAATACTGCCCACCCAAAGGATGGACTTAGCCTATTGCTTTCATACCCATTCTGATAATGAAATATATAAAAAAAAATATATATATATATAGGAGTAAACTCATTTAATTGCCTGGTTCAGTGTCATCCTATTGTGATCTAATGAACCCAACTTCCTCCCCTAGAAATACGTAACATCCTTATTCCAATAAAGAAACAGGAAGAATGCATTTTGGGGAAAGATAGACATTGGCAGAGGAAAAATGGAACGGTCTTCAGCTCTACTTATAATGTGCACTGGGCAACTAAGGATAAACCTGGGAAAAATTGGTTTTGAAGACTTGAAGGAGGAAATAGAGAAGTAATGGACATTGTCATATCTCTTGATTTTAAAGAAACAGTGTGCATGAGTCAGCTAATAGGGATGTGCTGCCATAATTTCCAACCTCACCCTCATGCCCTGAGAAAATGTTAAGACACCAAGACACCAGAGAATAAGAAATGGAAAAATGGAACAAAGGACAAAAAGTTAAGTAGGAAGGAGAAGAATGAAGAAATGGAAGCAAATATAAGCACGGGAAGGAAAATAAAGAGATAGAGGTGAAAGTACATCTTTGCTCTGGTTGGTCAAGCATCTTCCTGAATCACCTGTCGCTCCTAATGAACTGCAACAACAGCACCGCTGAGCGTGAAACACTGTGGATAGACAGAGAAGCTGAAGCTTTTATACTCTATACCAAATAAATGTGATGCAGAGTACAAAGGGAAACAGCAGCTAAGCAGACAGGTCAGAGAAATCCAATTTGATGTGTAAGTAAAAAAAGAACTGGCAGGGTCTGGAAAAATCTAGCTTTTTAGGAAGAAATGGAATCTGAGGAGGGGCATCATAAAAGACTAAGGATTCACCTCCCTTCTCCCTCTTCAATATCATACTATCAATCTTTTTTGTAAATGGTAGAAATTCCACAAGCTCCTTTCCCCTCATCAGTTTCATGTACTCTCTAGTATATATAGAATCCATTATGCTTATTCCTATCTTTCTATCTATAATCTGCTGCATGTTGACTAAAGAACTGAAAACTGTCTTTCAGATACTTCCCTCATACTCTTGAAAAATCTGTGGTTAATGTGATACTAAGACATAGAAACAGTAGTCACAAAGACTAATCTCACAATCATAATCTATCTTTTGGTGGCGGGCTTTTTTTTTTTTTTTCCTGTAGGTCAATTATCAATTTGCATCCTACTGCTTACAAATTCAAAAGATCACAGCATTAGTGCATCCCTTTCTTCCTTTGAAGACTTTTAGGAAATGACTGTGCATTATCTAATGGGAATGTTGTGACAGTCTCCCCCTTCCAAAGTAGGTGTCTTTGCCCTAAATTCTAGTGAATATCTGGAAACAGAAACCTCGAACAGGTTTATCATTAAAAAGGCCAGGTCAGCTCAGAAAGAATTGGCTCAGAGAGAAGGAGCATATTTCTTTTTATCTACAAAGAGTCAATCAAATTGTCGAATGATAACCATGCTCACCAGCGTATCTTGCACAGAGTTAAGAAAGGAATTATCTGTACCTTAACAGAGAAGGCTACATTCAGCAATGATTATACTAACTAATCCCATGGACGGTATGTGCTCCATTGAGCTAGTTCTGCTCCATTTCTGGCTTGGAAAAGTAACAGTGTGTTTAAAATGTTCTTTAAACTATGTAATAAGTAACAGTGTTAAAAAAGAGTTTAAGCTGGGCCCGGTGGTGGGAGCCTGTAGTCTAGCTAGCTACTGTAACTACTCAGGAGGCTGAAATAGGAGCATCCCTTGAGCCCAGGAGTTTGAGGCTGTAGTCAGCTATAATCGTCCCACTGTACTCCAGCCCAGCCAACAGAAGGAGACCCTGTCTCTCTTTTTTTTTTTTTAGATGGAGTTTTGCTCTTGTTGCCATAGCAATGGTGCGATCTCAGCTCACTGCAACTTTCGCCTCCCTGGTTCAATCAATTCTCCTGCCTCAGCCTCCCGAGTAGCTGGGATTATGGGCATTACAGGCGCGCGCCACCACGCCCAGCTAATTTTTTGTATTTTTAGTAGAAACAGGGTTTCACCATGTTAGCCAGGCTGGTCTCAAACTCCTGACCTCAGGTGATCCGCCTGCCTTGGCCTCCCAAAGTGCTGAGATTACAGGCGTGAGCCACTGCGCCCAGCCAACCCTGTCTCTTAAAAAAGAAAAAATATTTTAGTAGCCTTTACTACTAAAAGACATGCTAGCTAGCTACATGCTATAGAGAAAAATCTTCCCTTTAAATAAATTCAGATATCTTTTTCTTTTAAAACATCCAATGACTTGAGAGTATGCTTTCCAACTCATCCATGTTGATCAATTCCTCCTCTATTTCAGTTTGGTTGCAAAGTCAAACTTAAGAAACAGGGGTTAGACCTAGGAACGTTTAATCTACCTTTTCTTCAAAAGGTCAATTTCAACTATAAAAGAAGGTAGAATGTGGTGTACTGAGGAGTCTCAAGCACGTCATCATTCTCAATGGTCAAGAGATAAATACAATGGCTAAGCAGGCTACCAGGTCGAAAGTAAGAGTTGGCATGATGGAGCCAGGATATCAAAAAAGGAAGCAGAGAGTAGTAGACTGCAACAGAAAAACAGATGGTCCCCGGTGACAAGGAAGAAAAACATGGCAGGTTTAACAAGAGAAAAAAACCAGGAAACTGCAGAAGATGGGAGTGGCAACACAGAACTAAAGTGGCAGCCTAGACATCTCAACCTCTGATTAGCTAGACAACAAGGCCCACCTCAGCATCTACAGTGTTGGCTTTCATCTGGTACTATAGCTTCCTATGCAAGACATACTCCCACAATTCTGAGACCTTTACTTTTTAGAAAGACAAATAAATAAAACCTTTGGGCTGGGTGCAGTGGCTCACGCCTGTAATCCCAGCACTTTGGAAGGCCAAGGCGGGCGGATCACCTGCGGTCAGAAGTTCAAGACCAGCCTGACCAGCATGGTGAAACCTCGTCTCTACTACAAATACAAAAATTAGCCGGGTCTGGTGGCGCACATCTATAATCCCAGCTACTTGGGAGGCTGAGGCACGAGAATCACTTGAACCTGGGAGGCGTAGGTTGCAGTGAGGTAAAATCGTGCCACTGCACTCCAGCCTGGGTGACACAGCAAGACTCTGTCTCCAAAAAATAAATAAATAAATAAAACTTTTGAAAACCAGAATAATGATAGCAGGGTATAATTTGTGTGCTCCAAGCTAGGGGTTGGCAAACTATGGCCTGCAGGCCAAATCCAGGAAGTCACCTGTTTTTGTATGGCTAAGAGTGGTTGAAAAAAAAAAAATCAAAAGAATAGTTTGTGACATGTAAATATTACATGAAATTCAAATTTCAGTGCCCATAGATATAATTTTAAACACAGCCATGCCCATTCATTTATATATGGTGTGTGGCTGCTTTCACACAATGATGGCAGAGTTAAACAGTCCAGACAGAGACCACATGTCCCAAAATTATCTACTATCTGGCCATTTACAGGACGTTTGCCAACGCCTGCTTTATAACAAACTGAACACTTGATACGTTTAGCTGTTCTCACTGTAAAGAACTTGTAAGCCAGGTATTTCTTCTGGAAATTTTTCTTTAGATCATACTCCTCTCACACAGCCTGCAGAGGACACATAGGCTTTCAAAGCTAACTGAGCTCCAAAAACCAGAAGACTTAAAAGATCTTGCCTTCCGGCTGGGCACGGTAGCTCATGCCTGTAATTCCAGCACTTTGGGAGGCCAAGGCGGGTGGATCACAAGGTCAGGATATGGAGACCATTCTGGCTAACATGGTGAAACCTCATCTCTACTTAAAATACAAAAAGTTAGCTGGGCGTGGTGGCAGGCACCTGTAGTCCCAGCTACTTGGGAGGCTGAGGCAGGAGAATGGTGTGAACCTGGGAGGTGGAGCTTGCAGTGAGCTGAGATGGCGCCACTGCATTCCAGCCTGGGTGACAGAGCAAGAATCCATCTCAAAAAAAAAAAAAAAAAAAAAAAGAGATCTTGCCTTCCAATAAATGCGTTACCAAAGACCCATCAGTTTGGACTTATTTTCTAAGCCATAAAGAGAGATCTTATTAATGTCTACAAATACAACTCTTGATTATTTGTACAAACAGAGGGTATGGCAAAGACCACTACCACATACATGGCAAAATTCAAACCTAGTGATGTATTTGGTTGGAGGGTGTTCCTTAAGTATTACAGCTTTAAAGGTGGCCCCAGAATACAGGATTTATGGAAGGGTGTCAACAAATTATTAATATTTTATAACCTATCCAGCTCATGTCCAGAAAAACATAAAAGCAAATGCTCTAAAAAGACTGGAACGTTACTGATTCTACGTAACATGAGTATGAGTCAGGAAAAATACTGCCAATCCAAATGTTTAAAACAAAAAGCAGCCACGTAATTTGAAAGTAGTATATTTGAAACCTGTTTACATCTTCAGAACATTCCTGGCCTGATGATTAGATAGCAAAATCCGTCTGTAAAGCTGACTGTGAAGTTACCAAACTCAACCATTATTTTATTATAATTTGTTAAAAACTCTGCATCCAAAGGATTACAAGTCTACAACAAGAAAAAGCACAAAAACAATTTGTCAAACCGTGGGCCTCCTTTGAGTAACAAATAGCAATTTTTAACCTCTGGATAGCAGCTAGATATACCCTTGTCATCGTGAAGCTAAAATGACCCAGTTAACAATTGCAGGGAGTTGCTGAAATGAGGTATGGCTAGAAAAATGAAAGTCAGTCTGGCTTTAAAAGCAAAAGTCTACCATTAAACTAATGAAAGACTGCTCTGAGCACAGTATGTCAGGAAAAGGCAGGCACTCTGAGATCACCATCTTTGTACCTACATAACTGTCACTAGCTAAGAATCGCTGTGCAAAAAGACAAAAACACACAAAAGGAAACCAACAGATAGTACCGTTTGTAAAAGAATGTGATGATATTTTAATGCGAGGGGGATGGGAGGCAGCAAGAGAACACACACACCACACATCCTCTGGGAAAATGATCTCTCAGACACACACTGAAATGTTTTTAATCAAAGACCGATACAGTAGGAATGCACAAGGAGTGCAACGTAAAAAGAGGTCATCAATGTAGCTAGTGGCTTCAGTCACAGAAATAGCACGTGCCCCCACTGATTACAGCACCGCGGGGAGACCGTTATTAAATTATACCGTACGGCTCCGCTCCGGCCCAGGCTAGGAGGATGAGTGCGGGCGAGAAATGCAAACTCATCTGTGACTTGACCCAAGGGGCAGCCCCGTGAACATTCCCTTAAGAGGGCGAATGCATCTCACTCTCAACCATGTCCGGCCACGCCCTCCCGCAGGGAGGCCGCTAAAGTTTTGCTCGAGAGGGGAAACTGAGGTAGAGGTGATTTACATGCGTTGGCGGAGGGAAACCCAGGCAAGCCAGTCTCCCCGGGCCCGGGACCCCGAAGCCGTGGCTGTGGCGGGGATCCTCAAGGGGGCAGGGGGCGGCCCGGAAAGCGGGTCCAGACGATCCGGCTCGAAATCCCCTCCCCCCACAACAGCGTCGCCCGCCAGAGCCGCCGCCCGGTACCTCTCGATGACTGAGGCCACCAGCTGCGGCAACTCCTTCATCTCGAAGGCGGAGTAGGACGCGGACAGCAGGGGCCGCACAGCCACCTCCCAGCCCGGGGTCGTGTCCGCCCCCGTTGCCGGGGTCCCCGGCGCCGGAGCCGCTGCCGCCGCCTCTTCGCCGCCGCTCGTCGCCATCTTCCGTCGTACTACTGCGGCTCCCTCCGGGGGCTTGCCACCGGCCCAGCGCCGCCTCCCAGGAGGGGGCGGAAGTGACGCAATCTGTCGCGTCAGACTGCGCGCCGCCGTCATGGGTCAAAAACGCGACGCGCGGAGCGGCCTTTGCTCTCACCGGGGTCGAGCCGCGGCGAGGGAACGGATCGGAGACGCTGCGCCTGCTCAGAAGGTAGCGCAGCGGGGAAAGGCGGGAGAGCGTTAACTTCTGAGCCTGCGCGGTGGGAGTTGCTCAAGCAGGTGGTAGCGACTTGGCTTCCGGGCAGCGGGTAAAGGTGAGTCTGGGGCATGGGTTCAGTGGGCAAGTCTAGGGCAGCAGAGTTGACTACGCCTCGGCGTATAGAATGGCCCTGGCCTGGGACAGCTAAGGACGACAAGAGGAGGCCGAAGCCTAAAACGCTTTCACCTGCTTCTTCCCCTGCCTAGATCCCCCCAATAGTAATACTAAAGAGCGCCATAGTTTACAAAGATTTCTCCCTCTCACAACACCTTTTAATCACTGATCCGTATTCCCTTAGCACTCAAATCTCTTCTGTTTGGATTGCCCTCATTAACAATCTGACCAGCTCGTACAATGCATCCCTCTTTGCAATTTGCCACGTATGCTTACGTGTTCCCCTTTTTTCTACTGGCAAGGAAAGAATGTAAGCTTTTATTCACAGGAGATGTCTGAGACTTTTGCCGGTAAAATGATCTGGCTACAAGGTCTAAGAGGGAAAAGCAGTTTGCTCGAGGAAAGGTATTCGTGCATTAAGGACAGTCCTGTGAGTGAGATATTGGTGGACGGCTTCAAGCTCTAGCCTGTGGCCTACAGCTGGCCTAAATAAGACTGGGAAGGAACTGTGAAGACGGTTTCAAATTCCTAAAGCCCTGAAATTCTCCCCCTAAGTTTAGGAAGAGCTTTTGTTCTTGGTGTGTAACACTGATAAATGAATTGGTACCTAGTGATTAATCTGCACTTTTATTAAGATATGACCTACTTTACCTTTTTTGAGACAGGATCTTGCTCTGTCGCCCAATAGCCCAGGCTGGAGTGCAGTGGCAGAGTTGCAGCTGGCTGCAGCCTCCACCTCCCTGGCTCAAGTGATCTTCCAGCCTCAGCCTCCCCAGTAGCTGAGACTATACAGGTGCAGGCCACCACTCTTAATTTTTTTTGTTTGTTTTTAAGAGACAGGTCTCCCTACGTAGCCCAAGCTGTTTTCGAAGTCCTAGGTTCCTCCCACCTTGGACTCCCAAAGTGCTGGGATTACAGGCTTGACCCACTGCGCCCAGCCTGCATCTTTACATTCGAAATAAAATTCAGTCAAGTCAAAGCCGGTCTTGGAGGAAAATGTGGCTTTGATGACAGCAGTAGGGATTTTCCTTCAGTGCCTACTTACCAGAGGATAATAATAACAGCAAGTTTCTTAAACATAAAAACATCAGAAATGAAAAAGAACTTTCCATAACACTATAAATATTGCAGTATTTCAAGATACTGAACCAGAGCCCTAAGGAAAGGCTGGAGACCCAGAATTTTATAATGGCTTTGGGACATGAATTTTATTTTAACCAGAGGACAAAATTAATCTGCAAAAGCTGTCTTGGAGAAATTTCAGGAAATAAAAGATCAAATGTATCTGCTGTCCTCCCTTCCCTCTCCAGGAGAATAAAAGGCAAATGCAAACTATCACAGGGAGATTTTCACCTTTACCTAAATTATTTATTATATACTTTATATTTCTGGTTAATAGATTGGGAGAGAGCACTCCAGATAAAGAACTTCCTTTATAAATGCCACATTTATTTCAGTACTGGAGGTTTGGTCTTGTGTTGCCACAAAGATTTGGAATGGCATCTATGTTATAAATTTAGATGACAAAAGAGACTAATAAAAGACTTCTAGATGAAACACAAGCTTCTAATATTCTGGTCCAGGAAATAAGATAGAAACTAAAAAACAATAAATAACTTTTATGAATTAACTGAAGGACTTAAAATACTTGTTCCATTCTAATCCCAAGTGTCTGCCAAGGAACTGAAATTTAAAATGATAAAAGACATGATACAGTCATGTTACAGGGAATTCAATGAAGTAAAAATGGCAGACATTGATGAATGGTATGGTTTAAAGATTTGTGTAGAGGTAGTGATGAGGAGGCCTGCTGGGAGCTGGAAAAGTTCTATACCTTGACACAGTTATGCTTACATGGATATACACACACAGTAGTCACTAAGCCATGATTTGTACTTATGATTTGCACACTTTGGTGGTTGTAAATTGTACAGCAATCTAAAAACAAATGAGGTCAGTGTGCCTCACTACAGAGCTTCAAAAGTGGTAGATAGCACATCTCTTTTTTCTTTTAAGCCATCTAATACAGAGTTGCTTGGAATAAATCCTAATAGATACAGTGTTTCTAGAAACAAGTAAATGAATAAACCTTAGCTGTTACCCCGTAGGAGCCAACAGAGGTCAATCTGTTCTCAAGCTTTTACAAAGTTACAAGAACAAGTAATCAGTGCATATTTTGTTGAAACTCCTACTGCAATACTGAAAACTTCAAATGGAGAGCAGCTCCTTTTTGGTAATTCACAACAGACTTAGTTTTCAAATTACCAAGAATATAAGGAATTAGATTAGAAGCCTAATTCAATTTAGAATTATGAGACATTATTTGTAACCCACAAGTATTATTTTTCCCATGATACTGAACAATTCACCTGGCATGAACTTAAAAGAAGAAAATGCTTATTGCAGCCTTCTTGCTTTAAGAGCGAAAAAAACAATTTTGCTAGCTGTGGAGGGACTAGAATACAATGTCACTTTAAGATTTACACTCTCAAAAGTTTTGACCTATCAGATTGAGAGCCAGAGAGAGAGACAGACAGAAGGAGAAGGATAAATCAAATGTGGTAAAATGTTAACCTTTGGGGGATCTGGGTAGAGGGGATCTGGGAATTATTTGTACTATTGCAACTTTTCTGTAAGTCTGAAATTGTGTTGTCAAAAGTCAAAAGAAAAAATTTATAAATACTTTATCATCCATTTGCTTTATAATTAGGTACAGAGTATGATGACAGAGAGAGCCTACTGTATGCCAGATACTTAACAGAAGGAAAGTAGTTTATATGTAAACTCTGGGAAAAGTGGAGCCAAATGATTACACTGTGTGTACCCTTTAGCACTGTTTGGGGTGGGGACATGGGGGGTCAGGGTGCAGAGAGGGACTGTTCTGGTCTCCTTGGAAGGTATGTGCCTATAGTAAAAAGCATGAGTAAGATATCACATCTCCTAACTCCGTAACAACCAAGCAAACTTATAATAGCATTTTAACTTATATCACCTTTTTTATAGGAGCGGATATATATTCCAGCAGCATGAGTATTTTAGCCCTCTTTGCAATTGCAGTCTTCATTCATTATCATCAATAAACTGGCCTCTGGTTGATTGATCTAGTCTAGTTCTTATTTTATCACAGCACATGGGATATATGATATCATCAAAGCCATGATGTGAACAAACCATGAGGTATAATGGAGTTTGTATGAGTAATTGTGCCTTTTAATTATAGTTTTAGTTTGCTTTCTTGACTTCCATTCATTCAGATTGCACATTAGGGGACAGAGAAGAGGGTGCTTCAATATAAACCTTTGGCTATTTTACAAACACACTTTGCTAAATGTTCTTAGTCTCTATCCTGCAAAAGTCACCTTCTTGGATCAGAAATATATAAAAGCCTTAGTGCTGGTGGAAAACAGGCTTCTTCGTTGGAGGTCAGTCTCAACTAACTTCACACTCTGATTCCTAAAAAAAAATGGGAAGGTGGGTGTGTACACATCCTTTATGTTACAAATTTCTTACTGGAAAGGTGACCTAAATATTAGACTTTCCCGAAAGAGTATTGAGTCTCATAAAAATCTCTAATGGAACAGCACTTAAGAATTTCAACCGTGTGACCACTAAGAATGGTGTAGATCCATTACCTCTCACATAGGCACTCTCCACGATAGACTAAGTGATAAAACCAAGCTGCAGAAGATTGTATTACCTGGAGAGATACCAAATTGTTCAGTGGTGACCTCTGGGAAACATGGTGGGGGAGGTTTTGAAGGCAACACTCACCTTAATTTGGGGATATTGTTAAAAAATTTTTTTTACTTACATAGTCTTTTTAAAATAAAGAACTTAGCCACAAAATCAAAACAGCTGATTGATATGAAGCACCAGTATCTCCATTATTGAAAGGTTGCTTCAAGAATGCTGAATAGTTTGTTACATTTTACAAAAAAATGAAAGAGCACAGGATGTTGTCTACCTGTTTTAATTATGGAAGGATAATTGTCAATTTTTAAATAGCAAGATAGTTATAAAGAATGTTTTCCAAAGCAATACCAAAGAGATACTTTTCCCTTTTAGAATAGAAATTATGGTACCATGCAGCTTATTTCCCCATATTGATCAGGTGAGCATTTGTCTTAAGGAGTAAGAGAGTTTGTCAGACCTGGTGTCCATGGCTTGCCAGAGAGGCAGATTGAACTATCTCTTGGCATTTCCATAAATATACAAAAATTAGCCGGGCATGGTGGCGCACGCCTGAGCCCCAGCTACTCGGGAGGCTGAGGCAGGAGAATCGCTTGAACCAGGGAGGCAGAGGTTGTGGTGAGCCGAGATTGCGCCACTGCACTCCAGCCTGGGCAACAGAGTGAGACTCTGTCTCAAAAAAAAAAAAAAAAAAAAAAAAGAATTATTGGGGCCAGGCACGGTGGCTCACGCCTATAATCTCAGCACTCTGGGAGGCCACACAGGCAGACCACCTGAAGTCAGGAGTTCGAGACCAGCCTGGCCAACATGGTGAAACCCTGTCTTTACTAAAAATACAAAAATTAGTTGGGTGTGGTAGCACACTCCTGGAGTCCCAGCTACTCGGAAGGCTGAGGCAGGAGGATTTCTTGAACCCGGGAGGTGGAAACTGCAGTGAGTCGAGATCAAGGCACTGCACTCCAGCCTGGGAGACAGAATGAGACTCTGTCTCAAAAAAAGGAAAAAAATCCTTTACTAAGTCACCGAAGTCTTAGAAATTTGGGAAACTGAGGACAAAGTTCCTAAGGGTTCTGGAGAAGAAGGTACAGCCATTTGGGGAACTATTTGTCAAGGAGCAACTTCATGTCTGGGACAATAGGTAATTCAGAAAACAGTCCCTAAGAGACACAATATCTGAAATAATAAAGGGGTGTGGTATATCACTCAGGAAGTTACGTGGTAAGCAGCCAGGATGGTTGAAGGTCCTGAGTAGCTGAAACCAATAGGGAAGACTTTATGGAGGAGTTCAGATTTGAGACAAGCCAGATTTTAAGCAGGGAAGAAAACATTCCAAGTAAAGAAAACAGAATGGTTTCATGATTTAAAAGCAATTTTTTCATTTTATTTATTTTTGAGACAGGGTCTCACTGTGTTGCCCAGACTGGAGTGCAGAGGCATGATCTCGGCTTACTGCAGCCTTTGCCTCCTGGGTTCGATTCTCCTGCCTCAGCCTCCCAAGTAGCTGGGATTACAGGCATGCACCACCACACCTGGCTAAATTTTTTTATTTTTTTGGTAGAGATGGGGTTTCAGGTTTCACCATGTTGGCCAGGCTGGTCTTAAACTCCTGACCTCAAATGATCTGCCTGCCTTGGCCTCCCAAAGTGCTGGGATTATAGGCTTGAGCCACCATGCCTCGCCTAAAAGCAAAATTTTAAATAATTAGGAATCAGGAAATGAGTCTTGGGATGATTCTGATGATACTTTGTGTAATAGGCTCTTTAAAAGTATGACAATTTATGGGCCAGGTGCAGTAGCTCATGCCTGTAATCCCGGCACTTTGGGAGGCTAAGGAGGGAGGATCACTTCAGCCCAGGTGTTCGAGGCTGCAGTGAGCTATGACTGTGCCACTGCTCTCCAGCCTGGGTGACAGAGACCCTGCCTCCAAAAAAAAAGCAATTTATAAAGGCAGTGAAATTACAATTATGAAATTTTCAAATTGAAAGATGCCTTACGGAGCACATAACATGTACCCACACACAAATAATGAAACTAGTTCAGATTAGATAGCTTACATTAAAGTCTCTAACACTTAAATTAGGAATTGAGTATTTTTTCTATCAGACTTTGTTCCAGAAACTATTTCAGTCATCTTTATGAATACATGATATTCAAGATACATTAGCTGAGCCTTTATAAAAACATCTCATGTACCCCATAAGTATATGTACCTAATATGTACCCACAAAAAATTTAAATAAAAAACTTTAAAAGATCCATTAGTTGAAAAAACAAGTAACAGAATTAAATAGCATCATCTCATTTAAGAAAACACTGTATACAAGAACAAACACTAGACTACCAGTGCTCATATACGTAATTAATGAATACTAAAACAAACTAGTTTTTGTTTTTGTTTTTGAGCCAGGGTCTCACTCTGTTGCCCAGGCTGGAATGCAGTAGCATGTTCATGGCTCACTGCAGCCTCGACCTCCCAGGCTCAAGTGATCCTCCTACCTCAGCCTCCTGAGTAGCTAGGACCACAGGCACATGCCACCAGGCCCGGCTAATTTTTTTTTATTTTTTGTAGATAGAGTCTTGCTATGTTGCCCAGGCTGGTCTGGAACTCCTGGGCTCAAGAGATCCTCCACTATGGCCTCCCAAAGTGCTGGGATTATAGGCATGAGCCATCACGCCCAGCCAAATCTTTTTACGTGAAACACCATGGGGCCCCAAAATTAACCTAATTAATGAAGACAGGAGAAGAGGTAAGTCAAGGAATACACACAAAAAACAAGGAATGACAAGAAAGCAAATAGATCAGAGAATTGAGAGAGGAAACATAGTCTCAGCAGCCATTAGTGGAGACTGAGTGTAGCTGCTCAGAACCGAATGCTGCTTTAAGATTAAGGAAAGTTGAGAACTAAGAAAAGATTTAAATTGGACTGTGGCATTAGCATTAACTATTTTAAGCACTTGGCCAAGCTCGGTGGCTCACACCTGTAATCCCAGCACTTTGGGAGGCCAAGGCCAGCAGATCACTTGAGGCCAGGAGTTCGAGACCAGCCTGGCCAACACAATGAAACCCCGTCTCTACTAAAAATACAAAAAATTAGCTGAGCGTGGTGGCACATGCCTATAGTCCCAGCTGCTTGTGAGGTGGAGGTTGCCGTGAGCCAAGATCGTGCCACTGCACTCCAGCCTGGGCAACAGAGTGAGATTCTGTCTCAAAAAAAAAAAAAGCACCTGCTTTGAGGTAACTTTGATTACAGCTGAAATACAGGGAATTTTACTAAAGGACAAATACCTTCCCTCCCAGTAGCTTGTTTCAGATTCTGGCACACTGGTAAATAAAAACTAGAATCTTGCAGGCTAACCTTGCACATATGTATGTAAGACAGTCAGAATTCCAGCCAGGCTTTCTCAAAACTAGGGCAGAATTTTTTTTAACTTGTACTTAACTCTCTTCTCCCAGGTTATGTTAAAATATGCCTTGGGTCAGGATGATAGATGCCTGTTTTTTTCTGGAGATTCTTAGACATTCAGTCACTCAATATCAAACTGACAATTAATAAAATGGTTGTCATTTCCTCTTCCTTCTCTGCCATAATCTACCATCAGCATATGACCATAGAAAGATGACAAATTTTTAGATAACCTAACCAACCCATATATGATTAAACTGACCTTTCCTTACTAAAATAAAATACACTTACTCCATGTCTTCACTGCTTTTATCCCCTCTAATGTGAAAATAGCCTCAAAATGATCTTCTAAGACACAAAAGAGGACTTAAACAGTGTCATTTGTCACTTGCTTTATGCAAACATTCGAGTGTACCTCTTTCACCACAGGGCTAGAGATGGTCTACTCTGTACATACATTTCACAACAAAGAAAAATTCTGTCATTCCCCAACTCTATGACCAAGGAAAACTTTTAGGATTTCTTTAATTTGTAGCAGAGACACAGTGGCCTAGCCAATCGGCAGTGCTATACACACAGTATGCCAGTTTCCCACCCCTACCCTCTTTCTCCTTTTTTAAAGCTTCAAAGGTTAGATCAATAAAATTTAAAATTTCCTCATTTAAGGAGAAATATAATGACCCACATGTTAATTTATATTAAAAACTAAAAATAAATAATGGGGTTCTTAAACAAGGACATCTTTAACTAGGTTATGATTAGACCAGCCTGTGGGTGAAATGAGAGATTATCTCTTCTCCCTGGAAATGTCTTCAAGGCTCAGACAATTCAGTAGTTTTTAAAAGGCCCCAACTCACACATCTCAGGTGAAAAGTATAGGCAATGGGCAACAAACAAGACGCTAGTATGCACTTGGCTTCTGATAAATTGAAACAAAGATTTGGTGGCCCAGCCTAATAAATGACAGCACGAAACTAGAGGTTTAAAGTAAGTTTTGACATCACATATAGATCCCTCAACCCTAAGTTACTTTGGAGGGAAGCCATGAGAGGCTGGATCAGTCCTCAAGCCTCAGCTAAGGATGGATCCTATTTCTTCCCAGTGCAAAACACCAAATGTACCTATAAGGTGGAGTCGGCAAGGAGAGTTCCCCTCTTACTTTGAAGCAAGAGATGGAAAAAGTCAGAAAGATTTCTAGATAAAATTGAGAAACACAAAAGGCAAAGTAAAGTCAATTTAAACAGGCCTCACAAAAATCAGCCGGAATTCTTATTAAAAAAAACAAAACAGAACATTCATGGATGGGCAAAGAAAGGAAACAATGCAGACGCCTTTGGACTTCAAGAGAAAGCCCATCAGGAATCTCTGAGAGTGTCAGCTGAGAGAGTTCTGTCTCTCTCCATGTAGGATCCTTTCTGCATCATGTATATCCCAAAAGGAGTTCTGCGTGAAGGTCATCCATCTTCCCTACAGTTCTTAGCTGAGCACTGACACACACACATACTCCACCAATCCACCAAACTGCAGCTGTAGCTGCTTATCTGACCCACACTCCCCTGGCTCTCCACTTTTAGGCACAGTCTTTGTTCTTTATCGCCAGGCCCGATTCAGGAGCTTCACCTGTGCCAGTCTCTTAGTGATCATGGTGGCAAAAACCAGGCCAAAGAGGACGCTGCTGATTAACACGTAGTCATAGTCATCCTTCAGAACGTCAAACTGCTTGGATGGGTAGACTCGAGTTTGGTAAATGTCCAAACCATAGGCCACAACCTGGAAGGCAGATGGAATAAGAATTAGGAAAGAAACAACCAATGATCCACCAAGGGTGAAATAGGGCAGCTGTGGGCTCTACTCACCAAACAAGTGGACTCCAGACCCGAGGGAGCTGTGTAGATACCTCGCATTCGAGAAACTGTCTGGTTATAGTTGATGAATCGCTCTGCGTGTATCTGTACATCTGGAGAATACGGGATTAAGTTCTCCTCTCTGCAAAACACCAGCCGGGACAGGCAGTCTGAGCACTGCTGTAAAGGGATCTCTTGGCTGCCCTTCCTGAGTCCTGGGAGGTTTCCAGGCTACATATCTAGCCTCAAATCTCCTAGGAGGTCTGCTTGCATTAGGTAGTTAAAAATTTAGCAGCTGAATGTTAGGAAGGACTACAAGAAAGGAAGCTCTCTGGAGAGTAAGACTGAGATCTAGATTCCTACTTTGTTCTAAATCTGAAAAGAAAGAACATACAGATGACTGGCACTTCACACCACAAGAGGAAAGCCGACCATTTTAAAGCCAACACACTGAACCACTAAGCTAATTCCTGCTCTCCACTCCAGGGTGCCTCTCAGTCCCCATTTCTCTGAAACCTGATTATCATCCTGTGTCTTTTCCTAGCTTTAACCTCCTCTCTCTCATATACTTCTCCAAAACACACTCCTCTCCATTCCTCATGCCCCTAGGCAAAGAAATTCAGGATGGAGGTAAGAAAACCCGACAAGATGGTGGTTGTTAATACAACAATACCAACAGTGAATAAGATATTGGCTTGCCCACATGGTCTGGCCCGAATTACCTCAGTGATCTCATTTCCTAGCGTTGCCCTCCGCAAACTCACCAGACATGATCTCAGGGGATTTGCATTGCCTGTTCCCTCTGCCTAGAAAGTTCTTCCTCAGGTATCTACACAGCTAGCTCCTTCACCTCCTTCAGGCCTTCACTCAAAATGCACCTTCTCAAAGGGGCTTTCCCAGGCCACCTCTCAAATTACACCCACGCACATCCCCATCCCCACTTCCTAGCTCATTCCTGTTTTACTCTGCTTAGCATTTGAGTACCTAACATAGTATATATTTTACTTGTTTATCTTATGTATTTATTGTCCATTTCCCAGCAGACTGTAAGCTCCATGAGGGCAGGTGACTTTTTCAGACTTGCCCCCTGCTACATCCCCAGCCCCTAGCACAGCATGAAGGCACACAGAGACCAAGAACCAAGCTTAATCAGTGAGGTTAAGTTATGTAAGGTCAGAGCCTTCAGCACTGCCCATGAGGGTCTCACCTGCTTTGTTCTGTTGGGATCTCGGGGCGGCGGGGATCCAGCAAAGCCTTAGGAAGGGAAAGAATTGCTCCAGAAGGTAGTCCAACTACACAGGAGGAAGTGAATGTTCACACCGATCCAGTGTCCAGCAAGGGCCAGTTACAAAAATGTCATTATTGCAGACATTTAAATAAGAATTTAAAACAAAAAAATGGGTCAATGAGGCTCCCTTACATAGCCAAAAATAATAATCCAATGATACGCATGGGTCTGAATGAAGGTTCTCACTTTTGAAGACACTGGTTTCTTAACTTTCTGAGACACCAGAAAATAAAGTTCTAGAATCAAGATATGGATAATGATGAAAGAGAAAAATGTAGAAGGCCACTTGGATTTCCTCATGCCTCTCCCCGGGGCCTCCCTCCCATACCTCCCCCAGCAGGAAGTCTCCTTCCCATTGAGCAAACGCAGCTGTTCATGCAGCTGCGGTACAGTGGCCAGGGAAGACTGGAGGACCAGGCATGATCAATCATAGCACCAGTTTCAGTAATGGTGATTAAAGCTGATAAACTGCCAACAGGGCTGGCTTCTTCATATTTAAGAATTCAATAGGCCAGTCGCGGCGGCTCACACCTGTAATCCCAGCACTTTGGGAGGCCGAGGCAGGTGTGGATCACAAGGTCAGGAGATTGAGACCATCCTGGCCAACATGGTGAAACTCCGTCTCTACCAAAAATTTAAAAATGAGCTGGGCACAGTGGCACGCACCTGTAGTCCCAGCTACTCAGCAGACTGAGGCAGGAGAATCACTTGAACCAGGGAGGCTGAAGTTGCAGTGAGCTGAGATCGCACCACTGCACTCCAGCCTGGGTGACAGAGCAAGACTCTGTCTCAAAAAAAAAAAAAAAAAAGCAACAGCAATGCCAAGTGCCCATCAGATCTGAGAGTCCCAAACATCTTCGGTAAAATCAACTAAACACAGGAACCTGTTAACCACTAAGTCCTAAGTCCTGGGCTTAGGTTACATAAGGATGAGATTTTAGGGCTGGCGCAGTGGCTCACACATATAATCCCAACACTTTGGGAGGCCAAGGCAGGCGGATCACTTGAGGTCAGGAGTTCAAGACCAGCCTGGCCAACATGGCGAAACCCCATCTCTACTAAAAATACAAAAATTAGCCGGGCGTGGTGGTGCACGCCTGTTAACTACTTGGGAGGCTGAGGAGGAGGATCACTTGAACCCAGGAGGCGGAGGTTGCAGTGAGCCAAGATCGTGCCACTGCACTCCAGCCTGGGCAATAGACCCTGCCAGTTTCTGCAAGCTGTCAGCACAGGCTAGCTATGTTAACAATGCTATCAGGAACTGACTTTTTGAGCTAGGTGAAAATGCCAAATAGAGAGGTGGTATATCAGAAATGAGGACTGAAGGCCAGGCAGCCAGGCACGATGGCTCACACCTGTAATCCCAACACTTCAGGAGGCCAAGGCAGGAGGATCACATGAGCCCAGGAGTCTAGATCAGCCTGGGCAACATGGCAAATCCCTGTCTCTACCAAAAAAAATTTTTTTAATTAGCCAGGTGAGCTCAGGAGGTTGAGGCTGCAGTGAGTCATGATCACACCACTGCACTCCAGCCTGGATGACAGAGTGAGACCCTGTCTCGAAAAACAAAAAAAAGATGAGAACTGAGAGAGAAGTGGTCACCTTCATAGGTGGCAAAGATGAACTAAGAAACTTTTTCCACCGATATATAGCCCTCCTCACCACCTTTCCCTTACAGGTGGTTCAACAAGGCTCTGCCAGCAATGTGTCCCTTGCTCTGTCCTTAAGTGTGGTTGCCCAAGGGAACCCAGCCATCCCAGAGGCTCCCCAGTCACTCACTCAGCAGGTGTCGGCTGGTGATGCCCCGTTCGGTGATGGTGGCCTCCATGGCACTGATGGAGGACGGGAAGATATAGGACTGCTGGAGGACCTGGGGCAGCTGGGGGCGGTCCAGGGAGCTGAAGGCGGTGGCGTTGTATTGCTCAGTGCCCTCATAGAGCTCCAGTACGGTAAACTCGTTGCGCCGAGCCTTGGTGTTCCAGTACTGGTACTGCAGGGATAGGAGGTGGCAGCTCAGGGCTTAGCAGCTGCTTCAACTGGAAAGGGAAATTGCACTGGAAGGCACCCCTCTAATTAGCTACAGATCCATGAAGGAGAACCATCAACTAGCACCTCACTTTTCTTCCTTACTATCAAGTTTACTAACTTTCAAAGTAGTTTTATCTAGGCTATCGAAAGTTCACCACAAAACAAAGGAAATTCTCAAGAGTCTTAGAAGCCATAATAGTAGCTAACCTTTGAATCATTACTAGGTGCCAGGCATTGTTCTTTGCTAGACTGAAGGTGACTGTTATTATCCCTATTTTAACAATGATGCAACACAGAGCGTGTACATAACTAGTTCAAGGTTATACAGTCAGGAAACGGAAGAGGTAAGATTAAACCTAGGCAATCTGATTCCTGAGCCCAGTGCCCTAACCGGCACGCTTTGCTGCCATCCAGGGAATTTGAGATCCTAAGAAAACCAAAGCAGCAACTGGGTTTCTGGAAAGGACTCAGGAGGCAGGGAGACCTCTGGAGCTACCTTGGGTCCCTGGTAGTGACCGCTTACCACCACCCAGTTCTCTGAATGCACGATATGGACAGGGCCTTTGGCTTTCTTCTGCACAGAGGAGTGAATGATACGCCCAGTGACGCCATCAATGAGGAAGATGCCAATAAAGGTGCGCTCATGGTGCGCGTCTGTGCTCTCTGTCACCACGGCCAGCAGGTTGGGGTTCAGGCTCTGGAGAGAGAGAGAAAACCTCCCTTAGAACCACGACGACTCATCACACACTCCATTCCTGTGCTGTGAGACCAACCTGGAGCTCTCCAGCCTGGCAGAGGAATCAGGGTTTCTGGTGAAAAGAGCTTCCTGTTTGGAATTTCTCATCACTGCACTTGTTTTATGTGCATTGGGTACTGGGTGCCATGCCAGGTACCTTGTATTTTATCTAATCCCTTAAACAGTCTTGCAGAGTAGCTATTATGGTCCACATTTTGCAGAAAAGTCCCAAAGTAGTTAAGCAGCTTTTCAAGTCACAGATAGCAAATGGTAACCCAAGACAAAATCCAGGTCTGCCCACTCATTGACCTAGGGACAAATGCTGCAGTGATATTTTTCTTCTGAGGGTCACCACCCCCCTCCCCATCGCTAAATCCAGTGGCTAAGTCTTGGCCCTCAACTTACTTGACCCACTAGTACCACGTGACGCAGGTGATCACTACCTCCTTGCGACATTTTCTCACCTGGCTTCCAGAACATCCCTGCCCAGCACTCCTTCTACTTTACTGGCCTCTCCTTCTCAGTCTCTTTTGGAGGTTCTTCCACATCTCCCCAGTTTCTTCATGGTGGAACACATCAGAAAGCTCTCAAGCCTTGAGCATTTCCGTCACACTTACCCTCGTGGTGATCTCAAGCCAATCTCATGGCTTGAACACCATTTATGGATGTTGGCAATGCCCAATGTATATATCCAAACCAGATACTCCTTTGAACTCCAGACTTCACTAAGAAATTATCTCAGTATCTTTTCTCAGATGTTTCATCTGAAACTTAACATGGCCCAAGCTGAACTGTTCTAACTCCTGCCTAAAATCTGCTCCTCTCTCCTCCCCAGCCAGTCACGACTCCATACATCAGTGGCTCAGACCTAAAGCCTCGAGTTATCCTTGACTCCTTTCTCTGTAACACACATATACCTGCTCTTGGCTCTACCTTCAAAAGTACCCAGAACCTGATCCCTCCTTCCCACCTCCATGCTACCAGCCCAGCTCCAGCCACCATCAGCACCTGGATGACCCCACAGCCTAAATGGTCTGCTTTCCTCCTCACCCCTCTACAGTCTAATCTAGGTCAAATGAGCCTGTGGAATCTCAGTCACTGATGTCACTCCTCTGCTGAAAACTTCCCAGTGGCTCTTCACCGTGCTCCAAAGTGAAGGCCACGGTGGTGGCCTGTGATCTGGCCCTGTTGCCCTCTGCCCTCAGCAGGCCTGACATGCCTCCTCACTCATCATCTTCTAGTTACCTGGTCTTCTTTGCTGTTTCTCACACATACCAGGAGCACTTTGACTTTTCTCTCTGGAAGGCTCTCCCCGCAGCTACCCACACAACTCACTTCCTCACTCAAGTCCACTCACTCCGTGCCACTTTCTCACTAAGCCCCTCCTTAGCCACCCGACTTACACTGTACCTGCTTTCCCTCTTCCCGGCTTTATTTTTCTCTATAGAACTGGTCACTTTCTAATATACTATCTAATTTACCTATTTATTTTCTTTATTATTAGCCTCACCCAACTATGATGAAAGCCTCACGAGGTCAGGAAGTTTTGTCTGTTTTGCCCATTTTATATCCCAGTGTCTAAATGAGTGCCTGCATCCAGCTAGCACTCAAAAACTGCTTGCTGCTGGCCGGGTGCGGTGGCTCATGCCTGTAATCCTAACACTTTGGGAGGCCAAGATGGGAGGATTGCTTGAGCCCAGGAGTTTAAGACCAATCTGAACAACACAGCAAGACCCCATCTCTAAAGAAAATAAAATAAGTGCCTGGGCACGGTGGCTCCCGCCTGTAATCCCAGCACTTAGGGAGGCCAAGGCGGGCAGATCACGAGATCAAGAGATCAAGACCATCCTGGCCAACATGGTGAAACCCCATCTCTAAAAATACAAAATTTAGCTGGGCATGGTGGTGCGCGCTTGTAGTCCCAGCTACTCGGGAGGCTGAGGCAGGAGAATCTCTTGAACCTGGGACGTGGAGGTTGCAGTGAGCCAAGATCGTGCCACTGCACTCCAGCCTGGTGAAAGAGCAAGACTCCATCTCAAAAAAAAAGAAAAGAAAGAAAAGAAAATAAGCCATGGTGACATGCACCTGTTGTCCCAGCTGCTTAGGAGGCTGAGATGGGAGGACTGCTTAAGCCCGGGAGGTCAAAGCTGCAGTGAGCTGTGATCACACCACTGCACTCCAGCCTGGGCAACATGGCAAGACCCTGTCTCAAAAAAAAAAAAAAAGAGTCAATAGCACTAATAATAATGTTAAGTATGTGGCAGGCACTATTCTAATCACTTTACATGTTATCATTAATCTTCAAAACAATCCTCTGACGTTGGTGCTATTATCCCCATTATACTGGGGAAAATTGAAGCTCAGGCAGCCTAAGAGATGAACAGCTAGGCCACGGCAGAGCCAAGTCTTAACAGTCAAACTAGAGGCTTGCACTGTGTTGCACTGGCTCATGCTTAGTGATCCAGCTTTACCGTCAAGTTCCGTGATCTCTATTCTATGACACCCCCTCCAATTCAGTCTCTGCTGTACCAGAGGGTGTAATTAATGTGCATTACTACTATCATTACATTCTCTCCCATAACAGTTTTGCAGCCCACTAGTCACCTTAATCTCCCTCTCTTTAACACTAACTAGAGTGTTGGATCACAGAGATGGAGTTTCTGATGGCTCGACTATGGTTTAACCCCAGAATGCTCTATCAGTACTACCACTAGTAATAAGAGCTGGGCTAGGCGCAGTGGCTCAAGTCTCTAACCTCAACACTTTGGGAGGCTAAGGTAAGAGAACTGCTTGAGGCCAGGAGATAGAGACCAACCTAGGCAACATAGTGAGACCCTGTCAATATAAAAATAAAAAATTAAAAAAAAATTTTTTTTTGAAGACAGGGTTTTACTATGTTTCCTAGGTTGATCTCTATCTTCTACAAAAATAAAAAATTTAAAAAAAATTTTTTTTGTTTGTTTGGAGACAGGGTCTCACTCTGTCACCCAGGCTGGAGTGCAGCGGCACAATTGCAGCTCACTGTAGCCTCAACCTCCCCAGGCTCAGGTGATCCTCCTACCTCAGCCTCCCGAGTAGCTGAGACCACAGGCATGCACCACCATGCCCAGCTAATTGTTTTTTTTGTTTTTTTTTTTTGGGGGTGGTAAAGACAAGGTTTCAGCCATGTTGCCCAAGCTGGCCTCAAACTCCTGGACTCAAGTAATCCACCCACCTCGACCTCTCAAAATGCTGGGATTACTGGCATGAGCCACCAAGCCCAGCCGTTTTTAAAAAATTAGCATGACATGTGCCTGTGGTTCCAATTACTTGGGAGACTGAGGTGAAAGGATTGCATAAGCCCAGGAGGACGAAGCTGCAGTGAGCCATGACTGCATCACTGCACTCCAGCCTGGGCAACAGAGCAAGACTCTGTCACAGGAAACAAACAAACAAAAAAAAAGTCAAAAAAATAAGAGCTAACATCTGTTGCTTACTTACCATATGCTAGGCACTGGGCTAGACATGAACATCCCATGTGATCATCACAACAAGCCCAGGAGGAGGGTATATTATCCCCATTTCACAAACAAAAATTAAGGCTCAAAGGGATTAAATGACTTACTCAAGGTCATATATGTACCAAGTCCTACAGCCAGACTTGAAGCCCTTGTTTTCCTGATTCGAAAGCCCTTGCTGTAGACCAGACAGCTGGCTGTATGTACCTTGTAGAGCACACTGCGGTCCCCCATCACACGGCCCTGGGAATGAACGTGCTCACTGCTGCGTTTCCCCTTCACCTTGACGATCCGCTGTACTTCTGGGGGAATGGTCAGCTCCCAACTCAGCTCAGTGGTGAGATCCTAGGGCAGGGGCAAAAAAGCCTGTAATCAGGAGGGTACACTTAGAACTGAAACAGCTGGAGTTAGACACATCCTACAGTTCATTATTTGAGGCCTTTGTGCAGGAAGGAATAGAGATCAGAACTAGAAAAATGAGCCAGGAGCAGTGGCTCATTCTTGTAATCCCAGCACTTTGGGAGGCCAAGGCGGGCGGATCACTTGAGGTCAGGAGTTCAAGACCAACCTGGCCAACATGGCCAAACCCCATCTCTACTAAACATACAAAAAATTAGCCAGATGTGGTGGCAGGCACCTATAATCCTAGCCACTCGGGAGGCTGAGGCAGAGGCTGCAGTGAGCTGAGATCACGCCACTGCACTCCAGCCTGAGTGACAGAGCAAGACTCAAAACAAAAAATAAACCAGAAAAACAGCAATAGAGATCTAGTTTATGAAGAAATTTCAGAACTCTCGGTTTGATTAAGATAGATACTAGACCGGGCGTGGTGGCTCACACCTGTAATCCCAGCACTTCGGGAGGCCGAGGCAGGTGGATCACCTGAGGTCGGGAGTTTGAGACCAGCCTGACCAACATAGAGAAACCACATCTCTACTAAAAATGCAAAATTAGCCGGGTGTGGTGGCGCATGCTTTTAATCCCAGGTACTCAGGAGGCTGAGGCAAGAGAATCACTTGAACCCAGGAGGTGGAGGTTGCAGTGAGCCGAGACTGCACCATTGCACTCCAGCCTGGGCAACAAGAGCGAAACTCCGGCTCAAAAAAAAAAAAAAAAAGATAATAAAGCCAGTAGGAAAGGAGGCGAACGCTCAATAGTATCCCGTTGTTTATCTGAGTAGGAAATATGCAAGGAAAATTTACCATTTATTACTAAACTCCAAGATCCCTGTATACTGGGGCCAGCAGTGAATGTCTAAGCTAACAGGGAGCTCAAAACATTTCGTGTATGATTGTTTATGGTCATAGGAAACCAACCAATAAACACTCATGGTTAAATACATTATTATACATCCATCCTATGGAATTATGCGGAGCCCTTGGGGGTGGAGACAGGAGGTAGTTACTGGCAAAGGGCACAAGGGCCTTCTAGGAGCTGGTGCTATTCTGTTTCCTGAAGTGGTCACCAGGTACACAAGTGTATTCCCTTGGTGAGGGTTCACTGAGCCATACCTCATGATTTTGCACTTTTGTCAATATTTTTCTGTAATAAAAAACTGAAGTTGACAAAACAATGAGGTAGAAAACCCATTAAATGAAAAAAAGCAAATTTCATAAGAATAAATATAGGTCAATTGCATGTGAATGAGAAAAAAAAATAAAATGGGCCGGGCGTGGTGGCTCACACCTGTAATCCCAGCACTTTCGGAGCCCGAGGCGGGAGGATCACTTGAGGTCAGGAGTTTGAGACCAGCCTGGTCAACATGGTGAAACCCCGTCTCTACTGAAAATACAAAAATTAGCCAGGCATGGTGGCGTGCACATGTAGTCTTGGGAAGCTGAGGCAGGAGAATCGCTTGAAACCAGGAGGCAGAGGTTGCAGTGAGCTGAGACTGCGCCCCTGCACTCCAGCCTGGGTGACAGAGCGAGACTCTGTCTCTAAAAAAAAATAAATAAAGTATGAGCCACACACGTGTGTCCACACAGCTGTTGATAGGGAATCATAAATACACAAGGACAGTAGAAAGAGGCACAGCAAACTGCTGACAGGCTTTCCACCTGGGGAGGGGAAGACCGCTGGGAATGGGGCTACAAGGGTCTGTTCACATTTTGCTTGTTCACCTCTCTGTATCAATGGACTCTTTTACAATGAGAATATACTCAATGTATTACCTAAATTTTTAAAATAGTGAAAATTATTAATAATAAGCCTTCATTGCCACAACCTTCTTTGAAAACATAAGAACTCACTAAAACATCCCCAGAGAGGAAGGTCACCAAGTGAGGGCAAAGGCAGCACACTCCCTTGTGGTCCCGGACTCGCGCACACAGCTGGCTCACTTCCCACAGACAGCTCTGCCTCCTTTGTCTTCCTTGGTCATTGTTCACTCAGATGATGTCCTCAGGACTCCAGATTCATGACACCCACACTCCAGTTCACTCCCCTGAATCTACAAAACTGTCTCTTTCAAGGTCCTCTTTTTATTAACTCAGAAGGATGATTTTATTTATTTATGTTTTCATTCACAAGGGTAAAGGATGTGTCTTCTGGGCAGACCATTTCCAGTGCTGTTTATGCTAAGGTTAGCTGTTACAAATGTCACAAAAGGGCGCTGCATTTTCAAAACAACAGCACCTCCAACTCAGATGGCATTTACCATGTGCCAGGCAGTTTTATGTGATTTATGTGTTGAATTCTCACAACAACCTTATGAGACAGGTACTTATCACCTTATTTTACAGATAAGAAAACAGAAGACCAGAGCCCAAGGTCACAAAGTTAGTAAGTGACAAACCTAGACTTCCAATCTAGCAAATTGGTTAAACTCTATGCCTCTCAAAAGGCCTTACAGGACAGGATGGGAGAGCTGTTTGTGAGTACACACCACAGAGTACTTCTCCAAACAGTCCTGCTAACAAGGCCATGCCAGCCCCTCGTGAACTTCAGAGCTGGACTTCACAGCCAGCGTGTATTACTGTTTACAAGAGTTGGTCTCAAGTATGTGAGGATTAAAGCAAACTGACCCCCTTTCTAGAAATAAAATTCAAAGCACACATTCCATCACGAGTTGGTCAACATCATCTTCATATAAAAGTACAACTTATTACTCAACCCACATTCCTACCTTCTACCCTCCCAAGAATGGAAAAAAAGTCCCATCTCTCTGCTATAGAAAAATAATGGGGCCAGGCGCGGTGGCTCACGCCTGTAATCCCAGCACTTTGGGAGGCTGAGGCAGGTGGATCACAAGGTCAGGAGTTTGAGACCATCCTGGCCAACACAGCAAAGCCCTGTCTCTACTAAAAATACAAAAAATTAGCCGGGCGCGGTGGCGCACGCCTGTAATCCCAGCTACTTGGGTGTCTGAGGCAGGAGAATCGCTTGAACCAAGGAGGCAGAGGTTGCAGTGAGCCGAGATCGCACCACTGCACTCCAGCCCGGGCGACAGTGCAAGACTCCATCTCAAAAAAAAAAAGAAAAAGAATGTGGAATGAAAGCTCCACAAGGGCAGAGATTTGTTCTACTGTGCACCACTCCATCCACAGCACCTAGAACCGTATCTGCCATGTAGTAGCTGCCCAACAAATATGAACAAATGATTGACTTTGTATCAGACATCAGGATTATGCTAATCTAAGTTTACAGTAGAATGAGTAGCATAATTCACTTCTTAGCCAAATGGCCAGGAAACACCTGCATCTCATCCACAAAGGGTTGTGCCAGGACATGCCTTCCTACCTTTCGAAGCCGATATCCACACAGCCGTCCCTGCTCTGCATCCACCAAATAGAAGAAGATGGAAGGGGCAAGCTCATGTAGCTGTCGCAAGACATTCCGAGTGGCTGGAAAAGCTGTGACCTTGAAAAACCCAGAGAGCCCAAGGAAAGAGTTAGGAAATTTCCCCATCAAAGAGAGCCTTAAGAATAAAACTGCAAATCAGTTGATTTGAACTCAGTTTAGGGTTTACATTCAGTTCTGTTAAGAACCTGAGTTTTCACAAATGCAGACACAGCCATCATTTCTCTTCGGGATGGCCTTAGAGCCCAAACACGTGCTGGGTGCAGAGAGCACTCCATCTCCGGGCCGCTGTGTTTGACCACCTGGCCCCAAACCGGACTCCGCTAGCATGTTCTCCATCCCCTCTGAAGACAGTACCTTGTATTCATCATCTATCAACAGCAACACCTTGGCGTAGTCTTGATCCATGACTGGGAGAAGCAAGGACTGCAAGATGGGGCGCTTCAGCACTGGGGGAGCTACCTGACTCCACTTCCCAAAAATGGGATTGAAGACATACAGAGAACTCATTCCCGACTCCTAAAATGAGCAAACTGTCAGGCTCCACCAACAAGAAAAGACTGCAAATCCTAGGGATAGACCTGAAGAGCTGGGACTCCAGCTCAACAACTGTGGGGGTTCTCTAGTCTTTGCCCTCTTTGTGGAAAATAAGTTCTTGGCTGTAGGTGAATAGTCCCCTAGGCTAACGTCACAAAGAAAAAAGTCAAACTGTCTCTGCCAGTTCTTTTTCGTTTGAGACAGGGTCTCTCTCTATCACCCAAGCTGGAAGTACAGTGGCATGATCAAGGCTCACTGCAACCTCTGCCTCCCAGGTTCAAGTGATCCTCCCACCTCAACCTCCCAAGTAGCTGGGACTACAGGCACAAACCACCACACGTGGCTAATTCTGTTTTTATTTTTTGTAGAGAGGGGTTTCACCATGTTGCCCAGGCTGGTCTCGAACTCCTGGACTCAAGCAATCCGCCCTCCTTGGCCTCCCAAAGTGCTGAGATTATAAGCGTGAGCCACCGCGCCTGGCTGCTCTGCCAGTTCTAAACAAGAACTAATAAAAAAGTCAAGTAACAATTCAGCAACCTGGCCGGGCGTGGTGGCTCACACCTGTAATCCCAGTACTTTGGGAGGCCGAGGCAGGTGGATCATCTAAGGTCAGGAGTTTGAGACCAGCCTGGCCAACATGGTGAGACCCTGTCTCTACTAAACATACAAAAATCAGCCGGGCATGATGGCGTGTGCCTGTAATCCCAGCTACTCGGGAGGCTGAGGCACAAGAATTGCTTGAACCTGGGAGGTGGAGGCTGCAGTGAGCCGAGATCGCACCAGGCAGCCGTTCCAGGAAAGTGTCTACCAAGCCCGCCTTCTATGCTAGAATGAATACACAAAAATCCATTCTAATTCTGGGAAGACACAAAAATATCTTTGTGTCCTGCTCTTCCTCAAAGAGAGAAGAGAAAATAGCCACTCAGCAACCAACAGCCAATGTTTAGAAAAGAGGAGAGCTGGCTCCCTACATAGCTGGTGAAGTCACACCCACTTTCTAAACAATTCCACATCAGTGCTGGATGGTTCCTCCACCCATGCATGAAACTAGAAGAAACAGAGTTCTAACCCCTGAATGTTCCTCATTAACTCACACAATTCCAAGGGCCTAGGAGCAATTTAAGTTACAAAATAGCAAAAAAGCCACACTGAGTCTGGCTCAAGTCAGAGCTGGATGCCTCACCTTGTCCTTCACCAGCAGGGTGCACTGTGGGGGATGGGGGAAATGAGCAGTAGTTCTCTGGACCATCAGTTTAAAGGAGGAGTCTGGCTTGACATTGGGTAGATACTGTTTCCACAGGATGGTGCCAGAGCTGCTCTCAATGCCAAAAAGCTGCAAGATAAACAAATACTTGGCTCACTACTAGAAAGAGAAACCAAAGAACTGAGTCTGTCCTTGAAAACTAGAACCAGTGTTATCCCTCACTGAAGGCTTTTTGTTCCTCACCCTCAGAATTTGAAAAGGTTCAGTAACTGGAGCTTAAACCCCACTCACCTTGCCTGAGGCTGTTACCATCACCATCATCTTCTGGAGGTTGAATTCATCTCTGGCCAGGGTGTCAATGTTGATCTCATTCTTAATCTGACTCCGGGGCTTCCGAGCATCATAAAACATTTTCCAGAGGTGGGAAGTCCATGCTTGCAGCAGGATAAGCTGAGACGAGAGGCGTTTCAGGAACATCCCCAGCAAGCCATCTGGTGTAAAGGAAAAGTAACATACTCTACATCAGACTAGGGGTCCATAAGGAGGTACATGATTTTCCTAATGAGGGATCTCTGCCTCTCCTCTGGAGCAATAAAGTCCACACTCTAGGCCACAAGCCCAAAGGGCAGTCCTGTATCTGATGCCCAAAGTCTCACACTCAGGTGAGGCTCATGCAGGAGCTTCCAAAAACTGCTTAACTGGCTCTTAACAACTAAACCCAGCTGGAATCTTGGAATAGGAGACTAAGAGGTCAGGGATCAGGCATGCAGGAGACAGCCATGCTGTGAATGTCTCCACCACAGCCCCACATCCAAGATGCTAAAAGAAGGTTTCTGGGTGCCATGACAAAGCCAGAAGAGGTATGAGTGTGGGGGTGGAGGGTGCAGGTCAGTGAATATGTATCATGAGCAGGTACTTCCATCTCCCATTGCTTCATTCCTACTTTGTCAGCTGTTTAACCTGCACCCAACAGACGTACTTGCAACGAGTTCCCAGGACCATCATTCACTCTTTCCCTGATTCCGTCAATGAAGCCACTGCCCTCCAAATCTCCTCCATTGGAGACCACAGATTTGTAAACAGATGCAAGGAAGCAAGGTAAAGAGCATGGTCTCTGGAATCTAGCAGGCCCAGATTAAGATCCCAGCTTCACCACTCACTGCGGGGTAACACTGAGAAATGTACTTCACCTTTTTGCTTCTGGTTCCTCATCTGTAAAGTGGCATGTAACCCACTGGACTGTTCCAAAATTACATCATACGATGTACATAAAGGATTTAGCGTGGTGGCTGGTACATGGTAATAACTCACTAAAAAAGGAGCAGAACCTCTGCTTATCTTATTTTCCACCCACCTCTGCTCAAGGAAGAGAAGTGAGAAGCAACAGGACAACTCACAAGCATGGCAGTCAACACACACACACACACACCCCAAGGATGTACCTCATTGGTCCAAGTTAGGAAGAAAAACAATTAACCAAAAGCTAGCCATGTGAGCAGGCAACGAGCAACAAGGCAGCAAGAAGCAGGTTTTACCTTGAATTGCTGGATCCAGGCAGCAGAAATAAACAGTAAAGTCAAATTAATCCTCAGCTTAAGAAAATGTGCATTGCCTAGCAGAGTGCCTGGTCCAGAGCAGGCCCTCAACAGCTATCCGTTGGAGGGCTGGATGAATGGAGAGAAGAGAGAGGGTGGGGGGCAGGACTGAATCAGAGCAGAGTGAATCAAGTTCATCCTGGCAGTTGGGACCATGGCCAGCTTTAGAGGGCACTGGGCTGTTTCCACAATACCCAGATCAACCCAATGGTGTCTCCAGACAGATATGGCTGCTGCTTTAGGGACAATGAGTATAAGGTGCCTGGCAAATTTTTAGTACACAGGCAATGGTAGCTATTACAATACCAAGTTAAGACTTTATTCCCCCCAGGCGCAGCAGCTCACGCCTGTAATCCCCAACACTTTGGGAGGCCAAAGCTGGCAGATCATGAGGTCAGGAGTTTGAGACCAGCCTGACCAACATGCTGAAACCCTGTTGCTACTAAAAATACAAAAATTAACCGGGCATGGTGGCGCATGCCTGTAATCCCAGCTACTCAGGAGGCTGAGGCAGGAGAGCTGCTTGAACCTGGGAGGCAGAGGTTGCAGTGAGCCAAGATCGCGCCACTGCACTCCAGCCTGGGTGACAGAGCGAGACTCTTGTCTCAAAAAAAGAAAAAAAAAAAGACTTTTTTCCCTCAGCTTTCCCTAGAGGGATTTTTCCCTAGCTTTCCCTAGAAGGATTCACAGTTCATTCTTTCACAGAAAAGAATGGTTTCATAAACCATATGGCCATGAATGCACCGGAACCTCATCACAGAGCTCATTCAGAAAAGACTAGCAATCTGCCCAGCCTAGGAAGCCAGAGATGCATGATACAGTGTCTCTTGTGGTCATTTCCAGACTGGCCCCTCCAGCAACTCTGCAGCTCCAACCTCTTAGGTTCATACCTGCCTTTTTGCCAAATTCTCCTTCCAGCTCGGCCTGTGCCCCAGTCAGGGGGAGGTCCACCATCTCTAGGCACACCACTTCTGCCAGGGACTCCTCACGGCTCCACAGCACCACCTTCCCTGCTACAGGAAACATTTTTACAAAGCTAAGCCTGGGGCTGGGCACAGTGGCTCATGCCTGTAATCCCAGCACTTTGGGAGGCCAAGGTGGGTGAATCTCTTGAGCCCAGGAATTTGAGACCAGCCTGGACAACAGGGCAAAACCTTATCTCAACAAAAAATAAATATCAGGGCTGGGCACAGTGGCTCACGCCTGTAATCCCAGCACTTTGGGAGGCCAAGGCGGGCAGATCACGAGGTCAGGAGATCGAGACCATCCTGGCTAACATGGTGAAACCCCTCTCTACTAAAAATACAAAAAATTAGCCAGGCATGATGGTGGGCGCCTGTAGTTCCAGCTACTCGGGAGGCTGAGGCAGGAGAATGGCGTGAACCCGGGAGGTGGAGGTTGCAGTGAGCCGAGATTGTGCCATTGCACTCCAGCCTGGGCGACACAGCGAGACTCCGTCTTGAAATAAAATAAAATAAAATAAAAATAAATAAATATCAAAAAATTAGCCAAGCATGGTGGCGAGCGCCTGTAGTCACAGCTACTTAGGAGGCTGAGATAGGAAGATCACTTGAGCCCGGGAGATTGAGGCTGCAGTGAGCTATGATCACGCCACTGTACTCCAGACTGGGCAACAGTGAGACCTTGTCTCAAAAAATAAATAAATAAATAAACAAAAGCTAAGCCTGTCTCCCAGATTTTCTAGAGAGACTCTTCTCGCTGACTCAGGGATTACTACAAGCTCTTGCATAAAAGGAGAAATGGCAGAGCAAGGGGCTGGAATCAATAGGTCAAAGGAGGAAAGTTCTGTATCCCACCGAGAATGCCAAGTTATTCTTCAAAAGCAGGTAACGGGGCCGGGCATAGTGGCTCATGCCTGTAATCCCAGCACTTTGGGAGGCCAAGGCGGGCAGATCACCTGAGGTTAGGAGCTTGAGACCAGCCTGGGCCAACATGGTGAAACCCTGTCTCTTACTAAAAATACAAAATTAGCGCCTATAATCCCAGCTACTCAGGAGGCTGAGGCAGGAGAATCGCTTGAACCAGGAGGCAGAAGTTGCAAAGAGCTGAGATTACACCATTCCACTCCAGCCTGGGCAACAAGAGCAAAACTCTGTCTCAAAAAAGAAAAAAAGAGCCAGGCACGGTGGCTCACACCTGTAATCCCAGCACTTTGGGAGGCCGAGGCAGGTGGATCACCTGAGGTCAGGAGTTTGAGACCAGCCTGACAAACATGGTGAAACCCCATCTCTACTAAAAATACAAAATTAGCCAGGCGTGGTGGTGCATGCCTGTAATCCCAGCTACTTGGGAGGCTGAGGCAGGAGAATCACTTAAACCTGGGAGGCAGAGGTTGCAGTGAGCTGAGATCATGCCACTGTACTCCAGCAGTCTGAGCAACAAGAGCAAAACTCCGTCTCAAAAAAAAAAAAAAAAGCAGGTGACAGGCCAGGCACGGTGGCTCACACCTGTAATCCCAGCACTTTGGGAGGCCGAGGCAGGCGGATCACTTGAGGTCAGGAATTCGAGACCAGCCTGGCCAACATGGGGAAACCCTGTCTCTACTGAAAATACAAAAATTAGCTGGTCGTGGTGGCACACGCCTGTAATCCCAGCTACTCAGGAGGCTGAGGCAGGAGAATCGCTTGAATCCGAAAGGTGGAGATTGCAGTGGGCCGAGATCATGCCACTGCACTCCAGCCTGGGCAAGAGAGCAAGACTCTATCTCAAAAAAAAAAAAAAAAAAAAAAAAGCAGGTGACATTTGGCTATGAACGAAACACTCAGGGCACACTCCACTTGAATCTCTTCCAGAAACCTGCAGCCTCCCAAAAAACAGTCTGATTGGAACACATTGGAAGGCCTGGGGAAATAAAAAAATGGGTTGAATGAGGTCTACTTACCCAACTGCTGCAGGAAAAGTAGCAGATGATCCTCTGTCTGCACCAAAGCCCGGTAGCCCACTGAGTCATCCTTCTTCAAGAACACCTGGATATACAGCTATAAGCCACAGTCAAGACCGGTGTAGTCAGTGAGGATCCAAATGCCTCTGAGAGCACCAGACCCCAGGAGTCAAAGCCTGGACTTAACAGAGGTACAGGCCATGGCATTATTTGATGTCTAAACAATGTAGCTATTATCTGGATGCCAGTAAGTGATACATATTCTTAGGAGCCAACATAATGATGCTGGGGTCTCCCAGACCTTTCCATGGAAGAACCTGAGTACTCCACGGGTACCACGCCATTCATCCATGCTCTAATCACACCCCACAAAGTGAGCAGGAGGCCGGGATTAGACTTTCCGCTTTAGAAACGAAGAAGCCACAGCCCAAGCAGCTGAGGAACACAACCAGATGCACACAGAGGCAATACTGGGTAGTGATGAGGAGTCCAGGCTGTGGGGTTAGACCTGAATCTGAACCGCAGTGACACCTCTTACTGGCTCCGTGACTCTGGCTATGGTACTCGATCCCACCAGGCCACAGAATCATTTTAAAACCAGGTCAGGAACAACCGCTTCATGAGAGTGTTTGGAGGGTTAAATCAATTAATGTGTAAGTTAAAAGCTTAGAACAGTCCCTGGTGCACAATGATGAGCTGGCATAAATAATACCCGCCTTTACTGTGACTTCTAACAAGTCAGTGGCTCAGAGAGCACTAGAACACATGTTTAGAGAGCCTAATCCAAGCCCCATGGCTAAGACCTGGCCCTGAGGAAAGGAAGCCATGTGCTGAGAAGCCCACAGGACAGTCTGCAAAGAAAGGCTCTGCCTTACCCGCTCAGGCCGAGTGCCGCTCTGTTCCAGGCTAAATGTTATCGTGGTGTCCAGCAGCCGCCGACCTGTCTCCACGAGGTATAGGTTAATGGTGTAGGTCTGATTGAAGCAAGCCAGAGAGTCCTAGGAGTACAGACAGCACGTGTCAACTACAGGTATCCCCCGAAAGCAAAGCCCACCAAAGGAAGTCCAAGGATTGGGGGCAAATACCCTAGAGAAGGAGCCAGGCCAGAAGGGGAAATATATGCAAAGGAGAATAAAAGAGAAAAGCAAGCTAAATCCTAAGGCAGAAATAAGGTGCCTGAGTAAATAAATGAAATTACAACTACCATACTTGTCTTGGAAGCCAGTACAGAGTAGCAGAGACTTCTGAGAGAGAGGTAGGGCTGAGCAAGGTAAGACTGAGCAAGACAGGAGGCAGGGAAACGCTTAGATGGAAGCCACAGCAGGAACCTATGCCTCCAGCCAGGGGCTCATGCCTCTGCTACAGGGTAACTGCACAGAGTACTACTCAACTGTGCCAGCCAGGATCCCAAAAGAAATGGGGACGCTGAGGCCCAGAGGAGAAAGTGGCTAGAAACAGACTCTAGGGATTCTACCTCCTAATCTCCCGGTAAAATGAGATTAAGAGAAACATCATTTAATTTACAGTACTTAGGAAACCTCATTTGAAGCTGGGAACTCTAGGACCTGCTCCTAACCAAAGCTCTTCCCCCAACTCTCTTTGGTGGCCTCCTGCGTCTCTAGGTCTGGCATACTGCCCAGTGCCACACCATACCTTTGAACTAGACTTCTCCGAAAAGCTCCCCATTGACCCATCTTCAGAACTGCTACTTTTCTGCTATGAGAAAGAGAAGGACAGGAGAAAATTCAGCCAAAGGGTCACTTCCCAGTCACTGAAATGAAGCTTTTGTTTTTGTCTTCTTAGCACTTGAGAGAAGACAAAGCTCATTTCTCACCCCTGCCCACAAAGCCTATTCAACCCTTAATAGCCCCATATGAAAGTAAGGTCATCACATTAGGGTCTCGTTCCTGGGGAGAAATGGGGTGTGCAGAAAGCTCTATAGTTGAGGCAAGACCTCACTTCTCAACAGCCTCCTGCCCGCTGGGTTCAAACTGACCAGGTCAATGTGCCCAGACTTCTGATTTTCAGGGTTCCTAGTGGAGACCAGGAAGGAAAATCCCAAGTGCTGACTGTTGTTCTCAATACTCACCACTTCATTCCGACAGGCCATGACTGCAGCCACCGTCTTCTCCCCAGTGGTGGCAAAGCTCACTAGGGCAGTCTGGGGGAAAAGCAAGGCATCAGCTCCTAAATGGGACCAGTACTAGCCAGCTGCCTTACAGAGGGTCACCTCTCCAGGGAAGGCCCTTGGCCTTAGAGTTGAAAGTGCTCCCCACTTTGGAGCAGAATGGTCAGGCATTTAAGAGCAGAGGGAGGCCTCAGTTGCATCTACAGCTGAAAACAGAACTCTCCCTACCTCCAACGCAGGCACAGGTCAATCTTAAATCCCATGCTGCTTGTTCTTACTATCTATGGGGAAGCTCTCATTTATGTCCCCATATTTCCTTTGGACTAAGGAAGGCACTAGTTTTGCTCTAAAGATCCTTTGTAATACTCAGGAGGAAATACACCATTTCTATGATAAGGCTACCTACCCCCTCTCAAACCACTTACGGGAAGGTGTCATCAATCTTGGGCCTAAGAGCAAACGTTTCCAGATTCAAAAGCACTGCCTTCTAGCATCCATGTCTTGGAGAGATCTCCTGAATCCTAGCAAACCATGTTGCCTGCAGTTACCTGTGGGAAGTTTTTAAGCAAACTCAGCGTTCCATAATGGTACTGCAGCAGAGCATAGTGGCTTGGGGACAAGTGCAGGAAGAACTGGGCCCGGGAAGCGTCCACTGGGTTGGGCTGGGTAGGCAGGACCCGGGGTTGGAATCCACTTCCAAATTCTAAGTCGAGAGACTGGAAGGCAAGAAGGAGGAGGATTATGGCTAACAGCTGACGACTCCCTGACCCATCCCAGGCTCACAACCTCTGCCCTACTTTGCCGGGGGAAGTAACTGGGCCATGGCAGGTGGCTCCAAATGCTCCAGTTCAAGTTCCCCAAAGAGGAAAGTGACTGATTTCCTCTTACACCAGTTCAGCCAGAGGCCTGAATGGCTTCCACTGCTCAGGAAGAGTCTAGGAGAAAGACCCTCCAGGGGAATCATGCCAAACTTTCTACTCCCCGCAGGAAATGCCTCAGGCCAGAAGAAGCAGTGGCAGCCTCTCACCTGCAGTGGGATCTGTCTCAACTCCCATTCCGTCTCCAGAGCCAAAGTTTGGAGGGAACGTGAGCTCGGGTCAGGACACACCAGGACAGCCTCATCCACCACACCACAGGCTCCAGACAGGTGCTGCAGCCACGGAGTTGAAACCCTAACCTACAGAAAAGTCATCGTTAACAGGAAGCTCGTGAAAGATTTTTACATTTCCCTCTCAGCCCAACAGCAATATTGCTGCCAGCATCCCACTGGGGGTCCTAAGCTCAAAGGTTCTTCATGGTTGGTTGTATAGGAGTTCTTCCTGTCCCCTGAAACCCCACCCTCCAACCTCCTGAGAGCCTTCAAAGTTGGAAAAAATATCAGGATTTTCTTTCTGGTCACTGGAAAAATATATCCGATAATTTTAAATACCTGGCACTTCAGAATCAGCACTTCTTTACTATATTTGCCATATGTGGTGTCCTACTGTGATTTCACAGCACTGTAAGATACTTACAGGCAGAGACTAGATCTATGTAATTTTTTAGCCACCCCAGAAGATAACACATGCAAATATGAGTACTTTAAATAGAGGCCTAATGGGAAGGCAGCTGGCAAGTGACCAGAATGAGGGAGCATAAGTAGCTTTTGCATCTGCCCAGCCAAGTTCCCTGTTCCCCAGTACAAAGAAATCTATCAAGTCTCCCCCAACCCCACCTTATTCACAGGCTCCTGTCACCCTCCTGTACCTGCTGAACAATCTCTCCATCTTCCACATTAAACTTGACAATGTTCACATGGCTGAAGGGAACAACTCCGAGGGCCCACACCACCCCAGAGCCGTAAGAATACACCATCTGGTAGTGGATGCTGTCACTAAGAGAGGGAAGAAGAAACCGCAGCGTCAGCTTTCAACCCAGGACAGGATTATCCTCAGGGGCTGCCAGGCCTCAGCCAGATGTCACAAACTAGTAATTCCCAAATAGGTTTTGTTTGGCTCACACAGTTTGGGGGCTTTTGTTGTTGTTGTTCTTAATTTGAATTAGTTGTCAACATTTAGAAGATATTATACTTCACAATCAGATTTCTAAATTTTCCTACGGTTAGAAGATGTGGCAACACTAGGCCTAAATACAGAGCACCAATCAGGTGGGTAAGGCTGCCCCCTCCAGGCAGGCCAGGAGCACTGCAGCTCCCATCCAGCCAGTGTTGCTCATGGATATTTCATAACCCGCCTCATAGCATTTTCTTTGTTGTGTTTTTTTTTAGACAGCGTCTCACTCTGTCACCCAGGCTGCAGTGCAGTGGTGCGATCACGGCTCACTGCAGCCTCTACCTCCCGAGGCTCAGGTGATCCTCCCACCTCAGCCTCCCAAGTAGCTGGGATCACAAGCACGCACCACCATGCCTGGCTAATTTTTTGTACTTTTTGTAGAGATGGGGTTGCCCAGGCTGGTCTTGAACTCCTGAGCTCAAGTGATCTACCCACCTCAGGCTCCCAAAGTGCAGGGATTACAGGCGTGAGACACCATGCCAGGCCAGAATTTGAAGTTTTGAGTCCTGCTCTAAACTTTGAAAATGGCCACAGGGTGTCTAAGTAGATCCTTTTATCTTGTTCCTTCTCTCTTGTTCCTTCCCAATTTCGATGCTTTCTACCAGCAGGACCTCGAGAAACCATTTCACACCTCACTCAGCCTACCCTGGGTCTTCTTGAGTTGTTCTAACTCTTAATATGAACGAAAGGCTCAGTCAGAACTAGAACTAGAACTAGAACTTGAACTAGAAGTCAGAAGGCACAAAGTACCATAACCATGAGCGAGTGAGTGGCTCCCGTAGCATGGCTCGCCCTAGCACCCCAGTTTGAGAGTGTTCTCCTCAGTGCAAAGGAAACTCCAGGCATACTCCGGAGTTTCACCCATACTCACAGCCTTCAAGATATTCTGAGTGCAACACACTCCATGGAACACCAACAAGAGACAGGCCTGGGTTAAAGCAAATGCTTCGGGTCCCTCGAGGAGAAAGAGGAGCTCCTAGAGAGTAGAACGAGGCAGCTATTGCCTGTGAGCAGGCAGCCTTACCTTTCTGGGAGATGTTCCACCCACTTGAGGTGCCCACTGGAGAGGTGATGGAGGGCAAGTGTAGTCTTCTTCAGGACTGCGATGTACCTTACAGACTCCTGCAGGCCAACCAGCCCAAGTGCCTGGAAACTGAACACAAGTACAGGTTGAGAGCAGCCCACACCTGCAGAGCCTCAGGCTGGGAGAGACAGTCCAGAACAGTACCCACTGTTGCTTAGTGGGTAAGAAAACAGGCTTTGGGGTCAAACACAGCTGGATCCTAACCCTGGCTCTGCCTCTTGTTAGTCAACTTGAGATTCTGCACTTGCAACCATTTGGCCACACTACTTGCTTCCCTGAAACCATCTGTATCTCCTAAGGGCTGTTCCCTCCTTCCCCTGGGACTTCACAGCAACTGGACCTACCCTCTGCCACATATCCATGAGACAGTGCTGTCATTACTGTGCTACCTGCCTGCCTCCCAATGGACAGCGGAATCCTCAATGACAGCAACTGTCTCACAGTCCCATGTGTTCTCATCGCCTGGGGCTCAGCACGTGTTTACCAAATGAATTACTATCAGAAAATGTATAAGCTAATACAAATGACCCTATCATTTGAACAACTTTAGGGGCCAGGCCCGGTGGCTCATGCCTGTAATCCCAACACTTTGAGAGGCTGAGGTGGGAGGATCACGGGGTCAGGAGTTCGAGACCAGCCTGGCCAACATGGTGAAACCCCGTCTCTACTAATAATACAAAAATTAGCCAGGCGTGGTTCACATGCCTATAATCCCAGCTACTGGAGAGGCTGAGGCACGAGAACTGCTTGAACCTGGGAGGTGAAGGTTGCAGTGAGCCAAGATCACACCACTGCACTCTAGCCTGGGTGACAGAGTGAAACTATGTCTCAAAAAACTCAATAAATAAAAATAAACAACTTTAGCAAAGATGTTAACAATAGGTCAGGCTGTTCTTTAAACAAAACTAAACAGTGGAAGTTTTATATTATGTTCTTATATCTGGAACATTGCAAAACTCACGAATCACAGTGAAATTAGGAACAGCATTCAAGCACAAGCGCAAACATTGCACCTAGAAACTCTGCATCTAACAGGCGCTCAATACATGTTGGCTGAGCAAGCATATCCACAATGGGTACTCAATGTCAATGGCTGGCTCTTCAGTGGTCCCTGGGAAAAAGCCAAAAGCCCAGAGTTGCTGTCTATGCAGATCTGTGTTCCGGTGAAGCCTTTAACTCAGTCAAGATAAAATCCAGTTTCTCCCCTACCTGCCACTGTCCAGGGTTATCTCCCAGTTCAGGCCCCCGATGTTAGTCTCCCAGGAACGCATGATTCGGCCTCCATTGGACACAGTGATCACATCTGGAAAAGAAAAGATCGTGGTGAAGTCATTTCCCACTTGCTCTGTCGCTTCCTAGGGTCCCACTGTGAGCAGTGGCCTCACCTCTGATTTCTGGATGCAAATACATGTTAAACAGGTACCTGTCCTTCACTGTCAGGAGTCCCCAGTCTCCTTTCCCTACCAGACCCTGTACAGATCAAGGAGCCAAGGAATGGGACAGGGAGCTGGCCGCACAATGGAGACACGGGAGGACTCTGCTTACCCTGTCCGTGCAGCAGCATGGCATCCACAGCCCCTTCTGCCGTGCCCTTGTCAACATGGCGCCACACTGAGAGACATGAAAGTTAGACATTACTATGAACAAAAGGTGGCAACCCAGAAGACTAAGAAATAAATGAAGAGCTCTTCATTTGCACAGCAATGTCCAATTTTATCTCGAGGGAGTGAAGGAGTATAGCTAACTGGCAGTGATCCAGTCCCATTCACGGGGTAATGAGGGTAGAAGGGGTTAAGAGGGGCCACTACTGTCCAGGCCCCACTACCACCCCATCAAACATATAAACAAACAACAATAAGATTAATAAAATCCATCCAATTCACAAGAAAAATAGTGATCATAAATTCTATTTCCCTTATTTTAGTGCCTAAAAACATCCGGCCAGTGTAGGTAATTAAGTGAGGGTATCTGAGAGTTTACTGCAAAGTAGAATAATGTGTTTTTTGCAGCAGCATCTTTTTTTTTGAGACAAGGTGTTGCTCTATTGCCCAGGCTGGAGTGAACTGGCATGATCACAGCTCACTGCAGCCTCAACCTGCTGGGCTCAAGCAATCCTCCCACCTCAGTCTCCCAAGTAGCTGGGAATCTAGGCACACGCCACCATGCCTGATTTTTTTAATTTTAGACATGGGGCCTCACTGTGATCCCCAGGCTGGTCTCGAACTCCTGAGCTCAAGTGATCCTCCCGCCTGGGCTTGCAGCAATATCTTATTTAAGGACACTCAGGATTCAAGCTGAGAGAACAAACCGCAAAGGTCAGTTATAGGAACATACAAATATTCAAAGATGGTAAGACTGAAAAAAAAAAAGTATCAGAATCCACTAGGAGAGGCATCTTTTGGCCAACATGTTCCTTATTCAGGAATCAGCCAGGCAGAGTTGGCAATGGTAAGTCTTTCATCCCTGAGGCAGCCAGTAGACACAGTTCTCAGTTCACTCACAGATCTCCCCAGTTCGGGAATTTAATGCTGCAATCACATTCTTCTCTGTGGCTACAACCAACTTCTTGGATCCAGGGGAAAATTCCAAGGAGGCAAACTTGACCTTCCCAACATATTGCTGTCTCCTGAGAAAAAAAGAGTACAGGGGACCATAAGGAGCTAAAATCACCATTCCACAAAATGCTCCGGAAAAAAAATCACAGGGCTATCACCATCACATTCATTTTAGGACACATAAGACGTGTTTGTTAGCTGGGCGCAGTGGCTCACACCTGTAATCCCAACACTTTGGGAGGCCGAGGCAGGCAGATCACCTGAGGTCAGGAGTTCGAGACCAACCTGATCAACATGGAGAAACCCCGTCTGTCTCTATGAAAAATACAAAATTAGCTGGGCATGGTGGCGCATGCCTGTAATCCCAGCTACTCGGGAGGCTGAGGCAGGAGAATTGCTGGAACCCGGGAGGCGGAGGTTGCAGTGAGCTGAGATCGCACCATTGCACTTCAGCCTGGGCAACAAGAGCAAAACTCCATCTCAAAAAAAAGAAGTGTTTGTTAGTGAAGAGCTCTGACCAAAAGCAAGATTTCCATTCAATGTAGTCAGATGCAAAGAGAGTAAGAGAAGAAAATTAGCTCCTAATAGATAATACTAACTCTTCCTTCTAAATGGAAGCACATATTTACCTTCAGATAAGTGACACCCAAAAGGGCACCTTACCTTTCTTTTTTTTTTTTTTGAGACGAAGTCTCACTCTTGTCCCCCAGGCTGGAGTGCAATGGTGCAATCTCAGCTCACTGCAACCTCCACCTCCCAGGTTCAAGCGATTCTCCTATCTCAGCCTCCCGAGTAGCTGGGATTACAGGCACCTGCCACCACGCCCGGCTAATTTTTTTGTATTTTTAGTAGACATGGGGTTTCACCATGTTGGCCAGGCTGGTCTCGAACTCCTGACCTCAACTGACCCACCCGCCTCGGCCTTCCAAAGTGTTGGGATTACAGGCGTGAGTCACCACGCCCGACTGAGATCACAGCACTTCTTAACAGCACAGAGCAAGCACCTCCTTTGTACTTGGTAGCCTACCATGTGAGGCTAATAATTTTCTCGATTAGGATCGCTTGAGCCCAGGAGGTCGAGGCTGCAGTGAGCCGAGATCACACCATTGCACTCCAACCTGACAAGACTCTGTCTCAAAAAAATAAACAGGCCAGGCGCAGTGGCTCACGCCTATAATCCCAGCACTTTGGGAGGCCAAGGTGGGTGGATCATTTAAGATCAGGAGTTCGAGACCAGCTGGCCAACTTGGTGAGAACCCATCTCTACTAAAAATGCAAAAATTAGCTGGGCGTGGTGGCACGTGCCTGTCATCCCAACTACTCGGGAGGCTGAGGCAAAAGAATCGCTTGAACTCAGGAAGCAGAGGTTGCAGTGATCCAAGATCGTGTCACTGAACTCCATCCTGGGCGACAGAGTGGGCCTCTGTCTCAAATAAATAAGTAAATAAAATACTGTTGTTTTATCTGGATATAAAAGTAATGCCTCCTTATTACAGAAAATGAGTGGGTGGGGGGAACACTTATAACAATTTAAAAATCTCCACCAGGCACGGTGGCTCACACCTGTAATCTCAGCACTTTGGAAGGTCCAGGCATGCCGAACACTTGAGGTCCGGAGTTTGAGACCAGCCTGGCCAACATGGTAAAACTCCATCTCTTATAAAAGTACAAAAATTAGCTGGGCGTGATGGGCACCTATAATCCCAGCTACTTGGGAGGCTAAGGCAGGAAAATCGTTTGAACCCTGGAAGCGGAGGTTGCAGTGAGCCAAGATCATGCCACTGTACTCCGGCGTGGGTGACAGAGCAAGACTCTGTCTCAAAACAATAAAAAATAAATAAATAATAAAAATTTTAAAATGTAATATATCACTCTTCTGGATTGAATTGTATCCTCAAAAACTCCTGTGTTGAAACCCTATCCCCCAGTGTTACAGTATTTGACGGCAAGGCCTTTAAAAATGTAATTATGTTTTAATAAAGTCAAAAGGGTGAGGCCTTAATCCAATAGAGGAAGAGACATCAGGGATGTGTAAGCACAGTAAAGGCCATGTAAGGATACAGCAAGAAGGCAGCCTTTTGCAAGCCAATGAGCGAGGCCTCAGAGGAAACAAAACCTGCCAATGCCTTGATCTTGAATTTCCAGCCTCCAGAACTGTGAGAATATCAATTTCTATTGTTTAAGCCACCTAGTCTATGGTATTTCATTATAGCAGCCTGAGAAAACTAATACAACCACCACTATAGATACACTTTTTATTATTTGAGATGGGATCTCACTGTGCTGCCTAGGCTGGATTGAACTCCTGGGCTCAAGTAATACTCCCATCTCAGCCTCCCAAGTAGCTGGGATTTCAGGTGCATGCCATTGTGCCCAGCTTTGTACATATACTTTTAACGTTTTACTATACAGTCATGCACTGCAAAACAATGTTTCAGTCAATGATTGATCGCATATACAGCATATACAGTGGTGGTCACACAAGAGTATAATGGAGCTGAAAAATTCCTATAACCTAGTAACATTGTAGCTGCTATAACATTGTAGTCGAATGCATTAATCACGTTTGCGGTGAAGGTGGTGTAAACAAACCCACTGTACTGCCAGCTGTATAAAAGTACAGCATATTCAATAATGTATACTACATAATACTTGACAATGATAATAAATGACTGTGTTACTGGTTTACGTATCTACTTTTTATGGTTAGAGTACTCCTTCTACTTATTAAAAGAAAATTAACTGTAAAATAGTCTCATGCAGGTGCTTCAAGAGGTATTCCAAGCTGGCCGCAGTGGCTCATGCCTATAATCCCAGCACTTTGGGAGGCGGAGGCGAGCAGATCACCTGAGGTCAGGAGTTCAAGAACAGCCTGGCCAACATGGTGAAACCCCATTTCTACTAAAAATACAAAAATTAGCCAGGCATAGTGCTGTGCACCACAGTCCCAGCTACTTGGGAGGCTGAGACATGAGAATCACTTGAACCCGGGAGGTGGAGGTTGTAGTGAGCTGAGATCATGCCACTTCACTCCAGGCTGAGCGACAGAGTAAGACTCTGTCCCAAAAAAAAAAAGAGGTATTCCAGAAACAGGCATTGTTATCACAGATGATAGCTCCATGGGTGTTACTGCTCCTGAAAACCTGCCAGTAAGACAGTATGTGGAGGTGGAAGACAGTGATATTGATGATCCTGACCCTATTTAGGCCCAGGCTAATGTGTTTGTGTCTTAGTTTGTTTTTTGTTTGCTTGTTTTTTGAGATGCTCTTACTCTGTCACCCAGACTGGAGTACAGAGGCACCATCACAGCTCACTACAGCCACGACCTCCCAGGCTTAGGTGATCCTCCCACCTCAGCCTCCCGAGTAGCTGGGACTACAGGCACCCACCACCATGCCCGGCTAATTTTTGTATGCTTTGCAGAAATGGGGTTTCGCCATATTGCCCAACCTGTTTTTTGTTTTGTTTTGTTTTGTTTCTGAGATGGAGTCTCGCTCTGTTGCCAGGCTGAGTGCAGTGGCGTGATCTCAACTCACTGCAACCTCCGTCTCCCAGGTTCAAGTAATTCTCCTGCCTCAGCCTCCCAAGTAGCTGGGACTACAGGCGTGTGCCACCACGCCCAGCTAATTTTCGTATTTTTAGGAGAGACGGGGTTTCACCATGTTGGCCACGATGGTCTTGACCTCTTGACTTCGTGATCCACCCGCCTCGGCCTCCCAAAGTGCTGGGATTATAGGCGTGAGCCACCACGCCCAGCCCCAAGCTGGTCTTGAACTCCTGGACTCAAGCCATCCACCCACCTCAGCCTCCCAAAGTGCTAGGATTACAGATGTTAGCCACTGCGCCCGGCCTGTGTCTTAGTTTTTAACAAAATAGTTTAAGACTGAAAAAAAAAATTTTAGTATTGTAGGAAAAAGCTTATAGAATAAAGATATAAGAAAAATATTATTAAGTCAGGCATGGTAGCATATGCCTGTAATCCCAGTTGCTAGGGAGGCTGAGGCAGGAGGCTTGCTTGAGTCCAGGAGTTCAATATCTGCCTGGGGAACATAGCAAGATCCCATGTCAAAAATAAATTTTAAAAATATATTTTTGTACAGCTGTAAAGTCTGTGTTTTATACTAAGTATTATTACAAAAGTCAAAAATTAAAAAAATAAAATGTTTGTAAAGTAAAAAAGTTACATTAAGCTAAGGTTAACTTATTATTGAAGAAATTTTATAAATTTAGTATAGTCTAAATGCACAGTATTTATAAAGTCCACAGTAGTGTACAGTAATGTCCTAAGCCTTTACATTTACTCACCAACCACTTACTGACTAACCCCAGAACAACTCCTAGTTCTGCAAGATACATTCATGTTAAGTGCCCTATACCAGTGTACCATTTTTTATCTTTCATATCCTATTTTTACCATACATTTTCTATGTTTAGATACACAAATATTTACCATTGTGTTACAATTGCCTACAGTTTTCAGTAAAGTAACATGCCGTACAGGTTTGTAGCCTAGGAAGAATAGGCTGTACCATATAGCCTAGGTGTGTAGTAGGCTAAACCATCTAGATTTACATAAGTACATGCTACAACGTTTGCACAAGAGGGCATTTCTCAGGATGTATTCCCATCATTAAGTGATGCATACCTGTATGTCTTCATTTATTTTTCAATCTGAAAACTGTAGGCCAGGTGCAGTGGCTCACACCTGTAATCCCAGCACTTTGGGAGGCCGAGGCAGCCAGATTGCTTGAGCCCAGGTGTTCAAGACCAGCCTGGGCAACATGGCAAAACCCCGTCTCTACAAAAAATACAAAGAAACTGGAGAGGTGTGCACCAGTAGTCCCAGCTACTCAGGAGGCTGAGCTGGGAGGGTCACTTGAACCTGCAAGGTCAAAGCTGCAGTGAGCCATGATAGTACTGTACTCCAGCCTGGGCTACAGAATGAGTCCCTGTCTCAAAAAATTTTAAAAAGTCTTGGCTGGGCGCAGTGGCTCCCACCTGTAATTCCAACACTTTGGGAGGCCTAGGCGGGTGGATTACCTGAGATCGGGAGTTTGAGACCAGCCTGACCAACATGGAGAAACCCTGTCTCTACCAAAAATACAAAAATTAGCTGGGTGTGGTGGCGCATGCCTGTAATCCCAGCTACTCGGGAGGCTGAGGCAGGAGAATCGCTTGAACCCCAGAGGCGGAGGTTGTGGTGAGCCATGAGATCGCGCCATTACACTCCAGCCTGGGCAACAAGAGCAAAACTGTCTCAAAAAAAAAAAAAAAAAAAAAAAAAAAAAGTCTTAAACAGAGTCCTTTTCCCCCCTCATCAGCCTAACCTGGCCCTGGGCTCAGAGCAGAGCTGCCCAAGACACTAAGCAGTTAGGAAATGCCATTCATTCATTCATTCATTCATGAAAATAAAATTAAGAAAATTGCATATATCAAGTATTCTGCAAAATTAGATACACATATCACCCGATATATATGTGTAACATACACATATGACATTGTGAACAGTTGTGCACATCATTAAAAATGTAACATGTTTTATTTGTCACACTGTCTGGCATAACAGGTACTCAACATATATGCGAATCAACTTTTCCAAGACAGAAAATACTTCAGAGGAGGAGAAATCTGACCTGGGCCCTGAAGAATAAAGTGTAAATAGCAATAATAACAGATAACGCTTAATGACTGCATTCAATGAGCCAGGCATTGTGCTAAGTAATTTAATGGGATTGTCTCATTCATTCTCACAAGTACTGTAAGAGATAACGGACTGTTAGTAAACCCATTCTACAGACAAAGAAACCAAGGCACAGAGTGGTTAAGTCACTTTCCCCAAGATCACACAAGTCTTAACTAGTAAAATTCAAACAAAAGCAAGCTACTCCAGGGCCTTAAGGAAGACGTGGGTGGGTGAATGAATGAATGAGTGAATGGCATATTCTAGCTGCTTAGTGTTTTGGGCAATCCTGCTGTGAGCCCAGGGCCAGACTAGGTTGATGAGAGGGGAAAAGGACTCAGTTTAGGACTTTTAAGACGAAAGCTCCTGTTCACTTGCCTACAAGACACCAATTCGAGTAGGAATTAAAGTTCACTGACAGCTTGGCGACCTCTGACACCTGGTAGACCAGAAACCTCACAGTCAAAAAAATCGAACCTGACGAGGGAGGACGGGATCAGTGATCTCTGACCGGCACCCCAAGCATTCCTGGATGGCAGGGCCGGCTTACACGCAAGGATCAGCTTAGAATGACCCCTAACACTTGGTTTAAGGCTCTGCTTCCAACGACTTTAAATCCTTAATAATTTTTTAACAAGGGGCCCCACGTTTTCATTTTGTACTGGGTCCTGCAAATTATGCGGCCAATCCTGTTAAGTGACAACCTTTAGCAGGTAGGAGACAGGTACTGGGGAAACAGCCACTTATCTCTCGAATATGTTCCACACGTACGCACCAATCAAACTTGCCCACTTGGTCTTCGTAGACCGCGGCCGCAGGAATCAGCAGCGTAGCCCAAAGCCAGAAACGAGAAGCCCACTCAGCCGCCATGATGCGAGCGCATGCACCACCCACCGCCGTCCCGGCATGCACCGCGCCGCGGGCTCCGCCTCCGCGGGACCACAGAGCTGGGATAGCGCGCGAGGCCCTCGGTCGGACGGGACGCTCGGGATTCAGGGACTGCCTCGGCACACGGGAAGTTGCCCTACAGGCGCGGGAGAAAGCGCAGGCGGCGGCTTGGCAGGGAGAGGCAGGCTGCAGTGCACATTGGGTCAGGCACACGCGAGGGGCAGCCCCCGAGGGCCGTCCCAGAGTCCCCCGCGCCGCCGGGGTCCTAACGGGGTGCACCGTCTTCCGCCGCACGTGGATTCAGCGCGATGCCCAAATCCAAGCGCGACAAGAAAGGTGGGCGAAGGGGGAGTCGGGACCCTGGGGGGAGCTCCGTGGGCTGGCTACCCAGCCTGCGGTGAGGGCTTCGGGGCGGCGGGGGCGCAGATTGGAACGCCAGGACATCCTCGAGGTGTTCCGCTGCCTCGCTGCGAGCTGGAATGGGGGCTTCGGGGCTGTAAAACCGCCAGAGGTGGCTGACGCCCGGTCGGGTCTGGGGAGCGGAGACTCGTTTTGCCTAGTTTCAGGTGCTCTTGCAAGGCCAACTGGGTCGGGAGGCAGCTCCTGAACACCGCCCCCGGCTATGCCTGCTGCCGTTTCGGCCCACTTTTCCCAACTTCGGCCCTTTCTCATCTTCCTGCGCTCCCGCCACCCTGGCTGCCTTTCCCTTCTTTCAGCACAGGTTTGTTCCCGTGTCTGGCGTTGTGTGTCTGCGGTTGTTTCTGCCTGGCATGCTTACATCTTCGTATGGTTTGCGCCTTCTTAGTTGTCAGTTAATAGGATCCCTCTGAGACAGGGTCTCGCTCTGTTGCCCAGGCTGGAGTGCAGTGGCGCGATCGTAACACTGCAGGCCGGATGCGGTGGCTCACGCCTGTAATCCCAGCACTCTGGGAGGCCGAGGCGGGCGAATCATCTGAGGTCGGGAGTTCCCGACCAGCCTGGCCAATATGGTGAAACCCCTTTTCTACTAAAAATACTAAAAATTAGATGGGCATGGTGGCAGGTGCCTGTAATCCCAGCTACTTGGGAGACTGAGGCGGGAGAATCGCTTGAATCCGGGAGGCGGAGGTTGCAATGAGCCGAGATCGCTCCACTGTACTGCAGCCTGGGCACGACAGAGCGAGACTCCGTCTCAAAAATAAATAAATAAAATAAGTCACTGCAGCCTTGACCTCCTTGGCTTAAGCGATCCTCCCACCTCAACCTCCCGAGTAGCTGAGACTACAGGCGCACGCCACCACACCCAGCTAGGTTTTTTTTGTTTATTTTTTATAGAGAAGACTCAGTGTGTTGCCAAGCTGGTCTCGAACACCTGGGCTCCAACCACCCTCCCTGAGTGCTGGGATTACAGGCGTGAGCCACTACACCCGACTTGCGCACCTCTTAAGAGACCGTTTTTGACCACCTTTGCTGTGGTGGCCTCTCTCTTAACCCGGCTCCCTGGAATATTCAAAAATATTTAGGGGTCTGGCACTTTCTAGGCGTTAGAGGATACAGCAGTCACAAGGAAAGCCTATTTCTTATCGAGCCTAACGTTTTAGGAGAAACATATTCCGCAAAATGCTAAAAATCAGATTGAAAATGGGGTGAAGAGATGTTGATATTTTGTATAGTGTGGTCGGGAAAGGTCTCACTGATGAAGTGACAAATGAGCAGAAAATAAAGAAAGGAAGCGAGCAACCTGTGGAATTGAGCAGCTGTGGAATTATCTGGGAGAATGCTGTTCCAAGTAGAGGGAACCTGAAGTGAAAAGGCTCTGAAATGGGAGCAGATATGACGTGTTTGGGACAAGAGGCCAGTGAGGCTGGAGCAGAAGGAGCCAAATAGAGTTTGGGGAGGGAGTTAGGCAGAGAGGGCAGGACTTCCTCGGCCTTGGCAAGGCATTGGCTTTCCTGCCCAGGTGAAGTGAGTAGCAGAGGACCCATGTGATTTACCTTTACTTATGAAGGGTCACTCTGGTTGCCTTGGTGAGAATAGTTGGGGAAGACAGGGCAGAGGGCAGGAATGGAAGCAGTGAGACCAGCATTAATCCAAGACAGGGTGATGCTGGCTTGAGCCAAAGGTATAACAGTGGAAATGATGGGAAGTGGCCCGCTATATTTCGTTTGCCCTCCTCTGCTCCACTTACCATTGACTGATGTCATTGTCTTTGTCTGTGTGGTACCTAGTTAAGAGGGGCTGAGTGCGGGCAGGTTAAAGAAGAGAGGCCTGGGTCCCTTTGTGAAGGCGCCCGGGGCTTTGCAGTTGGAGTTCTGTTAAGTGTTTCTGGAACGATTTGATTCTGTGGAGGGGCCTGGGTCAGGTCTGGCAAATGCCAAACTCTGTGGGTAGAGGGCAAATTGGGCCCCAGCCATTTTTACAGTAGAGGTACATGTTCCTCCCCAGAGAGGTGTTGCTGCGTCTTTGGGTCCAAATTGCAATACTGGGGTGCAGATACATACCAGGAGATTCAGTCCCCAGCCTCATGGTTGCACAGCATAGGCCAGCTAGAGTGGCCTCTGCATCATGGTCAAGAGCAGCAAGGGGCCAGGCATGGTGGCTCACACCTATGATTCCAACACTTTGGGAGACTGAGGTAGGCAGATCTCTTGAGCCCAGGAGTTCGAGACCAACCTGGGCAACATGGCAAAAGCCATCTCTGCAAAAAATACAAAACTCACCTGGGCATGGTGGTGCATTTCTGTGGTCCCAGCCAAAATTAGCAGGCCATGGTGGTGTGTGCCTGTAGTCCTGTGTGGGAGGATTGCCTGAGCCTAGGAGCTCAAAGTTGCAGTGAGCCCAGATCGTGCCATTGCAGTCCAGCCTGGGTGACAGAGTGAGACCCCATGTCAAAAAAAAAACAAAAAACAGGGGCCTGCCTCAGCCAGCAGGTGAGGTCTGCCACTGAGAGCACTTCTAGCAGCAGGAACAGCCTCCACCCCCACACTGCAATCAAGTTTTTTGGGTCAGCCTTAGGAGCTAAGAAAGGCCTAGTTTGTCTAAATAGCAGGAGTTATATCCAGGGATCTTCAGGCCCAGGAATGCTAATGAGTAGGCATTCCATGGGCCCTGGGAATGGCTTTGTGTGCCAGAAATGATGGCCACAAAGGCCTTGCTGCCTTTTTTCAGAATGGCTGCATCCAGCTGAGTGCTCTCTGCCAAAGGGGAGAAGAAAATAAGTCTCCAGTGCATTTAGATTGGTCTCTCATCATCTCTCTCCTTTTTGTTTTTATTAGTCTCCTTAACCAAAACTGCCAAGAAAGGCTTGGAATTGAAACAAAACCTGATAGAAGAGGTAAGAGGTTGTTCTTTTCTAGAGCTTGCAATTGTTTGGTTTATAAAGGTAGGTATAGGACTGTTGGCCAGGGATAGGACTGTTGGCCAGGGGAACATACTAGTGGGGAAAAAAAAAAAATCTCCAAGCTGCCAATCCAGGCCTTTTTCCTCCAGCAGCAGCACCAGCAAAAACTTCCATAGTGATGATTTCCAGCTTTGACTAGCTCGTACTCTGTGCCCTGTCCTGCACTGTGTTTCTTATGCGTTGTTCCACTCCATCCTCATAACATCCCTGTGATGTGGGTACTAGGTGATGATGTTGCTGTTTTGCATTTGGGGTCACTGAAGCTTACAGAGATTTGTTAGCCTGCCTAATGTCAAAAAACAGGAGGCCAGGAATGGTGGGCCACGCCTGTAATCCCAGCACTTTGGGAGGCCAAGTGGGTCAGACAGCTTGAGTCTGGGAGCTCAAGAGCAGCCTGGGCAACATGACAAAACCTCATCTCTACAAAAAGAAAAGAAAAAAAAACTAGCTGGACGTGGTGGTACGCAGCCTGGGCAACAGAGTGAGACCCTGTCTTTAAAAAAAAAAAAAAAGAGCTGGGAGATTTACCAGGTGTAGGTGACTGCACCAACCCACTGTCTGTACAGCTTCTGACCTGCCAACCTGGGCTGCAGGCTGGGTGAAACAGTCTCCTCCTGCACAATGACTCCACTCCTAGAGGCTGCCTCATGGTGGCTTTGGCCAGCACCACGTGCAGAGCAGTACCGATCAGCTGCCTCCCCTTATAACAGAGAGGCTCCATGTGTTTCCATGTAGCAGGACCCTTCCTAATGTGGGTGAATGTTTCTAGGTTAACAGCTGATGATCAGTTCCACTGTTGGTCATAAATAAGTGAGAGACCTGGAAAAGGCCGTGGGGTGTAGATCCATGGCTCAGCCTCCCCTGTGGTTAGGGATCCTAATTTCAGTAATGGAGGTAGGAGACAACCAAATTAGAGGCCTCCAGTTCTTCCAGTTTCCATAGTTGTCAGGGGCCCAGAGCAGATTCATTCTCATCTGAGGCCAGAGTAGTGCCCGTTGTATGCTGCTGCTTGAACTCAGAGCCTCGTGAATTGTCCCACAGCTTCGGAAATGTGTGGACACCTACAAGTACCTTTTCATCTTCTCTGTGGCCAACATGAGGAACAGCAAGCTGAAGGACATCCGGAACGCCTGGAAGCACAGCCGGTGAGCGGGCAGGGGGAGGAAGGCCCTTCTGAGTGGGGACCCGGCCAGGCTGCTCTCAGTCAAAGCACAGGAGCAATTTCTGACCCTTTAGGTGCCTGGGTCATGCCGCTGACACCTTAATAAGGACAAAGTGCTACCTGCCACTGAAGAGCACTTCCTTTTCACTGTTAAAGCTGGTCTTGGGCAGGGTGCGGTGGTTCACGCCTGTAATCCTGGCACTTTGGGAGGCTGAGGCAGGGGGATCACCTGAAGTCAGGAGTTTGAGACCAGCCTGGCCAACATGGCGAAACCCCTTCTCTACTGAAAATACAAAAATTAGCCGGGCATGGTGGCAGGCACCTATAATCCCAGCTACTCAGGAGGCTGAAGCAGAAGAATCACTTGAACCCATGAGGCAGAGGCTGCAATGAGCTGAGATTGCACCATCGCACTCCAGCCTGGGTGACAGAGTGAAACTCCACCTCAAAAAGCAGATTTTGCACTGAGCTCCTAGGGGCAGGACTTGGCAGTTGCTCAGGAGATGTTTGAGAGGTGGGCCTTTCCGGAGAAGTGGCCCTTTAACCCTGGACTGTGGGCCATTTAGGAGCATCACACCAGTTTTAGAATGTCAGTAGGGACACTGCGACACAGACAGTGACCTGGGAGCAGGATGCAGGAGCCACATGGCAAGTTTCTGTCCTGGGGCAGGTGGCTCTGGTGGTGGTCTCTTGCCGCACCAGCTCTGGTTCAGGCTGTTAACATGCCTCCCGCATACATCCAGATAGAGAACTGGTACATGATGCTCGTGATGGGCTGGGAGACAAAATGTTGCCATGTCAGGAGTCTGTGGGTGGGAACATAATGAAAGGGACCCCAACGTGGGGACAGTGTGGCCAGGCAGCATGGAGAAGTGGGTGCCACTGGCTCAGCCTGGGCCTGAGCTCACTGGGGACCGGAGCTACTTTGCATGTTGCTGAGGGATGGGGAGGGCAGGGCTCTTCCTTCACAGAATGCTCTTTCTCTTGCTTGGTAGGATGTTCTTTGGCAAAAACAAGGTGATGATGGTGGCCTTGGGTCGGAGCCCATCTGATGAATACAAAGACAACCTGCACCAGGTAAGTCTCTGGCCCTCACGGGGTGGAGCTAAGGCAAAGCCGCCCTCTCTCCCACTACTCCCATGTGACAGCCTCCCCCAGCCATTGGCAGGCCGGAGGCTCAGGGAGAGCAGGGCCTGGCTTAAAGCTCTGGGTTCTCCCTTCACCTCCGGACCCAAGGAATAGCAGCTTCCTGCCTCCCACTCCTTCCTGCTATGACAACCAAAAACGTCTTTAAATGTTGCCAAATGTACCCGGTGAGCAAAAACGTGCCTAGTAGAGAACCACTGCTCTAATGTGACCAAGCTGTCCTCACTCCTGATTTGTAGGTCAGCAAAAGGTTGAGGGGTGAGGTGGGTCTCCTGTTCACCAACCGCACAAAGGAGGAGGTGAATGAGTAAGTACTGCTGAGGAACGGAGGGAAAGAGGCGGGTGAGAGGGGATTTCAGGGAGGGAATGATGCAGGAACTTCGTTCCATATGTGGCATCAAGTTGGAACTGCTCCTGGAAGCCTGTCACTGAGCTAGTGGCCTGGGACCACAGCCCTCTCTGTCCTCTCCAGCATGGTGCTCTGGGCTGGCTGCTGGCCAGCAGCCAAGGTCTGTGATGGGGGAAGGCCCAGGGCCACGGGACACTTGGGGGAGCCTGACTCATGGGCTGGTGGCGTGGCCAGGAGCATCTCCTCCTACCACTTCTCTTTTCCCTTAGGTGGTTCACGAAATACACAGAAATGGACTACGCCCGAGCTGGTAACAAAGCAGCTTTCACTGTGAGCCTGGATCCAGGGCCCCTGGAGCAGTTCCCCCACTCCATGGAGCCACAGCTCAGGCAGCTGGGCCTGCCCACCGCCCTCAAGAGAGGTATGGGCAGCCCTGGAGCCAAAAGGTCACAGCCTAGAGTCCAAGAGCACGGGCCTGCAAGCTCATCCCTTTCTAGCTGAGCAAGTTATTTCTACAAGCTTCCATTTTCTCATGAGAAAATGGGGCTAAGAGTGCATGCCTCACAGTGGGGGTGAAAGCAGACAGTAACTTACAGCCAAAATGCAGCCCTTGAGGCCCATCAGGGGCCTTGCGCTTGTTTAAAAAAAAAAAAAGTCAAAAAATTAGACAGCCATGGTGGTGTGTGCCTGTGGTCCTAGCTACATGGGAGGCTGAGGCAAGAGGATCACTAGAGCCCAGGAGGTCGAGGCTGCGGCAAATCAAAGGGACCTCAGGGAGACAGCCACTGCCCAGTGTGTGTTGGAGCCGTGGGGAGGGCAGGTGGCTGACTGGATTCCTCCCAACATGACCAGGGCAGAGAGGGCTCTGCAGGCCTCTGGGCCAGAGGTAACTGAGAGCCACCCTCTTCTGCAGGTGTGGTGACTCTGCTGTCTGACTACGAGGTGTGCAAGGAGGGCGATGTGCTGACCCCAGAGCAGGCTCGCGTCCTGGTGAGTCTGGCGCCTTGCGGGCTGTTGCGGGCGGGGTTGCTGGCTTTCCTCTGCCTGCTGAAAATGCCCCCCTGCACTTTGAATACCTTCATTCCTCCTGATTCTTTGTTCCCTTTGTCTCTTGCAGAAGCTTTTTGGGTATGAGATGGCTGAATTCAAGGTGACCATCAAATACATGTGGGATTCACAGTCGGGAAGGTTCCAGCAGATGGGAGACGACTTGCCAGAGAGCGCATCTGAGTCCACAGAAGAGTCAGACTCAGAAGATGATGACTGAAAGGGACTCGGGACTGAAGGTCTCCTGGAAGCTTCTGGGTCTCACTGGACCATCAGGACTGCTGCCGCCCCTCTGGAGAGAGCAGCTTTTTATTTGTCTGTAGACAGGGAACATGATGGGCACTGACCTCCTGTAAAGAATAAAACTGTGGGCCGGGCGCGGTGGCTCACGCCTGGAATCCCAGCACTTTGGGAAGCCGAGGTGGGCAGATCATAAGGTCGGGAGATTAAGACCATCCTGGCTAACACGGTGAAACCCCGTCTCTACTAAAAATAGAAAAAAAAACTAGTTGGGCATAGTGGCATGTGCCTGTAGTCCCAGCTACTCAGGAGGCTGAGGCAGGAGAATCACTTGAACCCGGGAGGTGGAGGTTGCCGTGAGTTGAGATTGGACCACTGCTCTCCAGCCTGGGCAACAGAGTAAAACTCTGTCCCAAAAAAAAAAAAAGAATACAACCTTGCAGGATGTCTCTCCTGGAGACAGCAAGAGGGAGAGGAGGGAGAGGGCTCTTTCTTAGAAAAGAGGCCTTTGGTGAGCCCAGAAGTTTGAAACCAGCCTGGGCAATTCAGCAAGATCCCGTCTCTACAAAAAATAAAAAAAAATTAGTCGTGGTGCCACTTGCCTGTGGTCCCCACTGCTTGGGAGGCTGAGGTGGGAGAATTGCTTAAGCCTGAGAGTTGGAGGCTCAGTGAGCCATGATCATGCCACTGCACTCCAGCCTGGGTGGCCATTGAATTCTGCGTGGATTGCCTCAGTTTGCCTTGTCAGCCAACTTCCACTGGCTGCCTTGGCACTGCCATGACAGCACAGCTCCACACCAGAGCTGGGGTTTCTCTTCAGTCCTGGGTACCCCTTGGCAGAGGGATTTGCTGAGGAAAATTAGGTATCCTTCCTAGCCCTCCACACACTTCCAAACCAGGGCTGCGGATCTGATGGATGCCAGGAAGACAGCCTTGGGCTGAGAGTGACATCACTGCAAGAGTTGAGAGCCAGCGTCTAAAGTGTCCACGGCATCCTGGGAGGTTTTATCCTTGGTGACTCTAATGGTAGATTTTTGTCCACCTTGTTCTATTTGCTTTTGTTTGTTTTTGATTTTTCTGTTTTAAAATTTTAAGGAGAGATGGGGTTTCACCATGTTGCCCAGGCTGGTCTCAAACTCCTGAGCTCAAGCGATCTACCCACCTTGGCCTCCCAAAGTGCTGGGATTATAGGTGTGAGCCACCGCATCCAGCCCACATTGTTCTATTTGTATTTCATGAAAGCAGTTCTGAATGAGAGTAAATCAGCTTCAGGGTGTACAGTGGCCCTCTTTTTTCTGCCATGCATGGAAGAGGGCCACCTCCAGCCCTGCTGTTGGGAGGTCAGGCTGGGTCCCACGGTGTGGGGTGACCTTCACAACGGCATTGTGCCTCTGACACCCTCTCAGTGCCTCTGTTCTTTGGAGACTTCCTACTCCCGCCCACTTCTCACCACGCCCTTGGGAAGGACAGCAGGAAGCAGGCTTCGGGCAGAAGAGGAATTCACCATGTTCACCCAGGCCTAGGCCAGGTCAAGCACCAGCCTCAGCAGGAAGTGCTGAAGGAGAGCTCAGGCCCGGCCCTCTCGCCTTGTGAGGATGACTGGGAAGACTGCACGAGTGTAGGGGAGGATCTGCAAACCGGGCTGAGAGGGGAAAGCAGCCTACAACCATTTAAGGCCAAAACTGGCCAGGGGGAGAGAATGAAGGGTGGCAGGTGGTGCCCTCCGCACCTGAGCCAGGTCTAGCCAGACCTGGAGGAGGTAGTGGGATGGTCAGGTGCCAGGCTTGGTCGGCGGCCTCTGTGACAGCCGAGTCCAGGGTCCCTTTGCTGCTGCCAGTTTCTCCAATTGCTCCATCCAGGATGACCACGTCCCTATGCATGCCCTGTAAGGGAGACAGCTAGACTTCAACACATTTCTGCTGCACAGTGACTAATCATGCCCCTCCCAGCCATGGCCCCGCCGCTAACTGGGCTCTGGTTATTCACGTATGCCTTGCATTACTGCTTGCAAACAGCCATGACCGTTGGGCTTTAAAGCCCTGCCTCCACGCTGTCTCAGCTTTAGACAGCTGACTTCAGAGCCACTCATCTGCTGCTCAGCAGCTGGGTAAACCCAGGTCAGTCACCCAGCCTTTCAGCTTCAGACTTCAGGCCGCTTGTCTGAATTAGAAATTGTGTGAAGCACTTTGCCTGCAGACCAGGCACGTAACGTGCTCACTAAAGGGAAGCCATAACCATATAATACCCAAGCTGGAGAAGGGGGTTAGGGACAGCAGGGAGAGGGAAACCCTGCCACTACACACAGGGTTGGGCTGTCTCCAGGGTGGGCAGCCAAGGAGCCAGGAAAAGCTAATGGTTAAAAATGTAGGTTTCAGACCAGATGCAGTGGCTTGCACCTGTAATCCTAGCAATTTGGAATGCTGAGGTGGGCGGATTGCTTGAGCCCAAAGACTCAAGATCAGCCCAGGCTCAGGCCGGGCACGGTGGCTCATGCCTGTAATCCCAGCCCTTTGGGAGGCCGAGGCAGGCGGATTACGAGGTCAGGAGATGGAGACCATCCTGGCTAACACGGTGAAACCCCGTCTCTACTAAAAATACAAAAAATTAGCTGGGCATGGTGACGGGCGCCTGTAGTCCCAGCTACTCGGGAGGCTGAGGCAGGAGAATGGCTTGAACCTGGGAGGCGGAGCTTGCAGTGAGCCGAGATCACAGCACTACACTCAGCCTGGGTGACAGAGCTAGACTCTGTCTCAAAAAAAAAAAAAAGATCAGCCCAGGCAATGTAGTGAGACCCCTGTCTCTACAAAAAATACAGAAGTTAGTCACATGGTGGTGTATGCCTGTGGTCCCAGCTACATGGGAGACTGAAGCGGAGCATTGCCTGAGCCCTGGAGGTCAAGGCTGCAGTGAACCATGATCAAGCCACTGCACTCCAGCCTGGGTGACAAGAGGAAGACCTTGTCCCCCCAAAAAGAAAAACATTAGTTTCAGTCAAACCCACGTTCGTTCCCTACCATGTGTAGCTGTGGGACCCTACACAAGTGAAATTGCCTCTGAGCCAGTTGCCTCATGTAAAACTGAGATGACCATACTTAACATGGCCATCGCAATAACTAGTGTTGGTTACCTGGCCGCTTAAGTAATTTGTGTAAGAACAGGTTTACCCCACCCAAAAGAACTGGGCCATGGAGAGCCTTCATAGGAAGAAAAGGACTTAACTCCTCTTGGTCAAAGTGACCAAATGACTGCATAGCCCTCGCAGCTTCCCCAGTCTCCCCACCCCCACAGAATTTGAGAGAAGCAGCTGAGCATCTAGAGACAGCTGGGTTACCTGCAGCTTGCGAGTGGTCCATCGCAGGACAGTCAAGGCCATGCCAGGGGCACTGGTGCTATATACACAATCTGCAGGACCTGCTCCACCAGGGCCATGGCCTTGAAGTGGTGCTTGTTCCAGAAGCTGGGTTGGGGGAGGGTATTGCACGGGGGTCAGTACTAGGGGTCATCTCAGGGCGGTTGCCTGCACCCAGGTCCCTGAAGCACTGAGGGGCTAATGGCTTCTAAGTAGACATCTTACATTTTTGAGCATCAGAATGCATGCATGTTTCTGGGCCCCTCATCCGTGTTCTTGGGTGGCTAGAGGGGAGGCAGTGGGCGAGAATCCTTGCATTTGGCCAGGCGTGATGGCCACACCTGTAATCCAAGCCCTTTGGGAGGCCAAGAAGGGAGGATTGCTTGATGCCGGAAGTTAGAAGTCAGCCAAGATAACGTAGGGAGACCTCCTGTCTCTACAAAAAAAAAAAAAAAAAATTAGCCGGGCGTAGTGATGTGCGCCTCTAGTCTCAGCTGCTCTGGAGGCTGAAGCAGGAAGATCACTTGAGTCTGGGAGGTAGAGGCTACAGGGAGTGGTGATCGAGCCCCTGCACTCCATCCTGAACAACAGAGTGAGACCCCATTTCGAAGAAAAAACCCTAGCATTTAACCTCACCAGGTGTTAAACACCCGCCACCTTAGGACCCCTCAGCACCTACAGCACCACACCTGTGTGCCCTGGGGGACACAAGGACCCATGACAAGTCCTGATCTCCAATCCTGGCTCTGCGGCCTTGGCTGAGCCACCTGCCCTCACCTGCTCAGTGAGGAAGGGAAATGCCCCATGCCAGCCCCATGTGCTAAATGCCAAGTATAAAGGTAGTAAGGGGCCTGGCCAGCTTTGCACACTGTAAAGAACAGATGGGATGAAACCCAGCAGGTCTCGATGCTCCAGGGCTGTAGCCTGGGCCCTGCAGTGTGAAAAGCTTGAGAAAACCTCCGCTTAGGACGGTGGTTCCTGAACATGGCAAGGATTATTAGAAACCCTTGGGGTTTCTGATCATCCTTATCATCCAAATAAGGCTGTAAATCACAGCAGTGCACACAAGGTGAACCCAAATGTTGGACACTGCTGCCTAAGTCCTTGGCCATTTCAACAAAACTAGCACTGGCACCACTTCCATGGAGCTTGGCTTGTTTCTGCCTTCCTCCCAGGGGGAGAAAACAAAAAGAAGTAATAAATCACATTGTGCACAAATATTAACCTTGCAGGTGTGGATTTGGTAAATCTAAGATCAGGAACTTTCCAGCAGCCCACACACGACATCTAAATTTGATATATTAAGGAATAGCGATAAAGTGTGTAGCTTTTTTTTTAATAAGAGATGGTGGTCTTGCTTTAATATCCAGGCCAAACTCCTAAGCTCAAGCAATCCTCCTATCTTGGCCTCCTAAGGCTGGAACTACAGGCCTATGACACCATGCCTGGCTAGTTTTTAAAATTTTTTTGTAGAGACAGTCTCACTGACCTGCCCAGGCTGGTCTCAAACTCCTGGGCTCAAGCGATTCACCTTTGTCTCCCAAAGTGTTGGGATTATAGGTGTGAACCACCACCCCCAGCCAAGTGTATACTTTAGACATAGTGCAGCAGTAACTGCTAGAGAAAAAGAAAGCTGCAAGAATTTCTAGAAGTTGCCTCTGAGGAATGAGACTTGGAAAGTGACAGCTTTTAACCATGGGCACATATCACTTTAATAAATTGTCCAAATTTTAAGAAATAGACTGGGTGTGGTGGCTTCCAGCTTGTATATATAAACTGTCTTCCATCCAACTCTTGGAATCAGAGTAAAGCTTTTGGAAATCCATTTTGTGAGAGAGAAAGCATCTAACTGTTGTGAATGCTATTTCAAATTCAGTTAATAAAGCTCAACATTGAGAATAGAAATTTGTTTCTGCAGTGGACATACACTTACAAATGCCATGGTAAGGACGGTGGCTCACGCCTGCAATCCCAGCACTTTGGGAGGCCGAGGCGGGTGGATCACGAGGTCAGGAGTTCAAGACCAGGCTGGCCAAGATGGTGAAACCCCGTCTCTACTAAAAATATAAAAAATGAGCCAGGTGTGGTGGCAGGCGCCTGTAGTCCCAGCTACTCGGGAGGCTGAGGCAGAGAATTGCTTGAACCCGGGAGGCAGAGGTTGCAGTGAGCCAAGATTGCACCACTGCACTCCAGCCTGGGCAACAGAGCTAGACTCCATCTCAAAAAAAAAAAAAAAAAAAAAAGCCATGGTAAAAACAGCCTTATTAAATTAAAAATCCATGCAGCAGAAATGTACTTGTTCATAAACAATTGTGGAGCCTGGCACTCTTACCTTCCTGTTGCTTCTGAAATGTATTCAGAATGGCCCAATTTGAGACACTGGTGATGCCAACCAACCCAGTCACTGGGAACAAGCAGGTCAGAAATGAAGCAAGTAGGGCAGCCCATGGCAGCCTGAAGTTTCAGGAACTCCCCTCCTCATGAATTCCCATGTGCAAAATCTATGTCACCTCCTTCTCCAGTCTTTTTTTTTTTTTTTTTTCTTTTTTGAGATGGAGTCTTGCTCTGTCGCCCAGGCTGGAGTGCAGTGGCATGATCTCAGCTCACTGCAAGCTCCACCTCCCGGATTTACGCCATCCTCCCGCGTCAGCCTCCCGGGTAGCTGGAACTACAGGCGCCCACCACCATGCCCGGCTAATTTTTTGTATTTTTAGTAGAGACGGGGTTTCACCATGTTAACTAGGATGGTCTTGATCTCCTGACCCCATAATCCGCCCGCCTCGGCCTCCCAAAGTGCTGGGATTACAGGCGTGAGCCACTGCGCCTGGCCCTTCTCCAGTCTTTTATACAGCACAGAGCAGTTTCCTTAGTTTGAGGATGAATAAATATATATTAGACGCTCTCCAGATCCAGCTCTGCTCCTTTAGGTCTTTTTGTTCCTTCTCATTTGTTTTTAAATTAACAAATACGAATTGTATATATATTTAAGGTGCTGTTTGGGAACTGTCTCTTGAAGAAGCTCTTTAGATATAAAATGGCTGAGGGAGGAGGTGGAGTGGGAAAAAAAGAAGAGAAAAAAGATATGAAATGGCTGAATTCAAGTGGACATCAACTATCTTTGAGATATAGTATCCAGAAGATTCTAATAGGTGGGATGTGGCATAGCAGAGAATGCATCCCTGATGGGGATACTCAAGAGTCTCAGCAGCTCCTGGGGCTCATCTCGACTTGACCACTCAGGACCGTTGCTCCCAGTGTTACAGTTTATTTTCCTAAGATAACCACCCCATGCTCTCAAATGCTCTTTGTACAGGTATCTTTGACTCCCCTCCCAGGACACAAGAGTGATGCTATGGACTCCTGAGGCTGGGACATAAAAGGCCACATGGCTTCTGCCTAGATTGCTTGAGATGTGCTCCCTTGGAAGCCACATGCAGAGGCCACATGTGTGCCAGTTAATGACAGCAGCTGATAAGTGAATGTCTTCAGGTGACCCTAGCCTACAGCTGCTAAATCACGCCTCAGACACCGGGGAACAGATGAGGCTTCCCCCACTGAGTTCTACCCAAACAGTGGGTTTGCCACCACCCAGCTAATTTTTGTATATTTTGTCAAGATGGGATTTCACCATGTTGCCCAGGCTGCTCTTGAACTCCTGGATTCAAGCAATCCCCTTGCCTAGGCCTCTCAGAGTTCTGGGATTTCAGGAATGAGACACCGTGCCTGGCCTGTTTTGTTTTTTAAAAACAACAGTATTGAGACATAATTCAGACACTATACAGTTGACTTACTTAAAGTGATGTTTAATGCTGTTTCATGTATTCAGAGTTGTACAACCATCACAATCAATTTCAGAGCATCTTCATAAGCGCCCCCAAAAGAAACCCTGTACTCATTAGCAGTGAATCTCCATTTCCTCGCAATCCTCCTCCCAGTCCTAGGCAAGTACTCATCTACTTTCTCTCTCTCAAACAGATTTGCCTATTCTGGACATTTCATATAAACGAAATCATACAACGTGAAACCTTTTGTAATTGGCTTCTTTAACTTAACACGTCTTCAAGATGCACTTACCTTGTAGATGTTTAACTACTTCTGTCTGTGTATTTGTTTGTTTGTTTGTTTGTTTGGAAACAGGGTTTGCTCTGTCGCCCAGGCTGGAGTGCAGTGGCACAGTCATAGCTCACTCCAGACTTGAATACCTGGGCTCAAGCAATCCGCCCATCTCAGCTTCCCGAGCAGCTGGGACTACAGGTGTGTGCCATGGGGCCCCAGTAATTTTGTTTTTATGTTTAGTGGAGACAGGGTCTCGCTTTGTTTCCCAGACTGGTCTGGAACTCCTGTCTTCAATCAGTCCTACTGCCTTGGCCTCTCAAAGTGCTGAGATTACAGGTGTCAGCCACTCTTTTTTTTTTTTAATGGCCGAATAATAGTCTGTTGTATAAATATACCATATTTTGTTTATCCATTTATTCATTCTTGGACATTTGGGTTGTTTTTACTTATTGGCTATTATGAGCAATGATAATGTGAAATCTCATACCCAAGTTTTTTTGTGGGGAGATATGTTTTCATTTCTCTTGGCTACATACCCACAAGTGGAACTGCTGAATCCTATGGTAATTTTATGTTTAATCCTTTGAGAAACTGCCAAACTGTTTTCCAAACTGGTTGTACCATTTTACATCCCCACCATCAGTGTGTGAATTTCCTCCCCTGTCTGTCTCTTGCTCCCTCTCTCACCATGTGACACGCTGGCTCCGTTTCCCCTTCTGCCATGATTCTAAGCTTCCTGAGGCCCTCACCAAGAGCAGATGCCGGCACCACACCCTCTTGTACAGACTGCAGAACTGTGAGCCAAAGAAACCTCTTTTCTTTATACATGACCCAGTCTCAGGTATTCTTTTATAGCAACGCAAACAGACTAACACACAGCACCCTGGGAGATTTTATTCTTCCTTAGGTGGTGACTCTACTGTTAGGTTTTTTTCCAAATACTTCCATCCCTAAGAATTTAGTGAGGCAGTTCTAAATTAGACAAAGCGGGAGAGAGCAAAAGAGTTGACAGAAAAGCCTTGGGCAGCCTGAGCCACAATGAGCTTAGATGAAGTAGTTGGGACATTCGTGGGCAAACAAATGCCAGGCTTGATTAAAGGCGTCCACGACAGCCGGCTCCAGGGGCCCTTCCTCTGCCGCTGCCAAGTTCTGCTCCAGCTGCTCCAGGCTGGACATGCCCAGGATGACCGCGTCCCCGTGGGCACCCTGCAAGGGAGACGGCCAGACTTCAACCCTCTTCTGCTGCACAGCGACTCCACTCACAGCTGTCCCAGCCACCTCCCTGCTGAGATTTGGGATCTCTTGTATCCCATATGTCCAGAAAGAACTTAAGGTGCCTTGGATAGCTGTACCCATGTGACGCAAAACCTGTATCCCTTCCCCTACTGCCACACGACGCTTCCAGACAGACCTACATTCACAGCCCAGTTCTGCCCCCCAGCAGCTGTGTAAACGCGGCTAAGTTATTAAACCTCTCTGAGATTCAATCCTCTTTTCTATTTTCAACATGGTTATGGGTGTGAAAAATTATGTAGAGCACTTAGCTCCCATTTATTGAGCACCTACTGTATATATGCCAGACACTATTGCAACATCTAAGGCTGGAGTTGGATATAAGTGAGGAAGACATGAGGCACTGAGAGAGGGAAACTCCAGCTCCCACCAAAAGGATGAGGCTAGTGGGCTTTACAGTTGAACCTGTGTTAAAATGTCTTCCCCTTTCATAGCTGGGTGAAACTCAGTTTCCTCATCAATAACACTGGGATAGTCATTTCATAAAGCTGAAGGAATAATGAAATCCCTGCAGTGAAGCCCTCATTACAAAGCCTGGCACTCAGATACCATCAAAGACCAATGGGAAGGCCGAGCGCAGGGGCTCACGCCTGTAATCCCAGCACTTTCAGAGGCTGAGGAGGGCGAATTGTCTGAGCTCAGGAGTTCAAGACCAGCATAGGCAGCTTGGCGAAACCCCATCTCTACTATAAATACAAACAATTAGTTGGTCATAGTGGTGCGTGCCTGTAATCCCAGCTACTCAGGAGGCTGGGGGAGGAGAATTGCTTGAGTCTGGGAGGCAGAAGTTGCAGTGAGCCGAGATCATGCCACTGCACTCCAGCTGGCATAACAGAGCGAGACTCTGTCTCAAAAAAAAAAAAAAAAAAAAAAAAAAAGACCAGTGGGAAGAGTGTTTATGAGAGTTGGAAGAAAGAAATTTCAGAGGAATCGAGAAAACAAATGCTTTGGGCTTCACCTGAAGGTAATGAATGCTGGTTCCCCTGGAAGGGAAGAAGCTGAGCACCCAGGGTCGCTGGTTACCTGCAGCTGTGAGTGGTGGTACATCCACCGGAGGGCGGCCGAGGTCATGCTGGGAGCGCTGGCGCCATACGCGGCCTGCAGGGCCTTCTCCACCAGGGCAATGCCCTCGAAGTGGTGCTCCTTCCAGAAGCTGTTCAGTGGGGATGGTGGCACAGGGGTCAGTACCATCAGGGTCACACTGGAAGCCACAACCAAAGAGCCATCCAAGGCCACTGCCCCACCCCACACCCTGCAGCCCTGAGGGGCGGGTGTCCTCTCTAGTCATAGGTCTCTCACTTTTCTGGGCATCAGAACCACCCAGGATGCTGGGCCCCTCAGCAGAGACCTCAACGAATCTTTATTCCTGAGAACTCAGCAGCCTGCTCTCATTTCCCCTACGGACATGAAGGCCACTGAGACAGGTCAGGACTCAGCCCCAGGCCTCCTGGACCTCCTTCCAGGGCTCTTTCTTTCCTTTGTAGCGGGTGATTGCTCAGGAAAGAGCTACGACTTCAAGACACCGAGGTCCAGGGAGTCTCCTTTCCTCCTGGAGGTCCCAAGACAACAAGAAAACCCACAGAGGGCTTGGGAATTCCTGAAGGAATGCAGGGGAGTAGGTGCAGACAGCGAGGAAAGGCCTTACCCCAGGAGCAGCCCAGGACTTCATTCCACATAAAGCTGACCCCACCCCAGCCATCCACATCAAGCACCCCCAACTAACTGATTCCTGTAGATCTCTGCCCACTGAGTCCCAAAGAAGCGGCCCACGGGCTGTTTCCCGTCCTTGTCCTCATACTTGTACTTGCCGGTCAGCAGGCCCCCTGCGGGAAGGCAGCAATCAGCCCCCGGGCCCAGAGTGCCCCAGAAGCTGCCACATCCCTCAGGGCTCTGGTCTAGGGGAGGGGCAGGGACCCAGGAGGGCTGAAGGATGCAGCCCAGCCTCTTGTCAAACCCTCCCTTCTTCCCAGGTCCTGGGCTGGGCATCTGTGGGTCGGGAATAGGCTGAGTCAGGGCCAGGAATGCTCCACGTACCAGCCAGAGGGTTGTAGGCATAGAACCTCAGTCCAAAGTGCCTGAGGCAGGGGAAGAGCTCCGTTTCCACCTGCCGGGTGGTGGCGCTGTACATGCCCTGTAAGGAGAAGGGCCCCGGGGAGAGGGTGGATGTGTCAAAAGAAGGGACCTAAATTTACCCTCATAGAACCCTTATTTCAGACCTTAACAATTCTAGGATTTTAACCATCTGGGCATATACTTATTCTTACTGGTGCTGGTGAAAGGGGCTTATGCCCTAGGAAAATTCATTCATTCTGCCAACTTTCATGAGCACCAACTGTGGGCTGGTTGTCAGATTTAGATTCAAAAGCTAAAAGGACAAGGTCCCTTCCCTCAAATATTTTGTAGTAAGGTCAAGCATAAACAGTTATAATCGAGTCATGAGGCAATCATAATAGACTAGAAAGTTCTGTGACCAGTGCCTGGCACCAAGCAGGTGTGCAAATATTTGTGCAATGAATCATGAGGAGGTAAACAAGGACCTGAGGTCTCAGGGTCTTCTGGGCCCATCTAGAAAGGCTTCCAGAGGAAGAGACACGTATGTGAGACCTGAACCATTCTCTCACAGAAGGGGCGGTGGTGGGGGAAGGGCTTGTTCCAGGCTGAGTGCAGGGGAAGGTAGGGAAGGAAGGGTCCAAGGTGCACAGATAGGCAGGAAGGAAGCAGATGCCCAGTGGCCAGCCTGAGGAGCTTGAATGGCATCCTGAGGGTACCTGGGAGCCATCTGCAGGCTTTCAGCAGGGGAGTGGCTGCTATGCAGAGGGCATGGGGGCAGTCAGAGGGGCAAAGACAGCCCAGGATGAGCAGGAGTTCTGGAGACCTTGGCCTCTGCAGCCCCGGCCCTCACCTGGTACACAGTGGGCAGGATCCAGCCGTTGCTCTTGCAGAGGGTACAGATCTCGGCCACTTCCCAGGCGGCATAGTTGGAGAGGCCAAGCTCCACGAACTTGCCCTGCTCGGGTGAGGCTCCAGTCAGAACATAGTGCAGCCCAGACCAGGAAAGGGAGGTCAGGGTGGGGCCCCTGGGAGTTGGGCTGTTCCCTGCTCCACCCTGGAACTGCCCTGGTGCCTCTGCTCTCACCATTAGGATCAGGATAAGGAGAGCAGCAGTGGACCACCTCCCAGAGCTCAGGGGTCCCCTCACCTCCTGGTGCAGCTGGTGGCAGGCACGCAGTGTCTCTTCCACCGGGGCGCTGTGGTCAGGTGCATGTAGATAGAAGAGGTCCACTCAGGGACACTGCAGCCGCTTCAGTGACGTCTCCAGCTGGGATCGGACACTGTCAGGCTTCAGGGAGTTCCCAATCCATGGATTGGCCTTGGTAGCAATTTTCACTGAGAGGAAAGAGAAATGAAAATTCAGGGCTGGATGTGGTGGCTCACGCCTATAATCCCAGCACTTTGGGAGGCCGAGGTGGGTAAATGACCTGAGGTCAGGAATTTGAGACCAAGCTGGCCAACATGGTAAAACCCCATCTGTACTAAAAATACAAAAATTAGCTGGGGGTGGTTGTACACGCCTGTTATCTCTGCTACTTGGGAGGCTAGGCACAAGAATTGCATGAACCAGCCGGGTGCAGTGGCTCACACCTGTAATCCCGGCACTTTGGGAGGCTGAGGCAGGCAGATCACAAGATCAGGAGTTCGAGACCATCCTGGCTAACACGGTGAAATCCCGTCTCTACTAAAAATACAAAAAATTAGCCGGGCATGGTGGTGGGCGCCTGTAGTCCCAGCTACTCAGGAGGCTGAGGCAGGAGAATGGCATGAACCCGGGAGGCGGAGCTTGCAGTGAGCCGAGATCGCGCCACTGCACTCCAGCCTGGGCAACAAAGCGAGACTCTGTCTCAAAAAAAAAGAAAAAAAAAAAGAATTGCATGAACCTGGGAGGTAGAGGTTGCAGTGAGCCCAGATCGTGCCATTGCAGTGAAGCCTGGGTGACAGAGCAAGACTGTCAAAAAAAAAAAAAAGAAGAAGTAAGCTTAACACTCTTCTCCCTGCCCCGTATTAAGAATCCTAGTTGGAGGCTGGTTTCAGTGGCTCAAACTTGTAATCCCAGCTACTGGAGAGGCTGAGGCACAAGAATCGCTTGAACCCAGGAGGCAGAGGTTGCAGTGAGCCGAGATCTTTCACTACACTCCAGCCTGTGTGCCAGAACAAGACTCTGTCCCCCCCGCAAAAAAAAAAAATCTTAGTTGGAGATTAGGCACAGTGGCTCACCCCCATAAGCCGAGCACTGAGAGAGGCCCAGGAGGGTGGATCTCTTGAGCCCAGGGATTTGAGACCAGCCTGGGCAAAATGGTGAAACCCCATCTCTACAAAAAACACAAAATTTGGCCAGGCATGGTGGTACATGCCTGTAATCTCAGCTACTGGGGAGGCTGAGTTGAGAGGATCACATGAGCCTAGGAGATCAAGGCTATAGTGAGCAAATATTATGCCACTGTACTCCAGCCCGGATGACAGAATGAGACCCTATTTCAAAATAAAAATAAAAATAAAAAATCCTAGATCCTAGTGGGCTGGAATAACAGGTGAGTGGAGAGTCCTCTTCCCACTTTTCACACTTAGAAAGTCACTTAGGCTGGCAAGAGGGCAGTCACTAGAGCCCTTGAGACCTGGGAGGGAGCAGGTTTGATGAATTATTCATTTGGAATTTTTCCATTCCACCACCACCCCTCTGCTTCTCAATGTGAACTTAACTTCAGATCTGAGATCTGAGGACTTTCACCAGCCAACCTTGGACTCAAAGACAGAAGACAAGGATTAAAAAAGTAAACAAAAAAAAAATCAGAAATAAGGGCCAGGCAGAGGGTGCAGATCTGTGGTGGCTCACACCTGTAATCTCAGCACTTTGGGAGGCCAGGGCAGGAGGATCACTTGAGCCCATGAGTTTGAGACCAGCCTGGGCAACAAAGTGAGACTCTGGTTTCGATGAATAATACAAAAAATTAGCCAGGTGTGGTGGCACAGGCCTGTAGTAGTCCCAGCTACTAAGGAGGCTGAGGTGGGAGGATCGCTTGAGCCCTGAGAGGCCAAAGCTGCAATGAGCCATGATTGCACTCCAGCCTGGGTAAAAGAGCAAGACCCTGTATCAAAAAAAAAAAAAAAAAAAGACCGGAAATAAGATCAGAGCTCTCACCGAGTGGCAGCCAGGTGATCTAGAAAGAGTGTGGCACTGAAATGCACGCACAGGCCTCTTTTGTTTGGGATGTACCATGTGGTGAATCAGAGGAGAAATGGACAAGACTCCACTCAGACACTCAGAGTGGAAGGAGGCAAATGGTGCTAATATTAAGAACAAAGAAACAGCTAACATTTCCCAGCCCTCACTATGTGCCTGCCAGGCATCGGCCTAAGCACTGCAAATGGCATCAGACTGAGGGCGGCTCCTCCTGCCCCTTTACACACATCTTCCCCTCGGGCTACACCTGCTTCCCCCAGCACCGGCGGCATTGCCAAGTCGCATTTGCCTTTCCACACCCATGCCCACTGCCCTGACGCCCTTGCCCCTTGTACTCTTCCTGGCAAACTCCTATCCTATCTTTCTTCACGGGGTCCCTCCCAAGAAGGGCTCACTCGGCTCCCCAGCCATCGCTAGAATTGGAGATTCCTGGAGTGGGTTAGTGTCCATTTCTCTCCAATAGCCTCAGACAGAGCATCCCACAGAGAGGGCAGCGAGACCCTGTACCACACCCAATTCCCCATCTCACTGAGGGAGCTGCCAAGGCTCCCAGGCATTGTCACCCTGGTGAGTTACCAGAGCAAAGTCCAGGGACCCGAGCAGTCTGGCATGAGCGTAGGAGGAAGCAGATAGTGTGCTGGGTCCAAACTCTGATTTTGGACTGTGCCAGGCGATAAGAACAGAATTTCTGCAGATCAGGCCCGTCAAGGGCACCTGAAGGGCACAGGTGGGGACAGGAGCTGCACAATGCTAGATTCCAATGTTTTTCGTGCTCCAGAGAGGGGCTAGCCAAGTCATTCCAGGCAAGACCAAGTCATCCAGGCGTCAGTGAGGGTGCTGGGCTACCTCCCGGAAGAGAAGACGACAGAAAAGGAGTCCGGACAAAGCACCATCCAGTTGTCCAGAGCTAGATGTGCCTGAGGAACTGGCGGTTCCCAGAGTTGCGGTGTGGACAGGGATGGGGTGGGGGACGAAGCCGTGGGTGCTGCCCGGGGCCAGGGAGAGCGGGGCAGCGCACGGCTGGTGACAGGCTCAGCTCTGCACCGTGCAGAGGGAGGATCAGGGGCCACTGTTACCTCTGCAGTCGCTGCTGCCCATTCGGAGCCCCAGGCCGCCAAGGATGGTCTCGGACTGGCCGTCGCTGTACAGGAAGGCCGTGTCTATCTCGGTGTGGCCGCGCTCCAGGAAGGCGCGCGTGACTGCGGCGCTGGTGGGCGCGTCCATGCGGCGCCCCATCTCCATGGCGCCCAGCACCGTGGCTGGCCGGGCCCGCGACAGCTGCCGGGACATGACGGCGGCAACGGGAGACTGTGACAGCCCAGGAGCCGCGCGCAGCGGTCGGAAGCACCAGGCTCGGAGCGGGCGGCCTCGTGGCTTTAGGGACTGGCTCGGGCCGCGCCCACCGGTGGTGGAGCGGAGGGCGCGGCCAAAGGTGCCCAACGCCGCCCACGCGCTGGACTCCGCTCTCAACCACGAGGACCGTCTGCACTTGCACCGAGCAAGCAGCGAAATGGCTGTGGCTTCGTACCGGTGACTCGCGTCTTGGAGATTTTAACACTCCTCAAGTCCGCAAGGGTGAGGGGGTCCAAGGGTGGCGAAGATCCCAAAGGTCTGGGACTCCTCCCTGCCCCGTCGTCCCCCATCCCTCGGCCTCGCCCGCCCCGGAGCTGTCCCAGGTCTCTGTCTCCTCCAGGAGGGAGCTTAACGGGTGTGGTGGACCTAAGTAAGGGCTGTCCTGCCTGCCTGCCGTGTGGTCCTGGAGGATGAGGCTTACCAAAGGCTCAAAACAGCGTCCCCGTGGAGTGACATGGTTAAAGTCTTGAAAGAAAAGAACTGTTGGCATTGAATTCTGTACCTAAGTGAAACAAACAAACAAACTGACTGACTGTGGTGGTTTACGCCTGTAATCCCAACACTTTGGGAGATCAAGGCAGGACGATCGCCTGAGCCCAGGAGTTTGAATCCAGCCTGGGCAACATAGGGAGGCCCTGTCTCAAAAGAAAAAAAAAAAGAAGAAGAAGATAGAAAAATGGACCAACGCCCAGCTGCAGTGTGCTGTGATAGCTCCACTGCACTCCGCCCTGGGTGACAGAGGGCAAATCTGTCTCTAAATACAAAAAAAAAAAAAAAAGACCAATAGACAGATGGAACAAATGAAAAACCAATAGCAAGATTAATTTAAACCCAACCATATCAATAATTACATTAAATATAAATGAAAAAATGCTTACAAGTAAAAGGCAGAGATTGTTAGAATGGATAAAAAAGCAAAACACAAGTATATAGTAAATATTAGAAAGCTATTGAAATATATAAACAGAGATAAGTTAAAAGTAAAAAGATGCGCCAGGCGGAGTGGTTCATGCCTGTAATCCCAGCACTTTGGGAGGCCGAGGGGGGTGGATCACCTGAGGTCAAGAGTTGGAGACCAAGCCTGACTAACATGGAGAAACCCCATCTCTACTAAAAATACAAAATTAGCCAGGTGGGGTGGCACATGCCCGTAATCCCAGCTACTTGGGAGGCTGAGGCAGGAGAATCGCTGGAACCTTGGAGGCGGAGGTTGCAGTGAGCCAAGATCGCACCATTGCACTCCAGCCGAGGCAACAAGAGCGAAATTCCATCTCAAAAAAAAAAAGTAAAAAGGTGGGAAAAGACATACCTTGACAAAACTAAATTTTAAAAAGTTGGAATGGCTACATCAATATCAGACAAAGTAGGTTTCAAAACAAAAAATACTGGCCCGTATAGTGGTTGACACCTGTAATCTCAGCACTTTGGGAGGCTGAAAAGGGAGGATTGAGCCCAGGAGTTTGAGACCAGCCTGGGCAACACAGAGAGATGTTATCTCTACAAAAAGTTTTAAAAAGATTATCAAAATGTGGTAGCATGTGCCTGTGGTCCCAGTTACTCAGGAGGTTGAGGTGGGAGGATCACCTGAGCCTAGGAGGTCAAGGCTGCAGTGAGCTGTGATCATACCACTACACTCCAACCTGGGCAGCAGATTGAGACCCTGTCTCAAATCAACAACAAAAACAACAACAAGAAAAACTACCAAAGACAAAGAGGGACCTATCATAATGACAGAGGTCAATTAACAAAGAAAATATAATCGTCAATGTATATGCAAATAAAAATAGAGCATCAAATACATGAAAAACAATAATAGAACTTAAGAAGAAATAGACAAATACAAAATTATAGTTGGAGGTTTCAACACACCACTCTCAACAGTTGTAGAACAGTTGTCAGTCATAATTTACAGAAACTCGGTAAAGGTATAGAAGACTTGAACAGCCCAGGCGCCGTGGCTCACGCCTGTAATCCCAGCACTTTGGGAGGCTGAGGCGGGTGGATCACGAGGTCAGGAGTTCAAGATCAGCCTGGCCAAGATGGTGAAACCCCGTCTCTACTAAAAATGCAAAAAATTAGCCAGGCGTGGTGGCGGGCACCTGTAATCCCAGCTACTCGGGAGGCTGAAGCAAAGAATTGCTTGAACCCAGGAGGCAGAGGTTGCAGTGAGCCGAGATTGCGCCACTGCAGTCCAGACTAGGTGACAGAGCAAGACTCCATCTCAAAAAAAAAAAAAAAAAGACTTGAACAATGCTATTAACCAAGTCCATATAAACAACATGAATGGAATATCCAACAACAGCAGAATATGCATCCAAGTGCACATCCACCAAGATATACTATATTTTGAGGCATAAAACAAGTCTTAATAAATGCAAAAGAGGCCGGGCATGGTGGCTCATGTCTGTAATCCCAGCACTTTGAGATGCTGAGGCAGGCAGATCACTTGAGGTCAGGCGTTCCAGATCAGCCTGGTCAACATGGTAAGAACCCGTCTCTACTAAAAATATAAAAATTAGACAGGCATGTTGGCATGCACCTGTAATCTCAGCTACTCGAGAGGCTGAGGCAGGATAATCACTTCAACCTGGGAGACAGAGGTTGCAGTGAGCTGAGATCATGCCACTGCATTCCAGCCTGGACAACAGAGTGAGATTCCGTCTTAAAAAAAAATAACAAAAATAAATTAACAGGCCAGGTGTGGTGGCTCACTCCTGTAATCCAAACACTTTTGGAGGTTGAGGCAGGCAGATCACCTGAGGTTAGGGGTTCTCTAGATCAGCCTGGCCAACATGGTGAAACCCCATCTCTACTAAAAGTACAAAAATTAGCCGGGCGTGGTGGCTCATGCCTATAATCCCAGTTACTCAGGAGGCTGAGGCAGGAGAATCCCTTGACCCCAGCAGGTGGAGGCTGCAGTGAGCCGAGGTTGCACCACTGCACTACAGCCTGGGCAACAGAGTGAGACTCCGTCTCAAAAAAAAGAAAAGAAAAAAATAAACAAATAAATTTGAAAGGATTTAAATAATACAAAGTACATCTCTGAACACAATGGAATTAAACTAGAAAATAATAACAGAACTTAGAGCCTGAGAGGGAACTGAAAATAAGTAAATAGGTAAATAAATAAATAGAAGAAAAAGGAAAAATAGAAAATAATAACGGAGTGATGTCTGGAAAATCCCCACGTATTTGGAAATTAAATAACCCATGGATCAAAGATGTAATCTCAAGGAAAATTAGATCATAATTTGAACTGAATTAAAGTAAAAACATGACATGTCAAATTTTCTGAGATGCAGCCACAGTAGTGCTAAGAGGGAAATTTATAGCACCACTTTGACATACTATAAAAGAAGAAATATCTCAAATCAATAATGTAAGCATTTACTTTTTTTTTTTGAGACAAAGTCTCGCTCTGTTGTACAGGCTGGAGTGCAGTGGTGCGATCTCGGCTCACTGCAATCTCGGTGTCCCAGGTTCAAGCAATTCTCGTGCCTCAGCTCTCGAATAGCTGGAATTACAGGCATGTGCCACCACACCTGGCTAATATTTGTATTTTTAGTAGAGACAGCGTCTCGCCATGTTGGCCAGGCTGGTCTCGAACTCCTGGCCTCAAGGGATCCTCCCACCTCAGCCTCCCAAAGTGCTGGGATTACAGGCATGAGCCACTGCACCTAGGTGGGTCTTTTCTTTAATTAAGTTGTAAGAGTCCTGTATCTATTGCAGCTACAAGTTTCTTTACAGATATGTGATTTGCAAAATACTATCCCATTCTGTGGCTTGTCTTTTCACTTTCTTGATAGTTCTCTGAAGCACGAACATTCTAAACTTTGATGGTGTTGATTTTACTTTTTCTTTTGCCACGTGTGCTTTTGGTGTCAATATCTAAGAAACCACTGCCTAATCCAAAGTCATACTTACTCCAGTATTTTCTTCTAAGAGTTTTACAGTTTTACCTTATACATTTAGGTGGGTGATTCATTTGAGTTAGTTTTTTTGTGTGTGGTATGGGGAAGGGGTCTCAAACTCCTGGGTTCAAGAGATTCCCCTTGCCTGGGCCTCCCAAAGTTCTGGCATTTCAGGCATGAATGAACCACCATGACCGGCCTGTTTTGTTTTTTAAAAACAACTGTATTGGCCAGGCGCAGTGGCTCACACCTGTAATCCCAGCACTTTGGGAGGCCAAGGGCAGACAGATCATGAGGTCAGGGGATTGAGACCATCTGGCTAACATGATGAAACCGCATCTCTACTAAAAAATACATAAAAAATTAGCCAGATGTGGTGGCACACGCCTGTAGTCCCACCTACTTGGGAGGCTGAGGCAAGATAATTGGTTGAACCCAGGAGGCGGAGGTTGCAATGAGCCAAGATCGCGCCACTGCACTCCAGCCTGGGCCACAGAGTGAGACTCCATCTCAAAAAAGAAAAAAACAACAAAAACAAAAACAAAAACAAAAAAACTACTGTATTGAGACATAATTCAGACACTATACAGTTGACTTAAAGTGATGATTTAATGCTGTTTCATGTATTCAGAGGTGTACAACCATCACAATCAATTTCAGAGCATCCTCATAAGTGCACCCAAAAGAAACCCTGTACTTATTAGCAGTGAATCTCTATTTCCTCGCAAACCTCCTCCCGGTCCTAGGCAAGCACTCATCTACTTTCTCTCTCTCAAACAGATTTGCCTATTCTGGACATTTCATACAGATCAAATCATGCAATATGAAACCTTTTGCAATTGGCGTCTTTAATTTTACAAGTCTTCAAGGTGCATTTACCTTGTAGGTGTTTCATTACTTCATTTTATTTACTTATTTATGTATTTAGAAACATGGTTTGCTCTGTCACCCAGGCTGCAGTGCAGTGATGCATAATCATAGCTCACTCCAGCCTTGAATACCTGGGCTCAAGCAATCCTCCCACCTCGGCTTCCTGAGTAGCTGGGACTACAGGTGTGTGCCACAGAACCCAGCTAATTTTCTTTTTATGTTTACTAGAGACAAGGTCTCACTTCTATGTCCAGACTGGTCTGGAACTCCTGTCTTCAATTAATCCTCCTGCCTTGGCCTCCCAAAGTACTGAGATTACAGGCGTGAGCTACTTTTTTATTATTTTTTTTAACAGCCGAATAATAGTCTGTTGTATGAATATACCACATTTTGTTTATCCTTTCATTCATTGATGGACATTTGGGTTGTTTTTACTTATTGGCTATTATGAGTAATGATATTGTGAAAACTCATGCCCAAGTTTTTTGTGGGGAGATATGTTTTCACTTCTCTTGGCTATATACCCACAAGTGGAACTGCTGAATCCTATGGTAATTTTATGTTTAATCCTCTGAGGAACTGCCAAACTATTTTCCAAAGTGGTTGTACCATTTTACATTCCCACCATCAGCATATGAAGATTCCAGTTTCTCTACGGCACTTCTATCGTCTGTCTGTCTTACTACTCCCATCCTAGTGGGTGTGAAGTAGTGGAAACACATTGTGGTTTTTATTTTTATTTCCCTCATGGGTAATGATGTTGAGCGCTTTCTCATCTGTCTACTGACCATCTGTATATCTTTGCTAGAGAAAGTTCTATTTGGATCCTTTGTTCATTTTTCAATTGCATTATTGATATTGTTATTGTTGAATGATAAGAGTTCTTTATATAATTCAAGCTTGTCCAACCCACGACCCGCAGGCCGCATGCAGCCCAAAGATGGCTTTGAATGTGTGGCCCGACACAAATTCATAAACTTTCCCAAAACATTATGAGATTTTCTTGTGATTTTTTTTTTTAAGTTCATCAGCCATCGTTAGTGTGAGTGTATTTTATGTGCGGCCCAAGACAATTCTTCTTCTTCCAGTGTGGCCCAGGGAAACCAAAAGATTGGACACCCCTGGTCTAGACAGAACATCATCGGGTAAATGATTTGCAAGTATTTTCTCCCATTCTGTGGGTTGTCATTTCACTTTCTTTATGGAGTCTTTAAAGTAAAAGAGTTCTAAACTTTGATGATGTCCAATTTAATTTTTCTTTTGTTGTTTGTGCTTCTGAGGAACAATTCCCCAATCCAAGGCCACAAGACTTATCTCTATATTTTCTTTTTCTTTCTTTGAGACAGACAGAGTCTTGCTCTGTCACCCGGGCTGGAGTGGAGTGGCACAATTTTGGCTCGCTGCAACCTCTGCCTCCTGGGTTCAAGTGATTCCGGTGCCTCAGCCACCACAGTAGGTGGGATTACAGGAGTGTGCCACCATCCTGGCCCTGTATTTTCTTCTAAAAGTTTTTATACTTTTAGCCTATACATTTAGGTCTATGACTCACTTTGTGTTTATTTTCTTATGTATGGTATGAGGAAGGGGTCCAACTTCATTCTCTTACTTGCAAATATCCAGATGTTGTTGAAGATGGTTCTTTTCGTTTCTTTTCTTTTCTTTTCTTTTTTGAGACAGAGTCTTGCTCTGTCGCCCAGGCTGGAGTGCAGTGGCGTGATCTTGGCTCACTGCAAGCTCCACCTCCTGGGTTCACACCATTCTCCCGCCTCAGCCTCCCGAGTAGCTGGGACTACAGGCACCCGCCACCACGCCCAGCTAATTTTTTGTATTTTCAGTAGAGACGGGGTTTCACTGTGTTAGCCAGGATGGTCGCGATCTCCTGACCTCATGATCCGCCTGCCTCGGCCTCCCAAAGTGCTGGGATTACAGGTATGAGCCACCGCGCCCGGCCTAAAGATGGTTATTTTCCTTGTTGAATTGTCTTGACGCTCTTTAAAATTAATTGACAATACCATGAAAGGGTTTACTGCTGGACTCTAAATTCTAGTCCATTGATTTATGTCTAGCCTTATGCTAGGACCACACTGTCTTTAGCATTGTAGTTGTTTTTTCTGTTTGTTTTTTGTTTTGTTTTGTTCGGAGAATGGAATCTCACTCTGTCACCCAGGCTGGAGTGCAGTGGCCTGATCTCGGCTCACTGCAACCTTCATCTCCCAGATTCAAGCAATTCTCCCTGCCTCAGCCTCCCGAGTAGCTGGGATTACAGGCGCCTACCACCACGCCCGGCTATGTAGTTTTGTAGTAAGTTCTGAAATCAGAAAGTGGGAGTCCTCCAACTGTGTTCTTTTTCAAGCATGTTTTGGGTATCCTGGGTGCCCTGAATTTGCTATGAATTTTAGAACCAGTTTTCCAACTTCTGTGTTCTCAAAAAAAAGCTGGCTGGGTGTGGTGGCTCATGCCTGTAATCCCAGCATTCGAGGCACCAAGTGGGGCACATCAACTGAGGTCAGGAGTTCAAGACCAGCCTGGACAACATGGCAAAACCCAGTCTCTACAAAAATACAAAAATTAACCAGGTGGGTGGCTCACACCTGTAATCCCAGCTACTCAGGAAGCTGTGGCAGGAGAATCACTTGAACCCAGGAGGTGGAGGTTGCAGTGAGCCGAGATTGCACCACTGCACTCTAGCCTGGGAGGCAGAGCGAGACTCTATATCAAAAAATTAAAAAAATAAAAATAAATAAAAAAGCCAGTTGGGATTTGGACAAAGATTATGTTGAATTTTCTTATCATCTTGGGGATTTTGTCATTTTAAGCAATTGAATTTTGCCCAAGGCCCTGGAAGCCCACCCCTTGCACCAGTGTGCCCAGGATGTGGGATATGGAGTCAAAGATTATTTTGGAGCTTTACATTTTCACGCCTGCCCTACTGGGTTTCAGACTTGCGTGGGCCTGTTGCCCCTTTCTTTTGGCTGATTCCCCTTTTGCAATGGGAATCTTACCCAGTACGGGTACCACCACTGTATCGTGGAAGCAAATGACTTGTTTGATTATACAGGTTCATAGGTGGATGAAACTTGCCTTGAGTCCCAGATGAGACTTTGGCCTTATGATTGAGTTGATGCTGAAACAAGTTAAGACTTTGGGTGACTATTGGGAAGGGATGACTGTACTTTGCAATGTGAGAAGAACATGACATTTGCGGGGGGGTGGTACTGGTACAATGATATCATCAGGGTATTTTGTCCCCTCCAAATCTCATGTTGCAATGTGATCCCCAATGTTAGAGGTGAGCCTGGTGGGAGGGGTTAGGGTATGGGGGCAAATCCCACATGAATGGCTTGGTGCCATCTGTATAGTAATGAGTGAGTTCCAGCTCTATGAGTTCACACAGGATCTGGTTGTTTAAAAGAGCCTGGAATTTCCTCCCCTGTCTGTCTCTTGCTCCCTCTCTCACCATGTGACACGCTGGCGCCGCTTCCCCCTCTGCCATGACTGTAAGCTTCCTGAGGCCCTCACCAAGAGCAGATGCCGGCACCACACCCCCTTGTACAGACTGCAGAGTGGTGAGCCAAATAAACCTCTTTTCTTTATAAATGACCCAGTCTCAGGTATTCTTTTATAGCAACGCAAACAGACTAACACACAGCACCCTGGGAGTTTTATTCTTCATTTGGTGGTGACTCTTCTATTAGGTTTTTGTCCAAATACTTCCATCCCTAAGAATTTACTGAGGCAGTTCTAAATTAAAGAAAATGTGAGTAACAAAAGATGTTACAGAAGAGCCTTGGGCAGCCTGAGAAACGATGGGCCTAGCGGAAGTAGTTGGGACATTCGTGAGTAACCAAATGCCAGGCTTGATTAAAGGCGTCCACGACAGCCGGCTCCAGGGGCCCTTCCTCTGCCGCTGCCAAGTTCTGCTCCAGCTGCTCCAGGCTGGACATGCCCAGGATGACCGCGTCCCCGTGGGCACCCTGCAAGGGAGACGGCCAGACTTCAACCCTCTTCTGCTGCACAGCGACTCTACTCACAGCCGTCCCAGCCACCTCCCTGCTGAGATTTGGGATCTCTTGTATCCCATATGTCCAGAAAGAACTTAAGGTGCCTTGGATAGCTGTACCCATGTGACGCAAAACCTGTATCCCTTCCCCTACTGCCACACGACGCTTCCAGACAGACCTACATTCACAGCCCAGTTCTGCCCCCCAGCAGCTGTGTAAACGCGGCTAAGTTATTAAACCTCTCTGAGATTCAATCCTCTTTTCTATTTTCAACATGGTTATGGGTGTGAAAAATTATGTAGAGCACTTAGCTCCCATTTATTGAGCACCTACTGTATATATGCCAGACACTATTGCAACATCTAAGGCTGGAGTTGGATATAAGTGAGGAAGACATGAGGCACTGAGAGAGGGAAACTCCAGCTCCCACCAAAAGGATGAGACTAGTGGGCTTTACAGTTAAACCTGTGTTAAAATGTCTGCCCCTTTCATAGCTGGGTGAAACTCAGTTTCCTCGTCAATAACACTGGGATAGTCATTTCATAAAGCTGAAGGAATAATGAAATCCCTGCAATGAAGCTCTCATTACAAAGCCTGGCACTCAGATACCATCAAAGACCAATGAGAAGGCCGAGCGCAGGGGCTCACGCCTATAATCCCAGCACTTTCAGAGGCTGAGGAGGGCGAATTGTCTGAGTTCAGGAATTTGAGACCAGCCTGGGCAACATGGTGAAACCCTGTCTCTACTACAAATACAAACAATTAGCTGGGCATGGTGGCGCACGCCTGTAATCCCAGCTACTGGGGAGGCTGAGACAAGAGAGTTGCTTCGGCCCAAGAGGCAGAAGTTGCAGTGACCCGAGATCATGCCACTGCACTCCAGCCTGGGTGACAGAGTGAGACTCTGTCCCCCCAAAAAAAAAACATAGAAAAAGACCAGTGGGAAGAATGTTTGTGAGAGTTGAAAGAAAGAGAAATTTCAGAGGAATCGATAAACAAATGTTTCAGCCTTCATCTAAAGATATTGCTGGTTCCCCTGGAAGGGAAGAAGCTGAGCGCACAGGGTCACTGGTTACCTGCAGCTGTGAGTGGTGGTACATCCACCGGAGGGTGGCCGAGGTCATGCTGGGGGCGCTGGCGCCATACGCGGCCTGCAGGGCCTTCTCCACCAGGGCAATGCCCTCAAAGTGGTGCTCCTTCCAGTAGCTGGGAAGGGGGGACGGTGGCACAGGTGTCAGGGCCACATTGGGAGCCACAACCAAAGAGCCAACCAGGGCCACTGTCCCACCCCACACCCTGCAGCCCTGAGGGGCAGGTGTTCTCTCTAGCCATGGGTCTCCCACTTTGCTGGGCAAGAGAACCACTCAGGATGCTGGGCCCCTCAGCAGAGACCTCAACAAATCTTTATTCCTGAGGACTCATCAGCCTGCTCTTATTTTCCTTAGGGACACAAAGGCCGCTAAGATGGGTCAGGACTCAGCCCCAGGCCTCCTGGACCTCCCTCCAGAGCTCCTTCTTTCCTTCCTAGCAGGTGATTGCTCAGGAAAGAGCAACGACTTCAAGACCCCGAGGTCCAGGGAGTCTCCTTTCCTCCTGGAGGTCCCAAGACAACAAGAAAACCGATGGAGGGTTTGGAAATTCCCGAAGAAATTCAGGGGAGTAGGTGCAGCAGCGAGGAAAGGCCTTACCCCAGGAGCAGCCCAGGACTTCATTCCACATAAAGCTGACCCCACCCCAGCCATCCACACCAAGCACCCACAGCTTACCGATTCCTGTACATCTCTGCCCAGGTATTCCCAAAGAAGCGGCCCACGGGCTGTTTCCCATTCTTGTCCTCATACTTGTACTTGCCGGTCAGCAGGCCCCCTGAGGGAAAGCAGCAATCAGCCCCGGGGCCTAGAGTGCCCCAGAAGCTGCCACATCCCTCAGGGCTCTGGTCTAGGGGAGGGGCAGGGACCCAGGAGGGCTGAAGATGCAGCCTTTACGTCTTTGACCTCAGAGGTCAAAGTTTGTCAAACCCTCCTTGCTTCCCAGGTCCTGGGCTGGGCATCTGTGGGTCGGGAATAGGCTGAGACAGGGCCAGGAATGCTCCACGTACCAGCCAGAGGGTTGAAGGCATAGAACCTCAGTCCAAAGTGCCTGAGGCAGGGGAAGAGCTCCGTTTCCACCTGCCGGGTGATGGCATTGTACATGCCCTGTAAGGAGAGGGGCCCCGGGGGAGAGGGTGGATGTGTCAAAAGAAGAGACTTCAAAATTACCCTTCCAGAACCCTTATTTCAGACCTTAACAATTCTAGGACTTTAACCGTCTGGGCGTATACTTATTCTAACTGGTGCTGGTGAAAGAAGCTTATGCCCATGGAAAATTCATTCATTCTGCCAACTTTCATGAGCACCAACTATGGGCTGGTTGTCAGATTTAGATTCTTAAGCCAAAAGGACAGGGTCCCTTCCCTCAAGGTTTTATAATAAGGTCAAGTATAAACAGTTATAATCAAGTCATGAGGCAATCATAATAGACTAGAAAGTTCTGTGACCAGTGCCTGGCACCAAGCAGGTGTGCAAATATTTGTGCAATGAATCATGAGGAGGTAAACAAGGACCTGAGGTCTCAGGGTCTTCTGGGCCCATCTAGAAAGGCTTCCAGAGGAAGAGACACGTATGTGAGACCTGAACCATTCTCTCACGGAAGGGGCGGTGGTGGGGGAAGGGCTTGTTCCAGGCTGAGTGCAGGGGAAGGTAGGGAAGGAAGGGTCCAAGGTGCACAGATAGGCAGGAAGGAAGCAGATGCCCAGTGGCCAGCCTGAGGAGCTTGAATGGCATCCTGAGGGTACCTGGGAGCCATCTGCAGGCTTTCAGCAGGGGAGTGGCTGCTATGCAGAGGGCACAGGGGGCAGTCAGAGGGGCAAAGACAGCCCAGGATGAGCAGGAGTTCTGGAGACCTTGGCCTCTGCAGCCCTGGCTCTCACCTGGTACACAGTGGGCAGGATCCAGCCGTTGCTCTTGCAGAGGGTACAGATCTCGGCCACTTCCCAGGCTGCATAGTTGGAGAGGCCAAGCTCCACGAACTTGCCCTGCTCAGGTGAGGCTCCAGTCAGAACATAGTGCAGCCCAGACCAGGAAAGGGAGGCCAGGGTGGGGCCCCTGGGAGTTGGGCTGTTCCCTGCTCCACCCTGGAACAGCCCTGGTGCCTCTGCTCTCACCATTAGGATCAGGATAAGGAGAGCAGCAGTGGACCACCTCCCAGAGCTCAGGGGTCCCCTCACCTCCTGGTGCAGCTGGTGGCAGGCACGCAGTGTCTCTTCCACCGGGGTGCTGTGGTCTGGCATATGCAGGTAGAAGAGGTCCACTCGGGGACACTGCAGCCGCTTCAGTGACGTCTCCAGCTGGAACCGGAGACTGTCAGGCTTCAGGGAGTTCCCAAACAGTGGAATGGCCTTGGTATCAATTTTCACTGAGAGGAAAGAGAAATGAAATTCAGGGCCAGGCGCCGTGGCTCATGCCTGTAATCCCAGCACTTTGGGAGACTGAGGCAGGCAAATCAGAAGGTCAGGAGTTCAAGACCAGCTGGACCAACATGGTGAAACCCCATCTCTAATAAAAACACAAAAATTAGCTGGGCATAGTGGAGCCCGCCTGTAGTCCCCAGCTAGTCCGGAGTCTGAGGCAGGAGAATTGCTTGAACCCGGGAGGCGGAGGTTGCAGTGAGCCGAGATTGTGCCACAGCACAATGTCTCACAGAGTGAGACTTCTCAAAAAACAAACAAACAAACAAAACAAACAACAAAAAAAAAGAATCTTAGTTCCTAGTGAACTGGACTAACAGGTGAGTGGAGAGTCCTCTTCCCACTTTTCACACTTAGAAAGTCACCTAGGCTGGCAGGAGGGCAGTCACTGGAGCCCTTGAGGCCTAGCAAAGAGCAGGTTTGAGGAACTATTCATATGGAATTTTTCCATTCCACCACCACCCCTCTGCTTCTCAATTGAATTTAACTTCAGATCAGATCTGAGGACTTTCGCCAGCCAACCTTGGACTCAGACAGAAGACAAAGAAGGATTAAAAAAGGAAAGAAAAAAAAATCAGAAATAAGGGCCAGGCAGAGGGTACAGATCTGTGGTGGCTCACACCTGTAATCTCAGCACTTTGGGAGGCCAGAGCAGGAGGATCACTTGAGCTCAGGGGTTTAAGACCAGCCTGGGCAACAAAGTGAGACTCCAGTTTCAATGAATAATACAAAAAATTAGCCGGGTGTGGTGCTACTGTAGTAGTCCCAGCTACTCAGGAGACTGAGGTGGGAGGATGGCTTGAGCCCTGAGAGGTCAAAGCTGCAATGAGCCCTATCGCACCACTCCACTCCAGCCTGGGCAAAAAAGCAAGACCCTGTCTCAAAAAAAAAAAAAAAATCAGAAATATGGTTAGAGCTCTCACTGAGTGGCAGCCGGGTGATCTAGAAAGAGCGTGGCACTGGGATGCACGCACAGGCCAGGTTCGTTCTGGATCTACCATGTGGTGAATCAGAGGAGAAATAAGACTCCACTCAGACACTCAGTGGAAGGAGGCAAATGGTGCTAATACTAAGAACAAACAAACAGCTAACATTTCCCAGCCCTCACTATGTGCCTGCCAGGCATCGGCCTAAGCACTGCAAATGGCATCAGACTGAGGGCGGCTCCTCCTGCCCCTATACACACATCCTCCCCTCCGGCCACACCTGCCTCCTCCAGCACCCGCGGCATTGCCAAAACACATTTGCCTTTCCACACCCATGCCCACTGCCCTGACGCCCTTGCCCCTTGTACTCTTCCTGGCAAACTCCTATCCATTCTTTCTTCACGGGGTCCCTCCCAGGAAGGGGTCACTCTGGGCTCCCCAGCCATCTCTAGAACTGGAGCTTCCTGGAGTGGGTTAGTGTCCATTTCTCTCCAATAGCCTCCGACAGAGCCTCCCACAGAGAGGGCAGTGAGACTCTGTACCACCCCAATCCCTCATCCCCCTGAGGGAGCTGCCAAGGCTTCCGGGCACTGCCACCCTTGTGAGGTGCCCTTGTGAGTACCACAAGGTACTCAGAGCAAAGTCCGGGGCCCCGAGCAGGCTGGCATGTGCAAAGGAGGAAGCAGATAGTGTGCTGGGTCCAAACTCTGATTTTGGACTGTGCCAGGGAGTGCCAGGCGGTAAGAACAGAATTTCTGCAGATCAGGCCCGTCAAGGGCACCTGGAGGGCACAGGTGGGGACAGGAGCTGCACAATGCCAGATCCCAGTGTTTTTTGTGCTCCAGAGAGGGGCTAGCCAAGTCATTCCAGGCAAGACCAAGTCATCCAGGCGTCAGTGAGGGTGCTGGCTACCTCCCGGAAGAGAAGAGAGACGAACAGAAGAGAAGACGAGAGAAAAGTTGTCCGGAGCTAGACGTGCCTAAGGAGCCTGGTGTTCCCAAGGCTGCGAGGTGAACAGGGGTGGGGGCGGTGGGGGGGACAAAACTTTGGGTGCTGCCCCGGGGCCAGGGAGAGCGGGGCGGTACACGGCTGTGGACAGGCTCAGCTCTGCACCGTGCAGGGGGAGGATCAGGGGCCACTGTTACCTCTGCAGTCGCTGCCGCCCAGCCGGAGCCCCAGGCCGCCAAGGATGGTCTCGGACTGGCCCTCGCTGTACACGAAGGCCGTGTCTATCTCGGTGTGGCCGCGCTCCAGGAAGGCGCGCGTGACTGCGGCGCTGGTGGGCGCGTCCATGCGGCGCCCCATCTCCATGGCGCCCAGCACCGTGGCTGGCCGGGCCCGCGACAGCTGCCGGGACATGACGGCGGCAACGGGAGACTGTGACAGCCCAGGAGCCGCGCGCAGCGGTCGGAAGCACCAGGCTCGGAGCGGGCGGCCTCGTGGCTTTAGAGACGGGCTCGGGCCCCGCCCACCGGCGGGTGCAGCTGAGGGCGCGGCCGAAGGTGCCCGACGCCGCCCACGAGCTCGACTCCACGCTCGGCTACTAGGACCTTCTGCACTTGCACCGAGCAAGCAGCGAAATGGCTGTGGCTTCGTACCGGTGACTCGCGTCTTGGAGATTTTAACACTCCTCAACGTCCCCAAGGGTGAGGGGGTCCAAGGGTGGCGACTATCCCAAAAGGCGGGGACTCTTCGGGCCTCCCTGCCCCGTCGTCCCTCCTTCCTCGGCCTTGCCCCGGAGCTGTCCTGGGTTTCTGTCTCCTCCCGGAGGGAGCGCTTACGGGGTGGGGTGGACCTAGGGCTGTCGCGCCTGCCGTGTGGTCCTGGAGAATGAGGCTTACCAAAGGCTCAAGACAGCGTCCCCATGGAGTGACATGGTTAAAGTGTTGAAAGAAAAGAACTGTTGGCATTGAATTCTGTACCTAAGTGAAAAAAAACTGACTGGCTCTGGTGACTTAACGCCTGTAATGCCAACACTTTGAGAGATCAAGGCAGGAGGATCACTTGAGCCCAGGAGTTTGAACCCAGCCTGGGCAACATAGGGAGGCCCTGTCTCAAAAGAAAAAAAAAAAGATAGAAAAATGGACCAGTGCCCAGCGGCAGTGAGCTGTGATAGCTCTACTGCACTCCACCCTGGGTGACAGAGGGCAAATCTGTCTCCAAATACAAAAGAAAAAAAAAGACCAATAGACAGATGGAACAAATGAAAAACCAATAGCAAAATTGATTTAAACCCAATCATATCAATAATTACATAAATATAAATGATGTAAATGCTCACAAGTAAAAGGCAGTGATTGTTAGAATGGATAAAAAAGCAAAACCAAACTATATGGTAAATACCAGAAAGCTATTCAAATATAAAAGCAGAGATAGTTTAAGAGCAAAAAGATGGGAAAAGACATACACTGACAAAACTAAATTTTAAGAAGTTGGAATGGCTAAGTGAATATCAGACAAAGTAGATTGCAAAACAAAGAATACTGGCCCACACAGTGGGTGACATACTAGCCCACACCTGTAATGTTAGCACTTTGGGAGCCTGAGAAGGGAGGATTGCTTAAGTCCAGGAGTTTGAGACTAGCCTGGGCAACACAGGGAGATCTTATCGCTACAACAAAATTTTAAAAATTATCAAATTGTGGTAGCATGCACCTGTGGTCCCAGTTACTTGGGAGGCAGAGGTGGGAGAATCATCTACGCCTGGGAGGTCGAAGCTGCAGATTGAGACCCTGTCTCAAAACAGCAACAACAACAACAACTACCAAAGACAAAGAGGGACATACCATAATGACAAAGAGGTCAATTAATAAAGAAGATATAATTCTAAATATATATGCACCTAAGCATAGATCATCAAAATACATGAAAAACAATAATGGAACTAAAGAACAAGTAGATAAATACAAAATTATAATTGGAGATTTCAACACACCATTCTCAATAGTTGTAGAACAGTTATCAGTCATAATTTACGGAAACTCCGTAAAGGTATACAAGACTCAATGCTATGAACCAATTCCACATAAACAACATGAATAGAATATCCAACAACAGCAGGATATGCATTCTTTTCAAGTGCCCATCCACCAAGATATACCATATTTGGAGGCATAAAACAAGTCTTAATAAATGTAAAAGAGGCTGGGAGCGGTGGTTCACGCCTGTAATCCCAGCACTTTGGGAGGCCAAGGCATGTGGATTAACTGAGGTCAGGAGTTTGAGACCAGCCTGGCCAACACAGTGAAACCCCGTCTCCACTAAAAATACAAAAATTAGCTAGGCGTGGTGGCGTGCCCCTGTAATCTCAGCTACTCAGGAGGCTGAGGCAGGAGAATCACTTAAACCTGGTTGGTGGAGAGTGCAGTAAGCCGAGATCAGGCCATTGCACTCTAGCTTGGGCAACAGAGTGAGACTCCATATTAAAAATAAATAAATAAATAAATAAATAAATTTGAAAGGATTCCAATCATACAAAGTACATCTCTGAACACGATGGAATTAAACTAGAAAATAATAACACAGGCTGGGTGCGGTGGCTCACACCTTTAATCCCAGCACTTTGGGAGGCCAAGGTGGGCAGATCACTTGAGGTCAGAAGTTCAAGACCAGCCTGTCCAATATGGTGAAACCCCATCTCTACTAAAAATACAAAAAAATTAGCCGAGCATTGTGGTGTGTGCCTGTAATCCCAGCTACTCAGGAGGCTGAGGCAGGAGAATTGCTTAAACCTGGGAGGCGGAGGTTGCAGTGAGCCAAGATCGCACCACTGCACTCCAGCCTGGGTGACAGAGAAAGACTCTACCTCAAAAAAAAAAAAAAAAGAAAGAAAGAAAAAAAGAAAAGAAAAGAAAAGAATAACAGAATTTAGAGCCTGAGAGGGAACTGAAAATAAGTAAATAAGTTAACAAATAGAAGAAAAAGGAAAAATAGAAAATAATAATGGAATGATATCTGGAAAATCCCCACATATTTAGAAATTAAATAACCCATGGGTCAAATATGTAATCACAAGGAAAATTAGATCATATTTTGAACTGAATGAAAGTAAAAACAGGACATATCAAATTTTCTGAGATGCAGCCACAGTAGTGCTATGAGGGAAATTTATAGCACCACTTTGACATATTACAAAAGAAGAAATATTTCAGATCAATAATGTAAGCATTTACTTTTTTTTTTTTTTTTTTTTGAGACACAGTCTCACTCTGTCACACAGGCTGGAGAGCAGTGGTGCAATCTCAGCTCCCTGCAACCTCAGCCTCCTGGGTTCAATCAATTCTCATGTCCCAGTTTCCTGAGTAGTTGGAATTACAGGCATGCACCACCATGCCCGGCTAATTTTTGTATTTTTAGTAGAGAAGGGGTCTCACCATGTTTGCCAGGCTGGTCTTGAACTCCTGGCTTCAAGGGATCCTCTCGCCTCAGCCTCCCAAAGTGCTGGGATTACAGGTGTGAGCCACTGCACCGGCCGAGGCTTGTACTTTAAGAAACCACAAAAGGAAGAGTCAAGTAAAACCAAAATTAGCAGAAGAAAGGAAATAATAAAAATAATAGCCAAAATAGGCTGATGTGGGAGAATCGTTTGAACCCGGGAGGCAGAAGCTGCAGTGAGCCAAGATCACTCCTCTGCACGCCAGCCTGGGAAACAGAGCAAGACTCCATCTCAAAGAAAAAAAAAAGCCAAAATAAATGAAATATAAAACAAAAACATCAGCAAAAGTCAGTAAAACCAGAAGTAGTTCTATAAACACATCGCTAAAGTTGATAAACCTCTGGCTAGACTGATCAGGAATAAAAGAGAGAATACACAGATTAACCACACCAGAAAGAGCAGAAGAGACACCACTACAAATTATACAAATTTATCATTTTAAGTGATATTTAAATGTCATTAAATGACATTAAATGACATTTTAAATGACAATAGGGTAGATTATTAAAACCTTTATGTGAATACATTTAGTAAGTTAGATGAAATGGACAATTTCCTTGAAAAACACAAACTACCAAAGTTTATGTTTGGAAAATGAGTAAGGAATGTGTTTGGAAAATGAGTAAGGAAAAATGAGACAGCCGGGCGCAGTGGCTCATGCCTGTAATCCCAGCACTTTGGGAGGCCGAGGCAGGCAGATCACTTGAGGTCAGGAATTGGAGACCAGCCTGGTCAACATGCTGAGACCCCATCTCCACTAAAAATCCAAAAATTAGCTGGGTGTGGTGGTGTGTGCCTATAATCAGTTACTTGGAAGGCTGAGGCAAGGAGAAACGTTTGAACCCAGGAGGCAGAGGTTCCAGTGAGCCAAGATCATACCACTGCACTCCAGCCTGGGCGACAGAGCCAGGCCCCGTCTAAAAAAATAAAAAAAACAACAACCTGAATTTTTTTTTTTTCTTAAGACAGGGTCTTGCTTTGTCTTCTGAGTTCAATGGTGCAATCATAGCTCACTGCAGCCTCAACGTCCTGGGCTCAAGCGATCCTTCTGCCCAAGCCTCCCAAGTAGCTGGGACTACAGGTGCACCTCAATACACCTGGCTAATTTTGTAAAAATATTTTTGTAGAGACAGGGTCTCGCTATATTGCTCAGGCTGGTTTCAAACTCCTGGGTTCAAGTATTCTTCCTGCCTCACCCTCCCAAAGTGCTGGAATTACAAGTGTGAGCCATCTCGTCTAGCCCAGATATTGAATTCTTGATAAAAAAAAATATTTCCACAAAGAAAACTCCAGGTCTACATGGCTTCATTGGACACTTAAGGAAGAAACAACATCAATTCTGGACAAATGTTTCTAGTATATAGAAGAGGAGAGGTCACTTACCAACTCATCTTGAAGCTAGCATTACCAGATACCAAATGACACAAAGATGTTACAAGAAAAGAAACTACACACATATCCTTCATGGATCTAGACACAAAATCCTCTTTATTTTTTTCAAAAATCCTTTTAAAATTTAGCAAAATGAATACAGTAGTAAATACAAACAATAATGCACCATGACCAAGTTAGTTTCATCCCAGGAATACAAGGTTGGCTTAATATTTTAAAATCAATCAATATAATTTACTATACTAACAGGCTATAAGACAAAACCCATATCACCATCTCAATAGATGCAGAAAAAGCATTTGACAAAATTTAATACCTATTCATGAAAGGAAAATAAACCTCTCAGCCAATTAGGAATAGAAGGGAATTCCTGAAACTGATAAAGGGCATCCATAGGCCAGGAGCAGTAGCTCATGCCTATAATCCCAGACTTTGGGAGGACAAGATGGGCGGATTGCTTGAGCCTAGGAGTTCAAGACCAGTGTGGGCAACATAGCAAGACCCTTCTCTACAAAAAATAAAATAATTTTTAAAGGGCATACACAAAACACCTACAGCTAATATACTTAATGATGAAATCAGAAAGTTTTGCCCTAAGATTGGGAACCAATGATGTCCACTCTTATTCAACATTGTATTGAAGATACCAGTTATTTCAATATATTTCTTTGTTGTTGTTGTTTGTTTTTTTTTGGGGGGGGGGGTGGGGGACAGGGTCTTGCTCTGTCACCCAGGCTGTAGTGCAGTGGCATGGTCTTGGCTCACTGCAGCCTTGACCTCCTCCTGAGCTCAAGAGATCCTCCTACTTCAGCCTCTGGAGTAGCTGGGACTACAGGTGCACACCACCACAGCTGGATAATTTTCTGAGTGCCAGTAGTGGCAACAACTCAATCACTAATATTCAGTGTTGATGGAGCAAGCTGGGTGTGGTGGCACGTGCCTGTAGTCCCAGCTACTCAGGAGGCTGAGGCAGGAGAATCACTTGAACCAGGGAGGCAGAGGCTGCAGTGAGTTGAGATTGCACCACTGCATTCCAGCCTGGACAACAGAGCGAGACTCTGTCTCAAAAAAAATAAATAAATAAAAATAAAAATAAAAATTTTTACCCTTTTGACAGCATGTCAGGCTTCTGGGTTCTGTTCCCCGAGCTCAACCCTAAGCCAAGCATTTTAAGGTTTGAGGAAATTAACTTCTCCCAGTTTGGAGGAACATTATAGAAGAAGAGATAGGAGCCATTTTAAATCATGAATGAAGGAAGGAAAAATACCATAGAAAAGTCTGGGGGTTTGGGTGGTAGAATTGGAGAAGCTGACAATGTGAAAGGGAGGGAGGAAGGGCCAGGGCATCTGGAAGTTTCATTTGAGGGGTTCCTGGGAGTTTGTTTCTCTAGTTTTGGGGAATCATTCCCTTTGGGCCTGTCTGATATGACTGCTGAAAGAGCTGAGTCCATTGTGCAATGCTTGCAAAGGTCTAGTAAGAAGGCCATGCTCTTGTGCAAAAGAAAATGAGCTGTTTTTTCTTCCAAATCTCAGAGTCAAAGGAGTCCCAGTGCTTCAGAACGCACTCCAGAGGAGGGGAAGGGGAAGACAGTGAGGGCGCCACCCCTACTGTTTTCCCTCCTTGGTTCCTGGGTCCCAGCATCTTGTTAAACATGCCTCCCATGGTTGCAGGTGTGACCCCCAGCCATGGAACCAGAGGAACTAAGTGATTGGGGTTAGTCATGCTTACCCATGTGACTCTAGTCCTGCACTTATGATTTCCTTTTGACTTCCAAGACTTGTGTGACCTGTGTGGCTCCCTGAAAAATGGATCTTGGGAGAGACTATGTAACAGTTGCATTTAGGCAACTGTTGTATTTCCCTCCATAATGGAGGAAGTGTGCTGGTTTGAGCTCTATATCCTGCTATTATGACTCGTGCTAAAGTACCCTTAGAGAATGGTTCCAGTTAACTTCCGGACTTAAATTACCCTTACTATTTAAGTACTATTTTAATTACAAGCAGAATAGGTGCCTTAAAAAAAACATAGGAACCAAATGGCTATTTTCCTGCTGATGGGACAGTATTGAGACTAAAATTTGGTTTTGGAGGACATTTTCCTCCTTATTGTTGAAGACAGAGTTTTCCCATTTATGGAAGTAGCATAAAGCCTGGTGTCCAGCAGAGGGGTGCAAAAAGGGAGGAGAATTGGGAAGCCAGAGTGTTTTGGCAAAGGGCTGACAATGTGCCTCATGGAGAGGATTCCTATGCCACTGGGTAGGGCCGTTGACCTTTAAATGCCATGTGCTCTCCAGACCAAGGGCAGAGAGAGACCTCACTATGGGGAGAGGAGGGGAAGACCCACTGTTCCTAGAAAATCACAAAAATGGCATTGCCTTGAGCTCTACCTCAGTTACTACGGTATTTCCTGATCTTGCCTAACAGGATTACTTCCTTGAACTGTAAAAATTCCCACTGCTTCAGAATGTTCTCCCCAGCAAGCCTGTCCCCCAAGTCTTGTAAGGCTGCCAGCCACACTAATCATTTTTAAATAGCTGAAGGGGGCCCAGTATTTGATTTGATTTTAAAATGGAGGCCAAGAACCTTGAAATGAAAGGACATGGTTGAGGTCCACTCCTGTCCTCACTGTTCTGATGATGATACCTTGATCCCACCTGGGGCCCCAAAATGAAGCAGTGTCGTTCATCTGGGGTAAGACCCAAGGATCATTGCCTCATGCCAAGGAATGAAGCAGTGTCGTTCATCTGGGGTAATACCCAAGGTTCACTGCGTCATGCCAAGGAAGTCAAGGACACGAACACATGTGAAGTGAGGTTAAGAGCAGAGGTTTAATAGGCAAAAGAAAAAGAGAATAGCTCTCTCTCCTGCAGAGAGAGGGGCACCTGAGTGGGTCTTCCAGCCTGCAGCAGCATGCACAAGGACAGGCATGAGGAGGCAGTGTCTGATTTACATAGGGCTCAAAGATTGGTTGAAACAGGTGCGATGTTTACATAGTACAGGAAGAAGCTCCCCGCCCCACCCTAATCTATTTTGCAAATGGATTTTTTTTTTTTTTTTTTTTTTTTTTTTTTTGAGATGGAGGTTCACTCCTATTTCCCAGGCTGGAGTGCAGTGGTGTGATCTCGGCTCACTGCAACCTCCACCTCCCAAGTTCAACAGATTCTCCTGCCTCAGCCTCCTGAGTAGCTGGGATTACAGACGCCTGCCACTACACCCAGCTAATTTTTGTATTTTTAGTAGAGACACCATTTCAACGTGTTGGCCAGGCTGGTCTTGAACTTCTGACCTCAGGTGATCTGCCCGCCTCAGCCTCCCAAAGTGTTGGGATTATAGGCGTGTGCCACCGCACCTGGCCACAAATGGCTTCTCTACCTGGCTGGCGCCACGTTGCCTGCTCCTTACTGTACATGTGGTTGATAAAGAAAAAGGGGAGATGGAGCCACCATGTTGAACATGCCTAGCCTCCAGGGGGCCTTTTCCTATTGCCAGAGCTGCTGGCATTCACCCCTGCAAGCTTCCAGCTTGCTGATCTATGTCTGCAGCTTGATTTTACAGGCTGCACTTCGTTAGGAAAGAAATGATTCGGGGGCTGCTTTTCATTAAAAGGAAAACCTTACCAAGGACTTCCTTACCCTCACTATCTGCCTAAATAAGTTCTTAGATCACAGGGAGTGTCCAGTGTGCCCACTGGCCTCCAGATACCCAAGCCTGCAGATCACACACATCTCCACCTACTTCCAGTGCATCATTGCACTCACAAGGTTCAGAAGTTCCAGGACAGCCAGCCATGGAGCCTGTGGACAGGGAGTGCATCGTGAAGGTTGCCAAGGCAGTGGAGGCCCAGGTTATGGCAGCCCAGGAAATGAGCTGGGAGGAAAGCATTCAGGAACTGATGAGCATGGAGAAAGAAAGCACTTTGTAGGAACAGATGAGGAAGACGTGGGGGATGATGTACAGAAGTTACAAGTAAGCGGAGCTGATATTAAACAGGATTTTGCTACACAGAGAAAAAGGCTAGAATGTATATGAATGCTTTTTTTTTTTTTTTTCCGAGACAGAGTCTTGTTCTGTTGCCCAGAGCTGGGGTGCAATGGCGCGATCTCGGCTCACTGCAACCTCCGCCTCCCGGGTTCAAGCAGTTCTCCTGCCTCAGCCTCCTGACTAGCTGGGATTACAGGCGCTGCCACCATGCTCGGCTAATTTTTTTATTTTTAGTAGAGACGGGGTTTCACCATGTTGGCCAGGCTGGTCTCGAACTCCTGACCTCGTGATCCACCCGTCTCGGCCTCCCAAAGTGCTGGGATTACAGGAGTATATGAATGCTTTTATCCACACCACTAAGAAGAGAATTGAACATGTTTTGAAAACACAAGAGGAAAGGCAGAAACTTCATTACAAATATTCTAAGCAGTTTCTGACTTTGTTTCAAGATTGGAACACGAACAGTGAAGGCTGAGGAACCAGAGGAACAAAAACTAGCTACAATGTTTCGAGAGCAACAAAAGAGTTGTCTATAAGCTAGAATGGTTCAGAGACAGAGACACTGAAACAAATTAAACTGAAATCAGCAATTCCTACGGAGTTTGGAGGACCTAGAAGAGAATCAGAGTTCATCTTACTGATGAACAAAGTGACCTTAGAAAAGAAATGGCCAGGTTGCAAACAAAACTTATGAAGGAAACTCTGCAGCAAGACTTGGCACTTATTCATTTGTCTCTTCTACCTGTGTTACTCTTGTGACTGAAGAAAGAACTTGAACCAATGTATAATGGTTAATATTGAGCATCAACATGATAGGATTGAAGGATGCAAATTACTGTTCCTGGTGTGTCTGTGAGGGTGTTGCCAAAGGAGATTAACATTTGAGTCAGTGGACTGGGACAGGCAGATCCACCCTCAATCTGGGTGGGCACCATCTAATCACCTGCCAGCCCAGCTAGAATAGAGCAGGCAAGAGAAGATGGAAGAGCAGACTTGCTGAGTCTTCCAGCTTTCATTTTTCTCCTGTGCTGGATGCTTCCTGCCCTTGAACATGAAACTCCAAGTTCTTCAGCTTTTGGACTCTTGGACTTACACCATTGGTTTGTCGGGGGCTCTCAGGCCTTTGGCCACAGACTGAAGGCTGAACTGTTGGCTTCCCTACTTTTGAGGTTTTGGGACTCAGGCTGATCCACCACTGGCTTCCTTGCTCCTCAACTTGCGGCCGGCCTATCATGGGACTTGACCTTGTGAACGTGTGAGTCAATTATCCTTAATAAACTCCCCCCCCTTTGTTTGTTTGTTTGTTTGTTGAAACAGAGTCTCACTCTGTTGCCCAGGCTGGAGTGCAGTGGCACAATCTCGGCTCACCGCAACCTCCACCCCCTGGGTTCAAGTGATACTGTCTCAGACTCCTGCATAGCTGGGATTACAGGCACCTGCCAACACGCCCAGCTAATCTTTGTATTTTTTTAGTAGGATGGGGTTTCACCATGTTGGTCAGGCTGGTCTCGAACTGCTGACCTCAGATAATCCACCTGTCTCGGCCTCCCAAAGTGCTGGGATTACAGGCATAAGCCGCCACACCTGGCCAATCAACTCCCTTTCTTATGTACATATATCCTGTTAGTTCTGTCCCTCTAGAGAACTCTAACATGCTATGTTATATGACATAAGCATGACATTAACTACACTAAACCATATGACAGTGTTTTTAAAATTCTTGTATAAAGCAGTATCTCATTAGTTTGTGTGTTAAATGCAAGACCTTGCTTCTTTAATCTGTTGAATGAACCCCAAACAGTTATATCAGTAACAGCAATTGCACAGTTATATACACAGTCAATTAAGTTTTAGCACTAACGATAATTTAATTTTAGGTGTGGCCTCTGTGGATCTGTATCAGTCCCAAAATTTAGAAAGCACAGGCATGGAAGGGTACATTTTTCTCACCTAAGGAAAAACAGTAAGATAAAACAAAACGTTAAAATAAAAAATCGGCCAGGCATGGTGGCTCACGCCTGTAATCCCAGCACTTTGGGAGGCCGAGGCAGGCGGATCACGAGGTCAGGAGATTGAGACCATCCTGGCTAACACAGTGAAACCCCATCTCTACTAAAAATACAAAAAAATTAGCCGGGTGTGGTGGTGGGTGCCTGTAGTCCCAGCTACTCGGGAGGCTGAGGCAGGAGAATGGTGTGAACCTGGGAGGCGGAGCTTGCAGTGAGCCGAGATCATGCCACTACACTCCAGCCTGGGCAACAAAGTGAGACTCTGTCTCAAAAAAATAATAATAAATAAAAAATAAATAAAATAAAATAAAAAATCGATGCCCCCTCCTCCTTCAGTCTTTCATACAGCACAGAACAGCTTCCTTAGTTTGAGGATGATTAAATATATGAGATGCTCTCCAGATCCAGCTCTGCTTCTTTAGATTTTTTTGTTCCTTCTCACTTACTTATTATTTTTTTTTGAGACGGAGTCTCGCTCTGTCACCCAGGCTGGAGTGCAGTGGCGCAATCTCAGCTCACTGCAACCTTGGCCTCCTGGGTTCAAGCAATTCTTCCACCTCAGCCTCCTGAGTAGCTGGGACTACAGGCACCTGTTACCTCGCCCGGCTAATTTTTGTATTTTTAGTAGAGACGGGGTTTCACCATATTGGCCAGGCTGGTCTTGAACTCCTGACCTCGTGATCCACCTGCCTCGGCCTCCCAAAGTGCTGGGATTCCAGGCGTGACCCACTGCGCCTGGCCTCACTTATTTATTTTTTAATTAACAAATAAAAATTGTATATATATTTAAGGTGTACAACATGGTGTCTTCAAGAATCTCTTTAGATATGAAATTGCTGAATTCAAGAGACCATCAACTATGAGATATAGTATCCGGAAGATTCTAACGGATGGGATGTGACATAGCAGAAAATGCATCTCTGATGGGGATAGTCAAGACACAGTCTCCTGGCAGGTCCCGGGGCTCACCTTCTCCACTCAGGACTGTTGCTCCAAGTGTTACAGTTTATTTTCCAAAGATAACCACTCCATTCTCTCACGTGCTCTTTGCACAGGTATCTTTGACTCTCCTCCCAGGACACAAGAGTGATGTTATGGACTTCTGAGGCTGGGACATAAAAGGCCACATGGCTTCTGCCTAGTTTGCCTGGGATGTGCTCCCTTGGAAGCCACATGCAGAGGTCACGTGTGTGCCGGTTGATGACAGCAGCTGATATTCCAGCTGGCCCTCAGCAGCAACTGCCACATGCTTGAGTGAATGTCTTCAGGCAACCCTAGCCTCCAGCTGCTAGATCACCTCTGAGACACTGAGGAACAGATGAGGCTTCCCTGCTGAGCCCTGCTCTAACAGATTTCTGAGCTAATTGATTGTTTTATTACATATTATTGAGGCACTATATACAACTGACCCACTTAAAGTGTATAATTTAATGGTGTTTAGTGTATTCTGAATTGTACAACCACCACAGTCAATTTCAGAGCATTTTTATCACCTCCCCAAAAGAAACTCTGTACTCAGTAGCAGTGAATCTCCATTTCCTCCCAAACTCCCTCTCAGTCCTAGGCAACCACTCATCTACTTTCTGTGTCTAATAGATTTGCTTATTCCAGATACTTCATATAAATGGAATCATACAATATGAGGCCTTTTGTGACTGGCTTCTTTCACTTAACATGTTTTTAAGGTTCATCCACATTGTAGATGTTTCATACTTAATTCCTTTTTTTTTTTGAAAAATGTTCCATTGTACATACAGATATTTTGTTTATCCATTCACCTATTAAGATTGACATTTGGGCAGTTTCCACTTTCTGGCTATTATGAATAATGCTGCTATAACATTCACGTAATTTTTAATAAGGACATATATTTCTTTTTTTCTTTTTTTTGAGACAGAGTCTCACTCTGTCACCCAGGCTGGAGTGCTGCGGCAAGATTTCGGCTCACAGCAACCTCCGCCTCCCAGGTTCAAGCGCTTCTCCTGCCTCAGCCTCCCAAGTAGTTGGGATTACAGGTGTGTGCCACCACGCCTGGCTAATTTTTGTATTTTTAGTAGAGATGGAGTTTCACCATGTTGGCCAGGCTGGTCTTGAACTCCTGACCTCAGGTGATCTGCCCATCTCGGCCTCCCAAAGTGCTAGGATTACAGACGTGAGACACTGCGCCCAGCCTCATTTCTTCTAGGTATACCTAGGGAGTGAAATTTCTGGGTCATATAAATGCTTAATCTTTTGAAAAACTGCCAGAATGTTTTCCAAAATGGTTGCACCGTTTTACAGTCTCAATGGCGGTGTCCTAAGTCTCCCATTTCTCCAAACCCTCAACACTTGTTATTTTCTGTATTTTATTGACTCTGATGATCCTAGTGCTTAGCAGATTTGAAGGGGTTTTGATTTGCTTTTCCCTGATAAGTACTGATTTTGAGCAGCTTTCCATGTGGTTACTGACCACCTGTATGCCCTCTGGAAAAAGGTCTATTCCAATAATTTGCCCATTGTTTAATTGGGATTTCTTTCTTTTCTTTTTTTTTTTTCTTTTTTGAGGTAGGGTCTTGCTCTGTTGCCCAGGCTGGAGTGCAATGGTCTGATTTTGGCTCACTGCAGCCTCCACCTCCTGGGCCCAAGAGATCCTCCCACCTCTGCCTCTCGATTAGCTGGGACCACAGGTGCCCGCCACCATACCCGACTAATTATTTTGGTATTTTTTGTAGAGACAGGGTTTTGCTGTGTTGCCCAAGCTGGTCTTGAACTCCTGGGCTTAAGTGATCCGTCCGCCTGGCCTCCCAAAGTGCTGGGATTACAGGCGTGAGCCAGTGCACCCAGGTGGGTTTTCTCTTTTATTAAGTTGTAAGAGTCCTATAGCTAGAATAGATACAAGATTCTTAACAGATATGTGATTTGCAAAATACTATCCCATTCTTGGGTTGTCTTTTCACTTTCTTGATAGTGTTCCCTGAAGCACGAACACTTTCATCTTTGATGGTGTTGACTTTACTTTTTCTTTTGCCACGTGTGCTTTTGGTGTCAACATCTAAGAAACCACTGCCTAATCCAAAGTCACACTTGACTCAAGTATTTTCTTCTAAGAGTTTTATAGTTTACCTTATACATTTAGATGGTGATTCGAGTTAATTTTTTGTTTATGGTATGGGGAAGGGGTCCAACTTCACTCTTTCACAGCAGGACATCTGGATGTTGGTGAAGATGATTCTTTTCCCTATTGAACTGTCCCTATTGAGTTGTCACTCAACTCTAAAATCAGTAAGAGTTTATTTCTGGACTCTCAGTTCTGTTCAGTTGCTCTATTCTTATGCCAGAACCATTGTCTTTATTACTGTAGCTTTGTAGTAAGTTTTGAAATCAGAAAGTATAAGTCCTCCAACTATGTGTTTTTCAAGACTGTTTTGGTTCTCCTGGGTCCCTTGAATTTCCATATGAGCTTTAGGATTAGTTTGTCAATTTCAGTATTAAGAAAAAGTCAGCTGGGAATAATAGGAATTATATCAAATCTTTTGATCAATAAGATTTTTTTTTTTTTTTTTGAGATGGGGTCTGACTGTGTCACCCAGGCTAGAGTGTAATGGCATGATCTCGGCCCACTGCAACCTCTGTTTCCGGGGCCCAGGCGATCCTCCCACCTCAGCCTCCAGAGTAGCTGGGACCACAGGTATGTGCCACCACACACAGATTAATTTTTTGTATTTTTGGTAGAGACAGGGTTTCACCATGTTGCCCAGGCTGGTCTCAAACTCCTGAGCTCAAGTGATCTGCCTGCTTTGGGCTCTCAACGTGCTGGGATTATAGCCATGAGCCACTGTGCCAGCCTTGGATTTTATCTTTTCAAGCAACTTATTAGTGTGGTTTGTTGTGCAAAGATAACTGATACACCATTCCACATGGGTGAGCATCTGTTTTGTTACGGGTAAACAGAAAAGACGGTGACAACATAGGGAGATCTCCACTCCACAAAAAAAATAAAAATAAAAACTTCTCGGGAGGCTGAGGTGGGAGGATCCCTTGAGCCCCGGAGGTCAAAATTGCTGTGAGCAGTGATCATGCCACTGTACTCCGGTCTAGGTGACAGAGCAAGAGCCTGTCTCAAGAACAAATAATAAATATAAATGAAAAAGTAAATTTCCAGGTTGGGCCTCTTTCATTGCTTCAAGAAGCTGCTCCAAGTGCTGCCTGCTGCCCTGCCCATGGCTGGAGGGATTTTGGTGCACTGGGAATGCAGCAGGTTCAGCAACCACTGAACCAAGGATTCTTATTCTCAGCCTTGGTGCCTCCTGTTTGGAGTAGGGGTTTCCAAGGGAAATGAGGACCTTGGCTGCCTATGTCTGTCCCCATGCCGAACAGGAGGCCCAGAGCCAAGACTGAGAACCTAATGGGTGAAAAGACAAGAGGCTTTAGTTAAGACAAGAGGAGGCTAAGATTGAGAGCTTCAAGATGTTCCACAGATCCTGGGAAGTGTTCTTCTTCTTGGTAGTGACTCTAATGGTAGTTTCTTTGTCCCAGTTGTTTCATTCCTAAGAATGTATTGAGGCAACTCTGAATTAGAGAAAATGTACTGCAGGTGTATGACTCTCTTTTCTATCGTGTGTAGAAGAGTGAGAGACACCTCAATGTTGAGAGGTCAGGTGGGTATTCAGACCAGGGGCCCGAGGAGACCCTGGGAGGGCAGTGTGCTTCTGTGACCCTCCTACTACCTCTGCCCTCTGAAGACTCCAGCCCATGGTTCTGCCCTTTCTCAGTCCCCAGGTAGGATGGGAAACAAAGTGTTAACAGCAGAGAAAGCAAGTTTTTGGGGTTCACTCAAGACCTAGGCTACAGCCAGGTCAAGTGCCTGCTTTATTCAACAGGAAGCGCTCAAGTGGGACTCACCCCCCACCTTTCACAGTGTAAAGTGAATAGGGAGCAAGGCAGGAAGCTAGAAAAATAATGCATGGATCTAGACAATTCAGAAAAACCCTTCTAAGTCAGCTTAAGGCCAAGACTGGTCAGTGTGAGAGAACAAAAGAGGTGACAGAAAAGCCTTGGGCAGCCTGAGCCATGATGGGCCTAGCGGAAGTAGTTGGGACATTCGTGAGCAACCAAATGCCAGGCTTGATTAAAGGCATCCACGACAGCCGGCTCCAGGGGCCCTTCCTCTGTTGCTGCCAAGTTCTGCTCCAGCTGCTCCAGGCTGGACATGCCCAGGATGACCGCGTCCCCGTGGGCACCCTGCAAGGGAGACGGCCAGACTTCAACCCTCTTCTGCTGCACAGCGACTCCACTCACAGCCGTCCCAGCCACCTCCCTGCTGAGATCTGGGGTCTCTGTTTATATTTATATCTTGTATGTCCAGAAAGGACTTAAGGTGCCTTGGATAGCTGTACCCACGTGACTTGAAACCCGCATCCTTTCCCCTACTGCCGCACGACGCTTCCACACAGAACTACATTCACAGCCCAGTTCTGCCCCCAGCAGCTGTGTAAAAATGGCTAAGTTGGCTGGGCACAGAGGCTCATGCCTGCAATCCCAGCACTTTGGGAGGTCAAGGTGGGAAGAACACTTGAGCCAAAGTGTTCAAGACCAGCCTGGGCAACAGAGAGAGACTCTGTCTCTACAAAAAACAACAAAACAAAATTAGCCAGGGGTGATGGTGCATGCCTTGTCCCAGCTACTAGGGAGGCTGAGGCAGAAGGATCACTTGAGCCCAGGAGGTTGAGGTTGCAGTGAGCTATGAGTGTGCTGCTGTTCTACCGCCTGGGTAACAGAGTGAGACTCTGTCTCAAAAAAATTAAAAAGCAGGCTACGTTATTAAGCTTGTTTTGACATTCGATCTTTTTTTTTTTCAAACAAAAATATTTTTCCTTGTGTTTTGTACACAAAAGGGGGTGGGAGGTAGTGCGGTGTGGTGGTGGCAGCGGAAAAATATGGAACACTTCACAAATTTGCGTGTCATCCTTGCGCAGGGGCCATACTAATCTTCTCTGTATCATTCCAATTTTAGTATATGTGCTGTCGATGCAGGCATGACATTCAATCTTTTTCTCTGTTTTCAGCATTGGAATGAGAAAACTTATGTAAAACACAGCTCCCACGTACTGAACATCTACCGGATATATGCCAGACACTATGCAACATGGAAGGCTGAAGCTGGAGATAAGTTTGTTGCTGTTATTTTCATTGTTGTTTGCTTGTTTTTTTTAGACAGGGTCTTGCTTTGTCACCCAGGCTAAGGTGCAGTGGTGTAATCTCAGCTCACTGCAGCCTTGACCTCCCAGGCTCAAGCCATCTTCCCATCCCAGCCTCCAGAGTAGCTGGGAACGTAGGAGCAAGCCATCACAACCTGGCTAATGTTTTTGATTTGTTGTAGAGATAGGGTCCCATTTTCTTGCCCAGGCTAGACTCAAATGCTTGAGATCAAGCAATCCTCCCATCTCGGCCTCCCAAAGTGCTGGATTACAGGTGTGGGTCACTGCCACTGATCAGGAAATAAGTTTTAACCAGGAAGACATGAGGCATCAAGAGAGAGAAACCAAAAGGGTGAGATGGGTGGGTCTTAGTTAAACCTGTGTTAAAATGTCTGCCACTTTAATAGCTGGGTGAACCTCGGTTTCCTCATCAATAACACTGGGATAATCATACTTCAGAAAGCCTAAGGAATAAGAAAATCCCTGTAATGAAAATCCCTCACTACAAAGCCTCCACTCAGATACCATCAAAGACCAGTGGGAAGAGTGCTTATGAGAATTGGAAGAAAGAAAAATTTCAGAGGAATTCAGAAATCAAATGCTTTGGGCTTCACCTAAAGGTGACGCTGGTCCCCCTGGAAGGGAAGAAGCTGAGCACCCAGGGTCGCTGGTTACCTGCAGCTGTGAGTGGTGGTACATCCACCGGAGGGCAGCCGAGGTCACACTGGGGGCGCTGGCGCCATATGCGGCCTGCAGGGCCTTCTCCACCAACGCAATGGCCTCGAAGTGGTGCTCCTTCCAGAAGCTGTGCAGAGGGGATGTTAGCACAGGGGTCAGTACCATGGGGGTCACACTGGGAGCCGCAACCAAATAGCCATCCAGGACCACTGCCCCACCCCACACCCTGCAGCCCTGAGGGGCGGGTGTCCTCTCTAGTCATAGGTCTCCCACTTTGCTGGGCATCAGAACCACCCAGGATGCTGGGCCCCTCAGCAGAGACCTCAATGGATCTTTACTCCTGAGGACTCAGTAGCCTAGGGACTTCCCTAGGGACACGAAGGCTGCTCAGATGGGGCAGGATTCCCTCCTGGGCTCTCTTTTTGCTTTTTGATACATGGTCTTACTCTGTTGCCTACACTGGAGTGCAGTGGCATCATTATGGCTCACTGCAGCCTCAACCTCTTAGACTCAAGTAATCCTCCTGCCTCAGCCTTCCAAGTAGCTGGGCTACAGACAGGTGTGCACCACCACACCTGACCACTTTTTTGCATTTTTTTTTTGTAGAGACCATGTTGCCCAGGCTGGTCTTGAACTCATGAGCTCAAGTAACCCTCCCACTTCGGTGTCCCAAAGTGCTGGGATTACAGGTGTGAGCCACCATGCCTGGCCCATCCTGGGCTCGCTTTTTGCTTCCCAGCAGGTGATTGCTCAGGAACGAGCTATGACTTCAAGACCCCAACATCCAGGGATCCTCATTTCCCCCCCAGAGGTCTCAAGACAACAAGAAAACCCACAGAGGGCTTGGGAATTCCTGAAGCAATGCAGGGGAGGAGATGCAAACAGCAAAGGAAGGTCTTACCTCAGGAACAGCCCAGGACTTCATTCCACATAGATTTGACCCCACCCCAGCCATCCTCACCAAGCCCACCCCCGGCTCACCGATTCCTGTAGGTCTCAGCCCAGCTATTCCCAAAGAAGCGGCCCACAGGCTGTTTCCCGTCCTTGTCCTCATACTTGTACTTGCCAGTCAGCAGGCCCCCTGCGGGAAGGCAGCAATCAGCCCCTGGCCCCAGAGTGCCCCAGAAGCTGCCACATCCCTCAGGGCTCTGGTCTAGGGGAGGGGCAGGGACCCAGGAGGGGCTGAAGAACACAGCCCAGCCTCTTGTCAAACCCTCCCTGCTTCATAAATTCTGGGCTGGGCATCTGTGGGTCAGGAATAGGCTGAGACAGGGTCAGGAATGCTCCACGTACCAGCCAGAGGGTTGTAGGCATAGAACCTCAGTCCAAAGTGCCTGAGGCAGGGGAAGAGCTCCGTTTCCACCTGCCGGGTGGTGGCGTTGTACATGCCCTGCAGGGAGAGGGACCCCGGGGACAGGGTGGACATGTCAAGAGAAGGAACTGTTGCCTTCCACTTTCAAACCTCTAAAGCAACACCGGCCCAGGACTTCAGCAATATTCTAACATCACTACTGTTAGTAGGGGATGGAGGGAAGGTGTTGGGCCCAAGGACAGAAAATTGAAGTGGAATGGTATCTTTCCACAAATATCTGCTGTATGAACTCCATGCTGGACACTGGTTACAACCACAAGTAGGTATCACAAAATCCCTGCTTCCAGGAGATGTTTACTCAAGTTTAAAAAAATAGACAAGGAAGGCAGTTAATTACAATAAAGTTAGGTTCTACAATCAAACAAGGAGCTGGAAAGTACTCGCTGAATGTATGAAGATGAGATTTGGAGACTGGAGACTCCTATGGGGCTGTCTAGAAAGGCTTCCAGAGGAGGAGACCTCTATGTAAGGCCTGAGTGCTTCTCCCAGGGAGGAGGGCAGGGGAAATGTGTTCCAGGCTGAAGTATGAAAGGAGGTGGGGAAGGAAGGGTCCAAGGTGCACAGATAGGCAGGAAGGAAGCAGATGCCCAGTGGCCAGGCTGAGGAGCTTGAATGGCATCCTGAGGGTACATGGGAGCCATCTGCAGGCTTTCAGCAGGGGAGTGGCTGCTATGCAGACGGCACAGGGGGCAGTCAGGGGGGCAAAGAGAGCCCAGGATTAGCAGGAGTCCTGGAGACCTTGGCCTCTGCAGCCCCGGCCCTCACCTGGTACACAGTGGGCAGGATCCAGCCATTGCTCTTGCAGAGGGTACAGATCTCGGCCACTTCCCAGCTAGCATAGTTGGAGAGGCCAAGCTCCACGAACTTGCCCTGCATGGGTGAGGCTCCAGTCAGAACGCAGTGTAGCCCAGACCAGGAAGGGGAGGCCAGGGTGGGGCCCCAGGGAATGGGGCTATTCCCTGCCCCACCCTGGGACTGCCCTGGTGCCTCTGCTCTCATGAGTAGGATCAGGATAAAGAAAGGAGCAGGAGCCCACCTTTGGAGCTCGGAGGGCCCCCTCACCTCCTGGTGCAGCCGCTGGCAGGCATGCAGCGTCTCTTCCACCGGGGTGCCGTGGTCAGGTGCGTGTAGGTAGAAGAGGTCCACTTGGGGACACTGCAGCCTCTTCAATGACGTCTCCAGCTGGGACCGGACACTGTCAGGCTTTAGTGATTTTCCATCCCAAGGGTTGGCCTTGGTGGCAATTTTCACTTGGAGAGAGAATGGAATGGTTAAGTGACCTATTAGAGCCATTTGCTAACCATGTAACCCTGGCTAAATTACTAATATTCTCTTGGCCTCAATTGTATGATCTGTAAAATGGGGTGATAATAATCAAACTGTCCTCATTGGGAGGTCCTGGGGATTAAATAATGTCATATATGTGAGTTCTCAATGTTCACCTATTAGAATAACTATCATTAGTCACCAACCTGCTGGCTGTGCCAGGCCTTGCACTAGAGACTGAGTATGCAGAGATGAACTGAACACAATGGATCTCTGCCCTCCTGGAGCCCTAGAGGATGATGGTACAATATGGTAAGCACAGGAGGGAAAGGCACACGATGCCAAGGAGCCCAGATGAGATGCATGAAGCCAACTTGGAGACTCCAGGGAAGGCTTTCTCTAGGGGATCACTCCCAGAGTCCCAGCCAACAAGGAAGAGCAGGAAGTACACTCCAGAGCATGGGAACCCATGCAAAGTCAAAGAGGCAAAAAAACACTATGTGAGGCTCCAAACCTTCAAGTCTAAGTTATAAGAGCATAAATTCTAGAGCAAGGAGCAGTGGGACGTAGGACAAGAGACAGGGACAGACCTCATCCCAAAAGTTCTTAAATACCATCCCACTGAATCTGAACTTGATCATTCCAGATTTTGTCAGGGTGTGAACCGGTCACCTGTGTTCACACTTGGCTGCAGTATAGAGAAAGAAGTCAAGGGGGCAGGCCTGGAAGAGTTTAGGAAAGCGAAGCAGCCACATAAATGTGGCCCAGTGGTAGAGATCAACTTGAGAGCTTAGAAGGCAAACTGAGCAGAATGTAATTATAATTCTCCCCTCCCCTTCCTGACTCACAGAAGCATGAGCATATATCCAAACACTGTAGGGACACATCGCTATGACAACAGTGTTCTGCATCCGAGCAGCTTGGAAATGAGTTAATTCTGCACTATTCTTTCCCCTATAAAGAACCCCAGCTGTTGGTCCAGATGTAGTGGCTCAAGTCTGTAAACCTAGTTTGGGAGTACTTTGGGAGGCTGAGTAGGGAGAATTACTTGAGCCCAAGAGTTTGAGATAATCCTGGACAATGTAGCAAGACCCTCCCTCTACAAAAATAAAAATTAAAAAAGAACCCCAGCTGGGCCAGGAAAGGTAGCTCACGCCTGTAATCCCAGCACTTTCGGAGGCTGAAGTGGGTGGATCACCTGAGGTCAGGAGTTCGAGACCAGCCTTGGCCAACATGGTGAAACTCTGTCTCTACTAAAAATACAAAAATTAGCCAGGCGTGGTGGCACGTGCCTGTAACCCCAGCTACTTAGGAGGCTGAGGCAGGAGAATCACTTGAACCTGGGAGGCAGAGGTTGCAGTGAGTCCAGATTGTGCTACTGCACTCCAGCCTGGGCGACAGAGTGAGACTCTGTGTCAAAAAACAAAAAACAAAACAAAAAAAAAGAACCCCAGCTGTCTGGATTGGTTGGGGGATGGATTCTGCACTTTTCATACTTAGCAAAGTCAGCTCAGTAGCTCAGAAGGGTGTCACGAGATCAGTTGGGATATGGGACAGAACAAGTTCCACAGTTTCTCATCCAGATTTTCTCCATTTCCCCACAACGCCCCAGGCATTCTTGGCATGAACTGTGCCTCAGGCCTGGCCTGAGGACTTTGGTTCAGTGAGCTCCTGGCCCCAAAGACGGAAGCGGGGAAGGGTTAGAGAAGAAAAACCAACTCAGGAACAAAATCTTCATTATTAATAGTATGTAACGTGGCCGGGCGTGGTGGCTTACACCTATAATCCCAGCACTTTGGGAGGCTGAGGTGGGCAGATCACTTGAGGTCAGGAGTTGAAGACCAGCCTGGCCAATATGGTGAAACCCCATCTCTACTAAAAATACAAAAATTAGCTGGGCGTGGCCGTGTGCACCTGTAATCCCAGTTACTTGGGAGGCTGAGGCAGAGGTTGCAGTGAGCTGAGATCGTGCCATTGCACTCCACCCTGGGTGACAGAGCAAGATTCCGTCTCAAATAATAATAATAACAAAAACAACAACATGCAGCCAGGTGAACTAGAAACAGCGTGGGCCTGAGATTCACATTTGCCCTCTTTTCCCCCCGACCCCCCAAGCGCTATGACTCAGGAGGACCCAGAGAGAACCTCTCCTCAGGGGTGGGGAGCAACAGCCTCAGGATAGTCCAGTGGGTGAAGCATGGTAAGGGTAACAGCCCACGTTCCCTGGGCCCTCACTGAGTGCCAGGCACCCTCCCAAGGGCTATCAAGGGCACCAGGCTCACGAGGGACAGTCCCCTCCATCCTCCACTCAAGCCCCACCTGCCCAGTGGCCTTCCTTTCACACATCACGCACATTGCATTTCCAAACCAAGTCTTTGCACAGACTCTAATGTTCCTTTCTCTTGTTCTCCTCCAACCTACCATTGAGCCTTTAAGGCTGAGCTCCATCCAGCATTTGCTGAGCCTTCCCTAGTGCCTCTCCCCGGCCTGCAGCTCCCTAAAGTACTCTCTCTTCTGGGCTCTCCAGCAATCATTACTTCAATCTTCCTCATTAGACTCTGAACTCCCTGTGGAGGGCTGGAATCACTTTCCCTCCTATGGCCCCAAGTCAAAGCCTGGCATAGAGTGGATAGAAAGTCCCTACACCCTGACCCGTCCGCACTCCCTAACACTCCTACTCTCCCAGCCAGCCTTACGGCATCGCCACAGTTCTCCCTGAGAGAGGCAGAGGTACTGCCAGCTGCACAGGTCAAATTCTAGTGGTTAAGAAAAGGCCAGGATGAGAAAAGGGTGCCCAGGGTGTGCATGCGTGATGATGGTAACGAAGGGGTAGAGAAAAGGGGGAGAGCCTGGGTGGGGACCGGTTGTGGGCACCTGGCAGGTTTGGAGGCGGGGGCATCAATGGAGGTGGGAAGCGATGGGTCAGACCAGGCTGGGGGGAGACTCTCGCGCTGCAACTCCCAAGGGAAGGAGAGTGGGGGAAAGGAGTCAGGGCAAAGCACTGTCTAGTTGTCCCGGGGTTCCCAGAGCTGCGGGGTGGACCTGGGGTGGGGAGCGAGGGACGAATCCGTCGGTGCTGCCCGCGGCCGGGCCCGAGCGGGGTGGTGCACGGCTGGGGACAGGCTCAGCTCTACACGATGCATGGGGAGGATCTGCAGCTACTGTTACCTCTGCAGTCGCCACCGCCCAGCCCGAGCCCCAGGCCGCCCAGGATGGTCTCGGACTGGCCGTCGCTGTACATGAAGGCCGTGTCCAGTTCGGTGTGGCCGCGCTCCAGAAAGGCGCGCACGGCCGCGGCGCTGGCGGGCGCGTCCATGCGGCGCCCCATCTCCATGGTGCCCAGCACCGAGGCGACCCGCGGTGGCGGTGGCCGGGACATGGCGAGCGCGCGGGCCTCGGGCGGCGGAGAGCGAAGCGCGCAGTGGACGGCGGCGCGGGAGACTACGCGAGACGCGGCACTCAGCATAGCAGCGGCGCCTGCGCGTTGGGAGCCGGGGGCCCCGCCCATGCCGGGGAGGAGCGCGGAGGCAGTTGGGGGCGGGGACAACAGGCGCGGCCCCAGCGGCGCCTCCAGGCCCGGTCAGCCCAGCGCGCGGCGTGGGGGCGGGGCCTGCGGTTCCCGCGGGGGCGGTGGCGCGCGGTCAGCTGACCCGGCGGGCCTTGACCCAGAAGCTGGGCCCTGGCGGCGGATCTGGACGTGGTGAGCCGGACCGGGGGCAGGTGGCAAACTTCACGGCTGGGGGTCGGGGCTCCTGGGCTTCCCTGCCACATCCTTCCAGCCCTCTCCTCCGGCCGCTGGACTGTCCCGGCTCCTGCGCCCTCCTTGTGGCGCGATATCGTGGGACGAGGCTCCGGGCCGGGACTGGGTGGCCCTCGGGAATCCGCAGCCAGTGGCCCCCCACCTCAAAGGCGACCAGCGCGGCCTCTCGAGCTGGCCTGGCCAGGAGTTGCCCTGCCCCGGCCGACCGGCCCCTTGGCATCTGATGGCTTCGTTTTTCCCGGGCCGGCCGGGCGAGGGGCCCTCGCGGCGCTGGCCCCAGCAGCTGTCCTATCATTATCCCTCCAAACAGGCGGCCCGCGCCGGGCTGAGTCACCAGGAGGGAGCTGTGGCCGAGGACGCCGAGGCCTGGAGTGGGTGGTAGCCCCGAGCTGGGACGCTCCTCCCTCCACAATCTCCCCAGGTCTGCAGGGACCGAGGGCCTACACTGCCTCCTCCCACGCCGTGCTTAGGGTAGGTTTCCAAACGTGTAAATGGAGAGTCTGAGTCTGGAAGTGTGAGGGGTCCCGGGCCTGGGTCACAGGTCATGTCTAATCAACGCTTACTGAAGGCGCCTGTGTGCCCGGACGCTGGAGGGGCTACAATGAGAACAAATAATAGTCATTTTGGGCTGTTGGTGTTGAGTGCCAGTGCCAGGCACCCTTGTAATCGCTTGGCCTGGATTGTCTCATTTAACTCTGCAGTCAGCCTAGGTGGTGGGTATTGCATTATTCCCCTACTTTTCAGATGAGAACTACGAAGCTCAATCACTTGAGTTCCAGACTGGTAGGCATCGGGCAGGTCTGTTCCAGAGTGCTTTTCTCCTCAACCCTGGGCTGTTCGAGCTCACAGCTTTCTCCCCTTCCTTTCTCCTTTCCTTCCTCTTCTCTCTCTTCCACCCTTTCTCCTTTCTCACCCGTTTCCTCTCTTCTTCACTCTGTCCTTCTCTCTACCTCTCTCTTTCTCTCACTGTCTCTCAACATTTGCTGAACCTCTAGGTGTGTTTACACCTGGAGAATAAGAAATGCACAACCCAGGGTGGGGAGAGTACGTTTCAAAGACAGTGGTCGCAGAGGACGGTGGTAGCGTTCTTCAGGTGTGTGGACAAGGGGAGAGGAGGAGGTGGAAGGTCCTGTCCAGCCAGCTCTCATGGGGCATCTTTGAAAGGGCAATTTAGAAGTGAGTCTTCTTATCTCATGACCAGGCCCTTGAAGGGGAGCAGGACACTTCTAGGGGAAGAGATGGCACGTGCAGAAGCCTGGAGACCTGAAATGACTGAAGACGTGGGTCAGGAGGCAGGAGATAAGGTTGGGAGGGCAGTTCTTGGAGTAACTTGAGGCCTAGCCTCAGGTAATTTGGACTTCATCCTGTAGACAAAGGTGGACACATGATTGGCTGTGATCATGTGCCCGAAGCACCCTGACTCAGCTTGGGATCAGGGAGAGGAGTTTGGGTGTGGCAGGAGATGTCATCTCCAGCCCAACCTTTCTCAAAGTGCACTAGATGGAGCAGAATCGCTGGAGGGCTTCTTAAACCCAGAATCTCTAAGCCCCAGCCCAGGTGCACTGACTCCAAATTTTGAACATGCACCCTCCAAGGGTGATTCCAGGGTACCGCTTCTGGGGTCCTTCCCATCCCTGCAGGTGAGGTCAAGCTCCATTGCAACCTTGGACATCCATTTGCTCAGAGCTGTTTGAACAGGATGTGGGCCCATGCCTGGCTTCTAGGTGACAGGAACTACGCAGGATGGCCCTCAGAGCCAGGCCTTTCTGTTCAGGGATCAGGTGTGTCTCAGAGTGTCCCGAGCTCCACATTGCACATGGGTCCTGTCCAAGGTCAGGGGGACACCCACCCAGTATCCTGGATCCATAAACCAAGGTACCTTCCTCAAGACAACTCCCCAACACGCACGCATACTGGGGTGCATCCATTTCATTTCCTCCTTAACCTAGGGAAAGGGGGAAGTGAGAGAGAGGCCGCAGGGGCCATAAACCAAGGTACCTTCCTCGAGACAACCCCCCAACACACACATGCTGAGATGTGTCCATTTCATTTCCTCCCTAACCTGGGGAAAGGGGGAAATGAGAGGGAGAGTCCCCAAGGTGGTTGAGATGCTGGACTCTCATCCTGAAAACAGTCGCTGCCATGTGTTGTCAGGCACAGGGCTGAGAGCTTTATGTGCATTTAGTCAGGGCAGCTGCCCCAAGGAGTGAGTGTCGTTAGCCCCATTTTATGGACAGGCTCAGGCAGGTTAATTCACTTCCAGGGCTGCTCAGCCTCACCTGTCAAATGAGCACAGTATACCCAACCTTGCTGGGGAGTGGTGAGGATGGCAGTGGATGAGCTGCAGCCTTGTGTTCAGACTCTGCAAGGGGGTGTGGGGGTGCACCCCAGTTGGCAGTGGTGGCTGAGAACATGAGGACTTGATTTGAAATGCCTTTGGCCTTGCAAACGTGTAGTTCTCACCTGGACTATATGGTTTTTTTTTTGTTTGTTTGTGTTTTGTTTTGTTTTTGAGAGTCTTGCTCTGTCACCCAGTTGGAGTGCAATGGCGCGATCTCAGCTCACTGCAACCTCTGCCTCCTGGGTTCAAGTGATTCTCCTGCCTCAGCCTCCTGAGTAGCTGGGATTACAGGCACGCACCCACCACGCCTGGCTAATTTTTGTATTTTTGATAGAGATGGTGTTTCACCATGTTGGCCAGGCTGTTCTCCAGCTCCTGAGCTCAAGTGATCCAACTGCCTTGGCCTCCCAAAGTGCTGGGATTACAGGTGTGAACCACTGCGCCCGGCCACACCTGGACTATATGTTAATTTGGAGTGGCCTTTCAGGGGCCGGAGATGGAGCATCAGGTGAAGGCTTCCAACATCATCTGTGCTGATGGTCCCCCAGGTGGGCCACGAAGACACAGGGAAGAGGCTTTCAGCCTCCCTGCCTGTGCCAGGCCCTGGAGGTAGTCCAGTGAGCTGGGCTGACAGTGACCTGGGGCACCCTTACCTTTAGGTCCAGGGTCTCTGCCCACAGCGAGTCACATTAGGGCTGAGGGTCTACGGCTTCCTGAGAGGAGGTGCTGACTCACTTCCTTTCCCTCCCGGTGCTCCCTGGTCTCTGTGTCCTCAGCAGTTCCGTGGGGCCAGCCAGGGACTAGCTGGGGAGCCCAGGCCTCCTGACACAAGTGGGAATGAAGGCAGCTAGAGACAGCCCCCACCTGGATGAGGAAATCCCCTCTGAGCACAGGGAAAAAAGAGGAAGCCCACTTTCTGGCTGTGCAGTCATGCCAGACCACAGAGGCTTCTCTGTCTCTCTCTCTCCCTCCCTCTCTCCCTCTCTCTCTCTCGAGCCACAGAAGTCTTCTGCTTCGCTGGTGACAGATGGACCTGAGGCGGGTGGTGTGGCAGGTGGCTATGAGCAGGGGTGTAGGTCTGAGTCTTGGGTTTGACTCTGTAGTTTCCTGGCTGGGTGGCGCTGGCACATCACTTCCGCACTCTGGCTCAGGCTCCTTGTGGATATCAGTGGTCCCCACTTCATAGTTGCTGGGAAGATGCAACATGAGTGCATGCAGGATGCTTGGCTCACCGGTCCGAGCTGTGGTGATGATCACTGATGGAGATGGCCCAGCCGAGCCTCACTTTCCCTCCCTCCTCTAAGGTGTCACGCAGGCAATGACTGCTCTACTCACTGTCCAGGGTGCCCGGGTAGCGGGAGAGGCCTGCCCTGCCCACCCCTGCGATCAGCCATATTCTGGCTTTGTCATTGTGACGGTGGGGAGGTGGCTGTGGACTCCCTGCTGTTAGGCATCCCCCCCACACTCTGTGAGCTCCTGGGAGAATACAGGCTGCATCGTCCCAAACTTGAGTCCTTGTCATTCATGCAACCCCGGGGATCCCTTGCTCCTCTTCTCCACTTGCCTCATCTGTGTGGGGCAACTCTTTATGGTTTGTGTGTGTGTGTGTGTGTGTGTGTGTGTGTGTGTGTGTGTTTTCTTTTAAGACAGGGTTCAGCTCTGTCGCCCAGGCTGGAGTGCAGTGGCATGATCATGGCTTGCTCTGCAACCTCCACTTCCTGGGCTCAAGCGATTCTTCCACCTCAGCCTCCTGAGTAGCTAGCTGGGACTACAAGCGTGTGCCACCACACCTGGCTAATTTTTGAATTTTTCATGGAGACAGCGTTGCCCAGCCTGTTCTCGAACTCCTGGGCTCAAGTAATCTTTCCCACCTCAGCCTCCTAGAGTGCTGGCACAGTGCCCAGCCCTTATTTTGTTGTTGTTTTGACACAGGGTCTTGCTCTGTCATCCAGGCTGGAGTGCATTGGTGTGATCATGGCTCTCTATAGCCTGTACCTCCTGGGCTCAAGTGATCCTCCCACCTCAGCCTCCTGAGTAGCTTGGACCAGAGGTGCACACCACCATGTTTGGCTAATTTTTGTATTTCTTTTCTTTTCTTTTTCTTTCTTTCTTTCTTTCTTTTTTTTTTTAGAGGGAGTCTTGCTCTGTCACCTCTTTTTTTTTTTTTTTTTTTTTTTGAGATGGGGTCTTGTTATGTTGCCCAGGCTGCCAGGCTGGTCTCAGTCTCTTGGGCTCAAGCTGTCCTCCCGCCTTGGCCTCCCAAATTGTGGGGATTACCGGCATGAGCCATCATTCGTGGCTACAACCTGCTTTAAATTAGATGAACTTGATGGGCCTGGCCTCAGCAGATCCTTAGAGAGTAATTTACAATAATAACAAGAAATTAGGAATACCCTAAGTGTTCAAGAGTCATAGGAAAAGGTAACATCGAGGGCTCAGTTCAACACACTGTGTATGAACTCACTGAACCCACACAACAGCTGTATGTGGGAGGCAGCACTGTGATGACCCCATTTACAGATGAGAGGGCTCAGGCACAGAAAGGCTGAGTCTTTGCCCAAAGTCTAGCATGAATGGGTGATGAAGCAGGGATTTGAACACACCCGTCCCTTCTGCAGATCCAGCACGCTGCCTGCATGTGTCTGTAGTTGGCGTGTGTTTGCTGTGATCTGTGCACCTGGGAGCTGATTGGGTCCTGGTGGGTGAAGATTATGTCTTTGCCCTTCTCTGGCTCAGGGCCAGGAGCCCCGTGAAAAGGCTGGGATGAGCTTAGTTTGGGATGACCATGAATAGGACCTGGACCTCCCAGTGCTGAAAGCCTCCTCCCTTCCTCCCTGTAGAACCCTTGCTGGCCTCAGAACACCAGCGCCCTCCCTCCGGTGCAGCCCTGCCTGGCCGGGGGCCCCTCCTCCACAGCCATGGTCTGGAAGAAACTGGGCTCCCGCAACTTCTCCAGCTGCCCCAGTGGCTCCATCCAGTGGATATGGGATGTGTTGGGTGAATGTGCCCAGGACGGCTGGGACGAGGCCAGCGTGGGCCTGGGCTTGATCTCCATTCTCTGCTTTGCTGCATCTACCTTCCCGTGAGTAGTGTCTTGGTGGCAGGACCAGGGCAGGGCTGTGGGGTTGAGGCAGTGGCTCCAGCTACTGCTCAGCGAGGGGTTGTCTGGTGGGCCACGGGCCTCTCCAGACTAGAGGCTGGGGTGTGTTCCCTCGACAGGGACCTGCACTGATTGCTACCGCAGGTCAGACCTAGTGCTGGGCAGTGCTGATACAGAGATCATCACCTTTGCAACAGTTTATTGAGTGCCCACCATATACCTGGCTTGCTTCTAAGCACTTGCCATATTTCTACCTCATTTAATCCTCACAACAACCTTGTGAAACAGGGACAGTTACCATCCATCTATTTTATAGATGAGGGATCCAAAACCCAGAGAAGTTAAGCAATTTGCTTTAGGTCACACAGCTGGTCAGAGATGGGGCGGGAGAGTGGGAGGGCTGGGATGCGTCAAACACAACCTCTGTCCTCCAGACTTTGACAGTCTCGTGGTGGAGACAGCAGCAGTGAACACAACATTGTGTGGCCGCTGCCATGATCAGGGAGTGAGGACATGCTGCACAGGGGTCAAGAGCATCTTGACCTGGGCGTGTCACCTCACTGCTCTGAGCCTCAGTTTCCTTGCTTGTGTCATGGAAATATTGTTACCTAACTAGATGGTTGCTGTGAGGATGGCATGAGGGTGTGTAGGGAGAGCTGCCCACTCAGGGCCTTCACACAATGTTTGCACAAGCCTGAAAGCTGTCAGTGGTGACACTGCTAGTATTTCATTACATGAAGCACAGAAGAGGGACACCCACCTGATCTGCAGAGGCGGAAGAAGATTACAGTCAGGAAGGACCTGGAGGCCAGGCACAATGGCTCACGCCTGTAATCCCAGCACTTTGGGAGGCCGAGGCAGGAGGATCACTTGAGGTCGGGAGTTTGAGACCAGCCTGGCCAACACAGTGAGACCCCCATCTCTACCAAAAAAAAAAAAAAAATTAAAATTAAAAACAAAAAAGAAGGGAGTTGGAGGTGTTGGCCTCTAGGCTAAAAGCCAAGGATAGGACAGCATTGGGGGTGAGAGCCAGGGGCTGAGTGTGGAAGAGCAGTTCAGGCAGAGGAAGCAGCAGATGTACAGAGAAGGGGCAGCTGCGTTTATATAGTGGACAGAGTGTGTGGGGGTCAGGGAAGGGAGAGGTGAGGTCACAGGAGTCATCAAAGGCCCTGTGGCCTAAGCGGCATGCTCTGCTCTTAAGAAATGTGCTCTTTATCCTAAGGGATAAAGACAAGGGTTTGATCAGGGGCTTGACATTGTTTTAACAGCTTTATTGGGAGAGAATTCGCATTTCATGCAATTAACCCATTCAGTGTACAGTCATTGGTTTTAGTATAGCCAGAGTTGTGTAACTGTCACCACAACTAATTTTAGGACATTTTCGTTAGCCCAAATGGAAACCCATGCCCATCAGCAGTCATTCTTCATTTCTCCCGGAACCTCTCAGTCCCTGCCAGCCACTAGTCTACTTTCTGTCTCTGTTGATTTGCCTTTTCTGGACATTTCATGATTCATATAAATGGAATCACACAGGACCTGTTGTGATTGGCTTCTTTCACTTAACATAATGTCTTCAAGATTCATCCATGTCATAGCATGTATCAGATCAGTACTTCAGTCCTTTTTGTGGCCGAATACTGTTTTACTCTGTGTATAGCACATTTGGTTATCCATTCATCCATTGATGGACATTGGGTTGTTTCTACTTTGTAGCCATTATGATTAATGTTGCTGTGCACATTCATGTTTTTTTTTTTTTTTTGCCTGGTGCAGTGGCTCACACCTGTAATGCTAGCACTTTGGGAGGCTAAGGCGGGCAGATCGCCTGAGGGCAGGAGTTCAAGACCGGCCTGGCCAACATGGTGAAACTCCATCTCTACTAAAAATACAAAAATTAGCGGGGTGTGGTGGCGCGTGCCTGTGGTCCCAGCTACTCGGGAGGCTGAGGCAGGGGAATTGCTTGAGCCCACCAGGCAGAGGCTGCAGTGAGCCAGGATTGCACTACTGCACTCCAGCCTGGGGGACAAGAGAGAGTCTCCGTCTCTTTTCTTTTTGAGACAAGGTCTCACTCTGGTCCCCCAGGCTGGAGTGCGGTGGTGCAATCTTGGCTCACTGCAGCCTCTGCCTGGCGTGCTCAAGAGATTCCCCTGCCTCAGCCTCCCGAGTAGCTGGGAATACAGGCATGCGCCACCATGCCTGGCTAATTTATGTATATATTTTTGGTAGAGCTGGGGCTTCACCATGTTGCCCAGGCTGGTCTTGAACTCCTGAGCTCAAGTGATCCTCCTCCCTCAGCATTCCAAAGTGCTGGGATTATAGGTATGAGCCATGGTGCCCGACCTTCAGGTATGAGTTTTTGTGGGGAAATATGTTTTTATTTCTCTTGAGTATATACCTAGGAGTAGAATTTCTGGGTCCTATGTTAACTCTAAGTTTAGCCTTTTGAGGATTTGTCAGACTGTTTTTCAAAGCAGCTGCATCATTTTACTTTCCCACCAAAAGCATATGAAGGCTCCAGTTTCTCCAAATCCTCCTCAACACTGGTGGCCTGTCTTTTTTTTTTTTTTTTTTTTTTTGACAGTCTCGCTCTGTCGCCCAGGCTGGAGAGCGGTGGTGCGATCTCGGCTCACTGCAAGCTCTGCCTTCCGGGTTCACGCCATTCTCCTGCCTCAGCCTCCCGAGTAGCTGGGACTACAGGCACCTGCCACCACGCCTGGCTAATTTTTTGTATTTTTTTAGTAGAGACGGGGTTTCACCGTGTTAGCCAGGATGGTCTCGATTTCCTGACCTTGTGATCCGCCCGCCTTGGCCTCCCAAAGTGCTGGGATTACAGGCGTGAGCCACCGCACCTGGCCTCACTTCTTTTTTTTTGAGACGTAGTCTTGCTCTGTTGCCCAGGCTGGAGTGCAGCAGTGCAATCTTGGCTCACTGTAACCTCTGCCTCCCGGGTTCAAGCGATTCTCCTGCCTCAGCCTCCTGAGGAGCTGGGACTACAGGCGCCTCCCACCACACTCAGCTAATTTTTGTATTTTTAGTAGAGACAGGGTTACACCATGTTGGCCAGGCTGGTCTCAAACTCCTGATCTCAGGTGATCTGCCTGCCTCAGCCTCCCAAAGTGCTGAGATTACAACTGTGAACCACCCTGCTCGGCCGTCTTTTCACTTTCTTGATGGTGTCCTTTGAAGCATAAAAATTTTAAATTTTGATGATGTCCAGTTTATTTTTTCTCTTTTGTTTCTTGTGGTTTTGGTGTCATATCTAAGAAACCACTGCCAAATGCAGATAACAAAGATTTATCCTTATCTCTTCTTTTTTTTTTTTTTTTTTTTTTGAGACACGGTCATACTCTGTCCCCCAGGCTGGAGTGCAGTAGTGTGATCACATAGCTCATTGCAACCTTGACCTTCTGCGCTCAAGCAGTCCTCCCACCTCAGCCTCTTGAGTAACTGGGACCACAGACGTGCACCACTAAACCTTGCTAATTGAAATTTTTTTTTTTGGTAGAGACAAGGTCTCACTGTATTGTCCAGGCTGGTCTCAAACTCCTAGATTTAAGCAATCCTCCTGTCTCAGCCTCCAAAGTGTTGGGGTTCAAGCATGAGCCATTGTGCCCAGCATCTCTTGTTCTAAGTGTTACAAAGATGTAACTCTTACATTTAGGTGTTTGATCCATTTTGTAAATGATGTGAAGTAGGAGTCCAACCTCATTTTTTTTTTTTTTCTTGAGACACAGTCTTGCTCTGTTGTTCAGGCTGGAGTGCAGTGGTGCGATCTCAGCTCACTGCAACATCCTCCTCTTGGGCTGAAGTGATTCTCCTACCTCAGCCTCCTGAGTAGCTGGGATTACAAGCATGTGCCACCATGCCTGGCAAATTTTTGCATTTTTAGTAAAGATGGGGTTTCACCATGTTGGCTAGGCTGGTCTCGAACTCGTGACCTCAGGTGGTCTACCTGCCTCAGCCTCCAAAAGTGCTGGGATTACAGGCATGAGCCACCACACATGTGGATATCCACTTGTCCCAGCGCCAGGTGTTGGAAAGACTGTCCTTCCCCATTGATTTCTCTGGGCACCCTATCAGAGGCTTGATGTTTTTACTGAGTTACCTTGTTCCAGGTGCCTGTTGGGTGTGGTGCAAGTAAGCTAAACAGACACTGTCCTTGCCTTTGGAGAGCTTCCATTCTGGTACCCTTGAAAAGATAATCTGGGAGTGACGGGGAGGAAGGAGCAGAGTGACAGAGAGAGAGTGGAGGCAGGGAGGCCACCTTGGAGGCTGTGGAAGCCTTCAGCAAGCATCAGTGGTGGGGGGATTGGAGAGGCCCTCACCAGACAGACTGGACGGGTGTAGGTGACTGATGGGGCCGGGGGCGGGAGGCTCCCTGTCCAGGGGTGAGAGCTTCCTCAGGACTATCCGAGTTGCTGGCTGAGGATCCCCCTTTCTGCCTGGGCTGGTTGATTAACCAGGGAGGGGATTGGAGGCCTGGGAGAGAGCCCTAAGTGATGGAGAGAGGGTGGCTGCCCCCCTGGTCTTCCCTAGGACTCAGTCTCTCCTGAGTGGGACAGAATCACTTTCCTGCAATTGATGAAGACAAGTCGAGTCATAGCATCTTAGGAGGAGCTTTACTGTAAGGGATAAACCTTGATTAAGGGCCTTCTCAGTGCTGGGCCTATGCTAGTCACTCCCCCTGTCCTCAGGAAACTTGAGGGAATCTGGGAGGGACGGGGATGTCAAGTGTTTCAAAGGAGGAAGGAGAAGATGCCAGCGGAGCTCGTGTCGGGGAGGCCCAGAGGAGGAACCGACATTTCCTGAGACGGGAAAGATGACTCCGAGGTCTCTGGGCCTGAGGAGGGGTGAGCGGGACATCTGAGACCAGAGCTGGGAGGAAGAGAGCCATCCTGGGGCGGCGAGCCTGGGGCCTTGCAAGGATCCCCTCACAGAATGGGGGCCTTTATCCAAGAGCACTGGAAGGCTCTGGCAGTTTTTGGTGACACTGGGGTTTTAGTTTTTTATTTGTTATTAAAGACAATTTTTTTTTTTTTTGAGACAAGGTCTCACTGTGTCATCCAGTCTGAAGTGCAGTGGTGCATTCATAACTCACTGCAGCCTCAACCTCTTGGGCTCAAGTGATCCTCCCACCTCAGCCTCTTGAGTAGCTGGGACCACAGGTCCCCACTCCACACTTGGCTAATTTTTTTTTTTGGTAGAGACAGGGTCTTGCTGTGTTGCCCAGGCTGGTCTTGAACTTGTAGGCTCAAGTGATTCTCTTGCCTCAGCCTCCTGAAGTGCTGGGATTACAGGTGTGAGCTACCACACCCAGCCTCCAAAGTGTTGGGATTATAGGCATAAGCCACTGCTTCTGGCTGAGATGGGGGTTTTAGAAAGATTTCTGAAAGGGAGGATGAAAGATTTCTGAAAGGAGGGAGGCTTGTTAGGAGGCTGAGGGAGGCAGGTGGAAGGACTCGCTGTGGGAAGAATGCCGGTTTCTTAGTTTCTGGCTTGGATAATGGATGGGATGAGCTGCCATTTAGTTAGTTAGTTTCTTTGTTTCTTTTTATTTTCTTTTTTGAGACAGGGTCTTGCTCTGTTGCCCAGGCTGGAGTGCAGTGGTGTGATCTCGGCTTACTGCAACCTCCACCTCCTGGCTTCAAGCAATTCTCATCCCTCAGCCTCCTGAACAGCTGGGATTACAGGCGTGCGCCACCATGCCTGGCTGATTTTTGTATTTTTGGTAGAGATGGGGTTTCACCATGTTGGCCAGGCTGGTCTCGAACTTCTGGCCTCAAGTGATCCACCCTCCTCAACCTCCCAAAGTGTTGGGATTGCAGGTGTGAGCCAACCGTGTCTGGCCACCATTTAGTTTCTTTCTGTCTGTCTGTTTTCCTTCATGCATGCAGGTGGTTAAAGAGAAACTGGAACAGTAAATGGCAGTATGTATAATGGTTAAGAGCAAGACCGGAGGCTCAGGTAGGGGTTGAATCCGAGTGGTATGGCACGGCTTCCTCCAGGCCCAGTGAGGAGGTCATCGTGGTAGACTGGACAGCACAGGTGTCTTGAGGACAGAATGAGTCAACACACATGCAGAGGGCTCAGAACTGCCCTGGGCCTTAGTGCCACCGCCAGCTTTGGCCTCGTACCCACACCTGGCCAGAAGTCCTAAGAGGGTCCCAGCACCAAGGACCTTTGGGAAAACAACCAGGGGACCAAAAGCCTACTACCTTGATAGTGGAGCTCCAGGCGCCTCAGCCCCGCCCTTCTCTGTTGCCCTCTAAAGAGAACTGGGCTGGGGTTCTGCCTGTCTTGGCTACAGCTGCTCCTGGAGACCCGGCGTGCCCAGGCCTTCGGCCCGCACGTCCCTTTCCCAGCACTGTTCTTGTTGCAATGCCCTTCCCTGCATCCACAGGAGAAAGGATCCAGGGTTCTATGCAGCGGTTGTCAGGGCCCAACACAAAACTTCAGGACCCTACATAAGCCCCAGATCCCCACTGGAGACCCCAGGGTGTGGTAGAGGAGAATCTGAGTAAGGCTGCGGCTTTCCCTGGAGAGATGCACAGCCGTAGAGTCCTCGGCTTAGAAGGGATTCCCCAGGGGACTCCTCCAAAGGGCCGAGAAGGCTTCTGAGGATCCCGCCCGTGGGGAGGATGGGCCGCCAGGCCACTTCCTCTCCATCGCCGCCTCGATCCCCATGGTCGTCTCCTCTGGGCGGTGTCCCCTATAAGGCGGCATCCCCTGTAAGGTGGCCTGAGCATGCATCCCTTCCTCTTCCTCTTCCACAGCCAGTTCATCAAAGCCTACAAGACGGGCAACATGGACCAGGCGCTGTCCCTGTGGTTCCTCCTGGGCTGGATTGGCGGAGACTCCTGCAACCTCATCGGCTCCTTCCTTGCTGACCAGCTGCCCCTGCAGGTGGGCCGGTACCCGGGCAAGGTGGCGCTACCCCTAACCCTGCTTCACCCTGCAGGGTTGCCTGAGGAGATGCCAGGCTCTTTGGCCCGCCTGGTCTCCAGAACCCTGACCCGTCATTCCATCTTGTGGGAGGGCCCCATCCTTCTGTCTGCCGAACTGTGACTGTGGGCAGGTCACTGCTCTTCTCTGGGCCTCAGTTTCCCCATCTGCAATATGAGCATGTCTAACAGGAAGGTTTCGGGGTCTTCCACCTCCAGGGTGCTGGAGTGCTGGCGAAGCTTTCAGAGGGTGGGCCCCTCGAGGAGAAAGGGAGTTTTTCCGTGGGAGGCCCAGATGCCATCCTGCTCCTGTGGGCAGGCAGAGCTGGGGCTCCCAATCAGGAAGGCATTGTCTTCCCATGTGGGACCAGAAAGTTCTGACTGCCCTGGTGTCAGGCCAAACCAGAGCCATCACTTCACCGCGGAGTCCCACTTTGTCCTGACTGCTAGCGCTGACCACCAGCTCATTGGCCCCTCCTGGGCTAGATCCTTTCCTGGGTCTTTCGCCCACCTGTTCTGTCATTCTGCCAGGTGGGAACTGGGAGTTCTTCCTTGCCAGATAAGGAAACAGAAGCTCAGAGAGGAGAAGTGACTTGGTCCGGGTCACCCAGCTGGGATATGACAGAGGGCTGCCGGGGCGTGGTCTCAGATCCTGGGACTGCGCCAACCCCTGGGCCCCCTGCATCTCTTACAGACCTACACGGCTGTGTATTATGTCTTGGCAGACCTGGTGATGCTGACGCTGTACTTTTACTACAAGTTCAGGACGCGCCCCTCTCTGTGTGAGTATGGGGACCGCTCTCTGTCAGATGCTCTACCAGCAGCAGGGGGCAGTTGTGGGGGGGGGCGCCTGGAGTGTGGGAGGAAGCGGGTTTCCCATGGCTGGGTGATAACCCAAACCTCGGAAAGCCTTCCCCGGGCCTTATCTAAGAGCCTGAGCCTTAACTGGCCAAGATAGAGGCTTGAGGGCAGTGAGCGCGTCCTGGCCCAGACCACAGGCCGGTTCCTCTCGCCCAGGGGCTCATTCAGCAGACACAGCTCCAGCTCCTCCTCTGTGTCCGGCCCTGGGCTTGGAGCTGGGGAAACGAGGGCAAGTCACACAGGCTGCCTCTGCCCCAGCCTTCAGGAGGAGCAGGAGACAAGGTCAGCTTGAGGCTATACAGACACGGGGAGGGACCTGGGGAGGAAGTTGTCTCATCAGCGTTCCTGCTTCGTGTAACCCCCTCCTGACCTCCCTGCCCTCAGCGTTTCACCTTTATAACTCTAGGAGAAGGGTACTGTTGTTGTACCCATTCGACAGATGAAGAATGAAAGCTCAGAGAGGTTAGGTCACTTGCCCAAGGTCACACAGCCCCTGAGGGGCAAGGCCAGGACTTAGCACCCTCCCCCGACAACCGCTGCCACTCAGCCATCTAACCTCAGCTTCCCCCTGCCTTGTGTGCAGTGTCTGCCCCCATCAACTCCGTGCTGTTGTTCCTCATGGGGATGGCGTGCGCCACACCGCTGCTGAGTGCTGCTGGGCCCGTGGCTGCCCCTAGGGAAGCCTTCCGGGGGCGGGCGCTCCTGTCCGTGGAGTCGGGCAGCAAGGTGAGGCGTGGGCGTGGCGGTCGAAGGGATGGAGGCTGGCTCATCCCCAGGGCTCTCCCCTGCACAGCCTCATGGGTGCTAAATGGGGTGGGGGATCACCTCTGGCTCCTACGAGACACCAAGTGCCCCCTTCTGCCCCACAGCCCTTCACCCGGCAGGAAGTCATTGGCTTCGTCATCGGCTCCATCTCCAGCGTGTTGTACCTGCTTTCCCGGCTGCCTCAGATCCGCACCAACGTGAGCCTCCAGCAGGGGCTGGGTGGGGCCGAGTAGAGGAGAGCTGGCCTGGCCACCCGGGCCCTCTGGGCTAAGGAGTAGCACAGCATAGGAGCCTTGGTTCAGAAAGTCTGGTCTACTCCCGCTGTTGGCTTGGGCAAGTTAATCCAATCTCCGAGCCTCCATTTCTGCTTCTGGAAAATGGGCGTGGCGTGGCCTGCCAGCCAGGCTACAAGAGGCCCATGTGTGTCTTGGGGGAGTGGGAGGTCAGGGGAAGGTGAGGGGCTGAGCTTGGAGGCCTGAGGGGAGAGGAGAAGCTGGGGAGTCGGGGAGGGGAGGCTTGCTGGGCAGCTAGAGCCTGTGTGGGGTGGAATGCAGGGTGGTGTGGGGCCACAGGCCTGGCACAGCCACGGTCTCCCGTGGACCTGGGCAGGGGCCTGGGGGGGCTTGTCTGTGGGTGGGAGGAGGCTCTTCTGTGTGTCGGGCCCATATCCCTGGGCACCCAGGGAAAGATTGGCTCAGAGCAGGTGCACTGTGGTGGGGCAGGTGGACATGTGGACAGTTACAATCCAGAGTGACAAGAGGCCTGTTCGAGGTCTCTGACCTGACCTCCTCCTGCCCCAGTTCCTCCGGAAGTCCACCCAGGGGATCTCCTACTCTCTGTTCGCGCTGGTGATGCTGGGGAACACGCTGTATGGGCTGAGCGTGCTGCTCAAAAACCCCGAGGAGGGCCAGAGCGAGGGCAGCTACCTGCTGCACCACCTGCCCTGGCTTGTGGGCAGCCTGGGCGTGCTGCTGCTCGACACCATCGTATCCTTCAGGGCGTGTGGGGCAGGTGGCGGGGTGTGGGCAAGGAAGCTTCTGCCTGCACACAGCGTCAGCACTCATCCGTCTCTTCCTCCCTTCATCCATCCGTCCATCCATCCATCCCTCCCTCCCTCCCTCCCTCCCTCCATCTGTTCACCCAGTCGTGCACACCTCCTGTGTGCCAGGCACCCAGCTGGACCCTGGAGCCGTGAGTGAGCAAGAACAGCCATGAGTGCCCCAGAAGCTTACAGCCCAGCGGGGCGCAGAGAGGACACAACGCTATCATCAAAGAATTACTTCATTGCAGTGGCACCAAGTGCTGCAGAGAAAAACAACAAGAGCGTCTAGCCAGGGACCGTCCTGGTTAGAGGGGCAGCAAAGGCCCCTATAAGTCTCATTGAACCTGTGACTTGACAGAGTAGGAGAAGTCAGGCGAAGGCAGGAGAGGAATGTTCTAGGCTGTGCAGACGAGAGCTGGAGTGTGGAGAGACACATGACTTGGTCAGACAAACCTGGGTTCAAATCCTGGCTCCTCCCCTGCTTCCTAGCTGTGTGACGCAGGGCACACAGTCAACCTCTCTGTGCTGCCGTGTCTTCACCTCAGTTAACAGCCACTGTCTCGTCAGGATGTTGTGTAAGATGAGGTATCTGGAAACACTCCCCACAGGACCCCGTTTTCAGTGAGGGCTCAGAAAGTGTTTGCTGAATGGCTGTAAAGAGCGTTACCTGGGTCTCATTTCGGAGCAAGTAAACATGGCCTTTGTTTTAATATTTGTTAAGTCCCTGCCGGGCGCAGGGAGGGGTGAAAGTTTAGGCTCTTGTGCCCCAAAACGGCCCAGCCACCTGGAAGCCTCCAGGACGCCACAGCTGAGAGCAAGCGAAGATCCTGGGCCAGGGTCAAGGGAGGCTGCCCACGGGAAGGAGAAGTCAGTGCTAGGCTTGGAGACAGATGGAGCTTGGCTAGGGCTTGAGGAGCCGGGCAGAAGTTCTGAGTGGAGGGCACAGCTAAGGTAGCGGCTGGGAGGTTATGGCTGGCCCTTCCCACCTGCAGCGTGGGGGTGGGAGGGAGGGGAGAGGGAGGCAGCTCCCAGGAGTCGAAGGCCCCCAGGGGCAGGTCCAACCCAGTCTCTGCTCAGCTTGGCCTTAACGGCGGCACCCCCAGATCTCCATCCAGTTCCTGGTGTACAGGCGCAGCACCGCCGCCTCGGAGCTTGAGCCCCTCCTCCCCAGCTGACCAGAACCAGGCTGAGCGCAGGAGGACAGGCACCACCGGATGCCACACCAGGCAGGAGGAGGTGTGGACAGTGATGGTACGGCGGCCCTGCATCAGCCTGCGGGTGGCCTCTGGATCCTCCGTGGACCGAACCGTCCCCCCAGGAACACACCTTCAGGTAGACCCCGAAGCCTCAAGGCCGGGGCTGGAGCGGAGACCCCAGGGCCTCTCAGGAGACAGTGAGGCTGCCCCTCCTACCACCTACCTCATTCTGCCTACTCACCCCAGGGGCCACAGCCACAGCCTGCTGGACTCAGGACTGTCCTGTCAACTCCAGACAACTGAATAAACAGGCCGGGTACAGTGGCTCGCACCTGTAATCCTAGCACTTTGGGAGGCCGAAGCGGGTGGACCACTTGACGTCCGTAGTTCGAGACCAGCCTGGCCAACATGGTGAAACCCCATCTCTACTAAAAATACAAAAATTAGCCAGGTGTGGTGGCACACATCTGTAGTCCCAGCTACTTGGGAGGCTGAGGCAGGAGAACTGTTTGAACCTGGGAGACAGAGGTTGCGGTGAACCGAGATCGTGCCACTGTACTCCAGCCTGGGTGACAGAGTGAGACTCCGTCTCAAAAAAATAAAAAAGATAACCGAGGAAACGGTACCTCCCCATGAGACCTGCTTCTGTTGCTCCTTCCCCAAGGTGCTGAGGGATCGGGGCTGCTTTGGGGACCAGCGGTGGATGTGGATGGGGATTCAGGACGAGCTGAGCAGAGGGGACCGCATCTGCCTGCAGCCCTGGCCCAGCCTCCTGGGGCCTCTGGTTTCTTTAGCCTGCTTCTCCGGGCCCTTTCCTGACAGGCCCCACACCTTACTGTGGGGACATAGCAGGGAGAGTGACTCCCCACGGGGAGCCTGCCCCTCGGTGTTCAGGAAGAAGCAGAATGGTTAAGGTTCTGTTGGATCTGGGTTCTCCATCGCAGTTCCTCAGTGCCTAGCTTATCTCATCTGTGAAATGGACAGTACTGTCATTTCCTGTGTCCTTTCAAGGATTACATAAGATGCTGACATTATGGAGTTTAGCCCCAGATCTGGCGCATAGTAAGGGCTCAATAAAGGTTAGTTTTGAGGACTTTTAGTTGGAGAAGAGGAGCAACCAGATCTTGGAGATCAGGGAGAGCCTCCTGGAGGAGGTGATAGGTCAGAAGGATGAGCGGGAGATATCACAGGGAAAGAGGGAGGATTGAAGGCAGGAGGAAGAAGTGGCGGGTACAGGAGCAAGGTGGGAGAGTGGAGAGGAGGGCAGAGCTGAGCTCCGAGTGCTTCCTGGACCCGCAAACTCAGTGTTGTCCAGACCCTGTTTTATTTTTAAAATTTTTTAGCCCAGGCCGGAGTACAGTGGTGCGATCATAGCTCACTGCAGCCTCGAACTCCTAGCTTCCAGGGATCCTCCCACTCAGCCTCCCGAGGAGCTGGGACTACAGATGAGCACCACCATGCCTGGCTCCAGACCCTGTTCTGATTCCACTTTCCTGGGGGTCATGACCCTCAGGTGCCTGGAGCACAGAGACGCCAGCTCCCCACCTTGTTGGCCTGATCTCACCCCACACACCCAACCCTAGCTGTGGAAAACCAGAACCAGGGACTTGGGGTATCTGGTGGGGTAGTCTTGGGGAGAGACGCTGCGTCCCAGAGTGGGCCTTGCCTTTAGGATCTCCCTTCCCAGCCCCGGAGAAGGGAAACGGTGCCATGGCCATTCTGGTGCCGCAGATCCTTTGTGAGCACAGCCCTCCACTCAGCCTTTGCTGTGTCAGACACCGGGGCTGTGGTGAACCAGCTCCAAGGCCCTGCCTTCCAGGAGAGGAGATGGTTACCATGACCAGAAGGTAGAAATGTCAGGAAATGAGCAGATGAGACCAGCCCCAGGAGGGTCAATCAGGGAGGACTTCTCAGAGGAGTGGCCTTTGAGCTGGATCTTGAAGGCAGAGGGGAGGGCAGTTCAGGAAAAGGGAGGGGCAGGTACAGAGGCCTGGAGGTGGGTGTCTCGGGTGCTTCCAAGGTGGGGCTGCTTACAAGGAGCCTTGAAAGCCACACCAATGCCAAGGACAAGGTCCTGGGGCACACCCAGCAGCAGCCCAGCAGCAGGTGATGGGGTTTGGTCGGGTGAAGAGCCTTTTGCTAGAGAGAGGAGGCAAGGCACACCTCTGAGACCCAGGTGGGCAGAGAGGGCCAGTCTCCCCTGCCCTGTCCCCCTAGGGGACACCCACGGAGCCCAGGATGCCATCTGGCATGCAGCTGTTAGTTGCACACTTGCCATGTGCGGGCTGCGCCGCCTGCCATCAGTGCACGAGATCTCCCCGTCTTCACAGCCAGCTCTGAGATGGGGGAGTTTTTATTTTTTTTTGACACAGAGTCTTGCTCTGCCGCCCAAGCTGGAGTGCAATGGTGCGATCTCAGCTCACTGCAACCTCCGCCTCCCGGGTTCGAGCGATTCTCCTGCCTCAACCTCCCAAGTAGCTGGGATTACAGGCGCCTGCCGCCACGCTCAGCTAATTTTTGTATTTTTAGTAGAGACGGGGTTTCACCATGTTGGCCAGGCTGGTCTCGAACTCCTTACCTCAGGTGATCTGCTTGCCTCAGCCTCTCAAAGTGCTGGGATTACAGGTGTGCCACCGCGCCCGGCCAAGATGGGAGTATTTTTATGGCCATTTTACAGATGGGAGAACAGTCTCAGCACAATTGAGCAGCTTGCCCAGCTAGGAGCAGCAGCAACACGAGACCCTCCAGCTTTGGGAGCCACCCCACACCTGGCCAACGCTGGCGGCCCGTGTCCCCTTCCTCCATCCTTGCTGGGGGCCCATGGCTTGTGGCAGTTCAGCTTCACCCTCAGGAGTGGCCCGAACCCTGCTGGACCCAGGCTCCCTTCTCACCATCCTGAATAGCGACTTTGCTGAGCCTCTGGCCCTGCCGAGATTTCAGGATAAGTTACCCCCAGGCCCGAAGCCCCAGCTTGCCCTGGCCTGTGCCTGCCTCAGGTGCCAGCTAGATGTCTCGCTCCACCTGGGTCTGGGACCTGGCTCCACACCAGTTACCTGGGACCAGTAGGTGCCCTTCCAGCCTGAAGATCTGGGGGCACAGTATAGCCACATGAGCCCCAAGTGTGGTCCTGAACTGGGGCCGGGTGGGGAAGAGTGAGATGGGATAACATAGCCCCTGCTTGGAGGCCCTTCTCTGATGGGGTGACATAATCCCTTCCTCCTGGGAAACACCAGCTTTTGGGGTGATAGCACTTTCAGGCAGGAGCTATGGTTCCTTCCTCAGGAGGCCTCCAATCTGATGGGGAAGACATGGCCCCTCCCCCTGGGGAGTGCCCTGTGTGATGGAGGCGATACAGCCCCTACCTTCAGAGAGCACCTGGCCTGCAGCTCATCCAAACCTGAGTCTCCTCTCCCTTGGAGGCCTCATTCCAGCGCCCCAAGGAGGATTCAAACTGTTGGGGCTGGAAGAACTTGGTGGCCTGGGTCCCTGGAGCCCTGTTGAAGGAGCTGGTGACATTCTGATGCTGGAGGCAGGTGACGGGGAGCACAGACTTTGTGTCCTGCACACTGAGCTCCAAGTGTGCCCCAGCCACTGAGCCTTGTGACTTGAGCAGATGTCCGAAGCCGTTTCTTCATCCCATGAGACCAACAACACTGTCTGCCTCAGAACATAGCCGTGATCAAGATGAGCACGGAGGCTCGTGTCCCAGCACCTGGCACACAGTAAGTGCCTGGTAAATAAACAATGGCTATATTTGCTTGTCATCAGGGGGCTTACCAATGCCTGGAACCTCCCCCAGGTTCCTCACAAAGAGAAGGGCCAAGGCCGGGTGCAGTGGTTCACGCCTGTATTCCCAGCATTTTGGGAGGCTGAGGCAGGAGGATCACTTGAGCCAAGGAGTTCAAGACCAACTTGGGCAACATAGCAAGACCCCATCTCTACAAAAATTTAAAAAATTACAATAAAGGCGAATCTCATCGATGGGATTCTGCCATACTGATGGGGCCGTGTTTGCTGATGGTGGGCAAACATGTTACCAAGTTAAACGCCTCCACAGGTGGCTTCCCTTTCTCCCTGGCTTACACCTCCTGCTCCTTCCTGCAGGTCATGGGATGGCAGGATGCTTGTCTCCAGGTGTGGCCTGAAGGGAAAAGTGTGGACAGTTTGGTGTGATCAAGGAAATGGAACCACGCTTACCAGTTGCCCTTGTCCAGGAAGGGCTGGCTCCCTTAGGACGCCCACATGGAGCATGAGGTTGGGCCAGGCACCCCCAGAGGTCCCCGCCTTGGCAGGTTCTGTTTTACCTGTTGAACGAGACACTGTATGGGGAAGTGACATGCGCAGTGCCTGGCCCAGTGCTGTGCACACACGCTGCTTCGCTTCCTCAGGTTCCGGGGATGGGATGGGACAGAAAAGCTGGTTGCTTAGCTGGTGGCGTTCTCCAGCAAAGCAGAAGGGATGGTCCTGGCAGCCCTGTGCCGAGCACTGGACCCCGCGCCCTCCCTGGCTCTCTCAGCCCCAAGGTCCCATTAGTTATCAAACCTGGTTTTTTGTTTTTGTTTTGAGACAGAGTCACTCCGTCACCCAGGCTGGAGTGCAGTGGTACGATCTTGGCTTACTGCAGCCTCCACCTCCTGGGCTCAAGTGATCCTCCCACTTGAGTGCCACCACGCCCAGCTAGTTTTTGTATTTTTGGTAGAGATGGGGTTTCGCCATGTTGCCCAGCAGGCTGTTCTCAAACTCCTAAGCTCAAGTGATCCTCCCACCTCAGCCTCCCAAATTTGCTGGGATTCCAGGGTTTTGAAGCCACAGCCAAGACGACATGGCCTTCCATTCCTGAAGCCGAGGAAGGGGAGAAAGCCACAACCTTCACCACTCTCCACCCTTTCTGTCTGTGTGACTTGGCTTTCATCGGAGCTGAATGACGGGACCCCAGAGGTGCCGGGTGACAGCCAGGTGCAGAGCCTCAACTACCCCAGATGGTAAAGCTTTAAACTGATCCACTGGCCAGGTGAGGCGACTCATGCCTGGAATCCCAACACTTTGGGAGGCTGAGGCAGGTGGATTGCGTAAGCTGAGTTCAAGACCAGCCTGGGCAACGTGGTGGTGTGCACCTGTAGACCTAGCTACCTGGGAGGTTAAGGTGGGAGGATTGCTTGGGCCCTGGAGGTCAAGGCTGCAGTGAGTCAAGACAGCACCACTGCACTCCAGCCTGGGTGACAGAGACCTTGTCTCAAACAAAACAAAACAAAACAAAACAAAACAAAACAAAACACAGGAAAACCTGGATCTGCTTAGCATTGGCCCTAGGGCAGGGAGTGGGTTACCTTCCACCGTGGATTAACTCAGTTCAACTGATAACTACTCCTCCAGGCCCCCAGCCTGGGACAGCCCTGGGGACACAGTCACCCAGTAGCAGCACTGTGCCCAGCACAGGTAAGCACTCAATAATGACGACGGTTACTAAGTACTCCACCCCCACCAAACAGTAGGCAGAGACTGTCTCTCCTGTTGGCCATCATAACCCCAGTACTCAGTAGGCGCTGAATGTTTGGTGAATGAGTAAGTGAAGGGAAAGCTGAGGCACCAACCCTCAGGGAGCCCTCAGTCTGGTGGATGTAACCAACAACCACAGAACTACAGAACTGTATACTTTAGATACATGAATTGTGTGGTATGTGAATTATATCTCAAAGCCATTTGAAAAAATACCAAATGTGCCATTAAGATTTGGATGGGAAGTTATGGGTAATGAGAATATAATGACATCTTGCAACATTATATTGAGAAAAATACAAATTGAAATGTTTTATCTTATATTTAACTTACATGATATTTAATTTACAGGATTTAACTTATAGTATTTGAAATGAGGCGTACTTTTTTTTTTCTTTTTTTGAGACAGCCGTGATGTGTTCCCCAGGCTAGAGTGCAGTGGCACAATCATGGCTCACTGCAACCTCCGCCTCCCGGGTTCAAGTGATTCTCGTGCCTCAGTCTCTCGAGTAGCTGGGATCACAGGATGCACCACCACACCTGGCCAATTTTTGTATTTTTAGTAGAGATGGGGTTTTGCTATGTTGCCCAGGCTGGTCTCGAACTCCTGGGCTCAAGTGATCCGCCTGCCTTGGCCTCCCAAAGTGCTGGGATTCCAGGCGTAAGCTACCGCACCTGGCCAAGAGAGAATGTCTTCATTGTCCCAGTGTGGGTCATGCACAGGGGAGGAGGGAGTGTCCTGAGTGTACTGTGCCCAGGTGGCATGGGGGCGGTTTGGCACCAGAAAAAGAGGAGCTGTCCCACCTAGCAAAATCCACAATGCCTGCATCACCCCACCTGCTGAGAGAGTGCCACACCCTCGGGTGCAACTAGCCCAGGGCCTGCCACAAAGCAGTTACCCAGAAAGTAATCTGAATGCAGGAGAAAATCTTGGGAGACTAGGAGTCTTGAACCTGGGGCCCCAGGAGAACCTCAGGAAAGGCTTCAGTCTGGGCGCAGTGGCTCACACCTGCAATCCCAGCACCTTGGGAGGCCAAGGCGGGAGGAGGGCTTGAGCTCGGGAGTTCAAGGCTGCAGTAAGACCACTGCACTCCAGCCTGAGCAACAGAGCGAGACCCTGTCTCAAAAGAAAAGGCCAGGCACGGTGGCTCACACCTATAGTCCCAGCACTTTGGGAGGCTGAGGCGGGCGGATCACGAGGTCAGAAGTTTGAGACCAGCCTGGCCAATATGGTGAAACACTGTCTCTACTAAAAATACAGAAATTAGTCAGGAGTGGTGGCGCATGCCTGTAGTCCTAGCTACTTGGGAGGCTGAGGCAGAAGAATCGCTTGAACCCGGAAGGCAGAGGTTGCAGTGAGCCGAGATTGCACCTCTGCACTCCAGCCTGGGCGACAGAGCAAGACTCTGCCTCAAACAAACAAACAACAACAACAACAAAAAACGGCTCTAGACAACAACAACAACAACAGACTCCGGAGGCTGATTTGTTAAGGCCAAGCAAGGGAGGAATGAAAGGGCTTCAGAGAGACAGGGACCCCCTGGATTACCCACTTAAGCCCTCAGCCCTGGAGAGACCCTCACCAAGGCTGCCTCCCCTTCTGTTAGTTGGCACCAAGGGGACCTCCAGGAAGCATCTAGTGAGCCCTTGGGGTGGGGGACATCTCTGCTGCTGCCAAACCCCAGGAGTCTGTAGCCTGCAGCCCATGAACCCCAGGGGCTCCCATACGCCTTCGTTCTCTTCTTAGGGATGCCCGAGGTGCCCTGCTGGACCCCAGAGCTTTCCTCACCAGGCAGCCAAGGAACGAGCAGGGAAAGGCATGGCTGGGAAGTGGGAGAGGGTCACCAAACACATCCTCGAGGCCCACTGTCCCCAATCTCACCAGCTGAGTTTAGCATTAAAACACTAGCAGTGAGGGCTGTGTGCGGTGGCTCACACCCGTAATTCCAGTACTTTGGGAGGCCAAGTTGGGGGAGGGATCGCTTGAATTCGGGAGTTCGAGACCAGTCTGGCCAACATGGCGAAACCCGGCCTCTACTAAAAATACAAAAATTAGCTGGGCGTGGCGGCGGGCACCTGTAGTCCCAGCTACTTGAGAGGCTGGGGCAGGAGAATCGCTTGAAGCTGGGAAGTGGAGGTTGCAGTGGGCCGAGATCACGCCACTGCAGTCCAGCCTGGGTGACAGAGCAAGACTCCATCATAAAACAAAACAACACAACACTAGCAATGAGGGCTGGGCGTGGTGGCTTACACCTGTAATCCTAGCACTTTGGGAGACTGAGGTGGGGGATCGCTTGAAGCCAGGAGTTTGAGACCAGCCTGGGCAACAGGGTGAGGGCCCGTCTCTACAAAAACAAAAAAACCCAACTGGTAGTGAGGGTCCCTGTGGAAGATTCTAGATAGCAGAGCAAGATCAGGCCTGTCATACATCGCAGTCACAATTTCTGGGTTTCAAGCATTATTTTTGGTCCCAGGATTGTACGGCTGATGAAAGTGACAGCTCAAGGAGCAACTGGTGGGTTTCCTGAAGGGAAATCCCCTGAGAGGAGAGCGGGCCTGAGCCTCCAGGGGTGACTCTCAGGTGAGTCAGAGTCCACTCCACCTCTGCAGTTCTGTGGAATTACCACTGGCGTGCACAGCAGCTCCCAGCCTAGCAGCCTCTGCTGCAGGACAGCAGGCCTCTGCTGTGGCGTTCCCGGTGTGCCTGTCTCACTGACTTCAGGGGTGGCTGTTTTTCCCTTGCGACCTCAGCTCCTCTCATGTGTCCAAGGAAAGGCATTTTCCATTTGTCCAGTTTCTTCTTGAAGTGACAACTGCCAAAGATTATTTGCTTGGCCAAACTTTAGTCAGGCTCCTGAACCTTCCCCTAGGCCCACCTGTGTGCCCTTGTAAAATCCAGTTTCAGCAATCCCTTGCTAAGTCAATTTTACAAAAACGGCCATCCTTGATATTTTTTTTCTTTTTTTGAGACAGGATCTCACTGTCTTCTAGGCTGGAGTACAGTGGTACGATCTCGGCTCACTGCAGCCTCAACCTCCCAGGCTCAAGTGATCCTCCCAACTCAGCCTCCCAAGTAGCTGGGACCACAGGTGCACACCACCACGCCTGGTTTGTATTTCTTGTAGAGATGGGGTCTATGTTAACCAGGCTAGTCTCAAAGCCCTGGGCTCAAGCCATCCTCCCAACTTGGTCTCCTAAAGTGCTGGGATCGTAGGCGTAAGCCACCACACCTGGCCTCATCCTCCACCCCCACCCCCAGGTGATGTCTGGTCACCCTGGCCTGTCTTCAGCAAGAATCCTGTTAGGTGTGTTTGGCCGGAAGACCCCTGACCCCTGAGGTTTCCTCTGAGTCATTTTCCACCCACTGCCCCCCTCTGCTCCTTGGCTCTAATCCCCACCTGCCCGTGCTGCTGCACTCAGAGTTGAGCCCAATCTCTCTCCCCATCCACAAGACCCCACTGCAGTGGCCCCTGTACCTACCTTGATGATCCTGGATAAAACTTTACCATGAAAGAAAATGAAAAGCAAAACATTTGTTTTTCCAGCCCCTTCTGTGTGCCAGGCACCTTGCCAACATGACCCCGGGAGGCTGCAGCACCCGTGTGCCCATGGGGAACAGCTCGCTGGGCCCTTCTGTGTGCCAGGCACCTTGCCAACATGACCCCGGGAGGCTGCAACACCCGTGTGCCCATGGGGAACGGCTCGCTGGGTGCATCCCCTCATGGCTCACGGCTGGAGTGTGCCTGCGTTCTCCACGTGGCACTAGGAACTCAGGGGGCAGGGGCTTCTCTGCTGTCTGTATGCCATGGCACTTGCACTCCATAAAGATACTGCATCGGCCGGGTGCGGTGGCTCACGCCTGTAATCCCAGCACATTGGGAGGCGGGAGGGTCACCTGAGATCGGGAGCTCGAGACCAGCCTGACCAACAAGGAGAAACCCCGTCTCTACTAAAAATACGTTAGCTGGGCATGGTGGCACATGCCTGTAATGCCAGCTACTGAGGAGGCTGAGGCAGGAGAATCGCTTGAACCTGGGAGGCGGAGGTTACAGTGAGCCAAGATCATGCCATTGCACTCCAGCCTGGGCAACAAGAGTGAAACTCCGTCTCAAAAAAAAAGATGTTGCATCAGACCCAGGGACCTCAAACACATGGGCTGGCCAGGTTGTGGAGCCCGCTGATTGGCCACGGACAGATGGGGGGATGGTCTCGGCAGGGACTTTGAGATCTGCTTCAGATCTTCCCTGGGGCAGTTTGGAGGGTAGAAGGCAGACTCTGTGGCTCTGTGCAGCCTTGGCTGAGTTACTGCAACTGAACCTCGGCTGCCTCACATTTGTACTAGGCACAGTGGGAAGGCGGCGGGAGGTGCGTGCTGCGGCGCCAGAACAGTGTTTGCTGGTGCTTCTGCCCTCCAACGGCAGAGGGCGGAAAGGGACAGGGACTCTGCACCTCATCACATACCTGGTGTTTTCAGGGCGGCGGGGCTGGGGACGGGACACTTCCTTGCTGCCGTGAGCGGGGCCCACACGCGTCCCAGCTTGGAGCCAGCGCACGGCCACGGCCACACGCGCTCGGAAAGCGAGGCCGGCGAGAAGGAACACAGAAGGCCAGCGCTAACTGCGCCCCAGTTTCTTTTTATTGATTTCTTTTCTTTTCTTTTTTTAAGTATGGAGGCTCAAGTATAAGATGTAGATTTTTTTCTTAAGCTTTACAAAAAAACAAAATAAAACAAAAACCTCCTTTTGCATTCCATAGAAATTGACAGAAAAGCACCTGGCCGGAAGAGCGGAACGGTCGGCGGCACCCCCCCCAGCCCCCACCCCGCGGCCTCCGTGGGACGGGAGAGTCTGCGCAGGACGGCACCGAGGGCCACCTCTGCTCCCAGAGCTGTCCCCTGTCCCCACGACCCCCAACCCCAAGCAACTCCCAAACACACACGGAATAAGATTTCCAGTTTTTCTTCTCTCTTTCACACACCACAGTTAGTTCATAAAATTTTTTTGTTTTACATTTTTTACACCAATGTACCAAAAAGGTGGGAGGGAAGGGAGGCTGGCAGACAGTGGATTTTATGCCTATAAATGGGGGGACAGGGAGGAAGACGGGGGGCCCGGGTGAACAAAAACCACACGGTCTCTATGGAAATGTGGAGAGAACTGAGAGCGAGGTGTGGCAGAAGCAGGCTCGGAGCCGGAGGAGGGTGGCTATCGGCTTTATTCTCAGGGAGAGATGGCGCTGTGCGGTCAATGATGCAGCTGTTATGTGACCTGTCGGGGAGGGAAGGGACGAGGGAAGGGAGCAGAAAACGAGTTTTCTAAGAAAGGAATCTAACGAGTGCACGGCGTGTCTGGTTAGCATGAAACAGAGGTTTAGCATTGCTGCTTTCTCTTCAAAGCCTCCACCAGGTCATTCTTCAGAGCTTCTTGTTTTGATTTGTCTGCAAAAGTCTGCACAGACCTGCAAGGGAGGAAAGGCGTTATCAGCAGATTGAACAGGGACTGGTGAGGCGGTGGAGGCCTGGGGGCCACCATGCCAGTGCCTGGCTGATTTGCTGCATGGACCCGCTTCCTGGGGTGAGGCTCTGGGTCACTGGGCTGGGCATCTGCCCCTCTCAGAAAGGGGCAAAGGGGTACATGGCCGAGACCTGCACCCTCTGCACCTTGCCAGGCCCTGTGGGGGTGGCATATGGCTTACATGGACAGGTGCTCATCTCTGCCCCTGGCCACCGGTGACCCGGCCATAGTCCCTAGAACCCTAAGTTCACTCCTCTGTGTGTAGGTCCCTATGTCACCCTAAGCCACAAGGTGGCTTCTGGGCTTCCAAACACAATGGAACAAAGCCCCTCTGCTTCAGAACAGCTACCCTGGGTTGCTGGCTGGGGACTCAGGCCAGGGGCTAAGAGGGGAGGACTCCGGGGCCATGCGGGTTCCTCTATAAAAGCTTCTCCCTTGCCCAGGCCCTGCCCAGCAGAAGAGCCTCATTCCTCATCCCACAAGTGCAAGGTGCAGCGTTATCCCACCCTTGGGAGTGGGTAAGAACCAGTGTCTCTGCGTGTCTGAGCACACTGTGTTTATGGCCCACGCAGCAGGTGCTTTCAGGCCTCTGCTGTGAGGCACCATCCGCTGTTAACTTGGCCCAGAAAACCCCTCAGCCCGGATTGCAAAGGGCGGCACAGGACAGCCAAGTGCCCCTGGGATCCCTGCTGTCAAATTCTGGATTTGTGGGGAAACGTTCAGGGCGACCGCATTCACGTATGTGTGGGGACGCTCATCAACAAAGCCAGAAACAATGAAGGCTTATGGAGATTTCACAGTTTACAAAACGCCTTTCACATATATTATCTCATTTAATTTTCACGGGCATCCTGGGGAAGTCTCAACTATCAACCCGGCCGGATGTGGTGGCTCAAGCCTGTAATCCCAGCACTTTGGGAGGCCAAGGCAGGAGGATCATTTAAGGCCAGGAGTTCAAGACCAGCCTGGGCAACATAGTGAGACCCCATCTCTACAACGACAACAACAAAAAGCGAAGTCAAGGCTTAAAAAAGAAAAAAGCTATCAACCCAATTTACAGATGAGGAAACTGAGGCTCAGAGGAATGCCCCCCTAGCAATTCTTTAATCATTTTGTCAAATTTACCCAACATATTGGTTAGGCAAAGACTTCCTAAATGTAGGTTTTATAACAGTTTAGAAGCAGTGGAAAGAGTGGGTAGAGGGCTGCTCAAGAAGAGTGCTACGGAGAGTGCACTCAGCCGGACTCTCACGTTTGATTCACACCAGCCATGGGAAGGAAGAATCAGAAAAATCAATCCCCAGAAGCAAAAATGGGCAAATGGAAGTGAAGCAGGGCCCAGGAGAAGCAACAGCACCCAGACTGAGTTCTGGCTACCGAATCCCTACAAGTCACAGGAAGAGCCCTCAAAATACTCAGCAGGTGCCATAAGACAAGACCTGGAAGCAAGCTGCATACAACTGAAAAAACTCCCAGGAGAAACGCAGACATTTGGTTCATGCTGGGGAAATACACGTTTCTGAGTATCTTCCCAGGACTGTCCCTGGCTCTGCGGCGGCCAAAGGCATCAGCCCCCACGGCCCCCAGGCTCCAAATCTCAGCCGATTCCCCAGGGGCTTCTTGCCAAGCTCACAGCGGGAGGTCAACATGGCCAGCGGGAGATGCGGCGGGCAAAGCAGCAGCGCACAGGACCTCTAGCCTGGGTGGTCACTGGCTCTTCTGGGAAGGAAGAGCCAAGCCCGCCAGGTCTTGGCTGGATCACACGAAGGAGAAAGTTCCAGAGCTAGAATCATGTTAGACACAGGAAGTTAGAAGTGAAATGGTGGAAGGCGGAAGGAGCAGGGGGCTTATTTAAGGGACAATGCTTGGGAAGGTCACGGCCAAGCAACCTCGAATCAGCGCTTGGAGACAGTGCTCGACTCTGTGGGAGGGAGGAGTCATCTTGAGCAGACCTGGCTGCCAGGGTTTCTACGCCAGGACGCCCCCAGTGGGCGGCCAGGGAACTGCACCATCACGGTGTATCTTAAAAAGAGTTTTTTCTCAATGCCATGATGGAAATGCCTGATGGCCACACTGTGAGGCTGACCCGAGTCGTGGGCCTTAAGTTGGCACACACAGACCAGACTGGTGCACTTAAGTCCCACGGCCTCGGAAAAGCAGCTCCACCTGGTTTTCTAAGTGCCTGACCCCACCTCCACCTTGGAAAGTCTGCTGCACCCCTTCTGGGGTGGGCCTTCAGTGCGCAGCCCCTGGACCTGGGCTCTGCAGCCCCAGTTGGCAGGGTTCCAAATGCCTTCTTTTTACAAACAAGTTTCCCTCCTACTCTCCAGGGATGCTGCCTCCTTCCCTACATCTGGATCTGTCACAAGCTCAAGTCATGGTTCTTGGCCATTACCAACAAGCAAGACTATTTTCCTTTCCATTAGCGAAACCTGTTTAAAGGAACAGCTGCAGCTCGTTAGGGGCGGAAGGTTATGCTGGTTGTGGCCGAGTCGGCACTGGGCGTCCAGGCAGCTCCAGCAGAGCATCTGGGCCAGCCAGGGTGGAGTCCAGCCCTGACTCTGCCCTCCAACCCCAGAGACTCAGAGATCAGAGAGTGAGGTCACCCCTTCCAAGCCAGCTAGCCCTGGACAGGCAATGTGCCGCTGAGCAGCGGGGAGGCTTATGTGGCTTCTGGGATCCCTGCACCAGCATCAGAGGCTCCTCTGAAGCATGGGGGGGTGGACGGCAGGCAGATCCCTGCCCTGGGGACAGTCAGGCCGGTGCACACAAGTGGCTGCTGCTGGAGAGGCAGCATCCGTCCCTTGGCCTGGGCTTCTTCAGAAGCAAAAGCCAAAAAATCAGCCGTCTTCCCCACACCCAGCCTCCACCCAGAGTGGAAAGCACACACACGTGATAGGTGCCGTGTTACATGGGGCCGAGGCTACACGGGAATGTGGCTGTGCACCGACCGGGAGCACACGTGGGGGTTAGTGGTGGTTTAAATGGCCGCGGAGCAGCAGCCGGACCGGCAGGGTCTCGGCGGGTTGGTGAGTCCTGTTTTAGTGGGGAGGGTCTCGCGGCTCTCAGGCAGGGTACCTGGATCGGCTTAATTATCAGGCTGGATGTAGATCTGGCGCTGGGTCAGCACTTGAGAGAGCTCCCTCTGCAACTGCTTAAACTTTTGGTTGTCAGGGATAGCATCAATAGATCTACAGAGAGTGTTCAAGATGAGTGGAGTGGGAGGGAAGAGAACGACGAGAAGCCAGGAACGCAGGGGGCCACAGCTGAGGAGGAAATTCAGGGAGACCCACGAGGCGGAAGGGGGGATGCCGTGGCGGCTCTGGGGTGTGGAGTGGTATCGCCGCTGCAGAGGTCCACGCTGGCGGTGGTCGTGGTATTCAGGGGCTCGCCACCACCACCCGCAGGCTCTTCGGCTTCTCTCCCCCACTTCCCAGCCACTGCCTGGGGACTGTGCAGGTTGGCTGGGCGGGAAAGTGTGTTTGGTGTATCGGGCAGTGGCTGCCAGTGGCAGGCCTAACGCCAGGGACCACTGGGCTCTAACCCTGTCACAGGTCACGAAGACCAAGCCTCCCCCAGGTGGGCAGGGGATCAGAAGACAAGGGTCCAAAGAGGACTCCTCCTCTGTTTTAAAACTGTAAAGCAGGTGACTGAAATCTGTCGCCCACCCCAGTCCACGAGCTGGGGCAGCCCCGGGACTGCAGCCTGCCTCTCCTCTGGGCTGGGCTGTGAGAGCTACACCACGGCAGTGGGTGAGAGGGCTGGCCGCTAAAGGCATAGCACAGCCCGACTCACACGGTGCTGCTGGACTGCAGAGCGTGTTCTAGATTCATCATCTCAGCCGACCGTGCCTCCTCGACTGGACAAGGGCCTCTGCGAGGAGTGCCAGAGGCCATGCAGCTCGGGATGACAGAGCTTAGGGGAGATCCCGGCCTCCTGACTCTCCTGACTCCAAGGCCAGTGCTCCCTCCACAGCCGTTTACTGCCCCCAGCTGGGCTCTGGCCTCATGTCAGAGGCCTGCCTCCTGCTCTGTCCGCCGTGGACCTGGAGGGTCCAGAGAGCGCCCGGCTTTTGTTTGGGCTGACACTGCAGAGCTGAGGGCACGAGGTGGGAAGGATGGTGCAGGACACTGGCCACTGGCAGCAGAGCCCTGGCAGAGGACGTCAGAGAGGCTGGGGCCCCCTGAGAACGCCCAGGCTGAGGGCCCTGCCTGCATGTGGCGTCAGGGAGGCTGGGGGCCTGAGAAGGCCCGGACTGAGGGCCCTGCCTGCACGTTGCGCTCTGCTGTCTCGGAGAGCAGGCCAGCCAGAGGCAGCCGGGCTGCCCGGAATGTGGTGTCATGGCTCCCCTAGGCCCAGGCTGGAGGGTGGGGAGATTTTTGAGCGGGGACTGACAAACTGCAGGGCTGAGGAGGCTCCGGGGGCAAGGGCACCAATGGCTGTTAGGGTGAACATGCCCCAGAAAACAAATGGTGCAGATAGGGACCGACAGCTGCTACGGAGAGTGCAGATGACACATCAGGACTTTACTTTCCAAAATCAACATAATGATCATCCCAGAAGAGGGGCACTGCAGCCTACCAATGAGGACACCGAGGCCCAAGACCACACAGCTAGTAACTGGCAGAGCCAGGGTTCAAATCCCTCTGTCTGCTTCTAAAGCTTGTGCTTTCTGGTACATTACCTCAGCCCATTGACGATATCCTTTGTTTTTCCAAAGTAGATCTCGTTCAGCGTACTTCTGATTTTATTTTCCATGTCCTGGAAGGGAGGTCGGTCAGCGCAGTGGCAAAAGGTCAGGAACCCTGAGGCCCACGCCCTCCCTCCACCTGCCAGCCCTGCAGTCCCCAGTGTGGCCACTGGAGGGTGGCACACGCCTGCTCTGGGGCATCAGTGAGCGCGCTCCAGGCTGCCAAGACCCCACCTGCCATCTGTGCTCCCGGCACCTTCCCATCCACAGTCCACAGGCAGGGAGGAAGCCAGTACCCAGGGATTGGCGGCCAGCTCTGCCCATGCCTGGGAGCTGCTCTAAACCACATCACCACCCCTTGGGCTCCCCACTAATTTTGTGAACAATTCTGTGAAACCCGAGAGCACCTCCCTGCCTTCCCAAACAACGTGGTGACAGGAGGGCCAAGGCAGCCGCAACTGAAGCCACACCAGGGCCCACTGGCATTCCTGGGATCTGCTTCCTCTCCCAGCGCAGGGCCCTGTTCACACCCAGGCGATCAGGGGAGACAAGACCTAGTGCGCCCCAGAGCCAGCGCCTGAGCAGTCTTCTGGGAGCCCAGGTCTGGGGGTGGAGCAGGAGGTGGCCCTGAAGCTGGAGCCTGCTGGCATCCAAATCAGAGGCTCCAAAAATATGAGGCCAGGGCAAAATCCAAGAAGCGCTCTGCCGGCTGCGGTGGAGCTGAGAGAAAGCAGCAGAGAAGGAGGCCAGCACAGCGGCTCCGGGGCTGCAGTGTCACTGCTGTGGGTCACTGCAGGAGCCAGCCAGAGCCCAGGTCACTCACCTCTACCAGGCGCCCGATGTTGGCTATGTGTGGGGAGCAGTCACTCACAGTTTCATCCTTCTCCATCTGCAAAAGACAGAAACATTCCAAGTCAGAGAAAGCCAGAGATTTCTGAGAACGGCAGACAGCCCACCCCACCTCCACGGTCTGCAAAGAGCCTACTGTTCCCACCGTGGAGCCAGCTGCAGGTATGACAAGGCCAGTTTTGCAGCCTGGGAACTGAAGCACAAACCGACTTCAGTTTCAGACCATAAAGAGCCCAGAGGGCAGAAGCCCAGAGTCCCACTTCCAAGGGAGAAGATTTTGCTGCTGCCCATGGTAGAGCAGGCAGATGCCCAGAGCCACAGCAGCAGCCCTTGGCAGGCACCAGCTCACCCGAGCCAACTGGAGAAGACTCACTCGGTTTGTCTTCAGGCCTCTACTGGCAGGCCCAGGCCCACGCTGGGCCATCCACCCCAGGTTCAGGGCCTGACACTGCAGGGGAAGCTTCTGTGCTGCTGCTGCGCCCTGGCGCTCCCAAATGGTGGCTTTGGGGTGCCATCTGCTGCAGTCTCGCAGGGAGGGACAGACAACCTCTGACGGAGACTTCAGGCCAGAGGGATTCAGTGGCTCACCCTAGTCATGCAGGTGGCAATGGCAGAGCCTGGGTCAAACCCTTCCTCGCACCAGGGCCTGTTCGTTCTACTCTGCGAGGAGAGTTTGAGCAAGAGAGTCTCAATATAGACTCTGAGGTTATGAGGGGGGCAGCAGCACTCAAGCCCCATCTCCTCTTCCCAAGCCCAGGAAGAGCTGGCTCTGACCCAATCATCTCAACTCGGAGGAGGGAGGAAATGGAGGCAGGTTAGGGTAGAAGGAATTCGGCACTTTCCCCCGAATTTTTTCTTATCTGAAGCCTTATTTCCCTGACAAGAATATAAATTCTTTCAGGAGAGATGTGCCTGCCTCATAACGCACAGGGTACCTGGAAGAGTGCTAGGAACATAAATGCTCAACGTTACTACACTGAAAACAGGAATACGCAGCTACGATGACTAATGTTGTTGAAATAAAATGTGGAAGCTGAAATAAATAATCAAGAAAGAGGAAGAAAAGAACAGCATCAGAAAGGGTAGAGTAGAAACCATGCAAGAAGTGGCCATCAAATTATAATACAAAAATGCAGTACTCTAAGGCTAAGCATTTATTGTTGAGATTCTAAATCTGCTTAGACATTATTTATAATTTTTGAAGCTTTATTAAAATAAAATAAAATTTGTGAGAGAAGCTAAAAAAAAAAAAAAAAAAAAAAAAAAGAAAGGGTAGAGTTCAAAATGAGACCAGGCCCACAGAAGAAAAACCAGCAAAAGGTGGGTTCCTCTCTTTGGAACCAGGAGAACAGGGTGGAGTCTGGGGGGAGATACTGTCTCAGAGGGTACGGGCTCTGTTGCTTCTCACCTATTTCTACATCTCCTCATCAGGGAGACTGACTTTCAGGCTGTGAAAGGTGGAACCAACCTGGTTAAGAGCGGGGTGAGCAGAGGGCAGGAGAGAACCAAGCCACTTTAAACGACCAGGCTTCCAGGGTCGGGCAAAACCGACCTGTGATTGAAATCCTTGACACTGGGGGCGGCAGCACTGACCCGACTTTTGTCTTTTTTTTTTTTTTTTTTTTTTTGAGACGGAGTTTCGCTCTTGTCGCCCAGGCTGGAGTGCAATGGTGCAATCTTGGCTCACTGCAACCTCTGCCTCCTGGGTTCAAGTGATTCTCCTGCCTCAGCCTCCCCAGTAGCTGGGATTACAGGTGCCCACCACCACGTCCGGCTTTTTTTTATTTTTATTTTTATTTTTTATTTTTAGTAGAGACAGGGTTTTGCCATGTTGGCCAGGCTGGTCTTGAACTTCTGACCTCAGGTGATCCACCTGCCTCAGCCTCCCGAAGTGCTGGGATTACAAGTATGAGCCACTGCACCTGGCCGACCCAACTTTTGTCAAAAAAGGAAGAATGGCCTCTGCAAGGAAACGCTAGCTCGAAACTGATCCAGACAACAATTTTTGATGGGATCGTTAAAATCATCTGCTGGCACATTTTAAACTCAGAGATCATGAGGAGCCAGCCAGGCTCACTGTGAACAAGCCCTGCACGAGAGCACTTCTTTTCCTGTTTTGGTGGGGATGCTGGGCTGGAAGAAAACACAACTACTTAAATAGGGTCGCATCCTTCTGGCAAGTTCCCATCTACCATCCTGCACCTGTGGCTGAGAGGAAGGGCAGGATGGAGCCTCTGCCGATAGGGGTAGGGACCTGGCCACATTTCCACAGCCCCCCACCCACTCCCCTCCACACCTGGTCAGGGTCAGCTCGCTGGCAACACCGACCCACCAAAAATAGAACCATTTGTGCACTGCATACACTATGTGGCACCCTGTAGCAGTCTCTGCCTGCCCTTGGTCAACTTGTTTGTCCAGGACTTAAGTAAAGGCCCAGCTGAGAGAACGACCAGCTTCCTATCGACAGTGTCAAGGGTTGAGATGGTCACAGGGTTAATACGGAACCCGGAAACCTGGGCTAGCTACAGAACGAGAGCAGCAACTTGGAATGGAGCCAGGCGGCAGCCACCTTTTTCCATCTCAGCTTCCTAGGAACCCTGTTTTAAACCCAAGGAAACCGAAGCTTAAAGAAGCAAGAATCATACAGCACTGTTAGATTCCGACGCCTTTGCTCCTCCTACTTCACCACGCCAGTTAAATGTACCAGGGCAAATGCAAGCCAGATATTTAGGCTCAAGGGTGCATTTCATGCAGTACAAAATGGGGAACTGCTGACTTGCAAACAGTTCCTATGAAGAGACTTGTGGTTTTTAGATAATTTCAAGTTTGACAAGGATGAGATGTCGCTACTAGGAAAGCTTTTGTGCAACTTTAAGGTGCACAGATGACACTATTCCTTGTGCCCAGATAAGGGGCAGCATTCCCACCCCATCGCGTGATGAAGACACTGCAGCTGCCAGTTTCCATTGCTTGCTTGGGAAGGCAGTGGTTACCCTCTGTTCTGTCCTGGCCCAGCTACATCTGCAGGGCTGGATTCAGTTTAGGGCACTTTTTTTTTTTTAATTTTCTTTTAAAAGACAAGGAGGTCTTGCTATGTTGCCCAGGCTAGACAGGAACTCCTGCAATCCTCCCACACAGCTGTAACTACAGGTGTGTGCCACTGTACCCTGCTAAGGCACTGGGTTTTAAAAGCCTTGAATGAGTTAGCATTCATCTGCTTAAAAGGTCTGAACACCCTGACACCAAGAAATGGGAGAGAACTAGGGCTATCCAGGCCTGGCGGTGGTGGGTGGGGAGGGATGTGTGTGTGCTAGGGGAGACACAAGAGATTCTGGCAGGGCTCTGAAGGCCTGCTGTCTGCCAGGGGAACAGACCCAACCTATGTCGCTGTAGATGGCAGAGGGGGGACCGAGCAGTGAGAGAACATCACGGCTCACTGGGCTGGACTCGGTCTGTTCTGATAGAGCTGTCCCTGACAGGCATCTGCTCACAAAGCAATGTGGTCTGGGAGACCGACGGGTCTGAGAAAACGGGTGGCATCTGACAAGGGGGGGGGGCGGTCTAGGTGAGGGCAACAGTCCAGAACCTGCTGCCTCCCAAGTCATAACAGTAAATATCTGCAGAAAAAAGACATCTGGTTCTGGCAAGGCTGTTTTACTGAGGACTAGTGGAAAAGAGGGAGAGAAATGCTAGAAAGACCGGCTTCTCTGCTCCCATCTGTCTTGGCATGCTCTGGCAAGTCATCCTGAGGAATCTCGACCCTCAGACCCCAGGGGGTCTCCATAAAACAGGAGTAGTGAGAGTGCCCATGAGCTTGAGAGTCACAGTTCTCATTTCAGGTCTAATAAACACACCAACCTCGGCAGCACTGGAGCGTCTGCTGGAACATCATCTTTATCTGCCACTAGCAAAACCCTGGTGCCAAGACGACGGGGTGGGCTGTCTGCTCAA